>NC_000018.10:62037528-63287528 GCF_000001405.40 Homo sapiens | reverse complement strand
TGATGAGAGTTTGTACTCAAACTGCCCGCCACCCCCTAACCCTTAGCCCTGGCAACTTCTCTTCTCTTCTATATCCCTAGAGTTTTGTATTTTCCAAAATGTCATAGATTGGTATCCTTCTCTTTCAGCACCTGTTCCCAGCCCATCCATCCTCTTCGTCAATGCCATTTATCTTCCTAAAACATCTCTGTTGAGCACCTTGAGAAACACTTAGTTTCTCCAAGCTTCAGTTTCCTTGTTAGAATGTGACCCAGCCAGAGTATAAAATAAGGAGCATACAGAATTCTAATACTTTCTAAGGAGGTTGGTTCCTGAGGAGGACCCTTCATCTTGCTAACTGGGGCAACTGATGGGCAGATCAGAGAAGCAGGAAGTCACTCTGAGTAAGAAATGGTGGCCTAGAGCTCTTGTGAGAAAAGGGATCCAAGAAGGGGGTAGTAGAGAGAGAAGTGAGAGACGGAGAAAAGAGAACAACTGCCACAAGAAGCAAAACGCTGGAGAGGGACAGATGTCTACAGAAGATGTTTTGGGACAGTTTTGCTGTTGAATGAGTGCCAGTATCCTTCCATAGTGGCCTCGGGAGACCTGTAGTTCAGACCCGTGTTGTAGGAGGTGTCTTTTGAATGGGTCTTATTTTGAGGAGGGACCCAGGAGACCCAGATCTGCAATGGGGATAATGACATCTGCTCCATGCAATCATCATGTGGGGATCATGGGGTAGCAAGATAGGACCCTGCCTGGCAGAGATTGGGCACCAAGGACTCCCTTCCCACCATCCTGTGCCATCTCTGCCTTCTCTCCTTACTTCTTGCCTCTCACCTGGAAACTGCCGCAAACCAAATCCTCCTACCTCCCCTTCAATGACCTTCAGAATGCCAGCCCTGAAGGTTGGCTCAGAGGTCATTGTATACCAAGCTACAGAGTTTGGTGTACAGCTGACCTTCAGGGCTGGCACCAGCCCACTTTCCAGTCTACCTCCCATTAAAGTTCTCTGTCCTCCTTACTTTCTGCTCCCAATCCTCGCCCCTACTCCTGCCCTAATCTTACGTCCCAGCTACGTTCAACTCCTTTGTTGAACCCTCCTGCCTCCCCTTCAATGAAAATTAACCTATCCTTTGTCTACATTCATTTCATGTTTATTCATTTTGTGTCTACATCCATTTTCTGTGTATATATACAATAGGTTTTGTATCATAATTATTCATGTCTGTTTGGACACCCCTGCCCCCAACTGTGTAAAAGGTGCTCAATTCATATTTGGTTAAATGAAATGAATTCCTAAATAATCACAGCAAGTTTGAACCTAGTGAAGGAAGTGTTAAGGCATTTCTTTTACATTATGCTCTCATTTTAATGTACAAGTAGCATGCCAGCTATGGGGCAGGTTTTACTCTTCCAGATTTCTTGTGGTTGTCAATGCATCAGGCAGCCTGTTTCCAAACAGCTGCCATATGGCCAAAGCTCCTCAAGTGACCCTTTTATGTGTATAAGAGCAGGACATAGTTCAGATATACCCAGGAGAAGTAAGGGCATTGAAAACCTCCCAGGCTGCTGTTGCAGAAAGGACAGGGAGAATGCCACTACCTGGAGGTGGGAAACTGGACGTTGCTATACCTGCCCCTCCATCACCATCACATAGTTTGTGTGCTGTCAAATTTAAGTTGCCAACACAAGCCATGGACCACAAAGACATGCTTGCTAAATCAAGTTGAGTGAGATGCACTTCTAGTACTTTCCAAACCCATGCTGAGATGCAGAACCCCCAGCCCCATGCAGACAGATTTGCCCTGCATGGAAACGGTGCACCCTCTCCCGCTACACACTCAGAGATGAGAGATGAGCCTGTTTGTGAAACCAAACTCAGGATTCTGTTTTTGTGTAAGAACCGTACCACATGGCTGACATATGTTCAGTCCATGGCTGGCAGAAGCCTCCTGAACACATCCCCCATCCAGTACCTCCCCGGCAGTGACCCATCTCATATTTGCATATGTTCCCCTGTCACAAGATTGTGGGGAGGGTGCAGTTTGCAGCTGACTCCTTACCTAGCTACAGCTCCAACTAAGGGCGTGCATTCTTGGGGAGATGTTGGGAGCATCACAAGGTCCCCTTCCGTTCCCAGAACTCAGTTTCAGAGGTCAGCCAGAAAGAGAATTCCAGAGGTCAGCCAGAGAGAGAAGGTAGCAAGGACAGAGCCCCTACTGACATTTTTCTTCCCACCCATCCCATCTCCAGGGCAATGGTCTTCAGCAGGGAACAACGGGCCCTCATTCCCTGCCAGGGGAGCTGAGTACACACAAACTGCTGGATGGGCGAGAAGTTCCCCCAGTGATCTTTATTTTTCCGTTTAGAAAGAATCCTTATTCCAGCCCCTTCTCTCCAGCTGCTGCGTGTGAGCCTGTCTCTGTCTCTTGGGTGGTGCAGCTGCAGGTGAGCCAGCTGTGGGCGGCCCTGAAGGACAGCGAGGTAGGGAGCCTGGTTGTGAGGTCTCTGCTCCCTGGGGATGCTCTGCAGCCTTTTGCCTGCAGCAAGTCTGAAACCTTCCATGCCTGACTCCCCCTTTCCATTTTTTTCCTGGCGTCTGCCCTTGCTGGAGTGGAGCATGGTGGGAGCCAGCCCCTGGAGCCTTCCAGGATTCTCACAGTCTGTAGCCAGAGCTGTGTAGGCCTGACCTGGGCCCAGCGGGAGGAGGATTTTGAATAAAAACCAGTGGTTCCTCTCCGTCCAAACCCCCCACCCCTGGAATACATTGCAACCAAATATTTACTCAAGGTTCCCCCTTGCCATTTAAAAATAAGATGCTTCACCTACTAGCCTGGCGGTGTTCTCTGCTCTGAAATTTTATGCTCTTGAGTCATACATTTGAAGGTAGCTTTTTTTGGATTTAAAATTTCAAACTAATGAAGTTGTTTAAAGTACCCTGTCGAGTGCTGGGAGCTGCTTAAGCATTGCCACATAAGCACTGCAGAGGCTGGGTCTGGCGCATACATGCCAGGCAAAGTCTGCCTTGTTTCAAATAACCCCAGGAAGAGTCTCTCTACCTTTGGTGCAATTCAGATCTTAGGAATAGGACTTCTGGGGTCCCCTGTTTGGGGACTGTGCTTAGCACACACACTTGGGTCCTTGCATGAAAGCCTGCAAAAGTATACGTGACTTCCTCTCTTTTCTCCTCAACCACTGCACCCCTATTTTGGGGTATTCTTAGACTTCTTAGTGGGGAGGCAGAGGTGGTTGATGATGCGCTCCCAGTCAGTCCTGTCTACCTTCTTCTACCTCAAAGGGCTTCCATTAACATCATCCAGGAAGTGTTATAAATCCTGCCACCCAGGCCACATCTCAGACCAATTTAATAAAAATATCTGGGCTGGAGAGGGGAACCCAGGAATTAGTATTTTTTAAAGCTCCTCAGAAGTGCCCCCAGGCCAAGGCTGCCAGCACCATATCCATTCGTCAGCGCGCTCAGGGACACACTGGTACCCTGTGTGCTGACCTGCTGCAGTTAGAGTGACAAAAGCCGGATTTTGATTGTCCAGAAAAGTAAGGGTTCTTTGCTGTCGCTGTGGAGTCTCCAGTCAGATTTTCCATTGGAATAGGAAACAAACGCCAAGTTTATTTTAAAAGTGCTCTTGATCTACCTAAAACTAGGAAGCAGGAAGAATCCTCGGGGAGCAGTTGAGTCTCACATTTGAATGTGTCTTTGCTTCCTCTGAACCAAACTTCATGGTTTCATCCATTACCAAAGAGGCCCTGGTGACTTAGGAGGGATAGAATTGAACTGAAAATTCCGGGATCGCTGGAAAAGTGATTTAACCAGTTTTTCACCACATAGGGAAAGTTATTTGGTGAGATAACAGACCTCGAGGCCCTGCACTCTTCTGCGTGTGGTTCTGGGTTGGGATACGGTTCCCATGAGCAGAAGATCATTCCTGGCTGATTTTGTTCAGTGATTATTTGTTTAAAACTTTAAAAAGAAGAAGCGCAGATACAGTACATTTGTACTCAGCTAGCCACGCAAACATCTTTAGGCTAAGAATAATAAACAACTAAATTAGTGGTTTGTTTTATTACCAAACTGGTAGAGTTTCACAGGCAGGAAAAGACGGTACCTCCCAGGCTGGAGAAGGTTAAGTATTTTTGTCAAGGAAGATTAAAAACCCTAAAAGCTTTTGGTTGAATTTTACTGAAATCAGAACGTGAATCCATTTGAGAGCTAGCAACCAAAGACCCGTAGAGGTGACATGGAATGTTTTTAATTCTGAGAGATGGGCGTTTCAGAACTCGGAAAATGACATTTGTTTTGACATTTGGTATTTTTGTTGCCATACTTACTGCCTTTAGTTCTTAGTGGAAGTAGTTTGCTGCTCCTAATTACCCAAAAGGCAAGAAAAAAATAACTAGAAATTTTTCAAAAGAGGGGAAATAGGTCTTGAAAGTTTCATTAATTGCAAAATGAAATTAAATGGAGCATTCAATAGAAGTACTTCTCAGAACCAATGGAGAATTTCTCAGAAAGAAGCCCATTAAAGCTGGATTCTCTAAAGCAGTGGAAATCCCAGGAACAAAAGCCAAATGCCTGGGAATTGAGTTTCAGAAGAATTTTTGAATTGGTACAGATCAGTAATTTACAAAATGGAATGGAATCACTGAATGTTCTAAAATCTGTTCAGCTAAAATGGGATAATAAATTTAGCTTACATGGACCCTGCACATTCAACTTGTGCTATTATGATATATATATCTATATATATTTACTGCTATTTATTAAGCATTTTCTGTGAACCAGGGCCTATATTTTGACATACATGATCTTACTTTGTCTAATTACAAAGATTCAGTGCCTTTCACAGAAGTCATTAGTAGATTTTGGGAGGGTCGTGTTGATGACTTTTTGGTGTTTTGAGTAAGTAAAATGTGTAATGGCATTTGAGATATTGAATGCTTGTTAAAGCTGACCTTGAAAATAAGATTTTCATTCCATTGCCGTGCTTTACAAATCAAACTGCCATTTAGGAGGGAAAAAAGACAAATAAATGAAGTCAACTTTCTTTATTTCTTAAACCATGGGTTAAACTGGGTATTTGGACAGATCGTTTTCAAGGCCACTATAGGATACTTCAGGCAAGTATTTTGAAACTTGAAAGCATTTCTGATAAACTTCCAGGGAAAATTCTGATCTTTTGGTCCATGAGAGAAATAACTGCTAGTTACAACTCTGGATTGGAATCGCAGTTTGAAGATAATCAGAACTGCAGCTTAAACATCATCAAAGAGTGACCTGTAGCTTAGCTTTCTTAATTACATGTGTCAAGAACTTGTGATAACAGACCTAATTGAAATGACTTATTGAGTCAGGTAACATTTATGCCCTTTTAATTAACTATAATTTTTAATTTACCTGATCAGCATTAAGCTCACTTTAGCCGACAAAAGGCTATGGGCTACAGTCAAATTGCAAATAGAATACTTAGTAAATGTGATAGTATTAGCTCCTACTATGGACTAATATTAGTTTGGTCTTGACCAGAAGAAATCCTTGTGCGTATTTATGTTGAAAGATGAAATAACTTACTGAAATTGTTAATGAAGTATTGGATAAGCTACTTTAAAAATAACAAACCCGACTACCAGCAACAACACAAATAAACAAACCGTCAGCCTAAGGTGGACATGTTGGCTTCTCTCTGTTCTTAACATGTTAAAATTAAAATTAACTTCTCTGGTGTGTGGAGATGTCTTACAATAACAGTTGCTACTATTTCTTTTCTTTTTCTCTTTCTTTCCTCTCTCTTTTTCTTTCTTTCTTTCTTTCTTTCTTTCTTTCTTTCTTTCTTTCTTTCTTTCTTTCTTTCTTTCTTTCTTTCTGAGACAAGGTCTCAATTTGTCACTCAGAGTGAAGTGCAGTGGCATGAACATGGCTCACTGCAGCCTTAACCTTCTGGGCTCAAGAACTCCTCCTGCCTCAGCCCTGCAAGTAGCTGAGACTACAGGCACGTGCCACCATGCCCAACTAATTTTTGTATTTTTTTGTAGAGACAGGGGTCTCACTGTGTTACCCAGGCTGGTCTCAAACTCCTGAGCTCAATTGATCCACCTGTCTCAGCCTCCCAAAGTGCTGGGATTACAGGTGTGAGCCATCACGCTTGGCCTATTGTTAGTATTTTTTAATAATTTTTTTAAATTGTGGTAAAATGTATGTAACATAAAATTTATCATGTTAACCGTTTTTCAGTGTACAGCTTAGTGGCATGAAGTTTCTTCACAATGTCATGCATCCATCACCACCATTTATCACCAGATTATTTTTTTCTTCTCAGACAGAAACTCAGGATCTGTTCAACAGTAATGCCTGTTCCCCCACGCCTGCAGCCTTGGCAACCACCATACTACTGCCTGCCTCTATGAACTTGACTACTCTAGGTACCTCGCATAAGTGGACTCACACTTGTGACTGGCTTGTTACACTAAGCATGATGTCTTCAAGGTTCATCCATGTTTTGGCCTGTGTCACAGCTTCCTTCATTTTGAAGGCTGAATGATATTCCATTGAATGGATCTACTACATATTGTTTCTCCGTTCATTTATTGATGGATACTTGAGCTGCTTCCCCTTTTGGACTAATGTGAATAATGCTGCTATGAACGGTATGTACACATATCTGTTTGAGTGCCTGCTTTCAATTCTTTTGAAATTCCACTTCCAGAAGTGGCATTTCTGGATCCTATTGTAATTCTATTTTTAATTTTTTGAGGAACCATCATACTGTTTTCCATAGAAGCTGCACCATTTTACATTTCTACCAGCAGTGTACAAGGGTTCCAGCTGCTCTAATTCCTGACCGATATTTCTTATTTTCTGGTTTTTCAAGATGGCCCTCTTCATGAGTGTGAAGTGGTTAACTTATTGTGGTTTTGATTTGGATCTTCCTAGTGATTAATGATGTTGAGCATCTTTCTTATGTGCGGATTGGCCATTCATTTATCTTGTTTTTAGAGAAATGTCTGTTCAAGTTCTTTGTTGATTTTTTAAAATCAGGTTGTTTTGTTGTTATTGAGTTGTAGGCGTTCTTTACATATTCTGGACGTTAATCCGTTATCAGATATACAATTTGCAATGCTACCATTTCTTGAGGCTTACAGTATGCCAGATGTTCTACTAGGTGCTTTATATATAGGATCTTAATTCATTTTACAACCCTGAGAAATAGATATTATCACCTTCATTTAATAGATACGGAAACTGAGGCTTTGAAAGTTTAAATAACTCATTCAAGGTCATACAATTAGTCAGTGGCAGGGGTAGGATTGGATCACAGGTATGTCTCACTCCAAAGCCTATGATCTCATGCAGTTTGGCATGGATACTCTTCTATCTTTTTGATTTATGATTTTCCTTCATTTAAAAAATCTTTTATTTAGAAGTATAATAAATATACCAAAATGTAAATAAAATATAAATGTATATCCCATTGGGCTATTTTAAAGTAAACACTTTGTAGCCATCATGCAGGTAAAAGAAACAGGGCATTGCCAGCCCCCATAAGGCCATGTCCCCTGACAATCATAGCCCTGTATCTTCCACCAAAGGTAGAAATTATGTTAAGTTTTATGGTAGCCAATTCCTTACTTTCCTTACACATTTACCACCTAAGTATGTCACCCTAAATGATATAAATTAGTTGTGCTTGTTATTTAACTTCATGTAGATGAAATTGTAGTGTATGTAGTTTGTGTTTTGGGCTTCATTTGCTCATAGTTACGTTTGTGAGATTTCATGAAGCTAAAGTTTGTTCATTTTCCTTGTTGTATTTTATTGTGAAAGTTCACCCACTGTATTTATTCATCCTGTTGTTTTTGTTATGATATATAATGCTGCTGTGAACATTATTGTACCTGTTCTTTGGTGCCTTGTGCATATATTTCTATTGGGAACACACCAAATAGTGAAATTGTTGTAGATGTAATGCCATGTATGAGAGTTCCTGTTGTTTTGTATACTCTCCAAACTTAGAACTGTCAGTCTCTTTAATTTTAGCCATTCTGGCATGTTCACAGGAGTATCACATTGTGGGTTTAATTTGCATTTCCCTGATTACTTATTACTAATAATCTTTTCATATGCTTATTTTCTTTTAGAACGTGCCTATGCAAGTCTCTTGTCCATTTTTCAACTGTTTTCTATTTCTTATGAATTTGTAGGAGTTCTTTGCAGCTTCTGGCTATGCATCCTTCATTAATTTTGTGTGTTGCAAATATATTCTTCCATTTTGTGACTTGTCTTTTTAGTCTCAAAACAGAATCTTTTGATGAAAAGAATTTCTTAATTTTGATGTAACCTCATTTATCACTCTTTTCCTTCATGGTTGGCACTTGTTGTGTCTTGTTTGACAATGTTGCCTATCCCAAAGTCATGAAGATTTTCTCTTATGTTAACTTCTAAAAGTTGTATCATTTGTCTTTTATATTTATATCTACATAATGCACCTGGAATTGAGTTATATGAATGCTGTGAATTTGGGAGGGGCGTGTTTCCTTTTTTTCCCACATGGATATCCAATCAACTCAGCCACATTTACTGGGGGAAGACATCTTTTTTTCTAATGCGCTGTAGTGTTAGGTTTTTCAAAACTTAGGTGTCTGTATATGTGTGGGTCTGTTTATGAGTCTGTCTATTCTTTTCCACTGGTCTGTTTCCTACACTTGTGCCAATGCCACACTGTCTTACTTATAGCTCTATAAGTCTTGGTATTGTTAAGGAAAAATATTTGTAACATTTGTTAAAAATGGCAGAGAAGACTTTATTCAAGGAGGGGAACATTGTGATAGGTAGAGGGACTGCTGCAACGAGGTCTTGCTGTGGTGAGGAGAGAGATTGGGCTGGAGTCCAACTTCTACAAGGACAAGAGGGGATTTATAGTCAAGCAGCAGGGTGGGGTCAGTGGATGGAAGAGGAAACATCAGAGACAGGGGTATTCTTGCTAGACCAACTCAACAGAATTCTTGCTGAAGGCAGGCCAGGGTGATAAGATATCAAGAGTTAGGGGTGAGGACAGATACCAAGGGTGGAGAATTTTCACTAAAACTAGTAGGATTCTTGCTTAAACTGGATTCTATAAGACAGAAAAGGAAGCCCAAGGTCAGGGTCTAGTGGAAGAGAAGGCTCCGGGGAGCCCGACCTGAGTTTGATCTAGGAGAGTCTTTGTCAATATCCTGTAGAATATGACCTTCACCTCATTTTCTTTTCCTCAAGTGTATCTGGACTGTATTTGGCCTTTTGGGCTTCCAGGTGACTTTTAGAGTAAGTTTATCAAGATCTACAAAAATAGCTACTGAGATTTTGATTTGAATAGTATTTCTTCCTGATAATTTCTGAGTAAAATTCATTTTAAGGAAGTAGGAGGGGCAGTGGCCTGATGAAAAGCAAAAATGAAGAAAAGAATAAGGAAAGACACAGTTTTGCCATCACCAGCCAGTGTTTAGTGATCTTAAAATAGCTGCTTTTGTTTTTGAGCATCATTTGTTGGGTATGGAGTTGCAGAAGTTGGGTTGAGGGACACTGGCTTCTAGAATCAAATATTGGCCTCCATAGAGTGTTTCTGTACAGTGAGTTGGGAGGATGGGCAGGGGCCACTGAGGACTGTGGCGTGTCCCCACGTTAGAGTGTATCTCACACAGAGCCTGTCCTGAAAATATAGTTATTTTTAAAAAGTGTTTCCCCCTCCTTTTCATTGGCCATTTTCTCTTTTACTACTCTTTACCTAGCAAAGGGTGGGCATGAGAAACCTGGTCAGTGGAAGAGAAAGCCATTTTGCAACAGTGGTTATAGGGGTGGGAGAGTAAAATTTCCTGGTTCCTGGGGAAGCTAAGCCCATTGGTAGGACCAGACTTTTGTATGTGTGTTTCTTCCTTTAGTCATCTACTAAGGTTAATAAATACCTTAAAAAAAAAAAAAAAAAAGGACATGATCTCCCTCTGTCACCCAGGCAAGTGATCCTCCTGCCTCAGCCTCCCAAGGCACTGGGATTACAGTCATGAGACCCTGCACTGGCTCATTAACAATTTTTTTTTTATATAGAGACAGGGTCTCGCCAGGCTGGTCTCAAATGCCTAACCTTGAGTGATTTTCCTTCCTTGGTCTCCCAAAGCATTGGGATTACAGACATGAGCCGCCACACCCGGCCAAGAAGTGCCTTTTATGTCTCAGGCACTGTTCTTGGTGCTGGGGAACAAGATAGACAAAATCCTCACTCTCATAGAGCTTAATTCTAGTACTAGAGACAGTCGAGAAATTATTAAATAGAAGATGTAATGTTGAGCTCTGATAAATTCTATAGGAAGAAAAAGGAGAGTCAGGGACAGAGGAAGGGAAGTGACGAAGGAGCCCTGTGGATCTCTGAGAGAAGAGTCTCCCAGACAGGGGGCAGGTGGAGGGTCCAGGACAAAGGCTGGGCATGCCAACAGGGGAGAAAGAGGTATTGCAGTGGGAGGGAGGGAAAGTGGCGGGAAATGAGATGGAGGAAAGCAGCCCTGGCCAGACCCAAAACCTCACTTCTTATGATAGATATTTAGTAACACCCTTTTCACTCTTCAATGATGAAATTTGTAGAAAATATAACCTATCTACCCACATCATTACAAACCATCCATACAATGCCTTAACTGTAATAGAAAGGAAGTACAAAAGGGGAGAAATGTATCATGAACTAAGAAGTATTTCATGACTACACTGGAAGACATAATGGTGTGGTCATATGTTTTGCACCCACTTGTAGGATCACTGCAAACGTGGCAGCTATAAATCCAGATGGCTGCAGATGTGTTATATTGGCCACTCAAATGACATAATCGGTGTTGACTTTAGTGATGTGATATTTCTGAAATGGTGAATACGTGTTAGTAAAGTTCTAAACAAAACAAAGTACATCATTCCCTATTGAAATCCAGCATTTATGAAAATCATGGAGGAAACCCTTGTGTTGACAGGTAAAATGGCGTAGGCTTTTCAGCCCTTCCAGGGGAGACTGGAAAGTCCTGGGGGACATAGAATATTTGTGGCTTGTGCTAGACCATCCCATGTACTGCAGGTTGTCCAGCCTGTCTGGCCCCACCCCTTAAATGCCACTAATGACTCCCAATTGTCCTGTGACTACCAGAACAGCCCCCATGGATTTCCAGATGCTTTTTCAAGCATTTTGGGTTTTGTTTGCATGTAATGAGAAGCCAGCAGACAGTTTGGATCAGGGAAGTGAAGTGACCCAACCTAGGTTTTAAAGAGATCTGCCATTCATAAAAATAATGAAGGGGAGGCTGAGGTTTCTGTGTCACTTAGCAAGGACTCGGCCCCCAAGAGTGAGCTGCAGAGGTACCAGGCTGACCTCTGTCTGTCTCAAGCTTAGACTCACCCAGAAGTCTGTCTTTCTACCCCAGAGCCACCTAGACCATCCATCAGAGGCCTCCCTCTAATGAGGAGTAGGGTGGGGGCACCCCATGGTGTCCTTTGTGCCCTAAACCCTTTACAATAACAGGTGTTGGCTGTCACCTGAAGCAGGTTTCAACCATCACTCCCTTCCCACCATACACACACTCCCAGCTCATTTTGATTCCTTTTCCTGCAATAAATAACAGATTCTTGCAAAGTGGTTAGAAGAAATTAGTAAGTTAAGCCTCACACTAGGGTTATTTTGCCAGGAGACCTTCCTTTCCTAGGTAACCCCCTCCACCACGTGGGCACCCCAGTGGGATCTGCTGCAGTCTGCGCCAGGGTTTGCTTGGCCTGCAAGGGTTGGCCATGGCAGATGCCTTTCCTGTAACTGGAATCCCCCATGCCTGGCCTTCCAGACAGTAGAGAGATAATTGGATAAACCCTAAACTGGAAATTACAAACAATAACTACTCTGTTAGTTTACATATGAAACTACTTAAGCAAGTCCTTTTTATTTTTATTTTTCGACAATATGAAGCTCATTATTCGTGACACTCGGGGCACTCTCAAAATGTGCTCAAGAAAAGGGTCACGGCTGTGTAGTATTTAGCACCAGAATGGAAACACCCATTCCAAGTTCTCTTCCATCCTTTGGCCACTGAGAGGTTTGGTTTAGTGGTCCCGGGGAGGACAGGAAGGGGAGAGCCACTTTAACTTGCTGTTGTTGAGTGAAGGTGGGGCAGGAGTGAAAGGCATTGTTGTTGCTGAGTGTGTTTTCATGAAATCTAACCTTATTTAACATGATCTCCAGTAACTCACTGGTCTTCAAGTTACATAAACCTTGATCGAAAATTATTTCCCTTTTTTTTTTTTTTGAGACAGGGTCTGACTCTGTCACCCAGGCTGGAGTGGTGCAGTGGCGTGACTGGCTCCCTGCAGCCTCAAGCAATCCTCCTGCCTCAGCCTCCCAAAGTACAGGGATTACAGACATGAGCCACTGCACCTGGCCTTGATTTTTTTTTATATAAAAGGATATTAGAGCAAAAGAGTGAATATGTATACCATAGTGGTCAAATAAATACTTCTGCAGGGGCCACACACAAAACTGTGAAGGCAGAATCTATTTCTGTCCTTAGATGTGTTGGTCAATAGGTGTTTGGGCCCGTGAATGTAGGACCCAAATGTAATAGCAGCACTATACTCTACAGCGTGTGCATAGCTGGATTCAGAATTTTTGGTTTTAAAAATTAAGCTTTTATTTATATTTACCCATCAGGTCACCGAATACTTGGATTCAACCAAATGCTTGAAAGCTTCTTCATTTGGGGGAAGGTGGGTTTGGAGGCAGAAATCCCTGCAGACTCCACACCCGGGGTTTTACTAGGTCCTCCGCGGCAGGTGGAAGGAAAGCTTGTTGCCCTGCAGTTCCGTTTGCTTCAAAAACAAGGGTGGGAAGGGTTCACCAATTGATCTTTGTGCATATCCAGTGTAGGAAAAGTGTTATTTAGAGTATCATTATAAAATCGGCTGCATATGGTGGCTCATGCCTGTAATCCCAGCACTTTGGGAGTCCAAGATGGGCAGATCACTTGAAGTCAGGAGTTTGAGACCAGCCTGGCCAACATGGTGAAACCCTGTCTCTACTAAAAATACAAAAATTACCCGGGCATGGTAGCGGGCACCTGTAATCCCCACTACTCGGGAGGCTGAGGCACAGGAGAATCACTTGAACCCAAGAGGAGGAGGTTGCAGTGAGCCAAGATTGCACCACTACATTCCAGCCTGGGTGACAGAGCAAGACTCCATCTCAAAAAAAAAAAAAAAAAAAAAAAGAGTATCTTTATAAAAGCTTGACTCCCATGGTAGATGGACCTAATTAAGGTTTACCAGCAAGTCCCAGATATTAGCATAGCATAGGAAATTACCGTAGAGGCATGTAGGAGTCATCCAGATTTGGCCAACTCAGAGGATAGAGAGAAAAAATATCTCTCCCTCCTTCCTAATCTCAAGGGAGATGGAAAACAAGAAGATTTAGAGCTTCAAGAATGAGGATTGAGGAAGTACAATGTAAAAATGGCTCCCTGGGTCCCTTCTTGGAAAAAAATGTCCAGAGAGTTTCCAAAAGTGGTTTTCCCCTCCTTTTTGAGGAATATGTGTTTTTATTCCTTTGTGAAGAATATCATCTTAGTAGTCTTATTTCATTTGTCTATTTCCCTCTTTAATATTAATTTGATCTGAGATGCTTGTAAAGACCAAGCAACAAAAAGATGTCATGCCACCTTCATTTGCCACCATCACCTGTGAAGTTCAGACAACGCAGTATAGACAGAGCCTTAAGAGGGAGGAGTCAGGCGTGAGGCTTTGTGAGGGGTGGGTGGTCAGGGGTGTAGCCACAGCCTTTGATCATAAACCATGACCGGTTAGAACTGGGAGGAACCTCAAAGTCGCTAGGTTCAACTCTCTCATTTCATAGACACGAAAAATGAGGTCCAAAGAGTTCAAGAGACTGCCAAGGGTTGTACAGCTAATCGGCCGACCTAGCAATCGAAGGACAGATTTGAGTATTTTTTTTTAAAGCATAGGCTTTTAAGTTCTTTATCATTGTCAGTTTACTTTGGTTTGCCTTTAACCTTCACCACCCCAGCTGGTAAGTGTAAATTGTCATTGTTAATGTGCTTTTTCCTTGAACTGCTTGTGAAGGACTCTCTTTCAAAGGAGCCGGTAGAAGGGAGGAAAGTTGGTGGCATATTACATATCTCTACGCTGAGATTCAATCCAGAACGGCCTTGGGAGTTCTTCGTCGGCTGACACAAGGCAAAGCCCCAGCTCTGATCTGAAAAGTTTGTATGATGCATTTTCCATGTGTATTGGTTGATTGGTTTTGCTGGAAGACCTAACCAAGAGAAAGCATTCCGACCCTGGCGTTAGCCCCACTCATGAGTCTACTTTATACTTTCTACATTTTGTCTATAAAATTTGCCACTTAAAAACTCTTGTTTCATAGAAAATGGACTTGATTATCTGTATCATTATGAAAATCCTGCTGCATTATCAAATCTTCCTAAAAGGTTAAAAAGCTTTTTTTTTTTTTTCAATCTCTGTCTTTGCTGTGATTTTAGACTGGGTTGTAAACAAGCTATAATGTGAATGGACTACCAAGAGATCTACAACAGAAGCAGCCTCAGAAATAGAAATTGAATTTATAGGCAGTGAGATAGGATAATTAGCTTTTATATTTAAAAATATCCTCAGACCAGAGGAGTCTGCTGTCTCAGATAGAGAAGGGAATTGAGTTTGAATCCTAATGCCTCAAGTAATTTAGTAGAAACTGCCTGTTTTATATAAAATATATACGGCAGCCTGCTGTGTGTGTATTTATGATCTGTATCTCTATATTCCTCTCTAAACACATGAGTTAAAGTGTCAGTCTAAGTCTGAACATTCAGATTACACAAATCATTTGTACTTATAATTCTCAGCCTTAAATGTTGTTGTTGATATAGCTAAAGATAACCTGATTGGCCAATTATCTCCCTTTTTTCTTTGAGTGGTTATTTGGAGTTCAAAAATCAAACAAACAAAAAACATTTCTGTTTTTTTTACATGGAGAGCAAGAATTGTCTCGGATGTTTACCCGAAGTTTTTTGTTTTTTATCCAACCATTATGCACTACAGAATGTACAATTTAAAATGCTCTATGTAGGTTAAACAATAAAAGACACGAGAATATTAAGTGTCTGCTATTGTTAAATATGTGTAAATTCAACATACCTCCTGTAATGGCCAGTGTCTTAGCCGCTGATCCCTGTCACTCTGAATTGGCAGAAACCAGATCCTGGCTTGGGATCTTGAACAGATATTTTTTCCAGGGTTGCATCACAACTCTTGGGAGGGCATCCTGTCTGAAATATGCTGTCTCCCCAGCCTGGGTCAGCAGGGACAGAGAGAAATAGCATCTGTCAGCTGGGTTGAAGTCTCCCGCATATGGAGTCAGTCACTGGTTCTTTGCTGAGGGTTCAGCTAATGAGACTTGATTGCTTGTGGCACTCTTGTTTCCACCAAAAAGAGCCTAAAAACAGGATGAACTTGAAAACAAGAGGAAGTGGTGCTATGCTTCCCCATGACTTTAGCTCCAGTTTGCCTTTGAGCAAGGGGGAAGCAGAAGGAGGAACTTCTTACGTACCTGCACGGTGGTTCATACCAGGGGTTCATCAACCCTGGGATCTTGCCCCCTTCTCTGCCTCCTGTCATAAATCTCTGTTTCAAAGGAAAGAAAGGGGATGGTTGTTAAAGCATAAACCTCCAGGTCAGCTCTTGTTACATTAGACCCCAAGATGATGTCCAAAACCTTTTGTTGAACTGAAATGCTAGCTTGGTTTGAAATAACTGAGCCATTCATTGCCTAGGGATAGAAAATCTTTCTGTTGTAAAGAGGTGGTTGGTTGGTTGGTGTGTGGCTTTGTTTGCAAATACAGAAAGTGGGATGGGGATTGGAATAGTATTGGCCTTGTGGGGGCTGAATATTGAAAGCAGCAAAACTGGATGTACCTAAAAACTAAAGTTGAATCGGCGAGTTCATCCATCCTTTTAGAGCTATTTTCATTGAGATATAATTTCTTTCAGTTGCTTGAAGTTTTCAGCATCAGATCAAGTTTTCTTTCTTGCTCTCCAATACCTCTTTTGCTTGTTTGCCATCTGTTCATTTCCACTGCAAACTGCTCTTTACACAATGTTACTCGGTGTTAATTAGAACACGTGTCTCTTTGTCATTCATCTGGAGAAGGGGTTAATGATGATTTATGTCCCTTTAATTGGTTTTCCTCCAAACTGTTAGGTTTAATTTATTATTTTATAAGAATTCCAAGAGACTGGGAAAGAGGAAGAGTGCCTAATTTTTATTCTTCATGTCTTTAACTATATATCTCTTTTGCTTTAAAAAAGAGCAATCTTGGCCTAACTATTTTGGTGTTTTAAAAGTATGGTTCTTTGGCCAGGCGCAGTGGCTCATGCTTGTAATCTCAGCACTTCGGAAGGCCGAGGTGGGTGGATCACTTGAGGCCAGGAGTTCGAGACCATTCTGGCCAACATGGTGAAACCCCATCTCTACTAAAAAACACAAAAATTAGCCAGGTGTGGTGGCCACATGCCTGTAGTTCCAGCTACTCAGGAGGCTGAGGCACAAGAATTGCTTGAACTCTTGAGAGGCGGAGGTCAAAATGAGCTGAGATCGCACCACCGTACTCCAGCCTGGGCGACAGAGCCAGACTGTCTCAAAAAAAAAAAATTCTTCAAGTTCTTATTAAATGATAATACATATGAGTATGTATTTACTGCTTATCAGTGAACAATTTATTAGTCAAATTTGTTAGCTTATTTCTGAATAAGTAACATGTTATCATGGTTCAAAATTGAAAAGGTCCCAAAAGGTATGCAGTGATTTCTTTCCTCCTCCTCCTATTGTCCCCAGACTTCTATTCTGGGAAAAGGGTTTCCTTTCCGCAGAATCTATGTTGTCAGGGTCTTGTGTGTACATATATTTGTATTTATGTATACACATATGTGTATAGATGGATATATGCATAGGTACATATATATGTAAATACTTTCCCTCTTTTTATGCAGAGGGTGGCAAACATATATGCTGTTCTGCATATACCTTTTAAATGCATTTTGGAATGTACTGCCTATCGGTAGGTTAAGAGCTTCTTCTTTCTTTGTTAAGGCTACATTATACTACTGTATGATGACTTATTAACTACTTCCTGACTGATAGACATTTGGGCTGTTTCCAGTTTTTCCCAGGATGAACAGTGATTCAGTGAATAGCTCTGTATCACATTATTTTGTATATCTCTAGGAAAAAGATCCTAGAAATGGAATTGTTGCAGCTGAAAGTAAGTACATTTATCATTTCGATTGATTTTGTCAAATTGCCCTCCATAGACGTTAACAGTTAACAATTCTGCTAGCAATATGAATACTCGTCAGCTTTTTTCATACTTGTGAAAATAGTAGGTGAAATAATGATCCCAGCTTATGGTTTAATTTGCCCTTTCACTTATTTTGAGTGATGTTGAGTATAATGAGCACTTTAAAGGAAAAAAGATAAATTTTTGTAGTTAGATGTATATATATACATTTCAAAGGTGGAAACCTGTTTGTGCATTTTCCTTTCTACCCCCTCAAAACACTAGGAAATTATACCTAGTTTCTAGTAAATTAGATAGCTAATTTCTATATTGGTGTGTTATTAACAGTAAATATGCTGCAAATGTTGGAAGATACCTAACATTCTCCTTCATGTGATTACCAAAAACATATTGCTGAAATCCAATTTCGACTGACATTATTTTTCAAAATAATACATTTCAAACTAATCAAATCAAGTTTTGATTTGTAAGGGCACATTACATGATATCTTTTAAGATACAATATTTTAAGTCAATTAAACTCTGATGTATGTTGCTTTTTACCAAAAGCACACAGATTATGGAGAACTCACCAAGTGACTGACATGATAAAAAAGCAAAGTTCTTTTAGATAAAAATGGCCACTTTCTCCTTGATATTTTTCTATGGGTTGAGATTTAGATGAAAATCCCTTGTGGCAAATTTTAATGACTATTTCTTTAATGTAATAACTGAATTCATCTAGATGATCCCACGTCCCTCAACAGAGAAAGGTGAGAGTCTGTTATTTGTTAGGTTTCCTTGTCCATATTTCTTGGTGGGTCCCACAAAAGTCTCATGAATCTCTACAAGTGGGAAAATAAATTGCCCATTTCTTGGCACACCGAACTTTCCATGTCATATTTTAAAACTGTAAGTCCATACTTTACATAGCTAAAGACCAATGGGCCAAAGCATGGTGGGTCACACCTATAATCTCAGCATTTTGGGAGGCCGATGTGGTAGGATTAATTGAGCCCAGGAGTTTGAGACCAGCCTGGGCAGCATAGTGAGACCCCATCTCTATAGAATTTTTTAAAAAATTACCGATCATGGTGGTGTGTATGCACCTATAGTCCTAGCTACTTGGGAGGCTGACTCAGGAAGACCATTTGAGCCCAGGAATTTGAGGCTGCAGTGAGCTATGATGACACCACTGCACTCCAGCCTGGGCAACAGAGAAAGACTCTGTATTTAAAAAAAAAATGGAAAAAGAAAAAAAGACCGAATAATAATAATAATATGTAATATTTAATACTTTCATGGATTGGGTACTGTTTTCCCTCCCCTGTGAGTCCCTGCCTATGTTTCCTTCAGGCCATAAAAAGAAAGCTTGTCTGGCAAATATGAAATTTGAAAACTGACCATCTGCTGAATTATAATAGTAGAGATTTACCTTTGGGATAAATATATTTGTCATTGCCACAAAGTTTGTGAATAATATTTCTGTTGCCCAGTCATGAAATCAACAAACCTCCAAAATGAAGTTGCTTTAAGTGTGTAATGGCAATTTTGAATTGTTAAAGTATTCCACACTGTCGTGAAACCAATGTAAACCCTTGCTCAGAACTAGACTCACAAAATTTTAGAGCCAGAAGGAGGTTTGGAGATGGTCCAGCAGTTCGTCTCAATTTTATAAGTGAAAAAAACTGAAGCTGGGGCAAGGTTAGGAACATGTTAGCAAGTGAGTGAATGAGTGAGTTACAAAGCTGGCATCCTTGAATCTTGGCCCCAGACCTCACCTGGCTAAATTGTTCCAGAAATCTTGCCTAAACACACTTTTTTTGTAGTGGAAGAATGTATGCCCTTTTAGAAATCAGTTCTAAGGTCTCTTAGTAAAACCATGTGGTAGGTCATCCTTAACTGGGGGTTGGTTTTGCTGAAGACAGTGAGCACAAGAGAAAACCACAGAATGCTCTTTCTAAGAAACATCTAGACAGCACTCATGAGGCATACACTTGGTGTTCCCTCCCTCTCTTTTTCATTGGTAGGCTGTAAATTACTCCCCTGTTGGAAAAATAAGGTCTTCAGGCTACTCACGGTGGTGTGCAGACGCACATACACAACAGTGACAGCTTTCTAGTGGCTTCCGCCATGCGTGAAAAGAGATGCAAAAGGAATGCAGGAATGTTAGAGAAAATAAAGGCATCGCCGCTGATTAGCTGGGACTGATCAGAGATGGGTTACTTCACGTGAAGCATGTAAGGAAACCTCTTGTAAAGACTTTTATTATATTTTTAGGAAGGAAGGAAGAAAGACAGAAGAGAAAAACAGAGAAGGAAAGGGAAGGAAGAAGGGAGAGAGGGAGGAAGAGAAAGACAGAGGGAAGGAGGGAGAGAGCAGGGATTTACCTGCATTACAGGTAGCATACCTTCTCCAAAGTCTCCTTTGTGGACCAGAGGGACCATTGGTGGCAGCTCCCTTAACCACAGTCCAGAACTTTCAGTATTAAAAACTTAGCTGATACCTCTCAAGGATATATATTTACTGCAGGTCCTTCATCTGAAATTCAGACACATGTAGCTAGCTACAGATCACCTATAAGATGTTTCAACCTCAACAAATTTGGGACTTAACCCATCATCTTACTCCCTCCGCCACTTCCTTTGCTTGATCTTCTTATCTCAGTGAGTTGCATCACAGTCCTCCAAACTGATGAGGTCAAAACTCTGGTAATTATCCTCAATTCTTTCTTCTGTCCCACCTCTAGCCACCATCTAGGTCAAACAGCCCAGCTGACTGCACCTCCTTTGTGTCTTCCCCACTCCATCCCCTGCCTGCTGCCACTGCCTTAGTTCACAGCCTCATCATTTCCTCCTTGAGTTGCTGCAACAATCTCCAGCTGGCCTCTCTGCCACCCAGTTTTTGCCTCTCTCCAACCTGTCCTCCTGACTCTTGCCAGAGAAATTTTTCTAGGAAAACCTACCCAAGCACGGAATGCCCCTGTATAAATGCTCCATGGGTTGCTGAGCACCCCCAGAGAAACTGTCGTGACTGATCCACGCTCTCACTTCCTCGGCCTTGCATCGTGCTGTCCCCTGCCCTCCCAGGCTCTGTGCCAGTCACCCAGGCTTCCCTCAGTGCGAGCATCTCCTCACCTCCTGACCTTTGCACAAGCCACTCCTTCTGAGGAGCACTCTCTGTTTCCCCTGCTTCTCTCCTCCTTGCCTAACTCCTACTGAGCTTTCTAATCTGACTTTGAGGGCACTTTTCAGAGATGTCTTCCTTGACCAACCGAGTAGACTTATTTAACAAACACTTGCATAAATTTACTGTGTGCCAGGCACTGACCTAAAGGCTTTACATATATTCCTTCCTTTACTTCTCCAAACTTTAGGAGAAAGGGAGGATTCCAGTCCCCATTTTATGGATGAGGAAGCTGAGACCTTGCTTGAGTGGTGAAGCAGCTTGCCCAAGGTCACACAGCCTTGTGGGCCAGAAGCTACTTCTGCCTTTGTGTGGCTCCTGATTTTGATTTGTATGTAGTATAAATATATATATTTTTGTGTGTGTGTGTGTGTGTGAGAGAGAGAGAGAGAGAGAGAGAGAGAGAGAGATTTATGTTCCAAATTGGTTCCGGGTTTGTCATCTGTATATTTAATATATAATAAATTATATATACAATTTATTTTTTGAATAGACAATAGAAGCACATATTATAAAATTCAAAAAATACAAAGTGTATACAGTGACAGGAGCCTCCCTCCTCACTTTACCTCCCACTTCTCCCCAAAAGCAGCTCCTGTCACCCATGCCCTGTGTATCTTTCCAGGGATATTTACAAATATATATGTAGACACTATGTGATTTTCTTTTATATTTATGATAGCCTATTCTGCTTGAGATTTTTAATTTGCTTTGTTTGATTAACAGTATACCTTGGGGCTTGTTCCATATCAATATATTAAGAGCTTCCTCTTCTCTTCTGTGTCTACATAATAGCCCATTGTAGGGATATACCATAGTTTATTTAATCAGTCTCCTTTTTGGATATTTAGGTTGTTCTCAAACATTTTCTAGTACAATCAGTGCCGCAGAGATTAGCTTCCTACAGACATCATTTTGCACACATACGAGTTGATCTGCAGGATAAAATCCTGGAATTGGAATTTGCGGCCAAAGGGCAGGTGCATTTATAATTTTGATAGATAGTGCCAGATTGTCCCTCATAACGGATGTACTCATTTATTTTCTCATTAGTAGTTTATGAGATTGCCCCTTCCTTCTTAGCCTCACCCTTGCCTATATAATAAAATGTTTTGATGTTCACCCTTCTAGTATTTTTAACCAGCTTTTTTCTTGTTATGAGTCGTTATGCATCTTTTAATGTGTTTATGAACTATCTTGATTTTCTTTATTAGCTGATTTAGTATTCGTTGGCTCTTTTCATATTGATTTATAGGCATTTCCTATATATTAAAGAAATATATCCTTTGTCTGTGATCTATGTTCCAGATAGGTCCCTGGTTTGTCATTTGTTGATGGTGTTTTTTCCCCATGCAGAAAATTTTTATTTTCATGAAATCAGATTTATCAGTTTTTTTTCTTTTATAGCCTCTGGGGTTTGAGTCATAGTTAAGACTGACCTTCCCCACGCCTAAATTATAAAATCCTCTTCTATGTGCATGCATGGGTGTGTGAGGTTGTTTCAAAGAAAGAAGTGATAGAGTGTAATCGCTGAGAAAACCAACTGTGGAGTCAGACTGACCTAACTGCCCTGGTTTCATCTCTATTTCTTTAATCTTGGATGAAATGTTTAATGGGTTAGTAATATCTATATCCCAGGGTTACAGGTGACTATGAAGATCACATACCACAATATAGGAAATCGTCCTGTATTAAATTACTGATAGCTGTTTTTATTGTGTTATTTTCTCCAAGTTTAATAATAATTGCACAAGAACAAGGGCCCTTTCTTCTCTTTCTTTTGCTTTCCCCTTGCCATTGTGGCCCTTCCCCTTCCCAAACTCTGCTGCCAGCAAGACCTTAGCGTGGTGCTCTGCTGATGGGACTCGAGTGCTCACTTTGATTGCTTCACTGTTTATTTTGATTGGCGACAGAGAGGCCTGGAGTTCTGGCTGGAGCCACCTGGAGTGCCACAGGTGCTTCTCCACTTGCCACGCAGCTGTTCTCCCAGTCCCTTGAGGACCCTGGCGCCTCTCCAGATCTTGGCACTTGGTTTCTTTCCATGGGTCACCGGTGAGAGTCCGTGTTCTTTCCTTTGGGCCCCCTGCAGCCCCTTGCCACAGAGGCCTCATCCCGAGAGGACTTGAGACAGCGTACTCCCCACATGGGTGCCCTGTAAATATCTTTGACCAAAGAAGTTAGGAGAAGTAAGAGGTTTGGGGTGTCATATTGACTGGAAGAGCCACAAATCTCTTGGCTATCTCTTCGTTCCCATTGATTACACAGGAAGGAATTATTCCAAATCATGTATTTCTTTAGTGGATGATCCCCTTAAAAATTTCTACGATGTCAGTTTCTGTTAATATTTACTACAGTTTTTATTGTCATGGATTGTAACTTCTTAAAAATATTTAATATCATGCAAGCTGTTCAAAGACACCAGTAATTTGGAGACAGTGCAGGGAATCGGGCTGTGATTTCCTGGCTTTTATCTGTCTCTGCTGCTCCCTTCTCCTCTCCTTTGCCTGTTTGTGTTTCCTTTGTACACTCACTTTTAACAAAGGCCCCTTGAAATTCCAGGGGTAGGAGACACAGTGGAGCATTGAGGTAGGTCATCTCATATTTAATTTTGCCACTCTCTGGCCGTTAATTAAAATAATGCTTGAGTGCTAGTGTCCAGTTTTACAGGGGGTGTGTAAAATGTTAATCACAACTGATCTGAAGCATCCAGTCCAGTGCCAGGGAGAGGGTTTAGGGCACAGGCAGGGAGCATGTTATCAGGAAAAAAATAAACTAGAGGAAATAAAACATTTTGTTGTTCTTTAAAAAATTTTAATATGAGGCCCTACTATGAGCAAATATGAAGGAGGATGTGAAGACGGGTAAGGTGCAGTCCGCGGATTCAAAGGCGGGGCCATCTGCATGCTGAGCGTTTTACTATACTATTCCATTTAAGATTCGCAGCAGGCTGGGCGTGGTGGCTCACGCCTGTAATCCCAGCACATTGGGAGGCCAAGGCAGGTGGATCACCTGAGGTCAGACGTTCGTGACCAGCCTGGCCAACATGGTGAAACCCGGTCTCTGCTAAAAATACAAAAATGAGATTCGCTTAAACCCGGGAAGCAGAGGTTGCAGTAAGCTGAGATTGCACTATTGCACTCCAGCCTGGGTGATGAGAGTGAAACTCCGTCTAAAAAAAAAATTTGCAGCAGTCCAGAAGGTAGGCCCCATTATTCCGATTGTATGGGTGAGGATACTGAGTTGAAGAGGAGTAACTTGACATTGATCCCATTGTACAGTGGAGCCAAGATTAGATCCAGGGGACCTGGTTTCCCAGCCCCATCACCTCAGTCCTATTGCATTACCCTCTGGAAATGCTCAGTCCAGTAAAGGAGAGAGTGATGATGCAATGATGTGACTGCTTCCAGTGAAGAGTAAAAGTAATGAACTAGAAACGGGAGAAACAGATTGACACCCTTGAGTTGTCTTTCTGGTTAGGGCTTTTGGGTTTTTGTTCTGTAATACAGTCCAATGTGGTGGCCATTCAAGGGAGAAGGGCCACTCATCAGCCCTCCTGCTCCCTCACCCCCATCTTAATTAAATAAGTCTCCTTAGGATCTCACACACCTGCATGTAACAAAACAGGTTTTAAAAATCTGTAGTCAAGGAGCACTGCTTGTTTCTTTCTGGCAACAATCCCAGTGGAAGTAAAATTACACTGGACTGCCTGAAACTCTGAGCCCAAAGCGTTAATTTTTGAAAAACGTTTGAGGTTCCTGAGTTCCCGTGGTATGCTACTAGAATATTCTGTAGCTTTAACAACTCCCAGCCTTCATTCTGCACTGCACCCCCCGCACACCCAATACCTATTCCACATGTCTGGGGATAGGTCAGCTCACCGTCCACCCTCGCTGCCCCCTAGGCTGAGGTTCCCTGATGAGCACAGTTTTCCGGGAAGGATTTCAGCCCCTCTGTGAAAGTCTTCAGTTATCTCCTCTCTTGTTTCCAGAAGTAGCTTCTTTACTCCAACTTGAAATCTTGCTGTATTCCTTAGTGTTTTGGAAACAAAATGTGCAGTAGGAGAATTCTGGCTTTGTGGATATTGGATCACTTTGTTCCCTGGCACAACAATCTCTCCTTTGTATTAAACATCTGAGAACAGAAGTCCTAAATAACATTTTTATATTCCTTGTTGATGTAAGTTCTTTATTTGGGGACAGCAGTTTGGTACTTGTTCCTCTGTCAAATTCTGATGTACTTTCCCTTTTTCCTATGATGAGGACACCACTGACCCCTAGCCTGGAATTTTACTTTGGGTAGTGGTGGTATTTGCTTACCCCGTGGGACTTTCCTGTTGAATCCCTCTAGTCTGCAGTGAGTGGCCTGTGTCATAGTGGGATGTCTGACTGGTCGGAGCAAAGGTACCCAATCCTCCAGCCTGACCATGAGCTGGGTGGTGAACTAGCCAGCCACAAACAAGCCAGATGGACAGACAGACCAAAATAGCCACTTGTCCACCTCCTTCCTGGAAATGCAGAAGGGCTGCTCCGGAGGTCCAAGAAGACCTAATTTGGTCAGCAACCCAGCACTTACTCTGAACAGGAGGTGGAGTTGTGAGCCTGGTATAAGTTCCCTACCTCCGATTCTTTACTTTTACCACACACGTTTGCACATTTCAAGGAGATGATCAGCCACACTACCAACTACTGATGGGTAACAAATACTCTTTACGTCAAAGCTCTTCTGATGATTTTCCTGGATTCTGTACTTGTACAATGAATGTACTTGTGCCTTTACTCCAAAGAAAATTAGTATATGTGGCTGGGCACAGTGACTCACGCCTGTAATCCCAGCACTGTGGGAGGCCGAGGCAGGTGGATCACTTGAAGCCAGGAGTTCAAGACCAGCCTGGACAACATGGTGAAACCCCACCTATACTAAAAATATAAAAAAATTGGCTGGGCGCAGTGGCTCATGCCTGTAATCCCAGCACTTTGGGAGGCCGAGGCGGGCAGATCACTTGAGGTCAGGAGTTCGAGACCAGCCTGGCCAACATGGGGAAACATTGTCTCTACTAAAAATACAAACATTAACTGGGCATGGTGGCAGGAGCCTCTGGTCCCAGCTACTTGGGAAGCTGAGACAAGAGAATTGCTTGAACCTGGGAGGTAGAGGTTGCAGTGACCTGGGATCATGCCACTGCACTCCAGAGCGAGATTCTGTCTCAAAATAAAAAAAAAAAAAGAAAAAATAACAACAAAAAAGAAAATTAGTATATGTGCTTTACTCTTTAGGCAAACCCAATATTATACAAATTCAGTTTTTTAAGACAGGATAGGACATTTTATTTTTCAGAAAATGTATAACCACATTCCTTAAATGGCGTAGGTAGTATAATATAAATATGGTTTATCCCCTAAGACCGTTTTTATTTCTATGTGAGTTTCAAAGCTCTCCCTTTTTCCTATTCATTCAACAACTCCACGCTGAGTTGTCTTATGGGAGGAAAGGCTGCCCTGCATGGCTCTCTTGCAGCTAATGAAATGAGCAGTTGGCTTTGGTGTTTTATCACTTTGGGTCAGAGATCTATTTCTTGCTCCTTACTCCTTCAGTGAATATCTAGTTCGTGCTCCCTATGGATCAAGCATCGTGCTGGTCTTCTTCCATCTGCCTTGTTCCCAGTGGGAGCAGTTGGAAGGATGCTGATGGTTTCTTCCTCCAGGAGAGGAAGGGCAGTGTTTCATGTCACTCACAACCAAGCAGCTAGTTGTCGGCTCTTGGAAAACTAGTTCACCAAAGGGAAGCACTGAGCCTGAGGCCCTGGGATGGGTTGGATTCTTTTCTAAGTGGAATAACATTCTACTCCTCCTGCTTAACCTTTCCTTGCAAACTAAAATGGGAAAATCACTCTATGGACAAAGTCAAGCAGAAATAAAAAATACCCTCTCTGAGGCAGCCTGGCAGTACCTGCATGAATCAGCCAGTGTTTGGATAAGAAGCAGCCCCTCGAGAAGGAATGGAGCCCTTCCCTGGACCTTAATTGATTTTTGTATTTGTTCTTCTTCTTTTAATTCTTTGTGGAAAAGTGATTTGTACTGCAGAGTGGCTTTAACATATTATGGGTGCTGTTTTATGTAATACTGTTCTTATCTAAAGATCATTTCTGCTTGTTTTGCCCTATTTTTTTTCCTGATCCAGCTCATGTTTGTTTTTCTTTTTCATTTTATTTCTTCTTTTTGAAGGAGTTATTGTTCCTCTTATTTCTCCCACTTCATCTACCCCCGTTATCTGCCAGGAGAATAGGAGAAGACATGGGCCACTTTTTTTTTTCCATTTTTAAAATCAATTGGCTAGATATCACCTTTCTCTCGTGAGTTTGTTTCATAACGCAGAGCCTCATTAGTAACGAACCTGACCCTTAAGAAGTTGGGTTATGTTTATTCCTAGGGATTAAGGCACTGTTCTGGCCTGGTTGGCCCTTTGCTGTCTGTGCTATCGTCCGCCCCTGCTGACCAGGGCGTGCCTGGCTCATGGACAGGGCAGCTCCTTGCAGAGGTACCCTGCTGTCAGGGAAAGTTCTATGGACTAGTAACTGCTAAGATCTTTTTTGATAAAATGAGATCTTGAAGCCTTCAATCATGAGCCTCAAACAATTTACATAATAAATCCAGAACTTGGAGATCCAAAAGATATTGCCATGTTTTTGGTTATGTTGCTAGGGAACTATGCCTCCGTTTTCAAATGATACATTGCTGTGTGTGTGCGTGTACATGTGCATGCATGTGTGTGTATGTATGGAATGAGGAAAATTAGGTGTTTCATGCTTATGCATTGTAGTGAAGGCTACAGTGTTGTTAGGCTTTTCTGATGGATATCATAACTCAAACTACAGAATTTGTTTACAGCAGTGTTCATGTGACCAAGAAAAAAAAAAGCAGATGAAAAGTAGCCAGACGTGTTCAAAACACAACTAATAGATCAGGTTTCTGGAACATCTGAGTCTAAGGGTTTGGTCTTCCTCACAATATGTTGAGAGGTGATGTTTTAAAAGCAAAAACGGAGAAAAGGCCAGCTGTGGAGAATGGTAACTGAGACAATTAGAAAGCAGATGTGTGCAATTGAATGTAGTCAGCCTTAAATGGATCCACACTCTCTTCTGTATGAGGGTCTGGAAGGGAGAGTTCACAGAATAAAAATGGAGTCATTTTATTCTTTCTGTTCAATATAGATTCCCACATACAGCGAGTATTTGAATTGTGACTTGCTTTCTCATTGGCGTAATTCCCACCTGCCTTTGGAAGTCCATTCCGAGGTGACCTTGCCCCCTGCAATATGGAATGGGAAAACACCTGGCTGAGTCTAGACGTCTGATAACCACGTAGGTGGGTAAGGTAACCACTGGGATGGCTGGAAGGTGTTACCCAGGGAAACTGAAGGCCAGGATGAAAATAAAAGCAAACGGTTTCCCCTTGGGCAATGACTGCCATCAGGATTCTGCTGCTGATAAAATGCTGCTCCTTTGTTCTGCTTCCTGCGTGTTCATCCATATGATAGCTGTTAGACATTTCATTCAGCTTTCACCCACCTGGCACTGCTTCAGTGCCAACCAACGGCAAGGTGCTCCCCAGCTGCCATGGGGAGCCGGGTACAAATAGACCTCAGCGAAGCCCTGCGTGCATGCAAACTGCGTTTGCCTTTTGCATTCTGCTTTTCTCTCGGGGCCATGCTTGGGACACTTACACGCTGCCCGCTTTCTTTCTGTGATGGGGGCTGGTGCCTTTGCACTAGGCCCCCACAGTCATCAATAGCCCTGTTCATGTGGGAGGTGACAGCAACATTTTGCCACATTACAGGCTGCAGGGCTCAATGTGAACATTCTTCTTAGAGTGAGCAAAGGGCATGGGACTTCTGACGGCCAGGGAAGTCACAGCCTGCACCACAGTGCGAAGATCCTCCATCTGGGCCATGGGGAGCACTTAGAATGTCTTTTTATGGGTTCAATAAAATGTGATGAACAAATGTTTGTGGTGAAGCTCTATTGTGAGGTTTTCTGATCATATGTAACATAATTACTGAAATCTTTGTCAGGCATTGTTTTGCATTTTTATCTACAAAGGAAGCCAGTGACAAGCTCACCACTGTTCTCTGTTTTCCCTTTAGTCGGTTCTTAATCATCCAAGTCAATAGAGAAAATCACCATCATCGATGACGCAAACCCGTAAAAAGTCCAAAAATAATTTGTGTTTGATTTTGAGATGGAGATGGTAGGCATGTGAACAAAACGTGCCAAGACATTTAGGCTACTTTGAGGTCCAGGCCAATGCCCTCCCAACTCGGCTCTGCTCCCCCTGAAGCCGGAGACCGTGTATAGGGATCTGGGGGACCGGAGGGCAACGCCAGAGAACAAGTGGAGGAGGTGGCTATCAATCCTCAGAGTTTGTCATCCACTATGAAGAAAGCTGGCCAGGTTTTGTTCTGATAACATCACATAGATATTTTATACTTTTTAAAAGATGATCAGAGTGACATCTGTGTGGTTAAAAAGCCAAATAACACAGAAGGCTTTTAATAAAAAATAACAGCCCTGCCTGGGTCCTGTCCTTCCTTGGTCCCACTTTCCAGAGGAAACACCTTTGAACCCTCCCAGCTTTGTTGAAAGTTCTTTGGGTGGCTACCTTCATATCTTTAAATAATATATGGTAGTACCATTTGTACTAGTTTTCTAGGGCTGCTGTGACAAAATACCGTAAACTGGGTGGCTTAAAACAATAGAAATTTATTATCTCATAGTTCTGAGGGCTGGAAGTCTGTAATCAAGGTGCCAGCATGGCCACACTTGTTCTGAAGGCTCAGGGGGATCCACCCCCCACCTCTTCCAGCTCCTGGAAGTGCCATCGGTCCTTAGCTTGCCCTCTGTGTCCCTGTGTGTCCCTCCTCACATGGCATTTTCCTCTGCCTATAAGGACGCAGTCCTATTGGGTTAGAGCCCACCCTAACGACCTCCTCTTAACTTGATTACATTTACAAAGACCGTGTTTCCAAATTAAGTCACATTTACAGGTACTGGGGACTTGAACATATCTTTTGAGGGGACATAATTCGACCCATAACACTACTCTTTCTCAGTTTATTGCCTTCCTTTTATAGTCAATGGGGTTTCTCTCCCTGATTCAGCCTCGTCTGTGTCTTCTCTCAGACCTCTTCCCTCTCCATGCTCCGTCCCTCCACTTAAAGGACATTGCTTATTTCTCAAACAAATTCTTGGAAACCTCATTTCTCATTCTGTTGACCTTAGAGAGCATCACTTAATTACTCATTTAAAAAATGAAAGCATTCACTCTTTCGGCTCCCATCTTCTACCTCTGAGCCTCTGTCAGCTAGGGCCAAGCTTGATGCCATCCGTGTTCTTTTCAGTTCCCTGAATGGTTAAATCCTCTGTCATTTGTCCTCAGACGAAGAATGGATATTTGTCTACAGCTTCTATTGATAGGATCTGAAAGTTGAAAACCAATAAACAGTGTTATCGTGACTCTGTCTCCTGGATTATTATACCTTTGCATGCCCTCTGGGTTTTAATTAAAATACTTTATACCATTTGAAAAATGACAGCATAATTTCTGTTTGTTTAGTACTTTAGAATCTACATTTATTTGATTTTAGATGGCAGCATACTTTGCTTGCTCTGAATTGGGAAACTGTCTATTCGTTTTTCTTGATGTCCTTTGGCATTACATATTGAAATGAGGCTTTGTGTCTTATAAATGTTTGATCACATGACACAGTAGCCGCATGGGTCTCTCTGTGAGTTTTTAGCAACAGGTAAGCCATTCTAAGGTAGTGCTAGCCAAACTTTGGATTTCAATGCTTTTCATTTCTTTTTTTTAAAGACCAATACAGAGATGCTAACTTTTTATTTTGCCAGAATGGGATATTAATAAATCAGCTATTATTTACTCTCACTGGTAAAATAAGAACATTTAACATGAAAAACAAAATAGTAAGGACATAACCTTGGAATAAGTTACACAATTTTAAAAATTTTGAATGAATTTAACTTTCAAAGAACTCATTACTTTCCCTCATTTTTCCCATTTGGCATAGACTGGTGAAAACATTCTGAATGGAATGGTTGTCCTAGATCAACCTTGTTTAGTGGCCATGTGTCTGGTTTTAATAGAGTAGAACATACTGTTAATGACTCTGCTTACTCTGTAGATGGTTAGGTTGATTGATTAGGACCTGGTATGGAAGATGTGCAGGAGAAGGGGGCAGGCTTTGTGTGAAGTGGGAGAGTTGGATCGCCCTATTTTGTGACCCTAAACTGTAAGTAGAACCCCATACCCCTTGCCACATGCCCCTAGTCTAAGCCATTTGTAAGCTGAGCTAGCTCACAAATTCTTGCCCAACATGTGCTGTGTTGGGCATGAATTTAAGTAGATACATACAGATCTGTCACCTTTATATATGTAGCCCTTGAGTAAGTCACGCTTTCACTGTCTTAATTTATTACCATAAAGTTGGCCGGGCATGGTGGCTCACGCCTGTAATCCCAGCACTTTGGGAGGTCAAGGCGGGCAGATCACTCGAGGTCGGAAGTTCAAGACCAGCCTGGCCAACATGGTGAAACCCCGTCTGTACTAAAAACACAAAAATTAGCTGGGTGTGGTGGTGCACACCTGTAGTCCCAGTTACTTAGGAAGCTGTGGCAGAAGAATCGCTTGAACCTGGAAGGTGGAGGTTGCAGTGAGCTGAGATCACACCACTGTACTTGAGCCTGGGTGACAGAGCGAGACTCGGTCTCAAATAATAATAATTTTTTTCCATAATGTTGTCTTCCCATATATATTTTACCAGCTTGAGGTAATATAACTAGTAAAACTTAAGCATTCAACCAATGCACAATGACACCATTTTTCTAATCTTCTCTGACTAAACTAAGTCTAAAATGGAATATTATTGACTAAATGTATCCCATCGACTATATTTGATTAATTAACCATCAGGTAAAATTCTTTCTCTCCTTAAGGAAGAAGAGATTGGGATTAAGATTGGTTATCAGTCATACCCTTGCCACATTGAATTGAATTCAGTTTTCAGAATGTTAATGCTTTAATAGGAAGTTTTGTGAAATCCCTTCAGATAAGAAGAAAATTAATTTCTTACTTTTTTTTTTTTGGTAAGAAATGTTTGTGTGTGTGGCGGGGGGGGAGGGCTGCAGCCAACCACAGGTGATTTTAATGATGGTAATATATAGCACCTTCCTAGGACCATGTGGTTTAAAACATCGATGAGGTCCTCTTCACAACATCCCTGAGAGGCATTTAGATATTGTCTTCCCATGTTTTTTTGCACAGGGGAAATTCAAGACAGACTGAGGTTAAGAAGTGAGTAGCCCAAGTTTAGTCAGCAGGTCAATTGCAAAGTGAGAAAAGGAAGTCCAGCTCTTTCAAACCACATCTCTTATCCTGGCTAATGAACAGCATCTCCCTGAGTCCATACTCTCAACTTTAAGATTCCACTCTAGGCCACTTTACTTTTTGAAGATCTGAACATTTGAATGAATCAGATACGGCTTTCCAATTAGAAGTGTAGACAGTCGTGTCCCTCAAGGTTTCATTGTAAGGATAAATGAAGGTGGTGATGCTTTTGAGCCCCTGGGACATAGGCCAGTCCCCAGAGAGGAGGAAGCAGCTCTGAACCAGCAGCATCCCTGAGTTTGATTTGTTTATCAGAAGTAATGGTTTGGATAGAGCTGTCCACACTGTCATCCCATTTTATTGGTGACCAGGAACATATACCACAGAAAAGTTATGAATTATGAAACTAGAGAAGGTGACAAGTGCTGGCTTTATGCTGCTCTAGCTCTGTGTCACTTAACTCTTTTGGACCTCAGCCATGCCATCAGTAAAATGGAGGTCATGATGTTAACTCCTTTCCGTTGTCTTTCATCCTTTGATTCTTCTAAATGCCCTTCATCGGAATCAAACTGGCAGCCGTACACTTGCCAGGTCTATGCACACAGCAGTGAGCTCTGCAATCCAAGGACCAGATCCAAGTACAGATAGGGCCCATGTTTTGCAGCTTTGCATTCTTTCTCCTCTACATTTCATCTCTGCCTGCATTCCATGTCACCTTTGGAAGACCTCATATGTCACTGTCTTTCTGCCCTCATTGAACAGAGTGCACTACCCGTGAGCTTCCAGTATGGTGCCTTCTGGCAATCTACTTGAAGATATGATCTTCATTTTGGTTGAAATCTAATACCCCATGTGAAGAACAAGGACAGTACAACTCAAAATTCTGGACCACTGCATATGGTATCTTTTCTATAACCCATATTTTAAATACGTGTATTAATTTATAACACAAACATATGGATGTTTCAAATAACGTTGGGCTATAAAAAACTGGTATTGATAATTGTGACCCCAATGATGAGAAGCACTCATCAGAAGAAGAAGGAATTCCATTTTTTTTTTTTAAGGCAGGGTCTTGCTCTGTTGCCCAGGCTTGAGTGCAGTGACATGATTTCAGCTCCTGCAACCTCTGCCTCCCTGGTTCAAGCGATCCTCCCACCTCAGCCTCCCAAGTAGCTGAGATCACAGGAGTGCACCACCACACCCAGCTTTTTTTTTTTTTTTTTTTTTTTTTTAGCAAAGACAGGGTTTCCCTATGCCGCCCAGGCTGGTCTTGAACTCCTGACCTCAAGTGATCCACCCGCCTCAGCCTCCTAAAGTGTTGGGATTATAGACGTGAGCCACCTTGCCTGGACAGGAAGAAGGAACTCTGTCTAAGCACATTTTTGGTTTTGTCCAGTCATGTTGTTTACACGGCCATTGTTACAAAGCAGAAAAGCCACCAGGCATCTCTTTACCTCTGAAGCAAGCATTCTAAATAGTTGAGAGTTTGTGGTACATAAAAAGAAGCCTTCTCTCATGCTAATGTTTTCAAAACAAGTTGTGACTTCTGAAAGTAGAGACCAAAGAAAGAATAACTTGAACAAGATTTCAGTGGGTAGAAAATAAACACTAACTTTATATGTATTTCAAGAACGTAAAAGAAACAGGTGGGAAATGAATCCTCCTCGATAAGAGAGAAATGCTTAGTAGGGTGGAAAAAAAAAAAAGACAACATTCAGCAGTTTTTGGAACTGTGCGAGTCCAGAGAGTTTCTTTCTTTCTTTCTTTCTTTTTTTTTTTTCTGGTTAGCTCTCATAGCCACAAATATGTATATTATTTCCTTCTTGCCCACAATTTACTGAGAATCATCTTTCTAATATACTGGGGAATCCCAAATAAAAATCTCATTTTTCTAAACACAGACAAGTCTTTTAACTCCTGCAATTAAATGATTCAACTATTCATATGTAGACTGTAAAAGAAATAATCAAATTGTTCTAGTAGAAATCTCCAACGGCCATCTCAAATAGTTTCCTTCCCAAATTTATACTGTAAACGGCTTAGGTTTAGGGAGGGGTTTTGCCCTAGTCACTGATGTTTTGAAATAGGACTCAGAAACCTCTTTCATAAAGTCTCTGCGGTGATTGGGCTACCCCAGCAATGTGATATAGTGGTAGGATTACAGAATATTTTAACCCTTTTCTGAATGTTGCAATATATTCTTATATGGGAAATGATTGATTATTAACTACTTAGAATGTGTTTCTTTTCCAAGCATGTCAGCAGAGTAAGTACAGCAGACTTCGTAGGCGATCAGTGTAGTGTCAGGTGTGAGCAGTATGGACTGGAGATGGTCTGCCTGGATTCAAACCTCTGCTCTGTCCTTTCCTACCCAGGCTTTTCTGGGGCTCCTTCTGCTCATCTGCTAAGTGCCACGTATTACAGCATTTTCCTCATAGGGCTGCTGTGAGCTTTAAATGCGTTTATGAGTTAACTGCTTAGAACAGTGCCAGCTATGTAATAAACACTACGTAAGTGGCAGCTACACCATGCATAAACAAACGCAAACTGTGTGCATCTGAGGAATAATTCTAGTTAACATTAAAGTGTGTTTTTGTGTACAGAGTTGGTGTCTGTTGTCTGTGCATTCACTTTTTAAAAATCGGGAAATAGCAGATGTTAGGAACCTATTTATTTTGCTTGCTCTTCCTTCTACTTTCTGCTTGCTACCTACTCTATTCTAGTTCCAGACTTGATCTGTTTCTCTGTGCAGGGTTGCTCCTATGTACAACCAATGCAGAACTGACCCCATCAAATTTACAAAGTGTATTAGTCTGTTTTCACGCTGTTGATAAAGATATACCTTAGACTGGACAATTTACAAAAGAAAGAGGTTTATTGGACATACAGTTCCACGTGGCTGGGGAGACCTCACAATCACGGTGGATGGTGAAAGGCACATCTCACGTGGCAGACAAGAGGAGAGGATCAAGTCACATCTTACATGGATGGTGGCAGGCAAAGAGAGCTTGTGCAGGGAACTCCCATTTTTAAAACCATCACATCTTGTGAGACTCATTCATTATCATGAGAACAGTGCAGAAAGACCTACCACCATAATTCAATTGCCTCCCACCGGGTTCCTCCCACAGCATGTGGGAATTGTGGGAGTTACAACTCAAGATGAGATTTGGGTGGGGACACAGCCAAACCGTATCAATAGGTATGGAAGGAAGTAAAATACTATTTTTTGGTAAGAGCTCTCCCACTAAGATATGAGGACATATGCAGAAAGTGAGGAAATAAAACTCAAAGAAAGTGAGGAAATAAAACTCAAAATTGGCTTTCAAAAGCAAATTTTCTGTCAGTAAGATGTGACACGAATGTTAAAGTTTTAACAGGTTTTGTTTCCTTGTAAATATTTACTTCACTATATCTAATAATCTTTGTGAATGAAGATCTCATTGGTGTCTTTTTTAAGATATTAAGAATATTAGGATTACTTATATTTGAGGACTAAAAGATTGGTAGAGACATAATTCTATCCTTGTGGCTTCTTTGCATACTTTAATGCTAAAGTTCAGTACTTAAGATTGAATAAAAATGTCTTGACAATCAGATATAAAATACCTTCTTTGGGCTGGGCACAGTGGCTCACGCCTGTAATCCCAGCACTTTGGGAGGTCGACATGGGTAGATCACCTGAGGTTAGGAGTTTGAGACCAGCCTGACCAACATGGTGAAACCCCATCTCTACTAAAAATACAAAAATTAGCTGGGCGTGGTGGCAGGTGCTTGTAATCCCAGCTACTTGGGAGGCTGAGGCAGGAGAATCGCTTGAACCCGGAAGGTGGAGTTTGTAGTGAGACGAGATCACGCCATTGCACTCCAGCCTGGGCAACAAGAGAGAAACTACGTCAAAAAAAAAAAGAAAAAAAAACCTTCCTTAGTGTCAGTCACTCTTTTTCTTTTCTTTCTTTCTTTTTTTTTTTGAGACAGAGTCTTGCTCTGTCACCCAGGCTGGAGTGCAGTGGCGGGATCTCGGCTCACTGCAAGCTCCGCCTCCCGGGTTCACGCCATTCTCCTGCCTCAGCCTCCTCAGTAGCTGGGACTACAGGCGCCCGCCACCACGCCTGGCTAATTTTTTTGTATTTTTTAGTAGAGACGGGGTTTCACCGTGTTAGCCGGGATGGTCTCGATCTCCTGACCTGGTGATCCGCCTGCCTCGGCCTCCCAAAGTGCTGGGTAGTCACTCTTTTTCTTAAGGTTACACAGTCATGGTTGACTTTGTAGGGGCTCAGGACATGCCACCCCAGACTATCATCTCCTTTTCCAAGGACTGTTCCAATATAATTTCTAGTACCTGAGAGACTTTCTCTGCATAATAAGACACACTTGACCCACCATACAGAGCCTCCCCTCATCAACGCACAGCTTGTGTCCCCACCACCCCCAGAAGCCCCAAGCCCCTATTCCGTTCCATAGCTCAGGATGCTAAATGAGTTTCAACCGTGTGACCCTTCTTCAAGTCTCATATTTTGTGGGACTCCCATGTGCACCTACATTATTAAATATGGGGTTTCTTTCTGTTAATTTGTCTTACGTCAATTCATAACCCAGCCAAGAAACCCAGAGCGGTGGAGGAAAGCCATTTCTCTCTCCCCTACAACTTTTAAATACTAAAATTAAAAATGTCCCCACCCACCAATATTGGAACTCCGTGGTATCCATAAGCTGGGTTGCATGTTAGTGATTGTAATAAGCAATAAAAATCCTTGCATGTCAATATTTTATTAAATTTGATTATTCATGGATTTGTGACCATTATTATTTGCTGTTTATTGGTTTGTTGTTGTTTTTAAAATATTTTACTTGGACTTATGGACCACATGTTTGTTTCAGAAATTCTTCAAAAGACAGCAAATCCCTAGTAAGTGGGAAGAAAAATCACTTAACAGTATTCCAAGTACCTCAAAAGATGCAAATATGGAAAGATGAATATGAAAAAGGGTACTCCTAGAGTTTATCAATTGTCTATCCCTGGAGAAAGTTTCCATTCTCCATTAAGACTCCAACGGCTTTGAATAGTATATGCTTTTGTGTATACAATGAAAATAAACCATCATCATCGTCATCATATTAACTGGGCTTGTGCCCATTGTAGATTTCATGAAAAATAACCAACCATCAAAAATGACTTGACAGGAGAAGCCAACAAGCCCTAACATTAAATGGTCCTGTAAAAGTTTGCAGGTATATTATTTGTGTATTCAGTAATACTCTCAATTAGTGTTTATGACTTCATTAACTTAATTCATTTTTCATGAATGGTAAAAATTCACTCTTTCCTACATTCACAAATGATAGGCTATTTTGATGGAAAACCAAAGACTCACTATATGTTCTCCTTTGCAGTAGCGGTAGTAGTTGCAGCCACCAACTTCAGATGTGCAGTTCCTAGTTTACTATGTGATTCAGTGTGCTTTTATTGAGGGCCTCCTTGTCGAGAGAGAGTATAATACACTAGCAGGAGTATATGTTTTGGAGTCAAACTGTTCTTGGCTCAGATCCTGGCACAGCTACTTGCTTACTGTGTGGTCTTGGGCTTCCTGGTCTGTAAAATACCCGCCCTGCAGAGTTCTTGCTGAGTTGAAGTGAGAGGATGTATGTGCAAGTGTGCGGTGCGGCATTCGGTGGGTACTCCACAGCACTGGCTTCCCTTTCCTTCCACACTGGGGGCCTGCTCCTCTAATTCCTGTTCACCAAGTAGACGGGGAGGAAGAGAGTGGTGCCTGAAACTACCATTTTTTTTAGTGAGTCAAACGTGTCATGTTGTGACATCTTAGGCATGTCCCTTCACCCTGGGGGTCTTGGTTAACTCCTCTGTTAAATTCAGAGCTTGCCTTTTTTTTTTTTTTTTTTTTTTTGAGGCGGAGTCTTACTCTGTCACCCAGGCTGGAGTGCAGTGGTGCAATCTCAGCTCACTGCAACTTCCGCCTCCTGGGTTCAAGCGATTCTCCTGCCTCAGCCTCCCGAGTAGCTGGAGCTACAGTCACGCACCACCATGCCCAGCTAATTTTTTTGGCATTTTTAGTAGAGACTGGGTTTCACCATGTTGGCCAGGCTGGTCTTGAATTCCTGACCTCAAGTGATCCACCCACCTCGGCCTCCCAGAGTGCTGGGATTACAGGTGTGAGCCACCACACTTGGCCAGTTGACCTTTACTTTATGATTATTTCTAAAGCACTTCCAGATCTATCCTTCTGTGATGCTATGATACTATGAAGCATTAAGTTGAGACTAGGAGATTAACAGTAGGGTGTTAAATGGACAGGACTGATCACAATCTTATATGGTGAAGGAAGAACCAATTGGACTTAGTGACACATTAAATGTGATTAGACATGAATTGGAAACTATTTTGAGGTAATGTTCCCCAGGATGCCCTCTCCAAAACACTAGTTGCTGAGGATGGGAATAGATGTTAATTGAAAAAAGGTTTCTGAAAAGCATTTGGGAAATGCTAACTTCACCAGGTTTCTTTCCTGCAGGACTTCTCTGATTCTTTAATATGCCCATATGCATGATGATTCTGAAATTGGGGAATGTAGTCATAGTAGGAAGCATTTCTAAAGCTTATTTCTTCATGGAATCAGAATTATGTTGCACCCAAGTAGCATCTTACAGGACCAGTATTTCATGGAAAATACTCTGTGAAGTGCTGCTCTATGGTTTTAAACCAAGAATGAGGTACAATATAGGGGCATTGACTCAACCCAGTGAATGTGCTGAGCACTGACCTCGCAAGATCCTGTGGAGGGCGGAAATGGATAAGATCCCACCTCTGCAACAAGGCTGGCAATAAGCCATTAGTGGTGGCATTGTCTACATGGCTAATAGCAGGGATGCCTTGGGGGAGACAATATCCCACCGAATTACTGATGCAGATTCAGTTGAGGCAGTATCCCCAGGGTGCAAAGTCCTGATTTCTCTCTCGGATGTGCTTATTCTCTGTCTCTCTATGAAGCTCTTATAATGGTATTAGCATCCAGTTCACCACGGAGAAATTCTGCAGATAAAATGAACGTAGGAGCTAAACCAATGGGAAGTTTCATTCAGGAGAAGATTTTACAAAATGGACTCTTTGGACTTCGTTTTTGAGTACATAGTTATTTGACCACCATTTCTACACTTGGCCTTAAAGTCAAAATATAATCTAAGGCGAGAAGTCTAAAAACTATGTAGTAGACAACCTTGCTTTACTGTGAAGGACATGGCATCTCAATGTTGGCAGAACCTGACGACGTAGTTTGTTTTTATTTCTCATTGATGAAAGATGAGCCAGAGGCCTGATGGCAGATTTTACTGGGAAGGACCTTTTCTCACCGGTCAGATCCGTGGATTATTTCACCACTGGATTTTTCTGCCTGTTAGGCCTTTGGAAACATTTTGGCAGATTGAGCAGTTATTTTGCTCATGTTGTGAGTAGCGTTTCTCTGACCTTTTGTTATTTACTGAAACAATCCAGCCTGTTTTCTTTTAAGAGAAGCGTGAAATGAAGGGGAGTCAGTCAGCACATGCTGACTCTGGTATCAGAAGGCTAACTTTTGGGCTGCTTGGCACCATGTATGCTTTTAAAGTTATGGGGTCATTGGCCTCTTTGTTTCTTATTCCCATGATTTTGAAGGAGTCTTTTGGGGGAATTTTTTTTTCCTTGCTAAAGCAGATGCATGTAAGGTTAGTAATTAAAAAAATATATTTCACTATGTCTATAAACATAACCCTCTAAGTTTTCTTACGACATCTTGGGCATGGTAGATTATCTGAAGCCTCTCCTCTTTTAAACATTGATGTGACGTGATGGGGAGGCCAGCTTGGCACTGGAATGGTGGCTTGGTGACAGGGCATCCCTCACTCCTGACCTCTCATGACCTTGTGAGTCCAGACAGTGGAGGTGATGACACCATTCAGGACGCTCTCCACCAGCCGCAACAGGGAACTCCTTCTCCCTAGTGCTCTGCCTACCTATGCCCAGAAAACCTATCTCCCTGATGTTTTTCTGGTTCTTCCCCTAGTAGAAGATTTCCATTCTTTGCAGGTTGACTTGCAAGGATAAAGGAAGTACCAAGATCCTATTGTGGCCGGGCGCGGTGGCTCACACTTGTAATGCCAGCACTTTGGGAGGTCAAGGTGGGCAGATCACCTGAGATCAGGAGTTCAAGACCAGCCTGGTCAACATGGCAAAACCCCATCTCTACTAAAAATACAAAATTAGCTGGGGGTGGTGGCGGGCGCCTATAATCCCAGCTACTCGGGAGGCTTAGGCAGGAGAATTGCTTGAACTTGGGAGGGGGAGGTTGCAGTGAGCCGAGATTGCATCATTGCACTCCAGCCTGAGCAACAGAATAAAACTTCGTCTCAAAAAAAAAAAAAAAATCCTGTTGCATCTTCAAAGATGAGAAAATGTGCGTGTGTATGTGTACTTGAGTATATGTTCATTCCTATCTCCCCATCTATCTACCTGCCTACTGATCTCTTTCTAGCCCGGTCAGAAAATTCAATAGGAATCATGGCTTTTCATTGGGATTCCCCATAGCACTTGAGCTCAGCTGCTAGTGTTGAAGACATCACTCAAATTTGTCTTGTTTATTCTCGTAGCCAAACATAAAAATGATCATTACCTACATAAACTAACCTAGATGATCATTAATTGAGGCTATTTAATAATGATCTGCATGTTTGACAATCACCATTGTCTAAGAATGGGCCATGGCTTTAGGAATGTTTCATTCATTTCTTCAGTCTTTCAGTCAACAAATAACACACTGTCCTAGGTGCTGGGGACACAGTGTGAGCAAAGGGACACAATTCTCATGGTGCCACATGGGCAATAAGTAAAACCGAAAAATAAGAACGTGGCAGACAACAAAATGGATAACGTAGGGTGTAACTGGGGAGGATGGTGATATGGTTTGGCTGTGTCCCCACCCAAATTTCATCTTGGATCGTAGCTCCCACAATTCCCACATGTCATGGGAGGGAGCGGGTAGGATGTAATTGAATCATGGGGGCGGGTCTTTCCTGTGCTGTTGTGATAATGAATAAGTCTCATGAGACCTGGTGGTTTTATAAAGGGGAGTTTGCCTGCACAAGTTCTGTTATTTTCTCTTGTTTGCCGCCATGTCTTTCGCCTTCCACCATGATTGTGATTTATAATTTTCTTTATAAATTACACAGTCTTGGGTATATCTTTACCAGCAGCGTGAACACGGACTAATACAGGGGGAAGGCTAGTTTAAATATGAGTTTCACAGGACCTGTTTCTTTGGCTTGAGGCCTGTGAGATGAGGAGCCAGCCCTGAGAAGTCCTGAGGAAAAACTTGGAGACAGAAGGAAGAACAAACGGACTCCTCTCCCACTGAATGACCTCATGTATATGTTTGCCACTTGGGACTATGACCTGATGCCTCTTTAAACCTCTAGGTCATTGGGAACATCCACAAAACAGCTGAAAGATGCTGTTTTGTTAGAATGCTCGTTGTAATGCAGGATGCTGGTGAACCCAGTGTGAACTTTTCAAAAACCTATTGATCCCACCCCACCCACTCTCTAGAGCTCTCATATTGACAAAGGATACCTTTCACAGATTAGAAAGTCAGTAGACTCCATTTCTTAGAGGAAAGTTGTGGAAAATACTTAAAAATACTGTGAGTAGAAGAAAGAAGCAGTTTAGAGCTTCAAATTCAATCGGGCTAAGTTGGGCAAGCTACTGCCTTATAGGCAGTAACTTTCTCATAGAACTTTAAAAAGTTTTATTTTGCAATAATTATAGACTTGTGGGAAGTTGCAAAAATAGTACAGAGAGGGCCCATGTACTCTTCATCCTGCTTCTTGAATGGTAACGTCTTGCATAACAATAGTAAATGGTATCATGTATATAGCATCACATTATCAATACCAGGAAACTGACGTTAGTATTAGGCCTTAAACAGATTTCACCATGGTTTATGTGCACTGATTTGTATGTGTGTGTGTATCTCACCCCATGTCTAGATTCCTGTAACCACCACCGCCATCAGGACACAGGGTTATTCCATCCCTACCAAGAAACTCCCTTGTCTCCCTGTACTTTTATGTATGAGAAATGGCAGCAGATGCTGTCCTGCTTTTAGTCTGAATCATATTCTGGAAAAATCTACAGTGAGAGAAGGTGGATGAGTCTTTGAAATCTATTGGTTGAAATGTATTGGCACTGAGAATCTGCTTAATTGATATAGAAATGGAGTTCCTTGGTCTGACTTATATGAAGACCATCTACAAGCTCAGAACCAAAAAACACAGGTTTGAATAAGTAACCCTGACCACATTATGAGAGTCCATCAGTTGATGCTCAATTGGTTTAAGAAGCTAATACCAGTCATGTGGCCTGAGTAGTTTATTTCTAAGAAGAAAACTCTTTCTGGCACCACACAACTTGGGGGATTAATAATATATATATGGAGCGTTTGGCACATTTCTCGAAGATGACCCAGGAAGCAGACACACCAGTAATGGGTTAACAGGTCACCCGAAGAGTGGGTGCATTCCTTATGGAAAACAGAACACATGATAGAAAAATAGCCTTTTGTGTGTGGAGGCAAGAAACCTTTAGGACGTGCAGTTAGCAGTGAGAACTTAAGGAAGGTGCAGGCTGAAATGGAAACACGCTATAAACAGATTGAGAGAGAGACAACAGCTTTAAGGGAAAACATCTGTCTGGTGGATCTGACATCCAAAAGTTGCATCTGTGGTCTAGGACCAATCTTGTAACGCTTAAAAAAGGAATCCACAGAGGCCCAAAGCGGGCTCTGAAAGTTTCTTTCTTTCCTTGAGATTTTCTGTTTGCTCTGCCCAGAATACTGCCTAGGACGGATGAAATGAACTCATCTGGTCCTGTTTCTCAATGCTGAAGTAGCACGCCAGAGAAGTTAACTTTAGAACAGTTGGTTGCAGCAACATTTTACCTGGATTATTCTAGACATACTGATAAGGGGAGTCCATTTACTCTGCCAAACGAAACTTCTGGAAATCTTTTTTTTTAAAGACAGTCTTGCTCTGTCACCCAGGCTGGAGTGCAGCGGTGCGATCTTGGCTCACTGTAACCTCCGCCTCCTAGATTCAAGTGATTCTCCTGCCTCAGCCTCCTGAGTAGCAGGAATTACAGGCACCCGTCACCATGCCTGGCTAATTTTTGTATTTGTTGTTGTTGTTGTTGTTTTTGAGACAGAGTCTTGCTCTGTCGCCCAAGCTGGAGTGCAGTGGCGCGATCTCGGCTCACTGCAACCTCCGCCTCCCAGGTTCAAGTGATTCTCCTGCCTCAGCCTCCCGAGTAGCTGGGATTACAGGTGCCTGCCACCACGCCCAGCTAATTTTTGTATTTTTGGTAGAGACAGGGTTTCACCATCTTGGCCAGGCCAGTCTTGAATTCCTGACCTCACAATCTACCCACCTCGGCCTCGCAAAATGCTGGGATTACAAGCATGAGCCACTGTGCCGGGCCTAATTTTTGTATTTTTAATAGAGACGAGGTCTCACTATGTTGGACAGGCTGGTCTCGAACTCCTGACCTCAAGTGATCCACCTGCTGTGGTCTCCCAAAGTGCTGGGATTACAGGCGTGAGCCACTGCACCCGGCCGCGAAACTTCTAGAAATCTTGAGAGTGACTCTTCCAATATTTTGTATTTCAAGTAGAAGTTTTCAGTAATAATGAAGTTGAAAGCCAGAAGAGAGGAGCAGATAATGTTCTCATGAAGCCTCAGAAGACATTAGGAGCATCTATCTCGATATTAGATTGAATTGAAAATTTGTCATATTAGTCCCTTGACTTATTCATATTTTTTCTCTTGAGCCATTGGTTTGTGTTCTGTAAACACAGCCTAAGAGGCTATTTTAAAGGAAATGGAGATCAGGTGTTCTCCATAGATTCCCATGCTCGATTTCCCGGAGTGGGAGCAGGAGAGAATTATGAGCAAAGAGTTTCAGCCCTCACCCTGGGACATTACCCCTCCTCCCTGCACAGACTTCACAGTGGGATGCTGGTGAATTTTTTAATGTTAATTTTTATTTTTAAATTTAACTTTTATTTTAAGTTCAGCGGTACATGTGCAGGTTTGTTACACAGATAAACTTGTGTCATGGGGCTTTGTTGTACAGATTATTTTGTCACCCAGGTTTTAAGCCCAGTACTCATTAGTTATTTTTCCTGATCCTCTCCCTCCTCCCACCCTTCATCCTCTGATAGGTCCTAGTGTGTGTTGTTCCCCTGTATATGTCCATGTGTTCTCATCAGTTAGCTCCCACTAATAAGTAAGAACATGCAGTATTTGGTTTTCTGTTCCTGATGTTAGTTTACTTAGGATAATGGCCTCCAGCTCCATCCATGTTCCTGCAAAAGACATGATCTAATTCTTTTTTATGGCTGTATAGTAAGTATTCATTCCATGGTGTATATGTACCAAATTTTCTTTATCCAGTCTATCACTGATGGGCATTGAGGTTGTTTCTGTGTCTTTGCTATTGTGAGTAGTGCAGATGCTGATGAATTTGCACTTCATATTCAGTGATTTTCGCCTTGAAGAACATACCTTACCCAATCCATGTTACTTGAAGACGACCGTAACTGAGGTGTAGGAATTTGTCCTAAATTACTGTAAACAACTTTTTGGGGCATTTCACAATATTCCAGCGCCTCTCCGTTCCCTTTCATTGTCTTCTCCACCTGATCCCTCTTTCAAACTCTTGTCTTTATTTTTATACATCTTACCCCAAACCCAGATTGCAGTAAGATTCCTATGTGCATTGCCACATGCATTTTCAGCAATTTGAAATTTTATCTAATATCAATTAAGCTGGTATAAATCATACCACTTCACATACGTGAAGTTGTTTGCTACAGCCCTGTTCTGGAGAACGGTGAGAATGCCCTCCTTGTTTTGTGGCAGGGGTGAGGGGGGATGTTTTAATGAGGAGAGACTGGTAATAAGGGATTGTGGTGAACTGGCAGGGGAGGAAATTCAATAAACAGAAGAGAGGAACTCAGGATAGTTGGGCACTGGAGTGTTGCAAATAAAGCAATATGTGATGCTCTCCCCATGGAATGCTCACCTACGCTATACTCAGAATCCCTGACAGCCGTTTTGCACTCTCCAACACTGGCACACAATGGGGTCTCAGGGTTTGTTGAAATAAATTGGGCTCTATATCATGTGTTCCCTGATTTCTCCTCAATAATGTGTGCTTCCCAGCCCTGCATTGAAAATTAGGACATCAAGTGACATTGAAGTCAGATAATCTGCCTCATGTCACATGGGTTGAATGTGGTAGATGTGATCTCAGGTCTTTTGACTGCCTCATGGCACCTTCCATTTCCAAGCCTCTGTTTTCTCATATTCTTAAGGCACAGAATTCATCCCATTACTTGGTCTGGTGTTGAGGAGAAGCTTGGCATAATGGAAAGACTCAAATTTCATTTTTTTTTCCTTCTTAGAAGAAATCTGTAGAACTGTTTCATCACAACCTGTGGATAGCTGACGCAGTTTGAAGATCTACACCTTGGAGTCACCCATCTCACAAAATGTCAGCCGGGGTGCTCATTGGTACATTGTTTGTTGTATATTTCCTCATACCTTGGAAAGGACTAGTTGAATTTGTTCCAAACCAAGCAATTGACCTAGGACTTTGCATCCTATTAGTGTCGGCCACAATTCAAATCCAACTCCTTTTCAAAGTTGTATTTTTTACGAAAGGTGACCTGATAGCGAGACAAGAGTAATGACGGGTGAGGCACTCTCAAATCAGGCCAGGGTGGCAGGCCGGGACATCTTGTTTTCATCAGATTCTCGTAGTTACTCTTGACTTTTCTGTGTGTTTGCTGAACTTGTGAGATTCTATTGTGCTCTTTCTAGCTGGATATTTTCCAGAGGGTTATCAAGAAAAAGGAGTATCTTCTGCATTAATAACCTCGGGAAGGATTTTAGCAGTAAAATTAGAGACCAGATGATCTGCTGGACAGCAGGATGGGGGAGCATTTCTTCCCCTTTCCCAGGAGAGTGTCAAGTTCAGCATGACCTAGCACCAGACCTTTCACTCAGTAACTCTGAGATCTTATCATATCAAGTTATCTCAGTCATGATGACGTAAATGGCAAAACTACTACCCTTATTTCTTGGGATAAGAATTTTTCGCTTTAAAGGAATACAATATACAAAATAGGTGACCATGAAATATGCTTGGTGGGTCAGCTAATTTCCATATGTGCTTTGTGATTGGTTTTTAAGTGAATTTATTGCTATAGAGTTCCAAAACAACCCTTTAACATTTATGTTTTCTGCACTTTGTCTCATTATTGAAAATAACAAGCGCTATGTAAAAGCGTAAAGAATATACTGAGGTTTACAGCAAGGATAACCACCAAAGACCGGGAGTTAGAAAGCTATGGCCTGTGGGCCAAATCTTGCTCACCACGTGCTTTTGTAAATAAAGTTTTATTGGAACATAGCTATGCCCATTTGCTATGTATTGTCTATGTCTGCTTTCACACTGCAACATCAGAGTTGAGTAATTATGATAGAGACCATATGGCTTAAGATATTTGCTATCTGGTTTTTCACTGGAAATGTTTTCCAACCCATGCTATAGATATTTTCATGGTATTTATTTACTGACTCGTTTGTTCATTCTTTCAGTGGACACCAACCCTGTTAATGACGCTGGGGAATGTAAAGATAAGTACATCAGTCTCTAATTTCCAAGAGCTTATAATGTAACAGAGACAAGTTATGTACTCAAATAACAGAGACAAGTCATGTATTCATCTTTACCTCTGACCAGGCAGAATGCAGCACGTACTACAGACAAGAAATAGCTAAATTGCTGTGGTAGTTTAGAGATGATGAGAGCCTCCGACAAAGGCAGGGAATTGGGAAATGCACAAAGATATTGCTTCCATAACTGTGGCACACAGTGATTTCCCAATAGGGAACTTCATGAGAAATCAGGCTAATTTCCTTCATGGAATTTTATAAATTGTAGTATCCAAAAGAGTGGAAGTGATTTAGAATATTACTTTGTGTCCAGATTCCTTTATCTAGAAGCATATTTCCCCTGTAACTATGGGGATGATCATATTTATAGAAAATTTTTGAACATTTGAAGGAAGGCTTCCTTTATCAGGGTGGGAAGACAGAAGGAATTCCTTTTCTTTTTTGCTGATTGTTCACTTCACAGTGTAATATTAAATGCTATGGGTCTTAAAGAAAGGCTTCTGTGGGGAAACCCTCAAATATCAAGTGGACTATAAAAACAAGATAGGCTGGGTGCAGTGGCTCACAGCGGTAATCCCAGCACTTTGGGAGGCCAAGGTGGATGGATCACTTGAGCCCAGGAGTTCAAGACCAGCCTGGGCAAGGTGGCAAGACCCCGTCTCTACCAAGAAATACAAAAATTAACCAAACGTGGTGGCACGTCTGTAGTCCCAGCTACTTGGGAGTCTGAGGTGGGAGGATTGCTTGAGCCCAGGAGGGAGAGATTGTAGTGAGCCAAGTTTATGCCACTGCACTCCAGCCTGGGAGACACAGCGAGACCCTGTCTTAAAACAAACAAACAAAAAATCAAGATAAAATTATAGAACCCTAACCATGGAATAGCAGGACTCAGTGACAATTACATCTCTCTCTTCTCCACAATGCATGCGAGTGTGAACTGAGATTTTGGTAAGTTCCCATTTCCCTTTGGCCTATTGAACCCCTTTAAGGGTTCAGCCCCCAACCCTGGGAAGATTCCATGCATGAAAACTACCCAAATCCTCCCAGTTGGGATTAATGTGACCTGATAAAGAGTTCTGATTTTTTTTTTTTTTTGAGACAGAGTCTCTCTCTGTCTCCCAGGCTGGAGTGCAGTGGCGCGATCTCAGCTCACTGCAACCTCCACCTCTCGGGTTCAAGCAATTCTCCTGCCTTAGCCTCCCAAGTAGCTGGGATTACAGGCATGCATTGCCATGCCCGGCTAATTTTTTATTTTTGTAGAGACGGGGTTTCACCATGTTGGCCAGGCTGGTCTCAAACTCCTGACCTCAGGTGATCCGCTCATCTTGGCCTCCCAAAGGGCTGTGATTACAGGTGTGAGTCACTGCGCCTGGCCTGATTTTTGTGTCACCAGAATTGCCTTGTCCATTATTTGTGTTTTCCAAATATCTATTGAATTAACTCGAATTGGATGCAGACAGACATTGTGCACTCAAAACCTAGGTGATTGATTTGGAAAAAGATTCAAGACTTTTAGGTTAGTCTAAGAGATGCTCAGGGGAGGCCCCTTCCATTTTGCTTCCAGCAGGGTGTCAAAGTTATTGGCTAAATTCCAGCCTCCCTTTCTTTATACTCATAACAATAAAGGTACCAGCATGAATGCAGCAGAGTTTTGTTTTAGAATATAATCCTGTGAAGTTTTACCAGCCGAAAGCATAATATTTGGATGGATAAAATGTGTGTTTGGTGAGAAAGCTACTGAAGGAACATAATATTGGACCCCCAATCAGGTAATTTAAATGTTATAGGAAGCACCAAGCCCACCTATTTCACAGGCCCCCGCCTCTCCCCTACCCGGAGTAGCAGGGCTCCCGCAGTTAGCCATCCCACAGCTCTCCAGGGGCTCTGCTCTCTCGTTACCAAGAAGCACATGCCAGCCCGTCTCCCAGCGTTTCCTGGTCCTTTCACAATAGACAGATGGGGATGCTCCAGGTAGAGACAAAAGAGAACACACAATCCATACGCTCATCTTGCTGGTACCCTTCCGCTCCCTGAGCCCAAAGAGGAGAACCCAGCCCTCTGCGTAGGAAGAACACATTTCAAGGCATTTACTGACAAGTAGGTATAGTTACTGCATACACATGTGGAGGCTGCATTATATCAAAACTGTAAATAAACATAGACTCTGCACACTCCTTCAGGCCCCACCATGTATTTATGAATGGGATTGCTTCATCATTTTCTTTTAATGTCAGTAGCAGGGAAGTCAGAAAGCATTACCTCTAAAACGGGGACAGAACATTGCAAATACATACATTTCCAACCAGCTGTGGCAATAACCAGCAAACAAAATTACTTCACCCCGTTGTTATGGGCCCCATGCCTATGGGATTTTTCCTGAGTTTCTGATTTATAACAATCACTTTTGAAGGCCTCAAAATGCTTAGGTGAGATTAAATTACTGATTATCCAAAAGTTCTGTTTTCGCTGGAGTCTTTCTGGACGGCTGCTGATTCGGTCCCATTTAAAGCATTCGGTGGCATGAACTCACTCGGTTTCTGCCCACATCACTGCATTCCTGGGATGCCGTTCACAGGCCTTAGCAAGATCATCTGACAGCCGCCTGTGAGGTCAACGAACTTTATACATAATTAAACACTCCCAGTTAGGAGAATTCATTTCTTTCTCCCTGAGAAGCAGAGAAAGAATACATGTTGTGTTGCCCTCCATTACGGAGTAAAAGTTGTGTGGAGTAATCAGGCTAGTTTCACATGATTTAATGTTGAACCGAATAAGAAAGTGATTGCATCCTCTACTGGGCCTCACAGAAAAGTCACCACCCACATTGTTTATTCAGACTGGGATCTTGGCCATTTGGGGTTTAAGCCAGAAGAAAGAGGAAAAAAAAAAAATCCAACCCTGGAATGAACGCTTTTGAAACTCTGTATTCTTGATGAAATGCGGCCAAGGGTTCTTTTAAAAAAAACTATTTAAAATCAATTACCAAGATCATATTTTCATTTACAATGGGTTGTTAGCAACAGCTAATTCTCTGTTTCCATCCAGATTTGGTGTTTAAGCTTCAATATGCTGGTATTGGAATCCTTGCCGTGTTTTGTCTGGGTATCAGATGCTACCACCAAACTATGTGTGGGGAGTTGGGCAACTCTGACCTTTGACCAGCTTTCCATAAAATAACAAGGAAAGGTGTGAGGAGGCTAGGGATTGGGTGAAAACTAGCCTGAGGGATGGCAGTAAGTGAGCTTCACCAGGGGGATGAACATATAAAGGAGGCACTGAGGATATTGCTAAGGGTAAGAGAAAGCAAAAGACAGAATCATATGCCTTGGGAGGAGGGTCAGGCCCGTTAAGGCACCTAGTCCGTCTGTCTCTAGCCAGGACTGCAAGAAATCATCTCAGACATGCGATCTTGTATCGCATTTTTAAAGATCTCAAGAGGAGATTCCGGAACCTCCCTTGGTCATCCGCCCTATTATTTAACAATTCCTACAGCCAGGAAATTCTTTCTTATTTCCAGCCTAAAATGTGCATGTGGTGCAGCTTCAGGGGAGGTGATTGATCGAGGCCACGCCCACCTCCCCCCCGCCTGTTTACTCCTTGGATGGGATGGTGCATATGTCTTGCTTCTTCCTTAAAATGGGCCTCTCTCGGCCTCCATACCACAGTCCCCGGGCTGGGAGAGGGGTCGTGGTATAGAGGTGGGGTGGGGGCCGACCAGCGGCGTTTATGGGGACCAGCCGCCACCAGGAACTGTTGCTAGGCATTTTATGTATTTCCCAGAGGCAAGAGAACATAGCTGTGATGTGGCCAGGAGTGCGCCTCAAAACCACGTGCAAATAATAAATGCGGAAGCTCCCGTTTCAGATTTTAAAAGAAAAGAAAAGAAAAAATCCTGAAAAACAGAATGAAGAGTCTAGAATTTCACTGGCCTCGAGATGGTAGTCTACTCCTCAATTTTAAACAAGAAGAGCCCAGAGCAGAAAAGGGACCTGTCCCGGACAAGATCTCAGAGCTAATGCCCCTAAACGCAGCGCAGTGCCCTGTTCTTAATTTAGATAGGGTGCTGGAAAGGCGAAATCATGCTGGAACGGAGGCCATCGATCTCACTTCCTCCGGCCCCTTCCTCCTCTTCGGCAGATGCGCAGTGAATGGTCAGGCCCTCCGTGAGTGAATTACAGATTCATTGAAGAGCCGTCAGATGACTGGAGCAGTCTGGTTTCTTCCCTTTTTATCGAGTTCTGTCATTGTGTTCCTCAAACTGTGGTTTGTTCCAGAAAGGAAGAGGTTGTCTTCTTCACCCGCCTGCCCTAAGTTGCGTCAAGTTCCAGTTCCCTGTATTAAGTAAATTACTAAATGAGTGGAATGAACATCATAATGTCAAGGGTAGGGCGTTGACATTATGGGACAATAGACCACGAGCCCACTCTGTCAGCTTTTTGTCCCGCACCTCTATTATCTGTCAAATGATCATATTAACACTCTCCTACCTACTTTAGGGGGCTCCTAAAAACAAATATTTATTGACAGGTTATGTATTAGTCTGTTTTCATACTGCTATGAAGAAATACCCGAGACTGGGTAATTTGTAAAGAAAAAGTTTTAATGGACTCACAGTTCCACATGGCTGGGGAGGCCTCACAATCTGTGGAAGGTGAAGGAGGAGCAAAGGCACGTCTTACATGAGGGCAGGCAAGAGAGCCATGTGCAGGGGAACTCCCATTTATAAAACCATCAGATCTTGTGAGACTTATTCAATATACGAGAACTTGGGAAAAACCCACCTCCATGATTCAGTTGCCTCCCACCAGGTGCCTCCCATGATACGTGGGGATTATGGGAGCTACAATTCAAGGTGAGATTTGGGTGGAGACACAGCCAAATCATATCATCTTATAAATGTAGAACACAAACTCCATGATATCCTTTATATAAAGTTTAAATACATTTAAAAATATATATATATAGTTTAAGGATACACACATGTGAAAGATAAAACCATGCATGGTGATAATGAGCATTGAGCATCACACAGTATTTTTTTATTGTGAAAGATCTCGAGCAAACAGAAAATGCAGAGAATAAGATTGTGTATAAATGTGCATTCACCACTATTTTGTCATGTCCTTGTTCTTTTTTGTAAAAAAGAGATAGACTTTCCCCATTTCCACCCGCTTTTTCCTTCCCTGAACGTCACAGTCATCAGTTTAAATGTGATGCTCAATGCTCATTATAACCATGCATGGTTTTATCTTTCACATGTGTGTATCCTTAAACTATATATATATATTTTTAAATGTATTTAAACTTTATATAAAGGATATCATGGAGTTTGTGTTCTACATTGTATTTGTAAGATTTGTCCGTTGCAAAACATGGACCTCTATACATTTTCCATGCTGTGTTGTAGTTATCAGATGGAGGACATGGAAGTTATTTCTAATTTTAAGATGTCCTTTGGAAGAATGCTACAGGTGTGTCTAGCTTTTTGATATGTTCTTTGCACACCATGCCTGGTAGTTTCTCTTGGATATGTAGCCAGTAGCAAAGTGATGAATTAGCACATCGTCTTCCCTGGATGTTGCCAAATTGCTCTCCAAAGTGCAAGCCCCTTCTCAGCAGCAGGGTCTGAGAATTCCTAATGCTCAGTATTCTCTTCAATACTTGTTAGAGTCATATTTAAAAATTTTTTTCCTTTGCCAATCTGATAGTTGTTTCAGGTTTCAGTTGCAATTTCCTGATTACCAGTGAGGTTGAGCATATTTTCATTTGCATACCGAGTAGTCAGGATTTCCTCCATGAGTTATCTCTTTCTTTCCTTGGCCCGTTTTTCTATTGGTTCGTTGTTTCTTTATTGGCTTATTGGAGTATGTAATGTATGCTTGACACCACTCCCTTGTCCATTATATGCACAGCAAATATCTTCTCTTGGTTTTGTAATTTTATTTTGTTGATGATGGTCTGCTAAGAGATTTTCATTATTCCTTTTGTTTTATTCTCATAAGAGATCTGTGAGCTAGATGCTATCTCTGTTTGCATTTTTAGATGAGGATAGTACATCTTAGAGAGTTTAAGTAAATTGACTAAGGTCTCACAGCTGGTAAGTAGCAGAGCTGAGGATCAAGTCCAGATCGAATTCCAGAGCCCATGCGCTTAACCACTGCCTCTAAGTCATAACTACTATGAGTATCCCCATTTTACAGATGAGCACACAGATAAGGCCCAGAGAGGTTCACTGATTTGCTCAGAGTCACTCAGCGTGGTAGTGTTGGAACAAGGACTGTTCCTCAGGTCCCAGACTGCCAACACAACTGTATACCTAGATTGAAATGTTGGGGAAATGATCGGTGATAGACTAGATAAAGGAAATGTGATACATATACACCATGGAATACTACGCAGCCATAAAAAGGAATGAGATCATGTCCTTTGCAGGGACATGGATGGAACTGGAAGCCATTATCCTCAGCAAACTAACACGGGAACAGAAAACCAAATACTGCATGTTCTCACTTATAAGTGGGAGCTGAACAATGAAAACACATTGATGCAGGGAGGGAGACAACACACACTGGGGCCTATTGGAGGGGGCAGGAGGAGGGAGAGCATCAGAATAAATAGCTAATGCATACGGAGCTTAATACCTAGGTGATGGGTTGATAGGTGCAGCAAACCACCATGGCACACGTTTACCTATGTAACTAACCTGCACATCCTACAAATGTATCCCAGTGCTTAAAATAAAATAAAATTAAATTTTAAAAGAAAAAGAAAATGTTGGGGAAATGTGCAGAAAAAGATCATGTATACCCTTTTAAACAGTAACTTTAAAAATTATGAACTATTTAATATTTAAAATACAAAATTTACAGAGAATAATATAGCAAACAATCAGGTACCCCAACTCAGATTTAATAAATATTGACATTAGCCACATTTTAAAAATATTTTTTAACAGAAAATGTTGTAGTTTAAGCCTCTTTTGTGACCCCAAACTGACAGCATTCTTCCACAGCTTTCCCAGCAGTAAACACTCTTTAGAAGTTGCACTGTTACATACCTGTTGCATTTTGCTATGTGATTATGTGTCATAAGCCAGGGGTCCCCAGCCCCCAGGCCATGGACCGGTACAGGTCCGTGGCCTGTTAGGAACCTGGCAGCACCGCAGAAGGTGAGCTGCAGGAGAGCCAGCATGACCACCTGAGCCCCACCTCCTGTCAGATCAGCCACGGCATTAGATTCTCATAGGAGCGCAACCCTATTGTGAACTGTGCACCCGAGGGATCTTGGTTGCTCGCTCCTTATGAGAATCTAATGATAAATGTAATGTGCTTGAGTCATCCTGAAACCATCCCCCACCCCCGTCTATGGAAAAACTGTCTTCTATTAAACCAGTGCCAGAAAGGTTGGGGACCACTGTCATAAACAATAACTAGTATCATTTTGCAAGTTTAAAAAACGAATGGTAATGTTATCAATAATCCATCTTTCTGGAACTTGCTTTATCACTTGAAGTTATGTTTCTGAGATTTATCCTAATTAATGTATGTAGAGCTAATTCCTTTAACTGTTATATTGTTATAAACTGAATGTTTCTTTCCCTGCAAAATTCATATGCTGAAATCCTAATCCCAAATACGATGCTATTAGGAGGCAGGATTTTGGAGGTGATTAGGTCACAAGGGTAGAGCCCTCATGAGTGGGTTTAGTGCCCTTCTAAAAGAGACCCCACGGAGCTCTCTTACCCCTTCACTGTATGAGGGCACAGTGGGAAGGTCCTCTATGAACCAGGAAGTGGGTCCACACCACCACATCTGCTGGCTCCTTGATCTGGGATTCCATCCTTCAGAACTGAAAGATAAATGTTACATAAGTCACCCAGTCTATGGTATTTGTGTTATAGCAACCTGAAAAGACTCAGACATAAACCAATTTCTTTCTATAAATATATCATAATATATCCACTCCCTAACTGATGTTTCCAGGTTGTCATTTTATAAACAGTTCTATTGTGACCTTCTCTGGACTTGTTTCCATGTGGATTTGTTGAACTTTTCAAAGATACAGAAGAAGTGGAATTACTGGGTCTTGGGGTACAAACATCATAAAGGTTGGTAGGCGTTGCCAAATTGCTCTCAGTTTGCTTTCAGCAACAATGTGTACAATTCTTATTATTCTGCATCTTCTCCCACTCTTGACATTGTTGGGCTTTTAAAATTTGCTAATCTGATGTATTGAAAAGGTATTTAATTGTCTTGATTTGTATTTCTCTGATTACTTATGAGGTTATGTGTTTAGTGTTGGTTTTTCCTACGGTTTTTCATCATTTGGGATTTTTTTCTTTCTCTTTGTATTACCTGACTCTAGACTTTGCTCACTTTTTTGTAGTGGGTTGTTTTTTCCTTATAGAGTACTAAGTGTTCACTAAATATTATGAATACTTACAGAAATTTTCTCTCTCCAAGGCTATTTATTGCCTTTAAACATTGTTTTTTGGCATCCTTCATCACAGAATGTTTAACATCAAATTTCTCAATTTTATCTTCTTTCCTTCTTCTTCTTTTTTACTTTATGGTTTGTATTTTTTTTTGTCAGTCCCTCACTTAAGACCATAAAAATAGTGTCTAAAAAACATTTTTTCCTAAATGTTTTAAAGTTAACTGTAATTCTCTTGGAATTCATTTTTGGATATAGTGTGAGTTAGTGATCTATTTTTTTTCTCCATATGGGTAACAGTTGTCTGCGAACCACCTATTAGTTTAGTTTTTGTTTTCCCCATAGTTTGTAATGCTATCTCTGTCACATACCAAATTCCCACATGTGTGGGGCTCTCTCTATTGCGTTAGTCTAGTTATCTATATTTACACCAATACTATAGTGTCTTAATTTTATGGCATAATTAAGTATATTGTATATGTCTTGATATCTGGTAGGACAAGTCCCCATATTATTCTTTTTCAAAGTTATCTTGGCTGCTTTTGGACCACAATTTTAAAACCGGTTACAAATATCCATGAAGAAAACCTTTCTGGGATTTTTATATGAATTTCATTCAATTTATGTATTAATTTTAGGGGATTTGATGTTGAAATTGTGGAATCTTCTCACTCCTGAGCATGAGATATATCTCTGTTTATTTAGGTCTTATGAGTTTCAATGAAGTTTTATAATTTTTTTTTCCATATAGGCCTTGCACCTCTTTCTTTAGATTTATTCCTAGGTACCTCACAGGTGTAAGATCTCTATTGCTAATGACATCTTATGAAAATTACATTTTCTAATTGGTTGTTACTGATGCCATGGATGTTTGTATATTAATCTTGTCTCCAGCGTCCCTGCCAAACCCTCTTATTTCTTGTAATTGTTCATAGTTTCTCATGGATTATCTATGTAGACAATCTTATCATTTGCAAATAATGCCACATATTCCCCCTTCATTTCTAATTCTGATTTTCTTACTCCTTTTTCTTGCTTTATTACATCAGCAAGGTATCTCATACAATAATGAATAGAGTGGTGAGAGAGAAGACATATTTATCTAGTTGCTGATTTTAAAGGAAATGTTCCTAAAGTTTCTTGTAGGTTCTTAGGAGAAACTTCCTTCTGTTTCTGTTGGCTAGGTATTTTATTTTATTTTTAAATTGTGAATGGGGGTTAAATTTGTTAAATGATTTTTCTGCATCTATTGAGATGATTATATGGTTTTTCCTTCCTAATTTGCCAATGTGGGGAATTACATTAAGATTTTCTAATGTTGACTCTTACTTGAGCTTCTGGGATAAAACCTACTGGGTCATCTCACACACATTCCGTATATTTATTGTGTGATAAACATGATATTTTGATAGATATAATCTCAAATATGTATATTAAAGAAATACTATATATTTGTGCACACACTATACTGCTGGAATTTTTGCTAATTTTTTTTTTCAGATTTTTTGCATTGATACTTTAACTGAGATTGACCAATACTTGCCTTTTTTTGTATTGTCTTAGTGTTTTTCTACAATGTAGGTTTAGACTGAACTCATAAAAATACATTCAGGATTCTTTGTTCTTTTTCCATATTTTTATGTGTCAACTTTGGTAACATATTTTTCTAAAAGGTTTTCCATTTTATCTGTTTTTAGATTTATTGCTTTAAAATACAGAAAAGAATTCTCATGCTTTAAAATCTTTACTCTATTTAGTTATGACCCATTTTATGCCTAATAGTGTTTATTTGTGCTCTTTCTTTTTCCTTGCTCAATCTTGTCAAATATTTACCTATTTTATTAGTCTTTTTAAAGAATCAGCCTCTATTTTGTTTCTATTCTCTATTGTTTCTGTTTTGATTCTATTGATTTGTTGTCTTTATTATTGCCTTCCTGCTACTTTAACCATGTGTGGAAAAAGGATTTTCTTCTATTGTTTTTGAGTTTACATTGTTGCCCTTTCTCTAACTTTCTTAAAATTTTTCTTGTTTACTAATATTAAATTCAATGCTAAACATTTTCTTCAACTGAAATTTAGGGCTTCAGTTGTTCAGTCCTAAATATGTTTTACTTTCATTTTGATTTCATATTAATAATTTAGCAGTGTGCTTCTGAAATTTCAAAATGTACTTGGGTTTAGGGATTGTGGTTTTATCTATCTCAATTTTTTTATTGTATTTTGGTTGAAGAATGTGGTCTGTATGATAACAGTTCTTTGAAATTTGTTATTTGTTCTGTGGCCTGGAACCTGTTCAATTTTTATGAACATTTCATGTGCATTCTCTATTTATTGGGTAGAGAATTCTCTTCCCATGTCATTAGCTGAAGCTTGTATAATGCCTTATTTCAATATTAAATCTTTTCCCTTTTTTAAAAAAAAAACTTGAGCTGTCAATTTCATAGAGATGTGTACTAAAAATCTCCCACTATATGCTTCTGGCAGATCATGTGTGTTAAGGAATCACAAATGTGGTAAATGAAACAGCATATCCAAGGCACCCATCCTTGCAGGAGGATAAAGAAGATCCTCATGGATGTGACATTTTAGCTGAACAGGAGTAGGCCAAGAAATTCTTGCATTGCCATAGAGGAACACCGGAGACTGGGTAATTTATAAACAAAAGAGGTTTAATTGACTTACGGTTCTGCAGGCTGTACAGTCATGGTGCCAGAATCTGCTCAGCTTCTAGGAAAGCCACAGGGAGCTTTTACTCGTAGCAGAAGGTGAAATGGGTGCAGGCACATCACATAGCCAGAGAAGGAGTAAGAGAGAGGAGACGGGGAAGGTGCCAAACACTTTGAAACAACTAGATGTCATGAGAACTCACTATCACAAAGAAGACACCAAGGGGATAGTGCTAAACCATTCATGAGAAATCCAGACCCATGATCCAGTCACCTCCTCCTTCAGCATTGGGGATTATATTTCAATATGAGATTCGGGGGGACAAATACTCAAATATATCAGTTAATAACAGAGGACTTCATTCTAAATGCAAAGGCACACAATCACACCACCTAAATACCACTTTCCTGTATTCTATTTTCTTGCATATTTTTGACATTTTCATTGAATACCTCAATTTTTAAAATAATAAATTGAATACATGTAAAATGATTTTCTTCTATTTTTAATGTATTAAGTTCAATAGAGACATAAAAAATAAAATATAAATAAATAAATAAATAAAATCTCCCACTATAATTTTGAATTGTTACTTTCTTGTAGTTAATTCAATTTTTGCTGTAAATATTTGACACTGCGTCATGAGGCATACAAAAGGATTCTGGTGAATATATCTTCATATTAACAAGTGATCCTCTTTATCCCTCAAAATGCTTTTGGCTGTAGGCCGGGCGTGGTGGCTCATGCCTGTAATCCCAGCACTTTGGGAGGCAGAGGCGGGCAGATCACTCAAGGTCAGGAGTTAGAGACCATCCTCGCCAACATGGCGAAACCTTATCTCCACTAAAAATACAAAAAACCAGTTGAGCCTGGTGGCACATGCCTGTAGTCCCAGCTACTCGAGAGGCTGAGGCACAAGAATTACTTGAGCCCGGGAGGCGGAGGTTGCAGTAAGCGGAGATCATGCCACTGCACTCCAGCTGGGCGGCAGAACAAGATTCTGTCTCAAAAAAAAAAAAAAATTGCTTTTGGCTGTAAAGTCTGTTTTATCAGATCCGTTCATTTATTCATTCACTGATTCAATTAAAATAAACATTTATTGAACATTTATTGTTTTTAAGGAATGTCCTAAACACTGGAGATACAGTAGTGAACAAATGAGAAAGTCCCTACTCTCTTGGATCTGAGAGATCTTATATTTTATTTGGAGATCACAGATAATAAACAAACAAAATATATAATTTGTCAGGTGGTATAGTGCTATAAAGAAAAATAAGGCAAGGTGAGGTAGATAAAGTTATGCTGGGGGGTATAAAGTTATGCTGTTCTATATCATGTAGTCGTGGGCAGCTCTTGGATTAGTTGACACTTGAGCAGAGGCCTGAAGGAGCCACCTGATGTTTATATTGCTTATATAAACTGAATGTTTGTGTCCCACCAAAATTCATACGCAGAAGCTCCAACCTCTAATGTGATAATATTTGGAGATGAGGCCTTTGGGAAGTAATTAAAGTTACATTCTCTACTGTGTATTCCATGCTTATTGGGTGGAGTGTTCTCTTCCCATGTCATTAGGTCAGAACAGCAGGGCCCTCACAATGGCATTAGTGATCTTTTAAGAAAAAGAAGGAAGAGATTTTTCTTTCTGTATGTACACCTGAGGAAAGACCATGTGAGGACACAGCAAGAAGGCGGCCATCTGTAGGCCAAAAAGAGAGGCCTCACCAGAAATGAAATCAGCCAGCACCTTGATTTTGGACTTACCAGCCTCCAGAACTGTGAGAAGTAAACTTCTGCTGTTTAAGACACCTGGTCTGTGGCATTTTGGTATGACAGCCCAAGCTGATTTGTCTAATGACTATACCAAGTTCTTGTGAGCATTTCCCTATGGTATTGCTTTCTCTTCCTTTATGTTAATCCTTGTGTTTTAGGCTTCTTTCTTGTAAAGAGCTGGAGTTTTAAAAAATCCAATCTGAGGTTTTCTGTCTTCTAACAGGTTAAAGTCATTTATATTTATTATGATTACTCATATATTTGGAATTCACTAGGAGCCTGAATGTTTTCTATATACCATGCTACTTCTTTACTTGTTTTTTCTTCTTATTCTGCCTCACATTAAATTACTTGACTTTTTCTTACACTGTTTTCCACTGATTTGTAATGTATACATTTTGTCCTATTGTTTTGACAGTTGTTACCCTCAAACATTAAAAATTATATTTGAGAGCTGGGCGTGGTGGCTAACACCTGTAATCCCAGCACTTTGAGAGGCTGAGGCAGGCAGATTGCTTGAGTCCAGGAGTTTTGAGACTAGCCTGGGCAATACGGTGAAACCACGTCTCTACCAAAAATACAAAAAATTAGCCAGGCATGGCATGCACCTGTAGTCCCAGTTCAAATTCCTTCTTACTGAAGTACATCCTTGAATAGCTATTTCATTAAGGATTTGGGAATATTAAAGCATCTCAGTCTCTGACTGAAAGTATCTTTAATTCACTCTTGGTCTTGAATAATAATTTTTCTAGGTATAGAATTTTACATAGATATCTTCCCTCAGCATTTGAGTATATTATTTCATTACCTTTTGATTTGTGTAATTGATAAGGTGTAGTCTGCTTCAGGCTGTCATTTATTTAGAGGGTTCTCTCTCTCTCTCTCATATTGCTTTAAAATTTTTTTTTGTTTTTATCTTTGGTGATCTGCGGTTTCACCACAATCCTGCTTGGGATTCAAGACTAAGAATTCCTGACATTCACCGATTCTGAAAAATTTTGTCCTAGTCTCTGAATATTTTCTCTCCTCAGTCCTCTATTTATCTATCTGAGTCCTCTTTTATATGTATATTGGACCTTGTTATTCTCTTTTTCATGTCTCTGAATGTGTTTTTCAGATTTCTCATGTCTCTCTTTTTTGTGTTCTATTTTTTTCTTTAACATCTCCCTACCTTTTTTATTCCTGTCCCTCCAAGGTAACCAATGTTAACACTTGGTATGCATTCTTCTACATGTTTCTCCAAGCTCCTATAAACACATGCACATATATATTCATATATATCTTAAATAAGGGTGTTTTGTTACTGTTGTTTGCAAAAAAAATCCAATCATACAGCATGTATTTTTTCACAACTTGTTTTTCTCTCTTGATAGTACATGAAGGATAATCTCCAGATAAATGGATACAAATTTAATTCATTTTTAAAAATAGCTAAGTAAAATTCCATGTTATGGCTATATTATAGTTTATTCAACCTTCTCCCTATTAATGAGCATTCAGATTGTTTTCAGTTTTATGTCACTGATAGGGACAGGAGACAGGGAAATTCTGGGCAGAAGAGGGTGGGTCCCAGTGAGGGCCCCACCCTCAAGCTGAAAAGCCTGATACCATGGTCCAAAGGGAGAATTTACATCCCTGTTTTCCCACTCGAATGTTGCCTTTTCCAAAACCACCCATGGCCTGCCCTGCCTCCCATCCTGAGCCCATAAAAAATCCCTGGCTCCACTGGCAGAGAGAAGAGAAGCAGCTGGATGTTGAAGACTACAGTTGGACGTTGGAGAGAAGTGGCTTGAGTTCAGAGGGACAGTTTGACGGTGTAGCTTCAGACAGGAGTTTGGCCAGGGATGGCTGGACTTCAGGGGAAGATTACCTTCCATCCCCGTCCCCTTTTCAGCTCCCCTTCCTACTGAAAGCCACTTTCATTGGCAGTAAAATCCTCTGTATTTACCATCTTCAGTTTGTTTGTGCGACCTCATTTCTCCTGGACGCCGGACAAGAACTTGGGTGCCACAATGCAGGTGTAAAATGCTGTGTCACACTGACCGCCCCCACTGAGCTGTTAGCACTTAAGGCGTCCATGGATGGCAGAGCTAAAAGAGTACTGTAACCTGTCCTCTTGGGCTTCAGGGGTTGCAGGCACTGCTCCAGACGCTGCTGTGGGGCTGGTATGGAATTCGCTCCTTCCAGCACCCAAAAAGCACTCACCTGGCTCCTGCATCTACTCACCTGCGTGCTCCACCTCCGTGAGGGGTGGAGTGCAGCATGTCTTCATGAGTGGAGTTCACCCCTGCCAGTGCCAGAGTGGCTGGCAAGTTCCAGCGCCCATGCACTCCAGTTCCCACCCATGAAGCGTTCAGGGAAATAATCCTGCTTCATCACCACAAACATTGTGGCCATAAACATCCTTGTGCATATTTACTTATGTGCTGGTTCCTTAATTTCTGTGGAAGCCAATTCAATGCCACTTTACTTACCCCAGTCCCTATTCTCAAAGAATATAACTTTGTATATTTTAGCTTTTTCTTCTAGCATATATATGTCTCTGCATTTCTAAATAATGTATATACTGTTATCTTTTGTTTCATCAATTTTATGTATATCTTAACCTTATATTATAGTAGATAAAAATTTACCTGTCTGATATGATCATATCCACAGCTTCCTCTCCCCTCTTTCTCCCAGTGTAGTTATATTACAATTTGGGGGTAAATCAGCCCCTAGTGTTTTCACTATTTTGTCAAAATAAATGGCATTAACAGCTAAACCTTTAACAATGAAGTTAATATCTGTCTTTTTTTCATGTCCTTAATTGATCTTTGTACCTGGTACAGACTTTTCCTCTATCTTCCATAGGCTCACAGTACCTTTTTCCACAAAGCTGATCACATTAGTAATCTGTCAGTTCTCCTTCTTTTCTTGGTGATATCTCTGCTGGAGACCTACATTTTCCTTCTAGCTAGACTTCTCTCTCGGCCTGCTAGATAGCTGACATCCTGAGATTTGTCTTCACTGTTATTCTAGAACTTCCCTTTGCCTTTTCTTCTGTGTTGGATTCTCTCTCTTGTTTTACCCCATTGTTTGAGGAAGCACAGCCTCCAGCAGCTATCAGAATTAAAACCTGGTGCAGTGGTAACAGCCTTCATATGCCTTGCTCTTGGTCTGCTGGCCCTGTCTGGATGACTGGTCCTGTGGCTGAGCCAGTCATCATCCTGGGGTATCTCACTTCAGTGCCGTCATCCCTCTGTTGTGGTCCTGTGTTAGTTCTCATAAAACTCCCTTTACACTCTCTCATTTCTGTGGCTCCCAGCTTACAGTAGCCTATGGAAAATGGATCCCTGAGAGACACATTCACACTTCACATGTCTGAAATTGTCTTCATTCTGTTGTGTCACATGATGACTTGTCTGTCTTGTACGGGAAAATCCAGGTTAAAAAACAGTTTTCCCCAGAAGTTTGAAGATATTGCTTTATTGCACGCAATCTCCCAATGTTGCTATCAGAAAGCTGCCACTGTTCTGATTCTTGATGTTCTGTGCCTTACCTTATTTTTCTTTTCCCCTGGAACCTCTGATTTTTCCTGTCCCCCTATATTCTAAATTTCACGATGACTGTTCTAATTGTGGGTCTGTTTTCACCTGTTGTACTCAGTGATCATTGTGGTCTTTCAATCTGTCAAGACTGTGTTCTCTCTGTAAGCTGCTCTTTCTTTCCAGAACTTCTATTATTTGGGAGTTGAACTTCCTGGACAGTTTTGTGATTTTTTCATATTTTCTCACCTGTTTTCCATCTCTTTATCTTTTTTCACTCTTTTTGTACAATTTCTTTAACTTCAATTTCCAACCCATCTATTGGGTTCATTTCTGTTACCGTCTTAAGTTTCCTCTTTTCATCTATAAATAGTTTTTTAAGCATTCTGTTCTGTTTTCAGGATGTGTGTCATTCTCTTAGTTTTCTGCATTTTTTTTTCTTTTCAGAAATTGTCTTTGCCTCTCCTGGTCTCTGTCTCCTCCATGTTGTCTTTTTCAGTCTGTTTGTTTTGAACTCTGTCTTTCCTGTAGAGACTTTCCTTGCATGTCGGGCAGTCCTGATTGTCTGACCATATTTAAGAATGAATAACAGATGTATTGAAAGCTCTGAGGATGCGTGAGGGACTTGTCAACTCTGAGCATCACTGTAGAATAAAATGTTTCTGTCATAGGTTGGAGAACTCCTAATGCTAACAACTCCTAAAGTCTCCTAATGGGAAAACCAGGGAATGGTCAGATTCTCCAGAGAACACTCTTCCAGACTCCTGGCTGCAAGATGCCGCCCTGCCTGTCCCAGGCTGGGAGCTGAGATGAGGAATGAGACTGGAGGGTTCAGCCTTCAGCATGCATATTTCCTTTTATTTGATGTGTGGCATCTCCCAATTCCAAAATCCTCTCCCAGAGTTCAAACCTCCAGTATTAGCAGTTGTGATAAAGGCTGCTGCCTAGCAGGGTGGATTCAAGGAAAGGATCCAGGGATCTAACTGATTCTTAAACAGTTTCCCTCACATTCTTCTTTATTTATTTTTTTTTTTTGAAACGGAGTCTTGCTCTGTCGCCCAGGCTGGAGTGCAGTGACGCCATCTTGGCTCACTGCAAGCTCCGCCTCCCGGGTTCACACCATGCTCCTGCCTCAGCCTCCCAAGTAGCTGGGACTACAGGTGCCCGCCACCACGCCCGGCTAACTTTTTCTATTTTTAGTAGAGACGGGGTTTCACCTGTTAGCCAGGATGGTCTCAATCTCCTGACCTCGTGATCCGCCCACGTTGGCCTCCCAAAGTGCTGGGATTACAGGCGTGAGCCACCACGCCCTGCCCTGTTCTTCTTATTTTAGTGACTCATCTCCCTTCCGCACAGTTCCAGAGGTCACCGGTGCTATCTGTTCCTGAGCCTTTGGAGGATCCACTGGTTGTTCCTAACTTTCCTGCTCCTCACTGAGGATTCAGCTTCCTTTGTCTGTTAATTCTATCACTGCTTCTCCATCTGCTTTCCGTCTTCTAAAATCTTATTACTGTTATTTCTAAAATCTTGTTACTTGTTAAACCTACAACATACTAAACAATCCTGGAATTGGTTGTAAAAGGGTCATGGATTGCCAGAGATCAAAAGGTATTTAAAATCTCCTCTCCTATTGTCCTGGTGGTTTTATGTCTTTTAAAAGGTCATCTTCCCTCGTTACAGTGACGTTTCAGGTGAAAGCCATATTAGATACAGTGTGTTCAATTCTCCATTTTTGCTTGGAAGTCCTGTGTTACATTTTGGTTTAATTTTCTCAAGGCTGTCTTCCGGTTCACTGATGGCCTGTTTTGTGTTACTCTACTGTCTAACCTTTCCATTGAGTGATTACTAGGAGTTCTACTTTATTTTTTCAAATCTGCTTATTCTCTTTTTTTCATGTAATCCTAATTTTCTCCTTATGGCTTTTAGTCTTTATCACTATAATATTTTTAAACAATCTTATTTTGTACTCCATTTGAGATTGTATCTTTCCAGTTCTTAGGATTTAAAGTTTTTTTTTTCCCTTTATCACTGTCCCTCATGGCAGTTTATTTGTGTGTGTGTTGGGGGGTGATACTGGCAGTTCAACCTCAGATATTTTTCCTTTTCTTTGTTTCTTTTTTCTTTCTTTCTTTCTTTTTTCTTTTTCTTTTTTTTTTTTTTTGAGGTGGAGTCTCACTTAGTTGCCCAGGCTGGAGTGCAGTGGTGCGATCTCGGCTCACTGAAACCTCTGCCTCCCAAGTTCAGATATTACTCCTGCCTCAGTCTCCCTAGTAGCTGAGACTACAGGCATATGCCAGTATGCCTGGCTAATTTTTGTATTGAAATGGGATTTAGCCTTGTTGGCCAGGCTAGTTTTGAACTCCTGACCTCAAGTGATCTGCCTGCCTCAGCCTCCAAAAGTGCTGGGATTACAGGCATGTGCTGCCATGCCCGGCCTCTTTTCTATAGGAATCTTGTGAGTCCTGAGTTGTGAAATCGTTTCTACATAGTGGACATATGTTTGTCTTTTCTGGAGATCTAAGGACTTTCAATGATCCTAGAACTGTGTTTGTATTAATTTATTGTCATGGGATTCCCCTACTCAGATACACAGGTAGTATAAATTCCGATCTTACAACTGAAAGTGGTTCATGCTTAAGGTTCTGATTTCCCAAAGGTGTCCTGAGCTAGGGATACAAGGGAATGTTCTGCTCTTTATCTCTGAGGCAGTGGGCAGAGTGCTTTAGTCCACCTTTTCATGGTTAGGGTGACTTTTTGAGGCTTTGAGATTTAGGAAAGGGGCTCAGTTCTGGCCCCGCTACCTCATGCAAGACCAAGGTCATGTCCCTGCATGGGCATTAGAATCTCACCACTATTCCCAGGGCTTCGGGAGCATTTGCGAGAGTCTGAAACTTCCTTGAGCACTGTGTAGTCAGCCTTACATAAAAGCTCTGGCTTCAATTTTATCTTTATTTCTGGGGCCTCTGTTTCTCTCCCTTCCTCTATCCCCCTTTTCCTTCCTTTTTTCCCTTTTTTTCCCCCAAACTTAACTCTGTGATATTTTCTTGGGAATTTCACATCCTTGTAGTGGGAAGGGACCCATATGATTAACCTGTTGTTTGCCATTTTGCTGAAAATGAACACTCACATCTAATTTTGTGTTAAACCTGGAACATACTAAACAAACCTGGAATTGGTTGTAAAGGGTCATGGGTTGCCAGAGATCAAAAGGCATTTAAAGATCCGTTGTCCAACCCTAGCATTTTACTTAAGGAAACTGAGCCTCAACACTGATAAAACCACTTGCCCACAGACACGTGGCCAGTTAGTGGAAAAGGTGGGACTGACCTCAAAGAGTGGTCACTTTTATCTCACAGCATCACAAGGAGGAACATCTGACAGCACTTGCCAGGTTATCAAGACACCAAGATCCAATGCTTGTTGAGCCTTAAGTCACTGAGACATTTTGGAAAAGCCACATATACCATTTGTGTTTGTCTTGACTTGCTGTTGTGTTTTTCTCTTCTTGAATACAGAGTAGTAATGCTTGTTGAATTATTTAAGTGGCTTATTGCTGTGCCAGTTTGTTTGTTTTTCTACCTTTATTTTTTCAAAGAAAAACGCCTTTTTTTTTTTCTCCTTGAAGACATCTTTCAGGATCCATCACCTACCGGAAACCTTCCCTGAAGTCTGAAGCTCTTAGAGGGTTTTTCACCTTTTCTAGCTCCTTTTGAAATTGTCATTTGAACCATGTCATTAGCACCATATGATGAATTCATCTGATCCTCTTTAATTGTTGAATATGTATGTGCTTCATCTCCCCAAGATTGTAAGTGCTAGCTTGCAGAAACCATGGCTTATATATCTTTACCATTTTCCAAAGTGTTTTCCTGTGGATGAGTTGATGACGAAAAACCTAGAGGAAATATGTTCTTTTAGATAGAGCCTGAGTTTGGTGTCAGGAAGCCTGGATTCTGCCCCATTTCTCTGCTCCCTGGTAGACCTATGCAAACCACCGATGTTGTATGGAGAAACTACTGGTGTCTGACAATAGCACTGATACAGTGGTTGTAAAATTTTTCATGCAAGCTGGGACAGTTTTCAGAGTGAAAGGGGGCAATGGTAATAATTGTGCAGGGACAACAGGTATAAATTGGGACTTTCCCTAACATGCTGGGACAGACGGTCAACTTATGTTCTAGATCACCTTGAGCTCGTCAGAACTATTTGCACAGCTGCTCTTGATACCAGTCTTTCAAACAAAAAATTATCATCCCTTACAAAAGTTTTCATCCACGAGCCCAACTTTACAGGTAATAAAATTTTTAGTTTTTCCAGACATTCTTGTTTTTTCAGCTACTTCCATGGCTCCAAATGCGCATTATAACTGAAGTTAAACTAGATTGTAGATTTGAAGATTAGTACTGCTGAGTAACAAATGCCTTCATTCTTCTTTATCAACCACTCTGTCTTCTGGAAGGAAATAAAGGCCCCGATTTCTGGAGTTCTGAGCCTACTTTTCTTGGGTGCATTTTGAAACATACGGATTTTACCGCTAGTATATTCAGTGAGGAAGGAAGGCTTCTGAAGGATTGATGATCCCCAAACTGGATTATGTGTTCATGATAATGGTGTATTTGGTGGCCTAGCATAGTGAGGTGAGGTAGGTCTTTAAAATGGCTCATTATAAACATCATTGTTCCTGAGCTCACTTGCCCTTGCATCTCCTGCCAGAGTGCTTTGTACATAGTAGGCCCTCATCAATGCTTGTAGATTTTAAATTCGGAGGCACACTTGGAAGACAATGGTGGCTGGTAAATTAATTATCAGGGTTAGCAACTTCATTTCTGCTTACGCTTAAAAAGTGCTGCGTGAGGAGGCTGAGACAGGAGAATTGCTTGAACCAGGGAGGCAGAGGTTGCAGTGAGCTGAGATTGTGCCACTGTGTTCTACCCTGGGCGACAGAGCGAGAATCCGTCTCAAAAAAAAAAAAAAAAAAAAAAAGTTCTGCTGTGGTTGATACATGGTGTTGGAATGCAAAGAAAAATAGAGAAGATCCCTGCCCTCCAGAACTTTGTGACCTAGAGGCAACTTTAGAACCATAAGCCACTAAAATTTAGAAAGTTCAGGAGAAAGGACAATCACTTTTGACTTGGAGGAATGAGGTAGCACTTGAGCTAGGTTTGAAAAATAAGATTTTTCTCTAGGACTGAGGTGAGAGAAGGCTGTTCCACATGGTAGGAACAGCACAAACAAAAACCTGCAAGAGTAAAATTGCAAGCCATATTTGGAGAATCAGAAAAAGCCTGGTATGTTCAGAAGATAAGATTTAATGATGTTGGTTTGGGGAAGTTAGAAGTCCTTTAATGTCAAATGATGGAACTCAGGTTATGTTATATAGAAAATGGAGTCACATAAAGTGTTGGATGAGTGCAGTGATATCAACCAACTCATGCTTTAGAATGAGAACCTGGTTGCAGGGAGACCAGTTAAGAAGAGGCTTAGGTGTTCAGGAGAGATATAAAGGCAGGAGAAGAAAAAGGAGCCAGAAATGAGATTCAGAATTGGCAGTTGATTGAAGGAAGGGCCAAGGTGGAGAGAACAACCAAACACAATCCCAAGGGACAGAGTGGATGGGGATGAGTGGAGGGGGATGAGTAGATGGGGATGAGTGGAGGATGGGGATGAGTAGAGGGGGATGAGTGGAGGATGGAGATGAGTGGAGGATGGGGAGGAGTGGAGGATGGGGATGAGTGGAGAATGGGATGAGTGGAGGATGGGGATGACTGGAGGATGGGGATGAGTGGAGGATGGGATGAGTGGATGGGATGAGTGGAGGGGGATGAGTGGATGGTGGTGGAGAGACACAGAGAGGATCAGAATTTGATTGGCCAAGACTCTGGATTTCCAGGGAGGTTGTGGAGAGATAAGATGAAATAGTATGTGAAAGAACTTTGAACAATGCTTTGCATAAAGGAGATATTCAATGAACATTAAATTGAAAGAAAAAGGGAAGGAACGAAAGAAAAAAAAGAAAGGGAAGAAGGAGCTTTTCCCTTCTCTCTACCTCTCTGCTGTGCCCCAGTAGGGAGAGACATTGAGGGTTTTAGGAGATCTGGTGGGCATTTTTCCTGGGCTGTTCCTACCAATAGACTTGCTGCTGGTTTCATGTTAGTTAGGTGGCACACCAAGAGGGGACTCAGAAAGAACAGAAGATCAGAACTTGCTGGTGTCAGACAGAAAAGACATGAGCTTGAGCCACATTTGAAGAAAGAAAGAGAATTGGGTTGATGAAAAGGCCATACTGAGAATTATGGGAGTAGAAGTTGTGAAGGCAAGAAGGAAGACGGAAGAAAACACACCACCGATGCAGAGAAAGAGAAGGATGCTGACTGACCTTGGAGGCAGTTTCTGCATGTTCTGGGGCCTATCTTTCTATCCTTCCCTCTATCCCTCCCTTCCTTCCTTTTTTCCATTCTTCTATTTTTCTGAACTCAACTCTGTGACATTTTCTTGGGAATTTCACATCTTCGTAGTACAAGGAACCCATAGGACTAACCTATTGTTTGCCATTTTGCTTAAAGTGAACACTCAACGTCTAATTTTGTGTTAAACCTAGAACGTAGTAAACAAAACCTGGAATTGATTGTAAAGGGTCATGGATTGCCAGAGATCAAAAGGTTTCTAAAGATCACTTTGTCTAACCTTAGCATTTTACTTAAGGAAACTGAGGCTCAACACTGATAAAGCCATTTGCCCACAGACACGTGGCCAGTTAGTGGAAAAGCTGGGACTGAACTCAAAGGATGGTCACTCTTATTTCACAACATCATAAGGAGGAGGCCTGTCATTTGGCGGTCAGCACTTGCCAGGTTGTCAAGACAAGATTTGATGCTTTTGGGAAATGTGGGTGAACTATTGGGGATCATTGGAAGGAGAACGTTGCTTACCTTCTGACCAGCCTATCCTGAAACTCTGTTAGGAAAACCCTACTACTCTATGAAAACAAACCCAGTTTCTCCTCATTTTTTTCCTGACCATTGGGAATAACAGCAAGACAGTCCTTTTAGTGATTAGAAACCAAGTCACATTGACTTTTTCTGACAAGCCACTCCAGGATAACTCTCAATAAATTATTTTATTGGAAGTACTGGCTGGTACTTTGCCTTACAGAATGCCTTTCGGTTTCTTTGTCTTGGGCTTTGATTATTTGGTAAACATTTCAGTTTCATGATGACGTGGTGTTTAGATGGCAATGCATGAATTGCATTACTAAAATTGTTTGCCTTCAGTTATATTACATCTGCTTCAGGAATGCTAGAGAACATAAACACAGTTTATTTACTAAACTACCTCAGTTGGAGCATCTGAGAGAGAGAAAGCATAAAATCTGGTGGTTGGCATGGCGTCTCATCTCGAGTCAGAGAATCTTGAAGCTGGGAGGTTCTTTTGGAAGCCTCCTGCTGCCGCCTTCTTCAACGTGATGCCACCATCCTCCCCCTGAATGTGTCTAACAAAAGGCAGTTCTCAGAATGTGCCAACTGTTAGAAGAAGGAAAACCACAATTGAATAGAAACTTTTAAATTAATTTATCCTAACATGGATCGTAGATTTGTTATGTTGACTGCACTGCAAAACGAATCAAGCCAGAATCACATTGGAATCTTTTTTTGGTGTGCAAAATCCCAGTGTTTCTTTGAGGCAGTGCTTTCAGTGGTGCACGTCTCTCCTGTGCAGAGGAAGGCTCTTTACATCATCTTAGCACAGTGTCTTCCACTTCTGTGGTTTCTATCACTTCTATTGCCTTTTCCCTTGGTATTGTACCTTTCCTTGATATGGGTTCCAAGATGTAGCTGTACTTAAAGACTTGATGGTAAAAATAGGCCAGTCTCTAAAGCAATTACAGTTCTCTGTAATTTTTGGATCCTATCAACCAGCTTTGACATTTGGTTGAATGTGTTTTTGCAGACATCAGTGTAAACTTTACAGAGGGCCACTGAGCCTTAGCAGTTCTTCCTAAGCAAAGTTTCACTCATTCTTTTTTTTTTTTTTTTTAGAAAACATTTAAGGCCTCCTATGTTCCTTTCAGTGTTCGCTGTTTCTTCTTTATCTGGGGTCCTTACTGACTCACCTTGACGTTACTGATTCATAAATGGATTTTCATTTCTTTTGCTGGGGGTCAGCACTTTGATGATTATCCACTTCCACTTCCACTGTGTTATTTTTTACATAATATTTTTGTTCTGGTTACAAAAGCAAGATAGAATTTTTGCAGAAAAATCCGGAAAATAGAGAAAAGCAAACAGAAGAAAAAAAAATCACTCATAACCCACCACCAAAAACAAACAAACAAACAAAACCACAGCCCTATTGTTAATATGTTGATAGGCTCCTGTCTTTGCCTAGCACTTAGAACCCTCCTAGTCAGGTTCTAAATTAACTTTACAACCTCATCTCCCTGCTTGCACCTCCTCTGGGGACATACATTGCCTGGCATAAGACTTTTCATATTTCTCTCTCAATGAATTTTTTCTGATTATGTAAATAATTCATGTGGTTGTACATATTTCCAATAGTACCTATAAGGAAAATAAAGTAAAAATTATTTTTAAAAACATTTCACCTTATTAAAAAAAATCTCACCACCCTGAAATAAAAGCCATTGATATTTTGGGGACCATCTCACCACCATGTGTTTATGTCACCTCCACACACATGATTTCCCATAAATGAGATAGGAGCACCCATGCGGTTCTTATCATGGACACTTGCTTTCATTTTTCACTTATTTACTTTTTTCCTCTCATTCCCTTCCCTCCTTCCACTCTAATTCCTCTCTTCTAGATTGCCAGTGGCATCAGCCTTGTCTGTGTCCTTCCATACTTTATGCTTCTACAATCTTACCAAATGTTTTGTAGTCACAAATATATGTTGTGATTGTTTTTTATACAAATCAGATCATATCATATGTCCCTTTATGCATCTTTCTTTTTCTCATTTAACAGTGATAGATTGCTGAAATCCCTCTTTTGTTTTTTCATGACTGCGTACTATTCCTTGATTGACTGTAGCATGAATTATTGAATGTAGCTATGACAAATAATACTGTAATAAACATTTCTGTGCTTACAGGACGTGAGATGACTTGATTAAGAAAAGAATAGATTTTTAGATTGGAATAGACATTTCCAGATTGCTTTCTAAATGGCATGGTGATTCGTATTTCTACCAGCAAGTCTTTCTGTATCTTGCCAAGGGACGATGCCTCTAAATTGCAAGAAAGGGTGGGATGCCTTGTCCATTTGAAATCCAAAACATCAAGACAAATATGGGGCAATAATATGACCATCACAATAATATATATAAAAGAGAATTCATTAAGGGATGATTATCGCTTTCTAGAGTTGGGTTCTGGGGAAGTATTATTTATAGAAATGAGCCTTAGGAGGCCAGGCACACTGGCTCACGTCTGTAATCCCAGCATTTTGGGAGGCAGAGGCAGGTGGGTCACTTGAGGTCAGGAGTTTGAGACCAGCCTGGCCAACATGGTGAAACCCCATTTACTAAAAATACAAAAATTAGCTGGGCATGGTGGCACATGCCTGTAGTCCCAGCTACTTGGGGGGCTGAGGCATGAGAAACACTTGAAACCAGGAGGCGGAGGTTGCAGTGAGCCAAGATCGTGCCACTCCACTCCAGCCTGGGTGACAGAGTGAGCGTATGTCTCAAAAATAGATAAATAAATAAATAAATAAATAAAAAAGAAAAGAAATGAGCCTTAGGGCCCGAAATGTAATTTTATTTTTAGCATGATTTTTTTTTTTATTACCCGACAGTTTTTGATTAGTGTGGCAGCTAGAAATTTCCCTCCTGGTTTAATTTGCTTCTTTATAGTTTTTGTCAAAAGCTCAAATGGTACAACACATCACAGGTGACTTTTCAACATTTGAGTCAACCTTGAAAATACACAGATGGATGGATGTCAGGGTGAGACCTGACTTCAAGTTCCCATGAATGTGGTTTATATTTTAAACACTTTAAAAATAACTGTGTATGTCGTGGTGTCAGGAGTCAGGCAGGTGGAAGGGTTAGGCCTTCCAGGCCATCTTCCGAGCTGCACCGGACGTTTGTCTCACCTCCCCTACAGAGATGGTGGCACAGTCCAATCCCTTTTCCCTCCTCACTGGGTGTCCTCCTCCAATTCATGGATTGTCTGACACTTTCTGCACTCGTCCCTGCTGCTGGTGTCTGCTGGCACTTCCTGTCCTTCTTGCTTCCCATCTTCCTTGTCTGTTCTGCCCCTCTCCCTTCCATTTCTCCCGTATTTCTTAGCTTTATCACAAAAAGGCTTGGGCATCACAGCCATGGCCCACTCTTGAGATTGCATTTCTTGGCCAGCAAGCCCACCTGGCCTCATCATTTTGGCTGCAACTTCAAGGTCATCAGCCCATCTTAGCTCTGTTCATCCCTAAGTTTTCTGTGGATAGGCTTTCTATTTGACAGAGTGCTTCTCCCAGCCCCCTCTTAATTTCTTTATCTGACACTGTTTTTTGGGACCTAGAGGTCCCTGAGGGCCTGGGGCTTCCTTGTGCGTTGAGGTGGGCCCTGTAGATTCTGCCGTCGAGAGAACTCTGACCAGCCCGCTCTGAGAAAGAATGTCAAGTGGTCAGGGTCTCACCAAGCAAAGGGCCTCTATATGATAATGGTCCACAGAGCTGTCAGGAGAACAAATGGGGTAATCTGGAGTGTGATTTCATCATTCTTCAGTGCATTCTCAGTGCCGGGAAAAGTCATGAGTAGGGTTCTCGTTTTAACTCCTAAATTATGAACTTACTCACATTTGTGGATTAGACAATGCCTCAACATCATTTTCATAGTGTGTGTGTGTGTGTGTGTGTGTGTGTGTGTTTATGTGTGTGTGTGTGTGTGGTTTAATGTGTACAACTCATCTGAACCCAGTTGCTCTGTGGTTTATCTTTTACTGAGAACTGCTTTTTTTCTTCCTTTTCTAAGAAAATACTAGTTCTTAAAGTATGAAGTCTTTCTTGTGAGTTCATCAGCAGTGAGGGGTGTGGTGTGAGGACCTACATTGGTGATAATGAGATCCAACAATCACTGAATTCAGGCGATTTTGACACAAATCATATTGACTAAAATAATATTAAGCACGTGATGCTGGTGACATTTGAATATTTGCCAGGAAGAATACCTGCATGGTAACAATTGGCTGCAAATGGAAGAGATTTGCATGTTTTATTGTTTTTACAGTTTTAACATACATTTTTATTGGAGAATCTGAAACCAACCTATGTAGGGGAGGTTATGGGAGCAAAAGTAACACAGAGAACCAGCAGGAATCGGCCTACCTGCCTGCCTCTGTCCTCCTCTGCTCCTAAGAATTTGGGTCACCTCTGGCTTCAGCACTTAGTCCTAATCATGAACAACACATGAGTTAGGGGAAAGGTGTATTCACAAATTTGAAATTTCTTTATGTTTTTCCTCTCTCACATTCCTTTCCTGCAGTCTCTTTCCTACTTTTTCATCCTTTGTGTAAAGGTAGCAACTTTTTTTTTGTTTTTTGAGACAGAGTCTCGCTCCGTTGCCCAGGCTGGAGTGCAGCAGTGTGATCTCGGCTCACTGCAACCTCCGCCTTCTGGGTTCAAGTGATTCTCCTGCCTCAGCCTCCTGAGTAACTGGGACTACAGGCATGTGCCACTGTGACTGGCTAATTTTTTATATTTTTAGTAGAGACAGGATTTCACCATGTTGGCCAGGCTGCTCTCGAACTCCTGACCTCGTGATCCGCCCGCCTGGATCTCCCAAAGTGCTGGGATTACAGTTGTGAGCCACCGCACCCGGCCAAGGTAGCAACTTTTATTTGAGAAAGCTTGGAATCCTGACCTAAGCTCCCTGAGTTCCCACTGTGGCTTGTGGCCACCTATTGTGATACTCACTCTCTACCCTTGGTTTTCTGATCTCTAAAATGAGACTGTCTACTTCACGTGGCTGTTAAATGCATCATAATTTCCTTCCTTACCTCCCTTCTTTAAAGGAAACTTGGAATTTTCAAAGCTACTAAATGGAGTTTTTTTGTGTTTTTTTTGTTGTTGTTGTTTGTTTGTTTGTTTGAGACAGAGTCTCGCTCTGTCGCCCAGGCTGGAGTGCAGTGGCATGCTCTTGGCTCACTGCAACCTCTGCCTCCTGGGTTCAAGCAATTCTGTCTCGCCTCAGCCTCCCGAGTAGCTGGGACTACAGGCGCCCGCCACCACGCCCAGCTAATTTTTGTATTTTTAGTAGAGACGGGGTTTCACCATGTTGGCCAGGATGGTCTCGAACTCCTGACCTTGTGATCCACCTGCCTCAGCCTCCCAAAGTGCTGGGATTACAGGCGTGAGCCACCACACCTGACCTAAATGGAGTATTTTTAGGGCCACATGGTTAGGGGCAACTAAAAATGTCATATGCTACCATTGCATTCATGAACACCATCCTCCCTCAGAGAAGAAAGGAGTCACATGACTGCATTTCTGGCGAAACCTGATTGCATTTTGGTAAAACCTGTGCCAGGACCAGGACAGTCATCAATGACGTGTTCCCTGATTTTCATGACTGAAGAGCTTCAGGCTGGTGCTGCCGCAGGGGACCTTTGCGTGGCATGGCTCCTCTGCACTGGCGTTAGCTGTGGTGAGACACAGCTTGCAGCCACAGTAGGACAATGCCAAGTCCAATGGTATTTGCTGTTCAGGAGCAAAAGAACTACACAGCAACAACACATACTATCGTCGAGTACCTATTTATTTCACTGTATGTGTCTGAAGGACTAAATCGAAGCCAGAGCCCCCCGCCCATGCACCAAAATAAAATGCAGACAGTGTTGAGTTACCAAAATGACAGTGCACCTGCAAAGGGAAGTCAGTGAAGGTTTAAAGGTGAAGACTTAAAAATATATAGATAGCTTAAAACTGCAAATAAAAAAATGTCACATAGAGATTTTCATGAGCTTAGAAAACCAGGAGGAGATTTGAGTCGAGAGAAAACAAGGCCAGCCTCTCTCAAGTGGCAGATTTCTGCAGTCTTTGGAAAGATGGAAATAAATATGGCCAGGCGCGGTGGGTCACACCTGGAATCCCAGCACCTTGGGAGGCTGAGACAGGCAGGTCACTTGAGGTCAGGAGTTTGAGACCAGCCTGGCCAACATAGTGAAATCCCGTCTCTACTGAAAATACAAAAATTAGCTGGGTGTGGTGATGCCCACCTGTAGTCCCAGCTACTCGGGAGAATCGCTGGAACCCAGGAGGTGGTGGTTGCAGTGAGCCAAGATCGCACCACTGCACTCCAGCCTGGGTGACAGAGTGAGACTCTGTCTCAAAAAAAAAAAAAAAAAAAAAAAAAGAAATGAAAAGAAAAAGATGGGAAGAAATAAAAGCTGCAAAAGGACAAATGGACAGATTCAGGGCGGAAAGCAAGGACAGAGCAGGATTTGAGCGTGAGACTTGCTATTTGGGCTTAGGTGAAATGAAATAAAGAAAAGGGCTGGAGAAGTCAGAAGTGGGTCACAGAACAATGAGATGGTGAATGGGGTCCAAAGTGTGGGTCGCCAGGACTGCCAGGAGGAGCCACATCTCCAGGGTAGGGCTAAGCTGCAAGCAACCAGCATTATTTAGCAGAGTCCTGCAGAAGTGAATGGAAAGATCTTTAAAAAACCTATGAATGGCAGTGGAAAAAAAAGAACTGAAAGGAAAGCAGAAGGCTTATGGGCTAGATAAACTCATTCTCAGACATATGACTGAACTGAAACTCAGATAAAATATTATCTTTTCATCCAGCGTCTTTCATTCGTTAGAAGTTCAGTTTCTTTATATTTCATTCATACAAGAGCAATGCAGATTTTTAAATTAATATATGTGCTCATAGACATGTGGATAGAAACTCATTGCTGATTAGAATATTATGAATTAAGGAAATTTTAACAAAATATACTTGGAAAGTATAATATGGGATTGAAATTTGAAGCCAATGATAAGATTATAAAGACTCAGAGCTAATCTTTCATGCACTATTTTGTAAAGAATAAAATATTATTCTTCCTTGGGCCTGAAGTCCACACTAGCCCCCTCACTAAGATGATAACCACAGGGGTGAGCCCTGAGATCTTCCACCCCCAAGGCCTCCACTAATCGCCATCTGGACATTTGCTTTTCGTCCCTTGTACTGCCTGTTCTCCACCTGAACAGTCCAGACACTTCCAGCATGTTCACTGCCCACAAGTTTACTTAGGACCCCGAAGTCCTAGAAAAAAGTTGCCTTTAGCTTGGCTGCTCCTTTGGTCTGCACTGTGTCTCCTCCCCATGTCTTTAGCTTCCTCAAGCTGGATGGTTTCTTCCTGACTGCACAGCTTCACTCCCAACTGTCCCTACTGCCACCCTCCACCACACCAGGGGCTCTTCTTTTCCCAGGTTTTTAAGGAAACACTGTCTTTGAGGGGATCATGCACCAATTTCAGCAGGTGTCTGGAGCCATAACATTTTACTTTCCTGTAGCAGTTGGAAAGATCTCTCTTTAAACACTAGACCCTCTTGATCCTGTTAAACGGCCTGATTCTTCCTTCTGTCTTGGTGACCAGTCATCTCTGTCCAACATGCCAGCTTCTCTGTCTTCCCCCACTCAGGTAAATTCAGACATTTGCCCCAGCCTAGGTCTTAGCTTCCTCGCTCTGTTTCCTCTGTCTCGGAGATCTCACCTACTCTCTCTAATCCTTCCAATTTTAATGCAGGTTGTTCCAAAACCCATATCTCCAGGCCTGACACGTCTCCCATTTCCATCCTGTATGTCCATGCCACCTTGGAGAATCCCCCACCATTTCAAACCAAGCTCTGCCTCTCCCTCCGCCACTAACAGTGTATTGGGTACAGTGTATTGGGTTGAGGATTTATACACTTCTCCCTAGCATTGCCAGTTAGGAGACCACCTGCCAATGGGAACCACTAGTCCTGGCTCCCCACATCTTAGTCATCTTCAGTTCCATCATCTCACTTTCTTTGTATCCGTACACAGACTAACACTTCATTTCCCCCACTTCCAACCCTGTCCTCATGGCGTTCCTAGAAATGACATAGGCGGACATCTACTAAACCCTTACTTGGTCTGTATAAGTGGAGGAGTTCTAGGTGAAGGGAACAAAAGCCCAACTTGCACCCTGAAAACAGAGAGTCACGGCCCCTCGATCAATTCACACACTTGCACCAATTTACCGACCCAGAAGCCCTTGAATGAAGAGGAGGCCGGGTCTCCTTGACGAAGGACCCTACCACACTGTCAAGAATTAATACTGTTGCTTTTTCTCCCAGCCTTCCCCAAAGGGACCTATAGCCTTTTGCCAGGGTGACTGTGCACTGGGGAAAAGGAATTAATCAGACCTTTTGGGGACTACTGGTGACTGGCTCTGAGCTGACACTAATTCCAGGAGACCCCAAACATCACTGTGGTCCAGCAGTCAGAGCAGTGGCACGTGGAGGTCAGGTGATCTCTGGAGTTTTCACTTCATGTTTGTGTCCATCCCCATAGCACTTTGTTCAGGACAACGTGGCAGGGCCCACACTGCTGCAGTGGATTCCTGGAGGCTTGTACCTCCCAACCCCCAACCCAGAGCTGCCTACAGCCACAGTATTATTCAGTCCAAAGCACCTCTGTGACAATTATATTCCTGGCTCTAAACTTCCACTGGTGCCCAGTTGTTAGGAACAATGCAGCTTTCCTTAGCCCGATAGTTAAAACCCTTCACAAAGTCTCCTTCCCCTTTATTTCCAGTTTTCCTGGCTATAAATCCTCAACCCAATACACTGTACCCCACTCCCCCCAGCCCCCAGATACACCATCCCCCAACACGAAACACTTACCCTCTTCTCAGCTTTGCCTTTATCCACGCTGTTCCCTCTGCCTGGTATTTCCTTTTGGCTCCTTTCTCTGGATTTGTGTGGTGCCTGTTTTAGCACAAATATACCATGTCCCCTTGTAAAATGTCTTTTCTTCACTTCAGCTGGTAACAGCCAGGGAAATGAGCAAAAACGTGTGGATAGATTAATTCACCAGCATCGGGGAGCCGGGTGGGCGGGGGTGGGGGGTACAGTGTGGCGCAGGGCATGTCTTTCTGTGGGTAGGTCGTTAACAATTTTCATAAACAAAAGATTGCCTTGTTTATACCTGTTCATCAGAGTCAGCATTTCTTAAATCTGTTTAAGGTGAAAGTGAGTGCTTTGTGTTTTAAAAATCATATGGGAAGCACAGAAATAGGAAATGTTCACTTTGTTTAATGTGGAAGTATATTCCATAACAGGTGGCCTCTCAACTTGCACAAATAAAACAAAATTGGTTGGCTAAAATCTATCAGAGAAGAAGAGGAAGTAATCGCCAGGTGGTAGGACCAGGAGCAGATGGGGACTATTTACTTAGATCCTCAATTCTTCTTGTTGAGTGTCCCTCTAATTAAGTACCTTTCCTTAGATGTTAAATAAACTTTCATATTTTTAAATAGTATTTTTTTTAGAAAAGTGTATTCCCATGCCAGTTTCTCCTTCTTCCAAAGTCAGGGGTAGAATAACCATATAGCATTAATAGAGTCTGTGTAAGCTTAAATAGTCCAACTTTCCTTTCAGGCTTTTTATTTGAAGTTTCCAAATTACACAGCTAAAATAAAAACAGCACAGAATTTAAATTGAGACCATTATATATCGCAGGGACTTCCCCCACCCCCATATTAAGTAAGGCAGTGTCAGCCCTGGTGGTCCGTGCAGACTCAGTGCACTGGAGGCAGAAGTTCCAGGTGGACTGACTCCTGCCCCCACCCAGACCTCTGGTGCTCCCAGGCAGTCTGGAACAATCAGACTCTGGTGCTCCCAGGCAGTCTGGAACAATCAGACTCTGGTGCTCCCAGGCAGTCTGGAACAATCAGAGTTGCCCTTGGTCTTCCGGAAATACTGTAATTCCCTGTGCAATGTTAGCTCTTGACCATCTTTGAATTCTTTTTCTTAGACTTACAAGGCTCTGTCGCTGGTTTCCCTCTCACTCTTCTGACGACTACATTTCAACTTCCTTCAACAAACACTTATGAAGCATTTATATAGCACTTACTGACGGCCACAGCCAGGTGCAGTTTTGTGGATCTGTACACAAATGAATTAGATGAGCCGGTGCCCATCGGCCCTGGGGTTCACAGACCAAGGCTCGCTCTGCCGGCATCCTGGGCTCCCTCCTGCCGCCTGCACCTGGAACGCTTGGCGGTCTCCGTGCCTCTTCTCCAGTTCTCTCCTCCACTGTGCTCCTTTGGAAAGGCTTTTCTGTCACGGCTTCAATCATAAAACTGTATTCCTAGTCCTATTTCCTCATCTGAGGTGAAGCATGAAATCTCCTCTTGTTTACCCCGAATTCAGCCAGCTCACCACGAGCCCTCTCTGCATCTGTCAGCCTCTGTCAGCAGCTGTAAAAGCTTCCCTTCTCCCCAGACCCCCACATCTGGAAACCGTCTTTAAGTCGTCCTCCCCTTTTTACTGTGTGTCCAGGAATCCACTTTTGGGCTTCCTCTGACCGGCCTCTTCCTTCCTTCTTTTCCTCCTCCCCGCCCCACTGCCTCCACCTACTCTAGTCCCAAGGCCGTGCCCCTGCCCCAACCCTCCCACTGTGCTCTTCCCACCCACACCAGAGTCCCCTTCTTTAAATCCTGTCCGATCAGTGTCACTCTCATTAAGTGACAGAGATGATGTCTCCACCTTTTATATCTCCAACAGCATCTAACCCAACACCTGGCACTTACTAGAGGCATCAACGATGCTTGTTGTTCTGTGTGGCGAAGGCACACCTGGATTCTGGATGGTCAGTCTCAGCTCTCCATCTTTGCTGCCTCACAGGGACTCCAAATGTGGAGCGTCTCCCACTGCCCTTAATTAGGGAAATTCAGCCTCGCAGAAGACAGTGAAACTGATGAAAGCATTGGGAAATGGAACCTAGGAAAGTTAAAGAATTGGCATCATTTGATGTGAGAAAGAGAAGCGAAGATGATGAGAGATCCTAGGGAAAAGGCTACATGCCCTGTCTTTCTTGAGACAAGCGTGTGCACTTCCTTTGCTTCCACTCTTACTTGTGTTTATCCTTGGAGGGACCTTTAATTATCTAACGCTTGGGTATTGGCCACGGTGCTTATCGTCTGCGTGTGAATCTGGACATGGTCCCCAAGCTGTGTGGTGCTGTTTGTTGGTGCGGTCCAGGATGCACAGGGCTGAGATGGTGCTGCATGCACACTTACCGAGCACATCCCCCTGGGAGAGGTGTGGACACCACCGTGAAGGGGGCCCAGACCTCCTCCTTAAATGCCTGCACTTTCACAGGGATCAGACATGGAGACAAGAACTCTCAGAAGAGGGAGAGGCCTGAGGCACAGCAGGAAGGTACAAGTTCAAAGGAAGTGAAGATTTCCAGTGAGAGCTATCAGACTCTTGAAATGGACTACAGGGAAAGCCTGTGGTCTCCTCTTTCTTAGAAATGCTAAACTCATAACAGAAAACCTCTCCACCGTGGCTTGAGTGTCAAATTCTCTGGAGGCCTGGGGATGGGGCCGGGAGTTTTCTGCCTCTATATCCCCATGGTCCACTTATTCGGGTGGCTTAGTTTGCTTTGCAAGCAGGGGGTGGGAGCGGGGCTGCTTATTCCAACCACAGTAGTCAAATGTGTTACTTATGAGAAATAATAAAAGATCCTTCTTCTTTTCTTTTTCTAGACCCCCTCTAGTCAAATGTTGTTGTTTTTTTAAATAGAGGAGGTTGTTTTGCATTTTTCTTTTCGTAGTGTTCGAATTTAGCTTTTGTATATACTCTCCCCAGTAGTTCAGAGTACATTCATGAGCCCAGATCATGAGGAATGCTCACCATTTTCCTGAAAGATGGTGTGTGGAGGATGTGTACAGATAGAAGCTAGGCTGTTGAAGATTTTATTGAACTCATCAGCATTAACAACAGACACTGTTAGTGAGGTCCGAATGTTTTTGTTTATTTTTTTGACTCAACAAACAGTTATTGAGCAAGGCTTTCTTCTGTGCCCGGCAAGATGCTTGCCACTTGCTGAAGAGACAAAGATGCATGAGATATGGTCCCTGCTTTTAAAGCACTTACAATCTAGCAGGGAAGACAGCCAGGTGTACAAATAATCATATGTGTTACAAAGAAACGATTATTCCGGTTCAAAGGAAGGCTGTTGTTGATGAAGGATGGTTGCATAGCAGAATTATAATCGTCAGTTTGAAATTCAACTTTTTCAAGCTTTGTCATTTCTATCTTGTATTAGCCTTATTTTTCCCTTTTTCAAAATACTTATTTGCATAGGTATTAGTCACATGGTTCCTATACTGGAACAGTTTAGAAAGGTGTTTATTGGAAAGTCTCGCTAGCACCTCCGTCCCCATCCACCCAATTCACTACTCGCTCTTCCATCAGAATAAGGAACCATTGTCTATTAATTTCTTGAGTATATATCCAGCGCCCATCCATGCAAAATAACATATACACATTTTAAAATTTTCCCTTTCTTACACAAAAGGCAGCTTACTGTTTGCCCTGTTAATTTAACAGTATATCTTGAGATTTTACCATGTAAGATCTTATCATGGTACATCTTGAGATGTACCATGTCAGTACATAGAATGCATGCTTTTCCTTTCTTCCTAGGTAGTATAATACTTCCTAGTATTGCATCGTTTTGGAGATATCAGAGTGTGCCAGTTATCAATTAGCTGCATAACAGATTACTCCATAACATAGTGGTTTAAAACAACAACCCTTTTATTAGTCATAATTCTATGGGTGAACTATTTGGCCTGAGATCTGCCAAGGGTTTTTTACTGCTGCTTTTGCCTGGATTTGTTCATATGGATGTGATTATTTGGGGCTAGATGGTCTAAGATGGCCTCACTAGCAGGTTGTTGGGAGAGTCTGACCTCAGTTGGAATATGTGCCTTGAGTAAACCAGCCCCAGCTGCTTCATATGGCGACTGGGTCCCACAAAAACAGAGAGGGGTTGGCCCCGCTGTGGAGGTTTTATTAAGCTTCTACTTGAATCCCATTGGTTAATGTTCCATTGGCAAAAGCAGGTCATGGGGCCAAGCCCAGAGTCAATGTGGAAGCAATTTCAGGATGAGAAATTCATTAGATGTCATTATGTAACTATTTACTACCCATGGAGTAATTAACCAGCCCCTGATGATGGACACCTGTTTATTTCCAGTCTTTTGGTATTGCAGATAATGCTCCAATAGATAATCTTGTATATTAGTCAGTTCATATGTGAGCAGGGTAAGTACCAGAAGTAGTACTGACCCTGTGCTGGATAGAGGGCAGATGCCTTCTCAATTATCTATCTATCCTATTTCTGTGGTGCTGTTTCTCTAGATATTTTAAGCTTGTGTTTTTCTGTCACTCGTGCAGGAGCTTTGAAAATGTGAAAAGACTTTAGATAGGAAATGCATATAAACTGAATTAATTAGAAACTCACTCCTAAAATAACAAAAAACATGAAAGCTAGAATAGAAATCAAATAATTTTGAGTAAAGTAATGTGTACATTATTTGAAGAAATACAAGTATGTCTGTTATAACAATACTTTACATTTCTGTTGTGTTTACAGCATAGAAACACTTAGTTTGCTTTTAGTATCTCAATTCTCAGAACAATTCTATGAGTTGAAAGTATAATTGGCCCCATTATGTGTGTGTATGTGTGTGTGTGTGTGCGTGTGCATATGTATGAATGTATTTAAAGGCTTAGAGAAGTTACCTAACTTGCCCCAACTAACAAGTAATAGCCAGAATATATACCCAGCCCTGTGACAATAAACTTGACGTTGTCCCATTAATCGCATCTTACTAGTAGGGACTTGTATCTTGTATCTGGCTTAGCTTCTAAAGATATACATGTGCTCAACTTGCTAATTGCTTTGCTAGTACAATCACAATCATATATGATATCACCTCAGGAGGCTCTTTTTAAAAATATATAAGTAGTTAATTTCTAATTTCTGAATAGGTGGGGAACCTCCCTGAAGTTTTCTCTTGTTTTACACATGTCATTGGCATCCAGGTTGAGAGCTCCATCTCCTGATCATAGCCTCTAGTAAATCTTGACGGAGGAATTCTCTTTAAGCCCAGGGTCTTGCTTTCAGACTTCAGAAAAGAGGAGTTTTTTTAAATAAAACCTTGTCTGGCCCTCCCGCAATGGATGCAGAAGGTAGACTGTTTTCTTTCTTTTAATTCACACTCAGACGTTTTCGTAAGGGGCTTGGTCCTGGCAAAGTGGGCCTCACATACAAACCACCCACTTTCCTGAAGCGTGATTGATTAGCAAAGCTGTTCTGCTCAAGGGCAGCCTGTTTTCCCCAGCCTGGATGCTGACAGGTCCGACATGCACAGATTTTCAAGCAGGTCGCCAGTCCCCAGGCTGCAGGCTGTAGGCCAGGACGCTTGTTCTTGAGGGAGAAGAGAGGAGAAGAAATCCACTCCGGGGGCAAGAATTAAGCTATATTATAGAATTCCCAAGACACAGCAGGGCAGGCCAACATAGTCCTTGTTTAGAGAGCCCCTGATGGTGTTGGGTGCCAAGAAAACCATGGCTGCACAAGACACACAGAGTGAAGGTGAATATAAAGATGTTTAGGCAAAGCCTGTGCATATGGTACTGATCCCCATTTGTCTAAGAACCTCTAAACATCAAAGAGAGTTAAAGAAAGATAGAAATTTGATGCCTAATCAAAGTAGCCTATGATGGAAGTTTGGAAATACAGCCAAGCAATAATACTGTAAACAGAACGAGGTACAGATCATGTCTTTGCATGTTTGTCTCTGTGGCATCTAACAGCGTGTCTTTTACAAGTAGAATCTGCATAAATATATAGTCACAAAATGTTAGAGCTGAAAATTATCTTACAAACCGTCTTGTCCAGGCCTCACCATTTTAGGAATGAGTTAACAGAGGTACAGACAGGTTAGGTAAGTGGCCTCAGTTGTTCTGAGTCAGACCAGGTCTTCTAAATCTTAGTGAAGTAGTTGTCATAAAATTGTGCTGCCAGTATTCTAACAAATGTTATGTGAATGTAGGAATATTTTATTTTTTTTGAGACTGAGTCTTGCTCTGTCGCCCAGGCTGGAGTGCAGTGGCCCGATCTCGTCTCACTGCAACCTCCGCCTCCTGAGTTCAAGTGATTCTCCTGCCTCAGGCACCCAAGTACCTGGGATTACAGGCATGCACCACCATGCCTGGCTAATTTTTGTATTTTTAGTAGAGACAGGGTTTCACCATGTTCGCCAGGCTGGTCAGAAACTCCTGACCTCAAGTGATCCGCCTGCTTCGGCCTCTCCAAGTGCTGGGATTACAGGCATGAGACACTGTGCCCAGCCAAAGGAATACATTTATTTCCTTTTTTTCATTGTAGAATTTATTATTATTATTATACTTTAATTTCTGGGGTACATGTGCAGAACGTGCAGGCTTCTTACATAGGTATACACGTGCCATGGTGGTTTGCTGCACTCATCACCCTGTCACATACATTAGGTATTTCTCCTAATGCTATCCCTCCCCTAGACCCCCACCCCCTAACAGGCCCCAGTGTGTGATGTTCTCCTCCCTAGGTTCATGTTGTTCTCATTGTTCAACTCCTACTTACGAGTGAGAACATGTGGTGTTAGGTTTTCTGTTCTTGTGATAGTTTGCTGAGAATGATGGTTTCCAGTTTCATTCATGTTCCTGCAAAGGACATGAACTCATCCTTTTTTAGAGCTGCATAGTATTCCATGGTGTATATGTGCCACAGTTTCTTTATCCAGTCTATTATTGATGGACATTTGGGTTGGTTCCAAGTCGTCGCTATTGTGAATAGTGCCACAACAAACATACATGTGCATAAATCCTTCTACTATGAAGACACATTTATTTCCTTTTTAAAGAGATTTATTTAAGAGTCACTGATTCCGTAAAATCATGGAAAGTCATCTCCTTAATTTACTTATGTATTAACCAAAGGAGATTCCCCCAAGGTACTTTCTATTAGGGGCGGTGGGAAAAGGGAGGGTTATAAGGATGAATTGACTAGCGTCTTTTGAAAGACTTTCAGGAATTTGGGTCTTAAGACATTTTGGCCATCTTACAGAAAGTCTTAAATGTCAGAATTGGGTGAAAAAAATTTAACTTTTCTCACAATGGTTTGTTATATGCTCAAGGTGCAGATAGCTTGGTAGGGACAATTCAGCCTGCGGTTAAGAGTGGTCTCTATGTGTACGTCAGTAAACTGGCTATCAGCGTAGCAGCAGGAGCAGAAATCATCAAGACCGTGGACCCCCCAGCCTGTCACTTGACTTCTGCTCCGTAATGCTGCCTGCACATTGCCCATTTGGTGCAGGTTATGCCTGGCTTGTTTCAAACATCCCGTGCCTGCTGGAGCTGAGGATGCAGCGGATTCATTAGCTCCATAGGAATGGACCCCTTCATTCAAAGCTCAATTTGGCCCAGGCGCAGTGGCTCATGCCTGTATCTCAGCACTTTGGAAGGCTGAGGTGGGAGGATCACTTGAGCCCAGGAGTTCAAGACCAGCCTAGGCAACCTAGCGAGACCCCATCTCTATAAAAATATTAAAAAATTAACCAGGCGTGTCCCAGCTATTTGGGAAACTGAGGTGGGAGAATCACTTTTTCCCAGGAGTTGATGAGTTTTCTCCCACCCGTGTTGAGCTATGTTGCACCATTGCACTCCAGCCTGAGTGATAGAGCAAGACCCTGGCTCTAAAAGAAAACAAAACAAAAAATAAAGCTTGATTTGTTTTCCCATCCCATGGCCCACTGCCAACTCTATCATTTTTGGCTCTTGACTGTCTTATACGCGGGAGTGTAGGGAGAAACTTTTGCCAGTCCCTTCAAAGATGGCTTTGACAATCTGTTGTCCTGAATAAATTTGAACACCTGACAAAAGAGTGTCTAGAATCTTCCTTTCCTTTACAAAGTGTAAGGGGTCAGATGTATTGCCCCTTTTGGGATATAAATCAGTTATTGTTCTGCCAGCCACTGGGAACATTTTAGAAGCCCATTTATTACTATCTGCAATGGTACCTCATATTTGGTTTCCTGTGTCATAAAGAAAAACCTGCAAATACCTAAAAGTAAGGATTCCAGTGAAATGTGGGTTCTGCTTCACTCTGTTTGGTGTGGGAGGCTGTGTAAGTCTAACTCTAAGAATACCGGTAGTGGTATCTATCTTCATTCTAAGAACTGAGGGAGGCGAGGTTTGTGCAGAATTAAATCACCCTGTCATATCTGTGAGGGCTTCCTGCAGAACGAAGGCAAGTAAACCCAAACAAACAAAACAGGAACATGTTGGAAACAGTCAGAGGTATACGTCTGGAACTAAGGTTACGAGCTGAGCCTTGAAAAGTTCATGAGAGACTGGCTTGCTTGAAAATATCCTTCGTGTGTGTGTGTGTGCGTGTGTGTGTGTGCATGTGTGCGCGTTGTTTTGTTTGTTACGGTTTTGGTCCGTGCTACCGTATTTACCCCATGTGTGGTGGTTGGAAATGTCAGGGTTTCTTGATTGAAAAAGGAAATAAGAGATTATGCCACTCACAGCACAGAAGTGGGATGAGCCTCACTATGGTGTATACGTGTGCGTCTGTGTGTTTATGTCTGTGTCATCTCCATGTGTTTCTGTGCCAGTGTCTGTGTGTCTGTGCATATGTAGTGTGTCTGCGTGTCTGTACCTGTGTGTATGTCTGTGTACATGTGTCTGCGTGTATGTGTGTGTCTCTGTGTATGTGTCTGTGCATGTGTTGTATGTGTGTCTATGTTGTGTCTGTATCTGTGTGTGTGTTGTGTGGTATCTGTGTGTGTGGGTCTGTGCATGTGTCTGTGTGTTGTGTGTGTCTCTGTGTCTGTGTATGCATGTGTCTCTGTGTGTGTTGTCTATGTGCATTTGTCTGCGTGTGTCTCTGTGTATGTGCCTATGTTGTGTAGTGTTTGTATGTTTATGGCTGTGTGTGTTGTGTGTGTCTATGCATGTCTGTGTGTGTTGTGTGTGTCTCTGTGTCTGTGTGCCTGTGTGTCTTGTGTGTGCATGTTGTGTAGTATATGTGTGTGTCTCTGTGTCTGTGCATGTGTCTGTGTGTGTTGTGTGTGTGCATTTGTCTGTGTGTTTCTGTGTGCATGTGTTGTGTAGTGTGTGTGTTGTGTGTGTCTGTGTGTTGTGCGTGTCTGTGTATGTGTCTATGTGATGTGTGTGGTGTGTGTGTCTGCGTCTCTGTGTCTGTGCCTGTACATGGGTCTGTGTGTGTGTTGTGTGTGTGCATTTGTGTGTCTCTATGTGTGCATGTGTTGTGTAGTGTGTGTGTCTTTTGTATGTCTGTGTCTGTATGTCAGTGTGTGTCTGTGTGTGTCTGTGTATGTCTGTGGGTGTCTCTGTGTCTGTGTGTCAGTGTGTGTCTGTGTGTGTCTCTGTGTCAGTGTGTGTCTCTGTGTCTGTGTGTGTCTGTATATGTCTGTGTGTGTGTCTCTGTGTCTGTGTGTCACTGTGTGTCTTTGTGTGTGTCTCTGTGTCTATGTGTGTCTGTGTATGTCTGTGTGTCTGTGTGTCTCTGTGTCAGTGTGTGTCTGTGTCTCTGTGTCTGTGTGTCTCTGTGTCAGTGTGTGTCTGTGTGTGTCCCTGTGTCTGTGTGTGTCTGTGTGTGTGTGTCTCTGTGTGTCAGTGTGTGTGTCTGTGTCTGTTGTGTCTTTGTGTCTGTGTGTGTCTGTGTATGTCTGTGTGTGTGTCTCTGTGTCTGTGTGTCAGTGTGTGTCTGTGTGTGTGTCTCTGTGTCTATGTGTCTGTGTGTCAATGTGTGTCTGTGTCTATGTGTGTCTGTGTGTCAATGTGTGTCTGTGTCTATGTGTGTCTGTGTGTCAATGTGTGTCTGTGTGTGTCTCTGTCAGTGTGTGTCTGTGTGTGTCTCTGTGTCTGTGTGTCAGTGTGTGTCTGTGTGTGTCTCTGTGTCTATGTGTGTCTGTGTGTCAATGGGTGTCTGTGTGTGTCTATGTCAGTGTGTGTCTGTGTGTGTCTCTGTGTCTGTGTGTGTGTCTCTGTGTCTGTGTCAGTGTGTGTCTGTGTGTGTCTCTGTGTCTATGTGTGTCTCTGTGTCAGTGTGTGTCTGTGTGTGTGTCTCTATGTCAGTGTGTGTCTGTGTGTGTTTGTGTGTGTCTGTGTGTGTCTCTGTGTGTGTGTGTGTGTGTATGTCTGTGTGTGTGTGTCTCTACATCTTTGCGTATACAGGGGCATAGCATAGTCATGCAAAACCGTCTTCCTTCAACTCATAGTTCTCTCCTTCCTCAACCAGAAGCCACTCTGCTTTGTTGTGAAAACAAATAAACTACTTTCTTACAAAAGAAAGACCAAATAACCTGAAAAGCTCAAATAAAATCCACCTTATGATACAATATTAAGAAACAGAAATTTTCAATGGAGAAAATCCCACACCAGACTGAGGAAGACAGATCAGTTTAACTGGAGTCTCTGTTTGTTTTATATTTCTTTTCTACTCTCCACTCCCATTTGCCAACAAAACTATGCTCTCTCACAGGGGACAGGTTCACCCCTCAATGTCTGACTAACATGCTTTTCATTTGAATTCAAAATATTTGGTGACGATTGGCAAAGAATGAGGATGGGAAATTGAATATTACATCATCTTATGAAAGCTTCCTCCTCCCTCACTTCCTTCTTCCTTTCTTCCTCCTTTCTCTCCCTTTTTCCCTCCCTCCTTTCCTCTCTCCCTTCCCTTTTCTGTTCCTGCTGTGACCGTTCCCCTGATTGAGCAGACGTGGACATGGGGGAGTCAACTGTAGGAGTGACTGGCGCCTCACAGACACCGTCCTCTGAGGTAGCTGTCACCAGAGGATTGTCACTGAAAATGCAAGAAGAGTTTGGCATTTGATTGCATTCTGCACAATTCAAGCAGGACAAATTGCTGCAGAAGATGACACCAGAAATAGCCACCATGTAGTGGGTTCTCACCACATGACAGACACGGTGCTGCTATAAGCTTGTGACTTGCACTGTCTGAGCCCTGAACACCTGTAGCAGGTACGAGCATTTGCTCCATTTTCAGACCAGGAGACAGCAGCTCAAAGAAAGTGAACGATTTGTCAGTGGTCACACAGCTAGGAAGTGGCAGGGGGCGCTTAGCCGGGTTGGACTCTGAAGGTCATGCAGCATCTTTACACAGACCCAAACCCTTCAAATCGATTTCCACCCATGTGTGTTTGGCAGCCACATGTCAACAAGCCATAACTTTCTTACCTATTTCGGGAAAACATTATTTTCTCTCACCTGTATTTATCGTCATCCTATTTCTGTTGCAAGAAATCAAAACGTGAAGAAGATAGATTTGAAGAAGACCTTTTTTTGGCTACTTCTGATGATGAGATGCAGTTAGGAAGATGGAGTTCAGATGCTAAAATATTGGAATTTCTGATTGATGCATATTCATGGTTAGAGGGAAAGTAAGTTGCACTGTGGAGTTAAGAAATCTGAGAAATACAGGAAATCCAAGCTGAGAAAAACTCATAACTATGATGTTTCCATGTGCAGGAAACTTCAGGTCCTTCTGCGCCCAACCTTCCTGGAAAGCTTTTATTTAAAAAAGTTTTTAAAATTTTTATTTAGTTATTTTTAATTGACAAACAAAAATTGTATATAAAGGCTTTTGTATTTTATCCCGTATGATAAAGGGCCGCACGGTTCTTTCTTGATGCCTGAGTTAAGTGAGCATATTAACAGCATGCAGCGTTCAGCTCTCATTAATTTTCAATAGGCTCATTTACCTTTGACCCTTTTATTTCAAAGCCAAAAAAAAGACCATACATAGAGAGAAACGATTGCATTATAGCTCCTCCTTCAATATGAGTCGCTCAATCTCTAATGGTTTCTTTCCATCGAGAAGAAGGTTTTAGTAACCAAGTGACTAAGTTACCTAGCTAAACTCCCCCCTCCTTCTTTATCAATACTTAATTAGTATTGATGCTTTTCTTGGCTAAATCTCATTTCAGAGCCTGCACAACTGAACTTTTTCCATAAATGAACCTTTTAAAATGTGTATTTGAAATATCTTTCAGCCTAAGAAAATAGTTTTTAACAAGTTATGCATTGATTTCCTCTTACTCTGAAATATTTCTCAAGTGATTTTTCCTGAAAGATTCTTTGTGGTTCATTGAACACAAAAAACAAACCGTGTACCAGGTCTGGTAGAGGTTACAGGGATACAGATAACTTGGCATTTGTTCCCAAGGAGCTTAGGTCTCCAAGAGGAAATAAGACACTTCGACAAATAGCCACAAGGTAAAATAGAGAATTGTCCAGTGCTGTAATTTAACTGCTGATTCCGCTGTACCTAAAAGCTGGTTAAATTATAGTTTTATTGAATGCTAACAAACTCTTATTCCCCTCCTGCATGGAATTTTAAAAACCTTTTATTTTCTCTGGGCTATAATTATGGTGACCACATTTTCCATGGCAAAAATTAAGACACGTCGTCTGACAAAGGATTCTTGTGCCACTTCTAGGTGTGAGACCACCCATACTTAGATTTTTTTTAAAGCAGGCTTTTTTAGGCAGGCCCTATAAAAATAGAGGTTTGTTAAATAGGTGTGTTTTTAGACTTTTCATTAAAAGCCTACAATACAAACAGTATTTTATTTTGTATCTGAATCAACATGTTATATCCTAAAGCACTATTTTACAGCCTAAGGGTGTGTGTTAGTCTATTCATAAAAACATACTGCTGCATAGAGCAATAATACCTGCCATTATCTAGGTGTAATAAAAAGGTCCCAAGTGGTCCTCTCCAGGTCTTTAATTTTCCTTTTGAAGATAAAGCTCCTTCTTTCACTTTCATGGTTCAAGATTTTTGGACCTTGCAAGTGATTGCTATTGAAGTGTGCCAGATGTGAGCAGTTGTGAGCATAGTACTTTAAAAGAAGGTGAAGGAGTGACTTTTTCTTCCTTATTGTCTCCCCTACTACCATCTGTAGTTTCTACACATGTAACTTTTCCAAAACAGCAAGGCATGGGAAGGGATACCAGCCAGGGCCGCCACAGTCCAGGCATGGGACTTCTGAAGTGAGGAGATAGAGATGAAAGCGGCCTGTATTGATAAATGACAGATGATGAAACCAAGGCCTGCTGGACCAAGATTCAATGACTTACCCAAAGCTACACAGCTTGTTGGTGGCAGAGTTAGCTCCCAATCCCCAGCTTTGTGAGCAAGGGAGGTTTCCATCCCCACTATGATGTTTTCTTGGTGTTCTGGGGTCACTCTGGTCGATTTCCATCCACTGTGATGTTGGGTATGCCCCCTCCATGTGACTACATAATTCTAGAATCATAATTCTAAAATGATATATCACTGCACTATCATGGGAAAATAAGCTGGAAGAGCTGGAGAGGCGATGCCTGCCACCACTGGCTCTTCTATAGAGGTGACCTTGCAGGTTACCAGGACTTCCCCAGGCCGACTCTCAGATCCTGAAGCTGAGTCCAAGGCAAGCCTTATACGCCATGGTTCCTGCTCTCCTGGGTATCACTGACCTACTGCTGATCCAGGAACCCTTGGGATCAGACTTTTCCCATTAATGCTTTGTTTATGGTTAAAATATCACAGAGTTTAGTGGGACCACTGCTGTCTTTATTAGATGGTTTTTATACTTAATTATTTTGTAACATGGCTGCACTTGTAAGTTATCTGCTGATTTTTTTGTAGTTCATAAGCATAATGATTGGGTATTCATAGTCATATGTGAGATGTGCCAACCTCAATCTCTATGCTACAGTATAGAGTATACTATAATAATCACTATATTATTACAGCCTGGCCAACATGGTGAAATCCCGTCTCTACTAAAAATACAAAAATTAGCTGGGCGTGGTAGCGCACGCCTGTAATCCCAGCTACTAGGGAGACTGAGGCAGGAGAATTGCTTGAATCCTGTGGGGCAGAGGTTGCAGTGAGCCGAGATCATGCCACTGCACTCCAGCCTGGACAATAGAGTGAGACTCCATCTCAAAAAAAAAAAAAGAAAAAAGTTTAAAAATGTATCTCTTCCATTAAAAACATATCCAATAATTCTGCTAAGATATTTGACTGACCTTCACATTCAGCCTCATTCCAGTGTAACTTCCCATTCATTCATTTCATTCAATGGCTATTTATTGAGCACCTACTATCTGGCAGACACTTTTCTGCTTCAGCATCAAACAAATAGACAAAAATTCCAGCCTGTTTGTGGTTTATATGGGATTGGATGGTGCTAATAACTGTATCGAAAAATAAAAACTATTAGCTTGCCAAAAATTTGGATTACTGTGGGAGCAGAGAGCTAAAGGAAAAGGGAACTCATATGTATTGAATATCAGTGACTATGTCATATGCTGTGTTGTGTGGTTTATCTCATTTAATCATCACAGCAGCCCTGTGAAAGATGAATATGATTATTTTTATTTTTTACAGATGAAGAACCAAGATTTAGGAATATAATATATCTTGCTTAAGGTCATACTAGTGAGGAAATAAATCTACATCAGTCTTTTCAATACCATGCTAGATGTGATGATATCATTTTAGAACCATATGTTTGATATATGGACCACCATACTGAAACCTCAGGGCACATTTTTGTCCACTAATAATATATATCAAGGAATGTCATTTCACAGATGCATGGATACGGAAAATGTGTGTGTGTGTGTATATATATGTATGTGTATATATATGTGTGTGTGTATTTGTATGTGTGTGTGTGTATACACACACACACACACACACACACACACATACATACTACTCCGCCTTAAGAATATTTTCATATGCAACTACATGGATGATTCTTGAGGACATCATGCTCAGTGAAATAAACCAGTCACAGAAGGACAAATACTGCATGATTCCACTTATATGAGCATCTACAGTAGCCAAATTCACAGAAGCCGAGAACACAGTGGTGGTTGTCAGGGCCTAGGGGAAGAGAGAAATGGGGAGTTGCCCTTCAACAGGAATAAAGAATAAGCAAATCTCATGTTAAGAGTTCTTAACACACACACTCACACACAGACACACACAAATGTCACTTTAATGGACATGTTTAAAACATCATTTGAAATGTAGTTGTTAAGTTCATGTTCTCCTTATCATTTTTGTAGATTGATCCTCATTTCTGAATAGCAGTAATCACTACAGTACACTCTCCTTTCATAACAGGCATCTTCCATGGAATACCTTGCCCCAGATTAGCAATTTGATGACCACAGTAACATGTGCTTCTCAGATAACACATGACCTTTCATTTGGCTGAGAACTCAGCGGTTGACTTTGCTAAAAATAGGTCTTTAATGGTTGAGTGTGACATTTCATCACGGGGTGTTATTTGGGAGTTTTTCTCTTCATACATGAAACAAGTATGGCTGTAGAATTGATTACCCTTGTTTCCTTGATGAAACGCATTCAGAATTTCAAAGATATTGAAAATATTTTTGGCCAAAATTAGTTACACAGAAGTATGGAATCTGTCAGTGCTTGGGGACAAAACCCTTCTGTGTATTGAAAATGCAGAAGTAGACAGGGAAGCATTTCTGGGGAGGAGTGAGAAGCTGTATTAAGTCTGGATGCTGGGGCAGGGGTGAAGGAGGAGGTCTTGATGATGTAGGTCTTGACCAGGTTGGAGCTGATGCAATGGCAAGTGCTGTGGCCGTGGTATCCCCTGGTGATGTCATTCCAAGGAGCCAGCTGCCATCAGTGCTTTCAAGAGTCTGGCTCTTTGGGTGAGGGGCACCAAGGGATAGACGTGCACCTCAGGACACCTGCCATCTTGTTGGCCATCTCTCTAGTTTGGGGTCTTTGTGGAAAAGATGTATGGGCCATGCTTTTTAGCTTGTCTTATCACCCCAAATACTTCCCGTCATCCTAGAATAATATCCAGGCTCTCGATCTGATTTCCAAAATCTTACACTGCCTTCGCACTGATTCTCAAGCCTCAGCTCTCACCAACTGCACACTCCCCCATTGCTTGTGGGCCACTCGAACTGACTTCCTGATCCTCCAAACACATCAGGTTGCTCCCTCCTTGGGATCTTCCACTACTTGTGACTTCTGCCTACATTGTACTGCCCCTAACTTTCCCAGGGCTGGCTCCTTCTTGCCTTTCAAATCTCAGCTTAAATGTCACTTCCTTTGAGAGGCTCCCCTGGAACACCCAATCATTCCCTCTCCTATCACCCTACTTTAATTCTCTGAATATTTCTATACAGTCAATGCTGTGCTTGTTTATTCTTTGAGATCCATGAAAGCAGGGACCATGCCTGTCATAGTCCCGACAGTGCTCCCAAGCCCTAGGTGAGCACCCTGCACATAGTAGTTCAATGAGTAGTTTGTCAAATGAAGGAAGGAGGCACTCAGGCTGTAGATGATTTAAATGTAACAAACGTATTTGTAGGTTATTTTTTAATAATGCAAAAGAAATGAAGACTAGGCCAATTTTCTTTTTTAATTTCATATTTCAGCCTCAACGCTTAGTTATTTCTGATTGGTCAGAGATTAATTAATCACATGCAACAGTCTGTCCTGAGGGGGTTCAAATGCACTGCTTTTTCCAGTGATTTGCAAATGCACCGGCCTAAAACCTACTCTCTGGCACAGATTTCAGAATCTCCACTTAACACATCAGAAACCTTTAGGGCTTATCCTGAACTCCAAGGCTGGCTTAACTTCTTCAGTAAGCAGCTGCTTATGCATGGATGCCTACAATGAGTGATTTCACCAGAAACCCACCTCAGCTACTTAAAGTGTGATGTATTTCATACACACAAAGTGTTTTTTCATATGAGTAGGTTAGTGACACTACTGAATACAAATTAACTGTTTTTGAATATACTGGAATCTCACAAAGTTTTTTCTGCCTCAGAAGTGGAATTCAGTTGAAGATGGGTCTGTCCTTAGAAGACCAAGTTATTATAGTTGCTAAAATAAAAATAAATAAAATAAAGACTTCAAAAAACAACAGATGCTGGCAAGGCTGTGGAGAAATAGGAATGCTTTTACACTGTTGGTGGGAATGTAAATTAGTTGAACCATTGTGGAAGATAGTATAGCGATTCCTCAAGGATCTAGAACCAGAAATACCATTTGAGCCATCAATCCCATTACTGGGTATATACCCAAAGGAATATAAATCATTCTGTTATAAAGATACATGCACATGTATGTTTATTGCAGTACTATTCACAATCGCAAAGACATGGAGCCAACCCAAATGCCCCTCAATGATAGACTGGATAAAGAAAATGTGGTACATGTACATCATGGAATACTATGCAGCCATAAAAAGGAATAAGATCATGTCCTTTGCAGGGACATAGATGAAGCTGGAAGCCATCATCCTCAGCAAACTAACACAGGAACAGAAAACCAAACACTGCATGTTCTCACTTATAAATGGGAGCTGAACAATGAGAACACATGGACACAGGGAGGGGAACAACACACTGGAGCCTGTTGAGGGTGGGCGAGGAGAGGGAGAGCATCAGGACAAATAGCTAATGCATGTGGGGCTTAATACCTAGGTGATGGTTGATAGGTGCAGCAAACCACCATGGCACACGTTTACCTATGTCACAAGCCTGTACATGGTGCACATGTATCCCAGAACTTAAAGTAAAATTTTAAAAAATAAATAAAGTAAAATAAGACTTTCACTTACTGGGGCAGGCCCATGGTTTCTAGGGTTGAGAACAATCTCCAGGGGCTTGACCCTCAGGAAGGGAGAATCCCTTCTTCCCTTGCAGGGAGCATGGGCTGGGTGGCAGTTGTGTCCCTGCCATCTGAAAGTGAAAAGTGGACTTTAAATGTTGACTTATATCTCACAATACTATTGGTGTCCAGCTTCTGATACTTCATGGGACATTCCTTTGTACTTGGGATCTAACCTTATTAATTTAGAGAGAAGATGTAGATTAAGTTTCAAAAACCTGACCTTAGAAAAGATGTTTTAAATAAAGAATGGGCTATCATTTGTATTCGCAAATCACAGAGAATGTCCCGTGGCATGGAATCATTTTGTCAAGCTCTGCATTCCAATCCAATTTTTTATTTGCTCTCATCTCAGGGTGGTAATTGTTAATTTGGAGATTATTATTTAGGGTGGATTCAACAGTCTTACATGGGATTCTTTTTAGGGAGAATGATGGGAAATTACCCTTTTTCACATTTTTTTATCCTGGGAGAGGGGGCCTCTATTCTTTCGCTCAGTGTGACAGTGAGAGTGAAGTGAAGAGAAGATTTATGATGCCAAGATCAGGGCTGAGTAATATGGTAAATCCCAGTTTATCTTAAGTGCAGTAAACCCCCAGGCAGCTAGAAGAGTGACGTATTCTGGTTAGTTCAACATTCTATTTAATCTGGGAATACCCAATAGACCACTTTTCCACAACAGATTTTTATAGAATTCAAATACAACAAAATATACTTGACACCACAACTATACTGAACACATATTTATCTCTTCTAATGACTTAAAAGACACTTAAATATCTCACCAAGCCTCAGAGTCACACGGAGAACATCAGTTATCTCAGAAACGGCTGTTAATAGGGATTTCTGGCTGATAGTGGGATGGCCTGTTTTTGCTGATTGAAAGCAGCACTTCATTGGATGCGGTGGGTGGGGGGTGGGACACCAGTTCTCGTTTTCCCAGGTATAATTCGGCAATCTGGGGGGCTTCCTCAAAAATACGTAGAACCTAAAATAGATAATGTATGAAAAGCCCCCTAGTGCTGAGCCTAACGCAGAAAAACATTCAGTACATACAAGATGACTTGACTCAGTTTATCTGTGATTGGTTTGGTTTACTTTTGCTTTTTTCTTTTAGGGGTGGGGGAGCTCTTCCTACATAGTTAAGGGACCTTCAACTAGAGGAACTTGATATACCTAACCTAGGACAAGCAGGAACTTTTTGACCTCCAGCGTTGTTTATGGTTTCAGACTAAGCAACAACAGAAGATAACTACAAGGAACTATCATGAATTATGGCTAAATGCTGAATGGTGACCCTTTAAATCAGTTATTAGTATGACTGGATTGTACCTTCTGCCCTGGGACAAGCCTAGACAGAGAGAGTTGGGAGAAGCAAGTGTAAAAAAGCCTAGGTTGTTTTTCTTTTTCTTTTTTTTTTTTTTTTATATGCTGTTAATGGGAGGGTAAATTCTTGTAAAGTTTTTGGAGAGCGCTTTGACCTTAATTTTGAAAATGCTAAGTTTACATAGCCTTTGTCTTGGTAATTTCACTTCTACAAGTTTTTTCTACCTATGTGTAAGGATGTCTATTACAGCATTATGTATTTTAATTTTGCAGCAAAAAAAAAAAAAAAACTTGGGGAAAAAAAGAAATGTCTGTGTAGGGTACTGGCTAAATTGGTAAACTGATATGAAATAAAATGCTGCTATTAAGAAAGGTGATGGATACATATGAACTCACATTTTAAAATGTCTGAGATTTATTGTAGAGGGAAAAAGTGGAAGTCTGTATGGATAATATTATTTTATTGATGAGAAAAAAATTAGATACATATACAAATGCATGTATATTCATAGCATTTTCTGGAAGGATATATAATATACTGTTCAGCTAATATATAATTTAAGGATTATGAGTATTATAAATTGAAATTAATATTATTACAAATTAATACAAATTAAGATTTGTTGATGTATACATAGTATTATGGTAAAATGAGTATAATTAAATTATTCAAAAGTTTGCTTTCTTACATTTGTTAAATATTTTCCAGTTTATGTTCTAATTTGCTTATTCCAATCTTTATTTCTATCACCTATATAATTAAACTCCAATTCAGTTTAGGGTCATTCATAATTTCCAAACTGATTATTTTACTGTTTCTTCAGTAGTGTTGAAGATAATGATGATGGCACTAGTCATCCCTTATTGAACCCCTATGATGTGCTAAACACTTGTACTTATATTTTCTCTAAACCTCCAAAATTGTAAAAGTTGATGAGGAAGCAGAGGCCCTGCCATCTTAAGGAACTTGCTAAAGCCATGCAGCCAGCAAGTAAGTTTCAGAGCTAGCACTGAAACTCAGGTCTAACGCCAAAGACTGTACTATTTCCATATGTCATTCTGCCTCAGATATAGAGCTGGTGAATTCATTTTTCAGGCAGTGTCTTTGTGGGTAAGACAGATAGCTGCTTAAAAAGAGATAGAAAACATGCTTTGGATTGTTATGGCTTGCTAGCATTTTCCACTCACCATTGTTATTAATTATTCTGTGTTTCCCATTTGTCTTAACTTTGATCGTATACTTACAAAGTTTATGGAAACTGCCCAAGTGCATTCGATTCTGCTGATATTTCCATGGTCTGAACGCCAGCCCTATGAGCAGGGGCCAAATGGAGCATGCCATCTGAAGACTGCTCCAGCTTTCAGAGCTGGACCTGGTTCAAATGGGAATGCCATACCACTGTTTATTTTAATGAGATAAAGAGCAAAGAAAAATAAAAAAGCAAAATCTGCATTTGAAAACATTCAAGTAACGTAATCTGTATTAGTCGAACTAATTCTAAGCCTGGCCTGGTTTTGATTTTAGAGATTTCCACAGCTCCACGTGTACCCCCAGGGTGGCCATGTAGAGGTAACAACAACAATACTAGGAAGACCATTCCAAGCCTCTGTCTCCATTTCTTGCTTTTCTGACACCCTTCACCTGTTCTTTATTCAGCTATTTACTGGGGCATGGTCTTTATCTGAAGTTTTTCCTGGTATTTTCAACCCATTAGGATAAGTGGGGTGGGTGTAGGGGGCTGTGCCCACAAAACAGACATCCAACTTGGTTTTAGGAAAGGCTTTTTAGAGGAAATGATAACTACACGGAGTCCTGAAAGAGAAATCATAGAGGTAGAGGTGCCCACTTATCTAGGTAGAGAGAACGGCATGTGCATAAGGGAGAGATAAAAGGGCACACAGTACATCTGTACAGCTGTGAGTCCCCAAGCATCTGACCTCTCTTGAATGAGGATATTGACTACAGGTTACTTAGTTGACCTTGTTAAAGCCTTATCATATCAGGATTACCAGGGTACAAAAACATTCCTAAAATAAATGGCTCTGTTACTAAACACTCCCCTTATAACACCATTGTTGACACTGTGACTTTTAAAAATCTCTCATATCTGGCCATACCTGTCTCACCTTCCTAAAGTCACACTGACAGATGACACACCAGGGCAAGATGAAAACTGTAGGGACTTGTGTAGAATGAAACGATAACTTCCTGTTCTTAAAAGGGACTGTTGATATAATATCCTTTTTGCAAAAACAGGGAAATGCTTAAGGTTGGAGTTTCTGTTTTCAATAATGAAGATGGATATTCACATGAAAAGAAGACAAAAGAAAACAGAATGCCCCAGCTGTGGGCTAAGCAGTTGGCTATTTTTATTTGTCAGGACAAAAACATCAAATGACAATTCTTTCTTCATTTCTCTTTATGAATCTAGTACTAAAGAATGCTACTAAATCTTAAGTTCTATTAACTCCTGACAATGTATAAACTTGGGTTTACAGTTTATATACACCACAGTTAGGGATTTCCATATATCCTCCAGCTAGTCAAGAAAACCTTTGTTTGGAGTTCTTTACTGACTATTGCATCATCCAAATTTATTTTTTGCCTATGAAAACTGAAAAGGTGAAGACCAAATTTGGAAATTCACGTGTGCCAATGCAGATATCAACATGAACAAAAGAAAAATACATGTATTGGACTTTGGAAAGTAAAATCACAGACCTATTCTGGTTCAAGGTCAGCCATAAGTGGAATTGTAAAGAAAGGCCAGAAAATAATATATGGTTCATACTCAAGAACAAGAATGGTCATATCATGTACAAAATGAATTGAGCTAAAAGATAAACAGTAAAATGCTATGGTTTTTATTGTTAGCAGACTTCCACTAATTATAAATTAAAGGCAGTCAGTAATACCCATAGATTAAAAAGCTAGTTGAAAACTGAGATTCCTGTAGTAAATATTAAGCGTTGTGTGGTACATTAGTCACATGTGTATAATAAAGACAATAAATCCATGTAAGTACAGCAATGATGAAATGTGCATAAAGCAGTTTGAACTCCACAGAAGTAAGCAAAGTATAAATAGATAGCATGCTCAGGCACAGAGAAAAGCAAGTGCTATTTTAGCACTTGAGCTAGTGATAATTTATTGTTCAGGCTCTCCAGTTGAGTCAATGTTTATATGGTGCTATATATTAACTGAAACCAAAATAGTCTGTGCACATCACTGTCTTGGATAGATTACTGAGTGATCAGCAGAAACCATATCAAACAACCACTCCCCTACGAGTGAGGGATTTATAATATTTAAAATATTCATCCTAAAGCTCCAAGCTGTTTTGACAGTTTTGTCTGTTCATAAATATTCTTCAAAGAGAGGCAGTATGGCATATGTAATGGAAAAAGATAGTAAAGTGGTTAGCATTCCAAACTCAGGACCCAGATTGCCTGGGTTCAAGTCCTGGCTCTGTTACTTACTAGCTGTGTTGACTTTGGGCAAGTTACTTAACCTCTCTGTGCCTCAGTTTCCTCCTTAGTAAGTGGGGTTAAGGATAGTACCTACCTCATAGGGTTGTGAAGCCGAAATAATTAATACAAATAAAACATTTAGAATAATGCCTGACACAGAGTGAGGGTTACTACCTAGACTCTGCCACAGATCAGCAGAATGACTTTAGATAGGTTACTTAACCTTGACCTTTGGTTTCTTCTTTGTAAGATGCAAAGGATAATAAACATCTTACAGTGTGACTGTGAGAATCAAATGAGATACCATATGGAAAGCAGCTAGCCCTGAAGGAAACACTTCAGATTTTCTTCTTCTTGTCTCTTCTCATCCTTTCCCTTGCAGGGATATTTGTAAGGACACTTTTTTTAGCATCTCTGTATGTCAAGCACTTTGTTCCTACCCCACTCACCTAGCCTTGACCATACTTTGTGAAATCACAAATAGTCAGACGTTAGAACCCAAAGAATTGACCTGAAGACCTGTCCTTTTATCACGACACTGCTTTTCCATAGAAATACTTCCTTCAGAAATCCTTTTAAGATTAATGCCACCCAATTCTGGCCTACTCACTTCTTGATCAGTGTGGGCTGTATTTTCATTTGTGACACTGAATATGTTTGACCATTTCATGTATATGTTATGTCTTCCCAACCAAAGCCTGTGTTCTGTGAGAGCAAGCATCTCTCATAACTCCCTCTGGTTAGCCTTTCTTGCCTGGCTTTCAGTCTGATTGGATCAGAATTGGACAGGACCAGAGGATTTAGCAGGTCAGGAGTGATTATCAGCTGTGAAGTTGGCAGTGTCGCTAAGGAGTGGAACCAAGATGCCCACTGCTTCTGGGGCCACATTGATCACATTCAGACATCCAGACCCTGGAAAACTCAGGGTCGTTTCTGAGTCTACAGTCTACATTCAAGAAGAAGGGTAGAAATTCAAGAAGTGGCCAAGAAAGACTTTCAACAACTTACTCGGATGTCATCAGGGGAAGACTAAGAGTATGGCCCTCAAGGCGCCTTCAAGGATGGCATTACTTGCTGAATTCATCATGGTCGGGGGGCTTCAACAGTTTACAGAAGCCTTCAAATATTTCAGGAAGCCTCTGCTTCCATCCTACTCTCCCCTGATGGGCTACAGTCTGTATTACAGCAGGAATCCTTTTGCAATGAGTTGCACTTATCTTCAGGCAAATGCCCCAGATGGGGATATGAGGTTTTATTTACAGTCTGCAAAATTTCCCTAAAGAGATTGGTGCAAAGCAGAGCTCTATGGACTTCCTCCTGGCATGCTTGAAGATCTGATCTGTTCATCCCTCAAAGGCCAGATCCATCTCTTAGGGGCTGACACCCATTAAAAGCCAACTATATAGGTGTTCAAACAAGAATGCCAGTGTATTCATCTGTAATGAGAATATTTCAGATTAATATTCATGCTTGCCTGGCCAGCCCATGCTCTCTCTGCAGGGAAGTTTTCCTAGGAAGCCAGATATGCTGCAGAGGCAGCTTGGTGAGCACAGAATCTGAATACAGGAAGTTAGAAGAGTGGGTCGGTGTCAAGCTGAGCCCACACGTGCATTCCCAAGGTCTTCTTAGGTAGTTGGTCAAGGCTCCTTATCCATGGCCAAGGCCAGCGTTGGCCTCTCAACCAGCAGCCGATGAGTCCCTGCTCTGATTGGTAGCTCTGTCTCCTGCAGGTACTCAGTTGAGTTGTAATCAAACACTTCAGGATTGGGACCATTCTGTTTCTTTGCGGGGCCTTTTTCTCTTCTGCTCTGTCATGCGTCTGTGCCACTGTGGTCCTGGGGATGGTATGTTTGAGGGCAGGGCCCCATGCAGGCTCCTTCCACAGCATAATGGAGTGCTGCCTTAAGATACACTCAAAGAAGGGTGGTGAGAGAGGTGTGTGGTTATTCTTGCTAACATAAATTGCACTGTTTAATGTACACAAGAGATGGGAAAAAGAAGAGAGCAAAAGAATTCTCTCCAGGCAAATGTTTACTATGGAAACTGTGTGATTACAGATGTCCATATACAATTCTCAGACATCTGTTTAAGCCCCCCGCCCCCGCCCCATGCAGAAGGCGATGGCGTGTTTCCTTTCTTCTGAACTCCTTCCACACATGGAATGATGCCATTGCCAGCCCTTGTCTTCAGTCGCCTTTTTCAGAATTGGTTTACTTCTTGTTGTCTTTGAATTTTCTCTCATCTAGAGGCTGCTTTGGCCCTCTGAGGTACCCACGGGCACAGCTGAGCTGATGGCCAAGCGCGGAGGCCCCATCTGCAGCTGTCTCTCATGAGGAACAGCTGTCCCATGCCCATGGGGAGAGCAAGTCCTGTGTCCCAAACAGCTCTGTGCCCCACCTCACCCTCTTCGCCATAATAGCTCAACTTCCATGAAGCCTGCTGTGATGTGAGCCACAACACCAACTCCTGGGTGGGGGTGGGGGGCATTTTCCTCTCCTGGAGCAATAGAGGAGCAGACACCTGCCCTCTTCTTTCTCTCCCTCACTGCTAGCCCACAGCCAAGAGGGAGGTGTCCAGAGGGGTCATTTCCTGCCCTCTCTGGTGGCTTGCCCTCCATGAGTTGCTGTTACCCCTTCTGCACGCTCATCTGCCAGCTGATCTTACTTCGGGTGGAAGGTTTTGTGTTTGTTTTCCTTCCCCAGCACTTCCTTGTCCATAGCAAGGGGTGGGTCTGAGCCCCACCATCAGTGTGACATGCATCTGCTCATTTGTGCATTGACAGAGATTCGTCAGTGACCTAGGCATGCCCAGCTCGGTGCTGAGTGCTCCAGGCAGTACCGTGGCTTCAACAGTTTGCAGAACCCTTCAAGTATTTCAGGAAGCCTCTGTTTCCATCCTGCTCTCCCCTGATGGGCTACAGTCTGTCTTACAGCAGGAATCCTTTTGCAATGAGTTGCTCTTATCTTCAGGCAAATACCCCAGGTAGGGACATGAGGTTTTATTTACCGTCTGTAAAATTTCCTTAAAGAGATTAGTGCAAAGCAGAACTCTATGCAAAATTTTTTTGTCCTACATGTGGTATGCATGTTTGTGTGTGTAATAAAACTGCAGAGTTGATTTGCAGAATGGGCCAATGAAGCCTGTTTTATGGTCTAATTTATGGCAGGAGAATGGAGTTTGCACAGCCACCCCTTGTTTCAGGCTGTTTAATATGCAGGGTGGCTGTGGTAGCTGCTCTCTCTTCTTCCTGTCACCCACCCTGTGGACATCCCCCGGTCTCAAGGGAGCAGCATATGTTTTTCCACAGTCCCTTCTCTGCAGAGGCCAGCCAAGGACGCATTTTGTCCATCAGGTGTTAGGATCCTCGCTCCATGCGGTCAGCTGGTGGTAGCTCTGTGTTTTCTCAGTACAGATGTGGCTGGACTGGCACTGGGACCACCTGATCCTTCTTCACAGGGCTCTGTTTCAAACCGTGGGCTGGTGGCCAGACCCTCTTCAGCCTGAGCATGTCCAGGTGAATCTCCTGATTGTGCAGGCTGTGGCTGACAGCTCTGGATAGGGAACAGCTTCCAACCTTGGCTGTCCACTAGAATCAGCCTGGAGTATTTAAAAGTTCTGGTGTCCAAGCCACACCCCAAATCAATTCTGCCACACTCCCTAAGGATAAGACCCAGTGCTCTCCAAGTGATTTCACTGTGTTTGCAAGATTGAGACTAACTACTCTCTGGGAAAAGAGAAAGGAGGAAAGAGGAAGGCAGAGCAAGATAAGGGGAGAAGATTGGAACCAGGGAGAAGGAAGAAATCAAGGGCTGGCCAGAGGTGGTGAAGTAAGGAGGTGCCCCCCAGCAGGTGCCTGGAGATCCCCAGCAAAAGGACGATGTGCCTGCCCCATCTCTGACCCTGCACTTGGACGTGAGGAACCAAGAGAGGCTCAGAAGAGGAGGCAGGGCTCCTTCTGTGGAACCTGCATGCATCTGCCCTTCCCATCAGACAGACTGCTTCCTAGCCGTGGATTTCCAGATCCAGAGTTCACTGGAATGTCTCTTAGCTTCTGTTTCTTCATCCACAAAACAGAGACGTCAAATCGTACTTGCAGGTTGTCATGTGGATTTGATAGGATGATGGTGAAGTTGGACACATGTCTGACATTCTGCAAGGGAAGCTTAATGATGATAGACCTTAGAAGAAGTCCACAACTCTATTTCAAGTTAACCCTCCCCATAACTTCGTTCTCTCTGCTGTGCTGAAAGGCAGTGGTTCTGAAATGTTGTTTTAGGAGAGCTAAAAAGAAACACAGAGGTCCGGGCTCACTGACGGGTCCAGGCATCTGCATTTTTCCCAAGCGCCCTGGGTGATTCTGACGGCCAGTGCTTGGGATCCTCTCTACAGGTGAAGGTCCCAATCGCAAAGCTAAGAGAGAGAGATTCTGTGTTGCTCACAGAGCTTTACTGCCTTCCAGGGCTTGTTTTGCACCTCCTAGTTGCTCTTTCTAATGATTTCAGTGACTGTCCCACCTCAACATAGGAAAGAGGGGTATGCGAGGCGTGCCAGGGCCAGCAGCCACACAGGGGTAATTTTGGCTAGGTTCCACCTTTCATTTACAAGTCAAACTGAGATGAACTCTAAAACTGGCATCCTCCAAATTAGTAACCTGCAGCCAAACAAGGAGAAAACGCTTTTTCATTTCTGGTGGCAGAGGTAAAAATGACTGGTCTGTCTTGCATGTTGCACTTGCTTGTCCTGAAAGCTTTACATTTGGGGCCTCCGTCGTGAGCCATGAGAGTGCATGGTGAAACAAAGCATCTTCTCCACATTAATATTTGTTTTTAAAGGCATGAAAAGCCCCTTGGATCACAATGAATCAAAGCGTCTGTACACTGACACGTTTCCACTGGGCATTGTGGGAATGTTGGTCTGTGGGAGCCCACAGGACCCTTGGTGGATTTACTGCTTATTGTTTTTGCTGTAACTATAATAGGAAAAGGGATGTGTCTGCCCATAGGAGCAGCTACCGTAGGAGCCCTGAGAGGCCCGGGAGCTGGAGGGCTAAGGGACCTTGATGATGGAGAGCCCCATCACTAGTAGTTTGAGAGCCCCATCACTAGTAGGGGGTCTAGGAGCATTGGCTGGAGACCCCCTATCCTACAATGCAGCTTCAGTTCCCCCTGCTTCTCCGAGGCAGAGTTCTCACCAAGGGCAGTACTCAGCTGGCTGGCAGCGAAGCATTCACGTTGCCGTGGTCAGCCTGGGAAAGTGGAAAACGCCATGGAGATTAAGCCTGGGGTGGGATGGGCGGTCTGGGGTGGGGTGGGCGGACAGCTTCTGCCTCCACCTTCTCTCTCCAGGGGAAGCAGTGCTGCTCAGCAGCCCCCATAGAGCCGGGGAATCGGAGCAAGCCGTTTGTTTTCCGTTTCACAAAGGAGGAGAAGGGATTCCTGCTGCAGTTTTTGCTGAAGAGCAAGACTTCCTAGCAACACCCAGAGCTTCTGCTTTAGCAAAGGATTTTAATATCTCCCTTCCCTGCTCTTCCCCATTTGGCTAGGGAGCTGGTGTCTGATTCAGAAAAGCAACTTGGCTATAGGACATCAGTGTTCCTATGGCTAAAACACATTTTCCATAAGCCGTCAGGGGTTAATAAAATATCAGCTAGGCATGTGTAGTGGGTTTGGAAGGGAGAAGAAGGGAGGAAAATGAAAGGGAAGAAGGAATGATGCCGAAAGGTAAGGGTTTCCTAATCAGGTGAAGCATAGTGCTTAATTGATAGATTGCGTAGATGGCCATGTGCTTTTGTAACTTGGGGCTCTGAGGTCTTTCATGAAAGGGATAGCTATAAGACATTCATCACAATACTGCAGAAGTCTCATTGAGTGAGAAAAGAGAAAGCTAAATGAATGATCAATCAGAGAATAAGGACACTTACAACAGCAATGAAATCGAGCATCTGTTGAGCTACTGTGTGCTATGCTGCATTCTAAACACTATAATACCTGGCAACTCATTTCATCGTCATAAGAACTCTCACCGGCGAGTTAGGTACTATTATCATCCCCACCGTAGGAATGAGGATGAGAGGGCTTGATCGGAATCTCTTGACTTAATCAATGTGAGTGTCCATCCAAGGACCACAGGTAAGATTCAGGCTGGGTAAAGACTGAGTCCTTTGCTGAGATATGCTCCCTCCCCTAGGTGGAGTTGGGAACCTTCGCCTCCTTACCTGCCTTCCGCACCGCAACATAGGGCTTTCTGGGAACCAAGCCCATAGGATTAGAACTCCTTTGGTATCGTTACCTTTCCTCACCTTTACAAATAGCACCAGGAGAAAACATGGGAAGGGGCTCTTGTGTATTATAGCAGGCACAGACAGTTCCAAATATTTGGGATGAGATGAGAGCCCCAGGGGCCCTAGAGGGACTCAGGATGGCCTTTTCGGGGGCTGGAATGTACGGTGTGTCTGAGAATCTGGCAATGCTGCCAACCGGAGCAGCTTTCTCTCAGCCTGTCTCAAATTCTCTCCTTTTCTGCCCATGTCTAGAGAACTCAGACACCTTTTCTTTTCCCTCCACTCCAGCAGCCTTACTGAGCGCATTCCCAACTCACAGGAAATGTTCAGGGGTGGGTGGACCATTCATTCCCACTCTCCATTGCAGAATCTTTGTGTGTGAAGGGCAGGAAAATAGGTTAAAACAGCCATTGGGCACTCATGCTGTGCTTCAGGAAGTCTGCTCCAAGATTCCCAAGCAGGCTCAAGAATGGAAGCAGAGAGCAAGCCAGAAATATCCTTACTGCTTTATTTTATTATTATTTTTTAAATTGCATGTTGGTGCTTTTCCATTAATTTTAATTGACTCAAGTCCCATGACTTTTGTGATCCCCAAATCCTCCATAAACTCACTTCAACTGACTTTTTTTTTTTTTTTTTGCCTTGAACCCCTTTCCCTTCCCTGCCTGGGAACCTGCCCTTTAAATTGGTCATGGCTGGGATTTTAATCACTCCTCAAAGGCGCAGTGACAATTTCACAACAAAGCAGGGAGGTTGGGGGTGGGAAGGGGAGGGAGTTTTGTTTTCTACTCCGATTAAGAGAGCAACTGTTCTCTGTTTGTCCCCTGGGGCCCACTCTTGGCACCAGGCTGGGGAGACCTCAAACTTGGTGTTGCAACATCCATCAGACCCAAGTGAGTCTGGGGCTCCTCAAAGGTGAACTGCAGCTGTTTGGATAAAATTCTAAAATCTTGTTTGGGAGATTCTCAGCCCTTGTTTTACAATCGTTCTTCCTGGCAAAGAAACCAGGAAGTTTTACTTTCCCAGGATCTCAGGCAGGTAATTGTTTTCCCAAACTGTATTTTAATCTGATGGAAATGGACATTCTTTGCTCTGAGAACCTTCGCCCACATCCATAAACCGTTTGTATCCGCCTTGCGCATGGGAGGCTCGATTACACAGCGCCCCGCCCTCCCCTGAGACGCGCTTCCATCTCTGGTTATAATTTAGGGCCATTTTCATTTCTAAACAACAGTTACGAGCCTTTTAGTCTCTTGGCATCTCGGAGTGCTTTCCTGTTCAGCGGCGGACCACAGCCAGGTGGTGGGTGATCTCCCGAGGTTGGGAATTGGCAAAATCCCTTACGCGGTGTCATTTTTAAGCAAAGCAGCATAAACGGTGACGAGCTGGTAGTTTCTGCCATAACCAATGCTTTCATGGCCCCCAGGCTCCAACTGATTTATCATGAGGCCTCTTGCTCAGGGGACTTGGCTCACGCCTGAAACACCAGAGGCCCCGAGTCTGGGCCCTGAGCTCACACTGGGACTGTGAGCTTAGGGAAGTGGCTGCACCAGTCCTTTTGGAGGTGTGCACGTGCCCTCCTCATGCAGGCTGACCTGGCGGGGCTCTTATGGGGAGGAGGGGGGCTGAGTTAATTCTCCACCCCTGCACTTTCTGGAGATGCGGAGAGTCCACCACAGGGAGGCAGATCCAGCCCTCCCTAGTGAATTAAGTGACTGCAAACAGAGTCAGCTTGGAAGCTTCAGGCAGGGTCCTACCCCCTATCTCCGCCCCTTCTTCTTGGGGGCTGTTTCTTGACCCATCATTAAAAATGTAAAAGCCAAAACGTTTCAGGGGAAAAGTCCAATTTGCCAGAATAACTTTGTTACTCATCAACAAATACTGATCTATCACACCTTGTGCTAGGTGCCTCCACGCTGGAGAAGTAGCCAGCCCATTTAAAATGTCAGCAAAGATTCCAGTTGTCTAAACGCGCCAGGGACAGGCAAGGAGGATAAGTGGTGTGAGGAGGATGCTGGGACTCAGCTGAAGTTGGAAAGCTCACAGCCGGTATTCAGAGAACTGCAACAGGGTCCCCTGGGATATTAGCACGCGGGGAACCTGCCCCAGCATCAGAGGCCCTGGGTCAGGCCTGGTTTCTTAGGTGTTCTTTGTGCTACTCCTCATTTTGTGGAGAGGCATCCTTGGTAGAAGTGAATTTTGTAAAATATGCAAAGGTATGGCTGAATAGTGAACTCTTCCCCTGTCCTCAGGAAAAGCACATTTGGTACCTCCTGTCAGAGGGGACTCAGCAATCCACTAAAGACTTTTTTTTTAATTTATTTTTTACTTTTGAAAAATGTTGGCAGGGTGCAGTGACTCACCCCTATGGAAGCGGGTGAATTACTTGAGCCCAAGAGTTTGAGACCAGCCTGATCAACATGATGAAAACCCGTCTCTACTAAAAATAGAAAAATTACATGGGCGTGGGGGTGTGCACCTGTGGTCCCAGCTACTCGGGAGGCTGAGGTGAGAGAATCACCTGAGCCCAGGAAGTCGAGGCTGCAGAGAGCTGTGATTGTACCACTGCACTCCAGCCCAGAAGATGGGAGTGAGACCCTGTCTCAAAAAAAAAAAAAGAAAAGAAGAAAAACATCAAGTTCTTCGGGAAGGGTTGGGAGGTGATAAAGAGAGGCTGATTAATGGGTACAAACATACAGTTAGATGAAGGAATAAGTTATTGTGTTTAATAGCACAGTAAGTTGGCTATAGTTAGCAATTTATTATATATTTCAAAATAGCTGGAAGAGAAGATTTTAAATGTTCCCAACACAAAGAAATGATAAGTGAGGTGATGAGTATCCTAAACACTCTGATTTGTTAGGTATTGTATGCATGTATCAAAATATCACATGTACTCTATAAATATGTATAATTACTATGTATCAATTGTAAAAAAAAGAAAGAAAAGACTATTACTGCCCTTGCCCATTTACCCGCTACTACCACCCACTCACTCTTTTATTCACTGACTTATTCACTGTTTGATTTATTCATCCTTTCTTTCACTCGTTCACTCACTCATTCAATCAACAAGCAGTCCCTGAACAAATGCTGACTCTGTGCCTGACACGGTCTAGGCAGGCAAACACCCTATTGGGAGCCGACAGGAGGAGGGTTTTGGAACCCTGGTCCCCAGGTGCCTGACCACCCACATTGGCCTCCTAGGCTGCCCTCCTCAGGCCCACTGGGTCTCTAGTGTCAGAAAGGACTGGCCAGAGGATGAGAGACAGACCAATTTGTTAGGTTAGGTCTCATCATTATAGAAAATATTGAATAGTCTGCCAGTGATTTTATCTCAAGCATTCTCAAAACACTCATTTCCATCCTGCCATTGCTCCCCATGCTAATAAAGGAAAATTCTTTCAATAGACCATGCCAAGTCCTGACCAGAGCGAACAGAACAGCTCGTCTAGGGAAGCAGGCAACCAAACCACGCTGTGGGAGTTCAAGCTGAGATCATTTTTTAGATTTCCCTTTGCTTGAAAATTCCATCCACAATTTTCACCCACCTTCCCATCATCCCAAGTCATGTATCCTTCCATCATAACAAGTCACATCTCCAGTGTGAGTGCCTCCCATGTCACAGGCAGCAGAGAAGATTACAGTGAAACTATTCAGAGAGGTGTGAGCCCCGTAGAAAGCTGGAGATCAGAGGATGCCCGTCTCTCAGGCTCCTGATACTCTTAAGAAGGTGTCTAAATAGATTGTCTCCTGAGTAGTCCCAATAGCTTTGCTGTCTGATGTGGCGTGGAGCTCCAGACAACTTTGTCTCCCTGAGAGTATTTTTGGGCACCTGTGTAGTGGGAGGAGGAGAGAGCAAGGGTTGGGAAATCTGACTTTGAATCTCCTCTCTATCATTTACCAGCTGATTGATCCAGGCCACCCCTTCACTTCCTGAAGCCTGAATTTTCACACTTTGGGTTCCTTCTTAAATCCATTGGTAAAACAGGTTTAGCACCAATGGGGACCTTACATGAACTAACAGGGCTGGAATTCACCTAGGTTGCCCAGCTGTGCTGGCTGCTTACAGCTGGCTGAAGCCTAGTCTGATTGGCCTAGGTGCACACTATGCTGGTTGCTAGATGTTTTGAATATGACTTTTGGAAATAATATATGTGAAAGTCTCTAGGCAGTACAACAGATGGTTAGCTAATTCGACTATAGCATTTGGCTAGTACCACTCCCACGTCTAACTTAAATTATGTTTCATAATTTTTTTAATCAATTGACAAATGGAACAATCTTTAAATTTGCCTGTATCTTTTGAGGGTCAACAAAGAAGTTATTCAGTGTTTAGGGCTGAGCCTTCTTTTCCAGTATTTTTTCATGAATGCTAGTGATTTGGTTGCCCAAAGTTCCAGGGAATGAACTTTATCCAAGCTTTGGAGAGTGACTGAGGAAGTGCTTGTGGGGGGCTTGCGAATGACGATAATATTTGAGGAAGGTGGCTTTTGACAAAATGTGGTAGACTTCAAACAATGTCAAGACAGATACCCCTCAACCTGGATTTGTGGGTCAGTGTGGCATCTTAGGTGAAAACGGCAGACATGTGTTTTTAGGAGTATGCTATATAGTTCTTAATGGAATTCCACAAAATTTAGTGTTTTGGGGGAGATGACAGAGAGATTGAGGGAAGACCGTAGAACTTCTTAATGCTTTTTTTTTTTTTTTTTTTTGAGACAAAGTCTCACTCTTGTCCCCCATGCTGGAGTGCAGTGGCATGATCTCGACTCCCTGCAACTTCCGCCTCCTGGGTTCAAGCAATTCTCCTGCCTCAGCCCCCCGAGTAGCTGGGATTACAGGTGCCTGCCACTACGCCCGGCTAGTTTTGGTATTTTTAGTAGAGACGGGGTTTCACCATGTTGGCCAGGCTGGTCTCGAACTCCTGACCTCAGGTGATACACCCGCCTCGGCCTCCCAAAGTGCTGGGATTACAGGCATGAGCCACCATGCCCAGCCTCTTTATGCTCTTTATAACAGAAAATGAATGTACCATTTTTTACTTGGGTCTCAGAAAAGACAAGTATGAGTTGGTGTTTAACATTAGACTAGGTTGTAAATTGACAGGAGAGCCATCCACATACATCAGAAAAAGAGGAGCAGAGAAGAAAAAAAAAACAACAATAAAAGACCTGAGACATCCATTCATCCACCCGTCCATGCGTACTAGAAATTCTGAGTTTCAATTGTGTTTCTCATTGAGTTTTGGGTTCATAGTCTTGGCTGGGTCCCTTAGCATTAAGTGAAACAACTGCTAACCTAGGAAGTAGGTAATCTTTGTTTATTTATTATCTGTAAAATGAGGAACAAAAGAGTACTCATTTCATAGAGGTTTTAAGAATTAAATGAGTAAATATACATATGTGTATGTGTCTATATATAGTCATATATACATATAGTATTATAGATGTGTGTGTGCATCCTTTGATAATTAAATTACAGCTATGTATCCTCTCTCCAGAAAAATTCACAAACACAAGAAACTTAGCCTAATATTTTCAGAGATTTTCCAAAGCCATGGGCCTCATTCCAATTATCCAAGTGAGGAAACCCTTTCTATACTGAAATTCTTATTATGTTTTTCTCACTTAAAAGGAAACTGCAAGTCAAATTTGATTATAGTCAGTATTCTACAATAAATATTTCTTTGTGGTTTTCATCCCCCTAAGATTTTTAAGCTCAGTCATGTCTAGAATATACCAAATGATAAGAAGTCTGATACAAACAAGAAGTCTTGTCCTATTAGAGTTCATAGTAATAGCATTTGATCTATAATAACAGAAAAAATATTGCATGGACATACATTAATCTATTCCTGAGCTTAACTCCAGATGAGGAATCAGTTTTTATATCTCATTTGTACAGGGTGGAGAGAGATGGGCTTTTTTCTTTCGATTTGTTTTTCCACGTCTATTTAGAGCAACCAAAATAGGAAAACTGCTGCACAGGTCTTAAAATTCACTTCCTCCATCCGCTTTCCGAATTCTGCTCCAGGTCTGATGACTATAACTTTTTATACATGTCATTTATTTTTATTTTTATTTTAGTCTAAATGTCTCTTCAAAAACACCAGGGAAAAACATTTTTAGCTTCACTAAGAAAACAAACATGTTTAAACAACCCCCAAAATGTTCAGGTAGAGTCGGTGTTTTTGGCTTGTGTGTATTTTAACGGTGAGCCTAGCAAAATATATGTTGGAAACAGAATTTTTCTTCATCTTACATGTGCCAGTTTCTTTCTGGAATAAAACAAAAAGGAGAATTGATCACAACTTCTATATTGGAGCTAAACTTCTTGTGGTTGTGAAAGGTTATTTCAAGTTAAACAATATGATGTCTTTTTTCAGTTTTTAATTACGATTATGTGCCAGTTTCTTTCTGGAATAAAACAAAAAGGAGAATTGATCACAACTTCTATATTGGAGCTAAACTTTTTGTGGTTTTGAAAGGTTATTTCAAGTTAAACAATATGATGTCTTTTTTCAGTTTTTAATTACTATTTATAGACATCCTGCGTAGAGTCAATCAATGGGAATGCAGGCTATGGTGCAAGTGAAGACAAAGCTGACCTAAAGGAGGAATGAATGCGGAGTTGAGATCCGTTGGTGCATCATGACTTTTCTGCCTTCATGATCTCATTGAATACTTTTACATTTTCAGGTAGAGTTGGTCATTTAGATGGGAATTCACTGTTTTTGTTTTTTGTTTTTTGTTTTTGAGACACAGTCTTCCTCTGTCGCCCAGGCTGGAGTGCAGTGGCACGATCTCGGCTCACTGCCAGCTCCACCTCCCAGGTTCACGCCATTCTCCTGCCTCAGCCTCCCGAGTAGCTGGGACTACAGGCGCCCGCCACCACACCTGGCTAATTTTTTATATTTTTAGTAGAGACAGGGTTTCACCGTGTTAGCTAGGATGGTCTCGATCTCCTGACCTTGTGATCCACCCGCCTCGGCCTCCCAAAGTGCTGGGATTACAGGCGTGAACCACCACGCCCGGCCGGGAATTCACTGTTTACCATTTTGATGCCTACTCTCAGGGCATGATTGTTGAGTCCCCAAAGACTCAAGTGGGAAAATAATAATATTCTGATGAAAAAGCCAGATCCATCTCACCAGTTCTTCAGGACCAAGCAGCATCAGGGTGTTTAGTGTCTGCGTTGTTCTTGCTCAACAGACAGATAAGTGAGGAATAATACTCACGAGTGAGGAGATAGTAGCTGTGCAGCAAGTGAGTACGTGAATGAAAGGATGTGAAAAGTAATTACCAGGTGAAGTGCTCTGTCCATCTTTAGAAATTGTTCATTAGGATTGTGTTCATTCACTGTGTTTTTAAACTATTAATACATAAGACCATGCTAAGCTCAACATGCTCTGAATCATGGGAGTCAGAATCATCCTGTGCCTTATAGGTATTAGCCCAATTACAGGTCAGAGTTGAAATCTAACTCTGATATATAACAAATGTATTTGATATTCTATCTAATTTGTGTATATATTTATGTATGTATCTATTTATTAGAGATGGGGTCTCGCTTTGTCACCCAGGCTGGAGTGCAGTGGTGTGATCATAGCTCACTGCAGCCTCAAACCCCTGGACTCAAGCAATCCTTCTGCCTGGGCCTCATGAGTATGTGGGACTACAGGCCTGTGCCACCACTCCCAGATAATTTTTTTCTTTTAATTTTTTGTAGAGACAAGGTCTTGCTCTGTCACCTAGGCTAGTCTCAAACTTCAAGGCTCAAGGAATCCTCCAGCTTTGGCCTCCCAAGTGCTGGGATCACAGGCATGAGCTATGTGCCTGGCCATATTTATTATTTTTATCTCTTACAGCTTGAAGCATATTTACCATATATGGACTAGCTTTCTTTCAAAGTTTCATTTTACCTGTGGCATCATATAGCTGTTTTGTGAGTGCACTTAACTAGACTCTATTATAACTAGATGTTATCAATCAGTTGGTTATTGTCAGTAACATCCCTTCTCATTTCATGATTATAAGTGCTTTGCCCTTGCAAGCCTTCTGAATGCTCCTGGGCCACCAGTTGCTAAGCATTTTCTTTACATGTTATCTGAGTTTATCAGGATCTCCTAACCTCCCTCACTCCAGCAGTGAATCAGGCTCATTCACACCGTGCTAGTGGAATTGCAGGGTAGACACACTATGAGATATATCAGCAGGCTATTTAAATCCTTTCATTTCCTAAAAGGTTAAAAGGCCAGATCTTAGAAATTAAGGTGTTGGTTTTTGTTTTTTTTCTTAAATCCATTAACCTGGCACAGGGACTGATACTTGAAAATTACACTAGTAAACTCTGGCCATTGTCAAATGATGGACACGTATCACACATGGCTTATGAATACTTAGGCAAAGCATGGTTTTTAGACATTTTAAAAGTTCACTTTGAATTCAGAATAGAGGAAAACATTATAACAGTAAGAAAATCTCATAAAAGCTGAATTTATATATTTTACTAGCATTATTTCAAAAATAAATCGTTCCTTTTCTAATCTGCTCAAAAAAGTCTATTTACTAAGAATACCTAAGAAAACATTGGCGTCTACCTGATTCTAAGTTTTTGGAAGAAGACACTCGATTGGTGTAACTCTCTATCAGTGTCCAGCCAACTGTTGACAGTCACCCATGTGCGACCTGTAGCTTGTGAGCCCAGTGACCGTCCATGACAAGCCTGATTAATTTCATACCTGCTTTGCACATTATCGTTTGTACTTGTGTTTCCTTATGTGCAAAATAGAAGTACGACTGAATGAAAGTTTTAAAGAGTGCAGATGGCCCCATGATTTGAAGTCTTGAGCACATATAAAGGGCAGACACAAGGAAAATTTGCAGAAGGATAATGAAATGGGAGAAGAACTCCAAAGTGGGACCCAATTTACTGGTCATATACCGAATGTGACTTGCATCTCACAGTGTTAGTGGAGGACTTTCTCTGACCTGGGGTTGGGTCTTTTCCGCATAAACACCAAAGATGGAAGAAAGGAAGCAAAATGTAATGTAGCTGAGCTTTGGATGGATTAAGTCAAGGTCATATAAAACAGTTCCAAGCAAAAGTGGGGCCCAGGTGTCCATATTACGAGTTGCTAACATTGAACACTGACTATGCACAAGGCACCATTCCAAGCTCATTGCTATATTATTGTAGCCCATTGAAAACCCAAGTTTCTAGATGCTGCCTTGTCTGCTTGGTGTTGCTTAGTTCAATGAGTTATTCATTCATTAGTATGAGAGCTCACACTTACCATGTGCCCGTCACTGTTTTAAGCATGTCGTATATAGTAACATATTTTATACTCCCAAGAACCTAATGAGGTATGCACTATCATTAGCCCCATTTTATAGATGAAAAAAACTGAGGCACAGAGGCATTTAGCAGCTTGCGCAAGGTCATGCAGTGGTAAGTGACTGAGCCAGGTTTAAAGCCATGTGTGTGCTGTTAGTCACCAAGTTAGGCTTCCTTCCACATACTGATCACTGATTACGGTCATAATATGGCTATTGATGACATGAGTTTGCTTGTTACAGTTGCAAGGAAAACATTGAAAAATGTGTAAAAGAACATTAAAGGATCATCTCTATTCTTCTCAAGAGATAAGAATTTTAAATAGCATTAGAATTACTTTGATGACGGCCACCGGCATCTACCCCTTAAAGAAAACGCGCTGGGCACGGTGGCTCACACCTGTAATCCCAGCACTTTGGGAGGCCGAGGCGGGTGGATCATGAGGTCAAGAGATCAAGACCAGCCTGGCCAACATGGTGAAACCCCCTTCTCTACTAAAAATACAAAAATTAGCTGGGCATGGTGTCACACACACTGTAGTCCCAGCTACTCGGGTGACTAGAGCAGGAGAATTGCTTGAACCCAGGAGGTGGAGGTTGCAGTGAGCCAAGATCATGCCACTGCACTCCAGCCTGGGTGACAGAGCGAGACTCCATTGAAAAGGAAGGAAGAAAAAAAAGAGAAGAGAAGAGAAAAGAAAGAGAGGAGGGAGGGAGGGAGGGAGGGAGACAGGGAGGGAGAGAGAGGGAGAAAGGAAAGAAAGAAAAAGAAAGAGAGAGAGAGAGAGAGAAAGAAAAAGAAAGAAAGAAAAAGAAAGAAAGAAAGAAAGAGAAAGAAAGAAAGAAAGAAAGAAAGAAAGAAAGGAAGGAAAGGAAAGAAGGAAGGAAGGAAGAAAGAAAGAAAGAAAGAAAGAAAGAAAGAAAGAAAGAAAGAAAGAAAGAAAGAAAGAAAAACACGAAGGGGAAAAACTATTCTGTCTGCATTTAACTTAGAAAACAAGGGCCTGTTGTTTCTGACCGCCCAAAAGAAGCCCTCCATGGAATCGATTAGGAAATAAGTGTCACCAGGGATGATCAGGTGCCTGCCTGTGCCTGTAGTGCTGGGAAGCCCATGTTAGATTCTCAGAATCAAGGCTGGAGATACTTCAGGAGAGTCAGCCAGAGGCTGGGAATTTTGCCTGTTTATTCAATGCTGTTAGGCCAATAAGCAGCTTTCATCAAATACAGTTAAGACCCCAAGATAAAGACAGATGACCGCTGAGCGTGTTCAATCCTGAGGACTTGGGTTGTTGCTAGTTAGTTGTTGAGAATGGCTCCCCACTTTGGATTCCAATAGGGAAAGTGCAATGTTTCTAGATCCCACCCTCAGGTCACCTTTTCTCTTCCTACAACATGCAGACCGCCTAAAAAGCCCTGGCATTCCAGGAGGACTTTATACTTCACAGAAGATGAGGGAATCTTTGGAAATTTAGGCGACAGAGGCCAGACATACCAATAAACGGAGCAGTCCACATTTCCCCCCAGTTGGAAACAGATCAGAAGCTTTAGGCATTGGAAAATGCTAGCCACATAGCATTCTGAGTTTGAGCATCTCGTGGATGTCTGGCTGTGGACGTCAGCTATGGATGACGATAAGCCTCCTGTGACTCTCCATGCAGAGTCATCAGTCCGTGTTAGAACTGCAGCCAGCAAAGAATGACCTCAGAGACTATGGATGTGCATCCTCCAGGGCCTCAGTCCCCACCTCAACATTTGGCCTGGGCGATCAGTTCCAGTGTTGACAGGTGGCAGCTGCTGGTGGTCCAAGGGGACTTAGGACATTTTTAATTGTTTTGTAGACATGGAGGTCTTGCTATGTTGCCCAGGCTGGTCTCAAGCTCATGGGCTCAAGTGATCCTCCTGCCCATGAGCCATCACACCTGACCCCAGTCCTGTTTTTAAATGTGCCCAGGGAAGGAATTCTAAACCTCCTTTGTCAGACTTCACTTTGGCAAAATGATCCTTGGTACATTGGCAATGGATGGAACAAGGAGGCATGGGCACTCTTGACACATTCTCCAATAGGCCCCTCTGCCTTTAGGCAGAACCACCTGCCCATTCCAGCCAGATGGCAACAATCATGTTGTTGTTGTTGTTTAGAGAAAGGGCCCCACTCTCTTGTCCAGCCTGGAGTGCAGTGGCATGATCATAGGTCACTGCAGCCACAAACTCCCGGGCTCAAGTGATCCTCCTGCCTCAGTCCTGCTAATTCCTTTATTTATTTTTTTTTTTTTTTGAGACGGAGTCTCACTCTGTCACCCAGGCTGGAGTGCAGTGGTGTGATCTCTGCTCACTGCAACCTCTGCCTCCCGGGTTTAAATGATTCTCCTACCTCAGCCTCCTGAGTAGGTGGGACCACAGGCATGCACCATCACACCCAGCTAATTTTTGTATTTTTAGTAGAGACAGGGTTTCACCATGTTGGCCAGGATAGTCTTGATCTCTTGACCTTATGATCCACCCGCCTTGGCCTCCCCATATGCTGGGATTACAGACAGGAGCCACCACGCCCAGCCAACATCCGGCTAATTCTTAATTTTTTTTGTAGAGATGGAGGTCTTGCTATGTTGCCCAGGCTGGTTTCAAACTCTTAGGCTCAAGTGATCCTCCTGCCTCGGCCTCCCAAAGCACTAGGATGATAGTCATGAGCCATCACACCTGGCCCCAGTCCTATTTTATTTTTAAATGTGCCCAAAGAAGGAATTCTAAATCTCCTTTGTCAGCCTTCACTTTAGCAAAATGATCCTTGGTAGCTAGGCTTTTCCTATAGCAAGAAGAGAAATCTGACTTAGAGAGAAAAGTTATGTATTTAAAATGTCCTAGAAGGCTAGATGGATGGATGATGGATGTTGGATGGAGAGAAAGAGAAAAAGAAGTAGATAAATGAATAGATGATATTCATGATAGATGAATAGATAGATGAAAGAGAAAGGGAGGTAGATAGATGAATGAAGGAAGGCGAGAAAGACAGGAAATAGGTGACTGTAAGAGACAGCCAACCCCCTAGCAATGAGACATATTTATTATAGAATTATACACCAAAGGAGGCCTCTTAAAACCCATTCAAAACAGAAGCCACCTTCCTTCGTGCTCCCATCACCTTTCCCACATCCCTCTACTCCAGCACCTTCTCATGTTGCAACATTAGAATTTGTTAGCTGTTGGTCTCCCTGGCTGGAGCATGCGACCATAAAGCAGGGATTACATCTCATTCTGCCGTGTAGTCTCAGCATCTAGCCCAGTGCCTAGCACCTGGTCAGTGCTCCATGGAAGGAAAGACAAAAGGAAAGAAGGAGGGGAGGGAAGTACATCAGTCAACCAATATGATAAAGAAACCTGTATAAGACGATAGTGTCCCTTGTCAGGAATGCATCATTTCTAATGCTGCAATCATTAATGTTTTACTAACCAAACTTAACCTATGTGATACCTCATATCCCGTCGGTAAGCTGTCATACTCCAAGTCAATACAGTGATAGCATCTGCCCAGTGTTGGAGGGGTGTGTTAATGCTCACTCCTGTTTAACACTGTTCTAAGGGACACCAGTTCATTATTATACTGTTTGTCTCCTAAATAATTTCCAAAAAATGTATTTCACCAGGGTTCCCTGTTAATATGTATACGTTTTCCATGATCTGATCATGATATCGTATGGGCTTGGCCAGTGAGAGCTGGCGCAGTCAACTGCAGGGTGTCCTCCCAGCCAGTGACAGTGTGGCTTCTGCAGGTACCTCGTTCCCCAGTCAGGATATGCGTGCTGTCCAGGGTCCAGGGACGCCGTCCCTGCCCCGTCCAGGGTCCTGGAGCTGGCTTGACTCCTCGCCTTACATCCCCCAGTCCAAATCCTCTCGTCTTCCAAGGCCCATTCCAAGGTTGGCCAAGTTTCTCCTCCTCCACAGCGGATCCTTCTCCCCACTCTGGGAGCTGCCTTGTCTTTCTCCTTAGCACTTCCTGGTGTCACATTTCTTCCTGCCAACCACCTCTCTCTGGGGCATGGGACTGGGCAGTCTATAAAGCCGTGAGTGCCCCCCAAGCCCACAGTCCCCCTCCGAGGAAGCCAGCCAGCAGCTGGTCCTCATACTGAGGGCCAGGCTTTGTGTCCTGTGGGTCTGCAACCCTGGCCATAACCAGTATTGGATGAAGGACCCTTGTTTAACAAAATGACAGTGGACTTGCTTCAAGGCAGACGGCACAGCTTTAAAGCGATCCAGCAAACGAACTCTGCCCATTTGGGGCATGTGATTTTTGACAATGACTGTCTGGCTCAATTAGACCCAACCTGGGAGTGAACTCTGTTTTCAACATTGTCATATAGCTTGTTTGTTATTCGGACATCCCCTCGGGCTTAGATTCCACCCCCCTCCCCTGCAAGCCTTCTCTAGATCCTAAGGTCCTTGAGGACAGAGTCTTGCTCAATCTCTTTTTGTCTCCCGCCAGTGTCTGGGCCCTTTGCATCCCTTTGTAAATGTTTGTTGCACAGGTGACTGTAAAACACCTAGGCCCGAGGCCTTCACCCCCAAGGAGTCAGTTTCTCCACGGCTCCTTTTCCGGTTGTGTAGCCATTTAGCCTGAGAGAGGTTTGGGATAGGAGAGGTCTCTCCAGGATTCCTGATGAGTGTGGATGAGCCTGCTGAGCAGGGTATGGAAGCAGAAGCAGCCATTGGCCAGGGATGTGGTTGGAGGGATAAACACAGAAGATGCCTGCGGCTCCCCAAGCCAGGGAGGTCTGCAGCTAGGGGCCTGGAAGATGGAGACAAGGCAGTCAGAGAACAATGAAGACAGAGCCAGAGCCATGAAAAGTGACAGCAGCAAACCCAGAGAGAGGGACAGAGACCAACAGAGTCACACCCAATGAGGTTCATCCAAACCAAGACACTTCCCTCCATGGTTGTCAGCCCTGAGCTCCTGTTTCCTCCCTTGGGTTGTAAATTCCTCCTGAGCAGTGGTTGTGTTTATTCATCTTGGTATCCTTAGAGCCTTGCAGGGCACCACATGGGGGCTGGCACATGGTAGGCGCCCAATAATAATTTTGAACCTGAATTGAATTAATAAAAATATTCTTCTATTTTTATTTATTTATTTATTTATTATTATACTTTAAGTTTTAGGGTACATGTGCACAATGTGCAGGTTAGTTACATATGTATACATGTGCCATGCTGGTGCGCTGCACCAACTAACTCGTCATCTAGCATTCACATTTTCTTAATCCAGTCTATCATTGTTGGACATTTGGGTTGGTTCCAAGTCTTTGCTATTGTGAAAAATATTCTTCTATTAATTGACTTGAGGATTTCACAGTCTCTCTTGAAAATCTATCTACAGGGCTACCAAGGTTTCCATTACCTTGAACGCTGACGTTCACGCCTTAAATCTAACTGTGCTTTCTTGCCATGGCTTAAGTTCATTTCTCCTCCAGTGGTTTCAAATGCATGGAATGATTTTTCAGCCATTCAGGAAGAAGGAATGCTGTGTATAAAGCCTGGATTCAATAAAGCCAGATTTTTGAAAAACAGCTCTTTAGCATCTTCTACTACAGACACTGGTCTGGGCAGGGCTTTTTATTTTATTGAATCCAGCTGAAGAGCTTGACTACATTAATAATGGGCTTCATTTCCAACCACTGCCTCCCAGTCTTTCCCCCTAAAAGCCTCATGGTACTTAAGCAACTGCTAATACAGGAATAATTGTCAGTGGCATCACTTCCTGCCGTGATTTGACCACCAGGATGAGGTTTTCTTCTTGTACCTAATCTGGAGTTCTCAGGCATACCATGTCTGGGGCTGCCAGATCATATTTAAAATTTGTAAGCAAATCTAATGGCAGCTGTGATTTGAGTTGTATTGAGTTTATGTTGAGAAAGTAGGATTTGGGAAGATTCTCTTGGGTATGTAGTAATATTTTTCTGGAGCAAGCCTACCTAAAGATTGCCCAGAGGTTCAAATCTCTTATTTCTACAGAGCATGGAAGGGTGGTACCATATCACAGGGTCCTGAGGGCGGACTGGAAGATTTTACTCCATTCATTTCAAAGAAAACTCTATTTGTTCAGCTCCCATACCACCACCATACTTCTTTCTGAAGCTTCCCTGGAAGATGACATCTCACCATCAGTTTTCTTTACACTGGACTTGACTCATGATGGATTTAGTACACATAACTGTAACATGGTATCCATACAGAAGATAAGCTCCTCTTTGCTTCAATGAAAAAGGCCATATAAAAGCACACACCTATTAACAGGAATATAGCACAGCCACTAAGAGCACAGACTCTGAAGAGTCTGATTGCCAGATTGCCAGAGTTTGAGTCTAGCTTAGCCACTATGTGACTTTGGACAACTTCCCTCCAATACTTTGATCTCCTCATGTGTGAAGTGGGGAATATAATAGTGCCTACTTTTTAAAGTCACTATGAAGTTTAAGATGAATGGATATTTGTTAAGTGCTTAGATCAGTGCTTGTACACAGTGCTATATAAATGACTATTGTTGTGTGTTTTTTTTCATTTTACTGAATATCCAATACATTATTCCTCTCCACATAACTTCCTACTAGGATAAAAAGTAAAGTTTCTCTTTCAGGCAACATGCAATCAAATTTAACAGCTGGCCAAAAGTTTAGTAAGACCTTGCTTATTACACCTTTTTGGCAATATTAAAATAATATTTGTTTCAATCTAAAGGTTGCTTCATCTGCTGTTATAGGGCTAGGCACTGTGGGGCCAATAGGAGTGAAATATGTGATACCCCTCCCAAAAGAACTTGCAATCAAACAATATTGGAAAATATAAGAAGTGATATATTAGGTAGCAAAACAAAACTGAAGAGCAGATGTGATGAACTATTGGAGAAGTTTAGGAGATGTAGACATTAGTGACAGCTTGAATGGTCAGGTGAGGAAGGTAAGGAGATTTTCAGGTGGGATGAGCTGAGCTGGAAGAATGGGTTAAGATTTGGGTGATGAAGGTAAGAGTGCTCCCAGAAGGTAAAGATACAGACAGTGGTAAGGAAGGGTGGCCAGCCATGGTGACTCACACCTGTAATCCCAGCACTTTGGGAGGCCGAGGTGGACCAATGACTTGAACCGAGGAGTTCAAGACCAACCTTGGCAACATAGCCAGACCCCATCTCTACAAAAACTAGCCAGACATAGTGGCACATGCCTATAGTCCCAGCTACTCAGGAGGTTGAGGCAAGAGGATCACTTGATCCTGGGAATTCAAGGCTGCAGTGAGCTATAATTGCGACTGCACTCCAGCCTGAGTGACAGAGCAAAAGTTTCTCAATTTAAAGGAAGGAAGGAGGGAAGGAAGGAGGGATGGAAAGAAGGAAGGAAGGAGGGAAGGAAAGAAGGAAGGAGGGCAGAGTTTGGGGGTTTGGGAGGGTGAAGGCATGGAAATGAAGGCTCTGGTGTCTTCCTTGGAGGAGCAGTGAGGATGCTGCCCTAGTGGTAGCCAAGGATTAATTGTGCCAAGAGCATAGATGGTGCTAGAAAATCAGGCGACAGTAGCTGGATTATGAAGGTCTTCACAAAGCAGGCAAATGAGTTCAGATTTGGTTTAATAGAAAATAGGAAGTGAGAAAGAGGTAAGAAACACGATCTAGAATGCTGGCCAGCTGTGTCACCCGCGTGCCTGCCTGCACCAGTAGTGTCCCCGAGCTGGGCCTGACACCATTCTTTGGTGATGGTGGAATAAAGGCAAGTTGAAGAAATAAAAACATGTTCATATATGTGAGTTCCCAAGACAAACCACAGCAGATCCCAGGAATGTGTTTCTGATTGAGCAATGAAGACGTGTTGGTGGGGTTTTGGTTGGGGTGGGTGTGGGTGTCATCTCTGTTTCATGAGGTCTAAATTTCTACTGGCTCAGAAAAAGAACTTTGAGCAGTTTTTTGTTTATATGGGTCATCATCGTCTTCAATTTTTGTGGAGTTTTCTCAGAGCTTCTTGATGGTCTGCTAATACTAAAATAAATATATTAGGCCTTTTGCCTGTCTCTTCTTTTCTGTCACTGGGTGATGGCCTTTGTTTCCTCTAATGGACACATTCCAGATTTGAGTGCGGAGCGGGCAGTCCCTGGCTGCTCATGTCTGACATCGTTCCCTCCCTGTGTAGCAAAGGGAAATCAACAGCACGTGGGAGGGGGAATCTGTGTTCTAAGAACTGCTTTGGTTTACACATCTATAGATAACACTCAACCAGCACTGCAGGTCACATGGACCGGCTGGTGAGGCTGAGGATGAGTCACTTTTAAATTACTCATAGAGAAAGAAATATGTTTCTGAAAGCCAGAGTGGTTGGCTTACACATGGAGGTAAGAGAGAAAGCAGGCAGCTTCATAAAGCACTCAGACCTCCTGTGACAGCTGACGTGGTGTGTAGTGCGTCAGGTGGGAAGACGGGGCCCTGCGTCCTCAGCAATGTATTTGGAGGTGAGGCTTTTTGTTGATGGGAACCCCTGTGCTGGGACTTGGGGGTATTTAGGATACATTTCCATCTAGCTAGACTTTCTCTTACAGTCCCACTTTGTAAATGGCCCTAGGACCCTTGATTAACTTTCAGTAACACAGTCTAGTGGTGAACACCAAGCCATCTGAGGCTGAAATATGGAGAAGTATGTCAGTCCAACAGAAGGTCAGATGGGGAGGGGCGAGGGAGCTTTCAGAAAGTCTTGGAGTACAAGGGCCTCAGCTGAGCCTCGAAGGTCTTCATTCGTTGCAAAGAAGAAGGAATTCTGTCCCAAGCGAGATGGAAAGATCATCTGAGCAAAAAGAAAGCATCAGTGACAGAGGCTGCAACTTCATTTCACTGGCTGAGTCTAAATTTTTTTCACAGGAAAAAATATACAGAAGACAAGAGAACAATCACCAAGGAAGCCCAAGGCACTGCTTACTAAATTGGTCCAAGGGGGGGATTTCACCAAATGCAAATGAACAAAGAACAATACATGTGACTCAAAATATCCGTTATGCTCTTAATACTTACGAGAGGGTGTGAGGCAGGGAGGTGACCTTTTCAAGGGTTGAAAGCTGTCAACTTTTCAACCACATTGTTTTCATTGCTGGGAGATTGAAGACAGGATCACCTCAGGGTACCATTTTGGAAAAGTGATTTAAAAAAAATTAAAAACTCCTTCCTGCATAATGTTTTGGGACATTTTGAATTGTTTTTGCCGTGAAGACATAGAATTCAGGTGTCCAGGAAATACTGCAACCTTTTATGAGAAATGAATACCCAGAAGTCTAGAGCTGCCTGGCACTCACTCTGGCAGGTCTTCCACCTCTGGTCCCTCTCCAGCAGAAGGGCTAGTGAGCAGTTTAGGACCCCTGGAGCAGGGGTACCCTTACCCCCACCCCAAAGGAAGCGATGTGGCTTTTTTCTCGCAGCCCCGCCCCCATCCCTTTGACAGGTCACTAGAACAACAGAGTGCCCAAGTGGAGACAGGGAGGAATGTGATGGTTGGAGGGACCTAAAAATAACCATTTTTCCCTCATCCTGAATGTGCTACCCTGGGCCAGACATTCCCTGAAGGGCTCCTCTGAAATCTGGGAAACAGGAAATGCTAAGAAAATCTCTAATTTGCCTGGTCATGTGAACTCCTCTCGGTGTTGAAACAGAATTTTGGAAGAGGGGACTCTGCACTGTGGTTGAGCCCTCCTAATCAGAGAACATTTGCCCCTATGAGAATATGGTGGATGTGACTATTCAGCCTCAACTTCCCTCTTTCTAAACATGTAAACTCTGATGCCTAAAGAACAAAACCAGAAAAGAAACCCACTCGGTCTTAGTTGCGTATCTGAGTGCCGACAGGGCGGCTGAGAGGGGCCCACGTGCCTGTCGCTAAAAAGCCCCTTTGGCATTTCATAACAGGACCCAATCCCGCAGACTTGTCTGTGCAGGCTCACGCACCATCTTCAAAACCTTTACTACCTGTATTTGTAGTAGATGATTAATGATTAGGCTTTCTTCCCACACATTTGGCTTTGATAATCTCCACTCAAAAATATTCAGATGCAAATAATTTAAAAACAAAGTGGCTCCAAGGGCTCTTTCTGGGAGGATGGAAATGCTGCATATCTTGATAGGGGAGTGAGTTAAAGGGATGTATGCCTTTGTCAATATTCATAAAACTGTACACATGATATATTCATTTTGTTGTATGTAAATGATACTGAGAATGAAAACTCTTAAGATAATAAAGTGGGTTGAGTTTGGAAACCAGAAAAAGTGGACACGATGTAAATGACCCCGCTGAAAACGATTCGAGTTGGCCAGCAGAAACTAAGAAATGCGTACGCGTGGGCAGTCCCCACTGTGCGGGGAAATCTTTGCAAGGTGAGCAGATTCAGCTCAGCTCATAGAAACTCCAGCTGATTCTGCACATTCATCTGTGTTTTTGTAGGTGTTTTTGGTGTCTTTGTGTCCATTTCTGTTTGGCTCATTTCCCTACTCAATTGGATTTTGACTTCTATTTCCTGAATACAACACCCCCGCAATACCTAATATCCCAGGCCTGTGAAAAGTGAATGCCTAATAAATGTCCACTCACTCACTGAGATGGACTGCTTCTCCTGTCTCTGTTACATTCTATCAAAATTAGCCAGTGCATTTGGCCCTAAATGCATTTGTAAAAATGGAAAGTAAAAGGAGAAACATTCATACTTGTACTAGTTTTGAGAAAATTCCCAGTTATCTCTGCTTCTAAAAGAAATCCGTTTCAGAACTTTTACTTGGGAAAAATTGCTTTTGCCTAACAGGAAAAATAAAACATAGACTCCAGACGCAGTGATGTTCGTGTGAAATTAAGAAAACAGAGTTAATGTTGATGTCTTAGTGGAGGCGAAGGTACGCTTCCTTTCTCTCTTTTTCCCCCTTTTCAAGGCAAATCAGAAGACCGGGTGTGGAAATTCCTGCAGGTTTGCTCTGTGTCGGTTTGCACGTTTGTAGATGGAGTTTCATGCTTTTTCTCACTAGTCAGTCTTTTTGTCATCATCTCATCTTGAAACTAGAGAGGAAGGGAATGGAAGGGCAAATTGCTAATATCAGAGACCTCTGGAAATTCCCCTTTTATGGTACATGAGTATTTAAGAACAGTTCTCTTTCAGTTGTGTTTTTGTGATTTTGGTGACACTCAGTGGGCCCAGCCCTGCCTCTAGTCAGACTCCAGTGTCCTTCAGCAGCTCTCTAGGGCATGGGCTGGAGGCAGTGGGATGGGGGGTTAACGTGAATTGCACTGCTTTGGAAAAACAGCCCAAGAGAGATCCTTTTTTTAAAGTAGATAACCTGAGCATAAATCTATACTCACATGATTTTTAAAAATTAACTTATCTAGCATCTTTTATAAACTGATAAATCTCTCATGAATTAATGACTCACCAGTGCCTAAATGGTGGGCAGACAGGCGGCGCTATAAATTTCTCTTGGCATTTTGTGTGTCATTATATATGATAAGTTCCAGTAATGGCCTGGCTTCATTGAAGGTTATTTTAAAGGAAGAAGCTTTTTATCCCACATGGTTTCAGGCAATACCTTATTGAAGATGACTTAGACCTTGGATTCTGGGGTTGGAACAGGCTTGTGTCCACTGCCTAAACAGGGCCAGCACAGCTTCGTGGGGGGCCTCTGGAGGAAGGGGCCCCAGGAAGGAGTCAGGTCTTTCTGCTCACTGGCTGTCAGGCTGCCTGGGGGTCTCGGAGGGTCCAGAGCAACTGATGGCTGGTGTGGAGGAGAGCGTGTGACAGCCAGTCCCAAGGCCAGGCTATGAGAGACTATGCTAATTAGTGAAGTCCCTGGTAGGGCCAGGTCACTCGGCCACCAGGTAAAAAGTACCAGGTTATTTCTGCCTTGGCAGAAGGAGAAGGTGCATGAATATTACTCATTAATACGCCTCAAGGAACCACTAGGTTAGACAACAAAATACCTTCTGCATCCACTCCCCTATTACTTCCTCACTCCCCAAACATCCTTTCAGTCTGCTCCTCCAGCTTGAGAAACCAGGAGGGTCTTCCTACCGAGTGGTGCCTCCCGAGCCTCTGGGGTACAGCTTGTGACCCTCCTCAATCAAATGAATCCCAGGGTTCCAGGCCAGGTGAGTATAGATGGACTTGGAGCTTTTCTTATGAAATGTCTTGAGCTGAGTTTCTTTTTCCTGCTACGCCGAACTCTGTATATGTTTGTTTTTGTTCTAATTTTGGCTTCAGAAAAAAAAAAGAAGAAAAGAAAAGAAAAAGAATGTTTGGGTACAGTGTAAAAGTTTTCTCAGATCCAGATTGGAAACTCCCTCATCACTCTGAAACCGGACAGGTGCTGAGCGGTATTTGTTTCTCTGTCAATAAACAGCACGTACTTGGCCTAGACATAAACTCCTGCGGGAGCAGTGGTGCACATGGGCCTATTTCAGTGTTTGGGAAGGACTGAAGGGCCCTGAATTAGGAGGAAGGTCTGCTTCTCACCCCTTCTCTTTTGATCTTCTGATAGAGACCACATAGTGTTCTCTTCATGGTATTTTGATGGCATATGGCGTATAAACACAGGTGTGACCTTTACACAGTGCACTGCGTTACAATTATAATAAGTGAGAGGAGATAAAGCCAGCTGGAGTTTAAGGTTAACGCTGAAAACAGCGAACGCTAATTTTCACTGAAAACAATGTCACAGAGCAAGGCGTAGGTGCCCCTTTTCAACTGCCGCGTGCATGGTTCTATGAACAGCCCCAGGTGAAGGGTTTCCATGAAATAAGCCACCTCCTGGGGTACAGAAATACTTAGTGATGCATCCTCTGAGGATCCCCTTTGGGACCACCCTCCTGGGCGGCATATCCCAAATCCTTGTTTGGATGGGAAGGGAGCATTAGGTAACTTCACTTGGAACAAGGTACCATGATTATGTCTGGTCCTGTTTTCCGTGCTGACAGGCAGTTCACCTCTCCGGGACTCAGTGTCCTTGATTTTAAAATAAGGGACTTTGACCATATTCCTTCAGTTTCTTGCCTTCTGGTTTTTTACACAAGAGGCTCAGCCCAGAAGCCTAACCCCAGATGCATACTTAATTCCTCGGGAAAACAAAATATTTGTCAGACCCACAATTAACTTAATTGTTTATTTGTGCAAAGGCTTTCTTGTTTAGTTCCAGGACTTGCTGTTGAAATTTGAAAAAGGGTGGCCCCAGATTCATGTTCACATGAGTAGCTGCGGTAGCTACTCACCAGCTAGCTCCTGGGAGAGAAAATGGAGAAGAAAGCGAGGGAAGAAAACGGAGGGCAAATTCTCCAAGGTTTACTCCTCCACCAGAGAGACGCCTCCTGGGCAAGCGTTTCTACCTGGATCCCTGGCTGCCCAGGAAATTGGGGAATGAGGGCTTTGGGTGTGGAGTCCCCTTGGCCATTATGAAGTCCATGGGGTTGCAGTTACTGAGCAGAGTTAGAGGCATTCCTGCACCCCCACCCCCAACCCACAACGTCTGGACTTGGGAGGAGATTCCTTGGCTTCTGAAAGAAGCTTCTGTTTCTGTTTACGTAAACATCAGGTGGACGGGGGAGGTGGACGCCAGGGTGGGACGTTCTTGCAGTGCTCAGATGAGGGTGAGACTGGAGGGGCCAGTACAGGTGTTGGGCATTTGGGTAGCACCTAACAATAATCTAAGGCAGTGGTTCTCCATGGGGATGACTTTGCCTTCCAGGGGACATTTGGCACGGCCTGGAGACATTTCGGGTTTTCACACTAGACAAGGGTTTCCGCTGGCATGTCGTGGGCAGAGGCCAGAGAAGCTGCTAAACATCCTCCAGTGCACAGGGCAGCCCGTCCTCCCCACAACAAAGAATTACCTGACCCAGAATGTCAATTGATCTAAGTTCTAAAGCCTACTAATAGTTTGTAAGTTGAAAGCACTAGATTGACACAAACGGGAAAAGTTATTTGCAGTTTATTTTCCTGAGGGACAATGGGCTGCCACTCCCTTCCATGCTATTGCTGGGCAAGACTCTATGTTGGCTCTTGCTTTCTTCTCCTCTTTGAACACCCCCCTCCCCTGCCAGCCCGTCTGATGCCGTCCAAGCCTTTTTTTTTTTTTTTTTTTGGCTTCTCAGCAAGCCTCATGAATATTAACTGGGACACTCAGGGCTAAAATGATCTCTGGTCTTACTTGAGAAATGCCCTCAAGCAAGAAAAAGAACAAGAGTCCCAAGAACACCAAGTGCCCCTCACCTTGGTCACACCAATGGCCCACACTGGCTGGGGAGGCGGGGAAGGGTCCTGGGAGAGGGAGGATGGGCCTCTAACCTCCAAGGAGAACATGAGTGAGGGCCCCAGGAAGGGAGAGGGTGCGACAAGCACTCTGGAGAAAGAAAGGAGAGGGTTCAAGGTGACCCTGAGCTCGGGGCAAGATCTGCAGGGCCTGCAATTGGCAGAGTGCCTGGCATCTGGCCAAGCAGCCCTCCCTCTCTCTTCCCCGCTCCACCACCTGCTCCTGGTCGCTGCATTGCCGGTTCCTCCCAGCCTCTTCTCACCTGCTCGCTCTAACGTCCGTCTCAGCCAACAGCCCTACTCTTCCCTCCCAAGCCAACAGGGGGAAGCAGAGAGCAGCAGAACAGCCTAAAGGCAACAACGGCAGTCTCTTTACCGCGCCCACCCTGCACTCCTGGGCCCCTGTGGCCTCCACCCCAGCAGCTGGACCCTCCGAGACCCTCCTTTTCCCACCAAGCTCACCCCCACTAAGGGCCCTCCCCACGCAATGCACAGCACATTCCACGCCCACCCGACATCAATCACGTCCTGTCTCGTGACTCATCCGATACTGTTGACTTGCTGTACAGTTTCTCACCTTTGCAAATGAGATTTGTCGCCTCCTCAAGTTGACTGTCCCTGGAGGCCAGGAGACGTGCTGTGGCCCTGCTGTCCCGAGCCTTTCTCAGAGTCTCATGTTCAGCTCAGTTCTGTTGATTGGGGACAAAGGACACTGCCATTTGCCACCTCTGCCCGCCCTGTGCCGACCTCCACCAGACGTTTGGCATCATGAGCCCGTGTCGTTCTCACCCCAGCCTTTGTGGTTGATGTTGTAGCGTCCTCTTATTCTTATAGATGAATAAGTTGAGGCTCAGAGATGTTAGATATCTTGGGTAAGGTGAAGCTGTGACGACTTGAGAACATAACTGAACGTTCTAGGCTCCTTACCCCACACGGTGTTGCCATTCCAGTCCCAGAAGGTCCTGAGGTTCTTTTGAGATGTGTAATGAATCCATCTTCCTTGAGCATAACACAATCTTTATGGACCTGTTTAAATAGTTTTAATTTCCATGTGTTTACTCATTCATTCTGCAAACATGCACACAGCTTTTACAAGGTGCCAGGCACTATCAGAACCTGGGAAAACCAAGATGAAGAAAATGTAGCCAGTGCCCCCAAGGAGGAGAGAGACAGGTGGCAGTGAGTTCACTGGTGAGCCTTGAGGGGGCAGAATAAGAAAAGGGCATGATGGGGAGGTGGGGGCTTGGTCAAGAAAGGCTTCACAGAGGAGGTGGTATTTGAGCTGAGTGTGGAGAGGTGTGCAAAAGGCAGAGTGGCATCCCAGCCTGAGGATGCATGTGAGCCAGGATCTGTAGAGGAACGAGGCTGCAGCTGATGCTGCCAGTAATCACATGGAGTTCAAGGCAAGCAGTGGGTGTGGGGAGAGGGGAGTCTGGAAGCGTGGGTCAGGGCCAGCTCGCCCTGTGGATAACAGGAGCCACTCAGGGCATTTGGATAAGAGAGAGGGACGCAACTGCTTTGTGGGTCTAGCAGACACCCTGGGAATACTCCAGAGGGAAGCTGAATGGGGCAAGATGAGGGAAGATCGGTTGGGAGCTTCTTGCCACTGTCTAGGTAAGCCATGCAGTGGGGTGAACAGAAGTGGCTTCTGTAAGACCAGAAAGAGGAGACATCCTAAGAGACTTCTGTAAGGTGGAGATGACAGTGATGGTGTGTCCATAGGAAAAGAAGAGGGAGGAGTTGAGGATCACCCCGGTTTTTCTGCTAGGATATAGGCTGAGGGCTGTCAAGGGGGCTGATTAGACCCTTAGAGGCAGATTTTGGGAAGGTGTAATCAGTTCCCTTTGTGCTGTGTTGGGTTTGATGTACCTGATGGATATGCAGATCTGTTTGGTCGCAAACTAGGGTTTGAGGTTCAAAAGAGATTCAAGAGTCATGAGCCTAAAGGCTTCACAATAGGGTTATAGCTTAATCCTTTCTGTACTATGAAGACTTCATGAATGTCCCAAAATCCACATTCAGGCCTGCCCTTCCCAGAGTCATCATTGTCTTCTAGAAGCCTAGTTTGTCCCATTTCAGCTGCCCTCCTCTGGACTCACCACTGGCTTTTTGGAGTGGCCAGGTCTGTGTAGAGAATTCTGAATGGACCATTCCAGGTGGGGACCTCATGGCTTAGTACAAGGTCCGATGTTCTTGCTGTTGGGTAGGAAATCCTGCCTTGATGAGTCTCAGGATTTGGCTGGCCGCTCTGCCCTGACGATTTCAAGAAATCACTTCTGCTAACTCCAGAACTCTACTTCCAGGCCCCTAGCTGATAATATACAGGTATTGAGCTTCATTTGAATTTTTTCTTTAAGAACTTACCTTGACTAAAGATGTTAGAAAATAAGATCCTAAAATTAAAAATTACGGACTCTGCAAAAAGAGCTTAACTGGCTTCAAAAGTTTCACACAACTCCTTTCATATATGCATTTTCTGTAAGCTACTTGTAAATAAAGAAGGTACCTAGGAAAGGAAAATTGCCATCTCTGACAGTTCAATGCAAAAATGAGAGAGGAATGAGAGGGAGTCATGACTGAATTTTAGTGCCTTTGCTGCCAGGCACTTCACAGAAGTCATTTCATCCTCCTGACCACTCGACAACTACAGCCTTTTATTTTTCTCTGTTTTATGAATTCATAAATTTAGGCTCAGGGAGGTTAAATAACTCATCTAACATGAGTTAGATTTAAGCATTGCAGAGAACGAGAGGAGAACTGATAACTCATTCAACTCATTGACGAATCTAGTAATTTGCAGAGTTGAGGTTCAAGCACAGATCTGTCTGACTCTAATGTGTGTGCTCTTTCCTCTCCAATGCTACTAGCATGGGTGAGCTGTGAGCATTCTGGAGAGGGTGAAAAGTGGGAGGCAGAGGCAAAAGCTGAGTCAAATAGTTTTCTCAGATGAGAGAGAGTGGGCAGGCAGTGGATATTCGTGCAAGCAAGTTGGACGCCGTCAGAAATCTGAGCTGAAGTTATGTGGGTATACTCACGTCTTGTAGTCTCCGCTGAAGGACCCATTATCAAATAGGTGGAAAATACAAAAATTGAAGATATGGTGAAGCATTATCACCTGATCAACCCAGCATCCTGCTCTCATAGGTGGTGTACAATTTCACCCAGCCCAAGTCATTATGTCTTCCAGGAGAAAAGGAGGCTCTAGTAGGCACTGAGGACAAGCACATGATAAGCTATTGTTTTGCCTCCTGGGAATACTTGGTTGGCCCTTTATTTTTTAGTAGCAAGAAGATTTAGGAGTAGCACTCTGTATGTATGTTGATTGTTTGGCTTTGTACACAAATGTTAGAAAATTAAAGAATAGATTTGGTCATTGTCATGTCTGTTTGCCCTCACCAGACTTGACTTAGATATGGTTCTTTAAAGTCTCAGGCATTTTAGAATAACTTTGGGGAAGGTATTTACGAATTAATTTTTAAAAAAACTCTTTCATTTTAGAATTTTCTTAAAAGAGATATGTTTTTAAAATTTCAAATACCTAGAATTGGGCAAACGAGGTGTTGCCAAGTAGAGGCTCTGCTGAGCAAATAATGACCACATCAAAACACCAGCCCCAAGGAAGCAGGCTCCGATTCTGCTCCCAGAGCAGCACATTGGTGTGGTGTCAAATGCATGTTTCTAAAGAACTCAAACATTGTTTTCTCTTAGTTAGATAAACAAACTCCTTGATGTCTATTTATGACTAGTTGTTAGTGAGTCTCTTGGAAGTCATACAAAGCAGTGAGAACAAGAAGGTGTTTTGCAGGTTGGCTTTGAGTAAAGACCCTCTGTTTTGATCAGGGTCTTGGATGCCCTGCTCAATCCCCTACTCGAAGTTCTGAGGGCATTTCTCTGATTGTCCTCCAAAACTGTCCTGCCAACTGCTATAGATTAAATAGGTAAGGAGCAGCTACTAAGTTTCCTTCTTCCCTCCCATGAAGGAGCCCGGCCATGAGATTTAGCCAATGAGCCCATTTAACTCTCTGTTTTCTAGCTCATTTATCCAAGGGTTCAGTGCACCACTGGAAACCTTCATATAACAGAAAGCCAGTGTTTGGGGGGCATTTGGTTTCAACTTGCTTGTGTTTGAGCATTTATATTTATAATAGTGCTAATCTCTAAGGGACTCACATCGCATTAAGAGCTTTATCTTAGGCTGCCACGGAAACTAGCATGTACCAACATGACTGAGAACTATGAGAAATTGGGCTGGGCCTACAGAAAATTAATAAGCTCCGATTTTCATTTAAATTATCTTTTCCATGAGATTTTGTTTTGAAACCCACAAAGTCGGGCCAAGCCATTAGCATTCCCTATGCACACATTTATCCTCCCCCTGTAGCCTATGCTGTCCCCTCCCCTCGCCCCCAGCCCCTCATCTGTTATCGCCCCCCATCTATTATCGCCCCCCTTGCCTGAGTGAACTCGCCCTTCTCTGAACCGTCATGGCCACCCCTTCTGCCACCAGGACATTCTTGCTTGTATTGCTTGCTCCTGACCTCATAGAAGGAAAGGAGTAGTTGCATTTTTCTCTTGAATCCACCCCAGGGTTTTGATCATGCCAGTCATGTTACAGATGCCCAGTAATTTCTGCTGGGTTAGATGTTAGTCAGTTGCAGGGTAGATTGGTGTTAGGGGAGGTAGCCCGGCCATAGGCAAAAAAGTAGCTTAGGGTCACCGCAGTCAGTGTGGAGAAGGGAATTTTGGGGGGAAATCTGGACAGACGAATTTGACCAATCTATGAGGCTAATTATAGAAAAAAACACAAGAAGGGGGAAAATTTCTTTCAGTAATTAGAGAGATGACAGAGAAGCAGGGAATGCCCCTGATTGCATTATAGAAGAGGAGATCAAGATGACTTCAGAAGTCATTTGCTGAAGGTACAAAGAGAGCTCAAGGTGAAAGGAGTCCCATTTTCCTTCTTGGTGGAGGCGCAGCTTAGTAACCTTTGAGGAGTGTTGCCTGTCTTGCTAGGAAAAATATGACAGGAGTAGCCCAGTGGAGGTTGGAGACCTAATACCCCTTCTCACCCCCAAACCTGATAACTCATTCTTAAGCATCAAATCTTATGTTATAGTCCAATATTTCTGGACATTTTTCTGCCACAAGGTCTCCAGAATGTGTTAGCTTAGCTTCAGCCTTATAGGAATTCATATTTAAATCGACTTCTTTTTTCCTACCTGGAGACTGCTGGAATATCAGACTAAAACAGCTCACGGGAAGGCTGAGCAGAGTCTAATTCTAGAACTTGTGGCATGTTCATGGGACACGGAAAATACATAGAAGTGATGGTTTCACAGAGAAAGGGAAAAGTCACTCCAGAGAAAACTGGAGGGAGCCAAGAAAATGCGGAGAGAAAGTGGGGAATGGCAACCTCAGACGCAGAGGGAAAGAAAAACAAGAGAAGACGTACGTTAGCAATAAAAGAAAAAAAACCATCACAATGCCCGTTGGGCAGGAAAGTGATTTTTCTGCTTTTCTTTCAGCCCTCCTGGGCCCACAGTATTGAAGATAGGAGCAGAGTGCATTCACTGGTGTCCACTCTTCAGCTGGGTGTTGCTGAAGAAGAGAGAAACCTTAGCCATCTTGCCACCAGGTCACTCTCTTTCTTTCGTTTTCAGGCTGACCCAAGCAAAATAGGGGAAAATTGCATCTGGACAAAGGAAACTTCTCTTTCTGTACCTAAAAGCCTCATGTCAGGCTGGGCGCGGTGGCTCACGCCTGTAATCCCAGCACTATGGGAGGCTGAGTCAGGAGGATCACTTGAGGTCAGGAGTTTCAGGCCAGCCTGGCCAACATGGTGAAACCCCAATTCTACAAAAAAACTACAAAAATTAGCCAGGCATGGCGGTGGGTGCCTGTAATCCCAGCCATTCGGGAAGACTGAGGCAGGAGAATTGCTTGAACCTGGGAGGCAGAGGCTGCAGTGAGCCGAGATCGCACCACTGCACTCCAGCCTGGGTAACTGACAGAGGGAGACGCTGTCTCAAAATAAATAAATAAATAAATAAATAAATAAATAAATAAATAAATAAATGCCTCATGTCAGGAGAACCCTTTCTGTAGAGAGCCATATAATTAAGCACTGTGTTTGTTCCAAACAAAAACTAGAGAAAGGGTTAAAAATCAATATTATTAGTGACATCTCCTCTCTTCTTCACTGTTAATCATCTGCCGGTCACTGTCATAACAGTGTTATTTTTCAGGCCTGAAATGAAAATTGGCGATTACATCAAGCAAAGAGTTTGAAAGGAAGGCTGGGTTACTGCATGATTATTCGGACTCTCCCTGTAAATACGTGAATAGTTCCAGCTTCCCCTCACATGGGTTGAGGGTAACAGAATGACATCTCCCTGGGCTAGAAGAGAAACAGAGACAGAACAAGCGAAAGTCGTCTGGCACCAGCCAACAGTTGCAACTTATACATATAGCCCGGGACCGGTATGGGTCTGTGGCCTGTTAGGAACAGGGCCGCACAGCAGGAGGTGAGCAGCTGGCGAGCATCACTGCCTGAGCTCCGGCTCCTGTCAGATCAGTGGCGACATTAGGTTTTCCTAGGAGTGCAAACCCTATTGTGAACTGTGCCCACAAGGGATCTAGGTTGTGTGCTCCTTATGGGAACCGAATGCCTGATGATCTGTGTTGGAACAGTTTCATCCTGAAATGATCCCCCACCCCATTCGTGGAAAAATTGTCCTCCACAAAACACGTCCCTGGTGCCAAAAAGGTTGTGGACTGCTGACATAAATGAGCTTGATTCTTTTCTCATAATGTAAACGTTATCAAAGAGACAGAGGTGTCAGCATAAGCACGTCGCTGCTCCATGCACACTTATGACTTCGTGGCTCTGGGCAGGCCCGTTTAGCTGGGAGTCATAGCTACATTTAGGGAGGCCGCGTGATTGAGTGGAAAGGCAGGATATTTTATGTCAGAATTCTGGGTTTGAGTTCTGGTTTCATAATTGATTAACTAGGTGTCCTTGGAAAAGTTACGTATTCTTGGTCATCTCTAAAAGAGGGGTGACAGCAGTAATAACTTATCTGTGGCTTGTTGGGAGGACCACACTAGATGATCTATATGGAAGCACTTTCTCAACAACAGCGTGCCATGTGAATATTTGTTTTTGTTTGTAATAGATACCTCTATAATAAGGAGAATGAGAAGGTTATTATTTCATCCTGTTTGTTCACTGTTTTTATTTAACAACTTTTTTTTTTTTTCCTACTACATTCCAGGCAGCAGGCCAGAGGCCAGGGAAATTCGTTGCCACTTCACAGTATCTCATTGCATCATTGAGAGGTTTACTCCTGATCCAGCACCGAAAGACCATTTTTGGCCTTTAAAAATAAAGTTGAAAGTCCAAGAGCCAGAAAGATTAAGGATTAAGCTAATTTTTAAAATAACAAATGTTTTCTTATATTCTTTTCTCATTTATATGGTGCTGGTAATTTTTTAAATTAGATTTTCATCTGGGCATTTTATATTAAAAATGATACAGTTCCCTGTCCCTTGTAATTGCATTTCTTTTGATTTTCTTTTATTATGACTCGCATATCACTGACACTTTTTTCCTGGAATGTTAAAAGTATACATCATCTGGCTAAAAGGAAAAAATACTGACTTAATAAAAATGGAAAAGAGAGAGAGAGAGAAAATGGATATTCTTCTCTTTTGGTTCCAAACAAGGCAAAGTCCTCATTCCTCGTTCTTCATACATGCCAAGGTTGATGTCACGGATCCAAACCAGTTTTGAGTTATCTGAAATGGGGGGGAGCGGGGAAGCGCAGTTCAACAATCTTCTGAAGCTTGAAAAACAAATTTGTCACAGTCTGATAACCCAAAAATGACTGATGGATTTTCTCTGCATTTTCCAAGCAGGGAGGGGTCGGGCATGGAGAATGAAACATTCTGAGAAAAGACTTAAATGTGGAAACTTTTGGTTCAAGAGGGTATTCTAGGAGATACAAGAAATATCTCCTGGGGGCATCCAAAGGGAATAACACTGTAATCTTGAGTGATGTATGGTTCCATTGCCCGAGGAATAGGGATGAAAACCATAAACTCCTTTGGTTGGGGTATTAACTTATCATCAAAAGTTACCATAAATAATGGATATTGTTTATGGCTGAGAAGTAGGACACATCCAGAGAAGACATCCCTTAATTTTTCATAAAATCATCTCAGTGTTATTGGAATATGTTTTTCATGCCATTTGAGCTGTCGGAGTATCTCTTGGGTAGATTCTTAAGCAGAAATAGTTGGGACTTTACAAACCCTGCCTGGGATTCTAATGTCTGGTGCCATGAAGATTTTGGCTTGTGTTTCTTTTGATGTCTAGAATATCAAGAACATTCCTAGCTTCTATATTACGGCAGGTCACGTCCCGGCTTCTTCTAGTAAAATCCCCTCTAGGATTCAAGCCTCTATTTGCACCGGTAATAAATGTGATGGCACATTGCGACTTTGAATGCAAGCCAGCAGGGCTGCAGGCACCTGTTTCTCCCAGTGCCCCAACTGTATCAAACCCTTTTCATCCTCCCTGCTTTTGATGCACAAACATAAAACGGAGTCCCAGAATCTAAAAGTGATGTCACTTGAGTGTCACCAAGGACCTTTAGAGGACCATGGGGCATCTCTTCCTGTTACAAATGAGGCTCTCAAAGCCTGGAAAGGTGAATCCCTGGACCACAAGTGGAGGAACTGAGAAAGGGTGCGTCGACACTCAGACCCCACAGCTTGCCATTGTGTGGCTTGTGATAGAACCAAGACATCAGAACAGACCAGCTTATCCGGTTATAAATCTAGGATAACATGATGAGCTTCAGAGCCAGGGGTTGAGCTCTCCTGGGACTCCTCCCCTCCAAAGGATGTGTTCCATTGCCAAACATTAAAAGCTCCGAATTCTTGTTTTCTCGCCAAAAGGTATTGTAGACATGATGGCAGTGAAATTATTTTTTTCGCATTTAAAGTTACCCTTAATAAAATCACTTTCTTCAGGTGGTGTACCAAGTTAGTAAAACATACCTGTTTGAATCTATATTCCATCAACCATGAACTTATGCCTGGGGATCAAAAATTTCTTAAAACCCACCAGGCGTGATCCTAATACTTTTTTCACAGTTTCTCGGGGTGTTTCAGTAGGTTAGGATTACCTCCAAAGACATTTAAATGATGTTTCTGGTTCAAACGGAAATGAAAAGCACATAAAATTGTAAGACATAAGAATTCCAAGAATTTGGCAGAGGTGAAAACACACAAAGAAAAGATGAAATTTAGACGTTTTTATTCTGCTCCTTTATCCAACACAAATCCCTCTCCAGTTGTCCCATAACCACAATGCCAGCATTTAACTCCTCAAGGGTTAAAGGAGGCTTGTAGAGCGGGCCTCTGGCTGACTCCAGCGTGGATCGCAGGCCTGGCGTCCTGTCAGACTTCCACGGTCAAATGGTAACCACACTGCCTCTAGTTACCTCGCTCCATTTCTTGGGGGGCTCAGGGACAGCCGCCATTTCCCCATCAGTGTCCACGACCAGCGTCCTTCTGCCAGGAGGCGGGCTGGAAGGTCCCTCGCAGCTATGGCCAAGCCCTGGCTGCGGCTGCAGAAGTCTCACTTGTTTCACTCGGCCAACACTTAATTTCTTTATGTATCTGAGGGAGTGGGGAATTAGTGTCTTCCAGGAAATTCAGGCTCTGAGTTTTCTGTCCTAGACTACAACAGGCAAATGGAGAACGGGTTGTGGGGATCGGAGCTGAGGAATGAACTTCAGCTGATAAAATGCAAGACAAGGAGGGAACAGGAAAGCAAAGGACAAAGTGAAGGAGAAAAAAATAAAGGGAATTTTGGCAGGGAAAAGGGATTTGGGAGATAGGACGGGAGTCCTGTCTGGGTTATAGTGAAGGCAGGGGAGAGAGGTTTGGGGGATCTTGGGGACCTGGGCCGTGTCCAGCCATTTTTTGTCTCCCACCAACTCCTCGCTGTTCAGCTACCCCACAGAGCAGGGTCTTGGGCATCCTGTGTGCTGAGGACAGAGCTGAGCTTATAGTCACTGTGCATGAAGGATGCTGTGATTCTGCTTTTTTGTTTGTTCATCTTTAATTTGGTGTATTAGAGATGTTGCACTGAACACATTCCCTCTCAGCATGCAACTGCCAAAATGCTGAAAGAAAGTGTTTGGCTTGTTGGGTCTGACTGCAACAATCACAAACTTGCCTTGCAAACTTCTGGCCTTCCAGTAACACATCGAACATTAAAGGATTAAATGCTTGGTGAGCAGAGCTAGGTTCTTGTAAAACACTTGGCAGGTAGGTTCCTAGGAATTTAAAGGTATCTGCCTTTGTTAAATTATGAAGATTTTTTAAATGTGAGTAGAGAAAAGCTGTTTCCAGTCATGAGGAGTCACGAGGGGTGCCTCCAGGAGGAGAGAGACCATGCAAGAAGCAGGTGACGGGGCAGTGGGGCGAGCGGCCCAGAGAAGCCCCCCCACCCCCTGGATCTCTTGGGCAGTGGGGCGAGTGGCCAGGGAAGCCCCCTGTATCCCCCTGGGTCTCTTCTTTGAGGGCTTATGCTCTGTCCGTGGTGTGGAGCCACTCTTGTTCATGCACGTTGCAGACACAACCACTTTTGGTCCAGCAAGAATAGTTGAGCTGATCACTTGAAAGGATCAAAATCCAGTTGCCACTGTGGAAGCTCTGGGGCCACATATTTTAATATTCTAAATTAGGCCTCAAGTTGGATTTGTTTTTGTGACTCAAGGAAATTTTGTTCTCTTTCACATTCTAGAATTCCCTGTGAAGCAGCCCTGTAAATAGGAGGGCTTTTCCTGAATAATATGGAAAGAATTTCTCTTTGGGGATTTGAGTCTATATCATACAACATTTTAAAATACTCTTGAGATGGCACGTGCAGCCCTAGCAACAGGGCCAGACCACAGTCAAGGGCTTCCAGAGTGTGCCGCACACGTTCCCGTGGGATCCAGCCTTGCACAGTGCCCAGGGCGGCGGGGGCGGGGGTGATGGGGAAGGTCCTGTGACTGGTGGTTTCTCCATGGTCACAGGGTCTTCTTTCTGTTGATGTGGCCCCATTCGCTCTGACTCACCCCTGACGGCATACACCGGCTTGCTTTAGGACCCACCAGGGTGGCCCCAAACTCCCATGCCACTTCCTTGCCCTGAAACACCATCCTTGGTTTTCTTGCTTTTATTTGAAGTCCTGAGGCCTCAGCTCCTGTCTCACTTTCTGTCCGCCTTCCAGCCCATCTTAAACACTCTTGGTACATTTCTTGAGCGTTCCCTGTCACTCCTCGGGACTTCCTGTTTAGCCTCTCATATTTATTGCTCCGGGGGAGCCGGAGTTGGATCTTGTATGTCTTTTCTGCTTCCTTTGGGAGAAGCAAAATATAGTTGAAAAGGTACATGCCTGGCAGTCATATAGTCCTGGATTCGAACCCCGGCTTTGCTGCAATGAGCTGAGTGACTTTGAGCAAGTTGTGTGACCTTTCTGATGGCAGTCTCTTCTGTCTAGAGTTGTTTGTAAAAGCCACCTTAATGGGCTTTGGCACCACAGTTAAATATCTCTTGTCATCCCAGATTTAGTGCCTAGCCAGAAGTAGATGCTAAATAAATACTTTTTAAAGTGGTTTGCCTATGGTTGGATTGCTCGATTCAGATATGTCCAAAAGATAGATCAAAGCTAGAGGAAAGAAAGAGCTAAAACGAGCTATCCAAAGTTAGCGCCAATTATACTATGAAAAACATGTTGCCTGTGGATCCAAGATTGGCCAAGGGGTTTCCTCAGTGGAAATAGCAATTTGCTTGACCTAAAATTTCTCTTGAAGCCTTCACCAGCCCAAACTTGAGCTTATTCCTACGACCTTAGGTGTGCATATCTCTGAGTCATCCCATTGGAAGAGCGTTTACTGAGTACCTGATTTGGGTGATGAGCATGATGTCCTGCCTTAAGGAGCTCATTGTCATGGAGTCAAGCTCACTATCTCCCCTGCAGCACTCTGCACAATGCTGTGTGCAACTCAGGCGGTCAGTAAATGTTTGCATCCCTGAATGCAACCTGAGCCAACTCGCTCCAAGGTTTCTGCAATGGCAGCAAGGTTCTGCCAGTGCTACACATGCATAGGCATGGCCACTGACCACTCAGCTGCCAGTCCCACCTGGAATATTCTGGCTCTGCCATTTTTGCCTGAGGAATAGTCGGTGTATAAAGGCCCCGTAGCACAGTTCAAATTCCATTTGCAATGCAGCCAGCACATACTTGCATCCCTTCTGCAGGCAGGGTCCCCCAGGCTCGCCGCTGCAAGCTGCAAAAGTGTCTGACCGGTCCTGAGCGTTTGACGGGAAGTGACAGTTGCCTTGGAAGTGGATCTCCCAGGGGCACGACTTTTCTCGTGTTAAGTGCCCACTGCTGACAATGCTGACAGGCCTTGTACAGTGGGCACGTGTAGTGTTCTGACCTTGCTCCTGCCCCCAGGAGGCCAGCTTCACTGGCTTCACTGTGAGAGCGTGTCCTTGGGTCAGGTCAGCCAGCTGTCAACTGTGCCCCTGTAGGTTGTGCTGATGGAAGATATTTCAGCCCCTCCACTCACTTAAAACTCATCCATGATTGCTTTCAGCTTCTCTTTTTCTCTTTCTCTTTGTCTTTCTGGGTCTCTGGGTCTCCCGTTTCTCTCTCTGAGTTTCTGTTTTTGCTTCTCTCTCTAGTTCTATATACAGCAGTATCCTTCTTGCAACAGAAAGCATACTGTCAGAGGTCCTTCGCCGTAAACAGCTATTCAGATGAGAGGCCACGCCAGCGTATCTTGTCCATATGTTAATGAGCCAGGATCCAGAACCACAGGCTGACCTGGCCCACCATTTACCTGTCCTGGTACTAACAGCTGCTGCCACTGACAGAGACTGCATTTTCCTTGTGATAGAGAGGTCTGCTGTCTTCCCTGGGCACAGGAAGACTGTCTGATGAGGAAGGAAGAGGATTGTCAAAGAGCCAAGCAGTGTTCCTTGAAATGCATCTGGTTTTATTCATGTTGAGTCTTTCCAGGTGAACTGAACTAAATCATAAACTACAAAATGAAAGCAGATTTTTCTTAGCATGCCCATATGGAGCTCACTGAGGAGTTCACCACCATCCGTCAGCTCCCCTTGTCCCCCAGAGCACAGAGGATGTAATTGTTCTTCTCTTCCTGATCGGTAGATTGATGGTGTGGATAAGAAGCCTCTCCCATGGGCTTCTCAGAGGATCATCGCAGTCACTTTGACGGTCACAGAATGACCCATTGAGCTGCAGAACTGGGGAGCTGGGATCTGAGTAAGACTATTATACGTTGGGGTGCTTTTGAGTGGGATGTAAGCAGGCTGTGAAGTTTCAGCCATTTGTGACTTACCTGCCCCAAACCAAGAACAACAGAACCAGCACCATCCGGGGTGCATCTGGTCCTCGACAGATGTCTGGGCCTGCGGTAGGTCATCAGGGCTCCCTGGAGCTAATGCAGTGTGGAGCTTCCAGAAAAGATGCCCAGGCTGATTTCTTAACCAGTCCCAAAAAGCAAGTGCCAGACAAGGCAGGGCTGGAGGCTGGCAGTGCCCAGCTGGCTGAGGATGCCGCATCCTCCAGCCTAGTCTGCTTTGCTCTTTTTCTTCTACATACCCTCCTCCAGGTCTGAGGCCACTTTCAGCAAATTCCTATTAGGACATGCAGGTTCTTTGTACTCCCCACACCACCAGCCTCAGTCAACACTTACTGATTTAAACAAGTGAAAACCAAACATTTGGCCCCTAACTCTGGCCCTCCACGTTTAATAAATGAAGGACTCCCTCCCCTCACTGCCCCCAGCAGCGATGTCCTGATGACAGCGATTAGGCCAAGCTGCAGAACTTAACAAGCATCTGCTTTCAGTTCCCATTTTTGGCGTATTTTCATGAATTAACTCTTGCAGTGACAAAAATAGAGGGAGGCAGCCTGGGCCATGCCCCGTGTTCACGAGTCACATGGCAGGTACAGGAGCCACGGCACGCTTGGCCCAAATCATGACCGACAAGTAGAGCATATTTGCCTGTCGCCAATCCCTGTGGAGCACACAGTGATTATGTTCTACTCACATACGGAGACAGGTATGGACAGTGGCGTGGGGTGGGGAGGAGAGCCACATGTGTGGCTCCAGATCCCAAGAAAAAAGAGTTGGTGGATCTATTCCAAACGCCAGTCTGCCTGTGGAATCCCCAGCCCCTGTCAGGCAGTGGAGAGTCCTGTTCGGTATTGAATATAATCAGAGCTTCCCACCTGCTCCCTACTTTAAGCCACACTGATGTCACCAGTTCTAATTAAAACTGGCATGAGAGGCAGAGGGCTTTGTGGGCATATGGGGGTTGGGGTCTGGGACAAATAACTTGGATTATGCTCATAAAAGCAAAGAGATTGGAAGCACAGAGGCACATCAGAGGTCACAGCTTCAGTGCTGTGCCAAGAAAGGCCTCCTCCTAACTCACAGCAGGAGGGTCTGAGGCCAGGTGGGGAGAAGAGCAGTGGAGAAGTGGCGGATGGAAGAGATGGACCACACAGAGAGGAAGCAGGAGATCCTCTGCAATAGTTACAGTAACACAGCTCTGGCACGCACCAACAGAACCCAAGTCACATCCTCAAGGATGCACGAGAAAGGGTGAAGAATAAGGTCACTAACTAGGTAAGCCCAGATGGTAGAGCGGAGAGAGACTTCTTAGAGGTTCGCTACGGCGGAGTTTTCAGATGAGGAAAATTGAAGGTCCCAGGGGTGAAGTGAGCTGCTCACCTTACAAGTAGGAGTGCCCCGATTGCTGCTCATGCATCCGACCCCTAACTTCTCATCCAGAACACAAACCATGCCACCTCCTACTACAGTTCTTCCTTTTTTTCTTTTGGAGAATGACAGTGGTGCACATTTTCTAACCAGCAGCGTCTCATTCCTCATTACACTTGTGAGCCGAGGATCCATCACAAGCCAGTACTTCTGTGGAATTCCATATGGTATAAAAATAGTTTAGTCCCTCTTCATGTCGTGTAAGGAACATAATTAAGCTCTTTTATTGGGATATAGTTCACGTGCCATAAAATTCCATTTAAAGTGATCAGCGCATTGGTTTTTAGCATATTCAAAAGGTTATACAGCCATCACCCTTAGCTAATTCCAGAACTTTTCCATCACTCCAAAAAGAAGCCCTGTACCCATTAGCAATGACTCCCTAGTCTCCCCGTCTCCCCATCTCCTGGGAACCTCTAATCCACTTTTTGTCTTGATGGCCTTGCCTATTTTGGACATTGCATGTCAATGGACTCATAGACAGTGGGTGGCCTTTGTGCCTGGATCCTTCACTTGGCCTCATGTTTTTGAGGGTCATCCATGTTGTTGCATGTGTCAATGCTTCGCTCCTTTTTTTGGCTGAGTTGTAAGATTCCATTATGTGGGTAGACCACATTTTGTTTATTTGTTCATCAGTTAGTGGATATTTGGGTCATTTCCACTTTTGGCTATTATGAATAATGCTGATGTGAACATTTGTGTACAAGTTTTCGTGTGAACGTGCAATTTCAATTCCTTTGGGTGTACTAGGAGTTGAATTGCTGGGTCATGTGGTGACTCTGTTTAACTCTTTGAGGAATCAGCAAACTGTTTTCCCACAATGGCTGCACCAGTTTACATTCCCACCAGTCATGTGCAGGGGTTTCAATTTCTCAACATCCTTGCCAACACTTGTTATTATCTATTTTTAAAATTAGAGCCACTCTAGTGGATGTGATCTCTCCTTGTGGTTTCGATTTGCATTTCCCTAATGACTAATGATAGTGAAGCATCTCTTCATGCACTTACTGGCCATTTGTGTACCTTCACTGGTAAAATGTCTACCAGAATCCTTTGGCCTTTTTTAAAATTTAGCTACTTACGTTTTTATTGTTGAGTTATAATAATTAAGTTTTTTGCTGGACATATTTTCATGTCCAACACAATATCATAAAAGTGTTAAGTTTGTCACTTTATGCTTGATACTTCCCCCCGAAACAGTGAAATAGCATAAGCCCAAAACAAGAGAGGGCTGAGCACCACAACAGGCAGGGCCCTCGGAAGCTCTAGCCAAAAGAAGGTAATGGAATGAGGAAGGTAGGAAGAAAAATGAAGAAACTTCGTTTTAAAGCCAAAACACTGGAAAGCAGGTGACTGAGGCCTGTGTGTATATAGGCCCTTTCTTTAGGGCCTCTTCAGGTGTGCCTTAAAATGAGGACAGGAGCATGGGCCTGTTCTCTCCTGGCAAGGCCACTGCTGGGCAAATGGGCCTGCAGACAAGACACAAAGTGCTTTGAATTCAGTACTAAGAAAATTATCAGGCCCATGGAAGCCACTGGGAATATTACCAAGCAGTTACTATAGGGCAGGGCATGTGTCTTATTTAGCTTTAAGCTAAATACTCAGCACCTTACAAAAATAGTTTGGTTACTGAATGAATAAGCCCGCTGAAGATGAGATTTCAAGGTCATATAGATACGGCCTTTAGTCTCTCTTGTTATGGTTTATTACACTAACCTGGTGAACCAAATAGCATAACTATTAACATATTTTTAGCACTTTTTGCTATAAATGCATTTCTCCACCTATTTCAGAAGTACGTCTTTTGAATTACTGGACTGACCACACCTTCTTGCAGGAGGGACATGAGCCCACAGGTGCCCTGCAGTATTTGCATAGCTAGTGCGGCAGTAGGGAACTTGGTTCTGTGCTTCCCTCCAGACACCATCTTCTACCCCAGCCCAGAAGGTAATTAGACTAAGGAATCCTCTGAGGTCCATCTCTGGAATAGCCAGCTCCGGCTGAAGTCTCCATTAGCAGGTGGTTGGGGCCAAGCTTCCTCTGCCCTGGCCCATGGCATAAGCCATCTTTGCACATTATTTTCAAACTGTGAAAATAATGCCAGAGAAAGGAAGCACCCATTTGGGCTTCTCATTTTTCAGCCTCCCCAGCTCCTGAGGGCCCCTGCCTGATTTGCATTCTTAGCTAAATTTGCATAACAGAACACACCAGAACTTCCCTGGACCAACTGTGGTAAGCGGGCAAGTTTTGTTTTTGTTTTGTTTGGGTTTTTCATCTCCTGCCATGTCTCCAGCAGGTTTCTTGTTACATCCAAATGACATGGAGATTAGGTTTCACGAATGTCATTGGCCCATGTTTCAACCAGCCCCTCCCCCTGGACCCAGAGTTCCTCCAAGATCAACCCCCAGGCACTGGAGATGGCTTTGGGGAGCAGCCTTCGCCAGCCTGGAGGAAGGCAAATCCTTGTGCTTCTCACGCTCCCGTGCCTCTTCACCATCTCCGGCCCAGGCAGCTGTGTGTCCTTCAGTTATATGCTCAAGGGTTATTTTTTTCCCTTTCCTTTTCCCCCAAACCCGGAAACAATATTTTGGGAGTAAAGGGAGGGTGCGGGAGGAAGAGTCACAGGGGACAGAAGCAAGCATGCAGCTGCCAAAGCCACACTGCTCTGCAGACGGAACCCTCTAGACTCATTCAGCACAATGTGGCTGTGGAGGAAATCCTGCCGAGCCGATGATAAGGGGGGAAATGGAGTCACTTCCTCACCAGCTGCTTTATTCAGGTAGAAAAAAGTCCTCACTTCCTTGCGTGTGCTCTGCCGGCCACCACTCCCAGCCGCCAGTGCGGCTTGCTCCCCCTCTTGCTCTGAGCCAACTCTGGTGTCAGGAGAATCTTGCTTGGCTTCATGGAGCGCTCTTTCTGCAAGACAAGTGTCTGTCTACCCCACTTCCTCCTTCATGTCCTTTCTCTTTCTCCTGGCGTTCTCTCTCACCTGACGGTTGCATGTCATAGATTCTGTGTGGCCGCAGTAGTCACAGATAGTATTGCCAATGAGTCTCCAGCCCTCTTGGTGGAATCTAGGATCAGGACATACCCAGTGGTCTCTACGTTTGCATAGATGTCTAGAAACAGCCTTTGACCTCTGGTCGTCTCCCCTGCCCTGCACCACAGGCACCAATGCTGCCCCTCTTGCCAATGCCCTGCTATTGTCCTTTCACCCTCTTAGGCAGCACTTGTCAAAGTTTGTCTTCCTAATACTCCAAACATAGCAGCAGTCTCCTTGACAGAGGGGTTAGGGGCCAAATGAGTTTGGAAAATGCTACTCCCTTTCTTGGAGAATCAAGCACCTGTGAGTGGGGGTGATAATATTTACTAACCAATATAGCAGGGACACTGACCAGTCAGATCCCTCTGTGTCCTTGGGAACCGGCTAACCATCAGTCCCTGGGAGGAGGACACTAGAGGCTGCTGCTGAAAGAAAAAAAAAGCACTGAATTTTATCTAAGCCAGTCCTTTATTTGGTCTCTGAATACTCCCCTTTTAAAAAAATATTATCTATTAGGATGTTTGAAAAATCTGCCATATAGTAAAACAAATCAGTTTGTTTCAGCTCCACAAACATTTGCTGAGTTCCTAACGTATGACAGACACATGCTCCAGGGATCCAAAGATAAATAAAACATGGTCCTGCACCTCCAGGTGCTAATAGTTGAATGGGGAAGGCAGACATGTAAACAGATGATCTTCGTATAATACTGTGAACAGGGAACAGCCGAGGATTATTTAGCTCAACCTAGGGATTTGGAGAAAGTTGCTTGCAGAAAATGATTGAGCTGAATCTCTGAATGAACCAAAGTTGACTTAAGAGTGACAAGCTGAGCAGGAGAACTAGGTTGGAGCCAGAGCATTGGGAACCTTAGACTTAAGCATGGAAGCAACAGATTTGATTCTGAATGGATCACTCTGGCTGCAGTACACAGAAGAGATTTACAGGCAAAGCACAAGACTCAGACAGAGGCAGAGAGATCAGACTGGAAATCACAGCAGTGATCCTGGGGAGAGAAGGTAAAGGGAGAGAGAAGTGTTCAGGTGGTAAAATTGGCAGTGCATCTACTGCCCTGTTCTGTCCTGTCCCCTGGCCTTTACCACTTCAGTGCTCACTAACTTCACCTCCAGCTATAAGAGATGTGGCATCTGTATCTATTTCCTTGATTGGTACTTCACCTGTGACATGGCCAGCTAGGAGTGCTGGGGTATTGACATTCCATAGGAGCAACCTTCAACCAATGAATAGCAGGAGTTGGTGTATAAATACCCCAGCTCCCTAGTCCCTCAGTGGGTTAACAAGAGATGCATGGTCTACACCGGCCCTCAGATTTCCCTGGCAGGAGTAAGCTCTGTTTGCCGGTAGCAATAACTTGCTTGATGAGGTAACTCATGCATGAGTCTTTTCCTTTTTTTCTCTCCCTTCCCTGCTCCCCTTAGAGTTCCTAGCATCATCTCCCAAATAAACCACTTGCACTCAAATCTTTGTCTTAGGGTCTGTTTCTAAGGGAGTCTAACCTATGGCCATGGGATTTACTGTTGAATGAATATGGGGCATGAGGAAGAGAAAAACATCTAGGAGACTCTGAGGCTGTAGGTTTACTTGATGCCATAGCCAGGTTGAAGACAGGAAGAGAGGGAGGCTTGATGGAGGGAGTGATGATAGCTTGAGTTTGGGGCAGGTTGATCGAACTCCCTAGGGGATGTCTTAGAAAGCAATTGGAATAAGTATTTGCCAGTTAGGGGAGAAAGTGAGACTGGATATAAAGATGTTAGGAACATTATCATAGGGGTGGTATATAAGACCAAGAGAGTGAAAGAGATTGGTCAAAGAGAGAAAAGAAAATGTCCAGACAGAAGCCTGATGGGCAGCATCGAGAACTTATCAGAATAGGCCAGGGAGGAGGTGCCCCTGAGGGAGACAGAGAGGAAATTCTTCAGGAGGAAGGAGGTAGCCCAAAGGGAGCAGAGTCACGGAAGACCCTCAGTGGTCTTGGTGTCCGGGGCATCAGAGCACCTACTAAGATACAACCTCACACCCAGTGAATTTAGCCACATGGAGGGTATTGGTGGTCTCTGTGGGGGTGGTTTCAGAGGCACAGTATAGGAAGAAGCCAGACTGAATGGGTTCAAATGTGGGTGGGAAGTGAGCCAATGAGTGTGGCTTGGCAGCTTTTCTAGGAGGGCAGAGACAGAGAAGATAATGGTTAGGGTGGAGCACGCATCAGCACAGACATTTTGAGGATACCTGAGGTCAGAAAGGAAGGATGCGATTGAAATTGTAATTGAGAGCAGGGACAATTGACGGAGGAAGGTTCCTGAAGCAATGGGAGATGGTGGAATCAGGGTGAAGTGTGGAGAGGAGCAGGGAAGGACAGGCAGAAATGGACATTTGTGCATGGGCCAGGGTGGAAAGCTGTGGTAATTCTTGCCCAATGATCCCAGTTTTCTCAGAGAAGTAAAAGGCAGTGTTCACTGCCAAAAGGTGAGGAAGATGTGTGAGACAAGTGGTGGCTGTTGGGAACAGTCATCAAAAGGAACAGAAAAGATCTGACAAAGAATAAAGAATTGCTAGGTGGTGTCAGAACTCACTGAGTTTAGAGACCATGAATTTCCAGCAGCACCTGCCTGCAAGGTTGGGTAACTTTCTTCAGCACCACTTGGAAGCCCAGATGAGACTTGTTTTGGGCTGGAGTCCAAGTTGGGGCAGAGAGGAAGGTCGGGATGGGAGGAAGCAAGTTGAGGGAGGCAGGGAGGAGGTTCCCTGGGTAGAGAGAAGAACCAGCTGCTTGCCAGCATTCTAACCAGTGACATGCAGGAGGCAGGTGAAACCCAGCCTTCACGCTCCTGTCCACCACGAATTTCCTTATGAATACACACTGTAAGGAATTTGCTTTACCTGTCAAAGTTTCACTCACCTCACCTATTTAAAAAAAGAGCTAATATCTTTATTAGACATTATTAAACCAATTCAGGGAATCTGAACATACTTTGAGGTTCCTTCCAGCCCAGAGTTTTCTGTTACAGTGATTCTCCCTTTCCTTTTTTCTTCCTAACCCTAAAGTTGTCATGAGAGAAGAGATCCCCAGAGGTCCCCATGGAGACAAAATTATAAACTCATGAAAAATAGAAAATATCAAAGTCATTCGATAGCTGTGTTTGATTTCCCATTGGCATGGTCTGATTTTCTTTTTACTTTCTTCTTACTGCCGATGAGACTCTGCAGTCTGCAGGAACAAAATGGCGGCACCCATTGATTTAGTTTAGTTCAAATGTGCACATAGAGGCATTACCTCTCTCTAGAGTGTAAGCTCTTTGGGGACAGGGTGGCTTTTCTCCCTTAGAATTCCCTTCGATTGTATAACGTCTGCATGCATAGTCAGCTCAAAGACTGTGGAATGTAGCTGAATTTCGAATTTGCTTATAGCCAGCCAAGCCATATTAAATTTCCCCAGTATATAGAGAGCTGAGAACACACACTGAGCTCGGGGCCTGAACCTCTTATTGCAGGCATTGGTCTGAGGGGCAGAGCTCATGAGAGTTCTTCTGGGCCAGGGTCTAAGGAGGCCCTCACTTAACCGGGGGCCTGTTGCATGGTTCTAGGTCATGGCTGCTGCCTGGGAGCCCATGTCTCCCCACTACTAGACATCATCTCCCAGCATTTTTGTCTGTCAAATTATGGAGTCTGGATTTTTTTCAGATTAAGTAAGCACTTAGAATGTAACATTATTCTATGTAGTATATATTGAAATATATTTCATAAATAGTAATATACATGTTTGTATTGAATTAGAAAAGACAGCTAAGGAAAAAAATCAGAATAGCCTCTTAAATGCCATGTCCTCATGCCTACTTCTGCCTTCAACGATAATCACTGTTAACATCTTTGCGTTTTCCTTTATATTATTTTTTTCTGTTTGTAAACGCGCACATGTATATGTTAGGTTTTTACAGAAGTGGAATCGTGTTTTGCTGACCGTTTTGTCCTGCTTTACTCAATATGACCTTAGGAACACAATTTCTTGCCAATAACTATAGGGTATGACTTTTAATGCTGAACAGCACTCCATCATGTGGACGCGCTGTCAGTCATCTATTTTCAGACATTTGTTTCCAGGTTTATGCTATTATACATAATCTGTGCACTTTATTATTTTTCCAAAATAAATAACTGGAAGTGAAATTACTAACAAAAGCTTTTTAAAAGCCTTTTGATATGCATTACCAAATTCAAAAGGTCTCCATGTTTACCTTTACCTGGGCATAAGGGTTATTTTGGGACCCCCGCCCATATCCCCAACCGCATGCCATTCTTTTCAGCACTTAGAATTAACCTTCTCTTCCATTCTTGACAATCTGACCTTTTTTAAAAAAAATTCTCATTTTAGGTTTACGTGAAATTTCTCGAAGTGGACCAGGGGTGGTGGCTCATGCCTGTAATCCCAGCACTTTGGGAGGCCAAGGTGGGAGGATCACTTGAGGCCAGGAGTTTGAATCCAGCCTGGCCAACATGAAACCCTTTCTCTACTAAAAATACAAAAATTAGCCGGGCGTAGTAGAGGGTACCTGTAGTCCCAGTTACACGGGAGGCTGAGGCAGAAGAATTGCTTGAACCTGGGAGCCACTGCACTCCAGCCTGAGTGACAGTGGCTCCATCTCAAAAAAAAAAAAAAAAAAAAATTCTTGAAGGTTCTGAACGGAAAAGGAAAATGTTGGAGGATGGCTGCCTCCCAGGTGGGAGTGCTCCATGGCCCGGAGGGGTGAGGACACCTTTGCTGAGTTTAGGAGTCTTGACCCTGGTCTGTTCCCGTCCACACCTACCTGGCCTGGTTCCAAACCTGCAGCAAGGCTGCGGCTGGGAGTTTAGCCATCCTGTCCCCTTGGGCCAGCCCTGGGTGGAACTCAGATCCTCTGTGGCCTCTGAATTGGAAATTTATGGGGAAGCCACTGTGGACAGAGCCACCAGAGCTGAGGCCCTGCCCATCTCCTCCTCATAGGAGGAGCCGGTGCCAGCCTTTCCGTGTGAACCTGTGATCCGTGAAGTCGGGTAAGCCCTTGCCAGTCCTGACATGAGCAAGGGACACAGAGCTTCCTAAATATATAGACTGGGATTTTGTCCGAATCACATGACGACCCAGGTTTTCTTTTTCCCTCTTTGTTGCTTTTAATACATAAAATGAGCATGTGTTTATTTAAAACAGCTTTCAAACTCAAACAAATAATGACAGACTGTTCAAACAGACTTCGGAAATCGCCCCAATCAGGATGTTTGAAAAATCAGGAAGACTTTCTACGAAAGAAGCTTTCAGGTCATTTTAGTCCCGAAGCCGCAGGGTCTCCTTTGCACTTTGGAATTGTAGAAGGGCAAAGTTTAGAGGCCAGCTCCAACCTCCAGGGGGTTAAATGACTTGCCCTCTAGCCCTACACTCTAATAATGTGTAAAGAAGGACAGATAGGTAGGCATTGTATTATCACTTCCCATCTTTGACCAGAACACGGGATGTATACATTTTAATTCATAATTCCTATAGAAATTACGGACTATCCTCAGATCAGAAAGCTAAGAGAGGAAATTGCTTCTGCAAAACGGCAGGCTCAGCAGAACTTCTTGGGGGAAGGGCAGGTTGAGTAGGTGCGGAGCAGGTCTGCAAGAGGACAGACAAGAGCAAGGTGTTTGTTCTGCCACGAGCTCACTTTCTGTATCCAATTTACAAATGGCTTTGAGTGACCTACGTTAATCTTCACAATAATGAATTTTATGGCTATGGATGAAGTAAATGAGGCTCGGGGCTGGGTTATCTGCTGAAGGTTATAAACTAATAAAATATCAAAGCCAGGGTTCACCCACACTCCTCCTCCAAGTCCCATGCCCTTCTCAGCCCCCTGGGATGGCAACAGCATCTCTATGCTGAGGCTTTGGGCCAAGAGCTGCTAGTTTAGCTCATCTCACTCTAGAAATGACATTGTTCTACGTAATGCATATCAGAAATGGCCTGTTAGGTTCATGAGAAGCACTGTTATTTGTGTGGGGGTGAGGGTGGTGAGAGGGAATTATTCCAGCTCTGAGGAGGTGGGGATATTTGGGACAGCATTTCTTCTGCTCTCCAGCACTGTGTGCCAGACCAACTGGGAGAAAATGCCAGCTGGAGTATGTCCCTGCATCCTCCGGTTTCCCAGGATGGCTTCAGGTCCAGACAGGACAAATGATCAGGGGCTTAGTCTGGTTCAGATTTTGCCACACAAAACTCTGTTGATTACTAAAGGGATTCAGAGCCCGGCCACTGACCTTCTCAATGTCAAGCCAAATTGCAGACAACCTATTGCCAGTGCCCTGACAAATTTGGGGTGTCTTTTGGCTGGGCTATTGGGGGTTTCAGCCTACCCATCCCTCAGAGAGAGAAGCATGGATGGGAGGACTAGTTGACATTTGCAGCCGTGTCTGTGATGTCTTGGGTTGCTCCCTGGAAGAGGCAGAGTTCTGGCTTGTGGAGAAGTCCTGACTCCTTCCTGCCCCACTGATCCCTGCTTATATGGAGAGGGGTGTGCATCTTGGCAGACAATCATGATTGTGCCTTAGCTCTGTGCTAAGAGCACTAAACACACATTTTATGTACGTCTATTGCCTCGCTTTTCTAACACTGAAATTTAGAAATGTTTAACAATAGATATTTAAAAAGAAGAAGAAAGCCCTTGCGCCCTCTCCTGGTAAAAGTTAACCAAGGACCTCCAAAGATGCAGAAGGCCCACTGGGTTAGCAGTCGCTGGTCTGGGCTAGCTGATTGTGCTGATTTGACCAATGCTGTTGACACACAGGATGGGTCATCTGTTCTTCTATGGTCTGTGATTACAGAGCATCTTATAAACCAGAGTTTCTCAGCCTCGGCCCTGTTAGCATTGGGGGGCTGCCCTGTGCATTGTGGGATGTTGAACAGCATCCGCGGCCTCTGCCCACTAGATACCAGTAGCACCCTCACCCCAAATCATGACCACTAAAAATGCTTCCAAACATTGCCAAATGTCCCCTGGGGGACAGGATCACTCTCAGTGTGACCCTCGCCCTAAATTCTTGCCTGCCTTTTGTAAAAGGTGGCATTGGTTGGAGGGCAATCCATGAGAATGTGAGGATGGCTCAAGGCAAGCCCTTCATGATGTCTGGAAGCAATATTGATGACTGGTTAACTGAGGTCACTTCTAGGAGTTTGTTTCAAAAAAGCAACTGAACAAATAGACAAGAATTTATATACAAAAATATATCATGATATTGTTTATAATAGCAAAAGTTTTAAACACTATAAACATGAATTTTTTAAAGTATGGCACATTTTATATATCATGAAAATAATTGTATAAATCTATATTTAATAATGTGGAAAGTTACCCTAACAATGCTTTAAATCCTCATCAAGACTACCTCAGGATTCTCAGAGGCTGTTACATATAGAAGGAGTAATTTCAAACAGATTCATAAGCATTTGGGTAAAGCATTAAGCCAAAGACCAATGATTGTATTCAGAAAGCTTAAGTGAACAAACATTTACTACGCACCTATAGTGCACCACAACCATGCCCAGCATGAGGGAGACAAAGAGAATCCCTGGTCCCACTGCTACAGCCCTTGCCCCAGAGAAAGGGAACCCCTCTGTGCACTGTTGGAGCCCCTCCCAACAGCGATGTCCAGGGTCATGGTATGTTACTGTTTCCTGTAATAAAACTGTGTGCTTTGAGTCAGGGTTGTTGGGAATAATGTGAAACTATTCTTGTTTTCTTCTTCATCCTGAATAAATCAGAAGTAAAAAGAATTCATTTACTGATTTATATATTCAAATATTCATTCAGAAAGTTGTCCAAATACTCATTGGACCCAAATGTGAAACATAATCTCCCCAAAATCTAGGAAATGAGCAATTGGTGATTTGCTCAATCCAAGCCCATCCAGAGGGTAGACTTTGCTACAACACACTACAGACCCGACTTGAGATGGAGAGATAGGAATGGAAGGGAGACACTTTTTGTCTCTCAGGGACCTGCACATCCAGTGACACACCCCTGATCTCCTGCCTTGTGAGATCCACAATTTGAGTAAATGCAGAGTTGTGGTCGTCCAGTCTAGCCACCCCCAAGAGAAACCCCCTGACAGCTCCCTTTCCCCAGGAGAACCTTGACCTTAGAGGTTGGCACTGCACCAGTCAAGGCCGCCCTTGGCCCCTCCACTGACTGAGCCCTTGACTGACCAAATGCTCTCATAGAGCTGCCGTTAGCCACGCCAGGGCATCAGCAGAGAGAAGGGTGCTGGTTTCTATCTGGGTTCAAAGCCTGGCTCTGCCACTTGTTAAAAAGTCTCTTATTCCCTGCGATTCTCAGCTTTTTCATCTTCAGAACAGAAACAAATAAAATAACTTCATAAGATTGGTACAAAGAATTAGCTGGATGAGAAAGCGCATGCCTTTAATCCCAGAACTTTGGGAGGCTGAGGCAGGAGACTCACTTGAGCCCAGGAGTTCAAGACCAGCCTGGAAAGTATAGTAAGACCCTATCTCTACAAAAAATTTAAAAATTAGCCAAGCATGGTAATCCTAGGTACTCAGGAGGCGGAGGCAGGAGGATCACTCTTGAGTCCAACAGTTCGAGGCTGCAGTGGGTCATGATTGCACCACTGCACTGCAGCCTGGGCAACAGAGCAAGACTCTTGTCTCTAAAAAAAAAAAAAGAAAGAAAAAGTTTGGTACAAAGACTAAAATAATGCATGTCAGACATTTGATAAGATGTCAACACTCAATCGAGGAGTGTGACGGTCATCATCATTGCTAGATTTTATTACTTTTATGGATGGGCATGCTAGCTAAAATTGCAAAACCTCTAATATTTTCTAACTGCCTCTGCTGTTTTTCTCCTCGGCCCTTAGCACTCTCTCCTACACCATGTGATAATTTATATTGATTGCTGTCTATACTGTTCCACTCAATGGAAGCTTCGTGAAGTAGGAACTTTTAGTCTATTTTATGCACTGCTGTATCTCTAAGATGGCTGGCACGTAAAGAGGGTCTCAATAAATATGCCTTGAATTAATGAAAACAGTGGTTTCTGAATCATGGCCTCCAAAGAGCATTTGCCTTTTCCCCTCTCACCCTTCTGAAGGTGCCCAGGCTGCCCTGGCAGGATGCCTCTTTCTCTGTGGGGTGGCATTCTCTGCTCTCTCTCTAATACTCTTTCTTTTTCTTCCCTCCTCTCCCCCAACTGCAGGATGCCTTTGTGGAACTGTACGGCCCCAGCATGCGGCCTCTGTTTGATTTCTCCTGGCTGTCTCTGAAGACTCTGCTCAGTTTGGCCCTGGTGGGAGCTTGCATCACCCTGGGTGCCTATCTGGGCCACAAGTGAAGTCAACATGCCTGCCCCAAACAAATATGCAAAAGGTTCACTAAAGCAGTAGAAATAATATGCATTGTCAGTGATGTACCATGAAACAAAGCTGCAGGCTGTTTAAGAAAAAATAACACACATATAAACATCACACACACAGACAGACACACACACACACAACAATTAACAGTCTTCAGGCAAAACGTCGAATCAGCTATTTACTGCCAAAGGGAAATATCATTTATTTTTTACATTATTAAGAAAAAAAGATTTATTTATTTAAGACAGTCCCATCAAAACTCCTGTCTTTGGAAATCCGACCACTAATTGCCAAGCACCGCTTCGTGTGGCTCCACCTGGATGTTCTGTGCCTGTAAACATAGATTCGCTTTCCATGTTGTTGGCCGGATCACCATCTGAAGAGCAGACGGATGGAAAAAGGACCTGATCATTGGGGAAGCTGGCTTTCTGGCTGCTGGAGGCTGGGGAGAAGGTGTTCATTCACTTGCATTTCTTTGCCCTGGGGGCTGTGATATTAACAGAGGGAGGGTTCCTGTGGGGGGAAGTCCATGCCTCCCTGGCCTGAAGAAGAGACTCTTTGCATATGACTCACATGATGCATACCTGGTGGGAGGAAAAGAGTTGGGAACTTCAGATGGACCTAGTACCCACTGAGATTTCCACGCCGAAGGACAGCGATGGGAAAAATGCCCTTAAATCATAGGAAAGTATTTTTTTAAGCTACCAATTGTGCCGAGAAAAGCATTTTAGCAATTTATACAATATCATCCAGTACCTTAAGCCCTGATTGTGTATATTCATATATTTTGGATACGCACCCCCCAACTCCCAATACTGGCTCTGTCTGAGTAAGAAACAGAATCCTCTGGAACTTGAGGAAGTGAACATTTCGGTGACTTCCGCATCAGGAAGGCTAGAGTTACCCAGAGCATCAGGCCGCCACAAGTGCCTGCTTTTAGGAGACCGAAGTCCGCAGAACCTGCCTGTGTCCCAGCTTGGAGGCCTGGTCCTGGAACTGAGCCGGGGCCCTCACTGGCCTCCTCCAGGGATGATCAACAGGGCAGTGTGGTCTCCGAATGTCTGGAAGCTGATGGAGCTCAGAATTCCACTGTCAAGAAAGAGCAGTAGAGGGGTGTGGCTGGGCCTGTCACCCTGGGGCCCTCCAGGTAGGCCCGTTTTCACGTGGAGCATGGGAGCCACGACCCTTCTTAAGACATGTATCACTGTAGAGGGAAGGAACAGAGGCCCTGGGCCCTTCCTATCAGAAGGACATGGTGAAGGCTGGGAACGTGAGGAGAGGCAATGGCCACGGCCCATTTTGGCTGTAGCACATGGCACGTTGGCTGTGTGGCCTTGGCCCACCTGTGAGTTTAAAGCAAGGCTTTAAATGACTTTGGAGAGGGTCACAAATCCTAAAAGAAGCATTGAAGTGAGGTGTCATGGATTAATTGACCCCTGTCTATGGAATTACATGTAAAACATTATCTTGTCACTGTAGTTTGGTTTTATTTGAAAACCTGACAAAAAAAAAGTTCCAGGTGTGGAATATGGGGGTTATCTGTACATCCTGGGGCATTAAAAAAAAAATCAATGGTGGGGAACTATAAAGAAGTAACAAAAGAAGTGACATCTTCAGCAAATAAACTAGGAAATTTTTTTTTCTTCCAGTTTAGAATCAGCCTTGAAACATTGATGGAATAACTCTGTGGCATTATTGCATTATATACCATTTATCTGTATTAACTTTGGAATGTACTCTGTTCAATGTTTAATGCTGTGGTTGATATTTCGAAAGCTGCTTTAAAAAAATACATGCATCTCAGCGTTTTTTTGTTTTTAATTGTATTTAGTTATGGCCTATACACTATTTGTGAGCAAAGGTGATCGTTTTCTGTTTGAGATTTTTATCTCTTGATTCTTCAAAAGCATTCTGAGAAGGTGAGATAAGCCCTGAGTCTCAGCTACCTAAGAAAAACCTGGATGTCACTGGCCACTGAGGAGCTTTGTTTCAACCAAGTCATGTGCATTTCCACGTCAACAGAATTGTTTATTGTGACAGTTATATCTGTTGTCCCTTTGACCTTGTTTCTTGAAGGTTTCCTCGTCCCTGGGCAATTCCGCATTTAATTCATGGTATTCAGGATTACATGCATGTTTGGTTAAACCCATGAGATTCATTCAGTTAAAAATCCAGATGGCAAATGACCAGCAGATTCAAATCTATGGTGGTTTGACCTTTAGAGAGTTGCTTTACGTGGCCTGTTTCAACACAGACCCACCCAGAGCCCTCCTGCCCTCCTTCCGCGGGGGCTTTCTCATGGCTGTCCTTCAGGGTCTTCCTGAAATGCAGTGGTGCTTACGCTCCACCAAGAAAGCAGGAAACCTGTGGTATGAAGCCAGACCTCCCCGGCGGGCCTCAGGGAACAGAATGATCAGACCTTTGAATGATTCTAATTTTTAAGCAAAATATTATTTTATGAAAGGTTTACATTGTCAAAGTGATGAATATGGAATATCCAATCCTGTGCTGCTATCCTGCCAAAATCATTTTAATGGAGTCAGTTTGCAGTATGCTCCACGTGGTAAGATCCTCCAAGCTGCTTTAGAAGTAACAATGAAGAACGTGGACGTTTTTAATATAAAGCCTGTTTTGTCTTTTGTTGTTGTTCAAACGGGATTCACAGAGTATTTGAAAAATGTATATATATTAAGAGGTCACGGGGGCTAATTGCTGGCTGGCTGCCTTTTGCTGTGGGGTTTTGTTACCTGGTTTTAATAACAGTAAATGTGCCCAGCCTCTTGGCCCCAGAACTGTACAGTATTGTGGCTGCACTTGCTCTAAGAGTAGTTGATGTTGCATTTTCCTTATTGTTAAAAACATGTTAGAAGCAATGAATGTATATAAAAGCCTCAACTAGTCATTTTTTTCTCCTCTTCTTTTTTTTCATTATATCTAATTATTTTGCAGTTGGGCAACAGAGAACCATCCCTATTTTGTATTGAAGAGGGATTCACATCTGCATCTTAACTGCTCTTTATGAATGAAAAAACAGTCCTCTGTATGTACTCCTCTTTACACTGGCCAGGGTCAGAGTTAAATAGAGTATATGCACTTTCCAAATTGGGGACAAGGGCTCTAAAAAAAGCCCCAAAAGGAGAAGAACATCTGAGAACCTCCTCGGCCCTCCCAGTCCCTCGCTGCACAAATACTCCGCAAGAGAGGCCAGAATGACAGCTGACAGGGTCTATGGCCATCGGGTCGTCTCCGAAGATTTGGCAGGGGCAGAAAACTCTGGCAGGCTTAAGATTTGGAATAAAGTCACAGAATTAAGGAAGCACCTCAATTTAGTTCAAACAAGACGCCAACATTCTCTCCACAGCTCACTTACCTCTCTGTGTTCAGATGTGGCCTTCCATTTATATGTGATCTTTGTTTTATTAGTAAATGCTTATCATCTAAAGATGTAGCTCTGGCCCAGTGGGAAAAATTAGGAAGTGATTATAAATCGAGAGGAGTTATAATAATCAAGATTAAATGTAAATAATCAGGGCAATCCCAACACATGTCTAGCTTTCACCTCCAGGATCTATTGAGTGAACAGAATTGCAAATAGTCTCTATTTGTAATTGAACTTATCCTAAAACAAATAGTTTATAAATGTGAACTTAAACTCTAATTAATTCCAACTGTACTTTTAAGGCAGTGGCTGTTTTTAGACTTTCTTATCACTTATAGTTAGTAATGTACACCTACTCTATCAGAGAAAAACAGGAAAGGCTCGAAATACAAGCCATTCTAAGGAAATTAGGGAGTCAGTTGAAATTCTATTCTGATCTTATTCTGTGGTGTCTTTTGCAGCCCAGACAAATGTGGTTACACACTTTTTAAGAAATACAATTCTACATTGTCAAGCTTATGAAGGTTCCAATCAGATCTTTATTGTTATTCAATTTGGATCTTTCAGGGATTTTTTTTTTAAATTATTATGGGACAAAGGACATTTGTTGGAGGGGTGGGAGGGAGGAAGAATTTTTAAATGTAAAACATTCCCAAGTTTGGATCAGGGAGTTGGAAGTTTTCAGAATAACCAGAACTAAGGGTATGAAGGACCTGTATTGGGGTCGATGTGATGCCTCTGCGAAGAACCTTGTGTGACAAATGAGAAACATTTTGAAGTTTGTGGTACGACCTTTAGATTCCAGAGACATCAGCATGGCTCAAAGTGCAGCTCCGTTTGGCAGTGCAATGGTATAAATTTCAAGCTGGATATGTCTAATGGGTATTTAAACAATAAATGTGCAGTTTTAACTAACAGGATATTTAATGACAACCTTCTGGTTGGTAGGGACATCTGTTTCTAAATGTTTATTATGTACAATACAGAAAAAAATTTTATAAAATTAAGCAATGTGAAACTGAATTGGAGAGTGATAATACAAGTCCTTTAGTCTTACCCAGTGAATCATTCTGTTCCATGTCTTTGGACAACCATGACCTTGGACAATCATGAAATATGCATCTCACTGGATGCAAAGAAAATCAGATGGAGCATGAATGGTACTGTACCGGTTCATCTGGACTGCCCCAGAAAAATAACTTCAAGCAAACATCCTATCAACAACAAGGTTGTTCTGCATACCAAGCTGAGCACAGAAGATGGGAACACTGGTGGAGGATGGAAAGGCTCGCTCAATCAAGAAAATTCTGAGACTATTAATAAATAAGACTGTAGTGTAGATACTGAGTAAATCCATGCACCTAAACCTTTTGGAAAATCTGCCGTGGGCCCTCCAGATAGCTCATTTCATTAAGTTTTTCCCTCCAAGGTAGAATTTGCAAGAGTGACAGTGGATTGCATTTCTTTTGGGGAAGCTTTCTTTTGGTGGTTTTGTTTATTATACCTTCTTAAGTTTTCAACCAAGGTTTGCTTTTGTTTTGAGTTACTGGGGTTATTTTTGTTTTAAATAAAAATAAGTGTACAATAAGTGTTTTTGTATTGAAAGCTTTTGTTATCAAGATTTTCATACTTTTACCTTCCATGGCTCTTTTTAAGATTGATACTTTTAAGAGGTGGCTGATATTCTGCAACACTGTACACATAAAAAATACGGTAAGGATACTTTACATGGTTAAGGTAAAGTAAGTCTCCAGTTGGCCACCATTAGCTATAATGGCACTTTGTTTGTGTTGTTGGAAAAAGTCACATTGCCATTAAACTTTCCTTGTCTGTCTAGTTAATATTGTGAAGAAAAATAAAGTACAGTGTGAGATACTGGTTGTGCCTGGAATTGTTTATAATGTGTTAACATGATTTTGCCCTGCCATTCATCATCATTACACAAGACTTTGAAAAGCCTTCTTAACAAGCCAGTAAAATCACCAGGACCCTACTCTAATGAAGCCCTCAGGGACCAGGCTAAGGGATTGCCTTACAGGTGAAACCACCTTAGAAGGAGACTCTTGTTTCTTGGTAATAACCCTCCTGGTTAGGTACAAGATAGACCAGTCTTGAGTTCTACTCCCTGGGAGAGCTACTGTTGCTGTTGAGTGTGTTCTTCCATATAGACCAGAGATCCCAGCCTCTGCATTTTATAAGATGAAATGTGTATGAAAAAGAGGGAAATAAGCTGAAAGTTCTGTTTTGAAGTCAACATTTTTAGATGGAACCAAAGCAGCTACTTGCTTTGGAGCAGGTGAACCCTAAATGGCAAGGGATCTGATGTTTCCCACTGGGTTCAGGTCCTGATACCCTAATCCTCAACCCTTCAAGTCACATCACTTAGACTCAATTAAAAGGACTCTGATAGTAGCATTCATCTGTTGAGCACCTGCTGGATACAACACTGTATGCATACTACCTTTTGCTCTCAAACCTTTCAAGGTAGGTATTGGCCTCTTGTATTTTGTAGGAGATAACTGAGACTCAAGACGTTGAAACTATATGCCCAAGTTCTCAATAATCATAAATTACAGAGGCAGTATTTGAGCCCTGGTGTGGCTGACTCCAAGGTCCATACTCCATCCTTTGAATCGGTAGCCTCCAAATTGCTGCACTTGGAACCATGGTGGCACAGCCTTCCCAAGGAGTACCCAGGCATGGGATGTTTAGAAGAATCAATGTTCTCAACACCCATGGGTACTCCTTCATAAACCGATTTCCGTGAGCACACCCCTGAGTTCAGACAACTCTCCTCACTCTCCCCTTTCACAATCATCTGTCACACTTCTCAGAAGAGGGACACACTCCTCCCTCTGTCTGAATCTAACTGTGATGCCCTGCGGTACTGAGTGTCTCATACTGGCCCGGAGAGCTGACTGTGTGCCTGTCATCCCAAGCGTGTGTCAGTGAGGTCAGGTTAGTGGCTTGTAATTGGCCTTGGTGGCCGGGTGCGGTGGCTCACGCCTGTAATCCCAGCACTTTGGGAGGCCGAGGCCAGCGGATCATGAGGTCAAGAGTTTGAGACCAGCCTGGCCAACGTGGTGAAACGCCATCTCTACTAAAAATACAAAAACTAGCAGGGTGTGGTGGCGGGCACCTGTAATCCCAGCTACTCGGGAGGCTGAGGCAGGAGAATTGCTTGAACCCAATAGGTGGAGGTTGCAGTGAGCTGAGATCACACCATTGTACTCCAGCCTGGGTGACAGAGCAAAACATGAACATTAAAAAAAAAAAAAAAAAAAGAAAGAAAAAGAAAAAAAAATTGGCTGTGGTGGAAGCCTTTATACCATGTAAACGAACAAAAGCTATAAAGCAGGGCTTTCTTTTCTTTGCCTTTTTCTTTTTTCCCCAGAGAGTAAATTTACCTACACACCACTGGGCATGGCCCTGGAGTGTTAGAATTCTTGGGTTACTGAAAGGCATGATTTGAAATCCTGGAGCTATATTGGACTGTAATGACTGGGGAGCAAATCTTTTTGGAAACTGGTTTTCCAATTCTTTGCTTTCAACAAAGTTGAAAGAGTTTCTAGTGAAGACAGCCGATAGATTTTTTAATGTGACTTTTGAATATACCAGAAATTCAAATAGTTGAATAACGTTGCTATAACAAAACTCTTTCCAATCTCATGTAGTTGTTACATGAACAGCCCTCCTCAGAGCTTATATCCGTAAAGATAAAAAACAAGAATAGACTCACTGGTGAACACTAGTTCCCTCTAGCATTATGTAGTTTTTATTTATGGTTATGTGTCTTTCTGGGGATGGAGGAGAGAGGGAATAAACTAGTCCCATCTCTTTTAAGAGATTTATTTCCAATAAAATTTAAATTTTATACTTAATAATTATTTGTCAAAACTGTAATATATTTGTGCATTTTTATGAGTTGGGTAATAGTAATTGTATACTCAACTCAGGAACACAAAAAACCTTATGGCCACAAAAATTTACAGATTTGCCATAGATGATCCTGAGGTAAATCAATTTTAAGAAATTGTAAGTTGTAAATTTAGTTGTAAGAAATATTATATTAGGATAAAATGAGAGGCAGAATTATGAATTTGAGGAGAAGAAAAAGAAATGTAAAATGTCCAAGTGTCAAAAAGTAACTCCTATATTTTTCATGTAGGGTATTGAGTATCATGCCAGTATGGTATTTCGATTCCAATGGATATCGTTTGAAAATGATGTAACAAATTTATTTTTAAAATGTGAATTCTTAAAATAACTTGTCAGACAAACTTGTTATTAGCCTGTGTCAGAATTCTATTTCAGACTGGCCTCAAGAGAAGAGGCTCCCAGCAAGCCAGCCAATTCAGTGATTCTTTTTTGGAAGAGACACAAACAGAAAAAAGAAATGGCACCACAACAGAAGAACAGCTCGAGACTGGTTGGCGTGGTTTAGAGAGCTGAGTGGAGACCCTGACTTCTCAGCAGTTCTTAATCCCATTAAAGTCTATCCGGAAATTACCCAAGCATTTTATCAGGAATCATAATTACTTCATGGAAGGGGTTACAAATGACATCATACAAAAAAGTTCTGCCACAGACAGTTTGGGAACAATTTTCTTTCTTATGCTATTAAAGAGTGCATTGGAAATTATATCCTTAGCAACTATTGACATTTAAATTTTAAAAATGAACCGTCATACATGGGCAAGCGTGGTATATGTCTTTCAAACTGCTGACAAGGGGGCCTTCTGTCAAGTTGGGGTGGCACATCGGCTGATTCATCAGAAGACCCCTTCCCGGAAGGCCCCTCCAGGCACTCCTCTGGACTTTATTGGAAACTGAAAAGCAGATACTACCCAGCGGAGTATTTTATTTAAATTAATCTTTCTGTCAGCACCAAGGAAACAAGTAATTGGATAAAAATAATAGTTGTAATAATTACTCAATCTGGGAACAAAAAGTAAAGCCTTAAGGTCACTAAAATGCATTTAAATGCATAAGCTTAATCTTGGCTGTAGAAAAGTATGAAAAGCTAATCAATTTTAAATGTTAACATTAAGGAATCTCATCTGGGAAAAAATGGGGGTGAAAATGTGAATTTGAGGAGAGAAAGTGCCAAATTTCCAAGTGTTAAAAAAGAACTTGTTTCTGTATGTTTTATGTAGATAGTTTTCAATTATCAAACCATTGTGGTACTTAGCTTCCATTGTATACATTTTTAAAGTGATATAAAACAAATCTGGTTGTGATTCCTATCAACATAGGCATGAGCCACTGCGCTCAGCCCTCTTTGTTTTTGTGCTGGTTCCTTTGTGAAAGTTCTGCTGTTGAAGTGCTCCAGGACTCTACCCTCAAAACCCTCTACAATCCCACATTTACTGGAAGAATGTGGAGAAGGCAATGGATTTAGTCACCCTTTTTTGGTGTCCCACCACACACTGCCACCAAGTGGAGGACGGCATCTCAGGTCCCTGGCAACCTCATACTAAGAACGGAGGATTTGCCAGACAGGACCATTTCTGGGCCAATTTGGCCATTCAGCAATTCTTTTTGGAAGAGATACATACACAAAAAACTATTCAACTGTATGCAAATGTATACAAACTGTAAATGTATACAATGGGAATCTAAGTCCCTCAATGATTTAACACTCAAACACCATCTACATGGAAAACACAGAAACAAGTTTTCTTGTAACAGAAATTTGACATTGTTTCTTTTACTCCCCAAATTTACATTTTTTACCCCTCTCCCCCTATTTAATTTTGGGTGCTATTTTTTAATGTTTAAAGTTGATTAGCTTCTCTACTTTGCTACATATGTCTCTCTGGTTACTAACACCACTCTCAAGGGACCTTCCTTAGCAAAGCATGGGCCATCTGCCCTGGTGAGTTCAAACATGACTGCTGGGATTTTTGCCCAAACAACTGAGTGGATAGTGGTGTCATTTATTGAATTAGAAAAGGATTGAGAAAGTGAGGTGAGTGAGGATCAGATCTAGTGGAGGAGAATCAAGAGAAAACTCTTGTCAGTTGATAACTCCATCCTGTATCTCTCCTGAGTGCCAGACTCATGTCTAAGTCTCCTCTTGAATAGATAGTAGGGGTCTCAATCTCGATACAGAACTTCAATCAGTCATCAGCATATGGATAGTATATAGACATGGATTTGTGTGACATTTCCTGGGGAAGGAGACAGTAGGTGAGGGTAGGGTCCTAGAGCACTTCCAACAGCAGAACTTTCACAAAGGAACCAGCACAAAAAGAGGGCTGGGTGTGTTGGCTCATGCCTGTAACCCCAGCACTTTGGGGGGCCAAGGAGGGAGGATCAATTGAGCTCAGGAGTTTGAGACCAGTCTGGGAAACATAGTTAGACCATATCTCTACAAAAATAAATAAATAAATAAAAATTTTAAAAGAGAAGGATGTCTAAGGAAGTAGGAAGCCTTCTATTATGATTATTGTGTCATCATCTTACTTGAATCTCACAGGAATTTCATGAAGTAGATGTGATTATCCCCATTGTCCAGATGTAGAAAATGAGGCTAAGAGAGGTACATTAGTTAAGGTAGGCTAAATTAGGCTGCAATAACAAATAAACCTCCAAATATAAGTACCTCGACAAAGAGATGTACGCTCATGCCATAATCTAATGTAGGTTGGGAAACTCTTCCTGAGAACCTCTTATCCAGGAAGTGACTGAGGAACCCAACCTCTTTCTATTTTGTGATGCCATCATCTTCAACAGGAGGTTCACAAACACCTGAAGCTGTCAAAACAGCAAATGCAAAGACAGTAAAATATGTCTCAATGGGTTTTGCTCCTTCACGCTGAATGTCCCAGCCATTTACAAGCCTTCATTATCCTAGTTGCCCCCATTTGAATGCACTTAATTTTTCGACATCCCTTTAGAAGATGACACCAAATGAATATCATTCCCTGGTCAGCAACTGTCCTGTCCCAAGTGCTTTGGGGCTACTCCCTTCCTAGCCTGGAAGCCACATCTTAGTGACAGGGATCAGAGCCACATTCATGTTTTACCCAGTGTTCTGTATTGTTGTCTGTTACATTGAGATTGACATTAACCCCAGCTCTTTTTTTTTTTTCATGAACCACTAGGATGCCTGTGAAAATTTACACAATTGATTTCTTTTAGCACAAACTCAAGTCTTGACACCTCTGTAAAATTTCATTTTCTTGGTCTCTGCCCTCCATGCCAAGCCATGTGAACATTCTGAGTCTCAATTCTTACCTGTGTCTCATTATCTAGCCCTCCAAATTTGTGTCGTCTACAGATCTGATAAGACAGTCTTCTACACCTTTGTCTAAGTCTTTGATAAAATTACAAAACAGGTCAAGGCCAAAAATAGAGCCCTGTGCTGTTCTCCAAATAGCTCTCCATCAAACACAGACTATAATTTCTTCTTTTTATCTTTTTGCACTTCATAATTTGCTGAATAAAGGCAAAAGAAAGAGCCAAGTCTTCTTCTTTCTCTATATCATCTGTAAATATCTGTGCCTGTTTGTATTCTTTTTGTTGCAAACATATGCAAAAATTCCTTTTTGTTATTTTGCATTAAAAAATGGTAGCTCATTGCCCACCTTACCATACTTGTCATTAGTTTTTTCTGTCTGTCTGTCTGTATCCTGAATCACAGCTATCTCAGCCCACATCCACAATGAAAGCCATAGCCCCAAAGCAATCAGGCCCTGTTCTTTTCTCTCACTGCCTATAGCAGGTGACTTGACTTTAATTACAGACTCCTTTCAGAGTCTCCTACAGCTCCTCCATGGACCCCACAACAAGAATCTCAGAGGGTGACTGTCAAAAACTCTGAAAGGCCTGAGTTTTTCCCTACTTGCAAGTTATCAAGTCGGTCGGCCACAATTTTATGGATGCTGGTTGAAAACGTAACACTCCTGGGGTCAGATTACTCAGTAATTGCAGTTGCCAGAGTTATCAGCATATTTAAGTGGGGTCCCCAAGCCCCAATTCTCTCAGGAAAATGTGGATATGACAGACACAATGAGTCATAATATAGGAGAAGTCTGAATTTAGGGAGCTTGAATCTTCTGTATTAGGCAGTAAGCATGTCTGCCTTTTGTTCTGGAAAGAGATATTATCTCTGTGTTCCAAGGCTGTTCGCTATATACGTGTTTTTGAAAAGAGTCCAGAACAGAGCAATCAGCACCTTACTTACAACATAGACAGAAACATGAGAGATCCATGGAGAATTATCCATCAGCAGTGACACAGGACAAGTCTACTCTTGTTGCATGTGAGGTGATCAAATGCAATGACAGCAAAATATATCCTTATAGGCATTGCTCTATGAAGCCAAATGTTCTAGCCACAATCTCAGCCCTACACCATCCTAGTTCCTCCATTTGGACATATTTCACATAGCAACATCTCTTTAAAACTCCAAATATGATCATGTTTCCCTAGGCGAGAACTGACTCTATGCTGCTGATCATCAAAGTCAACCTTAAGTCCTCTTTTTTCAGCCACCTGCTGTCCACGGACACTGGATCTTGACTATCATATTATCTAAGGCCATTCATGGGCCAAATCAAATTTACAACCTACTCCCAAGACTAGGTCCTTCCTCAGCTTCCCCTTCCTCTTGCTGGTATCATCATTTCCTCAGGTTTCCAGGTTCAACACCGTAGGCACCTCAGCTCACACAGTGCTCATTTTGTGGGTTGATGAATGGATCCAGCCATTTGACAAATATGTGTTGAGCTTCATGCAGAGGGTGGTGAGGTGGGCTCCAGGCTTTATAAATTATTAAGACCCAGGCTGGGTTCCCACAGGTAAACCATAAACATTTCTCTCTCTCTCTCTCTCTCTCTCTGCAGCCAAGCCTTGGATCTTTCTGTTTGGAACACCAGCTTGGATGCTAAGGAGCAATGGATTTTTCTCCGTATTCTTTGTTTTTCCACAGTTTTGAGCTTACTCCATCTCAGAGCCCTGCAGGCAGGTTGGGGTAGAAGCCACAAAGATTATTATGAGTAAAACTCAGCAGCAAGCAGCTCAGGGGAGCTTTGATCCTCTCTCCCAAGGGGAACATCATCTCCTATATCCATGTGGAACCTCTCAGCTGGAGAACAAAAAGAGGAAAAAAGAGGAATAAAATATTTATAGAAAAGTTATTTCTCACAAGCAAGCATTTGTTCTAAGAGCTTTTAGAAATGTAATTATTTTTCTCCTTCTTGGGCTTTTCTGTTTTTAATATGAAACACTTTAAAGTCCCCTGGTTCGATTTCCAGGAAGCAATAATCCATTTTGCCTTGGGTGGAGTTTAGGAGAGAAACTAGGTTTCAGAAGTGAATATGCTTCCACTGAAAATGCCACATGGAGCTCTTGCCTCTTCTTTAATGTTCTTGCATAACAAGAATCCCATTCCCAGGGGAAAGCAGGGTGGACCAGCGGTCTTTCTTTCCACCCTCTACTGCAAGTGTCTCTGTCCTATTTGAGCCACAGCTGGACTCCTGGCCTCACCCTCACCTACAAAGTGACTGTCATATACAAAGGGTAAACCTCGGGAACAGCACTACCCAACAGAAATTAAATGTGAGCCACAGGTGTGAGCCACATATGTAATTTTTTTTTTTTTTTTGTCAGACGGAGTCTCTCTCTGCCACCCAGGCTGGAGTGCAGTGGCACGATCTCGGCTCACTGCAACCTCCGCCTCCTGGGATCAAGCAATTCTCCTGCCTCAGCCTCCCAAGTAGCTAGGACTACCGGTGCATGCCACCATGCTAGGGTAGTTTTTGTACATTTAGTAGAGACAGGGTTTCACCATGTTACCCAGGGTGGTCTTGAACCCCTGAACTCGCAATCTGCCTGCCTCAGCTTCCCGAAGTGCTAGGATTACAGGCATGAGCCACTGTACCTGGCCGGCGTATGTAATTTTTAATTTGTTAGTAGCCACATTTAAAAATTTTTTCAATAAACCCATGAAATTAATTGTTAAATATATTTTATTTAACCCAATTTATCATGTTAACATATAATACAAAAATTTTGAGATAGGCATGTAGGGAAAACTCTCAAACTGTGTCTTTCCTCTACCATCATACCACAACAATCATCAACACAGAAGACTTCTGTGACCTAATGTATGGGTATTTTTCCCCACACACCAAGCAGGGAACACTAGCTGGCTGTCCTCTAATTCAGTTCCAACACTGTCTACCTGGAGACCTTGTCAGATCCCACAGGTTGAGGGCTCAGTCCCCAAGACTGCCTCCGACCACACCAGTCAGAAGTCCAGGCCTTTGGAACTGCTGACCAACAAGCTTCAAGTTGGGGTCCCCAGAGCCCCCTCTTTGGCTTCAGTGAATTTGCTGGAGCAGCTCACAGAACTCAGGGAAGTACTTACTTATGTTTACCGGTTTATGGTAAAAGATATTGCAAAGGATACAGATGAAGAGACACGTGGGATGAGGAATGGGGGACAGGGTGTGGAGCTTCTACGCCCTCCCTCGGTGCCACCCTCCAGGAACCTCAGCATGTTCAGCTGTCTGGAGGCTCCTTGAACCCTGTCCGCTGGGTTTTTATGGAAGCTTCATGATGTCAGCATTCCTTTCCCCAGGGCACAGGGTAGGAACCACTCATAGGAAGGTCTTAAGGACCTCAATCAGCTGCACGGAGTCTCTGTGCAGTGGACCTAGGCTCCAGCTGTGGCTACAACATAGGGTTTTTATACAAGAAAAATAAAGTGAATTAAGCCTGAAAAAAAGAAAAGAACCTCAATCAGAAAAGCAGTAGAGTCCTGCCCTGGGGCAGGTGAAAAGGGGCAGAAGTAGGTCAGAGACTTAACACACCCAACATCATAATAAAAGATGGTAACAAAGGCTATGCGAGTCACAAGCCAGGAACCACGGAGGAAAACCAGTACCTATCATAACACCACAATAGGCTATTTTTTTTTTTTCATACTAAGGCTTTGAAGTCAATGTGGAATTGACAGTGGCAGCATATCTCAGTGTGAGTGAGCCACATTTCAAGTGCTCAAGAGCCACATGTGGCTGGTGGCCACCATGCTGGACCATAGCACCGGACCAGACCCTGTGTACAGATATTTGACATCTCATGCACAAGTGATGTGTCTGCAAAACGACTTCCTCTTCAGGCCCCCGCTGCTCCCCACCTCACCCCATACTTGTTAATTAAGTTGTTAAAACAGGAAAACATCTTCTCCAACTCCCTCAATTCTCCTTTTTCAAGCTTAATCCAAAAAGGTTCTTACTTTTGAAACAGTTGTTATCAGTTCAAAGGGGAAACTAAATCTGAAATGTGTCCAGTGGAAGGATTGCAAGTCCTCTTGACAGGCAGTAAACTCTTGATATCAGGTCAGGGTTTGAATTCTGGCTTGCTAAGTGCACGACTTTGGGCAAAACATGTGGCCTCTTTGCATCTTTGATCATCAGTTCAATGGGTTGTGACACTTGTCCCACCATATTCTACCAGCCTCATACGGGGTAGTGGAGTCAGGGAGATCAAAGTGATGAATGTGAAAGAGTTTTCATGCCACATAAAATGGAAAATAATATTATTTATTATGAAAAACCATTAAAACATTATTTTCTGTGCAGCTACAGAAAATAATAAATCCACAATAGCTACGCAGACAGTGTAAAGATTCAAAGTAACAAACTGAACCAAAGAAGCAAATTCCTGTAATTACACGTCAACAATTTTCTCAACTACTACCAAACTTTGACTTGTCATTTTTATTTACAAAGACAGAGAGGGAATAATAAACGTCCCCCAAGATAATAATCAACTGTGGTCCTTGGAGCCAGGTACACAACATGAGAATGCATCTTGATAATGGCTTACAATAAACTTAGTTATGATCTTGACAATGACACTGCAGAGAGCATCACATGTGGACCTTTTTTTCAAAGACCAACAATTTGAGATATCTGCAGAGACTTCCTGCAATATCTCTGCCCCATAACCACCTGGATATTTCCTTGCAGTGATAGTTTTTAGATTAGTAACATTAGCTTCTAACATTCCCTATGACACCACTTAAAACTTACCTCCTTATTGTTTTATTTAAAATGAGATCTGTGTGCCAGGGAATGGGGAAATAGGTTGTCTTCATTCCTAATTTGTTCTCTCCCAAGTGTTATTTAAAAACAAAATTCCAATTTTGGGCTTTTCCCATTTGCCTTTACTAATTACTTCTTTTATGTTCCACCCATTTGTGCCATAACTAATTCAAGTTCAAATAGAACTTAGTCACTATTCCATCACAGTCATCTCCTGCTCCTAGAGAAGTCATCCACACGCCACAAAGACAGGAACCAAGAAGGCCTTGGCGCTTCATGAGACCACAAGTGTTGTCCCTCTGATCCAATCACGTGAGACCAAATTTGTCTGGGTCCAAGAGTGTAGAACGTGTCCTTACCTCCAAATTCACATGTGCTAGTTGTACGGCATGTGGAAATAAATGCAGACCAACCAAATGAGAAAAGCAAAGGCTATTTATTCAGAGCTTGCTATATATACTAAGGGAGTCGGCCACTCACTATCTTTTGCATTTTGGCAGAGAATCAAAGGCAAACAGATAAGTGGGAAAGCTTTAAAATGGCAAAGAGGGAAGGCTTTGAGCTCACCCTGATGGGAGGTTGTTGGCATAGGGTGGGGGCGCCTACATGGAGGTGGGCTAATTAGAAGCAGGACATCCTACATGAATAATTAGAGGTGCATATTGGCTTTCTCTGGTTGGTCCTAAATTGGAATCAGGGAAGAAAATCAAGGAAGCAGTCCATTATTAATTAACTCCTGGCCATTTGGGGGCAATTGTACAGAGGTTATTGTCTGGCTTCATGGGTTGTTTCTACAGACAGTGATCTGACTTCCTGCAAGTCTGATTTATAGCAGACCTGTTTCCTGGGCCGGTAACAGTAGGTCATGAGCTGGTTTCCTGGGCTGGCTGCTGTAGACTGTGGGTCTGAATTCTATTTTTATATCTGGTCTGGCCATTGCCCATTTGTATATTCAGTCTCTCAGCTGCAAAACAAAGCCAGTGAGGATGACAGGAACCTAGAAAGGAATAAACTTGAATGATCAGCAAATTATCAAATGAAGTCACCAGACTTCTGCAACACCCTGGCAGCCACCCAGCAATTTGCTAATGACATCCTCTAAGTCCTCCTCTCCCACTCCATAGCCACACCTTGGTGACATTTTTTTGTCTCCATTGCCACATTATATGAGACAGTGCTTCAAGAGCACATGCAATCCTGCAAAAACCACCAAGATGTGCAGAACTCAGATGCAGGAATTCAGCCTCATGTCTGGAGGCCTGATGATGCAACAGGTTATCCAAAGGGGATGCTGGGGTCCCAAAAGTTTTCTGAGATAAAGAATTTGGAAGCATCTCCTTGAGTTCCAGCAATCCTAAAATGTTTTACCACGGATTCTTTGGAAGAACTGCATCCACTTCCAACCACTACAAGTTGTTTTAACTATAATGTAGTGGTTGGGCTTTAAGTCAGATGGAATCCAACCCTGGCTCGGATCGTATAATTTCTAAAAAAAAAGCATAAAATAATCTACCTTTTACCCAGCACCTAGTGTGTGGCAGACACTATGCTAAGTGCTTCAGATACATTGTCTCCTTTAATCTGTGGCAACAGCCTTATGAGATGAGTACCTTTATTTTGCATTTTATAGGTCTCACTGGGCTAAAATCAAGTTGTAGACAGAGCTGCCTCCCTTCTGGAGGCCCTAGGGGAGAATTGTATCCTTGCCTTTTCCAGCTTCTAGAGGCCCCCCAACATTCCGTAGGTGGTGACCCTTCCTCCCATCACTCCAGCCTTTGCTTTCCTCACTCTCACTCTGATCTGCCTCTCTCTTACAACAACTCTAGGGTTAGGTTGGGCCCACCCAGACAATCCAAAATTCTGCCCCCATCTCAAGATCCTTAACTAAATCACAACTGCAAAGTCAATTTTACCATGTAAGTTTACATATTCACAAGTTTCAGAACATTTGGATGTGGACATCTTTGGAGGAGTCATTATTCAGCCTACCACCACAGATAAAGAGGCTGAGGTTCAGAGTGGTTAATTTATTTTCACAAAGCCTCATAGCTAGTAGTAGTGGAGCTGAGGTTTGACTTTTCCAACTACATCAGGCTTCCCTTTCTGAGTTCACCAGTTTGGCCCTTGAAACCAAACTCAGCATGGTACTATGTATGTAAAGTCTAACCTTCACCCTACTCTTCCTCAGTGTATTAGTCTGTCTAAATTAATGCTGCTAATTTATAAAGAAAGAAGATTTAATTGACTCAGAGTTCCACATGGCTGGGGAGGCCTCAGGAAACTTACAATCATGGCAGAAGGCACCTCTTCACAGGGTGGCAGGAGAGAGAATGAGCGCCCACAGGAGTAATGCCAGATGATTATAAAACCATCAGATTTCAAGAGAACTCACTATCACGAGAAAAGCATGGGGGAAACCACTCCCATGATTCAGTTACCTCCCACTGGGTCCCTCCTGTAACATGTGGGGATTATAATTCAAGATGAGATTTGGGTGGGGGCACAGCCAGACCATATCACCCAGGCCTGTGGGTCCCCACCACCACCACCAGCTGGTGCAGGCAGCTCCCAGCCATCCATGCCATCTTGAACCAGAAGCGCCAGCCTTCAGGGAGATGGTCATCTGCAGAAGAGAAGTTCTGGTGCCCAGAAGTGCCTCTCTGCAAGGATTAGCCTCCTCCAATTACACAGCCACAGCTCAGCAATTTTCTCCAGTTTCATTTCATCTTGCCCTCACCGCCACTCTGAATCTCTCAAAATTCTTCCCTAGCTCTATTCCCAAAGTATACAGGGATAATACCTGCTGTATAATCGTTCCTGTCCCCATTTCCTCCTCAAAATAGGTCAAGAGTAAGGAAGAATACCTTGTGGGACCAAGAATTATTCCCAAGAAAGGGAAATTTACCAGCCCCTGAATGGTTAGGGTGCTGTGAACCAGCAGCCCCATCAAGGAAGCTGCATGCACATCTCCAGGCTGAGTCCCAAGTGGGAGAAAGGCCCATCCCGATAGGTGGAAGATACTCTTGGAACCACTATGAAGACCCCATCATCTGTCCTTCCTTAATCCTCCCTCTTGACTGTCAGAAAATTCAAGGAGCCCTTGCTTACTCATATGGGGTAGAATTACAAAAGAGAGCAGCATACCAGTGTTGAGTTTGCTAATTTTCTGACCTTCTGGGCTCTGAATTTGACTCACCCAGATGTGTGTCATTTGATTGGTGCTCTCTGACCCGTCTGGACCTAGTGTCTTGCCCTCTGCATCCTTACAAGTTGGTTTCCTATTCTGGCATGCTAGCCTCCTATCATAAAATTTACCCCAAACGCTCACCAGAGCTTCTACTGCTGCCCCAGTTTCGAGGGTCTGCTCAATAAACTCACATCCTTGGGGGACACAAGCATTTCATGATGTCTTCTCCAACAAGTCGAGGCCCCAAAGTCAGAGAAACACAACCCATTGTGCCAATGGTAGACACTATGCTGCTCTCTTTTATATTTTCTTATCGCATATGGTAGGGTGGGGGCTTAGAAGAACATAGCAGAGGTATTCATAATAAAGAAGAAATTAATAAAGACCACAGCAAGCCCAGATTCTTTATTTTATGTTCTCTCTGTACCATGGTTCAGTTACCTGTTAGAATAATTGCAGATCAATTTCATTGAGTTAGTAACTAAAAACAATTGCCTAGAATTCCCTTTGATCTCTCTCCATAGCGACAAATTGTATACAAAGAAGTCTAGCAAGAAAGGCGACTCTCAGAGGAACTTTTTGGGCCCCTTCTACAGGAGGACCTTTTTTGAGTCCTCAAGTGCTGAATTCCCCCATCTTTAACACTCAATGGCTCTTTGTGTTGATTTCTGCAATGGAGCAAGTCTTCAGCCCTCCCACCCTCTGTGAATTCTGGCCTGCAGTGAGACCTTGCATGAGGCACTGTGTAAATCCTGGACACAGTTGAGTGAGAGAGACATTTATTGTCTGTCTTGGCTGTAAGGGAGGCTAAGTGTTTATGAAGTATGTTAAAGACACACGTGTCGTGGTGAGCCTGTATTACTGTCCTCTCACCCTGTGTCTGACCAATGATGCCGACAGACTGTGGACGTTATAATAATGATTCCTATGACTCCAGGGCACAGCTGGCCCTTTGGTTTTCTCATATAACTGATCTCAGGTTTCCAAGAGTCTTCAGGAGCATAATCGTATTAATAGCACACTCCCAGGTAAGGAATAAATACACCAATGTTTCTTGGTCTCCAAAAACTAATCTAGACTTCTCTCTTGTGAAATTTCACTGGCCACTAAAGATAAGAAAATCATTTCGATAGTATTGAATATATCACGGTGAGCCTCTCCAAAATGTATCCAGTGTTTTCATAGTTCAAGACCATTGTTATATTACATTATCTTACTTGTAAAAATCAAATTATATCTGAAGGGGAATATTTCTTTCAAAAATCAAGACTTAAATAAAGAACATCTTCCTCTGATAAGAATTCCAAAATGGCCAGGAAACATATTATTATACGTTCCTGGATATTCTTGGAAAAGTCATTTAAACTTTATGGGTCTCCGTTTCTTATTCTAGAAAAATCAAGGCATTGGCTGGGTGATCTCTGAAGCAGCACCTTCCAATAGACCTTCCGCAATGACAGCAGTATTCTGCACCTTCACTGTCTGATACAGTAGCCACCTGCCACAGGGCGGCTATTGAGCACTTGAAATGTGACTGAAATGACTGAGAAAAAAATTAATTTAATTTAACTTAATCTAAATTTAAATAGCCACATGTGGCTAGTGGTTATGTATTGGACAGGACAGGTCCAAGGGGTTCCTCGTTGATGTAAATACAATGGAGAGGTAGAGGTGAATACCCCAGGGCTGAGCAGGAAGGCCTTGGGATCCAGGTCTATAGTTATCCTACTGCGGAGAGCTACTCCTCTGCTAAAAGGACCTCTCAGCCACTGGCAGCTGGATGCAGAAGGGAAGGCCACAGTACCCAGTAAACCACACACCCGCAAGACCACTTAGGCTCCAAAGGAGAAAGGATGAGGAACTGGGTGAATACTTATCAGGTGCAACTAACTAAGGGCATGACATCAGACGAGAAATAACAGAGCAGCCTCTTCCACCTTCTGTTCGGCCTTTTTGGATGTTCTCAGTCTAACTGCAGACACCGATGACTTGGCCACTACGGAGAAAGCGGGGACTTAGTCCTGTTAGATAAGGGAGCTGGCTCTCTGCCGCCAATCAATCAGAAAGCTTTTAAGATGGGAGTCTATGAAATATGTATTAAATACCAACAAAAAAAATGAATGCAATGAAGTTTTTAACTTAGAAGCACTCCTGGGAGCCAGGGGCCAGGTTCTCACAACATAAAACCTGTATTAAGACCTCATTCCAGATAGGACTCATATCCACCTTCCTAGGGGATCAGTGAGGTCCAACAGGGTGTTTCTCCTCTTTGGGGTGGGAGGGAGGTCTGAAATTTGGTACTCTTCTGTGCTCCCCCAGAGCTAATTCCCTTCTGAAAGAAACGAAAGCAACAGGAACACTCATTTGTGCCATTGTGTTTTGCACAATCACACGCCTTTCAATTGCCACATTAAAAATTCCTCCCAGGGCCCCATGGAGTTAGGTGATTATGTTTAATATAACCTTCTGGGTTTTGGTTTCATGCAGACTAACAAAGAATATGGAAACATGTAATTCCATACTGCCCGAAGTACTTCTACAATTTGAGCCTCAATTAATGTTTGTTTACTTATCTGCTAATCTCACTATTTTTTCTAAATTCGTTCTCAGTAAGTGAGAGTGCAGAATCTGACGTTCAGTCATTTCTGAAATATGACCAAAATGGAAACCTCCCCAGAGAGCTATTCAATGGGGGAAAGGAAAAACATAAACTCCCAAATGAGTAACTCCGAGTGTCCTTTAATTTTCCTCTAACAGAAAACCATTTTCTAAGAGAAGGTATGTGCACAAAGAGGTAACTTTTTAGAAATTTACCAGTGATTTTATCATGGTAAATTGAGCCACAATCCCAATGAGAATACTTGCTATTATTGTTAGAAATGCATAGAGCCTGTATTTATTTTCAGAGGAGTTTGGTATCATTTTTATGAGTTGCTCCTCACAAAAAGCAAAACAGAAACCACCCTGAACCTCTAAGAGGTAGATCAGATTTTATATATATATCTCTCTCTCTCTTTTTTTTTTCCAAAGGAGGAAACCACATAAAATGATTTGCCCTGAGGTCAGCCAGCCCATTGGTGTCTGGGCTGATGTTAGAAGTTCTGGTCTCTAGACTCCCAATCGGCTGAATTGTCTCTAGAGCCTGGTCCTTGTGTCCTCAGTGGAGACATGCATGTAGCTAGTAGCTACGCCGACAGACAAGTCTTTCTTCCTAAACACTCTTCACTCTTACCATCTAGAAGTCCCTGAGGGCTCAAAACTGCCCCACCAGTGAGACCTTCTAAGGTGGTTCTTTTGGTTTCTTTGCAACACCCTCTGGATGGAGTCCGAGAGAACTTCTTATTCTGAATTCTCTTCTGTAGCAAGCCAGTCGTATTGCCATTTTTACTGTGATCTGGCCATGACCCCCAGGCTGTTCTGACATCCCTGTTGATGTCTTCCCTGGGGCAGAATGTTCTTCAGACAGAGGATGGCTGAGTTGTAACTACTCATATGTGAGTGTAGGTCTTCCAGGCCTGGCCAGAGCTGCCAAGCAGGATAAGCCCATCATGGTCCTCAGCAAGGATAGAGAAGGGCCATTGGCAAGGTGAGTCCACTCCCGCCTGCAGGCCTGGCACAATGAGAGCAAGTGCGTTGTCCCAAGATCCCCTCAGCAGCACACTCTGGGGAAGAGATCCCAGTTGCTAGGGAAGGTTAAAGCAAGGTTCAGAAAACAAAACAAGCAAGAAAACTCAGTAGGTCAGTGAAACAAGAGCCTGGGCTCTGCACCCAAAGTTCCAACTTAGCGTATCATCCACATTACCCATGACGTAAGGGCGACCAGGCGCCACAATATTTCTCAGAGTGTTCTGTGGAACGCCAGCTGCAGGAGGTGCTTGGCAGAAACTGGGTTTCATGGTCAAATGAGTCTGAGAAACACTGCAGATTACATTTCCCTCTGCAGTCATATCAGCATATCAAAGGTTATGAGAAGTTCCACAGTAGGCCGGGCATGGTGGCTTACGCCTGTAATCCCAGCCCTTTGGGAGGCCAAGGCAGGCAGGCAGATTGCTTGAGGTCAGGAGTTCGAGACCAGCCTGGCCAACATAGTGAAACTCCGTCTCTACTAAAAATACACAAAAATTAGCTGAGTGTGGTGGCGCACGCCTGTAGCCCCAGCTACTCGGGAGGCTGAAGCAGGAGAATCTCTTGAACCTGAGAGGGGGGGCTGGCAGTGAGCCGAGATCACACCATTGCACTCCGGCCTGGGCAACAAGAGTGAAACTCCATCTTAAAAAAAGAAGTTCCACAATAGAGCAATGACTCTATTACTCTGTTACTCTGTTCAACCCAGAACACTCCAAATTTGACCACCCATAGGCCTTCTTTTTTATGGGACACTGACTAATGTACCATGGAACACTTGGGCAGATGTCTGTCTGCTCCATTCTCTCCTCTCCTGCCATCCTCCACCTTGAGCCAGGGCCATGTTGCCCACTCCTGGGTGGTCTCCCTGCCCTCTGGCATCTTCCAGGAAACCCAGACCAACTCATTTGTTCTAAACACCCGTTTCTCCACATCCCTCCCATAAGCAAAGAACTACCATGACTCTCTACGTCCTCCTGAGATAAGGCTAGGATTTTCTGCTCCGTCTTGTGTCTCCCATATTGACCCTTCACCCTCTCTGGGCAGCCATATTTTTTCCACTCAACACCACACTCCCGTCTTCCCCCAGGCCGGTCCTGAGAGGTAGGACTGAGAGCAGGGGCTTTGGAGGCCAACATGAATTTGAGTCCCATTGCTTTTCCTTCTGGACCGCATGACTCAAGCCTCTCTGAACCTTGGTTTTATCATCTGCAAAATGAACATAATGAGACCTGACTCAGGGCTGTGGTAAGCATGAGGCGAGCTAACACATGTCACTGCGGGGCCGGGCACATGGGAAGCTCAACAAGTGGTCATCCCTCTCATTCAGAGCCAAACATCCCCAGCAAACCCCGCTTCAGATACACTCACACTCATACCAGCTTCGAGGATTTCTTCCCCTCCTTCCCCCTACGTAGGCCTTACTCATCCTCTGGGGCCCCCTCGTTCCCACCGCCCCCATGAATCCTTCCCCGAAAATCCCGGCGCAGAGATCCCCTAGCCTGCACTTCTCCTGCAGGCATGGGTTTGGTTTTCCTCTGTTTCCACATGTTCCATAACGTTTTCCACCTGGTCCCCAATAGGACTGCAAAGTCTTGAGTGCAGGAGTCTCATCCCCTCACTCTGCGTGGTCCCATAGACCTGTGCTCTATACAGATGAGACGAGGCCTGCTTGTATATTCACATTAGGATGAACCTGGAGTCTTTTCCTCTTGGCTCCTTCAAAACCTTTTTCGTTCTCAATTTGCTATAACCTTTGAAACCTCGCCGTGTGGCATATTATAGAGAAGAGAGAAAAACTCAAAGGTGTGCTCTTTTTTTAAAAAAAATCCCAAATACCAGAAGGAAAATCCACACGTTGATTTCGGGGTTCATCATCAACACGCACTTGGTGAGCACTTTCTCTGGGACTTTGGGAAAAACCTGTTCTGGAAGGGCCCTTAGCTGTAGGAGCCAGGTACAGGGGACTGAAATAAGTACCCAGCCTGCTCCCCGACAGCTGCGGAGAGGAGAGAGCAGCAGGAGAGGCGCATGGAGAGAAAACGGCCAGGGGAAAGTTTCCAGAAACCCCACCCCAGGGGACACTGGGGTTTCCGGAAAGCAAGGAGTGACCCCCGCATTCCACCTACTTCCCCCCTACTAAAGGCTTCCGCAACTCCAGGGAGTCCTCCCCTTTTGAAGCTGAGCCTCGGCATCCTCGCCTACCTCCCTCCACCCTGCAGCAGAGAGGGCTGCCCCCAGCTGAGGATGGGGCACAGCAGCCAGAGGCTTCCCCGGTCTTCATGTCGGAAATCCTGTCTTTTCCAGCACATGCACACGCCACATACACCCCCGCCACACACACACACACACACACACACACACACACACATACATCCCCACACACAACTCCACACACCACACACACACCCACCCCATACCACATCACACCACACACACATCACACCACAGCACAACACACCATACACACACATACCACACCACACCCACCACACACAAAATCACACCACACCACACACCATACACACACAACACACTATACACACACACTCCACACCACACACACAACATACCATACCCCACACACCATACACACATCACATGCACACACCACACACACACAGACCAAATCACAAAGCACCACACACAACACCACACACATGTGACACCACACCACGCGTATCACACACACCACGCCACCACACACACAGACCACACCACAAAACACCACACCACACCCATACACACCCCCACACACACACAACACACAGAGCAAACCACAACAAACCACAAACACCACAATGTGCCACAACACAACACACCACATATCACACTACACCACACCACACCCATATTATACACCACACCACACCCATATTATACACCACACCACACTATACACACACATGCACACACCACACACACACCAAACCACACATCACACCACATGCACAACACACATCACACCACACACACACCACACCACACATCACACCACAAACCACACTACACACCTGCACACACACCACACATCACACCACACCACACATCACACACACACCACACATCACAGCATACACACACACCACACACATATCATACCACACACATCACATGTCTCCCACCAAGTTTCCATTTCAATCTGTGACATCATCCTCCTTTCAACCTCTTGTCCTAGTGTGGACAACTTCACATTGGAATGCCGAATAAAGAAGGGTGTGAATTCCTATCGGTCCATCAGCGCCTCTTCATTATGGCTGAGCTAATTTGCAAGGAGAGGATTCCCTGCCTCCACCTCCACATCCCAGGAGGAGCTTCTTACTCAGCAGGTGTTCATCTACTCGCTCACAGCAAGTGACAAGAGGCTGTGGATTCCCAGGCAGGCCCAGTTGGGAAAGCTCCCACCAGTGACCTGGGACCGTCAGAGCCATGATGGGGGATGGAGAAGCAGACCAGGAAAAATATTTCTTTTCTTTTTCTTTTTCTTTTTTTTTCTTTTTTGGAGACAGAGTCTTGCTCTGTCGCCCAGTCTGGAGTGCAGTGGCACCATCTCAGCTCATTGCAACCTCCGCATCCTGGGTTCAAGCAATTCTCGTGCCTCAACCTCCTGAGTAGCTGGGATTACAGGCGTTCGTCACCACTCCTGGCTAATTTTTGTATTTTTAATAGAGACGGGGTTTCATCGAACTCCTGACCTCAAGTGATCCGCCGGCCTCAGCCTCCCAAAGTGCTGGGATTACAGGCGTGAGCCACCGTGCCTGGCCTGTGTTTTCTTATTCTTCCTTTTTGAGACGGAGTCTCGCTCTGTCACCCAGGCTGGAGTGCAGAGGTGCGATCTCGGCTCACTCCAAGCTCCGCCTCCCGGGTTCAGGCCGTTCTCCCGCCTCAACCTCCTGAGTAGCTGGGACTACAGGCGCCCGCCACCACGCCCGGCTGATTTTTTTGTATTTTTAGTAGAGACGGGGTTTCACCATGTTAGCCAGGATGGTCTCTATCTCCTTCTTAACCAGCTCCAGGGTGAAGAGTACGTTTCCAGGAATCTCATTTCATTACCAGTGAACTCTGTTGTGATCAACATTCACTCTCTTAACTTTTTGTTCACTTTAATTCTTAGAATCAGGCGTGGTAGGCAAACAGCTGACACTCATTTTCTCTGTCAAAAAGGCAGTTTCGAATTATTGGTGAGCAACTGGTGGTCGCATAGGAGAGGGGAGAAGGGGAGAGTCCGGGGAGTGATCGATTGGGGGACGGGGATTAGGCATGCATAGCAGAGCCAGGGAGGTCACGTTGGGGACCCGCCATCCTTGACCACATCTGTTTAAATTCAGCCAGGGTAAAACATTAGCGCACAGGAAGGCGGCTTCACGGGGAGGGAAAAGAGGGTGAGCTCCGCCTCCCTACACCCTAGGGCTGGAGGCTCAGCTCAGAACAGGAATCAGATGGTCCAGGTAGAGAGGCTATAGCCACGGCGAAGACCCAAAGCCAGGCCATTCCGGACGCTGGTTAGCTCCTGGGGGCGGGCCCAGGAGGGACTGGGAGGTGGGATGAGACCCTCCACCACTCTAGGAGAATGTGGGCTCGGAGCTAAGCTCACACACGCACGCGCTCCACAGAGGCTCTGTTTACAGCATTATGTAGTTGCACAGCCTTTATTCAGGTTGGAGCTTTAACACCTTGAATGTGCAACAGAATCGGTCAAATCCCGTTTTGTTAGGGACATGGTGTTTTGCGGAGCCTCCTTCGTGGTGTCTGAGAGAGCAGTGGCAGATAGCCAGGGGCTCAGGCCCCAGGACCCCACTTGCCCTGCTGGGAGTGAGCCCAGTCATGAAGTCCTTGGCCTCCCAGAGCCTGTGTCTGCACTCAACAGCTGAGCCTGGAGGAGCAGAGAGCCAGAAGCGTCAGGTCCTCCGAACTGGATATTCCCCTCCACTCAGTGCCCCCAAGCTCAGAGCTTGGAGAGAGCCACACATCGGCTGCCTGTGCTGCTGGTCCCCTGGTTCAGGAGGGTCGGGTCCGCTGTGCCCAGGAGCTGCAGCCTCAGGTGCAGCACCCCATGGCTCTGGAGATGGCACCTGTGCAAACCGTGGGTGGCCCTCCCTCTTTTCTCTCCTGCCTTCTTTTTCTTGGCCATTTGAGGGTCACTTTTCTCTCCTATTCTTTTTCTCTGGTCTTGAACCTGAGGCCTATCAATCCACTTACAGGCTTGGCTTAAGCTACCTTGGAATTTTAAAAGAAAATTGTTGCCACCTGCCCTGGATGGTCCTGATGTTGCCTTGAGATCTACAGTGTCTCAAGTGTGGGTAAGACGAAAGTGCCAGAGGCTCGTATGCCACCTGAGGCCTCATGCTGAATTCGCTTACAGTCAGTTACAAATGCTTTTTAGATCTTCAATGCTTCTGTGAAGCCTCATATTTGCTGTTCAGACAGACACTATAATGGAGATGGAATAAATGGACAGCAACTACACAGGACGGTGTGGGCAGATGGTGTTGGAGCGAGGGGTGCAGGTGGAGCCCACAGGAGAGGAAGGCTGATTGATCTTCTATGGGGAGAGCTTCATAGCACGGGGGTGGGGGCACCTGACTGGCAAGCTGTTTGGTGTGAGTTTGGGGATGCAGCTGTCAGGGAGAACATCCCTTCTTGAATGAGCAGAAGACTTCATGAATCCGCTGAACATGCTGCAGCACTAAATTCACTGTTTGCCACATGGCCAAGCTCATCTGCTCATCACAGTGGAGCTGGTGGCCTTGGCGTTATGGGCTCCCAACCCTGGCCAATGACATACGACAGCCCTGGGCACATCTTGAACCATGAAAGGAAGGCACAGGCCAGATGCCAGATACGAGGCTGATGCTTAAATGAGTGAAAGAAAAAATCACCCATCATCCTCCCCCCACCCCACCCCCAAAAAGCCAAAACCTAATTCAGACCAACCTGAAAACTAAAAATAAGAGATGGAGAGGAGGTGGAGAAGACAGCCATCCAGGAAATTCGTTTCTGACCATAGGGACTGAAAAAGACTTGCCTCTGCCCTCAGTTGGCAGAGTGGTTTGTTGTGCAACCTGTGAGACTCTGCCCAGTACCTCTTATCTGGGCTGTCAGTTAAACTGACACGGCTGACTCTCCCCACAACGGAGCTGTAATTAGCTCAGATGCCGGGCTGGGACAGGCCTGGGATGGGGCACTTCCAGGTGCTGGTGATAGACAGGGGCCCACTCCAGCAGTAGTTCTGTTGGCGCTGTGCTCCTTCCCCACCCAGGCTAAGGGTTTGCGCTGCTCCTCTGGAGGCCATGGGACTGGCTGTGCACCTGCAGGCCCATGGTGCAGAGCTACAGGGCACCACAAGCTGTCCACATGCCCACGTTAGAGTTTCACTCAGCCCTTGGCCTCCCAGGGAGAATCAGAGCTGAGTTAATAAGTGAAGCATTTACAGGCCACCTCATACTCTTGAAAGATAAGGAGAGCCCTCAACCTTGTGATAGATAAGCATTGTTCAAGAGCAGAAGTCTCCAGGGAAGACGTCTTGGAAAATCCATGTTTTCTATGGTCAGGGCTACCTTAGCCTCCCAGACCCTCCCAGAAGGAAGTAGAGATAGAGGGCCATGTGTCTGCTGGCCTGGTCTGCCCACTGCACATCGTGGGGCTGTGGGTGATACACTCGGGACACGCTGCACAGCCCGGTCCTGAGCCCTTCCCTGGACTCTGACGGCCCAGGTCTGGCTCTGCCCACAGCCCTGCTTTAGGCCGTGGCTCTTGCATACTTTGGCCTCCTGTGAACATTTAAAAGATGGTGGTGTCTGCCCTCATGCATCTAAATAATAAAAACGTTTCCAAACCACAAGTTTTAAAATCCCACAAAGCTCTGATTTTCTCATGATGACTGGCTGCTGCTGCTGCTTCCGACTTTCCTTCTGCCCTCCTTCACCTCCTCTTTTTCTTCTTCAAGTGTCGAATTCTTTCAAATGTTTGTTTTATTTCATAACCCTGCTTGCTGATGCCCTGAGCGTGGGCTTGCTCTGTTGTTTGGTAGCCCAGTGCGGGCCGTAACCTTGCTCTTAGCAAACAGCTTCCAGCTGGGAGATGTGCCCCTTGGTCACCAGGACCAAACCCAGTTACTAGTTCTGTTGATGCCAACAAGTCTTTCAATTACAGCGATGGGTACAACTGGTCTGCTTAGAATGAACTTGAGCCTGGAGCCCAGAGACCCAGGTGCCAGTCCAGGCTCTGCCTGCAACTGACCAGCCCTCTCTGGACTCAGTTTCCTCATCTGTAAAGTTACTAGAAGGCCACCGTGGTCGTTTCCAGCTTCTGCAGGCCACACCCTTGCTGTCATGGGATTCAGGCCAGGCCTGGACAGCCTGAGACACCTCTGTCCTTACTGCTTCTGGCTTAGTCCTCATCCCAGAGAAGGCTGTGGGTCAAGACAGTGCCAGGAGGTTGGGCAGCCGTCCACTCCCAAACCCAACCAGGGATTGGGATCAAGCAGGGAGCGGGGTACACTCAATGCCCACACCTGATGTGCTAACCACTGGGTGAATTATTTTCACTTCTGTGAACAAGGCCTCTGCTATCGCTTCACCAAGAAGCCGGCCACATCTGAAAACCACCGGTGTTGCGAGTTGTCTTATGGAAAGTGGAAACAGGCAGGATGTGGTTTGAACTGACAAAACACCAAGGCAGCCCATTCCTCAGGAGGGGCTTTAAACAATGGCATGGAGAATGGGGGAGGAGATCATGTCTTCTGACTTGGAGCCAACTGGCCATTAAGGCTGGGCCGGCAAACGAGCTACTTAGGACCAAGATGGTAAAACAACAACAACAACAACAAAACACACGCACAACAACCGAGAAACAAAAACAAATCAACAGTAGTATTCCTCCTTTCAGTAGTAAAACTCTGCATCTATACAGCAACTCCCACACTGAAGATGCTTTCACACTCACTAGGTGCTTGCTCTTGATGACCTGCAGAGACAGGCGGAGCTGTGTTAATATTCCTGTTTTGGGGATAAGAATCCTGAAATAGGATGACGGCTGTGAAGACAGGAAGTGTCAAAGTGGTCCCAAAAGCCAGGACTCCTGAAGCCTGACCCCAATTCAGCATCTAGTTCTCCTGGCCCTGTGTAAACACAGCCCCATTCGAGAAAGGCAGCACTTCCTGTGACACCACAGCACACACCCCCGCCTTGGGTTGGGGGTGCATCCCCCCAAATGGATGCTGCGTGAAGGCAGAGGGCTTGAGGGCTTTACCACATACTCCCTGTGCCTCACACCTCGCTGCCCATTGAGACACTCCACAAAGTCTGATAAATGAACAATTAATTATAAATAATGAAAACACCGAGAGGCCACTCATCTCCAAAGATTTAGGTACAGAATTTGCCCAGCTGTGATAGGATCTTATGCGGAAAAGGTTTCTGTCTTGCCTCCTAAGCCAGTTGGATGAAAAGTCTTTTCCTTGGCTTTCCTGGAAAGGAGAAACATTAATGTGAAAAGACAGGAGTGAAATGAGTTCCTGGAAATTGACAGTGGTCCATTTCTCTGCACCTTAGAATTTGCTGCGCTTGACTCCCTTACGTGCTGGTACCACTCCTGTGAGATAACAGTTTCCCTGTGTTCCATCTGCAAGGACCTTCCTTGGTGTGTTGGTTGACATTTGATGGCTTTGCTGAGAGGTATTGTTTTGAAGAAGGTAACAATCCTAGCGCTCTTGTTGACTGGCTGGCTTAGCCACATTTGGGGTGGTTGTTCTTCTGAATGACTGTGGGGTAAGGGACACAGTGTCTCAGAGTCTCAGTTTCCTCATGTCTAAAATCGGGGCGATGATAAAAGTGTCCATAGCGTGGGTTAGGGTTAGGTCGTAAGGATGGAGTGACGTCATGGCGGGGCCGCTGGGAACAGTGCCTGGCATAGAGCAAGCGCCCAATAAATAGCAGCTATTGTTACTCTTGCAGGGTTCTTTAAGCAGCATAATAGTCTTTAAATCATAAAATCTCAGCCTGCGTTTTTTTTCCTCATAGACATTATCCAGAGCAGCAGACCTTGTTTAATGTTTCCCTGGCTTCCTTCCCTCTGTTTTCAGTCTCTGGGGAGGAGTGGAAAGGAAGGACAATCTCATGCTGCAAACGCCACCTCTGCAAACTCCTTGGATTAATTCACAGCACTCAACTGAAATGACTTTTTATTTTTAGCACACATGAGTATTTAATATATGATAAAGGTTACACCGCGCATCAGTTGGGAAAGGAAGGACCACTCAATAAATGGAGCTGGAACAACTGGCTAATTATTTAGGAAAATGTGAGTCTATTTTTACCTTTAACCACACACCAAAAACTTTATAGATGGATCAGAAATGAATGCCATCTCAAATCCAAAATCAAATATGTGTACTTCAGAAGGAGGAACGTCCTTCTAAACACAAAAGTGATAGAAAGACATAGAGATTTGACTACATAAAATACAAGCCTATGAAAATCACAAAAATAATGAAATCAAAGAGTAAATGTCATACCAGATGAAAATATTCATAACATAGGCAAGAGCCCATTACTTCATTGAGTTATTTGTCTTTTGATTAACTTGTAAGAGCTCTTTGTATATTCAGGAAATTAGCACTTTGGGTCTCGCATGTGTCATCTGCCATCTATCCACTTCTTTGTGGTATTCTCTGTCTCTCGGAAACTTGTAAGCCCTAAGCAGTTTAAATTTGTAAATCTAATAGAAATGAATTATAAGCTGACTTCATTGTATATATATCTATGTAGTCACCTTTGATGTCACCTGAGATCTGAGCTCTGCCAAGAATAACATAAACTGCACTATAGAACTGTTTGTTGTTGTTATAGTCTTAGTTGAGTGGATTACACAGAATTTTGGATCTATGTTCTCCTGCTGCCTTTAAAAAAAAAGAGAGAGAGATCTGATAACTATTTTTGTTGGAATTTGGACAGAAAGCTGCCACTCTTAAAGCCTTATAGCTCTGTCTATTTTCAACCCATGCCTTCATTTCTTTGCCTGAAAAATGAACCAAGTCACCAACTTTCACTGAATGTTTTCAGAGGCAGACCCCGAAAGGTTATTGCATCTGTGAGTGACCGCCTCCCTGTGGACTGGAAGGCATTGAAGGTTTTGTGATGTCATTCTCCCTATCTTTCGATGTCTTCTCCATCCATGTAGGCTAGATATCAATATCCCCCGTCCCTTGATTGGTTTCCATTCTGTTCTTTCACAGCTGAGCATGGGGAATTTCCAAACGAGAACTAGAGCAGGTAGGCATGGCAGCCAACGTTCCTGATGTCATTAGTTGTCTCTAAATCTCCGTGAAGTTTTTATTAGCTTCTGGTAACCAAGAAAAAAAAAGAAACAGCAAATCATTTGTTAAAGTCATGAAGCTGAACTAAATGGATAAGGTCCTCTAATTGACCTCGAGGAAGCTCAGGGACACTGTAGATCAGTGGTTAAATGACTTGTATGTCTAGATTTAGAGAAGATGTCTGGCTGCCGAGCAAATTTGTCTGCCCATAAATTTTTTGATTAGGCTGAAGGCTTCTGCCAACATAGCCAGATATTCAATTCAGTATGTCCTTCATTTGAGCTAATATCGTGACTGAAAGCACAGCAATCTGAGAGACATAGTTATTTAAATTTAAAATTGTGCTCACAGCTTGTTTCTAAGAGATCAATTTATTAGTCCAGGTGGGAGATAGAAATCCTCAAGGTTGTAGCTATGATGCTATTGGAAGCGTATTAATTGGAACCATGGGCTGAAGGCAGGAGCTCTCTGACTTTACACTGCCTGCCAAGGATGCCTTATTTTAAGTACGTCAGTATTCCTTGCAGGAAAATACTGTTACATATTTATTTTTGATAGCCTAGTTCAGGCTCCACAAGACATCACTGAAATGCCCAAAGTAAATTCTTAGTGTAAATCACTGGTGTTAAAGATAAACCACGAGCTTCTTGCCGCATCTCCATGACATCCAAATAAGGGTTCAGGTGCCTGTCGAAGGGGACAGCTTCCACGAAGCTGCGTGGAACCTGGGATTATTTAACAACTTTCCAACTCTTCACCCATTACAAGTAGAGATACATGGACAACACACTCCCTTTTAAATTGATGTATTTTTCTCTCTTTCTAAAAAGAATTCCTATTGCCGGGCATGGTGGCTCATGCTTGTAATCCTAACACTTTGGGATGCCGAGGCGGGTGGATCGCCTGAGGTCACCAGTTCGAGACCAGACTGGTCAACATGGTGAAACTCCGTTTCTACTAAAAATACAAAAATTAGCTGGGGTGGTGGCACATGCCTGCAATCCCAACTACCCGGGAGGCTGAGGCAGGAGAATCACTTGAACCCAGTAGGCGGAGGCTGCAGTGAGCCGATACTGGCACCACTGCACTCCAGCCTGGGCAACAGAGCGAGAAAGCAAGACTCCATCACAAAAACAAAAACAAAAGCAAAAAACAAAACAAAAAAACTTCTATTATTTTCTATCAAGAAAAATAATCTTGTATAAGAAGTATAAAAATCTGGATTAGAAATGCTATAAAACAAACAACAACAACAACAACAAGAAGCAAAAGACAACCAAAATAACTAAAAATTTTTGATTTTCTAGATCTTTCTTTTCCCAAGCAGGTAACCTATTTTCTTCTGAGTAGGCAGTTTCCTGCTATCAAACATAAGTCAAGAGCTCTCCCAATCAGCAAGTGTCAGAATGAAAATAAATAGGTATAACCTCTTTCATTAGAGACTTTTTTGGGAGTCTTTTCATGGGCAACTTTTGGTTTGGTTTGTCGCTTTACCAAGAGCTAAGATCTAGATAAGCAAGTATTCTTCGTGTTTCTCTGTCTGGGCGTTTTTTCTCGTTCAGGAATGGCACTCTTCAGGGATCCGGCTTTGTGTACTAGCTCTGGTCTAACATTCTATCTTGTGTGGTGCTGGGCTTAACCTTTGCCACCAGGGGCATAGCCTCTTAAAACCCAAGGTCAAGCCCACCATGGATGACAAATGCCTGTGGAACAAACAACAACTTTGGTCTTCTCTTCTGTCATTTGGGGGATTTGATGGCTTCCTTTTCTTTTGCCATACAAGCTATTATATAAGAGGGATTTCATTATATAAAAGAAGTTTCTCCAGATACCTTGGCTGCCATATGCCCACCTATGATTTCCTACTAATGGCTTCTGTCTTTTTTTGTTGTTGTTCCTACTGTAGTCTCTCTCTCTCTCTTTCTCTCTCTTTCCCTCAGCCTTTCCAATCCAATGCTCCTATAACCAATTCCTGTGTTAAATCCTCTCTGTTTGAAATACTTGATTTCTCTTTTCCTGACTGGACATGATCCCTCTGTGTCTCTGGCACAGACACCATCCCTGAGTCTGACTTAGCTCCTCAGCCCTGACCTTCCATCTTCCTACTCAGCTAAGAGAGAGCTAATGAAAAGAAAGAAAAGCTATCATAGGAAATCTTATGTGGGCAATATAGCAGCTGAGAAACTGCCGGTGCAAAGGGGGTTGTGGGAAAGAAAATACAAAGCTTAAATGAACCTAAGTAAATTGTACACATCAATCAATGCAATTGCATAAATTAGTGTACAGAAAAGAAAAGGAGTTTGGGAGTCAGCATTGGATTCAAATTTTCTCTGCCACTTGCAGGTAGGGTTATCTTAAGCAAGATATTTTCCTTATGTTTAACGAGTTGAATTGTGTCTCCCAAAAGACACGTTGAAGACCTAATCCCCAGTATCTCAGAATGTGGCCTTATTTGGAAACGGGGTCATTGAGATATTAATTAAGTAGATAAAGTCTTACTAGGGTAGGGTGGATCCTTAATTCAACATGACTGGTGTTCTTATGAGGAGACACAGATACCTCATAAGAGAGAAGAATGCCACGGTGGCAGAGGCAGAGATGGAACTGACGCAGCTGCAAACCAAAAAGTGTCGAGGGTCAACAACAACCACCGGGAGCCAGGAAGAGGCAAGGAAAGGTTCCATCTAGAGTCGGTGAGAGCATGGCCCTGCTGGCACCTTGCTTTCTGGCTTCCAACCTCCAGAACTATGACAGATACGTTTCTGTTGTTTTAAGCCATCCAGTTTGTGGTGCTTTGCTGTGTCAGCCCTAGGAAACTAGTGCATTATCTGAGTCTCAGTTTCCTCATCTATAAAGGTGGGAGAGTGATACTTTACAGTAATGTTCCCCAACCTTTTTGGCACCAGGGACTAGTTTCGTGGAGACAATTTTTCCACGGACAGGGGCCGGGGGGGATGGTTTCAGGATGATTCAAGTGCATTGCATTTACTGTGCACTTTATATTATGATTACATGGTAATATATAATGGAATAATTATACAATTCATGATAATTGTAGAACCAATGGGAGCCCCGAGCTTGTTTTCCTGCAACTAGACAGACCCATCCAGGGGTGATGGAGACAGCAACAGGTCATCAAGCATTGGATTCTCCTAAGGAGCCGCAACCTAGATCCCTCCCATGTGCAGTTCACAATAGGGTTCGCGGTCCTATGAGAATCTAATGCCTCCGCTGATCTGACAGGAGGCGGAGCGCAGGTGGTCATGTGAGCGATGGGGGGCAGCTGTAAATGCAGAGGAAGTTTTGTTTGCCCGCCTGCTGCTCACCTCCTGCCGCATGGCCCGGTTCCTCACAGGCCTAGGTACTATCTGTGGCCTCTTAGGAACTGGGCCACACAGGGTTTCACAGGTTGTGAAAGGGTTTGCCACATTCTTTCCAAGATTTAAATAAGGACATGTGTGCCGAGCATGTCCTCATGTGTCCTCAATACATGGTCACTGTTGGTGATGTTCTGCAATTTTGAGGGGGCTGGCTCTCCACAGGACGCCACTCCTGTCAACAGTGCTTGCCTCCCTACACATGCAAACACACACTACACACCACACCACACACACCACACACACTCACACAATACCTACCATGCGCAGAAATACACACTACACACCACACCACACTCACACACACCACACCCACTCTACACACCACACACACACACCCACTCACATTACACACCACACACACACACCACACCACACACACTGCGCCCACTCACACAATACATACTATGCACAGAAATACACACACTACATACCACACCACACTCACACACACCAGACCCACTCACACCACACACCACACACACACCACACCACACACACCACACCCACTCACACAATACATACCATGCACAGAAGTACACATGCTACACACCACATCCACTCACACACACACTACACACACCACACACACTACATGCCATGCCACACTCACACACACTACACACACCACACACCACACCCACTCACACACTACATACCACACCACACTCACACACACCACACCCATTCACACACACTACACACACCACACACACTACACCCACTCACATACTACATACCACACCCACAAATACACTACACACACCAGACTCACACACCACACTCACAAATGCACACACTACACACCACACCACGCTCTCACACACACCACGCACACCACACACACAACATCCACTCACACACTACATACCACACACAAATACACACACTACACACACCACACACACCACACTCATCCTACACACCACACCACACTCATACACTACACACCGTACACACACCACACTCACACAGATGACACCACACTCACATCATACCACACTCACACACACTACAAACCATGCCACACACACCATACCATACACCACACACACACACAAATACAAACACAACATGCTCCATACACACAAATACACAAACACACCATACCACATGCACACACACCCCACACAAACCACACTATGCACCACACCACATAGACCACACCAGACACGCACAAATACACCACACCACACACAAACCACACAAAGACACAAAGACACACCACATACACACCACATAAATCACACACATAACATACAACACACAACACATCATGCATATCACACTACCATAAACACACACACACACACACACCAGTAGCCTCTGCTCTGTGTGTAGCCCTGCATGTGTGGCAGCAAACTCTGATGTGCTTTTGTCCGTTTCAAGACTTCCAGGATGTTCATTTCAGCCAGGCCTGGCCTGTGTAGAGGTCTGGCCAGAGGGGAAGGGGTCCGAATCCAGCCGTGGCCCTGGACAGCGACCTCTGGAGAGCACCCACTCCTAGCTGGGCCCTGCCCAGCTGAAACTACTCCCTGTGGCATTCACCCCTGTGGCCTTAACTCAAAAGCACAAGGAGTTGCCAGTTACTAAAAAGTTGAAAGCAAAATGCATTTGTTTCACATTTGCCAAGGTGTTTGCCAATGATAGATTAAAATGGCCATACCTTCTCGTCCTTTAATGTGCTCTACTTAAAAAAAAAAAAAATCAGTTGCTGGTGACAACCCAACCTCAGATGGAGGGAGACAGAGCAGGCTTGGTTTGGTTTGGTTTGGTTGAGTTTGAATCCACGTGGGAAGCCCAGGGAGAGGGTAGCCCGTAGCCCCAGTTCCTCCCCAGGCACAGGCAGCCTGTGTGTCATTCTCACTAGCACTTAGGAACACTTGAAAATAATTTTCAAAGGAAGTAGGTAACTCTCCAAAATGTCCAGGGTGCAAATGAGAAACAGTCTTGCGGCCTCGCACACATGTGCCGGGAGAGCCCATGGCTAAAGAGAGAACACGCATGTGCCTGTCTTTGACGTTGCCTGGTTTCTGGCTACCAGCTGCTCAGAGCTTAAATTGGAGCTGTCACAGACCAAAGATGCTGCCTGCAAATAATATATGTGCTTGGGACTCCTCAGCAGCGCCAGCTTCTCCTCCCCTCCCTGTGGCTGAACAAATCTGCGCTCCTGAAGAAAAGCAGAACTCTGGAATTGACCCGCTCCCTATCTGAGTCATCTTACCTTTAAGCCATAGTTGGACGGAGCTTCAGAGCCTCAGAGCCATTAACAGTGCACCTCTCCCACAAACACACGCCTGCCTGAAGAGCAGCCGGCCCGGGGAACTCTAAACAGCAATTAGGCAAAATCTGAAATTACAGAGTTCTCACTCCACAGAGAAATGCAAATGATAATTTTGCCTCCTCCAAAGGCCCACAGCCTGATTTTGTCCTCCATCTGCAAAATCCTTCCTTCCACCCTCCAAAGAACTTCCCCAACGAGGCCTTCCTGGACAAGCCAGAAAGGGGGCTCATAGGTCCTCAGCTCAGTCTGTGTAATCTGCCTGCTGAAATCCTGGAAAGAGGGATGGAAGGGAGAAAGAGAAGGAAGAGAGGGAGAGGGAGGGGGAAGGAGGGGGAAAGAGGTAGAGGTTAGAAGAGAGACAGGGATCAAGGAAGGGAGGCAGGGAGAAAGAAAGAGAATTTCTTTTACATCGTTTTTACCCACCCCAAACATTAGTTGGACACTAACTATGTCCTAAGCACTGTCGCAGATAAAGCAAAGTATAAGATGTATAACCCCTTGGCTGAGTGCAATGGCTCACGCCTGTAATCCCAACACTTTGGGAGGCCAAGGTAGGAGGATCCCTTGAGGCCAAGATTTGGAGACCAGCCTGCGTAACATAGTGAGACCCCTCCCGCATCTCTACAGAATATATATATATTAGCCAGGTGTGATAGTGCTCGCTGTAGTCCCAGCTACCTGGGAGGCTGAGGCAGGAGGACTGCTTAAGCCCAGGAGTTCAAGGTTGCGGTGAGCTGTGATCATGCCATTGCACTCCAGCCTGGGTGACAGAGTGAGACCCTGTCTCTAAAATAAATAGATAAGATGTAACCTTTAGGCTCAAGTCATTTCCAATCTAGTCAGGAGAAAAAAAAAAAGCCAAACACAACAATTTACTCAAGCACTTAATTTGATGCCACAGGTCACTATGGCTGTGCAAATGCCGGGAAGAGAGAGACAGCTGAGAGCTGGAGGAGGAGATGCTTCGTGGAGGAGCTGGAAGCTGAGGCAGACCCCGATAGAGAAGTCGAATCTGAACCAGAGGAGTCGGGTGAGAAGAACCGGTCCAGGAGAGGGAAGACAAGCCAAGTCCCGGGGTGAGCCCCTGTGGAAGAAGCCTCCACACTTCTCTGATCAACCCTGCGGCTCCCTTAACACCACCAGGATTCCCTTTGTGCCTCCTTGTGCTTGGGTGCCCAGGGGTCCCCGAGTTCCTGGAGGGCAGGGGCCGTCTTTCCTGCTTTGCACGCCCAGCCCAGAGTACAGTGCCTGGGACACATGGCCACAAACGTAAATTGTGGATTGAACAGATGAGTGAACAAGAATAACATGAACTGCAAAGTAGGTGCCTGGCTGGAAATCTACCAGCCCATCCTTGGGGGGCTTTAATTCACTATCATCTCCTGTGTTCTTAAGAACCATCCAATGGGCTCTCAGTATAGGTTGGTAATGAAGTGGAGTCCAGGAGATGTCAGCTTAGAGGCCATCCCCACTCCGTACCTCTGGTGATGCTGTGAGATTCTCTGCCTCCGTTGAGGTTGTTGAGCTCTCACCTCTCCCGGCCCTGTTGCAGTTGTCCCGAAAGATTTTGCTCCAGAACCAGTGAGCTCTCCGCCTGGCCAGATACGGGGTTTCTTCCCTTCCTCTGACTCCTCTTATCCCTTCAGTATCATAACTGCAGCCACTGAGCCCTGAAGGTGACCCCGTAGGACTGGCTGCCCCTCGTTGCCCTGGGTGAAAGTCTTGGCTGAGCCTCCCCTTCTCCTTGGTCTCCACCCTGGGACAGCCCACCGAAGGCCTGCTCAGTTCCGGGTCCCGACCTTGACCACATTTCTAATTTTCCGGATCACAAGGGTTTCCTGGCTCTGGCCTGGGCTGGACCGGATGCTTTGGCTGTCTCAGCACCAGGTCTGACACAAGAGGTTCCTTGGGAGGCGGATCTGAGCTGGGACTGAAGCAGCAGGAACCCTGGGTAACAGGAGGCTGGAGGGTGAGGTGCAGAGGTAGGGAGAAAAGGCCATGGGGTATCAGAAGCTGATCGGAATTTGTGGTATGCAGGGCCTGCTGGGGGCAGTGGGGAAGGGGTCAACCTTGGGAGGGCCTTGAGCAAGGCATGGCATTAAGAATTTACCCTGTGGGTAGAAGAGGGCCATTAATGAGTTTTAAGCAGAGGGGACAAATGGCCAGATTTGTGTTTTAAAAAGATAACCCCTAGCTTTGATATTTTTTGCTATAAAGGGTTGCCTAGGTTAATGAATCACTTTTTAAATGTCCTATCTCATATGTACTCATCCATCAATACCCATCTCTCATTCATTATCCAGACACCCAGGGCACTCAGATTTATGAGGATGTGGGAGATAGTCAAGTGTACAATGGGGTGGGGGAGGCAGAATTCTAAACAGGGAGCGCGTGAGGTTCCTTGGACCTGAGCTATTCTCTCTCTCTCCATTCCCAGGGTAAAACCCGTTTTGCCACAAGTCGTTCGGATTTTTAAAATCTCTATTTCATAACACACCAGAACTAAGTTGCTGTTTACTCGTTCCAACAGGACATGGTGTGTATACATCATTCGATTAAGTTATTACTGGGTAAATCAAGAGCATCTGTGTGGGGGAGAAAGGCTGAGATCCTGACTCAGTGATTTGCAGCAGCGCCTAATAATATCTCCACTTGCGCATCTTCACAGAGCCAAGAGGCTGTCCACCAACTGTTTCCTCGCTTTAGCCCTGTGACCACCAAGGCATAGGCTCCAGGGACAGACTGCCTGGATTGGGCTCCAGCCTGGCTGTTTACATGTTGTGCAACCTTGGGTAAAATATTTAACCTCTCTGTGCCTCAGAAGCCTCATTTATAAGACAGGCATTATAACAGAATCTATATCATAGGGGTGTTATAAGGACTGAAGGAATCAATACATGCACAGTGCTTAGAACAATGCCTGGCTCACAGGGAGCACACAGTAGATGTTATCTATTCTTATTCTTATCCCCTTAGCTACCAAAACAGGACTAGAATTGGACTTAAATTTGTCAGTTTCCCATAGACTCAACATTGAATCTTGGCCCCTTCCACGTCCAAGGAACAGGCCCTTGCTTGGGTTCCATCATCGGTGAAGGTCCCATTTGTACATCTTTCCAGTTTGATTCTAGAATGCCTGTAGGCCTGATCAATTCCTTAGACTTTGCTCGTCCCTATCTAGTTAGTAATTAACATATTAGGTTTGGGTGCCTAATATGTTAATTAGGTAGGATTGGGTGCCTGACAGTGAATGACTCTAAGTAATTGTGTGATGTGAATTACACCAGGGGCATTTGTATTCCCAGTTTCCAGAATATTCTAGGCACTCAATAATACTTGGTGGATGAATACGTAATGTTAAGGGCAACAACAGAAAGTACCATCTGGGCTGGGGCATGGTGGCTCATGCCTGTAATCTCAGTACGTTGGGAGGACAAGGCAGGAGGATTGCTTGAGCCCAGGAATTCAAGACCAGCCTGGGCAACATAGTGAGGCTCATCTCTATTTAAAAAGAAAGAAAGAAAGGAAGGAGGGAAGAAAGGAAGAAAGAAAGAAAGAAAGAAAGAAAGAAAGAAAGAAAGAAAGAAAGAAAGAAAGAAAGAAAGAAAGAAAGAAAGAAGGAAAGAAAGAAAGGAAGGAAGGAAGGAAGGAAGGAAGGAAGGAAGGAAAGAAAGGAAGAAAAAGAAAGAAAGAACAATCTGGGCTACTGTAGGGTTATTATTCCATCATGTACATCACACATTAAGAGTCAGCCTTCTACTATGCGTAGTTATAAAATAATCTCACTTAATTTACTAAGTGCCAATCTTAAATCATACTGTAAAGCCGTACACAGTCCTAAAATCACACCAATTAATTCTAGTCAACTGATCAGACACTCTGCTACTTGTTAAACTTCAAAATGTAGTGTTTACTGATTCAGATTAACCATGATTTTTTTAAAAAAACTAAATCTACAGACTTACAAAATTGGCAAATTAGAGGTTATATGATCTACAAAAGCATTTTTCAACTTTAAAGAAAAAGATCCTTAGGAAGTATCTGTAAATTTCAAGTTCCCTATAGATGTTAAAAGTACCATTCAATATACTAAAATGCATGTTCCATGAATACACCTATTTTACAAACATTAATAAATCGAGCTATAAGATATTGCCATTTAAGTCCAAGAACAAATGTAGGTGTTAATATTGAGTACGTAGAACAAGTAAAAGACAAAAATAAATAAATGTATTAGAGATAAAAAGATGGGATTTTAAAAAGAAGGCAGAAAAAAGAAGCATGTCAAAGGAGAACTCAAGCCCAAAGTAATCAAGGCTTGTGGTTTATCCTAAAGGCCACAAAAACAGTTTATTATTTTCATCCCTAGCTTAGAAGGACAAAGACATGCTAGACCCCGCGAGGGTAGACAGCACAATCGTAGCAGGTAGCAAAGAGAAAGAAGCTTCTTAACTCTGGCTGTCAGGGAACAGGTCCAGTGGCCACTCTGGAAGCACCTCAGCCACACTGGGTGAAGCCGATGCCACAGGATTTGGACTTAAAACTCAGCTGCCACTGCTCATGACCACACCAGCTGATTGTCCTGACCTCCATTTTGGGGGTTTTCTTCTGGATCTTCACTGGTAAATGACTCAACCTATGATTCAATCTTTGTCTTTCATTCTTCAACCTGACGTTTGGGCCACTCCAAGACCCAGGATCTCATGTCCCTGAAATCTCCTGGTCAACATGGACCTTTATTAGTCTTCAACTCTCTGGCTCAGTTCTTGATTCTTTCCCCTTATTTTCTGCTTTGATAGAGCTAATAGATTGGAAGAACACAGACATACACACTATGCCTATAGCATATCACGATTACAGCAGAACACTTGATAAAGCCTCTCATTTAAATCCCAGTGGAACAGACTGGAAACTTGCATGCTGCATGGTAACATAATTAGATCACTGTTTCCCGAGTGTGTTTTATGGGACTCCATAAGAAGATATCCTCACATACAGACACATATATACAAAGTAGTCCGCATTCTTAACAAGTCCCTGGGAGCAATAACACAAAGTAGTCCGCATTCTTAACAAGTCCCTGGGAGCAACAATAATAAAGACCCTGAGAGCTTTTTTATTTATTCATTTATTTATTTATTTATTTATTTTATTTCTTTTTTTTTTGAGACAGAGTCTCGCTCTTTTACCAGGCTGAAGTGCAGTGGCGCGATCTCCGCTCACTGCAACCTCCGCCTCCCAGGTTCAGGTGATTCTCCTGCCTCAGCCTCCTGCGTAGCTGGGATTACAGGTGTGCGCCACTACACCCAGCTAATTTTTGTATTTTTAGTAGAGATGGGGTTTCACCATGTTGGCCATGGTGGTCTCAATCTCTTGACCTCATGATCTGCCCGCCTTGGCCTCCCAAAGTGCTGAGATTACGGGCATGAGCCAGCACACCCGGCCAAGAGCTTTTTTAAAAGTAAGTCTTATCAATATTTAGAGGAGCAGTTCCTCTATCAGACACATTCTGAGATAGCCTGAATTTGGGACGATTCATAGATGGTTTAATAACTGTACTCAGAGACTACTGCTCAGTGTCCATTTGTAGAGACATTGCTAGTTCTGTCTAGATCAAAAGGCTTTGCACTTGCCCTAATCAGCTCAATATTTTTTTCCCATCAATGACTTTGAATTAGACATAGAATCTATGTCTTTTAATTGGTGGTAGGAAGACAGTTAGTATAATGAAAGGCAGGGTCAAAATCAAAATAATCTGAATAAAGACTACTCATTGTGCCTTTTTTATTTGACTCGTATACCATCCTGCATTTGTGTTTTAAAAATTAATTGCACAAAAATATAACAGGAGAGAGTTGATCTGGCGATGGTTCACGAATAGCCTGCAAGCACAGCCCGAGCCAATGAAGTGATGCTAATGCAATTCAAAGCCGCAGGCCTAGAAGCTTATTGTCCAGACCACGTCTGGAGTATATATCAAATCCTGGCTACTGCATTTTAAAACAGCCATTATGTGCAGAAGGGGTTGGACAGAGTGAAAGCCACCATCATAGGAAAACTGTCTGAAGGCATTAAATACGCTTGAGTTAGAATAAGAGAAAACTCTAGGAAGACTGTGTGTTGATTTATCTTCAATATGCAAAAGACAATCATGTGGATACTGAGTAAGACTTGATCTATGTGCTCAAAGTCTAGATGGCAGGCCAAAGGGTATAAGTCAAGTTTCCCTTCAATATAATGACTTTTTCTTATGTCATATGGTCCAATAATGGGGATAGGTTGTCCTCATAAGTAGTATGCTCCCCATCATGGAAGATGTTCAAACAGATGCTGAATGCCCAAGTGTTGGGGCTGTTGAAGAAGGGATGACATCAAGCATTCTCCCTGGTTGTTTAAATATTTAACTGCTGTGTAGCCACCTTATTTGGGAGGATGGTCATAGATTACCTAGCCTGTCCTCTCAACCTTCTGCAGAATCTTCTCCCATGCCTAACTCTCTATGACATTTCTGCTTTTAGTCCTCAGTACCATCTGAAAGTGAGGGAGCATCAGGAGCTGCAGCTGTGGAGGCCTCTGAGCTGCTCCAGTGCCTGGGATTGTGTCCAACTCATGCTTTAACATTGCAAAACACCTTGATAGCTTTGCAACAAATTCCTCTCTATGTTCAAACTGACCTGACTCAGTTCTTACTACTGACAAACTAAAGAACTGTAACTGCAACCCCCATCTCGTGCCTTTTAAATATCATCTCACCAGAAGATAGTTCAAGTTCATTTAAGAAGGGATTTGGGTCATCATTTTATAATATTCTTATTTCCCGTCCTTATACCCTGAGTGCCGAAGTCCACGTACATTAAAGCAATCGGAGAGATTCCAATTAGCCTCATAGTCACTCATGCTCAAGTGTAGAGTATCTGGAAGAACCAAAAAAAGGCTGCTGGAACAGAGTTATTTACATTTTAATTAAAAAAAAATACGCATCTGGTGATGCACATTTGACTCATAAGGGAACACTTACGCAAGTACCAGTTTTCCTCTGAAATGTCTCACTAGTGGTGTGAGTTTTATACGATAGTTTCTGGCCTGGAACCAAGAAAATGGCACAGCCTCTAAAAGTTCATTTGTTACACAGCTGGCCTGACAGTTAATTAATGGGCTTTATTAGGCTGGAGGTCGGGAGGCCTCCCTAAGCCAAGTTTAGGACCCAGTTAGGTATCAAGGGTCTGGAGCCCCAGACGAAGCTGAAACATCATGCTGTTAACTCCCCAAACTCTTGGCAACGCACAGCTTTCCTTTTAGAAGGTAATGGTTTCATGTCTCCTGTGAACAAGTCCTGTTAAAGATCAAAGCAATCTTTCGTAATCTCATTTTGATGAGTTAAAGGGAAATGAACCAGAAACATGAAAATTAAATGTCCCTTAAAACTCCTTTTGGGATGTAAATACTAAGAAGAATGCCCCCCTACCCCCGCCAAACCCTATATGGGATTTTATCAGACCCCACCCACGTAGGGGAAACAGAGCAAGGCTTCTGACAAATTGAGACGCATCTGGGTTTGCCTCTACCTAATTGGTCTGTATCATGATCCTGAAAAGGGTCTTGTCATGGAAAGGGCACCCGTGCTGTCCTGGCAGGTGGGGGTGAGGGCAAGGACTGTGCTGTGCTGCTTCCATCCACAGGGCATCATCTCTTCAAAGGGACCAATTGTAACCATCAAAAATGTAGGCTGCTACTTCAGCTTTAAAACACTCACTACATAAATGATGTCTCACGGGGCTCCAGGCTTATAAGTAAAAATGATTTTGTTTATGTGTTAATTTCTCACTAAAAACACAGCTCTCTCAAAGGAGTTTCTATAGCACATATGCCATCAAAGACAAATGCTCATTCAATCTGTCTCTTAAATGTGCAATGACTATCTCTGCATGTAAGAACGTAGAGGGTTTCATCTGTTTTTATTGAAGTGAAATTCACTTAACATAAAATTGTTGGGCACGGTGGCTCACATCTGTAATCCCAGCACTTTGGGAGGCTGAGGCGTGTGGATCACTTGAGGTCAGGAGTTTGAGACCAGCCTGACCAACATGGTAAAATGCTGCCTCTATTAAAAATACAAAATTAGCTGGTTATGGTGGCACATGTTTGTAATCCTAGCTAGTTGGCAGGCTGAGGCAGGAGAATCACTTGAACCAGGGAGGTGGAGGTTGTAGTGAGCTGAGATTGTGCCATTGCACTCCAGCCTGGACAATAAGAACAAAACTCTGTCTCAAAAAACAACAACAACAACAACAACAATAAACATAAAACTAACTATTCTAAAGTGAACAATTCCGTGACATTTTATATGTTCACAATATTGTGCAACCACCGCCTCTGCCTATTTGCAAATCATTTCCATCACCTTAAAAAATAGCCCCGTACCTATCAAGCAGTTGTTCCTCAATCTTTCCTCTCCCCAGCCCCTGGCAACTACTAACCTGCTCTCTGTCTCCATGGATTCACCTCTTCTGGACATATCATATAAATGGAATCCCAGCCAGGCGTGGTGGCTCATGCCTGTAATCCCAGCACTTTGGGAGGCTGAGGTGGGCAGATGACCTGAGGTCAGGAGTTTGAGACCAGCCTGGCCAACATGGTGAAACCCCATCTCCACTAAAAATACAAAAATTAGCCAGGCATGGTGGCACACCCCTGTAATCACAGCTACTCAGGAGGCTGAGGAAGGAGAATCGCTTGAACCTGGGAGGTGGAGGTTGCACTGAGCCGAGATCGTGCCACTGCACACCAGCCTGGGTGACAGAGCAAGACTCTGTCTTAAAATAAATAAATAAATAAATAAATAAATGGAATCCTATAGTATGTGACCTTTGTGCATGGCTTCCTTCACTTAGCATTATGTTTTTGAGGTTTATCCGTATTGTAACATGAATCAGTACTTCATTCCTTTTTATAGCTTAATAATATTCTGTTATATGTCTATGCCACAATTTGTTTATCCATTCATCTATTGATGGACATCTGGGCTGTTTCTGCCTTTTGGCTATTGTGAATAGTGCAGCTATAAACATGTGGGTACATGGATTTGTTTGGTCACCAGTTTTCAATTCTTTTTTTTTTTTTAAGAAATGGGATCTTGCTATGTTGCCCAGGCTGGAGTGCAGGGGCTATTCACAGGAGCAATCATCATTGCCTACTCAGCCTCAAACTCCTGGCTTAAGTGATCCTCCTGCCCCAGTCTTCTGCACAACTGGGACTACAAGCACAGGCTACACGCTCCTGGCTGTTTTCAATTCCTTTGGATATATACCTAGGAGTGGAATTGCTAGAGGGCCATTTGATGATAGAAAGAGCTATAGCTATACTCTGCATGCCTGTTTTTCCCCAACACCATAACACACACATAGGAAGTTAAATAACAATCCCCACAGCTGTGAACCCATTACCAGTTTCATTGAGTAGACATTGAAACTGCTGCCTGGCATTTCAATGTCCTCAGGTCATGGAGGGGATAAGCAAGAAGGGAGGCCCCAGTGATTTCTGGAGAGACTGGCACTATCAAGGGCGCTGGGAGAGCTACACAGTGGGAGCCGGAGCAGTATTCATGGATGCCCAGGGGTACCCCTTAGGATGTCTGTACTGCCTGCTTCATGGTCAAGGTTAACAAAGCACTACACATCAACCCCACATGGGCAGCATCACCAAGGACTCAAACTCCTCAGGACTGAAAACGTAGGTCTCTTTCTCAAGCAAAGAATTTCAACCAACTGAGATGCTGGAAAAAGACAAGGAAAGTTTGGAATAGAATGGACAGTTGGCCAATCAGTCTTATTCCTGCTACCAGCTGCAGCAGAGCAGACTGATATCTTCAGCAGTATTTCTCTGCATGCTGCTTATGTGTAAGAATTTCCTCCCTTTTCTAGTATAAATAGAAGTTACAATTTTTTCAAATGAAAAATCTGACTTCTGAGTGGATCACGTACAGAAACCTTCCTCTTTTCTTCAAACATGGATAAATATATTCATTTATTCACTGATGAACAAATATTTATTATTTGATAAATATGGTTCACTGTGCTGAGGGAATGACAGGGAACAAAACAGGCAAAGTCCTTGCCCTCATAGACACTGCCTTCTGGAAGAGGGAGGGAGACAGAACACAGTAAGTTGATCATATATCAGGTAATGATAAGAGCTAAGCAGAACAATGAAAGAGATTGAGGAGACAGAGCTTTAAGAGAGGGTGGTCAGGCGGGGATGTGCACTCATTTGTCTGAGAAACAGCATGGAACCTGTAAGACTGAGTAGAGTGTGTAACAGGGAGGGTGGTAGGAAATGCGATTAGAGAAGTAGTGATGGCCTGTCTCATGCAGGGCCTGTGGCTGTAGTAAGAATTCCATAAAACTAGTAAAACCTGGATGCCAAAACCAAACAAGGGGAAGATAAGAAAGGAAAATCACAAGCCAATCTCAATCACAGACATTATCAAAGTCTTAACATAATATTAGCAAACGAAATCCAGAGATCTATTTTTAAAAAATCATTTAGGATTTATCCCTAGAATGCAAGGATGGTTCAGGATGAAAAGATAATCAAATGATATTTACCACTTTAAAAGATTAAGAAAGAAGATCATATGATTGTTTCAATAGTTACAGATAAAGCATTTGATAAATTCAACACTAACTCATGATTTAAAAAAAAAAAACAACATAGTAAACTAGGATTAGAAGTGAATAAACTTCCTTAACCTGAGAAAGTATGTACAAAAAACATCCTTACAGAAGAATTGTTGGAAGCATGCCCTATAAAATCAAGAACGGGACAAAGATGTTCACTCTCAGTACTTCCATTCAACATTTTCCTGGAGGCTAGTAAGACAAGAGAAGACATAAAGATTGATGCACTGAATGGATGTGTCTGTGTCTGTATCAGCTTGGCATCATCACCACTTCCTCCTACAGTCTTCTCTGAATTGTGTAAGGTAGAAGCCTGAAACTGCATTTCCCAGCATCCCCTTCTCTGTATTACTCTGTGTTAAAGTTTGCAGTCCCATGAAATCTGATTGGTAGGGGAAGAGTTGAGGCTATCAGTCTCCAAATAAGGATGTAACCAGGTGTTGGGGCAGACCTGATATGCCCAGTGAATACTTGAGAACCACCTGCTTCATTGCTGCATGCTTAGACAGCTGATGGACGCTTCTCAAAGATTCTTAGGATTGCAGCTGTTTCCTGTTAAGAACCACCAATTTGGTGCATTGCAGTAATCTAATTGTACATCCAGTTTGGCATACAATAAGGACAAAAAGAATAGAACAAAATTTTTAAATATTGGTTTTGTTCTTGTGAAACTATTATATGTATTTTGTAGAATGAAACAAATATGTAATTATGCTAATGTCATTAGAAACCAGATTTTCAATGTGAGAGAAAAAGAGATCCAAATACAAACCAAAGAATAAAACCCTGTGATCTTAAATTTAAAATGGAAATTTGAGTATCCTATGATGATTTTTCTCTTTAAAAATTAATTTTTTAGGAAACATAAATGAAAAAATACCTAGAAGTGAAGTCACCTGGAAATAGAATGATCAACCCAGTATCACGGAGTACCCTTAAATATCCATCAGGGAAATGCAAATCAAACCACAACGAAATATCATTTCACAGCCACTAAGATGATTATAGTAAAAAAGACAAATATAGCAAGCATTGGTGAGGATGTTGAAAAATTAGAACCCTCTTACACTGACATGGTACAGTCATTCGGAAACAGTCTTCAGTTCCTCAAAAGCTTAAACATAAAGTTACCAAATGACCTAGCAATTCTACTCCTCATATATACTCACGCCAAATGAATCACATGTCCACAAAAACTTGCACACAAATGTTCATAGCAGCATTATTTATAATAGCCCAAACTGGAAACTACCCAAGTATGCATCAACTGATAACTGAGTAAGTAAAGTTGATTGTGATGATAGGTTGTACAACTGTATTAGTCCGTTTTCACACTGCTGATAAAGACATACCTGAGATGGGGTAACTTATTTAAAAAAAGAGGTTTAATTGACTCAAAATTCAACATAGCTGGGGGGACCTCACAATCATGGCGGAAGGTAAGGAGGAGCAAAGCCATATCTTACATGGTGGCAGGCAAACAGAATGAAAGCCAAGCGAAAAGATGGTTATAAACCATCTGATCTCATGAAACTTATTCACTACCACAAGAACAGTATGGGGAAAACTGCCCCTATGATTCAGTTATCTCCTACTGGGTCCCTCCCACAATACGTGAGAATTATGGGAGCTACAATTCAAGATGAGATATGAGTAGGGACAGCCAAACCATATCAACAACTCTGTGAATATATTAGAAGCCATTGAGTTATACACTTTAAATGGATGAGTTGTATAGGGTGTGAAATATATCTCAATGAAGCTGTTAAAAATAATACAGTATTTTAAAACTGATTATTAATGAAAGCACAGAAAAATACCAAGACTTAGGGTACAGCAATAGTTAAGGGAAATATTTATAGCACTACAAATATTTTTAGAACCATAAGAAAGATGAAATAAATGAACTCATGTCAATTCAAGAAGATAGAAAAAGAACAACGAGTTTAGGCAAAAAAAATGTGATGGAAAGAAATATTAAAGATAAAAACAAAAAAATAAGAAAAGGAAACAAAAGTAAAATAGAAATGACAGAATGAGTCTTAGAAAAGAAAAATAATGCTAATAAAATAAATCCCCATTAAGGCTGATAAATAAAGAAAAATGAACAAATAAACATTAGGAATAGAAAATATAATGTAACCACATATGCAGCAGAAACAAAATCATAAGGGAATCTGTGGCACAATTTTATGTCTATTCTGAAATTGGCTGAATTTTAAAATAGAAAAACTGAATAAAACAATTAGCATTAAAGAAATTGATTTGACAATCAAATATACCTGCCCTCAAGCCACCTCCCCAAAAAGACACTAGTCTTAGCTGATTTCAGCAGTGAATTTCATCAAACCTTTAAGGAAAAGGTCATTGCTATCTTATATAAGCTTCCCAGACAACAGAAAAGGACAGTAGGCCACTGAGTTTAGATAGTGTAGAATTAACACCAAAATGAAACAAGGACAGTACAAGAGACAGAAACTATAGGTTATCTCACTTATAATGTAGATTAAAATTCCTGAATAAATATTAGCAAATGGAATCCAACCAGAGTATTTTTTTTTTAACGATCACAACTAATTTTGATGTTTCCCAGGAAGGTAAGAATGTCAGAAATATCCATCAGGAGAACTTTACAACATTTATAGATCAAAAAGAAATAAAATGACACATTTTATTCTATAAATTCAACACCTTCTCTTATCTAAAAGAAAAACTCTTAGGAAGCTAGAAATGGAAGAGAACTTCCTTAATTTGATGAAGGGTTTTTATCAAAAACCTAAAGCAATCATATCACATCTTTCTGGATTATCCCTATTAAAACCAAGAAAAGGCAAGCAGGGCAGCCATCACCACCCCAGTCAACTTTACACAGAAAATACTAGCGAATGCAGTAAGCAACAAATAAATAAAATGCATAAGGTTTGGAAAGGAAGTGAAAATTTATTATTTTTAGGCATAGAAAATGCATAGATGGGTGGCGCACGGAGACTTATGACTGTAATCCCAGCATTTTGAGAGGGCGAGGCAGGTGGATCACCTGAGGTCGGGAGTTTGAGACCAGCCTGACCAACATGGTGAAACCCCATCTCTACTAAAAATACAAAAAAATTAGCCAGGTGTGGTGGCACGTGTCTGTAACCCCAGCTACTCAGGAGGCTGAGGCAGGAGAATCACTTGAACTGGGAGGCAGAGGTTGCAGTGAGCCAAGATCGAACCATTGCACTCCAGCCTGAGCAACAAGAGCAAAACTCTGTCTCAAAAAAATAAATAAATAAAATAAAATAAGAAAGAAAGAACAAAGAAAATGCATAGATATCAACAGAAAATCTTTTAGAACTAAAAAAGGATTCAGCAAGGCTACTGATTACAAGATCAACATGCAAAATTCAATAACTTTTGAATGTGAACAATAACAAATGGGAAAAAATTGGAAAAAAAAAAAGCCAGCTCACAATAGCAGCAAAACTATAAAGGACCTAAAGAATATACATTACGTACCATTTTTAAGAGCTTTATGGGAAAAAATTATAGTTTTATTAAAGGATATAAAAGAAGATCTGAATAATGGGTAAGAGGTCTCAAAAGCATAAACATGTCAATTCTGCCCAAATTATCTATAAATTTAAGTAAATTCCAAATAAAATCTCAGCAGAACTTTTCTGTTCATTTGTAACGTGATTCTAAAATTCATATGGAAAAGTGAATTATCATTGCCAAGATAATTTCGAAAAATAAGAACAATGGGTGGGCAGGAGCAGTTGGCCTGCGGATTCTGAAACATTCTAGACAGTCACAGAAATTAAAATATAGTTGTCTGAGCAGAGGAAGAGGCAGCGGACAGAATAGAGAGCCTGGTGCAAATCCATGTTCATGCAGGATTCACATGTAGGGGCTACGTGGGATGTGGAATATGATAGCGGTGGCACTAGAGATCAGCAGGGAAAGATGAGCTTGTGCCATCATTGATGATGGAAGCATTGGCTTTTCATATAAAAGACTCCTACACTAATTATACAAAAATTAATTCCAGAAGAATTAAAGACCTCAGCACGAAAAATCGCAACTAAACACTACTGAGACGTGAGACCTCAACCACATCTTGAATGCAAAATTTCATCGAATGTGAATATCATAATTCTATGTATGGAAAATTTTTAAATAAGACAAAGCATAACTGTATGTTGTTCATGAAGATATTTTTTAGTTTAGTTTCTTTTATTTTTATTTTTTTATTTTTAAGTTTGAAGAATATCTTTATGGCCCAAAGTGAATCTGCCAAGCTTTTTAGGCCACCTTGCGTGCATTTTAGTTGTTTCCCCAAGGGAGAATCTGAATCGGTGCCTTCCCTGACTCTTTCCCAGCCAAAATGCGGGCACGTGACCAGGCCTGCCAATCAGACACGGGGGCCTCGGGCCGCGGGAGGGAGCTGGCTGGCTGCGCGTCTCCGGGAGCCGCTGTCATTTCAGTGGCGCATTCTGGGCAAAGGCGGTGTGGTCCCGGGGTGGGCAGCAGATTCCGGAAAGGGTCAGTTGGTTCTGGGAGTGTCCCTTTCATTGTCTCAGGCCTCTTTTCCCATCTGTCCCAAACGTTGTGTGAACTCCCTTCTGTCTCTCCTAAGTTCTTTTCTGCTTAAACTGGTCAGACCGGATTCTACTGCTTACAAATGACAACTGTAACTGACACGCAACCCTGCAGAACAGAAAACATCTTTATAACAAAACATACCCCATCAACGTTAGAGAGGAAAAAACAGGCCTCGAGAAGGTATTTGCAGGATCTATAACAAAGGAATTAATAAAGATATATACTGTATTTATCTTATCAGAGAATTTATCTTTAATGGAGAAAACTCGGATAAATAAAGAACAGAAGCACGCCCATAGGAAAGTGGAGGGAAGGAGAACAGGAAGTCCTCAGAAGCAGAAATCCAAAGGTCTTTATTATATATATTTGTTCTTATTTTTACAATTTACATAAGTAAAATTATGGCATTCATATTCCATACATTCCTTCACACAAGATAAGCGTACGTGAGACCTCAACCACATCTTCAGTGCAAAACTTCATGGAATGTGAATATCATAATTCTACTTATGTAAACATTTTAAATAAGAAAAAGTATAACTGTATGTTGTTTATGAAGTTTTTTTTTTTTTTTTTTTTTTTTTTTTTTTTTTTGAGACGGAGTCTCGCTCTGTCGCCCAGGCTGGAATGCAGTGGCGCGATCTCCGCTCACTGCAAGCTCCGCCTCCCGGGTTCACGCCATTCTCCTGCCTCAGCCTCCCGAGTAGCTGGGACTACAGGCGCCCGCCACCACGCCCGGCTAATTTTTTGTATTTTTAGTAGAGACGGGGTTTCACCATGTTAGCCAGGATGGTCTCGATCTCCTGACCTCGTGATCCGCCCACCTCGGCCTCCCAAAGTGCTGGGATTACAGGTGTGAGCCACCGCGCCCGGCCCCTGAAGATGTTTTTAAACTATTTTTTAAAGTTTGAAGCTGGAAGCACGCACTGCTAAATATGATAGTGCTGCCTTTCCAGCGTAGAGGGCTCAGCAGCCAAGCATCACAATCAAAAGGCTTCCGAGATTTAGTTGTATTTATTTCTGGGGGGGTGGAGAGATAAAGTATTTACAGTTATTAATGGTTTAATATGGATTCTTTCACTCCATTTCCTACACTTACAGAAGAATTACATGAGAGGAAATAATGGTATATTCTATGTGTAAAAATGACAGAGGGAAACTTCATCATAGAGTCCGGAAAAATAAGCTTTTGAAAAAACAAGTACATTTCTGTGGCTTTATTCTCAACTCAATTTTTAATTATGCATGCAATTTACTCCCATGAAATAAAGATAAAAGATCATAATGAGTCATTTATAATAATTTTACGTCTTAAATAAAGTAATGGAGCTTTTCCTTCTAACATGCCATGTTCTTCACAATGATCCTGTACCTCTGTGTAGCCATGACACCAAGCCTCCAAGATCACAACTGTGACACGCACCTGTCATTCACAGGCCAAGCCACAGGATGCCACTGTTGCATTTTTGCTATAATAGACTTTTACTTAAGGTGAATGAAGAAAGAAAAAAAGGAAACTCTATTTTTAATAAACAGACACATGGCAACCATTTAAGATTCAAGATACAACAAACCTTACCTTAGTTATTAGTTATGGCTAATTATTAAAATCCCTTTAAATTGGACTTTGAACATCACATATTGAAGTTGAGATTTCTATGCCAGCCATGTGCAATTGCTACATTTATAGACTCATGACATCTCTTAATATATTACTGACGGCCGGGCGCGGTGGCTCACGCCTGTAATCCCAGCACTTTGGGAGGCCGAGGCGGGTGGATCACGAGGTCAGGAGATCGAGACCATCCTGGCTAACAAGGTGAAACCCCGTCTCTACTAAAAATACAAAAAATTAGCCGGGTGCGGTGGCGGGCGCCTGTAGTCCCAGCTACTCGGGAGGCTGAGGCAGGAGAATGGCGTGAACCCAGGAAGCGGAGCTTGCAGTGAGCCGAGATTGCGCCATTGCAGTCCGCAGTCCGGCCTGGGCAACAGAGCGAGACTCCGTCTCAAAAAAAAAAAAAAAAAAAAAAAAAAAAAAAAATATATATATATATATATATATATATATATTACTGACTTAAAATAACATATTCACTAGTATTTAAGCCTCTCTAAAATTGTTTGTTAATGAGTCAATGTATTTTTGAAATCGAAGTGTTGGGTAAATCAAAGTATCGTTTTCCTTTTACTTACCCAAAGATACTTATTTGCATTCTGATTGAACCACAACTGATAGTTATACTTGGCACTCTCCAATTTCTTTTTTTGTTTGTTTGTTTGTTTTTGTGATGGAGTTTCACTCTTGTTGCCCAGGCTGGAGTGCAATGGCGCTATCTCGGCTCACTGCAACCTCCGCCTCCTGGGTTCAAGCGATTCTCCTGGCTCAGCTTCCGAAGTAACTGGGATTACAGGTGCCCGCCACCACGCCTGGCTAATTTTTTTTTGTATTTTTAGAAGAGATGGGGTTTCACCAGTTGGCCAGGCTCGTCTCGAACCTCTAACCTCAAGTGATCCGCCTGCCTTGGTCTCCCAAAGTGCTGGGATTACAGGCGGCACTTTCCAGTTTCTTTCTGACCCTGTCCCATACTTTCTAGCAAGTAAGTAAAGGTTTACAAATTAACAATTACAGGTCCCCAAAAAGCTTCTATTTAAAGGAGAACATTACTTTTGTCCTGTGAGTAAATAAAATGTATAGGAAGATGTTCCCAAAATATAAAATATTTCTATTAAAAAGTGACCATATTTATGAATGCCTGGTCTATGTATACAGGAAATAAATAAATTGTAGTCTCTCAAAGAGACTGCAGCCTAATTAAGCACATCCCTTTCCTCTGCCAACTCAGTCAGTTTCTGTCTTCTGTGGATTTTCATAGCTCTTTGAATATGTGTTTAGTTATAACCTGCAGAAATTGTTCATTTGTTTATTCATTTCCCTATTCAACAAATACTAGGTGCAGAGAGCAAGACCAACATGACCTGTCCTAGGAGGTTACGGTCTAATAAATGCATTGCAATTACTGCTTACTCATCTTTCTCTTCTACAGGACTGTGAGCTATTCAGTATCCCCAGAATGCCGGGCAGAGCAGACTGCAAAGAAATATTGCTTTGGTGAATGATGTGCCGGGATGAGGTGGAGGCAGGAAGGCCAGAAATGAGCACAGTCATCCAGCCAAACGGTGCTGGGAGCTCAGGACGGAGTGGCAGAGTGGTGTTGGGAAAGAAGGGACATTTAAACAAGATGGAAGAGCAAGAGGACTTGATGCTCCTGCAAGCAGTCCAGGAAAGGTTAGATTGTGTGTTTATTTTCCTCACTAAACCCACAAGATTTATATGTTGAAATTCTAACCCCTAAGGCAATAGGAAGTGGGGCCTTTTGCAGGTGATTATGTCAGATGGAATTAGTGCCCTTATAAAAGACACCCTAGAGAGCTGCCTTGCTCCTTCAACCACAGGAGGACACAGCAAGAAAGTGCCATCTATGAACCAGAAAGTGGGTTCTCACTAGACACCCAGTCTGCCTGGATCTTGAACCTGCCAGCCTCCAGAACCATGAGAAATAAATTTCTATTGTTTATAAGCCACCCAGTCTATTTTGTTATAACAGCCGGAACAGACTGACACCTTGGCACTGGCAATCTTTCTATGTTATAGAATTAACCCAGTGCCAGCCTCATTATTGTGAAATAAGCTGGCCTATTCTGCAGTAGATAGTAATCCAGCAATAAAAGGCAAGCAGCTGAAAAATCAACATGGAGCATTCCTCGGCCCATTCCCTTTGGTGCACTTAGCAAGGACATGAGCAGACGCTGTCAGTTTGAGTCACAAGGCATGTGTCCTGGCTCTTCACGTGCCCCCGAGCACAGGTCTTAGAGTTTGGGGCAACTCTTCGGGGGTCAGTGTGACTCACAGGCATGGAGCATGAGCAAAGTGGTGGGCTGAGTGGTTGGAAGGTAATAAATTCTTAAACTTAACTAAAATAACCCAAGTCTTAATTCAGGATATTGGTTGCCTAAGCAACAGAGAGGTTAAAGCAGCAATAAATTATGGCTAGTCTTATCAAAATAGAGCTCCTACAGGTTTACAACAGGGCCCTGGCACCCTGGTTGTTGGCTGTCAAACACAATTGAGTATGGAGAAATGATCAAGTCTGTATCAAAGGAAAACAGAAAACCACGACCCAGGTACAAGATCCAGAAACACTGAGGTCCTAATCTCAGACAGTTTGGAAAGCAGAAGACCTGCCTCTGAATCTCCGCCCTGGCCTTCACTCACAGTGCGGCCTCACTGGGCTGCCCACCTTATCTCTGTGAACCTCAGACTGTCCTCTCTAAAGAGAGATGTTGTAAGGCTCCCACGAACTCACATTCATGGAAACACTCAAAAAACAGCGAGATGCTTTGCAAAAAAAGGTACTGCTGTCTTTAAAAGATGAAAAACAATGTTAGTTGAGTAAGAGTAACAATAAAGCTATCATATTTTAATAAGAAATACCTATCAGCCAGCAGTTCAGATGAGTGAAATTATCTGAACAAAGAAACCATGTCTATAACAACTTTTAAAAATCATTTTTTGTTAACACTCATACTTGACCTTCAGAGACACTGGAGTTCTGGCTAAGTTAAACATTTTTGCAAGGTCCTATGTGAAGACTTACAGTGGTATAGTCATCCTTCTTAGTCTTATACCAATGTCTGATTAATTTTCCTAGCACACCACACCGCCTCTGTCCAAATGTCTGTCACTCATTCAGTGCCTTGCTTACCCTGTGTTATTTTGTACATTCTCTCTCTTTCAATCTCTCTCTCTCTCTCTCTCTCTGCCTCTGTCTCTCTGTCTCTCTCTCTCTGCCTTTGGTCCCACATAGGAGTTTCCCTCTCCAGCCAGACTGATTTTTCTGCCCCATATGCAATCCTCATTGTCCTTTTCTCCTTGAAGACCCAGGTCAGAGCATCAGCCACCCAGTGATGTCTACCCCATGTATGCTACGCTCACCAAAGGGAGTGTTGTGCTCTTGTTACCTTGCTCTTCATGTTACCTTGCTCTTTGTGTTACCTTGCCCTTTGTGCCTTCAAGTAGACTTCAAGGTTTCTGAGAAAGGACCAGGAGGGGCCTCGCTTACTGCTCTTCAGTCCACGCTACCTGGGACTCAACCTTGTGTAGGTGGGCAGGAGTTGTCTGAAGATAGGGAGGAGGGCAAGAAGACATAAATGACTGTGAGCTCTTATACCTGGGAGAGGCCCCACAGAGCTTCACACAGTGCTGCTCCCCAAACAGTCCTAGAAGAAGAGGCCACTTTCTTTCATCTGGAGGAACTTAGGAACATACAAGTATAGGGTATTTACCAAGTGTGGAGTGAGCACTGGGCTGCCAGTGGGGATCCTAAGTCGGATGAAGAAGGAAGCTGATGTGGCTGCCTTCTCTTCCCTTCTGCAATCCTGACGGACATGGAGGACAGAGACAGGTGTGGAGAAGACCCACACCTACAGGTGTAAGCTCCATTGAAAGGGAGACATGGCACAGAGGAATATATGCCATCCGAATGACATATTCAGTCAGCTGAATATATGAAGAGACATATATTTGAATGACTGATTTCATTCTTCCTCCCATCCCAATGCAATGAGAATTCAAAGAACAACACATATAACCTCTATGTTCCACCAGCAAGTCCACACACAGCACACGCCACATGTGGAGGGGTTTTAGACAGAAGGAAATGTGACTTCTTGTCCTTCCTGCATTTTGCCTTCGTGAATTATGCATTCATCTCTGCCTCCCAGGACACCATTGATAGAAGTCAAATCCATATTAATAATCCTCAAGGCTGAATATTCTCATTTGCCAACGTTTTATTTTTATACAGGTAGAATAAAAACAGTAAAATGCACAGATCTTAAGTGTTTAGTCTAATGAGTTTTGACAATTATATGCCATGTAACCACCACTTCAATCAAAACATAGAACATTTCCATCATTCTGGGAAATTTCCTTCTGCTCCCTCTCAGGTGATCCCACTCTCACCCCGCAGAGCAATCTCTCTGATTTACATCACCACGGTGAAGTTTTGCCTATTTTTGCATTTCATATAAAAGGAATCATATAATTTGCATTCTTTTGGTTCTGGCCTTTTGAGTTCAGCATAATGTTCATCCACATTGTTGCATGAATCAGTAGTTTTTTTTATTATTACTGAGCAGAATTCCATTGTATGAATGTGTCACAATTTACCTAATCTCCTATTGATAAACATTAGGGTTATCTCCAATTTTGTCTATTATGAAAAGAGCTGTTGTTGTGGTCATGTACAAATCCTTATGTGTACATGTGTTTTCAGTTATCTTGGGTAAATATGTAGTGTATTAGTTTGTTTTCATGCTGCTAATAAAGACATACCTGAGACTGGGTAATTTATAAAGGAAAGAGGTTTAATTGACTCACAGTTCAGCATGGCTAGAGAGGTCTCAGGAAACTTACAATCATGGGAGAAGGGGAAGCAAACACGTTCTTCTTCACATGATGGCAGCAAGGAGAAGTGCCAAGCAAAAGGGGGGAAGCCCCTTATAAAACCATCGATCTCGTGAGAACTCATTCACTATCACGAGAACAGCATTAGGGTAACAGCCTCCATGATTAAATTACCTCCCACCAGGTCCCTCCCCCGACACGTGGGGATTATGGGAATTACAATCCAAGGTGAGATTTGGGTGGGGACACAGCCAAACCATATCACATAGGAATGGAATATCTGCATCATAAGATTAAACATATGTTTAACTTTATATAAAACTGTCAACTACAGTAGTCCCCCAAAACTGTTGTATCATTTCACATTCCCACCAGCAATAAATGAGAATTCCAGTTGCTCTGGATTCTTCCCAAAATTTGGTGTTGTCAGTTTGGTAGGGGGAGGGTTGTTTTGTCCTGTTGTGCTCCTTGCTTTAAGTTCTTCTAGTAGGTATGACGTGGTGACTCACTGTGGTTTCGACTTGCATGATGATTGATGGTAAGAGATGCTGAGCACCTTTTCATGTCTTATTGTCATTAATATATCTTCTTTTAAGAAGCATCTGTTCAAGTCTTTTGCTCATTTTTTAAAGTTTTAAAAATTGTTTTATTTTTTATTTGAGACAGAGTCTCACTCTGTCACCCAGGCTGAAGTGCTGTGGTGCAATCATAGCTCACTGCAGCCTCAAACTCCTGGGGTGAAGCTATCCTCCCACCTTTGCCTCCCAGGTATCTGGGACAACAGGCACACGCCACCATGCCTGGCTAATTTTTTAATTTTTACTTTGTAGAGACAGGATCTCAACATATTGTCCAAGCTGGTGTCAAACTCCTGGACTCAAGCAAATCCTCCTGCCTCAGCTTTTGCCCATTTTAAAATGGGACTGTTCATCTCTTTATTGTTGATTTGTAAAAGTCCTATGTATTCTGGAGTAAAGTCTTCTGTCAAATATATATGCCGCAAATGTTTTTCCCAATCTGTCCAGGCTTATCTGTTGATTTTCTTACCAGTATCTTTTGATAAGCAGAAAACCTTAATTTTAATAAAGTCTAAGTTATCTATTTTTTACTTGATGGTTAACAGTTTTGGGATTCTGTTCAAGAAATCATTGTCCACCACAGGATCATGAAGATAAAGGCCTATATTTTTTCCAGAAGCTTATGGTTCTGGATCTTACATTTAAATCTATAATTCAGCTCAAATTAATTTTTATGCATGGAATGATGTGGAAGTTGAAGATCACTTTTTCCCATATGAATATCCAATTTTTTCAACAAAATTTGTTAAAAAGACTTTCCTTTCCCTGTTGGGCTGCCTTGGCATCTTGGTAAGACATCAACGGGCTATATATGGATGGGTCTATTTCTAGAGTTACTAACCTTTTATTTTTAAGCAACACATTCACCTGGAGAGTGGGTCCTCAAGACTCCTCAACTTCAGTCTTGTCTTTAAAGGGACTGATAGAGAACCCTTGATTTTTTAGAGAATAAAGCCTATATGTATTAAATTATAGTACTTAGTACATAGTACAAGGAGCAATATTTTCAGGCACCATACATAAACAATATGGAAGCCCCACAAACAACATGAATGACACATTGGTTTCATTTTCTTGAATTAAAATTCACTCTAACTTTAAGCTCTCATACCTCCATGCTGATAGGAAAATCAGTCTAAGATTTTCCTTAAATTTTTCCTTCCTTGTGGTTGCAGAAGAATCTTTTGCCAGGAGATTGAAAAATTGCTGGGGTGGGGAAGGGTCAGAAGGAAGAGGGCACCTCTGCTTTCTAGTCCATTAAGCTAACAGCTGATGTCCTTAAGGATCAAACCTAAATATTCCCTTCAAGGCCGGGTGCGGTGGCTCATGCTTGTAATCCCAGCACTTTGGGAGGCCGAGGCAGCCAGAACCCTTGAGCCCAGGAGTTCGAGACCAGCCTGGGTAAAATGGCAAAACCTCGTCTCTACAAAAAAAAAAAAAAAAAAAAAAAAAAATATTAGCCAGGCATGGTGGCACGTGCCTGTAGTCCCAGCTACTCAGGAGGCTGAGGTGGGAGGATTGCTTGAGCCAGGGAGGTCAAGGCTGCAGTGAGCAGTGATCGTGCCACTGCACTCCAGCCTAGGCAACAGAGTGAAGTGAGGCCCTATCTAAAAATTAGATAGAAATAAATAAATATTCCTTTCAGTTGGAGTGAGATAGAAGTCGAGGTTCATTTTTTATGGGAATCCAGTTGTTTTAGGTTCTGTGCCACATGGAGTACAGGGATCCCTGCACAGGCTGGGAGTCTCCAGGGGCTGACAGGGAGTTTCCCTAGGCTTCCCCGGCAGCTATGCCCCTCAGAAGCTGTTAACTGCTCGGATGTTATCAGTTTCCATGGAGTACAGCAATGGACATCTGATGTTTTTCTCTGCCCAATACAGCTTCCCTTCTTCTGGTAACAGACCTTCACTTTCTCTTTGGGAAGCCACCTTCCCCATCCCAGATTATGTTCCCCCAGATCGAAGAAGGTGTTATTCTACCCCCTCCGTCCTGAAGGAAAGTGATTGTTTAAGCTCCAGACCTAAGTTAGGCCAATTCGAAGCAATGAATGAAAGTCAGGCCCTGGGATTCCTCTCCAAGAAGTTTTGTCGTTGGACTTCAATTCGGTGGGCTGTAGCCTCCATACTGGGAATATTCTATAGGGACAGAATCTGATGGAGAATGAAGCCAGCATGTTGGTCAGCACAGGCACAGGATGGGGAGAAAGGGACCAGGTCCTTCTGAGAAACAGAATTCAGCCATGTCTGAGCCAGGTTCACAGTCGCCTAAGTCATTAAATTCTCTTTAACCTTCAGCTCCCTGAAGTTGGGTTCTGCAAGAAGAGTCCTGACTAATATTTCACAACTTGGGCAGCCCAACACCCTCAGCCCTTCCCAATCTAGGGAGAGTTCTCTTCCTTTCCTCAGAACTTCTACTTCCATACCTTGTTCCCAGCACCAGCCTGTCAGGAAGCACAGAGCCAGGAAGGGCACTGCCTAAGATTGCTCACTTTTTCACCTGCCATGCTGCCTTCCTGCTTGGAATGGGTAAGGAAAAGTCACGGTGAGCACAAACACAAGATCTCAGCACAAACACGAGATCTCAGGACAAACACAGTATCTCAGCAGAAACACAAGATCTCAGCACAAACACGAGATCTCAGCACAAACACAAGATCTCAGCACAAACACGAGATCTCAGGACAAACACAAGATCTCAGGACAAACACGAGATCTCAGCACAAACACGAGATCTCAGGACAAACACGAGATCTCAGGACAAACACGAGATCTCAGCACAAACACGAGATCTCAGCACAAACACGAGATCTCAGTGCAGCCAGCTGCCACTGGACCTTCTCCTCTCCTGCTTTCTTAGAATTGATCAATTTTCTCCCATATCCATTTGCTCCCCTCTTCTTTTTTTTTTTTTTTGAGACTAGTTCTCGCTTTGTCGCCCAGGCTGGAGTGCAGTGGCACGACCTCAGCTCACTGCAACCTCTGCCTCTCAGGTTCAACCAATTCTCCTGCCTCAGCCTCTAGAGTAGCTGGGACTACAGGTGCACACCACCATGCCCGGCTAATTTTTGTATTTTTAGTAGAGATGGGGTTTCACGATGTTGGCTGGGCTGGTCTCGAACTCCTGGCGTCAAAGTGATCCACCTGCCTCAGCCTCCCAAAGCGCTGTAATTACAGGCATAAGCCACCATGCCCGGCCTCGATTGCTTTGTTTTTAAGCCAATTTAATGCATGGATCACTTACCTTGTGTAAGTCCAGTACGCCTGGAGTTATAAAACAGTCTCTCCCCTTGGAAGGCTCAGGTGTAATAAACAAGAATTTGAAACCAGGAGAGAGTGACTAAGGGAATGTGGATTCAGGGGGAAAAAAGCAGGAAAAAAGTCAACATTTCTAATTTGGAGAAACCGATGACACCACTGAGAGAGCCCCTCAGGGAAGAAGAGGGGGCTGGAGAATCCCTAAAGAGAAGCTTAGATAACACGGGGGAATCAGATGGCAGGATCTGCAGGCATAGGACTCTGAAGGAGACTTGAGAGTCCACTAAATTACAGAATGTTTTTGTTAAATAATGCCTGAGGGATGATCTGATCTGACATGGATAGCTCCTTTTATTTCTTTTAAGTAAAATTAAATCCAACTGTAAGCCCCAATTTCACCATTAACAAACGAGATAACAAAGTCAATAGTTCCCACAATATGCTTGGGTTAGGGACTCCTGCAACGCCCTTCCGGGTCTGCCACGCAGAGAAAACTCGGCTCTTATCTGCTTTATTAGTTGTAATTAGTCATATAATTTTTTAAAAAGCAAACATCTAAATAAGTTTGGACACCCAAGGATGAGATGATCTCGCATTTCCCTTGCAGTGCTAACATTTTTTCCTTCTCCTGAGCCCAATCTACTCCTCCACCCGCGTGACTTTGATTTGCAAATCACGTGTGTCACGCTCCCTCTCTGGGTTCCCTACCTGTTGTTGGTCACCAGGACTCAGAAACCAGATTTCTGACAAACTTGGATTTGTTAAATAGAGCTAAGTGCTACTGAGAAAAACAACGCAGGACAGGCCGGGGGCGGTGGCTCACACCCGTAATCTCAATACTTTGGGAGGCAGAGGCGGGAAGATGGCTCGAGCCTGGGGGTTCCAGACCAGCCTGGGGAACAGAGTAAGACCCTGTCTCTACAAAAAATAAACAAAACTAGCCAGGTGTGGAAGCGTGCGTCTATAGACCCAGCTACTTGGGAGGCTGAGGTGGGAGCCCAGGAGGTCAAGGCTGCAGTGATCCATGATTGCCACTGTACTCCAGCCTAGGCGACAGAGTGAAACCCGTCTCAAAAAAAAAAAAAAAAAAAAAAAAAAAAAAAAAAAAAAAAAAAAAAAAAAGAAAAAAAAAAGAAAAAGAAAAAAGAAACAAAAGAAAAGAGAGAAGAGAAAAGCAGGACATAGGAAGGGGCCTGCAGGGTGTGGGTGGTGGTTTTAATGAGGGTGGTCTGGGAGAAGCCTCAGTGAGAACGTGGTGCTGAAACAAAGATCTGGTGGAGGTAAGGATGCAAGACGTGGGGACAGCAAGAGGGAAGCTGTGCAGAGCGAGGCCACAGCAAGGACAAAGCCCCGGAGGGAAGAGCCTGGTGCTGCAGCAGAATGGGCAAGAGAAAGTGGTGGAGGTGGAGGTGGAGGCTCGGTGGAGTCCAGGTTATATAGATGGTGGGTCTGAAACTTGGAGATGTATCAGAATCCCCGCGATTCCCCTCTCCAGAGTTTCTGATTCAGTAGGTCTGGGGTGGGGCCAAGATGTTTGCATTCCTAAGGAATTCCTGGGTGCTGCTGTCGCTGCTGGTCCAAGCCCACGCTTTGAGAACTGCTGCTGTAGACAGATGCCTAGAACACTCTTCTCCCAGATGGCTGCACGAATCTCTCACGTTGCCTTTATGTTTTCATTCAAACATGACCTGTACAATGAGGGCTTCCCTGGCTACCTTACCCACCACAATTCCAAACTTCCTCCCCTACTAAACACACTCCATCCTCTGTCCCTACTTTTTTTTTTTTTAGACAGAGTCTCACTCTGTCACCCAGCTGGAGTGCAGCGGCATGATCTTGGCTCACTGCAACCTCCGCCTCTGAGGCTCAAGCGATTATCCTGTCTCAGCCTCCCGAGTAGCTGAGATGATAGGCATGCACCACCACGCCCAGCTAATTTTTGTATTTTTAGTAGAGACGGGGTTTCACCATGTTGGCCAGGCTGGTCTCGAACTCCTGGCCTCAAGTGATCTGCCTGCCTCAGCCTTCCAAAGTGCTGGGATTACAGGCGTGAGCCACCGCACCCGGCCAATCCTCTGTCCCTACCTTCACAGCACTTCTCACCTGGATGAGATTCCTGGAGTTGTTGTAACAAATGACCACAGACCAGGGAGCTTAAAGCCACAGAAATTTACTCACTTACAGTGCTGGAGGTCAGAGGTCCAAAATCAAGGTGCTGGCAGAACTGGTTCCTTCTGAAGACTTGGGGAGAAAGCTCCCATGCCGCTCTCCTAACTGCTGGTGGTCCCGGCACTGCTGGGTGACTCTGGGCTCATAGTTGCGTCACTCCCATCTCCACCTCCTCCTTCCCACGGCTGCCTTCCCTCTGTGCCTCCCTGAGTCCTCACATGGCCTTCTTGTCAAGATGCCAGTCATTGAATTTAGTGCCTTCTCAAATCCAGTGTGACCTCATCTTGACTATTCACATCTGCAAAAATCCTGTTTTCAAACAAGGTCACATTCTATGGTTCTGGGTGGGCATGAACTGAGTGGGGAGTGGGGGAGGGGACAGTATTTAACCCAGTACTTGACCCTTTATCAGGCAATATTTTGAATAGCTCTTGCTTATTTTCTAGGCCCCTTCCTCATGCAAATGTTCTTGATAAGCTCCATGAAGACAGGGAATTGCCCCCCTTTTGTTCCGTTTTAAAATCATCAGTGACTAGAACAGTGCCTAGCACTTAACAGATTCTCAATGGATAGTTGTTGAATCCATAAATGTATGTGTAATAGAATAAATGGTATTTGGGCCAGGTGCGGTGGCTTATGCCTGCAATTCCAGCACTTTGGGAGGCCGAGGCGGGCGGATCACCTGAAGTCGGGAGTTCGAGACTATCCTGACCAACATGGAGAAATCCCGTCTCTACTAAAAATACAAAATTAGCCTGGTGTGGTGGCACATGCCTGTAATCCCAGCTACTCCGGAGGCTGAGGCAGGAGAATCACTTAAACCCGGGAGGCGGAGGTTGCAGTGAGCCAAGATCACAACATTGCACTCCAGCCTGGGCAATAAGAGCAAAATTCCATCTCAAAAAAAAAAAGGTATTTGAAGACAAAACATGGCATGAGGGCATCAGGGGAATGAATGAAGACTGGGACTTCCCAGGACTGAGCTCTAGAGTGTCCCAGCGTGGAGAAGTGCGGGAGATGAGGAGGGAGCTGCAAAGGAGAATGAGAAGGGCCAGCCTGGGAAGGGGGAGGAGAGCCAGGACATCTGCTGTTTTGGAAACTCAAAGTGTTGAGAGCATTGGCCATGATGTGACGTCAAGTGGAATGACGGCTGAGAATTTAACCACATGGAAGTCATTGGTGACATTGACAAAAGCCATTTTGATGACGTTTTAGAGGTGAAAGCTGGTCAAATGCACAGAAAATCATCTGGTTGGAAACATCAAGACGATGAGAGTTGTTGTCTTTGGGTGGCCAGAACTGCTGAAGTCATTATTATCTTATTATTGCTTGACTGTACCTCTAAATGTAATAAATATGCAGCTGCTTTTATAAAAATAAAATAATCTTAAGCCATATATAATAAAACAGAAAAAAGTATCTGGAATTTTTCAGGGTTTACATTATTTTTCTATTTTACTTTGAATCTGCTTTGCGTTATCTGCCAATGTGTTCATGAAATTTTAGAATTAGGCAAAGTTAAAGATTATGAATTACCAGTTCATATTTTTAAAGTCTTTTGCATAACACAAAACACTTTTTATAATTTATTTCACCAATCCCTTATTGTTAGACTTTTGAGTTATTGCCAACTAAAGTCCTATTGTTAGACATTTTGGTTGCTTCCGATTTGGGCCTAACAAATCATCAGCAGAATAACTGGATGAAACCAATAATTGGATGAAACAAACCACCCAAGCCAGAATAATTGGATGAGAATAAATTACAAATAAGGGAGAGAGAGAGAAAAAAGGAGACACAAAACAACTGGAGAAATTCTGGGAAAACATACAAAAATTCTTAAAGAAGTAAAAGTTTTTTAAAAAATAAATCCTTTAGTGCACAAAATTTGTCAATATTTGCAAAAAATACAGTGATTAGAGGTTAACTTTCAATCAAATTACTTTTATTTTTAGAAATTATTGATTACTCAACTAAGTTGTTATTCACAAAATCATGTTCATGTTCCTCCCCCCGCCCTTGGTCCAATGCTTATGTGGCCACTTGGGGAGTTGTGCTACCATACTGTGTACGCGTTCGGTGGTATAAACCGAAAGAGTGCTTATCTTAATATTTGCAAGATTGCTTTCTAAAATCCAGTCCTTTTCTCTCAAATCTGGTAGTGGCACTGATCTATGGTTGACATAGTTCACCAGCAATGCAACAAAAGGGCATTACTTCAAGTTCAACACCTGACTGGGTCTCATTCCCAGTCCCGAGGGAGTGAATTCAGCACCTTCTTCTCCACGTTGATCCCCACAGTGGCCTGCACAGAAAGAGGACAGGAAGATGTCCGGGCTCCAGCATCCCAAACGTGTCTGGTACATAACAGAAATGGAGAGCCACTCCAAATATAATTTGTTCCCGCCCACTCCAACCCCATCCTGAAAATAGTAAAACAGCTCTTCATTTTTTTTTTTTCAAATGCAGATGGGTCACACTAACCAGAGGTCCTTGTCAAAGCATTCACCATATTGGTCTTCACTTTGATCAGCCTCAACCCGTCTGCTTCCAGTCCTCCGAAGCACGATCGATGTTTGTTTCAGACAGAACTAAAAATAAGAGCTAGCAGGATATTTGTCATAAAGCCACATTAGAATTGTCATTTCCAAGGAAAGCGAATCCACTCCTGGCACTAAAGTTGCTCATCTTGTTCTTTAGCGTTGCAGCATTACATTCATTCCCAGGTAGTAATAAAACCATCTTCATCTCTTCCGCCAGGGACAAATGTGAGAACCCAGCCCAGGTGAGCTTCTTAGAACACATGCTGTCCTATAAGAAAACTGCAGCCAGTTTTATCTCTCCCTTAGACAGCATATTATTTTTCTTTTATATACAATGTACACTTTGGCTGAACCATTTGAAAGTGAGTTTCAGACATCATGACCCTTCACTCCGAAGCACTTCAGCAAACATCCACCACCACCAACGTTCTCCCGTTCAACCACACCATGACCACACCAAAGGAAATCAACATTAATTATATAATATCTAATGTAGGGTCACTGCTCCAATTTCCACAAGACTCTTCAAAATGTCTTTTATAGCTTAAAAATAATTTTATTATACAGTTGAGGTCATATATTACCTTTGGTTTCCATGTCTCTTTTAGGGTCTTTTAACATAGAGTGATCCCCTTGCCTTTTTGATTTGCCTCGTTTTTCTGTTTTACATTACTCAGATTTTTTTTTCAAGTCCACTCCAATTATCTTGTACCATCTCCTATGTCCTAGATTTGTCTGATTATTCCCTGATGATTAGATTCCGGTTAAACATTTTAAGCAAGAATGCCAGATAGACAGCAGGGCATCCTCATAGCATCATATTAGAAAGTGGGTGCTAAAGTTAGGCTGTTGAGACGCTGTGTTTGGCACTTAGCAGCCAACTTATTTTTAAAAAAATAAAATTAGCTAGGTGTGGTAGCTCACTCCTATAATCCTAGCTACTAGGGAGGGAAAGGCAGGAGAATTGCTTGAGACCGGGGTTCGAGGCCGCACTGAGCTATGATTATGCCCCTGCACTCCAGCCTGAGTGACAGAGACCTCATCTCTAAAAAATAAAAATAAGAACAAGTTAGAAATAAAATTAACAAACCACACAGTGAACACATTTCTATTTCCTAATTTTCTAATAGCATGATGAAAGCCCAGTGTATCTGTCATTACCATTTTCATGAGCAGCAATTTTTGTGATTTTTAATGCAGCTCTAAGCCATGAGCCTTCTCTATCACTGTGAAGGGGATGTTTAAAAAGCTTCCTTTAAAACCAACCACCACCTTGCACACAGAAAAAAACAGTCTTCACAAGCTAGGAATTTACAAGCTGAATCCCAAACTGAGACAGATGGCTGAGGGCAGTGGGCCAGGTGGTTGCCCCTGTGGCCTCCGTCCTGGTCTGGGAATGGTCACTGGTGCAGGCACACATCACTCACAGGAGCGGTGTCCTCCAACCCACTGCAGCTCAAGTCCAGCCAGGAGACCCAGAGCTGAGCTGCTGCTTGTATTTTGGAAACCACATAAATCACACATAAGAATTCACAGGCTGACAGCAAGTAATGCCCGTTGAGACACGGGCAACTCCAGTGGGAAGAGGGTGTGTGCTGGGACTGAGTTCTATTCACCTCAGGATCCCCAGCCCAGGCCCCTGGCACTAAGCAGGGGCTAAGACAGGTAGGTTGTGACTCTTTGATCACCACCATTTACCCCTTGTCCTCTTGATGTGATTTCTGGGCCTGGAAATGGCCCAGAAATGTGTGTCCCCCCAAGATCTATGTCCCCAAGAGCTTTCCTGTCTGCTGGAGCTGCCGAAAACCTGAGTTTTGTCCTGGTAGTTCGAGAGCCCTGTTACAATACAGCTGTCCCCAGCCATTTGCCTTCATGAGCGAGGCTGGAGAATTGAAGTGGAGTGCTCGGGCCTCGAGCAGAGCCTGGGTGCATCCTGCGAAGCCACTAGGGCTGGTTTACGGGGCTTTAGCTGACTCCCTGGGCACGTTGATGTACCTGTGCCAAACACCTGCTTATTAAGCGCCTACTGTACGCCGGACACTTTGTAACCCTGGTGCCCCCACATCCACCAGCAGGACTCCCCCTGCCCCTTACTGTGGTCCAGGCTCCACTGTCCTGGGAAAAGACTGCCCCCCTCGCAACTTCGCCCGCAGGATGAGTCGCCTCTGCCACCCCCTCCCCGGGCATCCATTGCAGCTGGAGGGCGCGAGGTGGGGACCTTGGGCACTGGGCCCTGTGGGCAGGAACCAGCAGGGCTGATCCCGAGCATGCCATCCTCATGGGCGGCAACTCAGCACTAAGAAGCTTGCAGAGTCCTGGAGCTGCTCCAAGAAGGAGCACAGAGAACGGGGCCAGACTCTGGGGTCCCTGGGGGCTGACGCAAGATCTTGCAATAGGGTAGGGGGCAGAGTTGGGGAACCTCCTGAGCTTTCCTGGGTACAGGCTGAGGGAGGTTGAAGGTGGACCTCTGGGGGCCGTGGGAGCCAGGAGGCTGCTTGGAAAGAAGGAAGGTGGCAGGTTAAGATGCTGTGGGGTGGGCGGGCACCTTGAGTTAATTTCCTAACCTTGGTCCCCTTTTGCGTGGATCCATTGTGCTCTTGGTTGTTTTTTCTTTGTTTGTTTTTGTTTTTTTGTTTGATTGTTTGACAGGCTCTCACTCTGCCACCCAGGCTGGAGTGCAATGGCACGATATCGGCTCACTGCAACCTCAAACTCCCAGGCTCAAGTGATTCTCATGCCTCAGCCTCCCAAGTAGCTGGGATTACAGGCCCGAGTCACCGTGTCTGGCTAATTTTGAAATTTTTTTGTAGAGATGGGTTTTTCCATGACGGCCACACTGATCTTGAACTCCTGGGCTCAAGCAATCCTCCAGCCTGGGCCTCCCAAAGTGCTGGGATTACAGGTGTGAGCCACCAACCCTGACCTGGACTCCAGGTTCTAAGAGCCCTCACCCCAGCTCCCCACCCCCGGGACTTAGCCATTTTAACCATGCCTTTGATGATCTTAGGGCAGGATGGGAAGGGAAGGATGAGGATGGGAAGAGGGCAGCATGCTGGGGAGGGAGGGACATCAGCGGAAGGAGAGGGGGAGGAGTAGGTGACAATGTTCAGGATGTTTCCCTTTAAGGAGCCCGTATATTTTCTCACAGTGTAATACAGACACAGCGCCAGCCCTAGGTGTAATTTAAAAATTTCTAGTAGCCATGTTTTAAAAAGGAAAAGAAACGGAGAAATTAATTTTAAGATTTTTGTTAATCCAATATATCAAAAAATATCATTTTAACACATAATCAATATTAAAATATAATGTGATGTTTTCCATTCCTTTTGTTGTACACGTCTTAGAAATCTGGTGTGCACAGAGCTTCTGTATTGGGACTAATCACATTCCAAGTGGTTAATAACTACATAAGGACAGAAGTTACCATATTGCACAACCCAGGTGGAGACAAAATGAACCTGTCAAGTTGGGGCTGGGTGGCTGGAGTTTTCATCTATATACTAAGAAGGATTGGGGGAGGTGGGAAGGGGAAAGAAGGTTTTTTTAAAAAAAGATCTTTGAAATGATTAGAATCCTTTTCTTATTGAAATTTCAGACTTAAAAAAACATCTTTCAGGAAGAGGAACAATTTGTCTGAATAAATCTGAGTGCGTGTATCTTATGATTTTGAATTTAATCAGTGCCTTATTGTGGTCAACCATATTTTATAGCTGTATAGTTGACCATATATAGTTGACCAACTATACAGACGACCATATATTGAGGTCAACTATACAGATGGGCAGCCCTTTCCAGACTTCCAGCATCTCTTTCTAAATACAGTTCTGTCCAACTTGATACTTCTACGCACACAGCGTCTTATCCCCCCTCTTCATTTTGGGGGTGGAACATGACTAATAAGAAAATGGACTGAACATTCAATCAATAAAAATAGTTACAAAAGTATTCTCAAGTTGCATAAATAGGGACAGGGTCTTTTTTTTTTTTTTTTTTTTTTTTTTTTTTTTTTTTTTTTGAGACGGAGTCTCCCTCTGTTGCCCAGGCTGGAGCGCAGTGGGGCGATCTCAGCTCACTGCAAGCTCCGCCTCCTGGGTTCACGCCATTCCCCTGCCTCAGCCTTCCGAGTAGCTGGGACTACAGGCACCTGCCACCATGCCCATCTAATTTTTTTGTATTTTCAGTAGAGACGGGCTTTCACCATGTTAGCCAGGATGGTCTCGATCTCCTAACCTCGTGATCTGCCCGCCTCGGCCTCCCAAAGTGCTGGGATTACAGGCGTGAATGTTGCATAAATAAAGCTGCTTTTAAGTGAACTATATTTTCAGCTTCTGGCAGCAGCAACTTCCACAAATGTTCTTTGGGGAAATACCCGCAATAAATATTCAAGTTGAAAAGAGTTTTGTGAACTCAAGACAGTACTTGAATTCACAGAAGATTGACCTTATTTAAAATCTGTTTTCAGCTACCAATTCTGTGTTCAAGGTAATGAACTCTCCTCCTAATCGAACCTGAAATTCACCTTTCAATTATGCATCAAATTGCAAAACCAAAGGACAGGCAGATAAATGTGAAATGAGCAGTTATGTTGTAAGTAAGACATGCTTTGTTCCATCATTTGTGGGCACAAGAACTCATGTTCGTTGCAAATCTTCCTGGCAGTGTCTGAGAACATACCAAACTGAAAGCATCTCAGGATTGTGCCTAGGGAGAGAGAGAAGAAAAGAGGGAGGAAGGGCTGGAGGGAGGGGGAGAGAGAGAGGAAGAAAGAGAAGAGAGAGAGAGAAAGAAAGAGGGGAGAAGAGAGACAGAGAAGAGAGAAAGAAAGAGAAGAGGGAGAAAGAGAGAGAGAAGGGAGTTCTTCTCTTACAGCAACTCCCCTTCCTTTTTTGCATTACATGAGAAAATGGTCTTTCATGTGGCAGAATGAAGAAAAGGCCTGTGTTTATTTTCTCTATCTTTGACTCTGAGGGAAGCTGAGCTGAGTGGTGGTAAATAACTATATAACTGAAATTGCCTTGCTTTGTGTTACCTTAGGAGTGGCTTGTTTTGTAGAGGCTTCAGATTTATGGAGACAGATTACACTCCACTATGTAAATCACTTTGTAAAAGTAAAATCGTAATTCCTTTGGGCCTCTAGGGTACAATTCGATGCACTAAAACAATAATTTACTATTAAGTGGGACCCTTGGGGTGGCTTTTTCTTAGAGAATCGTCTTCTCGTTGGGAGACTGATTCATTAGGCTACAAAAGGAAGCCTCCCTCTTTCTTGTCTACTGTGTCACGCTGTGCTTATACGTCCAAAAGCAGAAAGTTCAGGCTCCAGTTGAGAAGGTGGAAGGTCAGTTCTTGTGTGTCTGACACAGGGAAGGTATCATCGATTCTCAGGAATGACGAGGTGACACCACGTGGGGGACATGCATGTCTTAGCCTAGGATCCAGCAGGACTGGCGCCCTTCAACCATCCCGGCTTCACTGGCGTTTGAGGAAAGGCCTTCAGACCTTTCCTTAAACTGCCAGGACATGGCACTCAGGTCTGCCATGATGTTGGGAAAGTGAAACATAGTTTCTCTCAGACATTTAACTTGCATTTGTGTTTGATTTAGAGCGTGGGGGTATTGTATTTTAAATATTCTCATATTTTTGATTCGCAGAAATAATAACCAATCAATTGCTCAATCCTCAACTGCTAAAATGAAATGCAGTTTGGAGAGATAATAGTTAAATATTTCTAAAACTGTGCCCTGAAATTAAGAAGACCCATTTAAGAATTAGTAGCTTCAGGTTATTGAAAATGTAATTACTTTCAGCCTTTGTAATTTTGTTCCTCTTTTGTGGATGAAGACGAGAGTTCCGCAAACAATACCATTCAGTGGAATTTAATATTCAAGAGAGGATTTGGGTGGTTCAAGATGAAATTAAATCACATGCTTGAGGAGGCTGCATTATGAGCGGCCTCCAAGCTACATTCTTGGATTTTCTAGTTGCTGGTTTCCTTCTAAGCATGGTGCTCCTCCTCCTCTCCATTGGTAGCCAGTGGTTTCATTGCCACTCTGATGACCAGCTCCCTAACAGCTCCATAATCCTTCTTCCACACCTACGCTTTTCTATTTCATTATTAAGTGAACAGGATTTAGACAACTTTTCTCTCATGTCTCTTTTTCTCTTCTCACGGCTCTACTGGTTTACTCTGGAATTTAATTTCTTCTTTGCTAGCAGTTTCTCAATATGTGATTCAAAGAATAAGGGACAAGAAAAGAGGACCCCTCAGTATAACACACGCCTATTCTGCGTGAGAGCAGCGTTCACGTTCTTGTTTAATAGGCCTGGGAAATGCTTCCTAAAGCAACAGTGGAGTGGAGAGTTGGTAGGAACTGTTAATTGTCTTGTGTTGCTTTAGAAAATTGCTTGATTACAGTGGAGACATTTCAAAGGAGAAAAAGCTCCAGTATATGATGGCAAAACCATGTGTAAATCAACTCTGAGTTGTAAATTTGCCAAAATATTCTTTTACCTGGACACCCGGTCCCATCCTAACCCCTTTGTTCTTCAAAAATGAGAATATGCTGGATAGACTATTTATAGCCTGCTTTCTGACAGCTTAATGCATATTAGGATTTTTTCTGTATAATTAAATGCTTTATAATACTTTTTATGATTACATATTATTTCATCTTATGACAGTTGATCATTTATTTAACCATGGCAGTGTTTCCAGTTTTTTCCTATTTATTTCAACAAAACCATGACGTATGTACTTATGTCTATCTCTATTCCCATGCTTCCTGGCTGTCTAATTTCCTTCTCCATATTGTGGGTTGAAGCCCTTCCCTGGCCAGGGGTGTTGCTTGAATGAACCAACAGTATGGTTTATCTCACCAACAAACAACTTAGGCGTAGGAGTGATCCCAGGAATCCCCAAGCATCAAAGTCACTTATTTTACAGATGCAGTCAAGGCCTAGAGAAGCCAGGAAATTTACGAAAATTCTCCTAGCGAATGAGTTCAAAGCATAGACTGAAACCCAGGATTCCTGGATCTCCATTCCATGCTCTTTCCATCATACTAGGTCACTTCCCAAAGTGCCTGAAAAATAAAACCTTCAGAGCCACGCAAAAGCAAAAGAGCCATCTATCTATCATCTATCTATCTATCTATCTATCTATCTATCTATCTATCTATCTATCTATCTGTCTAGACAAACACATATATACATATAACTGTAACTTAGAGCAAAATGTAATTTATAATTACATTGTTAGTTACTTAAAAAAAAACCCTCACTACAATATTATACAGATCTCCCTACAATAAGCTAGCATGAAATAATCCTAGGCTTATTAATCATGTCCCTGAAAAGTTTCCAGATGAGATAGAGACAGGAAAGCACCTGTCAGCCCCCAAAACCCTACGTCTCCAAGTGCTGAGTGCACACACACAGCCGTCCGGTGTTAAGTGCTATGGAGACACCTGAAGCCTAGGCATCAAAGCATTCACCTGCCTTTCCTCCCACCTCCCATCAATTCTTGGAAGACACTAAAACAAAACTTGTCCAAAACCAGTAAAGCGATCAAAGGGCCAAATCTCAATGGCTTTTCCCAAGTGTCGACCAGAGTCTTGACCATCGCTGCCCCAGGCTCATGGGCTGTAACAACCACAGAAATATGCTTTGAAACCTAACATGACAACCTCATATAATTGAAAAGCTGCCAGTGTTGAGGAGGTACAGATATTTAAAAGTCAGAAAGTTGCCAGCCACCCTCAGAAGGTCTTCATAATCAAGACACCTCAGTGTCTAAAGAGCAAGCTCCTCATGCCTGTAGTTCTTTGTGGGAATCTGTAGCCTCTTCCACTTGGTCATGAAACAGCCACAGTTCTGTGCTGGAGGATTTTCCAGATAATCCCAGAAGTGGGCTTACATTTCCTCAGTTCAAGTGGTATAACCAGCACCAACAGGACTCCAGCAGGATGAACACGCCTGATGACATCACTTTGTTGGTGTCAGCAGAGACTTGAGCTCAAATTGAGTGGTGTTGCTGCATCAGGAAAATAAACCAGTACTTACCGACTTGGAGAAGACAGATCTGTGAAAGTCTGAATCGCTTTTAGATCTTTGCAAACAGTTATTGCAAGCCTGGTATTTTTCAGATACCTAATAATATAGTAGTATTTTACATAATTGCCTTCCCTAACATTCGTAGAAAACTATAAATAGTCCTCTTAATGTGCACAGAAGTACTTATATTCCAGATGTTCCCATGGTGAAGGGACTTGAGCTATAATTTCCACCTATTTCAGAAGCACTGAGACAACCAAAACTTGACAAGCTCATTCTTTTCTTTTCCCTCCTACATATTCCCAGCCCCCATCCTCCAAGCCAGTGCTCGAGATAAGGCCGTCTCCCTTCCCAGTGGGGCTCAAGTGCATCTGCGGTGATTCCTGGCCTTTCTACTCCCTCTGAAACAAACTTCAAGAAAAACCCATCTTGGAAAAATGCTCTAGCCTTTGCTCGAGGAGAGGTGTATTTTGTGTGTCATATGTTGCTTGTTTCTGTTTTCTTTTTTTTTTTTAATTTTTATTTTTGCAGATGGAGTTTTGCTCTGCAGCCCAGGCTGGAGTGCATTGGCACAATCTTGGCTCACTGCAACCTCTGCTTCCTGGGTTCAAACAATTCACCTGCTTCAGCCTCCCAAGTAGCTGGGATTACAGGTGCATACCACCATGCCCAGCTAATTTTTGTGTTTTAGTAGAGATGGGGTTTCATCATGTTGACCAGGCTGGTCTTGAACTCCCGACCTCAAGTTATCCACCTGCCTCAGTCTCCCAAAGTGCTGGGATTACAGGCATGAGCCACCACGCTCGGCCCCTTGTTTCTGTTTTTAAAGGCTACTGGAGGTGGAGTGAGTGAAGGCTTCCTGCTGTTACTTGATTGAGGTTTCCTTTTCTTGACTACTGTGTTTTCACGCCTGCTTATAAAACTACTGACGTGTGAATCTAGCAAAAAGTTTTTCCTCCACAATGTGAATTAGAATATTGACTAATAATTATTTTGAATTTTTTTAGGTTGGATTAAAATTTGCACTACTATTCCAGAAAACTCATTGTCTACTAGAATCAGAACCATATTTTAGGCTGGGTGCAGTGGCTCACACCAGTAATCCCAGCACTTTAAGACGTTGAAGTGGGAGGATTGCTTGAGCCTAGGAGTTCAAGACCAGCAGGGGCAATATGACAAGACCTCATCTCTACAAAAAAAAAAAAAAAAAATTAGCCAGGGTGGCGGCGCATGCCTGTGGTCCCAGCTACTCAGGAAGCTGAGGTGGGGAGGATAGCTTGAGCCCAGGAGGTCGAGGCTGCAGTGAGCTATGATTGCACCACTGCACTCCAGCCTGGGCAACAGAGCAAGACCCTGTCTCAAAAAGAAAAAAAGAATATTTTAATCATGTTGGTCCTAACTTGCATTCTAAGTTTCATATTTAAAGGCACCATGCACCTGACTCTTCCCAACATTGAGCATGTGGTTGGAGAGGGTGCAGGTCTGGGGTAGGGGTGAAGGGAAGGGTCTGGAAGCCTCTGGTCCTCATTCATAAACCCTATAGAATAGAAAGGAGGGTTGCTTTGCTAACCTTCTGGGTGGTGGTAGGAACTCTTTCAGGCAAGAGGAACATCAGTATCAGGCAAGACTCCCAGGGAAGTTGGGGATCTGGGAGTATATTTTTGTTAATCCAACTCTTTGTACCTCTCCTCAAAAGTCTGTGGGCCTCCACAGGCGTAGGCACTCTAGAGTTGGGTTAATGCAAACAGATTTCCAGATCTGCAACTTCCTTGAGAATTTTGACAGATACTGACCTGCTGAGAACGGACCAGGTCTCCTTTGCCAACCTCCCATTCACAACTGCTCTTCTCCCTCCTTACAAAAGAAAAGTGCACCTCTTGTGGGTGCCCCAGAACATAAAGACTAGAGCATCAAGCCAAGGGCAATTTGACATATTGGTGTTTAATCAAAACATCATAAACTTGCAGTCACACATATTTCTGTTAAAGGAAAACATAGCTTCAGAGATGGAGTTTTTTAATCCAACTTAGATGCTCAGACTGTTTTAAACTGTTGTTTCTCCTCTTCTATCTCCTAAGTATTGACAGAGAACTTGCCACCAGAGAGAAAGCAAGCAAGGAGAGAAACTCACATGCAGTGGGTGGCAAGTCTGTAAGCTTTATCCCACAGCACTCTTTGAAGTGAGATACTGTCTCAGAGACACATCTTAACACATTCACTTGAATTGAGGAATGAGGGCGGATTGTTTCTAACAGAAAGCCTCAGTAATTTCACTGATTGGTTAGACAATGAGGATTGACTTTATCAATTTGTTCATAGGATGACAGACATTTTCCATAAATTAAATGAACTAAATTAGCAGCTCCAATGTCTCAAATAAAATAGATGTAAAGCCCTTGATAAGGTAAAAGCATTTTATCAAAAATAGTCTATTGGCAAAGGCATATTGAAATTAACAGTATTTAGATTTCCCTAACACTTTCTGGTAACAGTGGGTGAAACAAAATGCCTAAATGTAAGAATAAATAGATATAATTAATCATCATTTTTGGTTATTTTTCCCAAAGTTGGAAAATTAAATGACTCCAATGATTGAATAACAAATCTTTTGAATCTTTTGTAAATCAGATGGTTTCCTTTTTTAGGGAGAGTGTATTGGCTTTTATTATAATTAAAGGAGAAGCTAATTGAGTTGTCACCTGATAGAATACTAAAAACAATTTTTGATGATGGATTTTTTTCTTTTTTTTTTTTTTGAGACGGAGTCTCGCCCTGTTACCCAGCTTGGAGTGCAGTGGCGCGATCTCAGCTCACTGCAAGCTCCGCCTCTTGGGTTCACGCCATTCTCCTGCCCCAGCCTCCCGAGTAGCTGGGACTACAGGCACCCACCACCACACCTGGCTAATTTTTTGTATTTTTAGTAGAGATGGGGTTTCACCATGTTAGCCATGATGGTCTCGATCTCCTGACCTCGTGATCTGCCTGCGTCAGCCTCCCAAAGTACTGGGATTACAGGCGTGAGCCACGGCGCCCGGCCGATGATGGATTTTTTTTAATTTTTGATGAGGGATTATTAGGTGATTTTTGGAATATCCCTTGGAAAGAGTTCAAAGAGTTGGATGTCACTGTTGTAACAAAGTGCCTGCCATTTATTTATAGAACAAAATTTTTTTAGAGCTTACATGTGTAAAAATGAAAACTAGGAATAGAATTGAAGCTGAACCTTGTCTTACTCCAGCAATAAGTAATATTCACCTATAGATAAATCCATATCTAGAGAGACATTTTCAACAGCAGTTTACTTTTATATATAATAATTATATGTCAACATTTGAAATATATTTATGTTGTTTTGATGAATTGTAAACTAATAACAATTATAGCAATAAATCAGTCCAGATAAAAATTAATGCCTAGTACCCTATGGCTACTGAAAGTTTAAAAAGCTTGAAATTCCAATTTATGGGCATATTTCTGTGGCAAAGAATCAGGACTGAGTGATTGATTAATGCCTTGAAGCATAAAGATATTGCAACGGGATAAAATTCCATGGGAGAAGTACAATGGAAATGTGGGTTCAAGAAGAGAAAGAAATTATAAACAGTTCTGAAAGTTAAGCAACAGAGGTCCACATCCTTTTTAAGTCAATGTTGATGGTTTTCAACGCTCATGGTATTTAGACTCCGTTATTTATATGTAAAAGAGTACTCCAACAGTTCTTTAAATCCAATTTTTACAACATAAAGTATGTCTTTTGTGACTATATTAACATATGATGAAAAAATTAAATGTCAGCCAAAACATGTGTGCAAGAGAAATCTAGTTTTGTTTCAATTATTATATAAGCTACAGGAGAAGGGTCTGAAGTCCATTCTTCAGGTAACTTGGGTTTCTTGATATAAGACAGAACAGTTTTTCATTCTCTTTCACCTGTGCTTCTGTGAACAGGCAACCAGCCTCCAATGCCCGGTGTGGCTAAATGTTCCCTTTGCTGTCACCTGAGTGTTTTTAAGCTTCAGCAACATATGAACAGTTTTAAATTTATTTTTTATTTTTGGATACAGGGTCTCGCTCTGTTGCCCAGGCTGGAGTGCTGTGGTGCCATCATGGCTCATGGTAGCTTTGAACTCCTCAGCTCAAGCAATCCTCCTGCCTCAGCCTCCTGAGTAGCTGGGACTACGGATGCATGCCACCACACCTGGCTAATTTTTAAAATTTTTTTAGAGATGGAGTCTTACTATGTTACCCAGGCTGCTCTTGAACTCCTGGGCTCAAGCAACCCTCCCGCCTCAGCCTCCAAAAGTCTGGAACTCCAGGTGTGAGCCACCACGCCTGGCCTGGACCCCTTTTCAGGGGAAAATATGTTGTGGACCCCCTTTATTGCCTTAAATTTTTTTCTATAGTAATGCTGCTTACAAATACAAAACTCCATATTTAATCCTTTATACTCATAGCTCTTATGCATTGATTTATAAAAACAAATTTACAAGTCAAAAACAAATCACAGGCTGGGCATGGTGGCTCACGCCTGTAATCCCAACACTTTGGGAGGCTGAGATGAGCCGATCACCTGAGGTCAGGAGTTCAACACCAGCATGGCCAACATGGTGAAACCCTCTCTGTACTAAAAATACAAAAATTAGCAGGGCATGGTGGTGGGCGCCTGTAATCCCAGCTACTCAGGAGGCTAAGGCAGGAGAATCTCTTGAACCTGGGAGGCAGAGGTTGCAGTGAGCCAAGATCATGCCACTGCACTGCAGCCTGGGCGACAGAGCAAGACTTCGTCTCAAAAAACAAACAAACAAACAAAACAAATCACAAAGCCAACAAAATTAAAATGTTACCTCACAGGACTGTTGATCTTGTTTGTTGAAGCTAAATTGCTGCTCTCTATGAAACAGCACTCATTGCTGTGGCAGCAGTTTTGTTGTTTTGTTTAATTTTGACATCCCTGTATTCTTGGGGGGCATCTAATGGCTCAGTGATTTCCTTGCCTCTTCTCTAACTAGTTGAAATCTTTGTGTTCAGTTGGCACAAGGTGGTGTCACAGTTTCGTCTGCCAAGATCTCTCCTTTTCAGACCCCACTCTTCTGGCAGTAGACCAGGACAATTATATGTTCCTTGGTGACAAAAAGATTGTAAATACAAATGCAGGTACCTCACTCCTGGGCAGGGATTTAGTTTTGGAGTGGTCACCAAATGATGCTGCATTCACTTCTATTAAGATCTTTAAAAATTAGCATCAAAAAATATGTATTGTACGGAACTCATGGCCCCCACCACATCCTCAGACTCTTGGAGCCCTGTAGATGCCAGTGTGGGACACACACTGCAATCTCAGCTGTTACCCACAACCTGAATGGGTGCAGCGCTTACCAGTTTAGACAGGTCTGAGAAGACATGGAGGAAAGAGAGGTCATGAAATGGAATTTTCCATCTAAGCCACTCTAAGCAGGCCAGAGGCAAATCATCTTTGAATTGCCCAGGATGCCTGGCAGAGTGCCTGGCATGTATGGTAAGTACTTTATAGTTTGTTTGTTAAAGTGATTTGTTTGTTTGTTTCTGAGATGGAGTCTCACTCTTGTTGCCAGGCTGGAATGCAATGGTGTGATCTCGGCTCACTGCCGCCTCCACATACCAGGTTCAAGCAATTCTCTTGCCTCAGTCTCCCAAAGTGGCTGGGATTGCAGGCATCCACCACCACGCCGGGTTAATTTTTGTTTTGTTTTTGAGACGGAGTTTTGCTCTTGTTGCCCAGGCTGGAGTGCAATGGCGCAATCTCGGTTCACCGCAACCTCCACCTTCTGGGTTCAAGCGATTCTCCTGCCTCAGCCTCTCGAGTAGCTGGAATTACAGGCATGCGCCACTACACCTGGCTAATTTTGTATTTTTAGTAGAAACAGGGTTTCTCCAGGTTGGTCAGGCTGGTCTTGAACTCCTGACCTCAGGTGATCCACCCGCCTCGGCCTCCCAAAGTGCTGGGATTACAGGCATGAGCCACCGTGCCCGGCCAATTTTTGTATTTTTAGTAGGGACGGGGTTTCACCATGTTGGCCAGGCTGGTCTCAAACTCCTGACCTCAGGTGATCCTACTGCCTCGGCCTCCCTAAGTGCTGTGATTACAGGCTGTTAAAGTGATTTAAATAGAAGACTCAAGTTATTAAGTCACCCAGGATGGGCCTCTGATGATTGGCTTTGTTTCTAAATATCCCAAAAATAATTTATCTGGGTTTATTACCATATTATATATAATCCTAAGCTCCTCCTATATATTTATATATAATATTATAACACATTATATATTATATATATATTTCATATATAATATATAGTACATTAAATATATTTAATATAGGTACATTAAAATTATATTAAATATATATTAATTATAGTGAAGTAAAAATATTATATACTATACATGAGTTATAAATAATACATGTGTTATATAATATATAAAATTATATTATAACTCATAGATCATATGACATATATTATAGAGGCTGGGGTGGGGTGAGGCTCTGGTAGACTCATCTCGAAGCCACTGTGGTTTGGCAAGTGCACTTCCATTGTGTGTCTCCGGAGAGCATATCTGAAGGGGGCCATTGGAGGCTGGGGCCACTATTGCTAAGCGCCGGTGGGAATTTAAATCATTGGATGTGTTGTTCATTATTCCCAGTCCTGTCTGAGTCTGCCATGGAGAAAGGTGTTCTCAGCATTGACTCCCCAGCCTTTCTCCAACCTTACCCCAAGCTTTTGAATAATACATGTTTTCCTTGTCCGCAGATGATTTTCTCTTAAAAACATACGATGCCATCTAATCCCAAATGAGGGGCTAAATAGAACCCACACTTTTAAAAATAAAGTCATGTCTTTCCTATAATTTTTTAGCACTTAGTATATTTTGAGACTGTAACATTCTGGCACTCTTAGTTTTCTTCCAGAGACGTTATCAAGTTCTAAGTCATGTCGCTAAGTCAGCAACAAGCTTTCTTCCGTGCCTGATAGTCTAAGAACTCAACACACAGGCTTTAAAACTACATTACCTTGGTTTAAATCTCACTCTTGCAACTTATTTGTTCTCTGACTTGGGAAGGCCACTTAACATTTCTGAGCCTTAGTTTTCTCATTTCAAAAATGGTTGTTGAAAGGACTAGGGGAAATAATACTGATCAGGTTTTTAATCACCATGCCTGGCATCGCAAAGAGCTCAATAAATAATAGCTGTTTTTCTGTCATTGCCTCCTAAAATATATAAATTCACATATGATTTTGGGAATTGAGTTCCTCGAATGAGATTTCCAAAGACTTTATTGGATGTAATTCATTTTCTAGAACTTAATTTCTTCCCAGGTCCTTCCAGAATGCAGCATAGTAACATCAACACACACCTATATACAGTATCCTGAAACCAGAACAGCCGTTTTACTGCACTGCTGTTTGCTCATAAAGCAGTCACATTGTTGGTGTCTGCTCTGCACTCAAGAAAGAAGGGATCAACACTTTACTGGAAATAAGACAGAAGACTCTGTTGGACTCAGGAGCTAACTTGTTATAATTTGCTCATTTGAGTCTTAGGACTTTCTGATATGCAAAACCTTGAATTCTTTCATACTTGACTAGTTCTTTTCTCACTTTTAAATTACACGATTTCACTTTTAAATTATAGAACTTACAAAAAATTCTGAATTGAAATCTCTGAACCCAAAGCAGACACACTGGGTTGAGCTGTCTTACAAGAAGGTACACCAAACTCAGTAGTGTGGATCCCAGTCTCAACACTGCCGCAGCCTGGCTGTGTGATCTTGGGTAACCCACTGCCCTTCTCTGGGCCTCAGTCTCCTCTTCTACCAAATGAGAGGATGGACTCCATGAAGGCCATGATTCTAAACTCCCATTATTCTAAAAGAAAGAGGCAAAATTGACTTATAATCCCAAGGAAAAAGTAATTAAAATGTTAATAGAGCTCTATAGTTTACAAAGCACTGTCTCAAATGATTCCTATAACAATGCTATGAGATGTTATCATTTGTCCCATTATGGATGAGACTTTTGCCATACTGATAAATAAAGTGACAACCAAGAATATATAGTTCCTGAGCTAAGAAGAGATCCAGGATCTTTCTGTCTGGGATATTGGATTTCTAAATTTTCCCTAAATTTATAGTCATTTGATTAGAGGGGAAATTGCTTATACTTCAAATCCAGAAAATTATCTTTATCCTCATGGCTACTTGCCCATTCACACAGATTCTACAGGTTGCATCATTCATTCATTGACTAATTTCATCAGCATTTCCTGGCTATGTCAGTACAGCATCGTTCAAAGTGCTATGTGGAGATTCAAGAGAAGGACACATAAGCACGAGCTGTTCCCAGCAGTGGGGGAAACGGCATGGGAAACGGATATACTATCCAGGTCTCCTTATGCACTGATACAGTCCCAGCACTTACGACAGTATCTGGTGCATGGTAGAAGAGTGAATGAATGAATGAAACCACAAGTGGGTTGAAGTATGGGGTCACACAATTCTGACCAACCCTCTTCTAGGAAGGTTCCCTTCCATTCACCACACAGGAGTCAGAACTTCTATCTTTCTACTCCCATTTCTGTAGCATGTATCACATTGGGGTTGTTTTCCTTTAGTTTAAAGTTTTTCATCAAAGTCATACATGCTTGGAGTTAAAAATCAAATAGTGCCCAAGGGCTGGAAATAAATTACAGTGATTCTTTCCCCCTCCTTTCCCTCTCCCCACACTCCAGTTCTCATACCTCGAGGCAACCACTTTGAACCCTTTCAGCTGCAGCTCTGGAAATTACCTGCACAGCACTATGTAATACACGTCGATGCTAAAGTTCTTGATCTAGCCATTTCAGATGGCATCTATCATCTGTTATGATGGATCACTATTTTAAATTAAGTCATATTTTTATGACTATTTATGACTTACTTTGTTTCAAGCACCCTGTCAGCTCTACCATCTGCCTGCCTCTTTTCTCACCCTGGTGGTGGACACCCTCGGATATCTAGGGAGCCCCCCATTTTTTCCAGAATTCCCCTCTCCCTAAACCCCCATCCTCCTGCTCCAGGTTGGCCCACTGCTCCTCCATCCTCCTCCCCATGCTCCCAGCTCACCACCAGTCTTGCCTGCTCCCAGGGCTTCATCTTTCCAGGTTTGCTCCTTGATCATCCACTTCTGATAACAGAAGGAAAGGAAGGTAGAGATCTGAGTCTAGTGTGCCTGAAAATCTATTTTGCCTCACATGTGAGTGAGCTTAGCACAGAGCCAAATTCTACATTCCTGTTTTCTCCAGATTTAGAAGGCATTGCTCCCTTATCTTCTAGAGTCTGTGTTGAGGAGTCTGATGCCATGCTCTGCTTTTTTCTCTGCTTGGAAAGCTTTTGGGGACATTTATTTATCTTCATTGTTCACAGCAATGTGCCTTGATGTGGGTCTTTTCCTTCTGCTGTGTTGATAACTCAGTCAGCTCTTTCAGTCTAGAGATTTAAGTCTCAGTGTTAGAAAGTGCCCAGTGATTATTTTTTCTGACCATTTTCTCTGTGCTTTCATTCTGAAACCCCTATGAATCAGACTTTCAGAAATCTCCCATGTCTCTTTTCTTTCATATTTTCTATCTTTTTATCATTTATATTAATTTACTCAGCTTTGTGTACCAACACCTACAGTGAATTTTTTAAAATCTGGTGTTGTATTTGTTTTAAATTTCAAGGGTGCATTCTTCATCTCTGATTGTTACCATTTTATAGCATTTTATCCTTGTTTTAGAACTGCAATGTTTCCTGCTTCTAAGGATAGCATTTGGGTCTTTATTTTTTTAAATGTTCTCTCTTCCCTGCATGAGTTCCATTTTGCAGTTGTTTACTTGGGGCCTCCTCGTGTTGAGGGTTCTCTTGGTGTGTTTGGAAAACCTCAGTTGTCTGGCATTGAAGATCATCAAAGACTAAATGGAAGCTCTGTGTGCAAGGTGGAATCTGTTAATGGTTCCTTGAGGGTCCCCTAAATGATATTTTCCCTAGAGCTATCCAGGGAATCCAAGGAGGAGAAATCCTCCCATCTCCTGAAAGTGGAGAGAAGAGAAGGTGTGGGTTACTTGTGACCTGCCCTCAGGCTAAAAGACCATTCCATTGGCAGACGTTGAGTATTCTCTCCCTCTTTTCAGCCTCATCCCCATCTCCATTTTGTGAATGGCTTTAAGCTAAGCTCCTCCAATTCAGTTCCTTCAGAAAATAGATCTCAAGCCTCCTGCCAGGAAGCAGTGGCTGGCAGCTAGCACCCTGTCTGAGACAGCAGAAGAGGGTTAAACATTCTCTGACTCCCCACGCAAGACCCTGCTTTCAACTGGGTATCCCAGCCCCTCTGTCTGACATTCCTGGTACCCCCACATTCTGACCTCTTGGGGTTCACCACGACCTTCTTACTGTAGATTCCATTCTCTAAGTGCACTTTGGGTTGTGTCTTTCTCAGTTCTGCTAAGTCAATGACAATTGTCCATCTAATTTTTGTCCTGAAAAATTTCATTGAACTCTCTTCTCTACTGATGTTTTCTTCTATATTCTTTGTCCTTAGGGATTTATTCCTTTTTACTTCCTTACTATTATTTTATCAGAAGTGTCAGAAGGGAGAGGTGATGCATATACGTTTCACATAACATCTTTGGGCTTGTGATTTGCTGATGTAAACACCTGTTCCTATTTATGAATGACTTCCCCTCCTTTCTCTTTGGGAAAGTCCCTTCCTGGTTGCTCTCTGGTTTCTATTTTGGGAGGCATGATTTCCCCTCTGCTATTGGCTTTGTTGGTTCTTTTGTTCTGCTGTTGGATTTTCCCACCTGTTGTATGGTAAGTTTTGTTGTATGGTAAGTTTGCACACTCTGCTTGCATGGACATTTCCTTGCCCTTCTCCATTTACCTTTCTGTATCTGGAAGTTTCTGAGTGCTCCCGTGCAGCCTCCTAGGAGGACAGGTCAGACCTGGGATTCATGCCCACAATAGCTCAGCGCAGTCTTCTCTGGGGCACATCAGGGCTCCAGCAGACACGTGTTCATGTCTAGAGCCTCCTTCCACCCCAGCAAACTGCTTGTTTCTTACTGCAACCTTGCAGTGGGGGAGGGGAGCTTTTCTAGCTTTATTCACAGGCAAAGAATGGTCACAGGCTGGAGTTTCCAGCAGGCAGGGCACCTGGCATTGACTCTCACTGTCCAAGGAGGTGGCCCAGCCCCCTTCCTCCATAGGGTTGACTTCTTCTCACACCACTGCTGGCTTCCAGGCTGCTCACCCAGAGCTTCAGCCCCTGCTCACGACAGGGGTCTCCACTCCTGGTCCACAGAGATTTACATCTAGTTTTTGTTTTGTTTTATTTTTACTGTGACTGTTATGGGCTGAAATGATATGTTGAATGTCCCCCAAAATGATATGTTGAAGTCCTAACTCCCAGTACTTCAGAATGTGACCTATTTGGAAAGAGAGTCTTTACAGAGGTAATCAAGTTAAAATGAGGTCAGTGGGGTGATGAGGTCATGGGTGTGGACCCTAGGATTTGACTGGTGTCCTTGCCGAAAGGGGAACTATGGAAACAGAGATGCCCAGAGAGAAGACAATGTGAGGAGACACAGGGCGCACCACCAGGGCGGTGCTTCCACAAGTCAAGGAGTGCTGAAGATTCCAGCAAACCACCAGATGCCAGGGAAGAGCTCGGAACGGGCCTTCCTCACAGTCCCCAGAAGGAACCAACCCTGCCGACACCCTGATCTTGGATTTCCAGCCTTGAGAACTGTGAGACAATACATCTGTATTGTTTAAGCTGCCCTGTTTGTGGTCTTTTGTCCTGACATCCCCAGGAAGCTAAGTTAGTGACTGTATATTTTAATCCTTCAAATATATACTCTATCATCTCCATGTATAAATATATCAAATATATATTTGGCATTAGAAAGGGGAGGTTTCGCATGCATTCCTCTACCACACTGACCAGAAATCTATCACATTACCTGGTTTCCTTATCTGCTCACCATGAGGCACTCTGAGTCCAGAGGTTTTAATTCCCCTCTGTAACCACAGTGCCTGGTCTCTTGAAAGTGCTCAAGAATTGCTTTGTGAATCAGTTAATAGGCTGAGAAGGTGAGGGACCGATCAATCTGATGTGTGGTTATTCAGGGAATACTTCTCAAAAGAGGTAAAAATAGGCCGGGCGCAGTGGCTCATGCCTGTAATCCCAGCACTTTGGGAGGCTGAGGCAGGCAGATCACTTGAGGTCAGGAGTTGGAGACCAGCCTGGCCAACATTGTGAAACCCCATCTCTACTAAAAATGTGAAAACTAGCCAGGTGTGAAGGGGGCATGCCTGTAGTCCCAGCTACTTGGGAGGCTGAGGCACGAGAATCGCTTGAACCCGGTAGGTGGAGGTTGCAGTGAGCCGAGATCACCCCACTGCCCTCCAGCCTGGATGGCAGAGTGAGACTCCGTTAAAAAAAAAAAAAAAAAAAGAGAGAGATAAAAATACCAAACAATTGGCTTTCATATGTATGTTCCTAATTTTGTTTTCTAATTGAATGCACTAGAGAACAATCTCGTACCCCTGGGCCTACCATATACATGAGGGTATCCCATCTGTCCCAGAATGGGCTTTCCAAGAACGAGGCTTACATCATAATCCAGACCCTTGGGATGATCTCATACTTTCTGGTCCTTTCCTGAACTCTCATTTATTCATCCAAGAATTAATGAATTCCTTGAGCAGGTAGCTCTTGAGCCGTCAGTGACAGATATTTGTTGAGTGCAAACTAAGTGTTAGGAATTGTTCTGGCCATGGGATGTATCTGTGAGCAAGACAGACAGCTTCCGTCCTCTCATGAACCCTGGAGAGAGTCACAGATGATTATGTCCAACAGCTTTCGGTGACTAGATTGTTTCACACACAAAATCCACACCTCTGGGGAAGAACAGGTTGACTCCCTAGGCGTGACTGAGTAGAGCAATTTGTTGAAAGTACAATTTTTTTTACTTGTGCTCTGAGACCCCTGGCGCTTGTAAGAGCAGAGCCATCTCTGCATGGCTGTGTTGGGCAGATGCATGGAGCTGTGAAATTTGAGAGACCTGGGTTTGAATGAAGAGGCTGACCCAATTCCTGGGGCCTTGCCTCTCTTACTGAACCTGTCTGGATCTCAGGGCTCACCTGTGAAAGTGTGGGAGCAATCCTACCTCACAGAGAGCCGGGAGAGCCTGATGAGGGAATGTGTTCGCAAGACTGTTTCTTAACCATATATCAAAAAAGTCCCCAGTATTCAATATGAGATTAGATTTCCTTGGAAAAACTTATACAGAGGTGCTAGGGTTGAAGAAATTATTTGTCTATTTCTCTGTTTTGGTGGCGGTTTCCCACCTACCCTGGGATACAAATGTTATTGGTGATATAGATACTGTCCAGCCCTCCATCACTGTGTCTCTGCTGGGATTCCATGACCAAAAGGAGAGAACTAGAAAACTATGCTCTCAATAGCTGAGTGCTCTGTGGTCCTGGCCCCGGGTCTCGCACTCAGATTTCACAGTGCATTTGATTCATGGTGCATGCCAAGAAGAACGCTGGCACTTTGGACTTGGTAAATGGCTTACTTGGTTTTCGGTTGAATTTTGTGCTGAGGCACAGCTAATTAGAACCCATCTGAAGATGGCATAAATAACTGGGTACTTCCACAGGCCTCTAGCCTTTAATGTTCCAATGACAGTCCTGACCTCCATCAAATGTCTCCTCTTGCTCATTCACCCCCAGCCCAGGCTGGAGTGGGACATGGCAAACAGCACCAGCAGCAGCAGTAAGAAATGAGACACTCAGGTGACAGCCATGCCAGTGACTATATGTCATGTTTTATTTAAAAATTCTCCTTACCCATTTTCTGGGATAGCCAGAGCAACCTACTTTATTTTTCTGCTTGGTTCCAGGTACGTGGGGACAGATGGCTAATATTTGCCAGACTGTACATATATGTACATAAATACCTTTTCTCCTCTAGCCTTGGGCTTAAATATTAAAGATGACAACCCTTATTATTGTTAGGGATTGTGAGTAAGAGAAAATTCTCATTTTGTGCACTCAAGCAAAATGACTTAATCAATTTCTCCTTGACTTACACAAAGGGAGTCTGAAGTTAAAGTTCATGCTTTAGAAGGCTTTATTGTGGAGACTTTTTTCTCTCACACTGCACATCGAACTGACTTTTTATTCAACTGCTAATGATGTTGGGATAATTAAGATAAGCCTCAGAAACACTGGGTGGAGACAAATAGAAATTCCACTTATATAGTGGAATTTCTTTAAAAAGAAAATTGCCACAGTGTTTATCGTCAATGAATGCATTATGCAATTGTATATCATTGTAAGTCAAGTATTGGTACCTATTGTGTCTATATGACAGTTTTCAATTCACCCATTTCCCATAATGTAGAGTAAATCAGCTCATCTAAACAGAACAAAACAAAACAAAACAAAAGAAAGAAGGGGGCTTAATGGTAGGTGTCCTTTTTTTAGCAATGATGTCCTTTTAGTTACAGCTTGTAGTAAAATTAGAGGGTCCTGGGGTTGTTTTACATTATTTTTTGTTCTGCTTCTTAAAGGTTACTTAAGGTTTTGACTCTGATGAATCTTAGCTTTACTAGATCTGGGTGGCATGAGAAAGAATTTGGGAAGTTGGGAGTGAATGTTGCAAAAAGGCAACACAAAATACAGGATGGAACTGGTCTAAAAAGACAGTGATACTGATGTAAGGGATGATGGCGTCTAAAGGCCTTGCTACTCAAATATGGACCAGCAATATCTACATCACCGGGGCGGGGGCGGGGTGGCCCTCATTAGAAATGCAGATTCCCAGGTCCCACTCCAGATTCACTGAGTCAGAATCTGCATTTTAATGAAATCCCCATTGAACTGTGAGAAGCACTGCTTTCGGAGACATTTGAGATCAGAGCGAATTCAAACATTTTATAAAGGAGAAAATAGACTTACTCAAGATCACTGACAACATACAACAATTACTGTTGTTCTATAATCTCCCCTATCTGTTCAACCTCCGCGGCATCTGTAGTTATAATCCCTATTTAAATTCCTACTATTATTTGTGTTTGTTTTCTTTTCTTCTTGACTAATATTGCTAAATGTTTATTTTGGAATTTTGTCCCCTAGAAAAGAGCTTTTGGCTTTGTTGAACCTCACTATATATATTTCCTATTTCATTAATGTCTACTTTTACCTTTATTATATTTCTTCCCTTTTTGGCTTATTCTGATATTTTTTCGGCGGAGGGGGGATGGGAATTTTTCAGTTGCCTCTTAGGCTTATTACATTTTAGATTTTCTTCTTTCCTAATACAAACATCTAGAACTATAAATTGTTCTCTAAGTATCATGTTAGCTGCACCTGACAAATGTTGATGGGTAACTTTCAGTTACAGTTTAGCTCCAATATTTTCTAATTTCCATTGTGATTTCGTTTTTAATACATTAACAGATTTAAAGTGTTTTATGTAAGTTTCCAAATGCACAAGGTTTTTAAGTTATTGAATTGTGATTAAAGAGTATAGTCTATGGAATATTTACCAAAATTCGTATGTTAAGGTTTCCCACAGAGATGGTGAATTTGGTAGCTTCTTTGGTAGAGCTGTCAATTTTTGATTTATGTGCATTTGAGAGTCTGCTGTTAGTTCCATTCAAATTGAGAACTGTTACATATTTCTGGAAAATTGGACCTTTCATCATTCATTATGTCATGGCCTTTAGTGCTAGTAACGCTTTTTGCCTTAAAGTTTACTTAGTCTGATGTTAATATTGATATCACTACTTAATTTCTCTTTGGGTTAGCATTACCTTGGTGTATGATTTTTTTTTATTCTTGACTTTTAATCTTCCGGTACTCTTATGCTTAAGACGTATGTCTCTTAAACAGCATACACCTACACTTAAAACAAAAAATCCAGCCATGCGATTTTTGCCTTTTTACCAGAAAGTTTAGTTCTTTTACATTTATAGTAATTACTGGATTTTTATCCACATCTTATTTTGTACTTTCTATTTGTTCTACTATTTTGTAGTTTTTTCGTTCTTTACTTCTTTAAAATGTTTCTTTTTTTTCTTTATTTCATTCCTCCCACCTCCACTTATTTGGAAAGTATGATGCAATATGTCTTTTTCTTAGTGGTTACTCTAGGACAAACAAGCATGCTAACAACATTTAAAGTTAATTAATAACTTTATGCTCCTGTTGAGGACTTTAGAAAGCCTTAACTACAGTCATGCTCCTCCCCACTTATATTTTATTCTTGCCCGTTATTTAATCCTTACCTTTCCCTACAAATTAGATATTATTAGGCCGGGCGCGGTGGCTCACACCTGTAATCCCAGCACTTTGAGAGGCCGAGGCCGGCGGATCACGAGGTCAGGAGATGGAGACCAATCTGGCTAACACGGTGAAACCCCTTCTCTAGTAAAAATACAAAAAAAATTAGCCGGGCGTGGTGGGCGCCTGTAGTCCCATCTACTCGGGAGGCTGAGGCAGGAGAATGGTGTGAGCCCAGGAGGCAGAGCTTGCAGTGAGCCCAGATCGCGCCACTGCACTTCAGCCTGGGCGACAGAGTGAGACTCCATCTCAAAAACAAAACAAACAAAAAAACAAACAACAAAAAAACAAATTAGATATTACTATCAATCAAGTGAAGTCACTTTCCTTTGGCTTGAAATAAATCCTTTAGAATTTCCATTAGTCAGAGATTTGTTGTTGTTGTTTTATGATAAACTCTTTATGTTTCTATTTATATTAAAATGTCTTTATTTTGGTCTCCTTCTTATAAGATATTTTAATTCTTTCACATATTGACAACGTATTCTGCTGTCTTCTGGCTTCCATTATTGTGACTAAGAAATCAGTAGTAAGTCAAATGATCACTTTGCTGTGGGTGATCTTTCTTTTGTCTCTCTAGCTGCTTTTGAGGTTTTCTCCTTTCCAAATTTTTGCAGTCTACCCATCTGACAAAGGGCTAATATCCAGCATCTACAAAGAACTCAAACAAATTTACAAGAAAAAATCAAACAACCCCATCAAAAAGTGGGCAAAGGATATGAACAGACACTTCTCAAAAGAAGACATTTATACAGCCAACAGACACATGAAAAAATGCTCATCATCACTGGCCATCAGAGAAACGCAAATCAAAACCACAATGAGATACCATCTCACACCAGTTACAATGGCGATCATTAAAAAGTCAGGAAACAACAGATGCTGGAGAGGATGTGGAGAAATAGGAACACTTTTACACTGTTGGTGGGACTGTAAACTAGTTCAACCATTGTGGAAGACGGTGTGGTGATTTCTCAAGGATCTAGGACTAGAAATACCATTTGACCCAGCCATCCCATTACTGGGTATATACCCAAAGGATTATAAATCATGTTGCTATAAAGACACATGCACACGTATGTTTATTGCGGCACTATTCACAATAGCGAAGACTTGGAACCAACCCAAATGTCCATCAATGATAGACTGGATTAAGAAAATGTGGCACATATACACCATGGAATACTATGCAGCCATAAAAAAGGATGAGTTCGTGTCCTTTGTAGGGACATGGATGAAGCTGGAAACCATCATTCTCAGCAAACTATCGCAAGGACAGAAAACCAAACACCGCATGTTCTCACTCATAGGTGGGAATTGAACAATGAGAACACTTGGACACAGGAAGGGGAACATCACACACTGGGGCCTGTCATGGGGTCGGGGGAGGGGGGAGGGATAGCATTAGGAGATATACCTAATGTAAATGATGAGTTAATGGGTGCAGCACACCAACATGGCACATGTATACATATGTAACAAACCTGCACGTTGTGCACATGTACCCTAGAACTTAAAGTATAATAATAAAAAAAAAAGATTTTGTCCTTTCCTTTGCTACTCTTTAGCTCTATTATGATGGATATAGGATTTGTATATTTCAAAAAGTTTTGGAAAATTTTCAGCAATTATTTTTTGAATGCTATCTATTCTTCATTCTTGTTTTCTACTTAAGGACTCAGATTAGACACGTATTAAACATTCTCATGTTGTACACCATCTTTCTTAACCTTTGCTTTATATTTTCTATATCATTTTTTGTAATTTCCACTGTAATTTCTTCTTTAAACCACAGGTTGTAGAAACATGTTGCTTAATTTTCCAACATTTGGAATTTTTCTAGTTATATTTCTGTTATGCATTTACAGTGTATTATTACTGTGAAGAGAATATATACTCAATCTTCTATATGTTGCCTAATTTAAAAAAAAAAAAATTAGCCTGGGTGCGGTGGCTCATGCCTGTAATCCCAGCACTTTGGGAGGCCAAGGCAGGTGGATCACCAGAGGTCAGGAGTTTGAGGGCAGCCTGGCCAACACGGTGAAACCCCATCTCTACTAAAAATACAAAAATTAGCTGGGCATGGTGGTGGGCGCCTGTAGTCCCAGCTACTCAGGAGACTAAGGCAGGAGAATCTCTTGAATTCAGGAGGCGAAGATTGCAGTAAGCTGAGATTGCACCACTGCACTCCAGCCTGGGTGACAGAGCAAGACTCTATCTAAAAAAAAAAAAAAAAAATTAAAATTAAAATTAAAAAAATTAAAAATGATACATATTTGTACATATTTATGGAGTACAAGTGATATTTTGTTACATGCATAGAATGTGTAATTATCAAGTCGGGGTATTTGGGGTATTCACCACCTTGAGTATTTATCATTTCTATGTGTTGGGAACACCTTTAAATTCTCTCTTCTAGCTATCTTGAAATATATAATACATGATTGTTAACTATAGTCACCTTACTCTCCTATCAAACATTAGAATTTATTTCTTCTATTTCACTGTATATTTGAACCCATTAACCAACCTCTCTTCCTCCCCCATGCACATCCTTTCCAGCCTTTCATAACTATCATTCTACTCTCTACCTCCATGAAATCAACTTTTTTAGGTCCCACATACGAGTGAGAATATGCAATATTTGTCTTTCTGTACCTGGCTTATTTTACTTAACATAATGGCCTCCAGTTCCATCTATGTTGCTACAAATGACAGGATTTCATTATTGTTTTATGGCCAAATAGTATTCCATTGTGTATTTATATTAACACCACATTTTCTTCTTTTTCTTTTTTTTTTTTTTTTTTTTTGAGACAGAGTTTTGCTCCTGTTGCCCAGGCTGGAGTGCAATGGCATGATCTTGGCTCACTGCAACCTCTACCTCCCAGGTTCAAACAGTTCTTCTGCCTCAGCCTCCCAAGTAGCTGGGATTACAGGCATGTGTCACCATGCCTGGCTAATTTTTGTATTTTTGGTAGAGATGGGTTTTCACCATGTTGGCCAGCTTGGTCTTGAACTCCTGACCTCAGGTGATCCATCTGCCTTGGCCTCCCAAAGTGCTTGGATTACAGGCATGAGCCACCATGCCTGGCCACCACATTTTCTTTATCCATTCATCCATTGATCTTTATTTCCCTAGACTGCATTCTAAATTGTTTCACACCCATCTTCCAATTAACAAATACCCATGTTAGCTGTTACCTAATTAGTTACTCCGCTGATCTTTCTAAAAAATGTAATTGTGGCCAGGAGCCGTGGCTCACGCCTGTAATCCCAGCAGTTTGGGAGGCCTAGGCAGGTGGATCACTTGAAGTCAGGAGTTCAAGACCAAACTGGCCAACATGGTGAAAACCCATCTCTACCAAAAATACAAAAAGTAGCCAGGCGTGGTGACGGACACCTGTAATCCCAGTTACTCAGGAGGCTGAGGCATAATAATTGTGTGAACCTAGGAGATGAAGGTTGCAGTGAGTTGAGATCATGTCACTGCACTCCAGCCTGGGTGACGGAGCGAGACTCAGTCTCAAAAAAAAAAAAAAGTATATATATATATAATTGCTATAATGTAATATGTATGTAATTGCTATAATTTTCATTTATTGACGATCTACTAGATTTGTTTTTAAATCCACATGTTTCTGTCCAAATTTCCAAGCTTCTACTTAATTTTTTTCCTGAAATCTACATGGGATTATAAATCTTTAATTTTAAAAGAACATATTAGATGTAGATAATGAGTATTCTTTATCTGAAAATAAGTATGTGAACTTTTAAAAGATCTATTTCTACTATCTGTTGTTTCTGCCTCTTCTCATTCATAGTAACTTGATTCCTCATAAATTTCATAATTTTTTAAGCCACTTATATTCTTTGCAACTTTACCTGTGGGAATTCTTGCAGAACTGAATTAAATTATGTTTTTTTTTCTTTAGGAAGGTCGCTTACTTCTGTGAATCATCTGGAGATGCTACAAACAAAGGATTTTAATTTAAAGTCTGCTTGATGTTTTCCAGATCACACAAGTGGTTAGTTAAGATAAAATCTTGCATGAGGGCTGGCATATGGTTGCAAATTCTCAAGGGATATATTTTTTTCCTTCTCCACCTGTCAGCAAGGCTGAGAAAAGCAAATTTTTTGCTATAAATTTCTGTGCAGTGGGGCTTATGTCTCACTCATATGCAGTGTAAGTCCCAGCTATATATGGGGGCCTCCTATTATATTCCCTCCTTGGGCAGAATCTGGGCTTTATCTCCAGCCCCCTACACCCAAGGTACTTGCAAAGTGAAATCTTAAGATCTGGTGGAAACCCTTAGAGGAAAAGCTAGCTTTGGAACTTATTAACCTCCCAGAGGTCTTGATTTTATTTTATTTTTAGACTTGGTGTATTCCTCACTTATAATCATTTATAAAATTTGGTTTAAAATTTTTTAAAAACCATTTTAGTTGTTCCAGTGAGGACAGTCATTGTGTACCTGACTGCCATATTGCTAGAAGAAGTTACCAGGTATTCTTGAAGGAAAACAGAATTTAAGGGAAGCTGTGAAGACTGCCTATATACATCTTATTGTTGCAGGCTTAGGGCAATGTTATTGTTAATTCAGGATCATAGAAGACCAAGGATACAATAAGTAGGTGTATTAATCCACTTTCACATGCTGTAAAGAACTGCCTGAGACTGGGTAATTGATAAAAGGAAGAGGTTTAATTGACTCACAGTTCTGCAGGACTGGGGAGGCCACAGGAAACTTACAATCATAGTGGAAGGGGAGACAAACATATCCTTCTTCACATGGTAGCAGGAAGGAGAAGCGCCAAGCAAAGGGGGAAAAGCCTCTTATAAAAACATCAGATCTCATGAGAACTCACTATCACAAGAACAGCGTGAGCGTAACCACCCCATTATTCAATTATCTCCCAGTGGGTACTTCCCATGACATGGGACTGGAGGAACTACAGTTCAAGATGAGATTTGGGTGGGGACACAGCCAAACCATATTAGTGGTAAAAACTGGATTATTGTGTATTAATGGAGAGGATCAATTACACAAAGAACATAAAAATATGTTTGACACAAAGAGAGTTGATTTTTCCAGGAAAATTAAAGAATTTAGAGACAAACTGGGGAGATGGAAAATTAAACAAAAAATTCTAATGCTCTTTGGGGAGTATCTTCTGAATTATTTTTATATTGCAGAGAGTTTGTAAACAGGCCTATTTATTATAATTATTAAAATTAATAACCAATTTATTAATAGTAAAATTTTAAACGTAAATATTCTTACACCCTTGTGTTTAATTTACAAATTGTATCCTACTTATAAATCTAGTAATTTTTGTCCAAAAATAAGAAATATGATATTCACTTGTTCTTTGATTAATCTTAAATTAACTTAAGCTTAATAGTTAAAGTCTTCTAAACAATTAAATACGCCGGCCGGGCGCGGTGGCTCACGCCTGTAATCCCAGCACTTTGGGAGGTCGAGGTGGGTGGATCACGAGATCAGGAGATCGAGACAATCCTGGCTAACACGGTGAAACCCTGTCTCTACTAAATATACAAAAAATTAGCCGGGCGTAGTGGCGGGCGCCTATATTCCCAGCTACTCAGGAAGCTGAGGCAGGAAAATGGCGTGAACCCAGCGTGCGGAGCTTGCAGTGAGCTGAGATTGTGCCACTGCACTCCAGCCTGGGCAACAGGGCGAGACTCTGTCTCAAAAAAAAAAAAAAAAAGAAAAGAAAAAACAATTAAATACAACTTACAAACATAATTATGTTCTTTTAAACATTTTTAATGCCTGACTGGACAGATTTACAAAACAAAATCTTCTAAACTCTTAAGAAACTCTTGCAAATCAAACTTATAAACATAGTGAGCCAGTTTTTATTTTCTTTTTCTTTTTTTTATTTTTTCTATAGACAGGGTCTTGCTATGTTTCCCAGGCTGACCTCAAACTCCTGGGCTCGAGCGATCCTCCTGCCTCAGACTGCTGAGTAGATGCGATTACAGGCACACACACCATACTTATTTCAGGTCAGTTTTTCTTAAACATTCAAATACTGTTTTAAAATTTAATCAAATTATCTTATACTTTATGAATTAAAATTGCAGGTCTAATACCAATGATGTATTTCAAATTGAAATCCCAAAATTGATATATCAGAGCTTCAAATGTATATTGTTTCTACCCCTTATTTATTATGTAGATTATCCTGATTATAAAACTTATTAATAAACTTAACACAAAATATTAATACCACAGGTTTGTTTTCCTTCACCATTTCTCTGCTTATATTAATATAATCTTAGAACTGTAAAGCCACTTAAGTAGAGAGGACAGATTCTTATCACTTGGAACAGCACTGATAAGACTGGGATGAAGTTTCAGGACTACAGTGAAATTGCTTATTGGTCAGAGATTGAGTGGGATGTGGGCATGACTGACCCTACCAAAGCATGGGTGAATATACTGAACCAATTCCATCAACCAGAAACCCAAAGCCACGCTTTTCAACTGGGATTTAGTCTTCAACCAGTGCATCGTGTTTCTATTTTATCCACTTTTTAATCAAACCCTTTTCACCTCTTTATTACCTGAGTTGGGTAGATGTGCCCCTACCCATATTGTAACCAATTTCCTTCATCATTTGTTTGGACTCTAATAACCTCTCTATGGTCTGATTGGATACTATGTGTTACTGTTTGCTTGTTATTTGGTTCTCATCCACAATTCTGCTATCATTTTATTCACAAGGATGGACATTTCATCTGACCAAGGCATGTCAGGAAAGACTTACAGGAAGAAATAATGTCAAAGCCAAGATCTGAAAGATTCATCCATCTATTTTTAAAATATTTATTGAGTAATTAACATATGCAAGTACTGATTTGGTATCTACTGAGTAGCTAACATATTCAGATACTAGTAGTCTAGTGGTGAACGCAACAGATTAAATGGCTGCCCTCATAAAGCTTATCTTTTGGTGGAGGAAGGCAACAAGTAACTAATACGGTATAAATGGGGGGATGACATGTGAGCAGTAACCTGAATGTCAAACAACAGGGGAAGGTGTAAGAAGATAAAGGAAGTCACTAAAAAGGATGACATAGATGAGTGGTTTTCAACTCTGTCAAGCTCAACACCCCTTTATAATAGTAATAAATATTTTGTAATACCCCTCTTTTGTTACCCTGAAATTAAATTCACAGATAATATATTTACTCAGGTGCATAATTTTTTAAAAGAATGTACACAATGGCCTGACCATAATAGAAACAATTCAAATAGAATAAAACCTATGCATTTTTTATCCATATATGTCCAGTCACAAAAACAACTACTGTAGGTATTTCAGAGGAGAGTTAATGTAGAGAATTGGTTACAAAGATTTTGGAAAGGCTGGAAGAGCAAATCGATGAAGGTAGGGTTTTCCAGGATTAGTAACTATAGGGAATGACTACCCCCGAGAACTGGAGAAGCAAAAACAGAAATGGTGTTACTCAGAGTCGCTGGTAGCCAGGCTGTGGCTGCCATCCTTCATAGCATAAGATCCAGGATGAACCAGAAGCCAGTGTCTCCTACTGGCAGACCCTCAAGTGAGGCAAGATGGGAAGGAATCTAGGAGCTGGAACTTGGAGGTTTCCAGCCCCAGAGGCAGAAGGCAGAGCTTAGAAGAAGTGTGCATTGCCAAGAGATCACAGTGTCAATTTGCAATTTTTAGACACAACTACATTTGAAGATACAATGAAGAAGTCAGATGCTTGAATCTACTTTTAAATAAGTTGAGATTTAGTAGGAATAAGACAATGTTCCACTAAATGTAGACACTTTATTTATATGATGTTTAGAAATAGAAGGCTAAATAAGTATATTCACCTCTATGTATAGTCATCACAGATACAGTGACCACCACACACCTATATACAGGTGGTGTGATGTTGTGATGTTGATTGAGCTGCTGTCACTGGCATTGCCATTGCTGACGAGATTCTCCAGGTGGTTGAGTCAACATTTCACAGTAAAAGGTCTAAACACACTATTAGTTGCATTGCTGGAAAATTTAGTGTATACTAAAACCACACCAAAAAGCTTCGTGCTTATATGCAAAATGAAGTTAGGTTTGGGTTTCAAATCATTATAAATTTTTTTTTTACCTGTATGAATGTCCATTAGGATGTTCAAAACTGGGGCTGGACTCGAGTTTTGGAGGACATCTAATTTTTCACTCCTTTGTCTTCTAAATGTCATTTGCACGTTGCCACCACATCCCACTCCCACCTCTCATTATTATGACAACTAAAACTGTCTCCACAGATTTTCGGTCCCCAAAAAAAGAGGCAGCAGTGATTCTGAAAAGACCATTTTTCACATGGAAAATTATTATCGTGGCTGGGCGTGGTGGTTCACGCCTGTAATCCCAGCACTTTGGGAAGCCGATGCAGGTGGGTCACCTGAGGTCAGAAGTTCTAGACCAGCCTGGCCAACATAGTGAAACCCAGTCTCTATTAAAAATACAATAATTACCTGGATGTGGTGGTGGACGTCTGTAATCTCAGTAACTTGGGAGGCTGAGGCAGGAGAATCACTTGAACCCGGGAGGCGGAGGTTGCAGTGAGCCAAGATCACGCCACTGAATTCCAGCCTGGGTGACAGAGCTAGACTCCATCTCAAAAAAAAAAAGAAAACAAAAACAAACAAACAAACAAAAAAACAGAAAAGAAAATTATTACCATCTGTGAAGTGAAAAGCAGGTTAGGAAATAATATTTCAGAATAATTCCCTGTCATTATTTTGAAAAGTGTTTATTCATACATACAAGAGAAAGGCTGGCAGTTGTCTTAGTCCATCCCTGGCTGCTGTAAGAAAATACCATACACTAGGTGACTTATAAACAACATACATGTATTTCTCATCGTTTGAGAAGCTGAGAAGTCCCAGATCAAGGTGCCAGCAGATTTGGTGTCTGGTGAGGGCCCTCTTCCTGGTTCACAGACAGCTCTTCTCACTGTGTCTCAGGTGGTAGAAGGGCCAAGACAGCTCTCCGAGGTCTCTTTTATAAGGGCACAAAAGCCAATTGTGCAAGCTCCACCTCACGACCTGATCACCTCCCATATACCATCACCTGGGGGTTAGGATGTCAACATGTGGATTTGGGGGGAGCATAAACATTCAGTCCATTATAGTAGTGTATAAGCCAAAGTGTGAACATTGGCATCTATGATGTAGAGATTTGAGGAATGATTTTTTTCCCTTTATCTGTATTTTTAAAATTTTCTACTTGAGAAACTTTTAAGTTGATTCAAGGAAAAAAAAAATCTATCGTAGGTCAGGCCAGACAGGTTCAGTGAGGATCCTGGTTCCTTGGACCTGTCATACCCGAAATCTATCAACAGGCGCTAACTGCTTGACACAAGCTCCTGAAACAAGCATTTACTCAGACGAACTCCCAGCAATGCCACCCTCCTTCCTGCACATAAACCCCTCTTGGTCCTTGCTCTTCTTGGGGATGATGAACAGGGTATTTCCTTTCTTGGAAAAGTGCTGTGGGTCTGAAGCAAGCTGTGCCGCATTTGGGGCTTTGTAGCACAGTTTTCCTTAAGTATAGGAACCCTCCTAAACTCAGCACTTTGTGATGTAGGGATATTTCTCCCTCATGCCTGCACCATACGTCTCAGCTATAAACTCCCAACTGGAAGACTCAGTCTGAGGTTTGGATAACCACTCCCCACCCATAGGCCAAGATAAATGCCCCACCAGCAAGCTGCAGAGAGATAAGGGAAGTTGCTTGCTGGGTGCTTGTGGCAGGCCTGGCACTTCGAGCCCTGCCAAGAAAAAACAGGGAAGGATGGTAGGACAGGAACACAGCATGAAGTCATTGGCAGGGGGTCCCTGTATATTTCCAAATGACTGCCCATTAGGATTTAACCTAATACACTGTCTCCAAGCCAGCCGCCAGCCTCCAAGACCTCTGCCCTGCACAGGCCCTTATGTTTGGACCAACAGGCAGGGTGTGGTTGTACCTGAAACACACATCGCCTAAGCCTGAATGCCTGGGCCAAGACTAGGGATAGCTTCCAGATGTGGGCTCCACATCTGGGCCAGCCGTCAGGAGACTGCTTATTTGAACAAAGACTGTAAGTACTCAAAGAGCCCCAAGGTCCGGAGAAGGCTGCCAAGACCTGGCGCACAGACGAGTACAGAACAGACCTCAATTTAAGGTTCCAGGAGAGAAAGAAAGCTGTGCTTTGTGGTCCTGGATTGATACCCACGAAGCCAGGTACTCTATTCACACAGGATGGGCAACAGCTCCACCCACAGGGCTGAAATGCGAGGCTTAGCCTCTAGGATAGGCAGAATTCCGGACTGAGGATGGGCTTCTATTTTCAGCAACCTGTCTCTTGACCCTTCCCCGCTTTCCATATCGTCTCCTAATTGATATTCTCTGGAAATATTTTAGAAATACAGAATTTTGCAACTTTACAGTTTGGTGGGCCCTTTTAGCCCGTCATCCCCCACCAGACACCCATTGTTTTACACAGAGCCATGTGACTCGAGAATTTTCCCCACTGGATAAGGAGAAACAAACAAATAGAGCCACTGGCAGTCGTCTTTGGAAGAGGCCAACAAGATTACCGTGACATGGGGGCAGAGTACCCTACACTCCCGGGAAAGGGCAAACGTACTTCTCTGCTGAGTCGCGACAGGCTGGCTAGGCCCCCTGCCCCCCCAAATTCATATATTAAAGTTCTAGCTGGCAGTACCTCATGATGTGACTGCATTTGGAAGTGGAGATTTTAAAGAGTCAATTAAGTTAAAATGAGGTTGTCAGAATGGGCCCTAATCTAATGTGACTATGTCCTTATAAGCAGAAGAGATAGGACACAGATACACACAGAGAGGCGACCACGCGAAGACAGGCAGAAGGCGGCATCTACAAGCTGAGGAGGGGGGCCTCAGAAGAACCCATTCCTGCCAACACCTTGATCTCAGACATCTAGCCTCCAGAACCAGCCTCCAGGAAATACATTTCCATTGCTTAAGCTGCCAGTCTGTAGTAATTTGTTATGACAGGCCGAGCGGACTAACACGAGAGAGATGCTTGGGGTGTGCTGGGGAGGCGGGTGAGCTGCTTGGCTTGTAAAGGCCCTGGGGGCCAGGCTGGTTGGGAGGCCAGCGTGGCCCAGCGAGGAGCCCTGGGATGGATCTGAGCCCAAGGATGTTTGTCATTTTTTTTTTCAGTTTTGTGCTTTCATTAGCCTCAAACTATGAATAAAGTCCTATTAAATGTCACTGCCTGACCTCTGCATTGCTGTGGGACATAAAGGAGAGGGTCCTTGGCTGGGCATGGTGGCTCATGCCTGTAATCCTAGCACTTTGGGAGGCCTAGGCTGGTGAATCACCTGAGATCAGGAGTTCGAGACTAGCCTGGCCAACATGGTGAAACCCAGTCTCTACTAAAAATAAAAAAAATAGCTGGGTGTGGTGGTGGGGGCCTGTAGTCCCAGCTACCTGGGAGGCTGAGGCATGAGAATCAGTTGAACCTTGGAGGCGGAGGTTGCAGTGAGCTGGGATCGAGCCACTGTACTCCAGCCTGGGTGACAGAGTGAGACTCCATCTAAAAAAAAAAAAAAAAAAAAAGAAAAGAAAAAGAAAAAAAAAGTTAAAGAGGAGAAGGTCCTTGCTGAGGATGGAGTAGTCAAGGGAGAACCAGGTCCCTTCCTCTGGGCACAGAGGAGGACAGTTTTGGGACAGGATGGGAACCTTTGAGTACAGACCCAGGACTCAGGGAGGGACCCACCCATCGCAGGGGCAGCATTCCTGGGGTTTTCCAGAACAGCCAGTGGGCAGTTGGAGGAGTAACAGCTTTCTTCAGGGAAGATGGTGCAGGCTTGTTCTATTATAGTTTGGATAACACATAGCACAGGAATTTCACTAGCTATGTTACCTTAGGGAAGTTACTTAAACTCTCTGGTCCTGTTTTTGAGTATAAAATAGGATAATTATCCCTTCATAGAGTTGTTATAAGCATTAAATGAGACGACGTATAGAAAAGATTTAGCACTTTCTCTTATTCACCAAATATTTCTAAGCACCTACTGTGTGCCAGGTACCATTTTGTGCTGGGAGGCTGCAATAGAAAACAAGAGAGAAAATGTCCCTGTCCTCACAACTTATATTGTTAGAGATGGAGAAACGATGAAGGAAATAAAAGTGGAAAGTGGTTCTAGAAGGAAGAGGCGGGCTGCTGGGTCAAAGACTGTTGCAAAGTCAACATAAGGAGAAGACAGATCCATGAGCAAATGCCACATGTCCTCTCCTTCATGGGGTGTGGCTTTGGGTTTGTGTGAGGTGGGACAGATTGCTGAGCCCCTGCATGAACCAGACCCTAGAAAGGCGATGCACCAGGGAGAAGAGGCTGGAAAAATCCTGCTCATTGGCCCAGGGAAATAATGAGCAAGCTGATGTGTGCCCAGGATCCTGAGTGAGGAAAAATAAATCTCCTGTTTAAAAATAAAAGAAGTTTGGCAGTTCCTCGGAAAGTTAAATAAGAATTACCATAAGACCCAGCAATTCCACTACGAGGTGTGCACTCCAATGGCTGGAGGGAGGGACTCAAGCAGATACATGTACACCAGGGTTCGCAGCAGCATTCATAGCAGCTATTTACAAGGGCCCAAAGGTGGAAACAACCCAGATGTCCATCAGCAGCTGAATGGATAAACAAAACATGGTACATATATTTCGTGGAATATTGCCGAATTTTCAAAAGGAATGAAATTCTGAGGCCGGGCGCGGTGGCTCACGCCTGTAATCTCAGCACTTTGGGAGGCTGAGGAGTGGGGATCCCTTGAGTACAAGAGTGAGACGCATCATCCACATGCATCCTTCCTTTCTGAGGGAGGTCGAATGGATCTGCTTCGGTAGGACGTAGTTTGTAATTTACCGAGCTGTGCTCAGTGCAGTCGAAAGCACGTGCAGTGCGCTCAAGACCCCCTCGCACTCGGGGCACACCTCCTGCCACTGGGCCGTGCTGCCCCCTCTGGCCGGTCCGCACACTGCAGCCCAAGGCGAGACCTCCCGGGCGGTAGGCGGGAAGGGGCAGGGAGGGCGCAGAATTCTGAGGCCTGGTAGTATTGTTTTTCTGACATAAGCCCACTCCTAATTCCGTTCCCTCTGAAATAGATTTGTGAGATATTTACAGTGCTCCTGTTCCCATGAAACCAAGCTCAACAAAAAGAAAAGGAGAAGGCAGCCAATCCAAGGAGCTGCAGCGCCCTCCGTCACCTGGAGCAGGTGCTTGGTCAGGACGGCACGCAGCACAGTTCTGGGCTCCCAGAGCCCATGGGTTTGCAGAGGCCCAGGGTATACTCTCTCCAGAACACCCCTTTTCGAAATCCAGGAGCATACAGAAAGAGACTAACATGTTCCACTACATTTTTAAACCTTTTGCATGAAAATGAAAAAACTACTATATGCTAAATTTTTAAATGTCAAATGAAAAAAAAATTTTTGTAATTCATATAAAAAACAAGGCCTAATCTTCCTAATATATAAAGAGCTCCCAGAAAAAGGAAGAAAAGAAAAAGAAATAACCCAAAAGAAAATCTGGGCCACATTCACAAAAAGCAAACACTGAAATATTATTTTCACCCACAAAACTGGGTGATTTTTAAAAACCCACAGAAGGAAACGCTAAACAGGGAAGCATCCCTTGGAAGCCACTTGCTTGATGGCCCCCACATTGAATCGCAGAACAATTCTCAAGAATTCACTTTTCACTTTCCCCACAAATGTCCTTACTACTAAATGTGAGGAGATTCACAAATATTTCTAGAGAAAATTATTTCCATTTAAATAAACAGAAGAAAAAATAGATACCATTCCTAGATTTTAAAAAATGTTATTAAAGGATAAACTGTTTGACGGTAAGACCATTTTAACTCTGTATTTCAATGCTTATTTAGCTTAGTACTTAGACCAGTGATATTAATTAGTTTTGGATGGTTGTGATAAATGGATGGATGGATGGATGGATGGATAGACAGACAGATAGATTGATAGATTGTGATGCACTAATGAAAAAAAGGTGGAAAAGAAGGGATGGAGGGAGAAAAGAAAGAAGGGAAGACAAAGGACAGAAAGAAGACAGGGGAATTCTTAGGTTGGTTGGATGGATAAATGGAAGTAAGTTTGGGATGGAAGAAAGGACGGTTGGTTGACTGACTGGCTGGCTGGATGTGACGGAATAATGAGTAGGTGGATGAAATGATAGATTAATGGGTGGAATGGATGATGGAAAGCTGAAAAATTGATAATGAAGTATAACAAGACTCTCATCAAGTAATGTGGCTTGTCTCGGTTTAGGGACAGAAGCATTGATGATATAATTCTCTTCTTTTCTAGTAAAAATGGGAAAATTCATAAATTTTTTTAACTAGTTTCATTTACAGCTGCCAAGACATACAGGGCTCTCAACTGAGATCCTGCCTCTTGAGCAAGAGGAAGGTGAAATGAGGTGCAAGGGTTAGCATCTTTACTTTACAGGTGAGGTAACTAACTCAACCTTCCTTTTGAATAATAAATATCCAAGCTATTACAGACTTTATAAAATACCATGCATTTAAAATAAAATTGTAGGCCATAGAAATGAACAAAAGAAGGGAAAGAACAGGGTCATTAAAGTTATTCTATGAGCTAGGACAGGTCACCCCAACTGTGGTTATGGCCAAGGCTAAATTACAGAGTGCAATGCCATCTGCCCCAGTGTTCTCTTCCTGTCACTCTCAAAGGCTTTTTATTCCAATTTATTTTAGGAGTGCCAAAAGGTATGTTTCTAATTCTATTTCTCTCCAGTTCTTTTTATAGTACTCAAGTCTGGGCAAATATCAGTAACATAAACGTGTGTCCTCGTTTTTGTATTTTAAGTCAGTGATAAGTTGAAGTACCCTGGATTTCCTGCTTCTTTGGAATTCATCACCTGCTGTTTTCAGAGCCAGCTGCACCTGTGTGGTTTTCGGAGCACAGGTCCACCTGCTGGACTGCCTGCTAGGCCATTAGCAAAGCCAGTGGCCAAATCACGCACTTGGGCGTTTTTAGATTCTGTCACTTTAGTGATTGTGAAAAGCTCCAGGCTGCCTGCACCCCCTCCCAATGTTTGCCAGAGAACTGGGAGCTGGGGACAGGGGTTCATTTGGAAAATATCAGTAAGAAATAGGAAGTTCTAAAGAACTTATTATCTATGAGGAAGACAACCAATTATTGCCCTGAGTTTATTGGGGTCTTTCTCTCTTCACCTGTAAAAAAGTGCATTTGCCCAAAAGGTATTGAATTAAGGGGGTATAGTAGATGCTGCCAGATTCCAATATACCTTCCCTTGTCCTTCTTCTTCAGTGCTGACAGGCTCCCATGGTAGCTGCCAGCACATGGCCTGAGGACTTTCTCTTGCCCTGGAGCTCCCTTTGCTACCTGTGCCACTGCCTGAAGTGCTAGGGAGTTGATGCCCCTGGGAACAGCCACCCAACGATGATTGACAATTGGTATATATATATACCCCAGCTCCCTTGCTTTTCAGGTAAAAACTCCGATGTGTGTGTTCTACACTGGCTTCTAGAGTTTCCCAAGTGGAATTAAGCTTCAGTCACCCACAGTGGTAGCTGAATGGATAACACAGGCTTTACTGGCTGCCTTCTCTTCCTGTCTCACTTCCCCACTCCCCTGCCAGCATCTCCTGGGGTCTTATCTTTCAAATAAACGACATGATCTGGAATCTTGTCTTAGAGTCTGATTCAAAGGGAACCCAAAGTCAAGCATCCTCTATGAATGGGATATTGCTGGGGAGATAGCAGAAGACATCTGGGAGATTCCCTTGCCAAACCAGAAATTATGGCTATCTCTCGAGCCTGAGCAGTCTACACAGTTTAGAGTTCCTCTGATGCAGTTTAGGGACCCTGTGGATGCCACGTACACCTTCAGCCCTGGGAGGGAGGGCTGAGGTGGACCCCAGCCAGAGGTGTTCAGAACACAGTGAGCCCTGTAGACAAAGATCAGGGGAGTGTCGGGACAGTTGGACGACAGAAGGACCCATTGTGTTCTCCTGCCATCGCCATCCGGTGTACATTCTCCTCACCAGTCCCTTTTAACTGTGAGATAGGAGGTGGAGGGAGAAAAATGACTGGGAAAATAGGAGCCTTCCTGCATTCTACTCATTCCTTTTATACTCAACTTATTTTTGTTCTGTAAAGTACACTTTTTAGTGTTTCTTTCAGGGAGGACCTGCTAGGAGTAAACTCACAATTTTTATTTGATTAAAGATTTATTTACAGGCCAAGCACGGTGGCTCACACCTGTAATCCTAACACATTTGGGAAGCTGAGGAGGGCAGATCACCTGAGGTCAGGAGTTCAAGACCTCTGGCCAACATGGTGAAACCCCATCTCCACTGAAAATACAAAAATTAGCTGAGCATGGTGGCCTCTGACTGTAATCCCAGCTACTCAGGAGGCTGAGGCAGGAGAATCGCTTGAACCCAGGAGGTGGAGGCTGCAGTGAGCCAAGATTGCACCACTGCAGTCCAGCCTGGGTGACAGAGTGAAACTCCATCTAAAAAAAAAAAAAAAAAAAAAGAGAGAGAGAGAGAGATTTCTTTACAGTTCTCCCTTGGTATCTGCAGAATATTCCAAAACTCCCTGCAGATACCAAAATCTACAGATGTTATAATGCATTATATAAAATGGCATTGTATTTGAATATAACCTATGCATATCCTCCTTTTTATATGTGTTGTTCTTAATCAGTATTTTTTTCTGTTGTATCGTTGTGTCTTTTTTTTCTTAATATTCTCAATCCATGGTTGATTGAATCTATGGATGTGGAACCTGCAAATACAGAGGATGGACTGTATTTTGCCCTTAAAGTTGAAAAATAGTTTAACTAGGTTTTGAAGTCTACACTGGTAGTTATTTTCTGTTAGCTTGTGCCTTGTCTTCTGACTTCTCTTGTAGATACTGAGGAGGCTGTTGTTAATCTAGCAATGTCATTCTTTTGTAGATAAGCTCTCTCCCTCTCTCTCTGTCTCTCTCTCTCATTTCTTGATCCAGATAAATTTAATCCCCTTTTTCCCTCTCTGCTATTCTACAGTTTTATTTTCATGTGTCCAGCTGTGCCTTTATTTTTATTTCAGGGTTCTTTGCTGCTTGAACCTGTGGAATCATATCTCCTATCAATTCTTTTAAAAATTTCAGCCATTGTCTCTTTGAGAATTGCCATCATCTTATTTTTTTCTATTCTCTCTTAAAATTCTTATTAGGGATATGATAGCTCTTGTTATTCTACCCCCATGTCTCTTAAGTTTCTTTTAATATTCCCTATCTCCCCTTGGCTCCATCTTCCAATTTACAAACTCTTTCTTTAGCTGTGTCTAAGCAGCTGCTTAACCTCATCCACTGAGTGTTTAGTTTAAACAGTCCTATTTTTCATTTCTAGAGGTCCTATTTTTCATTTCTAGAGGTTCTATTTTGTTTTTTGTTTTTCAAATCCACCTGGTCATAGTTGTCCTCTTTAGTTAGCCTCTCTTCTATGGTTTTTACTTTAAGCATATTATATTATACTCTTTCAATTGAGCATTTTATTATCTGAAAGCTACCATGTTTGGGATGAATGCTTACTTTCACTCATGATGGAATATATACTTTAGTGTTTCATAATTTTTTATTATAAAATTCTCTTTCAGAGATGGTCTTGTTTTATTCTGTTTTGTCTTCTGTGGGAATTCTGTGCAGCTTGGATCTTAGACATGTCCCTTCATAGTGGTTTCAATTTTGCTTTTGCCAGGTGTCTTGGAGATAGTTAAGGCAATTAAAAAGTCACCACTTCTGTGCTGCCACAGGTCACTTTCCATCAGCTGAGTCTTGGAACCTTTCCTCACTACTTGCATGGCACCTTGCACACATCTCCATGGCACCTCACATCACACTCTGTTCTGAAGCTTATATGTCCCTTTCCTCTATTATTCTGAGAGCTCCTTAATATTCCTCAGGTCTATCACAGAGCTCATAAACATTTGTTGCATGAATGAACTTGGAGAAGCCAGCCCTCAGAGCCTCAGCTTCTTTGAATGGGATGTTATATTTCATCCTTACCTCATAAGATTGTCGGGATATCATAGACTCTTAGGGTCAAAAGGTGCTGTAATTCAATCCATAGGAGGGTCACATTAAATGCTTAATTCCCTGCATAAGATAATTAACTAAAAAGCCCTCACAAGCTGTGAAGGGCCAGCAGAGGTAACTGACTGTGCTTCTCCACTGCACCTGGCAGTGGTTCACTATAACATTACTGTCTGTCTTTGTGCTCTGTGAGTCGGGAATAGTTCCAATGGAAAAGATCCATCATGCAGCAACAATTTCAAACTTTTCTGAGACCAGAACAAAGCTGCACCTGAAGCTGATTCCCTTGGGCATACTTTGGGTTTAGGATCCTTCAAAATCAAATGGCAGTGACCAAGAAAGCAGCTGTGTCCACTTTAAATGTCCACTATCTGTTCCTCACTTTCCGAACTTGACCAAACACTCTTTGAGGAGAGTGACCACAATATATATGTATTTGTATATTCCTATGGTCAAGCAGGAAGCACAGTACTAAACAGTAAGTTTGAATTCTGTCTGACCCATTGAATTTCTTTCTTTCTTTCTTTCTTTTTTTGTTTTTTTTGAGATGGATCCTCACTCTGTCACCCAGGCTGGTCGGCAATGGCACAATCTTGGTTCACTGCAACCTCCACCTCCTGGGTTCAAGCGATTCTCGTGCCTCAGCCTCCCAAGTAACTGGGATTACAGGCGCCCACCACATCCGGCTATTTTTTGTATTTTCAGTAGAGACCGGGTTTCAACATGTTGGCCAGGCTGGTCTTGAACTCCTGACCTCAAGCGATCTGCCCGCGTCGGCCTCCCAAAGTGCTGGGATTACAGGTGTGAGCCACTGTGCCCAGCCTGAATTTCAAGTTAAAGCTAGAGTTGCATTTGATGCTCAACACTCTAAATAAAAAATATATGCTACCTCACAAAACTAGAAATTCTTGATAATAGTAAAGCCATTTTTGGTTTGGGCTATACTTTTTTTTTTTTTTTAACTCAAGCTTTCCTTTGGTGGGAAAAAAAAGGATGGGGTTTGCTATGGGTTTCAGCGGCTCCAAATAGCTGTCTTCCCCTGCCCCCTAGTGGCTTCATGACAAACTGTGAGAACCTTCGCGTCGTTTCTTCTCAATTTTCTTCATTACTCCTATTCTTACTGTTTTTATTATTGCTTGTGAAAAAGACTTTCTTAAAATTATGCAACCTAAAAATTCCCCTTGCTTAACATGAAATAAATCTTCTGTACTTTTTCCAGAAAATATGCGTGCAGGGCCAGGCGCAGTGGCTCACACCTGTAATCCCAGCACTTTGGGAGGCCAAGTCGGGGGATCACTTGAGGTCAGGAGTTTGAGACCAGCCTGGCCAACAAGGTGAAACCCCGTCTCTACTGAAAATACAAAAAGTAGCCGGGCGTGGTGGCATGTGCCTGTAATCCCAGCTACTCGGGAGGCTGAGGCAGGAGAATCGCTGGAACCCGGGAGGCGGAGGTTGCAGTGAGCCAAGATCACGCCACTGTACTCCAGCCTGGGCAACAGAGCAAGACTCCATCTCAAAAAAAGAAAAAAAAAAAAAGAGAGCGAGAAAAAGAAAAAGGATATATGTGTACAGTCAGAGGCACCGTCCTAGACATAGAGAACACAGGAGTTTAGAAGCAATTCCCTCTCATTCCTCATCGGTGGCCATCGTAGACGTTTCCCTTCATAGAGGCCACCACCCTGGGAGGTCTTGCTCCATGGCCCCAGCTGACCCAACATGAAACGTCCACACCTTTCCCAGGCGCATTCTACTACCAGCACCTCCCAAATTAGACCTGAGCCAGCCTTCACATCATTCCCAGCCCCAGCCTCCTGTCCCGGCCAAGAACAGCCCCTTTCTTCCATGTGCCTTGGCTCCTGGGTCCCACCTCCTGCCTGTGCTCTCTGCATAAACACCATTGGTTTGGAATAACCCACTAGAATTGGATCCTAGACATGAACCCAGCGTTTGTTCACAGTGTGTGACCACCGCTAACACCAACCCCAGTGATTTTTGGTGAAGCACAGACCAGGCAAACCCTGTCTTTATCTGGGCCACTTAACATACTTCACAAAATTCAGTAAGCAGATAAATTAACAGAGATTACAGTCATTATGAGATTTAAACTTGTGTCCTCGAAGATCAGGTAGAGCCGCCCCATGAACCAAGTTGCTAAGAATTCATAATATATGATCTATTGAGTTTCTCTGCACCAGCAAGCTTAACTAGAAAATGAGTTTTTTAAATGACACCTTTACAACTGCATCAAGAAAACATCAAATACAAATACCTGGGAATAAATCTAACAAAATATGTCTAAGACCCCTACCCTGAAAATACAAAACATCATTGAAAGAAATTAAAGATCTAAGTAAACAGAGGAATTTGCAACGTTCATGGAATGAAAGCCTCAAAAGTATAAAAATGTCAATTATTCCAAAATATATTTATAGATTTAAAGTAATTCCCATCAAAATGCCAGATTTTTTTAAATTGGCAAGCTGATTCTAAAAATTCATGGGGAAATTTTTTAAAAATTACTTAAAGAAGAACGCTAAAGGAGTTACATTATCAGATATCAAAGCTTATTACATAATTCCATGTCTGGGTATATACCCCACAACATTGAAAGCAAGGACTTAAACAGATACTTGTACACCCATGTTCACACCAGCATTATTTGCAATAGCAAAAGGTGGAAGCAACCCCAGTGTCTGTAGACAAAATGTGGTGTACACATGCAGTGAAATATTATCCAGCCTTAGAAGGGAAAAAATTCTGACACCTGCTACCACACGGATGAATCTTGACGACATTATGGTAATTGAACTATGCCAGTCACTAAAGGACAAATGTCATATGATTCTCCTTATATGAGGTACCTAGACTAGTCAAGCTTATCAAGACAGAAAGTAGGATGGTGATTGCCAGAGGCTTAGGGGAGAGATAATGGAGAGTGTTTGTTTAACGGATACAGAGTTTCAGTTTGGAAAGATAAAAAGAGTTCTAGAGATGGAGGGTGGTGATGGTTGCCCAATGATGCAAATACACTTACTGACATTGAACTGTATGCATAAAAATGGTTACAATGGTTAATTTTGTTATATGCATTCTACCACAATTTTTTTTAAAAAGGACTTGTTATAAAACTACAGCAATTAAGACAGTGTAATAAAGGCATAAGAACAAATAAACCAATGGAACAACATAGAAAGTCTAGACACAGGCTTACACACAAGGTCATCTAATTGATGACAGTAGTGACAATGCAGTAGAATGAGGAAAACCTGGCCATTTAAAAAAATGATGTTGGGTCAATTGGTTAACCTTATGCAGACAAAATATGTCTTAACACCTAATGCACACCACACACAGAAATCAATTCTGTGTTGTAGATCTAAATGGAAAAGATCAAATACTAAGCCACCTAGAAGAAAACATAGGGCAATATCTCAAAGCACTGACCTTAAGGAAACAGATTGGTAAACTAGACTTAATTGAAATAAAAATATTTTTGTTTATCAGAAGATCACATTAAGATGAAAGGGCAAGCTTTGGAGTGAGAGAAGATATGTGTAATACACACACTCAACAATGTATAAAATGCCCTGCAAATCAATAAGAAAAAGACAGCTCTCAAGAGATCGAGACCATCCTGGCCAACACAATGAAACACCATCTGTACTAAAAATAGAAAAATTAGCTGGGTGTGGTGGTGCATGCCTATAGTCCCAGCTACTCAGGAGGCTGAGGCAGGAGAATCGCTTGAACCTGGGAGGTGGAGGTTGCAGTGAGCCGAGATCGTGCCACCACACTCCAGCCTGGGCAACAGAGCGAGACGCCATCTCAAAAATAAAAAACAAAAAAAACCAAAACAACTCAACAGAAAAGTGGTCAAAAGACTTGAACAGGGACCGCACGTGAGAATATACCCCAATGACCAATAAACACATCCAAAGATGGTCAACATCAAAATTAAACTACAAAAAGACATGGCAACAAAACACAACACAGAGTACCACAGGTTGATGAGATTTTGGAGCAACTAAAACTCTAATGTATTGGTGAGAGCATAACTCGGTACAGATAGTGTTTATCTATGTCTCCTATAGCTGAGAGTATGCATGCTTTATGGCCTAGAAATTCCACTCCTGGGTAACAATCCAACAGAAATTCAGTATGAATGTGAATAGCAATGGCATTCATAAAAATCCCAAAGCAGAAATTACCCAAATGTCCATTAACAGTAGAATGGATAAATATATGGTTGTATATCCACAGAATGAAATACTATACAACAATGAAAAACACAAACTACTTAACACATTACATACGGGTGGATCTCACAAAAAAAAAAAAATGTCAAATAAAAGAAAGGCAAATAAGAAAAGAAGATGATCCTATTTATATAGTCCAAAACAGGCAAGAGTAGTCTGTAGTGTTGGCAGTGAGGAGGATAGTGGTCCCTTGTATGGGTGGTGACTAGAGGAGACATGAAGGAGGCTTCTGGACATATAGTAATGGTGCGGGCTACACAAGTGTGTGAACTTCATGAAAATTCTTACTGGCAAACGAATAATTTGTGCACTGTTCCTTATGTGTGTTAATGTTCAATACAAAGCTTACTTTTAAAAGGTATATATTCTATATAATTCAGCCCAAAGACCACATTTTACTTAATGGAGAAACACTATACGTAGCCTCACTAATAATAATAATAGAAGAAAGACAAGGTAGGCCACATGTCCATATTCAATACTGCATTGGGGATAACCACCAATAAATCAAATAAGAGAAAGCAATTAGAGGAATAATAACTGGAAACTGAAAGGTAAAAGTATCTCTGTTTGTTGATGACATGACTATATATCTGGGAAACAAAAAATTAATGGAAAAACTACTACGAGCAATAAAGGAATTCATTACAAATAACAGAAACTTAGCATCCGGAAAACAATAGCTTTTATATATTTAAACAATGATCAATTTATAATGTCAAAAGTATTTTAAGTAAAATAGCTTGACATAAACATAACGTGAAATGTGTAAAACCCATATGAGAAGACTATTATATACTCCTGAAGATATGAAAGTACATTTGAGGAAAAGACACGTATTTTTTTGAATAGACTCACTATCTTAAAAATGTTGACTCTCCCTAATTTATGTATAAAATCAATGTGGTATTGGGGTTTGTTTTTGTTTTTTCCTGGAGCTAGCCAAGTTAATTATAAAGATCATATGGAAGAAATATCAGGCAGGAATACCTAGGAAAATCCCGTGGAAAAAAAGAGTAATATGTGTATGTTGGAAAGGGGAGGTTACCAGATATTAAAACATAATGTAAAATCCTTATAATTAAAACAATGTTGTATTGGCATATGAATAGTCCAATTAAATAAAATCAAAAATCCAGAAATAGACTAAACTACACAAGGAAATATACCATACTATGAAGGTAATGTCTCAAATCAGTAAAGAAAGAAAACAATTTTTAATAAATGATGTTTGAACAACTGAATAACTATATGGGAAAAGATACAATTGAATCTGCTTATCACACTATACTACAGGATAAATACCAGAGTAAGCCACACAAATCCCAGAGGAAAACATGGGTAAGTTACTCTACTACCAGGAAGCAGCCACATGTCTCAAAATCCAGAATTAGTGAAAGAAAGACATTTATAAACTTGACTATATTAAAAAAAACTTTTACATGGCAAAAAATAACATAAGCATGGACATTAACAGAATAATAAAAGAATATAAACAACTCTATGCCCCAAATTTGATAACTTGGATGAAATAGACCAATTCCGTGAAAGACACAATCTACCAAAACTCATACAAAGAGAAACAGATAATCTGAATAGGCCTATATCTATTAAAGAAATTGTACAGTAATTAAGGATGTTCCAAAACGAAAAGCACCAAGCCCAGACGGATTTGCTGGTGAATTCTACCAAACATTTAAGGAAGAAATTACACCAATTCCTTGCAATCTCTTCCAGAAAATAGAAGCGGAGGGAACACTTCCTAATTCATTCTGAGGCCAGCATTACCAGCATACTATAGCCAGACAAATATTACAAGAAGAGAAAACTACAGACCAATGTTTCTCATGAATGTAGATGCAATAATTCTCAGCAAAATATTAACAAATCAAATCCAACAATGTATAAAAAGAATTATACACCACAATTAAGTAGGATTTATTCTAGTTATGCAAAGCTGGTTCAACATTTGAAAATCAATTAATATATCACACTAACAGCCTAAAAAAGAAAATCATATAATCACATCAATAGATGCAGAAAAGCCATTTGACAAATCCAACATCCATTCATGATAAAAACTCACAGGAAACTAGAAATAGAGGGAAACTTTCTCCATTTGATAAAGAACATCTACAAAAACCTACAGTTAAAATCATACTTGATGAGAAACTAGAAGCTCTCCCACTAAGATCAGCAACAAAGCAAGGATGTCTGCCTTCCCTACCTCTAACCAACATCATATTGGAAGTCCTAAATAATGCAATAAGACAAGAAAAGGATATACAAGATATGCAGATTGGAAAGGAGGAAATAAAACCATCTTTGCTTGCAAATGACATGTTCATCTATATAGAAAATCCCAAAGAACTGATAATAAAACTCCAGGAACTAATAAGTCATTACAGCAAGTTTTCAGGATACAAGGTTAGTATACAAAAGTCTATCGCTTTCCTATATACCAGCAATTAACAAGTGAAATCTGAAATTAAAAACACAATACCATTTACATTAGCACCCCCAAAATTAAATATTTAGGTATAAATCTAACAAAGTATGCACAAAACCTATAAGAGAAACACTACAAAACTCTAATGAAATAAATCAAAGGATAGCTAAATGAATGGAGATATATTCCATGTGCATAAATACAAAGATTTAGAATTGTTAAAATGTCAGTTCTTTGCACCGTTATTTATAGGTCCAATGCAATTCCAATCAAAATTACAGAAAATTATGTTGTGGCTATCAACAAACTGATTCAAAAGTTTATATGGAAAGGTAAAAGACCTCAAATAGCCAATAGAATACTGAAGAAAAACAAAGTCAGAGGGCACTACCCAGCTTCAAGACCTACAACAAAGCTACAGTAATCACTACAAGGTGGTATTGGTAAAAGAAGAGACAAATCAATCAATGGAAAAGAATAGAGTCTAGAAATAGACCTATATAAATCTAGTCAGCTAATCTTTGACAAAGGAGTAAGAGAAATTCAATGGGATAAAAATAGCCTTTTCAACAAATAATACTAGAACAACTGGATATTCACATGCCAAAAAAAAAAAAAAAAAAGAATTTAGACATTGACTTTACGCCTTTCACTAAAACTAATTCAAAATGCATCATAGACCTAAATACAAAATGCAAAAATATAAAGAGAAAAATATAGAAGAAAATCTAGGTGAACTTGGGCTTGGTGATTACCTTTCAGCTTCAACACCAAAAGCATAAGCTATAGGAGAAAATTTTGATAAGGTGGACTTTATTAAAATTTAAAACTTCTGTGAAAGACACTGTCAAGAGAATGAGAAGACAAGCCACAGCCTGGGAGAAAATATTTGTAAAATAAATAAATATAGGACTTATACCCAACATATACCAAAAAAAGAAAACTTCTTAAAACTCAACAATAAGAAAACAAACAACAAAATAAGTGGGCATCTCACCAAAGAAGATATAGATGGCAAATAAACATATGAAAATATGCATAATATCATATAGAATTAGACAATAGCAAATTAAAATAAGATACTACTACCTATCTATTAGAATAGCTAAAACCAAAAACACTGACAGCATCAAATGCTGATGAGAATGTGAAGACACAGGAGCCCTCATTCACTGCTGGTGACGATGCAAAAGGGTCCAGCCACTTTGGAAGACAGTTAGTTTCTTACAAAGCTAAACATATTCTTACAATACGATCTGGCAATCATGCTCCTTGGTATTTATCCAAATGAGTTTAAAACTTATAGCCACACAAAAACCTGCACATGGATATTTATAGGAGTTTTCTTCATAATGGCCAGAATGTGGAAGCAGCCTAGATATCCCTCAGTAGGTGAATAGATAAGTAAATGTGATACATTACATACAATGGAATATTATTCAGAAATAAAATTAATGAGCTATCAAGCTACGAAAAGACATGCAGGAAGCTTAATTGCATATTGCTAAGGGAAGGAAACCAGTCAGAAAATATTTCCGACAAATGTCATCTATATGACATCCTGGAAAATGCAAAACTATAGAGACTGTAAAAATATCAGTGGTTTCCAGAGAGTTGGGGCAAGGAAGGGAGGAAGGGAGCGATGAACAGTTGGAGCCCAGGACGGGTTTAGGGCAATGAAACGATTCCACACGACATGATAACAGTGGATACATGACATTTTGCGTTTGTCAAAATGCATAGAATTGTTCAAGACAAGGAGTGAACCCTAATGTAAACTACAGATTTCAGTTGATAATTATGTCAATATTGGCTCCTGAACTGTAACACGTGTACAATTTGTAAGATGCTGATAATAAGGGAAGCTGTGTGTAGGGAGAAGAGAGGGTATTTGGGAACTCTGTACTTTCTGGGCAATTTTTTCTGTAAACCTAAAACTGTTCTTAAAAATGAAGTCTATTAATTAAAAAGAACAACATAGCGAAGTCAAAAGACTGGAAAAAAATATTTGCAATTTGTATTACAGACAAAAGACTAATTTCCTGAATGTATAAAGCACCAGAAAATTGAAGGGCCAACAACTTGAATGAAAAAACTGATAAAAGACACAACAGATAATTCACCAAAAAAGAATGCAAATGACCCTTAAAGGTATGAAAAAATATGAAACTCCACTCATAAGAGAAAGGCAAATTAAAGCCATACTACGGTGCCATTTCTCACCTATCAGATCGGCAAATATTCACAGCTATGATAAGCGTTCTGTGATCAGGGTGGAGGAAACAGGCACCTTCGTATATTGTTGTTAAGAATGCGAAACAGCAGGCCGGGCGTGGTGGCTCACGCCTGTAATCCCAGCACTTTGGGAGGCCGAGGCAGGCGGATCACGAGGTCAGGAGATCGAGACCATCCTGGCTAACAAGGTGAAACCCCGTCTCTACTAAAATTACAAAAAATTAGCCGGGCATGGTGGCAGGCGCCTGTAGTCCCAGCTACTCTGAAGGCTGAGGCAGGAGAAAGGCGTGAACCTGGGAGGCGGAGCTTGCAGTGAGTGGAGATCGTGCCACTGCACTCCAGCCTGGGCGACAGAGCAAGACTCCATCTCAAAAAAAAAAAAAAAAAAAAAAAAAGAATGCAAAACAGCACGACCTTTATGAAAGGGAATTTGGCAATATCTACAAAAATTGCATATGCTTTACCCTTTGACTCGGTAAATTCACTTCTAGAAATCCATCCCAAGGAAATATTGGGAAAAAAAAAAAAAAAGCAAAATGCCCAGGCACGGTGACTCACACCTGTAATCCCAGAACTTTGGGAGGCTGAGGTGGGAGGATTGCTTGACTCCAGGAGTTCAAGACCAGCCTGGGCAACATATTGAGACCCCGTCTCTACAAAAATTTAAAAATTAGCTGGGTGTGGTGGCACATACCTGTAGTCCCAGCTACTTGGGAGGCTGAGGTGGGAGGTTCCCTTGAGCCCAGGACCTCCAGGCTGCAGTGAGCCATGATTCTGCCACCGCACTCCAGCCTGGGCAACAGGGGGAGACCCTGCCTCAAAAAAAGGAAAAGAAAAGAATTAAAGAAAACTAATAAAAATGGTTAGCAAGAACAGAAACTACACTGCTTGAGATTACCTTCTTATAGGTTTAACTTTGGGCCATGTAACTAAAAAAATTACTAACGAGCATCCCTTTTTCCTGGTTCCAGGTCACTCTGCACAAGGCTGCAAGAAACATCCTTACACATATGTCCTTACATGCTGACGCTTTCATTTCTACAGGATGGAACCCTAAGAGAGGAATTGTTGAAGAAGTCATACATTTTTAAAATTATGGAAATTGTCAAGCATGCAGAAATAGAAAGATATGTATAATGAACCTAATGTATATTAATCAGCTGGCAGAGTCTCACAGAGAAAGAATGGCTTTGGTGGCCTTTAGAGGCAGTATTTTGACTGTACATACTTGGCGGAATATGCCCTCAGGACAAGAAAGAACAGCAAAATAATTTAAAACTGGCCACAGGAGCCAAAACTTAAAAGGGCTCCCACTGATGTGAGCTGGAACAATTTGAGTATTTAAAAAAACAATAAATGCAATGTATTGAAACACATAAAATACACAAAATCCATGAATTAACAATTGCACTAAAAAAAATTATTGGTCACTGTTGGAGAACACTAGGGCATCAGTTCATTATTCTGAAAATTGATACAGAAAAAGAAGCCAACATTTATTCTGCCTTTCCTGAACAAATCATATTTCAGGGCAACCAAACAGTTCATAAGGCAGTTTGCTTTTATCCAAGAATTCCAGCTAATTATTTCAGAAGGAATGACAGAGCTAGAAATCGCCATTTTGTAACATCTCTCGGAATAATGGACCTAGGCTGCATTATGAGCAGAGGGTCAGAGCACTCGGTGAAAAGTTGATAGGAATTTTATCTTGGACTGATCAGACTGACATACTCTGAAGCTGCTGACCAATATTTGGTATCCCCCATGTGCATGTGCTAATTACCTATCTATATGAACATATAGGCCATAGGAATATGTATATATTGGAAAGTGTAGAAAACAACACTAGGTTAATATAGATCACCGGGAGCGGGGAGTTTGGATGGTTCAATCCTATTTATGTAAGGCGACATGTGTTTATGTGTGCTAAAAGCAAGGCAAGAAAGGAGGATCACCGAAGCTGTTAGGGTCGTCTTTGCTCAGATCGTTCCACCCCTGAGAAGCCTCCCCTCCCATGCTCTCCAGCACAGAGCTCACGCCCCTTGGCCATGCTGAATCATGAGGTGGTCTTACCATAGGAGGACAGGACGCCAATACACAGGAGAGCTTGGTGCAGTACGTGTGTGCAGGATTCTGCTACATAGCCTGGTTCACCGGGACCTGGCACCACACATAGGCCTTGCAGAGAAGGCAATCCCAGCCAGACCCACGGCAGAGGAAGCCAGATAGGAAAATGGGATGGGATTCGCACTGCATCAGCCCAGCCGAGGTCAACCACAGATGCCTCTTCAGGGTCTACTGGAAACTGTCCATGATATAAAGGTGCATTCTCATCACACTTGCCATCAGCTGTTGAGTGCACCAAAAGTCTCTCATTCTAAGGAGGGCTAGAGATGAAAAGCTTCGGGTATCCCATCATGCAGAGATGGTACAAGGTTCAGATCTACTTACACCTGCCTTCAGAACTTAATGATTTGGTAAGATGATAAACAGGTAAGAGCTTCATAAACTGCAGGGCACTCTACAAATACTGGCACCTCTATTATAAAATGCCTTTAACTTTTAACTTGATGGAAGAAATTAGTGTGACTAAGAATCTGGTGCTTTCCTAACATGTCAATCTCTAAACTCAAAACGCTGTCATTTTAGATAGTTCTCACTCTGAAACTGGATTTAAATGAATAGGAAATCAAGCCTGAAGGGGAATAGTACATGGGGAGAGGAGACCACGGCAAGGGACCTCCATGCTCCTCCGAGACACTGAAATGGGAAGTGATTAACCTTTGGATAGTCTGTGGGGTGATTTGGTATTTGGCCATGCCGCTGAGGCTGAAAGGTTAATGAATTTGCTGCCTGTGGAAGAGCCAGGCTGACGAGGAAGACGCTGTCTGCTGAGGGAGTGGGGAGGAGGGTGTGCTGGCAGTGGGGGGCACCTGGAGCTCCCCCAACCCCTGCCTCATCCCCTAAGTCACCCACAGGGTCCCTCAAGGCCCCTGCTTGGTGTTCTGCCAGAAGCACCTGCTGGGCCCGGCCCTGGGCAACCCCCACTCCTGCTGGCGGCTGCAGTGGGTGCCTCAGGGGCTGCTGTCCTGCCCTGTCACTGCCTTCGTCCACAGATAAAGAAATTCTGAGAGGAAGCAACTCCTGTGCCAGGAATGAGGCCTATGCTCAGGCCAGCTCCTCGGTGACACTGTGACATCGAGCTGCGCAGGGCCCTGTCCTCCCTCTCCACAGGCTGTAGAGGTGACAGCATTGGTCGGAACCTACTCTTCTTGGAATCGCCAGTGCCCTGGTTTCAGCTTTGTGTTAAACAGAGTCCTTGGGTCCTTTCTTCAGCAAGAGCTGGAAAAAAGGACTCTCCATTTCTCCTCTGGTCCTTTACCCACTGTGATCTTCTACCCTGGCAGGACAACAGACTCACTAGAGGCTTAAGGAAATACTCACGTTGGCCCCACCCCATGCCAATGGAACCAGGGTCTCGGGTAAGGCCCTGGCATCAACATTCTTCCGAATTCTGATCCCCAGCAGATTCTAAGGTGCAGCTGGGGAAAGCCAGCAGCCCTGACCATGCTCAGTCCCTCAGTGCCCTTGGACTCTGGGGCAGCCTACAGGTCCCAGAGGGCCCACTCCAGCCACAGTCACTTCCTCATGCTGCCTTATCAGCCCTGATTGGTCCCTGCCAGCCCGTGATCCAGCCCCCCCTCCACTGGGGAAAGAGAGCTCCCACCCCAGCTCTAGATCCAGCATCGCCCCAGCCCCACCTCTGTCCCTCCCGTGCTATGGTCCTGGAGCCTCAGCAGACACTGCCTGCAGTCAAGACACAGCTGAGCCCTGCTACTCTCCTTGGCTCTTCCCCGGGCCTCTCCCTCCTGGCTCTGGGTCTCCACCTTAACATAGAAATGCGTACCTTTCCCTCACTCAGGTAACTTGGACTGCCCAGCTCCCAAGTATCTTCAGCAGTGCTGGCTGGAAGAACACAAAGACTCTCAAGGGTGGGCCCTGCCTCACTCCCTCTGGCCCATCGGTGCCCAGCACTCCTACTCATCCCGGTGTCCATGTGTGCTCCCCCAGGATACTTGACTTTTCATGCACCTCTGTTCCTTCTAAAATCTGAGAAGCCTCCTCCACTATCTTCCTTCCAAATCTCCCAAGTGTCTGGAGGCTGGGCCATGCCAGGAGCTGCTGCGGGCTACACGAGCTCTGGCCACACTGGCCTTCTCCAGGGAAAGGTTCAGGTATTAAGGAGTTTTATGCCAGGCCCAAGCATCTCCCTGGGGATCAGTGTGGCACTTTCAGCAAGCCCCAGCCGTGCTGCACTCCGAGACTCTCCTTTTTTTTTTTCCACCATCTTCCCTGCAAATACTTCAGACCTGTCCAAGAGGATTAGAGTTGTTGGTTGGGGCACTTCCTGTCCAGCTTCCTTGCTGACCCCCAGAATTGTCTGCAGGTCCGCTTCATCCCTGGGCTCCAAGGCTCTGGTGTGTCACCACTGTTGACACTCATGAATCAGCCCAAGTCCCAGGACCAAGTCAGTTCCTGATGTGGACTAATCCCAGGTGAGTCCCTAAGATGTAACTGATCAACTTGGGAATCACCGATCCAAGCGTACCATGAGGTCACTACAATGGCTGGGCCTCTGAGCACCCCACAGAGCTCCCTGTAGTTATTTCTGAGAACACTCAGGGCATTGTCCCAGGAGTTCCTTGGACAGGACCTGTTATGGGTTGAATTGTGTCTTCCACCAATCCTTATGTTGAAGTCCTAACCCCCAGGACCTCAGAATGTGATTTTATTTGGAAACAGAGTTGCTGCAGATGTAATTGGTTAAGACGAGTTCACACTGAGGCAGGGTGGGCCTTTCGTCCAATACAACTAGTTTCCTTATTAAAAGGTGTATTAGACAGGGTTCTCCAGAGGGACATAACTAATAGGATAGATGTACGTATGAAAGGGAGTTTATCAAGGAGAACTGACTCACACGATCACAAGGTAAAGTCCCACAATAGGCCATCTGCAAGCTGAGGAGCCAGGAAGCCAGTGGTGGATCAGTCCTCAAAACCTCAAGAAGCCTTCAGTCTGTGGCCAAAGGCCCGAGAGCCCCTGGTAAACCACTGGTATAAGTCCAAGAGTCCAAAAGCTGAAGAACTTGGAGTCTGAGGTTAGAGGGCAGGAAGCATCCAGCATGGGAGAAAAATGAAGGCCGGAAGACTCAGCAGGCCTGCTCTTCCATCCTCTCCTGCCTGCTTTATTCTAGCCTTGCTGGCAGCTGATTAGACGGCTCCACCTAGACTGGGGGTGGGTCTTTGTCTCCCAGTCCACTGACTCAAATGTTAATCTCCTTTGGCAACACCCTCACAGACACACCCAGGAAAAATACTTTGCATTCTTCGATCCAATCAAGTTGATATTCAATGTTAACCATCACCAAAGGGGAAACTGGGACAGAGATAAGCACACTGGGGAATGCCACATGAAGATGAAGGCACAGGATGCCAGAGATGGCCAGCAACCCCCAAGCTGGGGGAGAGCGTGGAACAGATGCTTCCTCGAAGCATCAGAAGGCGCCAACACTGCCGATACCTTGCTCTTGGACTTCTAGCTCCAGAACCATGAGGCCACCTGTTTCTGTTGTTTAAGCCCTGTGTTCGTCTGTCCTCACACGGCTATAAAGAACTACCTGAGACTGGGTAATTTACAAAGAAAAGAGGCTTAATTGGCTTGCAGTTCCACAGGCTGCACAGGAAGCATGACAGGGAGGCCTCAGGAACCTTTTAATCACGGTGGAAGGCGAAGGGGAAGCAGGTACATCTCTCTCACGTGGCCAGAGCAGGCGGAAGAGAGTGAAAGGGGAGGTGCCACACACTTTTCAACAACCAGATCTCGTAAGAACTCACTCACTGTCAACAAAAACAGCACCAAGGGGGAAAACCAACCCTGTGATCCAACCACCACCCGCCAGGCCTCTCCTCGGATACTGGGGATCACAGTTCCAAATGGGATTTGGGTGGGGACGCAGATCCAAACCATATGGAGCCCTCAGTCTGTGGTTCTGTTAGGGCAGCCTGAACAGAATAATGCTTGCCCCCATGCCGCTCCCTTCCAGTCTCTGCCCAGCCACCCCCTCCACTCCTCCTGCCACATGGTTCTCAGGAGACCCTCGTTTACTTGGGCACAGCCTTCCTCTGACCCCACTACTAGGTTCCCCTTTGCCCTTGATCCTGAGTGAACAGGCCTCTAACTCCCACCACCTGGAGACTGAGCTTGACCTCAAAGGACTTGACTGGAACTGCAGGGGCGTGTTAGAAGGGAAGCCTGACCCAGACAGCCACTCCCCAAACAACTGCAGCTCCTCTCACAGCCAAAGATGTCTCCTCCTGGGTGCCCCTGCCTCCCTGTGGGTCAGGGACCACCCCTCCCATGGTGAATGTCCACACCCTTTAGAATTCAGCCCAAGCCCATGAGTCCCATAAGAGGACAGGGTTTCCCACAGCCCGTCTCAGGCCTCCTGATCTACTTTCCCCCACCAGGCCCGGCCTCTCTTCAGGAAGGCTAGGTGCTCTTCCCTGTAAGTGCCAGGGAACTCATGTCCGACACAATAGTCCAACTCCGTCCTCTCCTGGAGTCTCAACCACTGTGTGTGAATGATACAAGGTAGGGCATTGCCAGTCCACACCATTATGAAAGGATGCACTGGGTTGAACAGTGTCCCCAAAAAGTTCATGTCAAGGCCCAGCGTGGTGGCTCATGCCTGTAATCCCAGCACTTTGGGAGGCCGAGGCAGACAGATCACCTGAGGTCAGAAATTCAAGACCAGCCTGGCCAACACAGCAAAACCCTATCTCTACTAAAAACACAAAAATTAGCCAGGCGTGGTGGTGGGTGTCTGTTTTCCCAGCTACTCGGAAGGCTGAGGCAGGAGAATCATTTGAACCCAGGAGGCAGAGGTTGCAGTGAGCTGAGATCGTACCACTGCACTCCAGCCTGGACGACAGAGTGAGACTCTTTCAAAACAACAACAACAACAACAAAACCCAAAAAGTTCATGTCTACCTAGATCCTGTGAATGTGACCTTATTCAGGAACCAGGATTTTACAGATGTCATTAAGGTAAAATGAAGTCATACTCATGAATTCATGGTTAGGGGGGGCCCCAAATCCAATGTGACTGGTGTCCTTGTAAGAAGAGGACACTTTGGACACAGAGACCCAAACACATGGGGAAGGCCATGTGACAACAAAGACAGGGATTGCATCTGCAAGCCAAGGAACACCAGGACTGCCGGGAGCCGCCAGCAGCTGGAGAGGCCAGGAAGGGTTCTCCTCCAGCCTTCAGAGGGAGTATGGCCCTGCCGACTCCTGGAGCGTAGATTCCAGACTCTAGCATTGAGAGAGAATGAATCAATGTTGCTCGAAGTCTGATTTGTGGGGCATTGCTACGGATGCTCTGGGAAACTCAGGCACAAGCCAGTAAGCCAGGGCTGTCCCTTTCACAGCTTTCCTCCCGCGTGAGCTTCTGTGGGTTAGGATGCTTTCATACGCACATAACCAACCCAACTCAAGTGGCTCAGGCAACAAAGGATCTATCCTACACCTTGAATTGCATGATGAAAATAGATATGCATGCAGGTAACAATGATGAGTGTCCATGAGCATGGGGAGATGTGGGGGGCCCAGGCAGTAGGGCAGTACGTGTCAGATGTCAGCAGTGCTTACCTGGATGGGGGAGAGGAGAGCTGTAGAGAACCAGACAGAAGACTGCCTTTCAGCCTAAACATGTGCATTCACCTTACTTCATGGCTTTCCTGGAACAAAATGGCTCTTCACATTTGTGAATTGGAAGTGGGTTTTGTGCTGGAGTCAGCCCCAAAGAAGACATACAAGGTTTAGCGTCCTTTTTGAGACAAAAAGCTTCCCATGGAACCAGTATATTCTACCAAGATTTCAAAACTCTCTCTTTTTGTTTTTTTAGACAGAGTCTGGCTCTGTCGCCCAGGCTGGAGTGTGGTGGCACGATCTCGGCTCACTGCAACCTCTGACTCCCAGGTTCAAGCAATTCTCCTGCCTCAGCCTCCCAAGTTGCTGGGATTACAGGTGCCCGCCACCACACCCAGCTAATTTTTGTATTTTTAGTAGAGACAAGATTTCACCATCTTGGCCAGGATGGTCTCGATCTCTTGACCTCGTGATCCGACCGCCTCCGCCTCCCAAAGTGCTGGGGTTACAGGCGTGAGCCACTGCGCAGGGACTCCAATTCCTTTTTAAATTTATTTCTTCAGCGTTGTCACTGAGATCTGTCTGTCCAGGTGGAGAAGCACCTGGAGTGACAGCATCTGTCCTCAGGAGCATACTGCAGAGCTATAAACATGACGAACTCTCAGGAGTCCAAAGACACCAGGTATCCCAGGCTGGGCGCACACATGGATGTTGTTGCAGTGAGAACCAAAGACTTTTGCTTGAATTTCCTCCTCCTGGGGGACAAGGGCCATAGAGTCCTGGATGCTTAGCTCAAGGCCAATAGGCATGTGTTATATGCTAATCGATACACGCATTTGTGACCTGGGAGCATGCTGTTTTGAGCAGCTGCATGTCTATAGGAAATAATAAAGTGATTCATTTTTATGTTGCAAACTTCAGTATTTGATATAAATTCTATCAATATGCCTTTGCCACCAAGCTCCTGCCTCTAATATTTAACCATCATCTATTGTAGTTGCAACAAACTGAATCGATTGAGATTGAAAAATCAGATGTAAAAAAAAAAGTAGAAAAACATGTCCTTTGTGGTTAATATTAATCTTGCGATTGATTTTTTTCTTTTAAGGAAGTCTGCCAAGAATAGAGGAGACAATTAGGAGAAAAAGTGATTCACTGTATCCACAGCTTCGGAGGTCAAAAGGAGACAGAGCTGGCCTTGGTATTTGGCAGAGAGGAGAGTCAAGAGGTTGGGCCAGCAGCCGCACAGAAACACATCACATGAGACCTGGAGAGGGAGGAGGCAAAGAGCACGGGGCAGTCAGGAGGACGGGCTGGGCGCCATGCTCTGCGGGAGGGAGGGAGGCTCTGGCCTCCATGCCTTGGCTCCCAGTACAGCACCTTCCTGTTCCTGGATTAGCTTCCTGGACCAGACACAACACTCAATGACCTCTTTTAGTCAAAAACCTCTCCAAGACCAGGCTATTCTCGGCCTGCTGCACTTCTGCTTAGGCTATTCCAGAAGTGACCCCTCTATCAGAGCCAAGAAGGCTGTGTGGCACCTCTGGGTAAGATCTGTGGGGTCACTCACCAGAGACCCCTGGCACTTAGCTCATCAGAAGAAGATGGCTGAGCCTAGAAGGTGCTGACAAAACAAAAAACAAAACAAGCCCCCCTACTCCCACAACTTTCTCAGGTCATCACACCCTGGAATGATCCCAAGCAGCCCCATGCCACCACTCCCCAACCTTCTAGGAACCTCAGTAAAGGAGAAATATGTTATTGATGTCTCCACTCCACAGCTGTTGTCTCCCACGCACCCGCTATCTGCCTGGCACTGTTGGTCATTTTAGGGACACTTTAGACAGGTAAGTTTCTACTCTCATGAAGCTTCCAACCTAATGGGGAGATTGTGAACAGGCAGATAAATGAGATCATTTCGGATATTGATGAAGGACAGGAAGAAATTAAAATGCAGTAATGTAATGTGGGGTGACTTGGAAGGGAGGGCCTTCCAAGTCAGGGTGGTCAAAGAAGACCCTTCAGTTACCCTGTGGGGAGGCAACATCTGAGCTGAGGTCAGAACAGAGAAGGAGCTGACACAACACTCTCGGAGGAAGCACAGCAGACTGAAGAAGAGCGACTACACTGGGTCTAAATGGAGACCAGCCAGGCTCGCGCCGCAGGAAGGAAGCCGGTGTAACTAGACCAGTCACTGTAACTGGGGGTGACTTTGCCTCCCAGGGGATATCTGGCAATGTCTGCAGACAGTGTTGCTGTCGGCAGTGTGGGAGGATGCTAGTGGCAGCTAGTAGGTAGAGGCTAGAGATGGCACTAACTGTCCCACAATGCACAGGACAGCACCCAACCAAAGAATGATCTGGACTGAAATGTGCCTGGTGCTGAGGCTGAGAATCTTGGGGCCAGAGGGTGGAGTGAGGGCAAGAGGGCAAAAGCCCATGGCTGGGAGGTGGACAGATCACATAAGACCACGGGGGCCCTGATGAGGAGTTTGGGTTGTATTCTAAAATGATGGAAGGCCACTGGAGACCTCCCCTCGGGAATCTGGCATGATGTGCATTAACAATGATGGCTCTGATGGGAAATAGATGGCTGTGGGTGCATAATGGACCCTCCTACAGAAGTGCAAATGAGAGGTGATGGTAGCTTACAGGAGCTGTGGAGACAGACAGAAGTGGATGGCTGGGATATGTCTTTTTAAAAATGAGGCTGGGCGTGGTGGCTCACGCCTGTAATCCCAGCACTTTGAGAGGCCGAGGTGGGCGAATCACCTGAGGTCACGAGTTCGAGACCAGCCTGACCAACATGGAGAAACCCTGTCTCTACTAAAAATACAAAATTAGCCGGGCATGGTGGTGCATGCCTGTAATCCCAGCTACTTGGGAGGCTGAGGCAGGAGAACTGCTTGAATCCGGGAGGCAGAGGTTGCAGTGAGCCGAGATGGCGCCACTGCACTCCAGCCTGGGTGACAGAGCGAGACTCCATCTCAGACACACACACAGAGGCTGGGCGCAGTGGCTCATGTCTATAATCCCAGCACTTTGGGAGGCCGGGGCAGGCGGATCACGAGATCATGAGTTCGAGACAAGACTAGCCAACATGGTGAAACCCTGTCTCTACTAAAAACACAAAAATTAGCTGGGCATGGTGGCAGGTGCCTGTAATCCCAGCTACTTGCAAGGCTGAGGCAGGAGAATTGCTTGAACCCGGGAGGTAGAGGTTGCAGTGAGCCAAGACCACACCACTGCACTTCAGCCTGGGAGACAGAGCAAGACTCTGTCTTAAAAAAAAAAAAAAAGAAAGAAAGAAAGAAAGCAAGAAACAGACTTGTCAATGAATCATCTGTGCAAAGTCAGAGTAGGGAGGGAAAAAGGAATCGAGGATGATCCCTGGAGTTTAGGGCAGAGCAAATGAGTGGATAATGGTGACATTTTTGTGATGAAAAAGACTATGGGAGAAATAGTTTGGAGTAGCAAACCGGGAGTTCTGTTTTGGACGGGATGTGTTTGTGATGCCTATTACATATTCACAGGCAGAAAGACAGTAGACACTGCGCTAGCACCAGACAGATGGTATTTAAAGTACATAAGAGACACTGAAATCCACCAACAGTTACCAGTTTATGCCAGACTACTTAAACAATACTAAATTCAACATCAAAGAAGAATAGAGGAAGATATGTTCCTCTTATTGTTTGCCTAGAAAAAGTTCCTTAAGATCTAATCATTTTTGATTCTTAGAAGAATAATTATTTTAAGGAGGCAGGAGGACAATTCTCACTTACACGTGATCTAGGAAGATGTCAAAAAATGCAGAATCATCCAGTAGAAGCCGTTAGGGGTCAGGACACACTTCACATGCCTGAAACACCTGTTCCCTGCCGGGGGTGTCGTTACCCCACTTCTCCATGGGCCACTTCCCAAACATCCCATAAGAACCACTGGAGAACGTGCCCCTATTTCGTGAAGCCATCTCTGTTCCTGAGGTGGGTGGCTCTTCTCCTTTCTGTGCATGTGAGACACTTTGAAATTAAGCCCTTCCCCAGGCCAGGCCTCTGCTAATGACATCAGGCACAGTGTTTCACTGCATTGATGGCTGTGTACTGTGAATCCCAGCTTACAGATAAAGTCACCAAAGCACTGGGAGGTTACACTGCTAAGATCGCTGACTCGGAGCTGCTACTACAAAAGTACCTTAACATACTGGATGGCCCAGAAACAACAGAAATTTATTGCTCACCGTTCTGGAGGCTGGGCGTCAGCAGATTCGGTGTCTGGTGAGGTCCCACTTTTCTGGTTCAGAGATGGCACCTTTCCTGTGTCCTCACACAGTGGAAGAGGCAAGGCAGTTCCCTTGGGCCTCTTTTATAAGGGCACTAATCCCATTCATAAGGGCAGATCCGTCATGACTAATCACCTCCCAAAGTTCCCCACCTCCAAATACCATTACATTGGTGATTAGGTTTCAACATACGAATTTTAGGGGGGACACAAGGATTCAGACCACAGCAGTCACCTAGTAATGAGGGCAGCACCAGGATTTGAACTCAGAGCTGTCTGCTCCAGAACCCTTGGCTCCTATTATTTTTTAAAATGACGTTTACTCTAATAGACTGTGAAATGCTTGAGGAAAAAAATATGCCAAGCTGAGTTCATGGAGAACACCAGCGTCCTACATTGGCAAAGTACCACCTATCTGGAACTCATCTTAACATTTTACATCTTACCATGAACTTGCAGCTACTAGATTTGAGAGCACATAAGCCAGGTCATAGAAATCTGCTATCCATCACCAGCCACTAAAGGAGCATTTGCAAAGGGTAAGAATGAAATCTTGATTTTCCTTCTCAAAGCTGAGCTGTTTAACCCTTTAAAAATCATCCAATGCTACATCAGAATTTTCTCTTCACTCAACTTCTTTTTTCTTCCAAAAGGAAAAAAAATCTACATTACGCTTCCCTTTGTGGTAGGTGCTTTGACCTCAGCACTCTCCTTCACTCTTGCTCCACTGCCCTGGGCCCACCCACCCTTCACCAGCGTTACCGGGGCTGCACCCACCCTCATCTGAAATCCAAAGCTATTCTTCCTATGCTGCAGAGAGGAACAGCCACAGCTCTCTACCTCTTGCTCCAGTTGTTCATAACGTCTAATCAAGATAACAGCAAAGGGGGCCAGGTGCGGTGGCTCACGCCTGTAATCCCAGCACTTTGGGAGGCCAGGGCGGGGGGAGGGAGCAGATCACTTGAGGCCAGGAGTTCAAGACCAGCCTGACCAATATGGCAAAACCCTGTCTCTACTAAAAATACAAAAATTAGCTGGGCATAGTGGTGCACACCTGTAATCCCATCTACTCAGGAGGCTGAGGCACGAGAATTGCTTGAACCCCGGAGACAGAAGTTGCAGTGAGCTGCGATTGTGCCACTGCACTCTAGCCTGGGTGACAGAGTGAGACTCTGTTTCAAAAAATGAAAAAAGATAATAGCAAAGATGTTTGTGAGTCTGCTCTCACGCTGCTATGAAGAAATACCCTAGACTGGGTAATTTATAAAGAAAACAGGTTTAATTGACTCACAGTTCCACATGGCTGGGGAAGCCTCAAGAAACTTACAATCATGGCAGAAGACACCACTTCCCAGGGCAGCAAAAGCGAGAATGAGCGCCAGCAGGGGAAAGGCCAGACGCTTATAAAACCATCAGATCTCGTGAGAACTCACTCGCTATCACGAGAACAGCACAGGGGAAACCGGCCCCATGATTCAATTACCTCCACCTGGTCCCTCCCATGACAGGTGGGGCTTATGGGGATTACAAATCAAGATGAGATTTTCAGTGGGGACACAGTTAAACCTTATCAATGTTCAATAAAGTGTTATTTACAATAGCAAAAAGCTGAAAACCATATAAATGTGTTATTAATACGTTTGAATACATAGTAATTCTGTTGGGTGAATTTGGGAATATTTATTAAGAATTTTTAAGAAAAAGGGAAGATGCCCAACGAAATTTCAAAAAGGATATAAAATACAGCATAATCACAATTATTTTAAAATGGTGCTTAGCAAAAAAGCTGGACAAAAATTAAACAATGGTAATAGGTTTATCTCTAGACTGTGAGGTCAGGAGCCATCTTTTTTTCTTCCTGAATGTTTCTATCTTTTCCAACTTTTCTGTGTGCATTATTTTATAGTTGGGAAAAAGCACTATTGGTTATATTTTGAAATGTGTCCATAGCTTCTGGGGCAAATAAGGCTTTGTTCCATTTCCAGCACCTGTGTAAAGATGGTTAGTCATATATGGTGCTAAATAAGAAGGCTGCCAATGAAAAAGAACGGGGGCATGTTGTTTGCAAAGCTGGTGCATTCTTTTATACATACAATTATGCTGGAAGCTTATAATGTGCCAGGCACAGTGGGAGCCCCTGAGATAAAAATGTTAGGAAGGCAAGGTCACTCTCCCAAGAATCTTACAAGATGAGAGATGCCCACTTAAAATCTTGGAACGAAAAAAGAAATGTTTAACAAGGGTGGACAAAAATCCTTAAAGAAGATGAATACTTTTCTTTCATTACCATTAAAAAAAAAAAAGAAAAACTTTCCAGGGATTTAAACAAACAATCTTGACCAAATATAAAAGAGTGATAACAGAAATGGGGTCCCAAATAGTTTTCCAAAACCTGTTCACTACCTTCTGGAGGGATGGCTGTAAATCCCCCCGCTTCCCGCTCAAACCCGCTCCCAGGAAGGGAATGGAAGATATCGCAACCTCCCCAAATATGGTTTGTACTCAAGCCTTACCTCTGGGTCACATTTCCTCCTTCTATCGAAAGGCAGCTCCCCTCTCCCCATAAAGTGCGCCGTGTTTAACACATCTTGCCTTCCACAGTAATGAACTGGAGATCTCTCCAAGCGTGCTCTGTAATCTGAATTGCGACATCTTGGATCCTCCCTGACATACAGACCAATCTCCCTCCCACTCGCTCTCCTAGAGAGCCTCCTTTTCCCTTCATTTCACTGGGACAGTGATGCCACAGTTCCGTCACTAGCAAAAGATCTAGACATACACACACACACACACACACACACACACACACACACACCCACCCCACTAAAGCCCTCTTTCTTTTCATTTTAAGCTAAATTTTGCCAAGTCACATCCATCTAGAATGAAAAGGTCCCAAACTACCCAAAGTGCTGGCTTCCTCAGCACTGAAGCAGACAGTTCTGTGCAGCGGAAGGCTACTCTCCTCTCCCTAAATTCATGCTCTGGGGGATGAACCTATGGGTGCCCATCCCTGCGGCTGTGCCCTGGGAAACAGTGGTGTCCTGGAAGCATGAATAACAAGACTGGAAACGACTCCACGTTCCTGCGTCCAAAGCTTCCCTTCACAAACAAAGATGCATGAGTCCAAGGGGGTTGTCCAAATTCCCACTGTTGGGGTCACAGTGACAAAGGCTGTCTCCTTTGACCAAACTTGAGTCAGGATGCCAAGTCCTCTTTCTGACAAATCCTTGACCTTGGCCCATTTAGTCCAGTTTTAGCAAGAATGCAGGCAGGCAGGTGTAGCAGCAAATGTTTCACCCTTGTTCTGACCACTCCTGATGTTTGATCAAATTCCTCCTCCCCACCCTGTAGGGCAGATGCACCTAACAGCAATAAGTCAAGCACACCCTGAGAATGACTCCATGGTCTTAAGGAATGTGTGTTCGAAGTTCTGAGCTAAGGAATCCAGGAGTGGCCGCCCGGAGATTCATCTGAAGGACGTCCAGACCCCTGGCCCATCCCTTGGAATGGCAGGCGGTACAGGGGATTGAGGCCCTTTGTTTTGGGTTAAATGAAGGTTGCTAGGTGGAGGTTGCCAGGTGGAGGTTGCCAGGTAGAGGTTCCTAAGTGAAAATGCCATATAACCCGCATGCTTCTTACACATGAGAGCCATCTTCCTGTCCAGCTTGGGGCTCCTGGACAGCTCTGTATGTGAGTCCCCAATAAACCCTACGTCTCCTTAGCTGGCTCCAGGTCTGTTCCTCAGCCTATTGGACATGGCACCATCCCTACTGGAGTTAACAGGGGTTCTGCACGACAACCCTCATTATTTTTACTTTAGGAGATAGGATCTTGCCTTGTAACCCATTGGGGAGTGCAGTGGCGTGATCATGGCTCACTACAGCCTCGACCTCCTGGGCTCAAGTACTGCGCCCAGCTTTATTTTGTGGGGGGCGCAGGAGAGTAGAGACGGGGTCTCACTTTTTTGCCCAGGCTGGTCTCAAATGCCTGGCCTCAAGTGATCCTCCTGCCTCAGCCTCACAAAGTACTGGGATTACAGGCGTGAGACCCCGTGCCGGCCCAGTCCTGACATCTTATCACCTGGCCTGCCTTCAGCAAGAATTCTGTCGTGTCGTTGGCCAGAATCCCCTGTTCTCCTGATGTTTCCTCTTAATTTTCCATCCGCTCACCTGCAGCCCGGCTCCTAGGCTAGAAATTCCCATTTCTCCTTGTATTCAGAGCATCGTGTTCACTAATGTCCCTTGGCCTTGGCCTCCATCTCACACACTCTTCCCCTGAATCACTGAGCTCCAGCCACGCCACCCTCCCCAGGGCGCCTGGGCGCGCCCAGTTTGCAGCCAGGAGGACCTCCCTGCATGGCCCCTGACCTCCCCGCCTGAGGGGAGGATGAACTGCGCACGCGCAGCCCGTCTTCCCTCCCTCGGGAGCCCGGGCTCCCTACAGGGGGCGCTCTCTGGCTGCGGGGGCAAGTCTGATTGAACCAGGCTCTCAGTCATTGGCTCACTTACCGGCGACACAGGGCACAGGCTCCATGGCCAGCCTTAAGACACACACGCAACCTTTTCGCCCTCTTCTGCATGTTTCTCTGCCCTGTTCTGCTCTTGGTCAGATGCCGGGGTGAGGAGAGAGGGACGCTCTTTTTTGCCCACTCCCCGAGAGCGTCCCGGCTCTTGCTTCCGCTCCGGGTCATTGCAGTTGCCTCTGCTTGAAATTCCTTCCCTTCCTCCAGATCCTAATCTGACTTCTTTTCGGCCAGGTCTTAGGTCAGATATCACTCTCGATCACTTACCCTCTTCTATTTCCTTCATATCTTTTTTTGCAATCTGAAATATAATAGTGTTAATTTTAAAAAGTGTATTTATTCCTGGTCCATCTTCTCCATCGGGAGGCGCTGCCTGAAGGCATTGGCCTTCTCTGACCTCCTTCCCACTAACCTCAGGGGCTGGAATGGTGTCTGGAATAGAGGAAGTGCTCAGTGGATCGGTTCTCCGTGCTGAAAGTAGGCGAACAGTCAAAATAAATACCCCACCCTTACCCATCTCCCCAGGAGAGACATTAGAGGGCTCCTGCTGGCTCAAAAGAAAAGGTGGATAAATGCTAACAATAGGGATGGGCCCCGAGGAAGCTAGGCCGCCCCTGCATGCACAGACCCTCCTGTGGGCATGCCCCACCAGGGCACAAGGGGCTGGCAGTGTTCTGGTGCGACGCTCTTCATTCAGTGTGGACTGGCAGCCCAGGAGCACCGGTCACCTGAGGACAGCCCCCAGGGCAAGACAGGGACCAAAACACACAGAAACAGACAATTCAAGGAACAAAACCAAAAACACCTATTCCAGTTTATATCCTCATAGAGGAAAAGACAGGATGCTAGGAAAAAGGAAAATTCAGAGAACTGTAAAAAGCACTTGGAAATTAAAATATGATAGAAGAGATTTTTTAAGAGATTTGGAGGATAAAATAAGGTTATCTCTCAGAAAGACAAAAGGGACATAAAGATAAGAAAACTTGAGGATTAGCCACAGTAGTCCAGTGTGAACTATAAAGATCTCAATAGGACAGGGGTTGATAAACTTTTTCTGTAAATGGCCAGATAGTAAATATTTCAGACATTGTGGGCCTTACAGCCTCTGTCCCAGCTACTCAATTCTGCCACTATAACACAAAAGCAGCTGTAGAGAACATGTAAATAATAAAGTTTTGTTGGAACACAACACGTAGTTGTGCAGATAAAGTTTTACTGAAACACAATCATTGTATCAGTCTCAGACTCAACAGTGGAAGCAGGAAGCAATGCTGTGAAATTTTTGAAGGAAAAGAGTTCCAGCCAGAATTCTATGCTCAACCACACATCCATCAAGTGTTATGGAAAAACAAAGATATCTTCAGACAGGTAGGGGCTCATGAAACTGACTTCCTATGCATATTTTCTAAGGAAGTTACTGGAGATTTTTTCCTGGTAAAATGAAGGGGTACACCAAGAAAGAAGAAAATACAAACGCAGGGACAGGCGATCCAGTAAAGGAGATGAGCAAAGAAAATTCCCAGGAAGTGAAAAAGGAAGCACAAGGATGACAGCTTAGTAGCAATCCTGGGGATGAAAAGGCTAGACCGGACAGGGAGATAGAGGTGCCAGAGGGATGTCACTAACAAAAAGAGGAATAATCCATCCAGGCGTGGTAGTTCACGCCTGTAATCCCAGAACTTTGGGAGGCCAAGATGGGCGGATCACCTGGAGTCAGGAGCTCGAGACCAGTCTGGCCAACATGATGAAACCCCATCTCTACCAAAAATACAAAAATTAGCCGGGCATGGTGCCACGTGCCTATAATCCCAGCTACTCAGGAGGCTGAAGTACGAGAATCTCTTGAACCCAGGAGGGGAAGATTGCAGTGAGCCGAGTGTGCCACTGCACTCCAGCCTGGGCGACAGTGTGAGATTCTGTCTTAAAAAAAAAAGAAAGGAAAAGAAAAAGAGGAATAACTTAATTCATAGATTATTGAATGTGTTTGAACATATTTATACTTCTGATGGAGCGGTCGGGGATAAGTGAAAATTACATAGAAAATCAAGAGAGCAAAAACAAAGAAACAAAAAACAGGCAAGTATTAACTCCAAATAAAAACCTGTACAGAAAAGGAGATAGAATCAAAAGGCACTACCTAGCTCAGCTGCAGATAATATTTACATATTCACAATGATACAAACACTGATTATTGATCTAACAAAATATGATTTAACGTCAGGAGGACAGGAGAAAAGGGTGTGTGTGCATGGGATGAGGGGGGTGAGAGCACAAAATCCTCATAGAGGGAAGGTAATAAGCACAAAAAAAAATGAAGAGCTGGTGATCAAAGCCTTTCTGGTTGGGGTGAACTGCACAAGAACAGCTGAAAGAGGCTGCCCTGGAGGACAGGGAGCCAGGGAGGACAAGAGAGGGAGGGAGGAGCAGGGGACTGATGCTTCTCTTTCCAGGCACACTCAACTATTGGGCTTTAAAAACGATTTACATGTATACTTTGACGTAGACAAAAGTGAACGATAAAAAAGGACAGAGCAGCAGCACTGGAGGAAAAACTGCAAACAAGCAACAGCATGAAGGAGATGCTCCCGTGGGACCCATGCACACTTTGGGACAGCAGGAGCAGGGCATGGCGGGGATGACAGGGTGAGCAGCCAACTCAGTGGGTGTCAGAACTTCAGGGCTGAAATCCTCAAAGTCCTGGGGGAACTGGGACAAGTTGGGTGCCCTGGGTGGGGAGAGTGCTGATGGTGGGAAGGTGGCCAGGTGGATTAGTCTGTACTCGCACTGTTCTCAAGAAATACCCGAGCCTGGATACTTTATAGAGAAAAGAGGTTTACTTGGCTCATGGTTCTGCAGGCTATACAGGAAGCATAGTGGCTTCTGCTTCTGGGGAGGCCTCAGGAAACTTACAATTATGTTGGAAGGCAAAGGGGAAGCAGGTGTGTCTTACATGGCCAGAGCAGGAAAACAGAGAGGGGGAAAGTGCTACACACTTTTAAACAACCAGCTCTCACGACAACCCACTCACTCACTTTCACGAGAACAGCACCAGGGGACGGTGCTAAACAATTGATGAGAACTGCACCCCCAGAATCCAGTCACCTCTCACCGGGCCCCAACTCCAACACTCAGGATTACAATTCCACATGAGATTTGGCGGGGACACAGATCCAACTCATATCCCCGAGGGTCAAATTGGGGCAGTCTTTTATGCTGTACTGAAGATTTGCATTTTTAATTGGATGTGAGAAGAAGCAACTCAGAGATTTAGGTGGGAGAGAAACATGATCCGATCAGTGTTTTAGAGAGATTTCTTGGGCAGTCATGAGGAGGACAAGACCGGAGGGAAAAGAAATAAAAGTGAAAGTGACTGGGAGAAGCACCAGGAATCTGTTCCAAAAACCTGGGAGATAACTGAGCGTCCCAATAAAACCCATAGTAAATGTGGGGGAGAGATGAGATGAGGCCCTCATGGGGGTGTTTGGGACATAGAGTGACAGGACTTGGTGACAGATGATGGGGAGGTGGGGATGAAGTGGGTGAGCCTGGAGGTTGGCGGGTGGTGTGGGGGCCGCTTCCCTGCACCAACCTTGCTGGAGGCGAGGGGCTCTGCGTCCCTGGTTTGTGGTGCCCAAGGGGAGGGGGGTGTCCAGAAGGAGGACGGGCCTGGCTGCAGCCGTGGGAATGACCCAGTGGCCCAGGAAGCACCCCTAAAGTGAAAGGGAGGTGAAGGGAAGGGCTCTGGGGCCCCTTAGCCCTTCAGGATCAGGCAGGGAGAGCCTGGAAAATGAGGCATCAAAGCAGCAGCTCCAAGTCAGACCAAAGGCCAAACAAAAGCTGGCGAAACAAGAGGGATGGGATAGGCCCACGCCACTGCCAAAGGCTGAAACAGGTCCCTGGGTCCCTGAAGTCCCTGAAGGTATCAGTGTCTGTGGGGAGACCACAGCAGCCGTGGCAGGAGGAGCACACGGGAAAGCCTGGACAGCCTGGACGTGGGCGGGGACGGCGCCTGCCTGAGAAGCAGGTGGACACGAGCAGGAAGTGGGAAGAGCTAGGCCGGACTCAGGTACAGGAGAGAAGGTTTTATTTTTATTTTTGTAAACGAGATGAATCCTGCACTAATTACAGGTTGCAGAAGTGTCAGAAAGAGGCAGGGGGAAGTAGTCAGAGGATGAACACTTTCTTGGAGACAGGTGAAAGCAGGGAAGGGCAGGGCCTCCGTTTCCTTGAAGGAGGCTTGAGGACAGGGGGGTAAATGGTGCCTGTGAGGTGTGGAAGGGACAAGTGCAAGGGTGGCTGAGCAGCCCTGGGACTCAGTGGGGACTGAGGCTGGAAATCTGTGGACAGCACCCACCTCCATGGCCCTAGGCAGAAGAAGAGGGCAGAGGGTTGGGCCCGTGTCAAGGATAAGCCCCTTGAGACCCTCAGGCTGCTTCTAGCAAAAGCATGGCTAAAGCGGAGGCCACTCAGACTCACGGCGGGGCTTGCTGAGCCCCAGGTGTCCTCCCTCCCATCTTCACTCAAGATGCCAGGGCCTTCTACCCTCATTGCTAATGGGCATGTGGCCTGTCCTCAGGGTGCTAGAAAGGGGGGTGCACAGAGCAGGATAAGGGTTCCTGCAGCAGAGGCAGCTGTGAGGCAAGCGTGCTGGATGGGAACGAGGGATGGCCGGCAGTATCCACCTTCCCCATGCGCGTACGACTGAAAGTTGATCAAAATCAAACCTGCTCATTCAAGAAAAGCAGCTGGGAAATGGTTGCCATGGTGTTGACGGTGCACAGCACACAGCAGCATTGGCCCTGCTCCCCCTCAGCGCTCCAAGTTTGAGTCTTAGTGAGTGTCAGTGCAGCACAGGGCCGCTCTTATCTGCTCCTGTGTCGTCTGCACTCAGCGCATGTGGAGGGGGTTCAACTTCTGCGGAGCCTCCTGGGCATTGCAGCGCAATGGCTAAGGGCACTCCATCTAAGAACGAGCCTGTTTGGGTGGCAGGGAGGAGCAGCTTGCGGGATGTGGACATTTGCCCCTCTTCGTTCACTGGTGATGGGAAGTATTATCCTTCATAAGGCCAGCAGATGGGAGAGCCTGGAGGTCACTGCTGGACAGTAAGAACTTCCCACTGAGCCGGTTCTCAGGGGTCACACTGCAGGGCTGGGGTTTAGAGGCCCTTTGGAGCTCAGGGTTGGCCATTAGCAGTTATGTGTGGGGCTTGGCCCTCCCCAGCCCACTCTGTCACTCCACTGTGTTTGTTGGTTCTAAGTCTCCCCAGCACATTGTCATCTTTTAAACTGTGGTTTTATTGTCCATCTCTGGGAGCCTCTCCCACTGCACTCTGCCCAGGGTGAGTGCTCCACTTATGCATGGAGGTGCTCACCAGTTTAGGAAGGGGCACCAAGGAGCCTTTATCTTTGGAGCACCAGCAGGAACAAACACAACACCAACTCAGCAAAACAGCACAGTGGATATTCTGCCTAGAAACGGGTCTGAGGTCAACTCTTGAGATGGTGTCTGCTGTGTGACGCTAAGACAGCTGAGACTAAAACAGAATGGAAAGGAAACAGCCCTCTCTGGTCAAACTGCTGTTCTTGGCCATGTCCATCCATTGTCCTTTCTCTCCCCCCACGCCCCATCGTCCTTCAGGAAATGTCCCAGGAATAGTGACAGAATACACACCCAACACACCAGAATCTAAGGAATATAACAAAATTTAAATTTGAAAACTGGAGGACTCACAAAACTTTATGTCCTTATATGCAAACGACACACACAGGTGACACTGTAACACATGTCTGCTGAAGTTTTTGGGAAAAAAATCCTAATGGGCTTAACTTGTGAGAGATGGTGGTTTCAGCATATTGCTGTTCATAAGGAAGAAGTATGGCTTGTTGTTTGCAGGGTGTGCAGTGATATGACACATTTATTTATTTTTTCTTCTTTTATTATTATACTTTAAGTTTTAGGGTACATGTGCACAATGTGCAGGTTAGTTACATATGTAGACATGTGCCATGCTGGTGTGCTGCACCCATCAACTCGTCATTTAGCATTAGGTATATCTCCTAATGCTATCCCTCCCCCCTCCCCCCACCCCACAACAGTCCCCAGAGTGTGATGTTCCCCTTCCTGTGTCCATGTGTTCTCATTGTTCAATTCCCACCGATGAGTGAGAATACGCGGTGTTTGGTTTTTTGTCCTTGCGATAGTTTGCTGAGAATGATGATTTCCAATTTCATCCATGTCCCTACAAAGGACATGAACTCATCATTTTTTATGGCTGCATAGTATTCCATGGTGTATATGGATGTGACACATTTAAATAAGCTATTTTTAACCATCTGAAATGCTCTAGGAGGAGGTGTATTACAGCATTACAGTATTACAGATCATAAGGCAAATAAAATACATTTATTTTGTGTGCTTGATTTATTCGTGGCTTACAAGGCAATTTCTATTAAGTGAAAACTAGTTTAAGAAACTTTGAATGTTAATTGTGGAGCAGTTTTCTTGAAAATTCAGAAGAGCAAATCACTTATTTATGAGTTCAAGAAAAGTCAACATCTGGAGGTGTAGCATTTGGGAAAACCATCTTTGTTGCCATTTCAACTTTCTCTCAATAGGTAAGATTGGTAATTAGGGGAAAGTGCCAGCTTACCAGAATGGAATAAGACCTAAGAAACTGAATGACTAGAAAGTACCTGTGATTTCAGTGAAGGCAGTTTTCCTTCCCTGTCCTTAGAAAAGCGGAGGAATGACAATGAGAGCAATTCCAGTCATGAGCAGATGGAAGAAAATTCTCCAAGTGTTCTGTTGCTTCCCCCTCTGCACAGGATAGAAGAACACTGTGTTTCTGATTGGGCATAAAATGAAGGGACTCATGAACCGAAGCTGGAGAAATGCCATGATTGTTTATGGGTACTCACATCAGGGCTGGGGACAGCATAGCCTCCAGCTTTCTACCACACACCCCAGAAAATGGACGGCTGCCTTGAGGACCCATCTGCCAATTTCCTCGGCAGTGTTCAACCTTAGTCTTCCAGAAGGAACAGGACAATATATGGGGCCTCCACACTGGCTTCTGCCATTCATGTGGGCCCGTAGGCCATCGTCAGGCTGGCTCACACCCTCATGAGGTTAGCACAGCCACCTCCACACCAAGCCATTTTCTCAGGGCCCCGTGCTGGTGAGGCAGAGCCATGCAAAGTAGCCAGCTCTTTACTGGTGTTTCCTAAACACGTTGAATGAATGCACACAGTGAAGCAGGAGGGTGTGAGCGGTGGGGTGTGCTTTCCATCACCAGCCCAAAGCTTTGTCTGCTAGATGTAATTCCTACATTCACTTAGTGAGCAGGGCAATAGACTCGCCGTACTAAGTTGGAACTTTGTTGTAATTTTGGTGCTGAGTGGGGTGAGGCTTAGGGGAAAAAAAAAACCACCTTAGAGCCGTCTTTCAAATACATAGCAATAAGAATCAGTTCATGACAGATAAATGACAATAGTGAGATAAGAGTTTCCATAGACTAGTTTGCACAGTGTGAGTTAGGGGGATGCAATGAAAGAAAAATGAAATGGCAACAAATGAGAGAAGCCCATTTTCTCCATCATTACCAGTGCTTTTCCTTCTATAACAATTGTAATAAGTGACTTAAGAGTTTCCCATTTTCAAAAAGGTACTTTTTTCTTTCTTTTTTTTTTTTTTTTAAGAGTCAGGGGCTTGCTGTGTTGCCCAGGCTGGCCTTGAACTCGTTGGCTCAAGTGATCCTCTAGCCTCAGCCTCCCAAGTTGCTGGGACTAACTTCAGGCCCACAGTACCATACCTGGCTTAAAAAGGTGCTTTTGCTGCATTCCTCATTATTTTCTTTCAGACGCCCCTTAGTTCCTTCATTTGTAACAATGACAATATTTACACTTACATAAGGCTTTAGTATTTAAATTACTGCAAATACATGACCTAATTTGATTGCTGGAGAGGTAGGTAAGGCAGATACCAGAAACCCACACTTTATAGAAATTCTATCTTTTTTTAGGATGAGTTCATGTCCTTTGCAGGGACATGGATGAAGCTAGAAATCATCATTCTCAGCAAACTATCACAAGGCCAGAAAACCAAACACCGCATGTTCTCACTCATAGGTGGGAATTGAACAATAAGAACACTTGGACATAGGGTGGGGAACATCACACACCGGGGCCTGTTGTGGCGTGGGGGAGCGGGGAGGGATAGCATTAGGAGATATACCTAATGTAAATGACGAGTTAATGGGTGCAGCACACCAACATGGCACATGTATATATATGTAACAAACCTGCACGTTGTGCACATGTACCCTAGAACTTAAAGTATGATAATAAAAGAAAAAAAAATTTTTTTTGAGACAGAGTCTCTGTCGCCAGGCTGTTCCAGTCTCTGCATTCCAGGCTGGAATGCAGTGGCGTAATCTCGGCTCATTGTAACCTCCGACTCCTGTGTTCAAGCGATTCTCCTGCCTCAGCCTCCCGAGTAGCTGGGATTACAGGCATGCACCACTACACCTGGCTAATTTTTGTATTTTTAGTAGAGACGAGATTTCAGTATGTTGGCCAGGCTGGTCTCGAACTCCTGACCTCAAGTGATCCACCCGCCTTGGCCTCCCTAAGTGCTGGGATTATAGGCATGAGCCCCCGTGCCCGGCCTGAAATTCTATCTTGTGATAACATGTCAGGGATGAACTCAAAATACCCTTTGATGAATGTTCACATGATCAAATGGAATTCTTCTTCTCTCCCCTGCAGTGCCAGTGGTGAGGGGACTCTCAGGTGTTATCCTATAAGGTCCAGAACATGTTAACAGATGCTTTGTGTTTTGCTTTTTTTAACCATGGAAAGGGGAATTGGGAATTAGATGGACATTGAAGACAGACTTCTCTCCCAGCAAAACTATATGATTCTGGTTATCCATCTTAATATTTCTGCATGTCAATTTCCCATGGAAAATCAGGCTCATCACAGGAACCAGCTGTCATCACTTCTACTGTCTTACAAAGCGGAAACACAGCTTCTCGGCTATACTTGACAGTGGTATAGGAGTTTGCTATCATGTGTTTACGAAAATACAGTGATAAGAAACTTAAACACTTTGTTTCTTCTGGGAAAGTGAAGGAAGGATAAAGAGTGAAGCCCATTTCCACCCAAAGTCTAAGCTTACCAGCAGGTGGTGCTGTGACAAAAGCAATCAAGAGAAACCAAGGCAGGCAGGTGGGGTTTCTGGGTCCCAGAGATCGGCTCTGCTACCTCTCATCAAAGCCAGTGCTCGGGAGCAGGAGCGAAGGGCAGGAAGCTTGAGGGCAGCACAGGGCGGGCAGCATGCGCTGGATCCAACACCAAACAGTTTCTAGGGTCCTCGATCAGGGGTTCTTCTCCTAGCAAGGCTCACCACAGCTCTCCGCTTCCCGTTTCATTTCTTCCTTTCTCTCCCCTCAAAGCCCTTTCCCAATTATCTGGATTTCCAGCAGGAAGCAGGGAATAGAGCAGGCGGGAATGCCCTTCTCCCTAATACTTACCCTGCAGACACTGTGGCTTCAGGGATCTTCAAATATTAAGCACTTTAATATTCAGAAAGCACTTTCAGTTGTATAAGCAGCTCTACATATACTATTAGATGCTATCTGGATAAACAGAAATGCAAAGAAACTCCTCAGAAATAACTGAGGCAGCTCCTATGCAACCGCATGGAGACCTATCAGCTAAGTCTATGCCACTTTGGTCACTCAACATGTGCTTGACTGAATTACCTTTTCATCTAAATGCCCTACTTACCCCAAGCCTCCAAAGGGCAGTCTCACTCCAAGGTGCCTTACATGTAGTATGTGCACAATGGGACCGAAAAGAGACAATAAACCCAGCAGCAAGCACAAATAAACTGGAGGACTCAGGAAAAAAGCAATTCCAAGTCTCATACCCCTTTCTCCTGCAGCAGACACAGAAGTTAGGAAATGAGGTGTCCCTGCATCAGAGCTTGTGGGGCCCAGTGGCTGCCCCTGGCACAGAGTTGCTGTGGGGCCCATTTTAGAATCTGGAAGCGATTGCTGCCTCCGTGGACCACGCTCAGCCAGTTCTGACCACTCTGGAAGTGAGCTGCGGTGGAAGAGATCCACATACAAGGCCGGGGTGTGCTCCACCCCCGGGGACAGGTGAACCCTGCCCAGAGGGGGTTTAAGAACTGAGGAAGTCAGAGAAGCAGCCCAGACCTGCAGGAACTAAGGCGTCGGTGTGAGAGCTTGGAGTTGTCCACATCTGCTTCAACCCAGTGGGGCAGCCCGAGGGACAAGGTAAGGGGCTGGGAAGTGGAACCGGGGCAGGGGTCCCAAGGTGGTTTAGCTTCCAGTCTCAGCCAGAGCGCTCCGCCTGTACTGGGGAGTCAGCTTCCTTGGTCCCTGGGTCTCTCACTGGGCCGAGATGAGGCAATTCTCTTCCATGGCTTTAGTGGTTTCCAAAGAGCACTGTGTGCAAGTAGCCTGATGTGGAAATGAAGTACGGCCATTACGAAAACAAAGTCCACCCAGCGGCCTCCTAGAGGGGGACACAGAGCCCACCACCAAGTCTACTAGTTAAGAAATAAGAACTGCCCTGTCACTGAATTAGCCAGGTCCCACCCAAGGGCAGACCTAAAGAAGGAAGCCAGGTCTACATAGGAAGGTGGTCCATGTGAGATGAAGACCAACAGTATCTTCCACACAAGGTTCACACGTGTAGGGTGGGGGCGAGGTGAAGGCGGAGGTCCCTGTCTGTAAATGCAGTTGACTAGTAGCTGGGAATACTGGCTTTCTTAAGTACACACCGCTGCACCTACACGATTCCTGCTGGTGGTGGAAGGCAAGCCAACCAGCTTGATTGACCCTGTCCAAGTAAGAGGCAGGTTAACCTGCTTATGTGAGCTACAGGCCCCCCAGGAAAACTGAAAACTTCGCTTCGTGAGAGTAAAGTTGTCCAGGGATCTCCCCTATCTATGCAACCTCTGTCTATCCCCCTTCTCACATCTTCCCTAAGAAGTACCCAAACATCTTACCCTAAGTCATAAGAAGAAATAGAAAAGCTGTAAGATCAGGCCTGGCACAGTGGCTCACACCTGTAATCCTAGCACTTTGGGAGGCTGAGGTGGGCAGATCACTTGAGGTTAGGAGTATGAGACCAGCCTGGCCAACATGGTGAAACCCCATCTTTACTAAAAATACAAAAATTGGCTGGGCATGGTGGCGGGTGCCTGTAATGCCAGCTATTCAGAGGCTGAGGCAGGAGAATCACTTGAACCCGGGAGGCGGAGGTTGCAGTGGGCAGAGAACACACCACTGCACTCCAGCCTGGGAGACAGAGCGAGACTCCATTTCAAAAAAAAAAAAAAAAGAAAAGAAAAGAAAAGAAAAGCTGTAAGATCAGCTAATTATACTGCTTACCATTTGGTTAATTTCACATTTCATTCAATGTAGGTTAACTTACTGGATGTTTTTCTCTTAAAAAAAAAATCAGAAATATCTGATAACCCCAATATTCCATCCATTCTTTCTAAACGCAAGCTAGTGTGACTGTCTCCAAGAAACATCTGGCTGCTGAGACAAAAGCAGATACTTGTAAATACTTGTAAATTTCATATTTATTGTAACAAAAATTATGACATGTCCATTTGTGCATTCTGCTTGAGTATAACTCTGGGTATGTAAATGGCCTAATGGGGCACTATACAACCATGCTGATTGTGGCAGCAGTAAGGAACACAGTTAAAAGTGTCTGTCAAAGTGGGAAGGCTGGGACAGGGGAGGAAAATGGGTTCAGGGCCCTTGGGTGCAGGTTCTTGTCCAGTGGCCTAAGATCCATTTCCTCCGGACAGAAACACTGCAGCTGCTCAGCCTCCTCATTCAGTGAAGTGAGGGTGAGTTGTGAGGCAGGCAGGCTCCTCAGAGGGGAGGGGGAGGGGAAACGTCAGTTACTTGGGCTGTGTCCTTACGCCAAGACTACAAAACATCGTAAGCCTCACTATACAACACTGAGCTATTTACAATGGAAATTCTCAATCAGCTGTTCTCTCAGAGAAAATTAGTGAATCCCAGTGACTTAAGTCACCTGACAGAGTAAAGCAACTCCTAGGAGTTAGTCTCCATATTCTACAAATGTCTATTATTTTCAAGACAAAAACAAAACAAAACAAAACAAAACAAAACAAAAGCCTTTTCCCCCCAAAGAAATACAGAATTACAATATTATTAAATCATTTAGCAACGGCAGCCTGCCCTGCCTTCCAAACAAACAACAAAAAGCCATTTTAAAAAATATTACATTATCATTAACTGTTTCTCTGTAATATATTAAACCTTTTGTTCTTTGTCTTTACATATCTGATATGTTAGGGGGAGAAGTTAACAAATGTAAATCATATTGGTAAAGCATCACTAGAAGAAAGTGGTGATTACTTAAAAAAATAACCCAAAGAAAGAGAACCTACAGATTAGCTGCGATGACAGGTTGGGAACAGTGTCTGGGGGAAGGATGTGGAGTAAAACCCCTGGTTTAATGTGAGCCTGGGAGACTCTTGCAACTCAGTCTTTTGTGGTTAGTTTATTTGTTAAACAGCTCGGCTGGGTCATAGTGGCGTGTCGTAATAATCTGGCAGCTGGTCCAGCTGGTAGTGCCGCGGCAGCTGCGGCTGGAGCTGAGGGGGTGGTGGCGGCTGCTGCTGCTGCTGTTGCTCCTGGTGATGCTTCATGATTTCTTTGACCTCCTCTTCCAGCTCCGGGGGTATGATAAACTGATCATCAGGATCCGGCTGAGCCGGGGCAGCAAAATAGCCTCCAGGCTTTCGAAGAGGTGCGTCTGTAGCCACCTCTATCACATTGTGGCTCCTTTCCTGGGGCGCAACAGAGCCATTGGCCCTCCGGCGCCCAATGGTCCCAACGGCAGAGAAGTCTGCCTTCCTGGGCAGACCTGGCTCATCCTCGTTGGCGCTGATGACAATGCCCTCATCACTGGCCTCTGCTGGCACCTGAAGCAGGTGCTGCTGTTTCTCCTTCTCCTTGGCCCGGCTGCAGTGGATGTCCACCTCCACCTCCACCCGGCTGCCGTTGGTGAAGACGCCCTCGATGGGCTCCTCATCGTCACTGTCAAGGCCGTTGTCGGAGAAGGCGCTAGAGAACGTGGCGCTGGATAGCTGGCGCTGGAAGGAGTTGGACAGACAGATGGGGTGGAGCATGCAGCGCTGCTCACTGGGGTAGGCAGGGCTGTTCTCGCTTAGGGCTCCGGGCGGGGGCTCATCGGAGGCTGTTGACCCCACCTCGCTGCTCATCTCAGAAGTGGAGAGCTCACTGCTAATCTCGGAAGCCATGCCGCTGCTGGAGGACGGCACGCCCAGCCCATCTGAGGGCCGATCCTTGATCACCATGTTCACTGAGGGAGGAAAGATGCCAGGACTGGGTGGTGGCACAGCCCCACCGGCGCTGAGCTCGCAGCAGCAGAAGCTGTCCTCAGTGACACTGAGCTGCACCACCACAGCGCTGATGCTGTCGTGGCAGCCGTAGCTCTGGGCCAGGGTACACAGCTTCTTGGCAGCAGCCAGGGCATCGGGCACGTTGCGCACGGCTTCCACGGCCTCCTCGACGGACAGGCTGTCCCACAACCCCTTACTGCCTAGGATGAAGAACTCATCCTGGGGAGTCAGGAGCACGGACTGCACGTGGGGGCGAGGCACCACACTGGGATGGAGGAAGGTGTAGCCCAGGATGCGCGTGGACTCAGTCACTCCGTTCACCTTGCCATCCTGGAAGAACAAGGGTTTGCAGACAGACAGTTAATACAGAGCACCTGCGGCAACTGTGCAGGTTCCCTGCGGGTCCCTCGACTGTCTCGACTGTAGGACCACAGAGAAGTGCTGTGTGGCCCACAGAGGAAAGAAGGGCTCACTCTGTAGTGAGTAGTTAATGTGCACCTGTCATCAGAAACCCCAGGTAGTAGGCCTGGGCAGGTAAGGAGCAGTAGGGACAAAAGGAAAAGATTTCGGTTATGTGTGTTACTGGGACCCCATTCACACTAGGTCACAAGTCCTGCTGTTTATCTAAAGCAAGCCATCATCTAGCCTTACACAGCAAGCATAGCTGGCTAGCTCCTCCTGTAAACATGGGTTTACATCTTCCCTCCCTTGGTGAACATGGTGATCAAGGATCGGCCCTCAGACGGGCTGGGTGTAGGAAGACTCTGAGGTAGCAAGAGACTTTCTGATAGAAGCCAGTCCTGAGCAAAGACACATGACGCAGGCATATATCAAGACAATGCTCCTAAATCTTCCATTGCTCTCCATGATCACAAGAGGCAGTAGTGTCTAAAGGTCCAGAGAGGACTTGAAAGTACTTAAGCGGTGGAGAAAACCTTGGTTTGACTAGGTGGGTAAGAATGCTCATGTCAGGAGAACAGATGCTAAAGAAGAAATGCCAATTCTTACAACTTCCTTGAACTTGATTTCCTGTTGACCAATGGAGAAGGCAAGATCTGCTGGCTTTAGTTCAGCTGTGTGCATGCTATTTAAATCAATTACCAAAGTGCCAGACCACTTGCCAATAAAAAGACCTGGGTTTTTTTTTTTTTTTTTTTTTTTTTGCCACGTGTACCTGCTTGGTTCTTTATTCTTCAAATTTTGAGATTCTCAGGTCCATGACATACCTCTACATGCCCTAGTTTTAACACTTCTTTCCAGGAAAGGCTTCATTATGACAAATCCCTGTCTGGGATGACAAAGTGTTTCTTCCACAGAATATCCATTTCCTTTCCAGTCCTACCACTTCCCTTTATTTGGGATTTGGCAAGGTGTTTACTTGTCCTAGGGATGTCTTTCCCAGCTTCTCACACAACTTTGCCACACCACACTTATAAGCAGGTAAGCATTCCTATTAGTAAAATTAGTAAGATGGGCTTCAAGCACAACCTTAAACTGCCTTGATTCTACTGACATAATCTGTCCCCAAAGCATGGAATTTGGCAGAAACTGTTCTTGCTGTTCTGTCCATCCCTTTAGATTTCTCTCTATCAAAACCAATGGTTTTGTGATTCATGAGCAATGAAGCTTCCACCATGGGCTCCAGGAGTTCTGCTCCATTCGCTAATTCATCAAAGTGTCAGTCATCTGCCCTGTGCCTGAAAAAATGACGTGGGCAGACAGCAGTGACCTGCAAAGAAACATCTACCTTCAAGAGGTTTCCAGTCTTACATTGTTGATAAAACCCATAGAACCATGTACAGTTTGGGGTGGACTCTGGTGAAAGCTTATAGTCCAGTAGAGAAAAAAGACTGACTCCACACAGGCTTTGATGAGGGCCTTAAGAAAGAAACAGAAAGACTCAAGCTATACATGGGATTCTGTGCAAATGAGTCTGTGTGAATTTGTTCTCTGTCTATTCTTGGAGCAGAGAGGATGCACATGGATGGTAGACACTGTGCTAGGGAGCAGAAGACAGTCTAATGTGTACAGAATGCACTGATTTCAACTTTAGTTCAACATTATGCCAAACACAATTGAAGGTAAATGATTTCTGTGACCTACATGAATCATGGTTTGCACGTCAGACTTCTCTTGTTTTCTGTGCCTCGCCTCTTCCCTGCTTTTGTTTGCATTGCTTAATACTCAACAACGAGGTTTTGTTTTGTATTGTATTTTACTTCTCTTCCTTGAGACACGCCCTCCAAACACACACACCACAGTCTGTGTTGTGGAGACTGCCCTGTGCATTGTGGGGTGTTGAGCAGCATTGTCCTAGCAGCGCTGTAGGATGCTCAGTGGCCTCAATCCACTGCATGTCAATTGCACTCTCCGCCCCAGCTGTGATGACCAAAAATGTCTCCATATGTTGCCAAATGTCTTGTGGGGAAGCAAACTGCCCCCAGTTGAAAACTGCTTACTGTGTACTCAAATGGGACATGAGGTATGAACCAAAATAACAACTAGTACACTTACATAGACGTTCATAGTTTACAAGTCATACCAACCTTGTAAGATAGGACAGATGCATGATTATTCCCACTTTACAGATGAGAAAACTGAGGCTTAGAGAGGTTTAAAGGTCACAACCTACAAGTGGCAGAGCTAAGATATGAAAACTAGCAGTGTGATGTCAGGGGTAGAGCCCTCAACCACCAAAGCAGCCCTCTGCAGAGTGGCTGCAAACATGGAATGGGATCATGCCCATGAAGCACGCAGCACAGTGCCTGATGCAGAGAGGCAACCAACAAGCATATACATCATAATGTAAGACATCTGCTTTGTGATACTATGGATTTGGAATTCTAATGTCAAACCAACTTCAAAAGTGTTCTTTGAAGGCAAATGCTCCCTAGCTAGTTTCTGCTATGACCTGGTCTCCTCTCCTCTCCTCTCCACCATCCTGGGCAACACCCCTGTTTTCTCACCTCAGTGATAATGGCCTTGTGCTGTTTAATCCTCTTCAGCTCTTCTTCACAGCTCATGATGTAAGATCTGGACAGAGGCAGCGGCTTTCCATTTCGACAGAGAACTGTTTGGCACTTGCCCACATTAGCAGAGGTCAAGGTGAAGGATCCTCCTGGATCCACAGGGTCATGCTTGATATGACAAAGGACAGCGGCACCACCAAGCTTCTGCCCAGCAGTTCCAAGTTTCCTGGAATCCGAAGAGAGGGGGTGACACTCAAACACAGCCCATCAGTGCCAGTTCTGCAAATTCAACAGCAAGACCGCACCACTGGACAGGGCCAGGAAGGAGACAGCTGGGGATTCCACTCCGCCTCCTTCATCAAAGCACACACTGCTCTGCCTCTTTGATGAAAAGAGCCCCTGAATCTGACATCACACACATCCACACAGAGAGGCTCACAACTGGAAGACAGTATCACTGTACCATTAAAAGCCACAGGTGCTGCTCTGGAAGGCGGGTGCCCCTGGGCTGCTGTGTACAGCCTGCTACCCTCATCAACCACACTGCCCTATCAGCACACTCCAAAGACAGCAGGAAAATGACTTCTTTCTCCATCTGCTTCTCTAAATCCCCTCTGTCCCCAGGAAAGGAACATTGAAAAAACCATGTATGTAAGAGCAGGTATAAACACCCTACCCCACTGACAGGCACACTTTAGAAAAACCTGACAACCCTCTCCCCCTTATAAGGGTGTTTGCTGGTAGCAGCCTTGAAGTATTGGAGTGTTCATGTTCCTGCCCTATATAGTAAAGACTTTCTGGACCAGCACCATCTATTCTAGAAAACTCATAGAAAGGACATTCTAGTAATCAAATACCAAGTGCTTGTGATTTATCTTTTTAATCATGAGAATCCACAGACCTACCAAATACAGAAAGCACCTGCAAATTCTGAAAATCAAAAATCAAAAACCCCTCTTACAAAGCTACTTGTTCTGGCAGATTATCAAGGGAGAGAAATGGCAGAGACGGACAAAAGACCATTATTGCTCCCATGGCCTCATGAACAACTATGGCAAGCCCCACAAATGGTAACACTGCCCAGGCCCCTGCTGTTCCTGAGTGGTACAGGAGCAAGAAAGTTAAGAAAAACAGCCTCCCGTTTTACAAGGGCAGACCCTCAGGTACTGTCTGCTCCTATCACGTGTGTAAGGTAAGCAACTGGCAAGAAGAGCAATGGAAACCAGGGCTGCCTACTTGCATGCATTAGGAAATCCCGCACAAAGACCAGTTCCCCTAAGGACCAAAAGCTCACCACACAACCCGTACCCTCTTAACAGATAGGGAAAATAAGAGACATACAAAAGACCCTGGAGAAGGGCCTATAGTTTAGGTTCCTAAACTCCAACTTTCAGATATTTGGCTCTAGACCCTTCCAAGGCATCTCTACTTTCTCCCTTTCACAGGCACAGTGATTTGTAAAAAGTATAGCAAGTAATCCGAGACTGGGGTTCTCAGTTTTTAATTCTTACCCAGTGCTTGAGGGTGCATAAAAAGCAGACCTTTTGGGGGTTGTGAAGGGATGTGTTTGTGCTGTGGTCTGTATGCACATGTGTATGTGTGTGCATATGATACATGCTTGCTGTTTTTCTAGAACAAAAGGGTGGTAAAAACAGGAAAGCTGATGTGCCTGCTAGTTACAACATCCTTTGAAGGGAGTCTCACAACCTGAGGTCAGGTCCTGGCTGCACTACCTATTAGCCCGTAGGCACTGTGCTTCACCTCACTGTACATCACTTTCAGTAACATTACCCAGCTAACTGGTAACAATTTATGACACATAAGGTAATTTAGAACAATGACTGGTACATATTAAGGGCTTGCTGGATATTAGCCATTATTGTTCAGTTGCTAATTGTATATGCTCACTGAGAATCTGAAAGTCAGGGGTGAGTGTAGCAGCAAGAACCACCCCAGGCTTGCCTCCACCAAGCTCTCTGAGAGGAACCATTTGTGATGCAGGTATCACTGTAAAGGCTGCTCTGAACACTCCTCCCCAGACACCACTTCTACCCCTCTAACAAAGCTACTTGCTCTGGCAGAATATCAAGGGAGAGAAAGAGCAGATAAGGATAAAACACCATGACTGCTCTCATGACCTCAAATACCAGTACATTCATCACTCCTGGGTCCCACATGAGTGAGTCTGCAGCACAATACTTATAGACAGGCAATTCCATTATTACCTAGAAAGCCATGAAGGTGGTAAGAATAAACAATTCTCTGAATGAAGGAATCCTCATTCCTCTAAGAGTTACAAACAATATTCCACAATTTCTACAGCAACCTAAAGCTCTGCTGCTGGTGGCAACTCCAGGCTATGGCCTAGGATTCTGCCAGTAACACTGTCTTGAACATTTAATAAAGGAGAAAACAAAATATAAAGAATGATTTAACTCTTGGGCTAAAATCTGACCATCTTGATTTCACAAAGGTTTGCACTATCTCAAACCAGTGATAGTATTTCATAAGGGCCAAGAAACTAGGATAGAAACGGTCCATTTCAAAGAGAGGTCCCCACAACAGAAAGTCTAAAAAGCCCCTACAGCTCACATGATTTGGGAGGAGAAATGGCATTGCAAACAATCTGATGAAAATCTGCAATCAACACAGGCCAGTGAGGTCCAGTTCTCAGAGAAACTAATTCCTTGTCATTGTCTGAGCCTTCTACAAAGTTGTCTGAACATCAGTATGTCTCAAACCGGAGCACCATTCCTGATGCCTGGGCAACACCAAACTTGCCTGAATGCATCTTGGTACTCATAGTCAAAAAACATGGCTTGGAGACCATTGGGCACCTGCTTTTCTAAACAGAGGATAAACACTCAAAGAGCAAGAAAACACACAGCAGGTAAGCAGGAACTCTGAGTTTTACCTTTGCATGACAATGAATGTATTGACCATGTATTCTTCTTCGTTTTTTGTTTTTTGCAGCTCTTCAGCCAAAATGTCACTCATAGTGCACTGGAGAAGGTAGGGCACCTCCACATTCCGGTCTCCGTCAAACACACCATACAGGGCTTCGCGGTTGTCACAGAAGTTATTCACCGACAGGGCTGCGACACACAACCTGCAAGGCAACCACACTTCTGTGCTGAGTCCACTCATCCTCCTGCTCCAGGCCCAGCCCAGTGCTTATTTCAAGATTTTCCTAACTCAGTTTTGTCTCTTTCTTCATGACTCCAGACAGATTAAGGGCAGGTAAACTGACTCCAGCTAATTTCCAACAGCCAATTTTGATAAGCAGAGAAGGATGAGCACAAATTATGCTTCACACATGCCTTCCTACATGCTTCTCTTCTGATGAGTTTATTTTTAAATGTCAGTGACAGAAGGGGAAAAAGAGGCATGGGAAATAAGAGAAGATTATGAATCCATATCTACACATACATTCAATAAGCAGTTATTAACCACAATCTCCACATCCAGCCAAAATAGAAAACTAAAACACTGGGAAAAATAGACGAAACCTATATGAAAAGCATGTACAAATACAGAAAAAGCCTCAAATGACTTTTAAAAAATTATTTTTATTTTTATTTTTTTTTGAGACAGGGTCTCCCTCTATCACCTAGGCTGCAGTGCAGTAGTGTGATCTCGGCTCACTGCAGTCTCCACTTCTAGGGCTCAAGCGATTCTCCCACCTCAGCCTCCTGAGTAGCTAGGACTACAGGAGTATGCCACCATGCCCAGCTAATTTTGTATTTTTAGTAGAGATGGGATTTCACCATGTTGGCCAGGCTGGTCTCGAACTCCTGAGCTTAAGCAATCTGCCAGCCTCAGCCTCCCAAAGTGCTGGGATTACAGGTGTGAGCCACTATGTCCAGCCTTCAAATGACCTTTTTAAAAGGCAGGAAAAACAAACAAACAAACCCCAACTGGACAATAAGAGCACAGGTCAGTAATCCTGGAGAGAGCCTGCTTCCCGCCCAGCTTCCTCCTGGGGAAGTGTCCAGGCTGCAGCACAGGGAGGAAGACCCAGGTGGAGGCTGTGGTCTCCGTGCATTGAGGAGATGGAGCTGGGGGCTGAAGGAGGACAAGGTGGCCAGAGTCCACAGTCAGTGCACTGGAGGAGGATAGTGGTTCCCGGCAAATGTGGAAAGTTTGGAGACTGTCTCCACTCCAAACTCAAAAGAATCAAACTGTTTCCAAGCAACTGTGTCCCAGAAACTGTCCAAAATGAAACAGAGAGGAAAAAAAAAAGACTGGGAAAAAAAAAAAATAAGGCCAGGACCTTAGTGAGTGGTGGGATAACTTCAAACAGCCTACTATACTATAGGGAGTTGGAGTCTTCGAAAGAAGAGACAGATAACACTTTTGAGGAGTTGATGGCTGAAAACATTTCCAATATGAAGAAAATTATAAAACTACAGATACTGCAAGCAAGACAAACATGAAGAAGACTTAACTGAGACACATCAAAATCAAATTGCTAGAAACCAGGAACAAAGGCGGGAGGTAGAGCAGGGGAAACCAGGACGTGCCCAACAGCAGGCTTCTCCCTGGAAACCTGGTAGGAGACAGTGGAGCAACGTCTTGAACGTACCAACGGAAAACAACTAGAAAACAACCTAGATTTCTAAGCCAGTACAAACAGCTCTGAAAAGTTAAGGGGAAATAAAGACATTTCCAGATGCACAAATAAAAGCATTTACCACCAGCAGGATGGCACTAAAGAAATGGAAAAGGAAATCCTTGAGGCACAAGAAAATGACACTAGATGGAAATCCGGAACTGTACAAAAGAATGAAGCACAACGATAATGACAGCCAGGTGAGTGAACAGAAACATTTCCTCATTTTTTGTTTCATTTTTTTTTGAGATGGAGTCTCACTCTGTCACACAGGCTGGAGTGCAGTGGTGTGATCTTGGTTCACTGCAATCTCTGCCTCCCGGGTTCAAGTGGTTCTCCTCCCTCAGCCTCCTGAGTAGCTGGGATTACAGGCACCCGCCACCACGCCCAGCTAATTTTTGTATTTTCTGTAGAGACAGCATTTCACCATCTTGGCCAGGTTGGTCTCATACTCCTGATCTCGAGCGATCCGCCCGCCTCGGCCTCTCAAAGTGCTGGGATTACAGGCATGAGCCACCATGCCCAGCCTCATTTTCTTATTTTAAAAATCACCTTAGAACAGTGATTCTTAATAGAATATTCAATAATATTCTAATGGGTATTGGGAGGCAACAACAAAGAATTATCTGGCTCAAAATGTCAATGGTATTGAAGTTGAGAAACACTGCTTTAGAAAATAACTAAAGTAAAAATAACAATAATGTATTTTGGAGGTTATAACATAGATGGAAGCAGAACATATGACAACAACAGCATAAAGGCCAGGACAGGAGAAGGAGAAGTACATATTTGCAAGGTTCTTATATGTGAAATGACATTACTATTACTTGAAGGTAAACAGTAATGAGTTAAATATCACACTATAAACTCTAAACAAGCCACACATGTACACACAGAGACACACGGTAGAATAAGAATAAATAAAGATAAAATCAAATCATAACAAATAATCCAAAAGAATGAAGAAAAAGGAAAAAGGAAATAAAGAACAGATGGCACAAATAGAAAACAATAGTAAGGTGGAAGGTTTAAACCTAACCATATCAATAATTTCATTAAATATAAAGGCCTTAACACTACCGAAAAGACAAAAAATTCAGACTGAATAAAAAAGACCTAATTATATGCCGCCTATAAGAAATCCATTTTAAATATGAGACAAATAGGTTAAAAGTAAAAGGATTTTTTAAAAGGTATACCATGCTAACATTAATCAAAAGAAAGTTAAAATGGCTATGTTAATATCAGACAAAGTATATTTCAGAACAAAGAATATTATAGGAATAGAGAGTCATAATGATAAAGGGGTCAGTTCATCAAGAGGCTACATCATTCTAAATGTTTACATACTTAACAGAGCTTCAAGATGTATGAAGCAAAAACTGACAGAACTACAAGGAGAAACAGACAAATCCATATTCATAGCCTCTCAATCATCAACAGAAGAAGAAGACAGAAAACTGGTAGGAGGCTTGAGCAACAATATCAACCAACTTGAGTTAACTGGCACCATACCCAACAGCAATTTTTTTTTTTAAATGCACACAGAACTTTTACCAAGATAGGTAAGATTCTGGACCAAAAATCAAGTCTAAATAAGTTTAAAGGATTCAAGTCATACAAAGCGTGTTCTCCAACGATATTAGTGAAATTACTTAGAAAAAAATTTACAACTCTAAATGCTTATATTACAGAATTAGAGGTCTCAAATCAATAATCTAAGCTTCCATTTAAAGAAACTAGAAAAAGAAGTACATAACAAACCCAAAGCAAGAAGAAAGGGAATCATAAAAATAAGAAAAGCAGTTGAGTGTGATATCTCACACCTGTAATCTCAGTACTTTGAGAGGCCAAGGCAGGAGGATTGCTTGAGGCCAGGAGTTTAAGATCAGCCTGGGCAACAGAACAAGACCCTGTCTCTTAAAAACAAACAAACAAAACAAACAAAAAAACCCAAAAAACCCATAAAACAAAAATTAAAACATAAGAAATGTGAAACAGAAAAATTATAGAGAAATATCAGTAAAACAAAAAATCTAGTTCTTTGAGAATATCAATAAAATCGATAAACCAAATCAAACTGATCAGGAAAAAGAAAACACAAATTACCAACATTAGGAATGAGAGAGTGGAGGAACATCTCTACAGATTCTACAGATTTTAAAAGCATAATAATGGGCTGGGCATGGTGGCTCATGCCTGTAATCCCAGCACTTTGGGAGGCTGAGGCGGGTGGACCATTTGAGGAGTTCGAGATCAGCCTGGCCAACATGGTGAAACTCCGTCTCTACTAAAAATACAAAAAATTAGCTGGGCGTGGTGGCGCACACCTGCAGTCCCAACTACTCAGAAGGCTGAGGCAGAAGAATTGCGTGAACCCAGAAGGGAAAGGTTGCAGTGAACCGAGATTGTGCCACTGCACTCCAGCCTGGGTGACAGAGTGAGACTCCATCTCAAAAAAAAAAAAAAAAAAAAAAAAAAGCCTAATAATGGGATATTATGAACAGGCTTATGTTAATACATTTGAAAACTAGATAAAGCAGACTAATTCCTTGAAAGACACAAATTACCAAAGTTTGTTCAAGAAGAAAGAGATAATCCTATTTAAAGAAATTGTAGGTTAAAAAAAACCCAGAACAGATGGCTTCACTGGTGAATTCTTTTAAATATTTAAGAAGGCTATATTACCAATTTTATACAAACTCCTCCAGAAAACTCAAGATGAGGAAACACTTCCCAACTCATTCTATGAGGCCAGCATTACCCTGATACCAAACCCAAAGACATCACAAGAGAGCTACAGACTAATATCCACCATGGAATATAGACATCCTCAACAAATTAACAGCAAATCTAATCCAGCAGCATGTAAGAAATATAATACTTTAGGCTGGGTGTGGTAGCTCACGCCTGTAATCCTAGCTCTTTGGGAGGCAGAGGAGGGCAGATCACTTGAGGTCAGGAGTTAGAGACCAGCTTGACCAACATGGAGAAACCCTGTCTCTACTAAAAATATAAAATAAGCCAGATATGGTGGCGCATGCCTGAAATCCTAGCTACTCGGGAGGCTGAGGTGGAGAACTGCTTGAACCCGGGAGGCGGAGGTTGCGGTGAACCGAGATCGTGCCATTGCACTCCAGCCTGGGCAATAAGAGTGAAACGCTGTCTAAAAAAAAAAAAAAGAAAAATATACTACATCGTGACCAAATGCATTTATACTTGGAATGCAAAGTGTATTTAACATTTTAAAATCAATCAATGTAATTAAACACATCAACAGCCTGAAGAAGAAAAAAAACCATACAGTCATCTCAATTGATACAGAAAAAGTCTATGACAAAATGTGTTATCTGTTTATTATAAAAACTAAGATTTCATTATAAAATCTTAGCAAACTAGATATAGAAGAGAATTAACTTGATAAAGGGTGTCTACAAAAATACCGAGAGCTAACATCACATTTGATTGTGAATGAACAAGTTTTCACCAAAGAAGGTATATGGATGATAAATAAACATATGGAAAGAGTAGGGAAATGCAAATTAAAACCACAATGAGATATTATTATTAGAATGGCCAAAACAACAACAACCTGACAATAACACCTGCTGGTAAGGATGTGTAGCTACTGGAACTCTTAGACATTGCTGTTGGGAGCGCGAAATGATACAGGCACTTTGGAAACAGTTTGGCAGTTTCTTACAAAAGTAAATATACACTTACCATATGACCCAGCAATCCTTATCCCTAGGCATTTCTCCAAGAGAAATGAAAACAAGCATTCATAAAAAACCTGTATGTAACTGTTTGCAACCTGTAGCACTTTCATTCGCAATTGCTAAAAACTTGAAACAATCTAAACATCCTTCAAATGGTGAACGGGTAAAACAAAAACAAACCATAATATGTCCATGCTATGGAATGCTACTCAGCAATAAAAAGCAATGAAAAGAAACGAACTACTGACACATGCAATAGTACAAATGAATCTCAAACGCATTATGTGATGGGAAAGAAGTCAGACTGAGAAGGCCATATACTATATAATTCTGTTTATAGGACATCCTGGAAAAGGCAAAATTAATGAGATTAAAAAACAGATCAGGAGTTGCCAAGGACAGGGGTTGGGGAGAAGAACTGACAAAAATGGGCATGGGTAAATTTTGGTAGGTGAAGGAACTGGTCTATAACCTGCAGTGGTGGTTACACATGATGATATTCTTTTACCAAAACTTGCAGAACTGCCGGGCACGGCAGCTCACGCCTGTAATCCCAGCACTTTGGGAGGCCGAGGCGGGCGGATCATGAGGTCAGGAGATCGAGACCATCCTGGCTAACACAGTGAAACCCCGTCTCTACTAAAAATACAAAAATTAGCCGGGCGTGGTGGCGGGCGCCTGTGGTCCCAGCTACTCAGGAGGCTGAGGCAGGAGAATGGCGTGAACCCGGGAGGTGGAGCTTGCAGCGAGCCCAGACTGCACCACTGTACTCCAGCCTGGGCAACGGCACAAGACTCCGTCTCAAAAAAAAAAAAAAAAAAAAAAATTTGTAGAACTGTACATTAAAAAGGGTGAATTTTACTGAATATAGATTATACCTCTTACATATATAAATTAATAAAAAGAAAAAATTATTAAGCACCTGCTATGTATCATGGCTACATACCAGATATATAAACTTAAAAATATAATCCCTCCCTTTAAGGAGCTCAGGGATAAATAATAATAGTAATGACCATTATCATTAATAATATTAGTAGTTAACACTTAAATAGGGTTTATCATATGGCATACATTGTTCTAAGTATGTCATACATATTAACTCACGTGATCCTGTAACAACCCCATGAGGATAGGTAGTTTTTTCTTATTTCCTATTTTAGCTAAAGAGAGACTGAGAAACTGCCCATGGTCACACAGCAAGAAAGTATAGAACCCAGGTGCAAAGCCAGGCAACCTGGCTTCTATCTCAATCCTTTGAAATTCTTGCCTCTATTTATTATGAAAAACAAGTTATCCAAAATTATATGGCAATTAGTGGCAAAGTTAAATTTTAAAGTCATTTTATTCCGTCTTCCTTCTGTAGGCTCCCCTTGCTAATTGGAATGAGGTAGTATGAAAGAGAAAAAAAAATACAGTAACGTAGTTTTTTTTTCTTTCTTTTTTTTTTTTTTAAAGTATAGTGGTGATCATTCTTAGCATTTCTTTTCTGGTGAAGTTTCCTGTTTGGTTTTTAACCTAAAGAAGAGGCTAGGTTGGGAGTAGTGGCTCACATCTGTAATCCCAGCACTTTGGGAGGCTGAGGCAGGTGGATCACCTGAGGTCAGGAGTTCAAGACTGGCCTAGCCAACATGGTGAAACCCTGTTTCTACTAAAAATACAAAAATTAGTCGGGCATGGTGGTGGGCGCTGTAATCCCAGCTACTTGGGAGGCTGAGGCAGGATAATCACTTGAACCCGGGAGGCAGAAATTGCAGTGAGCCGAGATTGCGCCATTGCACTCCGGCCTGGGCGACAAGAGTGAAACTCCATCTCAAAAAAAAAAAAAAAAAAAAAAAAGAGGCTGATTATCCAACTGTAGCTCCCTCTTGGGTTTCCCCAAAGGATCTGAAATGACCTGACAGGAAGGCAATACTACACCTCAGAGAAAAGGAGGGAGGGAGAGAAGAGAATAGATGTCTATTGAGATTCGGAGAGAGGACAACCAGTTTTCCCCTTCTTTTAAGGTGGCAAGCAGCAAACTCTGTGTTTAAATAACTATTGACAATGCAAACAAAAACAAAACAAAAAACACCAAAAAACAAACAAAAACCTCTCGAGAAACTTTTATTGGCAAAACCAAAGGGTAAGAAAAGCAAGGGAAAATATAAAGGGAGGGCCAAGCATAGCCTGGGACTACTGGGATGCTGTCCATTTTCTATTTCTTGTATTTATTTATTTATTTTTCTCTTTCAATGACTCTGTTCATTTTTTATTTCTGGATACAGGTGGTGGTCTGAAGGTGTGTTCACTTTGCAAGAATTCAAAGGGTTGCAGTGCACTTTGCTGTACACAAATGGTACTATGTGACACAATTGTGGAAGGGGGAATTATGCCCAAAAGCCCACCCAGATCTAATTGGTTACTTGCTCCATTAAGACACGAGTAGATATTAGATATTAATATACAGAGATATTTAAAAACTAATCTTAGATTTCACATTAGTGTTCAGAAATGAGCAGTTTCATTTACTGGTGTTTGTAAGGAAGACATAAAAGATCCTTTGATCTAAAAAGTAATGATCTCCAGAAAGAAACTCTGAGTGCTCTAAAGAATATATGAATTCTCCTCTGTCCCAACACAATGACATACTGTGCAAAGTCCATGGAAATGAGGGAGTAGCTGGAGCCCAGGCAGAACTGAGGCACACCTCCTCGGGTTATTCTGCCTTTTCTGAGCAAAGAGAACAGAGTTGTTAACTCTTCTCTAGAGAGCACAAGGCCAAATGACACCTTAGGGAAAGGGGAAAAGATCAATGTGTCAGATCCAGAATTTGAGTTGATGCTGTTTTCTGTTCCAAAGAAAAGCAGGCAGAATGGCAGCAACAATTCCAAACCTTTTATTTTCTATGAAGAGTATTCAGCTAGTCGGTGGTTCTCAAGCCTAGACCCATACTAGAATCACCTGGGGGAGATTTTAAAACATTCTGATTTAATGAGTCTAGGTTGGGAGACTTTTTAAAAACTTTCCTTACCTTACTGATTCTAATGTGTGCCCAGGGTTGAATACTAATGTTAGCTATTATTAGATCTACCTCCACTTTCTGTTCTTCCTTACAATACTTCTGTGTTCTTATACTTCAGCTAATTAAATTATGGCCGTTCTAATTTACAGGATTCTTTACCTGTCTAGGTACTAATTATTAGCACCTCTTCATATAATACAAGCAAGCCTGAAAAGCCTGGTTACATTTTTCAGGAAAAATCAATATCTGTATCTAAGAGAGGGAAGGGTGGGGAAAATGGAGAAGAAAAAGATATTAAGATGGGCAAGTCCTGGTGGCAAGACAAGCAGATGACATTACAGACAATGGACATCAAACTGCTGCCAAGCTAATTTAGATTGTAAAAACAGCTCCATAGTCAATAACATGAGTGATCTTAAATATGCACAATTAAGCTACTTCTCCTTTAATACTATCTCTGTTTTGCTTGGTAAACAAGCGTCAGAGGAAGATAAAGGAGCTTTTCAAAGGAGCAGGGATGCATTTCAATACTTAGGCCTTTTCTAAACACTGGAGTCTTACATAGATATAATGTGTCAGTTACCTTGTATCCTAGCAACGTCTCCTACTAAGGGAGACTATGTGATTCCAAACAGGGCCTTCCCTTAATGTTCAAACATAAGTCGTGAGGGAGCCTCACTCTGGGGAAACTTGCAATACTCAAAGAAATTTTACATGAGAAAAGTGTGTGCTACAGCACTGAGTTTCTTTCTACCCAACTAAAGGAGTGAGACAGGCAGGAGGCACTTCTTCCTCTAAAGTTTCATCTGACTTACTTGTTTTTTACCCCCGAAGCTTCAGTGTAACCATGACTCCATACAGCTGGGGCTCCGGAAGCGTCTCCTGTAGAAGGCTGATCAATCTTGAAACAGCGGATATTACTAACAAGAGAAACAGGGAGGGAACAGGAATCATTAAAACCAAATGTGTGCAAATTGCTACCTTTATCCAAGAAATAAAAAATACACCTGTTAAACACTCTGTACTTACCATTTCTTACTGCGTTTAATGTGTCTGAAATACTTATCAGCAACAAGAACCAGCTACTCGTTGTAATGAAAACTGAGGGGCATATATACAGAGCACGAAAATTAGTTTTAATGAGCATCGTAAAGCAGCTATTAGAGACTTTCACACATTCCACTTTAGATGACTGCTCTCTCCTGGGAATGACAAGGACAGCTCTCAGCCTTGGCATGAGAAAACAAAACTTAAGTAATAGGATGGGTGTATTCTTACACCATGAATACTCAGAAAGAACAACAACAAAACACCTAAGCCACAATTATACTGCATTTAGATGATGTGAGAGAATTCTGCAATATTCATCTCCAAATCCAATTTCTGTCCATATAACCCCTCCAAATATTATCATGGACTTGCAGTTCCCTGGAGCTTCCAATACTCTCCTCACGGGTATAGCCAAGTATGCTAAGACTAATATCATAAAATAAAACATATATGTAAAATTACAAAGCAAATGAAGGGTATTTAATAAATTACAAGTTAACTGTATGTATTTAAACTGGGAGATTTCTTACCTCTCCTCAGCCCTCATATGCCATAATTGATCCAACAGGACCCAAAACAGAAATACTAAAGGGACAAATTCTCAAATAGCATTTCTTAAAAATCAGCCTTGCCAGGCGCGGTGGCTCACGCCTGTAATCCCAGCACTTTGGGAGGCCAAGGCGGGCGGATCACCTGAGGTCGGGAGTTCGAGATCAGCCTGACCAACATGGAGAAACCCTGTCTCTACTAAAAATACAAAAAATTAGCTGGGCATGGTGGTGCATGCCTGTAACTCCAGCTACTCGGGAGGCTGAGACAGGAGGATCACTTGAACTCGGGAGGTGGAGGTTGCGGTGAGCCAAGATTGTGCCACTGCACTCCAGCCTGGGCAACAAGAGCGAAACTCTGTCTCAAAAAATAAATAACATAACACATAACATAACATAACATAAAAGAACATAAAATAAAATAAAATAAAATCAGCCTCTAGAAAGCATTCTGTGCCCCTAAACAGGGAGTCATTAACAGATGTAAAGTAGTCTGTTAAAAGGCTGGCTACCACAAGGTGAAATAAGTCCTCTTACTTGTAAATTGCCACTAAGTTTCCCCCTCATTATTATTTAAACAAGGGAAAAAGTATATGTATTATCTGCTGACAACTGAAGCAACACCTACATAGTTCTGGTCATGACCACAAGAATTAAAATTATCTGTTGGTACTCATTACTCCCAAATCTAACAAATACTGTATATCCTTCCTAAGAACCAGTTAAAGCTCTAAGAAGTAAATCAATATCTAACTTGTATTCCCTTTGTAACTAGAAATAACTGATGGCAATTTTTCTGAAATTTAAAAATATATGGTTAAAGAAAAGTTTCTACTCTCAATTACTAGCAAACATTTACTTTCCATCTTGTCTTGAAAAACATAAATCATAGTGTCAATAGAAAATCCCCAAATCAAGTTAATACCTTGTTTTACAATAAGGCTGGAGCTAAATCTTTTTTTCAAAGTTTTCAATTCTATAAATAAAAGAGGCATTAACAAAAAAAAGGACAGTCCTCCATTATTTGCTCTCCATATGACCTGGTACTCCATTTTATCCATCTAAAACAGTCAGCAATACAATAGGTTTCTTAAGACATATCCTAAGGCTCTTAGATACCATCCTGAAGTCTAGGGAAAAGTGAAGGCTCATTTTTAAAGGCATTTATAATTTTTACAGAACACAAAGTCTTCAGAGAAATAATTCCATTTCCTAGCCTGATTATTAAAGGAAAAAAAAAATAACTCTTAACTGCCCCCTCTCCCCAGCACACAAATAATTCTTTCTAGTGAAGCAGCAATTTCTCTTCTCTACCTAGCTGAACACAGTGTGGCTGAGCAGCTATCTGAAGTGAAATGAATGCTGACTCTTGTATATCTTTATTTTTTATTTTTTGAGACGGAGTTTCGCTCTTGCTGCCCAGGCTGGAGTACAATAGCGTAACACGGCTCACTGCAACCTCCGCCCCCAGGTTCAAGTGACTCTCCTGCCTCAGCCTCCTGAGTAGCTGGGATTGCAGGCATGCGTCACCTCGCCCGCCAATTTTTTTGTATTTAGTAGAGACGGGTTTTCATCATGTTGGTCAGGCTGGTTGCAAACTCCTGACCTCAGGTGATCTACCCACCTCGGCCTCCCAAAGTGCTGGGATTACAGGCGTGAGCCACCACACCCGGCCATCTTGTATATCTTTAAATGAGTCAGAGTTCTGTGAACCACAGCTCAATCTCACAGAAGAGTCCTCATATGCACTTAATCGGCTCACATAAAACAAACCAACCCTCTAAAAGTGCAAATAATATACGGAAAATCTTCCAAGTCATTAAGAATCCACAACCTTCCAGATGTTAAACAGAAGGTAACATTTTAAGAGTATTATGATTTTTTGCTATAGGAAACTTTGGTCTGAGTAAGTGAATATTTTAAAAAGCTTGATACGTACGACAACTGCTTTTAAGAAGAGTGTAATACCAAATTATACTCCTTCAGCAGCACCAATTTGAGGGGGGAAATGTTATTCAAATATTTTATTTTGTATTTGCTTGATATACTTATAAGTTTGAACATCTTTTCATGTAACTATTTGTACTGCATCTGTTAAATGTTAATGTCCTTGGTTTATTTTGAGTACTTTTCTTATCATATAAGAACATTTTCTAGTAAGCATATTAATGCTTTTATTTTTTGTATTTCTCTTCCTAGTTTGTCATTTGCCATTTATATCTACTCTTGAGAGTTTCTGAAATAGGAAATAGACATTTAACACTTTTATGTATAAAAAGTATATTTACGTGTAAACATATACGACATAAATATTGAAACCAATCTACATGTACTGATTTCTTTTCTTGTGACTTACTCCCTTCATTTCTTGGCCTAAAAAGTCTTTTTCTAACTTGTGAAGATATTCATATGATTTATTACTTTTAAAAATCATTTAATTTTACAGATTCAACTATTTCAGCTGGATTTTGGTGTGATATAAGAATGCAACTTTAATTTTTCTCTAAGTGGCTACTTCCATTTATTAACAAATTTTGGTGCAATTATTTTTAAATTTTATTTGTAAAAAAATGCTCAAAAATTTTTGTATCCTACGTATAAAAAATACTCAAAAGCTATCTGTTTAAAGATGATGTATTTTGATAATCCATGTTTTCTTGATCTTAAAAAGTACCTTAAAGATCACGTAGGCCATTTTTTTTCTCATCTTATAGGTGTGGACAGATGGAGGGGTTTAGGCCGAGGTTTCATACATGTGATCAACAATGGAGAGAACCTCGGTCTCTACGCCTTCCTCAGGACACTCAGGCAGTGTTTTTCAACTATGTATCAAAATTAATTTTCTCATCAAGTACTAAAATGCCAACAAATTAGGCACTAATTAGGCCAATTCTATCCAGGAATCACTTTAAGTGCTTTTCAAACTTTGGTTTGCACTACAGCCTAGGATAGTATTAACGGACCAGTCACCAAAATTCTACCGTTCTTTTCTGATTCTCTTAAGATAATGGAAGATGACTTTCGGCAACAAATATTCCAACATTGAATAAACATATATGGCATGCATAATGACTAATGTATGACAATGTTTAAAACTGCTACTGATATACCCCAAAAAATTCTGAAAATTCAGAAAAGTTTAAAGAAGAAAATAAACACTACCCATAATACTATTATCCAGAGAATAACACCACTTTAACTCTTTTTATATATCCTTTCAGGCATTTTCTAGATGTGTGTATGCATACACATGTACATATACCCAATGCACACAAATTTATAATGCAAAAATTGAATTATACTATAAAACTTCATTGTGAATTTTATTAATATTTTCACTTAATATACTGTAAAGATCTTTTGAGTTAGCAATATAGCTCTAAATAATTTTAAATGGCTTTGTAATATTCAATTGTGGAACATTATTTAATTCTTAATAGACATTTAGAGTTCCATGATGAACATTCTCATTAAGACATCTTTCCTACTGCAGACCTTTAAGGTTTTACATAGAAAACTCCAACCACTAATTCTTTTATCAATATCAAGAATGAAACAGCATCAATGACCTCTTTCCCAAACCGTGAAGATCTAACTATTGGTAGGATCTAACTACTCCGCATTCTTGGTTTTATTTAAATAACCTGGATTTCAGCGCTACACTGTTAATTTTCCCTACATCATCCATCTCTTTTAAAATCCTTCCTTAATATTTGCATTAACTGTCACAACCACGTTATCAGTGACTACTGAGATTTAAGTTACATCTTGGTTGTTCATTGCTTCCCTGCATCTTGTATATCCTGTTGTGTGTGTTAACACAGCTAACAAGTCAATGATGCTTCATATTTTGTTTCCCATTTTCACTAAGATATGAATCCCATTGCCAGTGGACAATGATGGGGATACAGTGCTTTACAGAATACTTACTTCAGTAGTTCCAGGGTTTTGTGATCAAGGACAAGGCGCGGGTTTCCAGTCAGGTCTAGCTCCTGCAGTTTGGGAGGCAGGTTTTCTGGTAATGTGACTTCACTTAGCTCATTACAGCTCAGGTCCACACACTGAAAAAAGAACAAGTGCAAACAAGAAAGAGATGGTCTAGAGAAGCTCTTCAGGGAATTCTATACTCCTACTCTTTGCATGCAAATCAGTCTGACCATTCATTATAATACACTAGACAAATGTGGAAAAGGAGGCTTATCTGTTACTTTGCCATAAACATTTAAAATAGATTTTGCTAAATGCAAAAAAAATTTTTTAATTTTCTTTGAATAACAGAAAATCCATGTTCTTTATTCTTCCTATATTTTTCACTTAATTTTATCTCCACGTTTAAAATTAAGCATTAACTAAAAAATCCTAATAGATTTTCTTATTGCTCACAAAATCTCCGTGCCATGAGAACTATAGCTCAAACATTAAAATGAACTTTAAAGGAATTTCTTAAAACAAAACAAAAAACAAAGAAGGCTGAGTACAGAGGCTCACGCTTATAATCCCAGCACTTTGGGAGGCCGAGTAGGGTGGATCACTTGAGGTCAGGGGTTTGAGACCAGCCTGGCCAACATGGTGAAACCCCATCTCTACTAAAAATACAAAAATTGGCCAGGTGGTGGCGCAAGCCTGTAATCCCAGCTATTCAAGGTGGCTGACACATGAGAATCACTTGAATACGGTAGGTGCACCGGGCACAGTGGCTCACATCTGTAAACCCAGCACTTTGGGAGGCAGAGGCAGGCGTATCACCTGAGGTCAGGAGTTCGAGATCAGCCTGGGCAACACAGTGAAACCCCCATCTCTACTAAAAATACAAAATTAGCCAGGCACATGCCTGTAATCCCAGCTACTAGAGAGGGTGAGGCAGGAGAATCGCTTGATTCTGGGAGGTGGAGGATGCAGTGAGCCGAGATCGCACCATTGCACTCCAGCCTGTGCAACAAGAGTAAATCTCCATCTCACCAAAAAAAAAAAAATAAGAATCCGGGAGGTGCAGGTTGCAGAGACCACACCACTGCATTCTGGCCTGGGCGACAGAGCAAGACCCTGTCTCAAAAAAAACAAAACAAAACAGAAAACAAACAAACAAACAAAAAACAAAGAAAAGAACATGTAAAATGAGGAAAAGGCAGGTAACACACACTCAAAATGAGAAGATATTTCAAAAGAAACTGAATAAGAAATTGGCAAAAGCAAGATGAGCAGGTAAGCCTGCCTAATCTGTGTCAAAAAAAAAAAGGGGCTGAGTCAAGTATGGATCCTACCCTCAAGGCATCAACATCTGGACTCTCCAACAGGTCCTCCCTAATTTAACTTGAAAGAAAAATCACAAAAGGGTCATGTTGGTTACAAAAAAATCAGGTTTTACCTGTAAGTAGAAATTATAGCTCCTTTCTCACAAAACTGATGTAAAGCTTAAATAAGGTGTACTGTAAAAAGAGGGGCTGCCCTTGTGTTCAGGGAGCAGGGAACCTAGGTGGAGAAGGCTCAGCATACACAAGAGAAACGGAGTGGTCAGCGCTCTAGATACAACAATGCAGAATATATATAGTATATAGTATGGGGTGGAGAGCATTCAATTATCTGGCTGAATTAGTACCTTATTGTAAGTTTCAAAAGTGCTTACAGAAACGATCAGAGGGGAATTGTTTTGTTCTCTCTTCAGTCCTTTAAAAAAAGGGAGGAGGGAGATTATACTCAAGAACTTCAGGATCTTAAAAGTGGACAAAATCTTCCTTTTATTTGGAAAAATTCTCAAAGAATTTAAATCTAGTAGGGATTGGGGAAGGGTAGAGATTGGGTAAAATGAAAACCTGTATTTTTGGGTAAATATATTTTCAATAGGCTTCAAACAACACAATGCTCTCACACAAAATGTTTCATACAGTTGCTTCCAAATAGTAGCAATGAAAAAAATTATATTGCCATTCTAAATAATCATATTTTATTATGAGAGCATTATAACCACATTATCCACAAAAAGCTGAGCAAAAAGAAAAGCTCAGAAAAATATACCCTTAAATCTACCACCCTAACACACCCAGGGTTAGCATTCTGTTTTTTTTTCCTTATAGTCTTATTCATATATATTTTTTAAAAGCCTTAAAAATCTCAAACATAGGTGCAATTTCATTACATTTCATTTACTCTTCTATCACTCTACTGCAACCATTTTCCCCATCTTCATTCCCATCTGCTATGGTCTGAATGTTTGTCCCCCAACAAATTTTCATCATATGCTGAAACTTAATCCCCAACGTGATAGTATTAAGAAGTGGGGCCTTTGGGAACAGATGAGGTCATAAGGGCTTTGCCCTCATGCATGGGATTAGTGGCCTTATAAAACAGGCCCAGTCAGCTTGTTCACTCTTTGCACCTGACAAGCATACATGGAAGGAACTATCTATGAGAAATGGGGCCTCATCAGACCAAATCTGCTGGTACCTTCATCTTGGACTTCCCAGCCTCTAGAACTGCGAGCAAGAAATTTCTGTTGTTAATAAATTATCCAGTCTAAGGCATGTTGTTATAGCAGCCTGAATGCCCTAATATACCACCACCTTTAATAGCCCCATACTAATTCTAGTAGATGTACATTAATTTACTTAACCTAAATATTGGAGAAAACAGTCATCTCTTTTTTGCTTTGTTTTGTTTTTTTCAATTATAAATAATGGTTACATCAACAGTCAACCAGAGTTTAATGAAAAACTGATACCCGATAATACTGGGTAATAATGGGACATGCTACCAACAGAGTCAGTACACATCAGCATAGCAGGACAACAAATGGGGATATACACAATCTACTGGACACTGATGGGACAGGAAATAAAGAGCTAATAAGTGTGAGTAATTTAGGATGCAAGTAGTTGACAACAAAATTCAGGGGTCAGAAAATGCCTTTGGTCAAAGATTAAAGGCATTCTGCAGAAATATTGAATTTTATGAAATTGGTAAAAATTTTTTCTACAGATATAAACTAGCTCATTCTCTAAATTATCAAATTATGAAATGAGTTCAGTAGGGTAACTAATTACTTATGAAGATAATGCTGCAGGCTGTAATGCAGACCTTCTTAGAGATGATGTTCCTGTGCCTCCCCTCTGCCCAGGACTGTTTGCTCCCCAAGGCTCCTGTGACAGAGTCTCTGATTCACTGCAGCAGGTTCCCTTCCGTCGAGCTCCACTACCCTGGACTGACCTGCATCCCATTTCCCCCGGAGGGCTCTGGCTGCACCAGAAATTTGCTTTTGGTCTTGCTTCCCTCAATGTACTCCTTGTATGCTGTCAGGATGGTTTCTCAGTGTGGTTTACTCCACCTGCTCACACTCCAGCTTCAGTCCGTCAGCCTGCTCCCAGGTGTCCTTCAACCCGACACCAAACTCCTCAGAATGTCCAACAAGGCATCCCCAACTTTGCACACTGGCTTCCTCACACTCCATGTTCCACCCATGCCAGAGTGCCTGCAGCTCATGCATGTGACATGCTTTCATCTGTCTGTGCCTTAACACATGCTTCTCTCTGTGCTTGGAACTCTTTTCTTCATGCTTTTCTTGCTTTTTATCTGGTGCAATATGCCTGATTCCTTTTAAGACTCAACTCAATGCCAACTCTACTACAACCTGTTTCAATTTGGTGTCCCTTGTTATAATTATCTGCTTACTTATTTCTTCCATGAGACTATGGCCTCCTAGAGAGCAGGGATTGCTGCTGTTTCTCCCCGGATATCCTAAGCGCAGTGCACTGGAAAGTGTAGATGTTCAACAAATGGTTTCATTAAAAGGATGAACAAATGATTGCCTGGCACATGACAATCATTTTCTCAGTGAGTTTATGAAGGACTCTTGTAAGGTGTTTCAGTAATTAAATCTGCTAGGATGGGAACTGAGATACCAGTGCTTAGGTTAAATTCAGCATAGAATAGATAGCATTTTAATGCAATTTTAATACATTTTAAATATCATAGTTTATTTCTACATAAGAATGCAACCATTTTCTTTAATGGCAGATAAGCAAAAACACCCTTTTATACTTCTGCACACAGGAAGGAGGTTCGTTCACAGAAATTATAGAAAGTTGAAAAAAAAATTACAGGATGTTGGTATCTGGTGCTGCTCTCCCAGTGTTAACACAGTGAGCAACACGCTTAGAAGCACTCTGTCATGTTCTTTCAATAGTCCTCAACAAAGGCTGACTGCTGAGGTACTCCACAAACACTTGTTGGCTGAATCATAATGGTTACCACTAAGCAAATAGAAAATATTTGAGTGAAACTGGAATAAAAAAAGACCCTTTATATTGTTAATATATGTACCTCTATGGTTAGTGTACTACAACTTTCTTAAAAATATATTCAATAGAATGTTAAATCTGGCTAAAACACGACTAAAAGAAAATTATCTTTCCCTCTTTCAGGCCCATTCTAGAATATAGCTAACAAAAATTACTTTGTTATAATCAAAATTCTGGTAAGAATGCCCAAAAAATTATGCAACCCTCAGAAAAAGTGAGATAACTCATAGCTGAGAAGGAACTCTTGATTTAGAGGAAAATCATTACAAACACATTTAGATAAGAGCATAAAAAAGTCATTATATCTTAAAGAAAAAGAAATTCAACTTGATGTATAGTTTAAGTGTAACTATCACAAAAGCTGCATGGAGCCTGTCTTTATTATGTTTTCCTCAGAACATTACCAAAGAAACAGGCATATCAATGTTCATAGCAAAGTATTATATATCATCTGCCAAATAGCTGCCTGTACTGCCCTGAAATGGCAACTTAACCTACCGGCTGCTAGATTCTGTAACACCCTACTTCCTTCCTTCCTGCAGACTATCCCCAGTCCACCACCTCCACCGTGCTCCCCAGTGGCACAGTCAGTTCCAAAAATGAGGATCCCAATCACAGTCTGGATTTCCTTGCCCTTGCAAGGTAAAAGCTGCTAGTGTATAACATATTTCCCTACTGACTTCATAAGAAGTAAATAAATGCAAGTATTCTTTCAAAAGAAAATGTATTAAGGACCTACAAATCGGCAGGCAATAAGCCATCATCAGGGACATATGGAGATGGCAGACACAGTCCCTGCCCTTGAGGAACTCCCAAGATAGTGGGGGGAAATAAACAATACACCTTTAGCTGGTATGATCAACGATATGGCAGAAGTATGCACAGGTCATAGCAGCCCAGGGACAGATAACAAGACCCCAGAGAGGCCTTTCCAGAGAAGATTTTTGTGCAGAATCAAAGTTAATCAGGCATGTGAGAACAGGTGGACATCTAGAGAGAGCTAATAGCAGGTACAGCAGGAAGGAGACAAGAATAACGTTTGTGTGGCATATCAGGAAACTCACTATGAGCAGTTGCTGAGGCTGGAGACTATTGGGCCCCAGAGCAGAAGATAAGGCTGGGCAGGCAGAGGGATCAGATAATGAACTGTGGATCCTATAGATCGTGTCTCATACAGAAGTAGTCTACACTGCCTCCCTTTCTTATGATGCTATAGGAACTAGAACATTTTAGCTTAATAGTAAAATAAATATGCACACATATGTACTATTTCTCAATATACAACTTTTAGTCAAATTCTCTTAAACTACTATACATTCCTGGTGTTATAAAAGGCTAAGTGATCACTAACGTGGGATGTTGATACAACTAAGTAGGTTTATTAACTGAATGAGTCAGTCTGAACTCAACTTTTACCCTAAACACAGACCTGAGAGTCACAGTGTAGTACTATTATTCTACATAAAATTGTATTTATGGCTGTGTGCAGTGGCTCACGTCTGTAATTCCAGCACTTTGGGAGACCGTTGTGGAAGGATTGCTTGAGGCCAGGAGTTCGAGATCCACCTGGGTAATATAGCAAGACCATCTCCGCATAAATTTTAAGAAATTAGCCAGGCTCCTGAGCACCTGGAGTCTCAGCTACTCAGGAAGCCGAGGTGGGAGCTTCCTGTGAGCCAAGGAAGTTGAGGCTGCAGTGAGTTATGATTGCACCACTGCACTCCGGCATGCGCAACAGAGCAAGACCCTCTTTTTTAAAAAAATCATATTTGTATATAATTACTGAGAAATGTGCATTAATGTTTAAACTTCCTCACCTTATAGGGAGCTGCAAAGAAAGACCTTTAATCTTGTATAAAGCATTCCTTTTAAATTTACATACAGTGTCTCCATGATTTTCTCAACTGCATTTTAGATTTGGGAAGCCTAGAAGAAACCTTGGGAAACCTTAAAATTGGCAAGAATTTGAGGTGATAAAAATGACAAGCAGGGTAACAATCCTTAGCATTCTGTTTGTTCAAATACAGAATTTCCTCAAACACTAAAACTAAGTTATCTGCAAATTTTGACTTTAAGAAAATGTATCCTGTATAAACTGAACAATTTCTTTACATCATCCCTTCTTTTTTTATCCCCAAAGAGACAAGGTCTTGCCATGTTGCGCAGGCTGGTCTTGAACTCCTGGCCTTAAGCAATCCTCCAACCTCAGCCACCCAAAGTGTTGGAATTACAGGCATGAGCCACCGTGCCTAGCCCACCAGCACTTCTTAAAATTGATTATGGCCGGGCGCGGTGGCTCACGCCTGTAATCCCAGCACTTTGGGAGGCCGAGGCGGGTGGATCATGAGGTCAGGAGATCGAGACCATCCTGGCTAACATGGCAAAACCCCGTCTCTACTAAAAAAAAATACAAAAAATTAGCTGGGTGAGGTGGTGGGCACCTGTAGTCCCAGCTACTCGGGAGGCTGAGGCAGGAGAATGGCGTGAACCCGGGAGGCAGAGCTTGCAGTGAGCCAAGATCGCGCCATTGCACTCGAGCCTGGGCGACAGCAAGACTCCGTCTCAAAAAAAAAAAAAAAAAAAAAATTAATTATGTGTGCCCTTGGGGGTACTCAATGGTATACTACAAAGTTACAGGATGCCTGGCACATGCATCTGGGGGCTTTAGTTTTACTCAGATTGAGAAGGGAAAGAGCCATTATTTTTACATTAAAAAAAAGAGAAATGATAAAAAGTAGAACATAAAATGAGCATGATTTTTAGACTGAAAAAGAGACTTGAAAAGAAATTTACAAGTGATTCCAGGCATCTCCCAGATTTCTGGGTGCGTGAGTGCACTTCCCTTTGCCCTCAGGATCTGAAGAGCACCACAGTAACCACCTCACAGATCACTTCTTCTGAGGACTGAGTCATGGTGCTCCTTTCTCCAGAAGCCTCTCTAAAGAGATGCCTTCTAAAATGCATGAGTTCATGAAGGACTAATTGTTCATCTTTATAGATACATAAGCTATTCCATAAAATGTATGCAATATTTTGTTAGAATGGGCATGGCTTTGAATTTAGAAAGATCTGCTGAAACCAGAGTTAAAAACAAACACACACAAAACTAGTCTGGGTTGGCCAGGCGCGGTGGCTCACGCCTGTAATCCCAGCACTTTGGGAGGACGAGGCGGGCGGATCACGAGGTCAGGAGGTTGAGACCATCCTGGCTAACACAGTGAAACCCTGTCTCTACTAAAAATACAAAAAAATAGCCGGGCGTGGTGGCGGGCACCTGTAGTCCCAGCTACTTGGGAGGCTGAGGTGGGAGAATGGCGTGAACCTGGGAGGCGGAACTTGCGGTGAACAAAGATCGTGCCACTGCACTCCAGCCTGGGCAACAGAGCGAGAGAGACTCCAACTCAAAAAAAAAAAAAACTAGTCTGGGTTAACTCATTACACCAATTTTGAAAGACAGAGAGAATATGCAGTCTTAACTTCCTGCTAGTCTGTTCCTGGTGAGGCTGGGTGCAGAGTGGCTTCAATGGCCACTTTCCAGTAGACACTGCTTGCTTCCTCTTTCCTTAGTCCTTGTATCGAGCCTTGTCCCAAACAGGAATTGACATTAGATTCCGCAACGGTTGGAAAATTTCCTCAGTAACTATTACTTAACTTGATTCCAGCACCATAATAATGACTGCTCCTGGTTTCAGGTTTTGGATATGCATTATGCCAAGCTGACGTTTTTACGTCTATTATGTCAACTACGCCACCCAACTAAAGCCTAAACTTGGTTCCTGACCTGTCTTCATATCCATTTCCTACTTCCCCAAGAATCAACCCACTTTCTTCCATCCATTCTACCCAGCCATTTCCCCATGTTCTTTGTGTCTTTGTGATTGAGCTGATATTCTCTATTTCATTTTACTTTAGAGACAAGAACAACAACAAACAGGGCTTGCTGGAATCCAGCCAAGCGAAGTCTGGCTACATGGTGACTATGGGATTGTGGTTTTCTCTCTAGCTGATTGAGAGCTGATCTATATTCAGTTTATTTTTTAAACTTCCTATAGCCATTGTCCTCAAGAGTATAGCATATTAAAACTACTTCATACTCCATTTCCCAGTTAAGGTAACACAGATTTTAGATACAAGTTCACTCAACTTAGCCAAGTAGTTTATTACTGCATGGAACAAACATGAAAATAATCTTCTAAAGATAATTAAAACATCTAAAAAGATGCTGTTCTTAGAATCAGTAAGCCACAGGAACATGGAAATTTGACAAAGAAGTTGCTGACATGATGTTTAAATCCCAAATTACAAACTTCATTCACCGCAGGTATCAACACTTATTTCACCTGCTTAAAATACACTTCAAAAACGGGTTAGAACACCTGGCTCCAGCCTGGGTGACAGAGAACCTATGTCAAAAAAAGCGGGGGAAGGGTTTAGAATAGGTCACTATTAACTAATAGCTTGGTTTTTGTTGCAAAATTACTATATTACCAATGTGACTGCTATGCAGTTCAGTGGAAGGAGAAACAAGTGCCATATCCAACCTCTGCTTCTGAGGTTCCTCAGCCATGAGCAGCCTTAGCATGGCCTTAGGTCCAGGTCCAGCCAAACCAAGTCTGGCGTCTGTGTGACTCAGATCTTGTTTTCCTTACTAGATGATCAAGAGCTAATCTGTATCCAGAGGGAGGCCTGTCTGTTTCAGAACCAAAAGAGAACACAATCTGCTCCAAGCAAAACTGGACTGGTGGTAGGGGTTTGAAAGATCAATGCGAAAGGGCTAAACAAAGGTGAGGATAATAACACTAATGATCCACTCAGGCTCACTGGAAAATTCTGAAAAACTCATTTTATTTTTCCTACTAATAACTTACATAACCTCCCTATCCAAATACAGAAATTAACACCTGATGATCACTTTACAGATCTCATTAGATATTATCAAAATGAAAAAAATGCCAGAGCTCAATTTTATCCAAGATTAGATGGTGCAAATAGTCTGTTTAAGGTGTACATGAATAATTAATTATTCAGGTGTTTTAAAAACATATTTTAGCATACATCTCAGTACGGAGATTTGTTTGCTCTTTTAAACAATAACTGTTTTTAAAACTTTGGTAACAAAGCTATGAATAATCACTTTCTTTTAATGTCTGAAAAGATAGCAATGCTTGGTGAAACTAGCTAGTTAAATACACCATGATCTTATCTTTTCTGAAATGTTATCTGCTAAGTTTTTAAAATTGCAATGATCTTAATACCTTTATATGCTTTACAAGTAACACCTACTGCACTTTATTTTCAAGAAACAGTGTTAATGTAATCTAGAGTTATTAACTCAATAATAAAATTTTAATACAGGTTGGAATATATCACCGTAGAAATGAAATTACTTCTTTTACATTAAAAATATGCTTAGTTTACATAAAATACATAAAAATAGGCACACTTTACAATGAAGACTTTCATAGGTATATTTATCATTTAAGATACGCACAATTTTTACAAGATTTTCTTTTAGATATTCAAATATACATACTTATATTGCAACTTAAAATATTCTCATATGACACAAAAATATCAATTCAGAGTTCTGAAACAATATAACTACTATCTTTTTCAAGAATACTATCTGTCCAGGGATGAAACATTTACATGTTTGTACATAAAGGATACTTGATATTGCTCAGTGCACACGTACCCTAAAACTTAAAGTATAAAAAAAAAAAAAATCCCAACAACAAAACTTCTATCTACTGGTAATGGAGGAGCTCAGCCTGAAAGAATGGATATTGTTAACATAAGAAAAATGCTAAGGTGTAATAGCTGGGGGGAAAATCAACCAAAGAGCAAAAAAATGGAAACCATTTAAAAATATGGGAAGTAAAATTGAAAAGGAGTTGTAAAGCAGGTACAGAGAGAAGACAACAGGGGAAGGAATTCAATAGCAACAAAGGTACTGATTCTGTAATCCAGGAATCCAAGCAAGAGTCTAGGAGAGGATTAGTTTTCATACAGCAAAATTTGTGTTTTGCAAAATCTAGTTATAATCTAAAAACATTTACATTTCTTTTTTTTTTGAGATGAAGTCTCACTCTGTCACCCAGGCTGGAGTGTATTGGTGTGATCTCGGCTCACTGTAGCTTCCCCCTCTCGGGTTCAAGTGATTCTCCTGCCTCAGCCTCCCAAGTAGCTGGGACTACAGGAATGTGCCACCACACCTGGCTAATTTTTGTATTTTTAGTAGAGACAGTGTTTCACCATATTGGTGAGGCTGGTATCAAAAGCCTGACCTCAGGTGATCCACCTGCCTCAGTCTCCCAAGGAGCTGCCGTGCCTGGCCTGAATTTCTATTTGTATTTTATTTATTTATTTTTTTGAGATGGAATTTTGCTCTTGTTGCCCAGGCTGGAGTGCAGTGGCGCAATCTCGGCTCACTGCAACCTCTGCCTTCGGGTTCAAGTGATTCTCCTGCCTCAGCTTCCTGGATAGCTGGGATTACAGGTGCCAACCACCATGCCTGGCTTATTTTTGTATTTTTAGTAGAGACAGAGTTTCACCATGTTGGCCAGGCTGGTCTCGAACTCCTGACCTCATGATCCACCTGCCTCAGCCTCCCAAAGTGCTGGGATTACAGGCGTGAGCCACCAAGCCAGGCCTCTATTTGTATTTTAAACCAAATACTTAAACAAACAAAGAACCCCAAAACAAGAATCTAAATCTACATTTAAGAGTTTATAACATTAAAAGACAGATACAGACACTAAGACCAGCAAATAGGAGGTTTAATCTTGAGACTCTCACTTTCTCTTGTGCTAGAATTTCACCTGCACCACACATAGAGACCAGTTTAACAACCCCCAGTAAAAGATGGCACAGCACAGCCACTGTGTCAAGTAATGGGCAGCTGAGGAAACCCTGGAAGGTCTAGCTGACAACATCTTTCCTGTGCTGAACGGCAAATAAACATTTGCTTAAGTAATAAATTTCTTGGATTTTGTTGAGCTTCAGCCAAAATAGTTGCTCTATATAATCAACATCACATATGAACCACATTGAGGGCATGTGTTGATTAATAATGGCTAACATTTAGGGAGTTCTTCCTATGTGACACTCCTATTTCAAATGCTTTACATGTATTATTTCATTTCATCTCCATAACAATACTATAAAGGAAGTACCAATTCTTTTCTTTCTTTAACATACGAGGAAACAGAGCAGTGAATTTTCAGCTGGGATCCAACTGGAGGTCTGTCTCCCTTCAGAGCACGGCTCTTCCTCAATGTGAAAGTTACTATACAGAAAGTAAAAATTCTGGAAATTTTTGTTGTTGTTGTTGTTGTTTGTTTTTTGAGACGGAGTCTCGCTCTGTTGCCCAGGCTGGAGCGCAGTGGCACGATCTCGGCTCACTGCAAGCTCTGCCTCCCAGGTTCATGACATTCTCCTGCCTCAGCCTCCCGAGTAGCTGGGACTACAGGCACGAGCCACCATGCCCGGCTAATTTTTTCTATTTTTAGTAGAGACAGGGTTTCACCGTGTTAGCCAGGATGGTCTCGATCTCCTGACCTCATGATCCGCCTGCCTTGGCCTCCCAAAGTGCTGGGATTACCGGCGTGAGCCACCGCGCCCAGCCAAATTCTGGAAATTTATAACAAACATCTTAAAATGCCACTGTGATGTATGAGACAGTGTTCTTAAAGCCCAAAGTAAAACATTTTGTGGCTTAAAGCATACGTGCACATGCGTGCGCACACACACACACACAAACAAAATGGCTTGTACACATCTCAACCATATAAATGTGTAAAAACTGTTGTGATAAAAAGTTATGCAAGCCGGCCGGGCATGGTGGCTCATGCTTGTAATCCCAGCACTTTGGGAGGCCGAGGTGGGTGGATCACCTTGAGGTCAGGAGTTCAAGACCAGCCTGGCCAACATGGTGAAACCCTGTCTCTACAAAAAAATACAAAAGTTAGCTGGGCATGGTGGCAGGCGCCTGTAATCCCAGCTAGTCGGGAGGCTGCGGCGAGCGAATCGCTTGAACCCGGAAGACAGAGAGAGGTTGCAGTGAGCCAAGATTGCACCATTGCACTCCAGCCTGGGCAACAAGAGTGAAACTCCATCTCAAAAACAAAACAAAAAAAAGTTATGCAAGCCATTTAAAATGTCTTCAAATGTCTATTTGCTTTCTTAATCTAAAACACAAGGTTTATATCAGCAAGTGCCTGGAAAGTGAAGAATGGCTAAGTTGGACTGCTCTTGTTCCCTGTTAGGAGATTAGAATATGCTCCAAGTCTGTAACCACCAAATTATTTTTCATTAAGCATAAAATCGATTACTAGAAATGCTAAGATACAAATGAAAAACTACATTGTATATAAAGAACTTTTTACTTCTGTACCATTTCCCTGCCAGAAAAGAAACAAAATAGGAACACATGGTTGTTACATGGCTTTCATTCTAGTGAACTGGTTTCATCCCATGAATCTACCTCAAGTCAGCAGTCAGGATTTGCAGACTACCTCTGCTACCAATTTGCTGTCTTAATTTACACAGATTGCTTCACTTTTCAGCACCTCAGTGTCCTTACTTATCAAATGACAATAATATCTGCTCTGCCAATTTCATTCCGTTGAAATCAATGTTTGGTGACAGCAATGATGCTCTGTCTATATAGGGAATTACCATTAGTGGGCTAATATGGTGGGGTGTGCTATTTAACTGGGTGAGTTGGTAGGGAGCGATGTGTAGTGGTACTGTTAACCTTTTCAAACTGCGATTACACCAGCGTCAGCCTTTGAGCCTCATAACCACCCTGGAAATAAGTGGAACAACTATTAACAGATAAAGAAGTATAGGGTGGCTATGTGGGTAGCCTCATGTCATACAGTAAGTGAGGGACTCAGCCTAGAAATCCAATTTTCCCAAAACCTGCTCCAGTGTTTTGCTTTGTTTTTTAACTCTGCCGACTCAACGGTGTAGCCCATTGGTTAGGAAGGAGGAAGTAAGGGCTAATGGGGGCCTTCATTCTGAATAAATCCAACAAAGATGCAAACGTCCTGAGTTGATGAGTTAGGAAGTCAACTTTCTTTGCCGACCTGAAGCTTAGAGTTTATGAAATGAAACCACATACCTTGATCTCTGGGAGCTGCATAACTTCGGGAAAGACCTCGATGCAGTTGGAGTGAGCAATCACGGTGTGCATGCGCCTGCAATTCATGATCGTTGTTGGGATGGCTTTCAGCTTATTCCCACTGAGATCAATTTCTTCAAGTTCCTCCAGTTTCGCCATTTTACTAAAAAAAGAGAAAATAAAGCAATTTAAAAGAAAATAATATAGGACGAGAATCAAAGGATGAATTAAATTGCTATGACTTTAAGGATTCATTTGTAACAGTCATTTTTACAAACAAGACCATTTTTTCACTATCATTTTGGAGTACTGAAATATTTTAACACCTCCTTTCTCACTACAGAACAAAAACTATTCAACTCTTCAAATTGTCAACAAGAAGGAAAATGGATGCCCTTTTCCTCCTAAAAGTCTATGTGGAAATTAAGTTACCCTGGCAATAATCATGTTACTGTATAGCTTGGTCTGAACACTAATGAAAACACTATTTAAATGGGTCAAAAGCCAGCACTAATACAATAAAACTGCCTTAAAAGAGCTCAGAGAGTATGATTTCTTTGTAGTGGCACTGAAAACTCAAGGGGGAGGTAGAGAACAGGTCTATAGTTCATATTAAGATAAGCTTTTTCTTCAACCCTCACTCCCCCAACTCCTCTGACATCACTGATGAATACAAAGTGGTGGTAAGGAGCAAGGGGTGTGTTAAAAGCCCATTTGGATCACCTCTTGGACTTCTGGCAGAGCCCAAATTCACACCAGGGCCAAAAGACATTTATCTCAATTGTTGCTAAACATCTACCAAGAAGGAATCTCTCCAACCTTATCTTAATAATATGTTCTAATGTAATTAATTTAATACTTCTGTTTAAGAATGTCTTTTATTGTTCAATCCTCCTCATCTATAATCTTCATCAATAATTACAATAACCAACTAAAGAAAAATTCCAGAATCAGGGTTTCTTGCATTCTTTATAAATTTGAAAGAAAAAACAATGCCTCTACCTCTGCAATCACTGTAATAGTATCTGGCACTTTTTTGACCCTTTTTCCACTCCTGCTGATGTTAGACTCCAAGAAGCACAGGATTCCCCATTAGTGTGATCCAGACTCATAAGCTGAATAATAGTTTACATTTTTTGGTATTGTTTCTACCTGTTATAGTTTCATTTGTCACAATACACTTTTAAAGAATTTAACAAAAAAAAACCACTGTATTATTTTTGTCATCTTTCAAATATAAAGATTATCTTGTTTATCTTGAAAATAAATATATGCCTAAGATACAGTAAAAACTAAGTTTTTATCTTATGAAGTCAGACCTTTTAATATCATATACATCCAGTGTGGTATCAGAATAGACTACAAACAATATGTACACAGACTATGAAGTAATCCATCTATGATAGCCCGAATTTCTGAGAATATTATTTAAATATGTTATCATCATATTTTGAAAAAAATATAGTGATACGGTTTGGATTATTTGTCCCCTCCAAATCTCATGTTGAAACGTGATTCCCAGTGTCAGAGGTGGGGCCCGGTGGGAGGTGTTTTGGTCATGGGGGCAGATACCACATGAATGGCTTGATGCCCTTCCCATGGTAATCAGAGAATTCACACGCTGTGCATTCACGCAAGACCCTGGCATCTCTTTTGCCCCCTCTCTCACCATGTGACACAATGGCTCCCCTTCACCTTCTGCCATGATTGTAAGCTTCCTGAAGACTCACCAGAAGCAGATGCCAGCCCTTGTGTGCCTTGAAACTAATGGGTAATGGTGCATGAAAAATGATTAAAAGCACAGAAAACAGGCCCCCAAAAGAAAAAGTTAAAGAAATTTCCAACTCGCCACATAAAAAGAAGGTGGCAAAAGATGTGAAGACAAAATGACTAGATGGTGGTCCCGTTCTTTAATTCAGCAACCATTTAAGTGTGGGCCTTGTGTGAGATATGAGGCTGAGGGATACAGCAAGGTCACAGACCCAGCTCTTAAGGTGCTCTGGTTTGCAGGGGAGCTACTGAGCCACATCACAACCACAGGGAGACAGAATTCATTCCTAGATGGATTTTTTTACAAGGTGTGTTAAAAGTTTCTCTGCACTTAGGGTGGGTGATTACACCTGGCACGGGTCACTGGGGGTATATCCTCAGAATTAGAGCTGATGATCCTTTCCTCTGCAGGGTTTAGACATTCATCATCTGAAAGAAGACAATGAGCTCTTTCAGATAGGTTGCTGTTATGTGATTATCATGGTTTTTTCCAAAAATATCATTTCCCCATTCCATAGTGAAGTAAAAGTAGATGGAAGTAAGCATAAAATAGTTTAATTATTAATATCAAATGAGGAGGAAAGTAAATATTTCATTACACCAAAAACAGAGCAATACTTTAAGTCAACATATACACGGGCCTTCCTTCTTCAGCAAGGGCTCGAACAGACTGGTAGCCCTGAAGGCAGCAGAGGGAAGCTATGATAGTGTTTTGATTTGGCCCCAATGCTGAGTTGCAGTTACCAAGCAGAAACCAGAAGGGTTAGTGTTTGTTTCTTTGATGCGTGGGTGTGTGTTCAAGCCCTAACTTGTTAGATGGATAAAAGCCAATGAAATGGAAACACGGTAAATCCTCACGGCAGGCTCAGCACGCAGATTCACTCAAAGCTAGATATAATGTCACCGCTCACCGAAAATTAGAAATTAAAGTAAAAACAAATTAAAAATGGACTATTTTGAGAGCCAGAATTTGCAATGTTACAGTTTCTATGGTAGTAGAGTCTACCACTGCTCTGTACATCATGAATATGAATATAAAGTTTGGTAGATAATGAAGGATTTTCAGGTTCCTGGTTTACATTCTAATTCCCACATACCCTATTAGGTTAATGTTTTTGGAAACTTTATTATTTACTTTATTTTTTAATAGATAGGGTCTCACTATGTTGCCCAGGCTGGTCTCGAATTCTTCAGCTCAAGTGACCCTCCCATGTCAGCCTCCCGAGTAGCTGGGACTACAGGCACGCACTGCCACACCTGGCTCTAGGATAATGGTTTTTTAAAAAATTAATCTGACTGGTTAAAAAGAAGTAAAAGAAAAAACATACCTGCTAAACAACACATTTTATTTCAAAATCTTAAGAACATTCTTGTGATTAGGTCTTTGGACACATATGAAGAAAACCAATCTACTTCTCTTTAGGGAAATGTCATCATAGCTTACATAAAGGAAACTGTGAAGGGAGCAGGAACAAGCAAACAAACTTGACATCACCTGGGAAATAAATATTTCAGCCTTCACCTTTCTATGAATACACTTTGAGAAATGCAATTCAGAACGCAGCTTTACAACTGTCCTTTACCTTGCTGGAAAACTCTGAAGTCGGTTATAGGCCATGTGAAGGATCTTCAAATGGGGGTGTCCCGTTAACAAGGGCACACATTTGTCTGTGAGGCTGTTATTTGTCAAATACAACTCTTGTAAGATACTGTTTGTCTCTTCGGAAAGCGTGGCTGGAGGAAGGCTTTCCAGTTTGTTCGCAGAGGCGTTCAGGAATCTCAGGCTACAATGACAAAACGCAACAAAATGCCATTGAAAAGTCACAAAAACCCTCAAGAAACCTAAAAGCTTTGATACCAGGCATATTAGAAGCTGGGATCAGAAACATGAATTGAAAAGACAAGCCCTGGCTTCAAGGAGTTCAATTAGCAAGTATTTGTATCTGTGATTCACTAACTATCATGACCACAATAGCTATCTATATGTATTAAACACAGAGATACAACCAATTTTTATGGAAGCACAAAGGTAAGGGGAAGCAATTATTTTTATAGTTGGCGGGGAGTGGAAGAGAAAGTGATATGGTAAAGTTAATATTCTGACTTAAGGAAGAGAAAAACAGTTTCCTATTTTGTAATCAAAAGTTTTTGCTAAAGCAGGAGGATGCCAGGAGTTTGAGACCAGCCTGGGCAACAAAGCAAGATCCTGCCTCTATAAAAATTAGGTGAATAAATAAATAATAAATAAATGGTTCTTATAGTAATAAAACAGGTATTAGATCACAATGCAACTAAATCACATAGTGACTTGAGTCCTCTTCAGTATAAAGTCCAAAGCACATTTTACTGGCTTTCACAAGTGCAGGAGATAATTTGCTCTCTATTAAAACAACATAATATGATGTAGCAATGAGAATAAAGAACTAAAACAACATGTATCAACAGGATGAATCTCACAAACACATAATGACCAGAAGAAGCCAGATACAAGAGGAGACCCACTGCATGATCCCATAACTATATAAAGTTCAAAGTCAGGCAAAATTACTCTGTAGTAACAGAAGTCAGGATGGCAGTAACTCTTAGGTGGGGAGGGAAAGGAGGCAGTATCCAGGAGACGGCGTGTAACGTTTCAAATATTGTAATGTTCTGTTTCTTAGTCCAGGTGCTGGTTACACAAGTGTGCTCACTTTGAGACGAAGCATCAAGGGCTACACTTATGATCTGGCCTCTTTTCTGTATTTATATTGTACTTAAATAAATTTTACATTAAAACAAACAAACAAGATAATATATTGCTGCCACACTTTTCAGATGCTAGAGTGAAAAGAGGATAAAGGCCAGGCGTGGTGGCTCACGCCTGTAATCCCAGCACTTTGGGAGGCCGAGGCAGGCGGATCACAAGGTCAGGAGATCGAGACCATCCTGGCTAACATGGTGAAACCCTGTTTCTACTAAACATACAAAAAATTAGCCGGGTGTGGTGGCGGGCGCCTGCAGTCCCAGCTACTCGGGAGGCTGAGGCAGGAGAATGGCGTGAACCCAGGAGGCAGAGCTTGCAGTGAGCGGAGATCGCACCACTGTACTCCAGCCTGGGCGACAGAGCGAGATTCCATCTCAAAAAAAAAAAAAAAAAAAAAAAAAAAAGAAAAGAAAGAAAAAGAAACGTGGATAAAATATAAAGAATGGTTTTATAACTAAGATAAGTAAAATTGCCCAAAAAAAAAAAAATCCTCCACGGTGATTGTGAAATGTAGTTAAATGCACATTGCAAAGCTGGGGAATGGCAACAAATCCTTGCTGTGATCAGGTTCCAAATCACTCCAAAGGGACGGACTGTGTCACCCTCAAGAGTCAGAGATGACCCTCCTGATTCATGACGAATGTCCAACTGTGCAGCTGCAGCAGGTGGGAAAGAGACAGTGCTCAGTACATAGCACTTGCCTACAAGAGTTAGAAGGGTGAAATCTCCCATGCCTCCCCCTGGCCCCCAGATCAACCCTGTTGATGAACCACACTATTCCCTCATTTCAATCACTTTGGTTTGAAACTTTCACCATTCAATTCAGGACTATTCTGCCATCTGTTAAAAAAAAAAAGAATAAAATCATCCTTAAAAAGAATACAGAATACCAGGCAGTTATTTTTAATCTTGGAGAGAAAAAAAAAGGCTACTAGGAGTCCTCACCAGGACTGTCACTTCAAGCTCTCAGTCCACTAATTTAAAACTCTTCAATCTTGTACAACCCCTTCAACACACAAGCACCAACTCCATTACTTATCTGAGGAAAAGCAGCTTCCCCAAAATAGAACATTTTCCATTAAAGAAACACGTATTCCGTTGACATTAAAAAAAAAAAAAAGGAAGTTAGAGAACGGCTATCCAGACCATAAATAGTCACGGGAAATTATAGTCGTGTGTGCTACAGAGAAGGAAATAAAGGTCACTCCTGCAGTTTCTGAAATGGTTTTGAAGTAGGAAGGAAACAAGTTTCAGCAACATAGTTGTTTACCATCGCTGTTTAGAGTATTTTTATGAGTCTGTTTCTTTAGATCCCATTTAGACCACCTTATTTCCTGTTAAGAATTTCTTTAGTGTAGCATTAGAATAAATTACAATGTAAGAAATAAATTTTATTGCCCTAAAATATCATGGACTAGTGTTGGCTGGGAAACTATATAAAATAATTTCATTAAAATAGAATTCTCAGCTGGGCGCAGTGGCTCACACCTGTAATCCCAGCACTTTGGGTGGCTGAGGCGGGTGGATCACCTGAGGTCAGGAGTTCGAGACCAGCCTGGCCAACATGGTGAAACCCCCCTCCTCTACTAAAAATACAAATATTAGCTGGGTGTGGTGGCAGGCACCTGTAATCCCAGCTACTCGAGAGGGTGAGGCAGCAGAATCACTTGAACCCGGGAGGCAGAGGTTGCAATGAGCCAAGACTGCACCATTGTGCTCTAACCTGGGCAACAAGAGCGAAACTCCGGCTCAAAAAAAAAAAAAGAAAGAAAGAAAGAAAGAAAAAAGACAAAAATAGAATTCTCTAGGAAATATGTAGTTATACACACACAAACACATGCGATAAAACAAAGTGAATTCATGTTTGCATATTTTTTAGGCCAGAAAAAGAGGGAATGTTTTAAAAACAGACAAGTGAATGCTCATCTAGAAAGCTGCCAAGCAACTTAAAAAACCCCTCATGGCATCTGAATAAAGGGAAGAAAGTGATTTCCTCAAAGATTTATCCTCTCATCTTTTTGAAAGTTGTCTGTAATTAAGGAACTATATACCTTTTATGCAAAATTAAGGGGGAAACTGCCAGCATCATCCACCTCCAAGAAATGAAACTAGTTAGTTGAAACCACATGAAGTGGTTCCAAAGGACATCATCTGAACTGCATAAAGTCTGACTTAATCACCTTGCTGGTTAATAGTCAAAGAGCAAACAATTGGACTAAAAATATTTTTTATTATCATAGTATCAGGAAAATTAAATTCAATACCCATTCACTTAAGCCATTCTTCCTAAAACCTCACAATGTTTCAGCAGGAGACAATTTAAATTGGTTTAATAGTCTACATTTCATCCTTCCACCAGAACGAACAAATACTTTAGTTTTGCAAAGTTTCTCCAGGATGGTTAACAATTTTAGTAAATAAATAGGCTCCAGAACCCCACTCTCTGCTTTCAACCTTGCAAAAAAGCTGAATTCTTAAAGGGCTGAGTCAGGTCTCAACTCTGTATGATGTGATAACTATCCTCAAGCTTCTTCCTTACAGAATTTTGTAATAAGTATACTATAAAAAAGATGGTTTAATGTGCCAACAGCTGTTTCATGCTTCATCCATATAACATTTTTCACTATGCAATCCTCTTCTAATTAGAGAAAAAGCAGTAACATATGACTGTTTTCTTTTCATTTGTAAGGTACTTTGTAGATTCCACAGACACCACAGACCTTTCTTCCTTCTTCTTTTTTATTTTCTTTTTTGACAGAGTCTTGCTCTGTTGCCCAGGCTGGAATGCAGTGGCATTTGGCTCACAGCAACCTCCGCCTCCCAGGTTCAAGCAATTCTCCCACCTTAGCCTCCTGAGTAGCTGGGATTACAGGCATGCACCACCATGCCCAGGTAATTTTTGTATTTTTAGCAGAGACAGGGTTTCACCATGTTGGCCAGGCTGGTCTCGAACTCCTGACTTCAAGTGACCCACCTGCCTAGGCCTCCCAAAGTGCTGGGACTACAGGTGTGAGCCACTGCACCTGGCCACTATTTTCTATCTCATTTGATTTTTCCATCACCCCAGAGATATAACCTCTCATATTTCACGAAAGACAAAACTCAAAGCTGAGAAAGTAACATTATTTGGCAATGGCTCAATAGTAACTAGTGGCAGAGACAGAAATAAAACTCGGATTTCATCAGTCTCAAGTCCACAGTTTTCTACCATGTGTCTCCAAAATTCAAATGTTGAAAAATAATTATAAAAACCTTTTTGTGGGGACATTTTCATAGGTCCTTTTTTTCTAAAAGAGCTGGAGGGTCAAGCAGGGCACCTGCATGTAATGTGAAGACCACGTGTGCACAGCATTTCAAACTCAATTCTTAAAACAAGTTAGTAAATAGCACAGTACTCAAGAACTTCTCTCAGCATAGAGTTCAAAAGTCTCAGAGAAAAGACACACAGATATGGCTCCTGCCCTAAAGTGTTTGGAAAGTCACCCGCAACAACAGTGAGACAAATCCATTTCCTGCTTCTTGAGCAATTGCTCTGCTCTCCTTGGCATATTCTGTCCATTTGACTCATCTATATATTTTTTGTTTTGTTTGCTTTTTAGTAATTTCCAGCACACCCTTAAATTTTACAGCCAAATTCTCTTAGAAACAGGGCACAGGATTTGGTACCATAACAGATTTATCTATTTGTAGACATACCAGGTATTGTAAAAATGATTTTTCTGGAAATCTGTACTGGGACTTATATACCATTAAAACTCTACATAGTCACAACTGTCTAACCCCAGCAAAACTCTTACTTTTAGGCAACCCTCTGATTTCTGTCTCCGAAGCATTCCAGAAGTGTAAACATTCCAAGTTTCTTATTATTGCTTGTTTTTATAACAAAGTACTTTTGACAGTTCCATCTATCTTCACAAGGCTGACACTTCACGTTGTATTTCATTATCAGTCCTCCTTTCTTCTCCAATCAGTCTTATTATCTTAGATGACCTTGATGTTTTTGAAGTGTACTCGACAAACATTCTGTAAAATGTCTCTCAATTTAGGTTTTATGTTTCATCATCATTAGAGTAAGGTCATGCGTTTTTGGCAAAAATATCGCAGAGGTTGTGCCCTTCTCAGGGCATCACATCAGGATATATGTGAGGCCAATGTCTTATTATTGGAGATATTAACTTTGATTACTTGGTTAAGGTGGTGTCTGCCAAGCATCTCCACTGCAAAGTAATAATTTTTTCTTTTGTAATTAAATAACGTGTGGAGAGATCATTTGAGACTATGAAACTCTTCTGTTTCTCATACTTTTGCCCATTAATTTAGCATTTGTGCTTGTAACAATCATTTCTGTGTTGTTTGCCAAGTGATTTTTCTATTTTCATGATTCCCTCTACTTACAGTTTGTTAAATGGAATTATCCTACAAGAGCTCTCCCAATTTATTTACCTAATTACTTGCTTTATTTCAGTATGGTCATATTGATGTTTATTTTATTCTGCTGGATAGAATTTATTACTATCATTGTGTACTTTTTGCTCACGTTGTCCCAAATGTGGCCACTGGGAGCTCCTTCAAGTTGACTCACGCATCCTTTGACATGCTCCCGTCATTTTGTGAGCATTTCTTTACTTTTGGGCTCATCTTGTATTCAGCCTGCTCTAGCCCTACACTCAATCCTGTTTCCAAGGACACCTGATTCCTTTTGTTGAAGAATGATACTTAAAAAGCAAAGTCTTTTTATTTAATTTTATTTTTTTGTGAGATGGAGTCTTGCTCTGTTGCCCAAGCTGGAGTGCAATGGCTTGATCTCGGCTCACTGCAACCTCCACCTCCTGGGTTCAAGTGATTCTCCTGTCTCAGCCTCCCAAGTAGCTGAGATTACAGGCATGCATCACCAGCCCGGCTAATTTTTGTATTTTTAGTAGAGACGGGGTTTTGCCACACTGGCCAGGCTGGTCTCGAACTCCTGACCTCAGGTGATCCGCCCACCTCGGCCTCCCAAAGTGCTGGGATTACAGGCAGGAGCCATGGCACCCGGCCAAAAACCAAGGTCTTGATGTTAGATATACTTCCTGGTACTGGCGTGTCACTATTTCTAGGCCTTCTTCTCAGCAGAAAGAACTAAAACATACATGTTTAGCTGTCTGGTAAGGTTTGTCTCTCCCTTGTATTAATAGTTTTACTTTTTCAGTGTTTTCCCGGCTATTCTTATATGATTCTTTTAACCATATGAACAGTAGCATCAATTTGTCTAACTTGATCATAAAAGCATTTTGGTATTTACATGATGATTGTGTTAAATTTGCAAAGTAATCTACAAAAAACTGATATCTTAATAATATTAAGTCGTCCTATCTAAGAACAAGGAATATTGTTTCATTTGTTCAAATTTGCAAATTTCAGAAGTGTTTTAACGTTTTATTCATACAGTTTTTGCACATTTCTTATTTATTCTTAAGTAACCTCCTTTGATGCTATTTTAAATGGGATTTTCACTACCAATATAATATGTCTTCCAATGGCTATGTTTGTGTATACAAAGGCTTTTGATTTCTGCATATTAACTTTATATCCCTGCTACTTTGTTGAAATACTTTGTTGTCTGAATTCATTTATCAGTGATTCTCTAGGGTTTTCCAAGTATACTATCATGTTAACTGCAATAGAGATAGTTTCTCTCTTCTTTACCCAACGCTCATGCCTCTAATTGATCTTTTCTTGTCTAATTACCTGGCTAATATATCTAATATAATATTGAATAAGAGTGAAAATAACGGGCTTTCTTGTCCTGTTACTGATCTTAGTAGAAATACCAATGGGGTTTCCCCATTAAGAAATTGGCTTTAGGACTAAGTGTGTGTGTATATAATGTTAAAGAAGTATCCCTCCATACCTGAGGTACTATTTTCCTTATTTTTTTATTAACAGCTTTATTGAGATATAATTCATAATTCACATATGGCTACACCTTGTTTATCCACACATGAGCTGAGGAACATTTGGGTTGTTTCCATTTTGGGGGTAAGTTAAGTTCAAGTACATGTATATTTTATTTTAGATTCAGAAGGTATATGTGCAGGTTTGTTAAACGGGTAAATTGTGTAATGCTGGCATTTAGGCATCACCCAAATATTTGGGTACCACCAAATAGTACCCAATAGGTAGTTTTTCAAACCGTATATCCCTTATCTCTTTCAGAGTCCTCAGTGTCTCTTGTTTCCGGCTTTATGGCCATGTGTATACACTGTTTAGCCCCCATGTATTAAGAAATAATGTGCAGTATTTTTCTGTTTCTGTATTAATTCACTGAGGATAACAGTCTCCAGCTGCATCCATGTTGCTGCAAAGGACATAATTTTGTTCTTTTTTATGGCTGTGTAGTATTCCATGGTATATATGTACCATATTTTCTTTATCCAATTCACCACCGACGGGTACATAGGTTGATTCCATGACTTTGCTATTGTGAATAGTGTTGCAATAAACATATGAGTGCAGGGAAGGTGTCTTTTTGATAAATGATTTCTTTTCCTTTGGGTACATATTCAGTAGTGTGATTGCTGGGTGGAATGATATTTCTATTTTTAGCTCTTTGAGAAATCTTCATACTGTTTTCCACAGGGGTTGAACTAATTCACATTCCTACCAACAATGTATGTTCTCTTTTCTCCATATCCTTGACAACATGTGTTATATTTTGACTTAATAGTCATTCTGACTGGTGTTGAGATGGTATCTCATTATGGCTGTAACTTGCATTTCTCTGATGATTGTGATGTTGAGCATTTTTTCATGTTTGCTGGCAGCCTGAATTTTTTCTTTTGAGAAGTGTCTATTCATGTCCTTTGCTCACTTTTTAATGGGGTTGTTTCTTTCTTATTTAAGTTTCTTATAGATATTTGTCCTTTGCCAGTTGCATAGTTTGCAAATATTTTCTACCATTCTGTAGATTGTCTGTTCATTCTGTTGTTTCTTTTGCTGTGCAGAAGCTCTTTAGTTTAATTAAGTCCCATTTGTCAATATTTGTTTTTGTTGCATTTGCCTTCGAGGTCTTAGTCATAAATTCTTTGCCCAGGCCAATGTCCAGAAGAGTTTTTCTTCTATGATTTGTATCCTTTGAGGTATTATATTTAAGTTTTTAATCCATCTTTAGTTTTTGTATATGGTGGGAGGTAGGGGTCCAGTTTCATTCTTCTGCATATGGCTAACCAGTTTTCCCAGCACTATTTACTGAATAGAGTGTCCTTTCCTCATTGTTTATTTTTGTTGACTTTGTCAAAAGATCTGTTGGTTGTAGGTGTATGGCTTTATTCCCAGGTCTCTATTTTGTTCCTTTGATCTATGCATCTGTTTTTGTAACAGTTCGATGCTGTTTTCATTACCTACAGTGTTTGCAGTATATTACCTTGAAGTCAGGTAATGTGATGCCTAAGACTTTGTTCTTTTTGCTTAGGATTGTTTTGGCTATTTGGCTCTTTTGTGTTTCCACATGAATTTTATAATTTTTTTCTAATTTCATGAAAAATGACATTGGTAGTTTGATAGGAATTACATTGAATCTGTAGACTGTTTGGGCAGTATAACCATTTAAATGATACTGATTCTTCCAATCCACGAGCATGGAATGTTTTTCCACTTGTTTGTGTCATCTCTGATTTCTTTCATCAGTGTCTTATAGTTCTCCTTCTAGAGATCTTTCACCTCCTCGGATAAATGTATTCCTAGGTATTTTATTTCATTTTTTTGCTATTGTAAATGGGATTGTATTCTTGATTTGGTTCTCAGCTTGAAAGTTACTGGTGTATAGGAATGCTACTGATTTCGGGTGCTGATTCTGAATCCTGAAACTTTACTGAAGTTGTTTATCAAGTCTGAGAGTCTTTTGGAGGAACTTTTAGGGTTTTCTAGGTATAGAATCGTATCATCAACGAACGGATAATTTGATTTCCTCTTTTCCTATTTGGATGACCTTTATTCTTTCTCTTGCCTGACTGCTCTGGCTAGGACTTTTAGTACTATGTTCAATAGGAGTGGTGAGAGTAGGCATACTTGTCTTGTTCCAGTGTTAGGGGGAACACTTTCAACTTTTGCCCATTCAGTATGATGTTGGCTGTGGGTTTGTCATAGATGGCTCTTATTATTTTGAGGTACATTCCGTTGATGCCTAGTTTGTTGAGAGTTTTTATCATGTTGGGATACTGGATTTTAATCAAAGACTTTTTTCACATCTATTGAGATGATACAGATTTTGTTTTTAATTCTGTTTATGTGGTGAATCACATATATTGATTTGTGTTTATTGAACCATCCTTGCATCCCAGGAATAAAGCTTTCTTGAGCATGATGAATTATCTTTTTGATATGCTGCTGAATTCAGCTGGCTACTTATTTGATGAAGATTTTTGTGTCTATGTTCATCAGAGATATTGGCTTGTTATTTTCCTTTTTGTATCCTTGTCAGATTTTGGTATCAGGATGATACTGGTTTCATAGAATGAGTTAGGGAGGAATCCTGCCCCCTCAACTTTTTGGAATAGTTTCAACAAGATTGGTACCAGCCCTTCTTTGTCATGTCTGGTAGAATTCGGATGTGAATTCACCTGCTCCGGGGCTTTCTTTTCCATTGGTAGATTTTTATTATTGACTCAATTTTGTAACTCATTATTGGCCTGTTCAGGATTTTGATTTCTTCCTGGTTCAACCTTGGGAAGCTGTGTGTTTCCAGGGATTTATCCATTTCCTCTAGATTTTCTACTTTGTGTGTGTAGAGATATTTGCAGTACTCTCTGAGGATCTTTTCTGTTTCTGTGCTATCAGCTGTAATCTCATCTCTGTCATTTTCAATTTGTGCTTATTTGGATCTTTTTTTTTTTTTTTTTTTTTCTGTCGCCCAGGCTGGAGTGCAGTGGCGCCATCTCGGCTCACTGTAACCTCCGCCTCCCGGATTCAAGCAGTTCTCCTGCCTCAGCCTCCCTAGTAGCTGGGATTATAGACATGTGCCACCATGCCCAGCTAATTGTTTTGTATTTTTAGTAGAGATGGGGTTTCACCATATTGGCCAGGCTGGTCTCAAACTCTTGACCTTATGATCCACCTGCCTCAGCCTCCCAAAGTGCTGGGATTACAGGCATGAGCCACCGTGCCCGGCCCTTTTTTTTTTTTGTTAATCTAGCGAGTAGTCTATCAATCTTGTTTATCCTTTCAAAGAACCAACTTTTTGTTTCACTGACTCTTTTTTTTTTTTGGTCTCAATTTCATTTAGTTCTCCTCTGATTTTAGTTATTTCTTCTCTTCTGCTAGCTCTGGGTTTAGTGTGTTCTGTTTTTTCTAGTTCCTTTAGGTCCAACAATTAGTTGTTAACTTGAGATTTTTCTGTTTTCTTGATGTAGGCACTTAGTGGTATAAACATTCCCTTTGCTGTATCCCAGAGGCTTTGGTATATTGTGTCTCTATTTTCATTTGTTTTAAAGAATTCCCTCAATTTTGTGTTTATTCCAAAGTCAATCAGAGGACCAAACTGTTTAGTTTCCATGTATTCATTGTTGTTGTTGTTGTTTTTTTTTTTTAGATGGAGTCTCTCTCTGTCACCCAGGCTGGAGTGCAGTGGTGTGATCTTGGCTCACTGCAACCTCTGCCTCCCGGGTTCAAGCAATTCTCCTGCCTCAGCCTCCCAAGTAGCTAGGACTACAGGCACGTGCCACCATTCCCGGCTAATTTTTTTGTATTTTCTTTTTTAGTAGAGATGGGACTTTCACTGTGTTAGCCAGGATGGTCTTGATCTCCTGACCTCGTGAGCCTCCTGCCTCGGCCTCCCAAAGTGCTGTGATTACAGGCATGAGCCACCGCACCCGGCCCTATTTGTGTGGTTTTGAGAGTTTCTCTTGGTATTAATTTCTAGTTTTATTCCACTGTGGTCTGAGAAGATGCTTGACAGGATTTCAATTTTTTGAATTTGTTGAGGCTTGCTTTATGACTGAGCAGGTAGTCAATCTTTGAGAATGTTCTGTGCATAGATAAGAAGAATGTATATTCTGTGGTTGTTGGATAGAGTATTCTAGACATCTATTAGGTCTATTTGGTCAAATGTCAAATTTAAGTCCAGAATTAGTATTCTGCCTTGATAGTCTGTTTAATGAGATACTGAAATCCCCTACTTTTACTGTATCGCTATCTCTTTTCTTAGGTCTGGTATTCGTTTTATAAATCTGGATGCTCTGATGTTGGGTGAGTATGTACATAGGATAATTAAATCTTCTGGTTGAATCGAACCCTTTATTATATAATGCAATTTTTTTTTACTGTTGTTGGTTTAAAGTCTGTTTTATCTGATACAAGAATAGCAACTCCTACTCTTTTGTTTTCTATTTGCATGATCTCTCTCCTTCCCTTTACTTTGAGTCTATAGATGTCATTACATGTGAGATGGGTCTCTTGAAGGCAATAGAAGGTTGGGTTCAAGCACATGTACTGATATATCTGAGTCTCAACTCTGTCATAATTATTTCATATTCATATTTGCCATGTTTCCCTCTCTATAGGATATATATTATGCCTTCTTTAACACATTAATTTTTCTGGTATTTAAGGAAGTTCGTGTTTTTGTTCTATGGTTATCTTTGTACTTATGTCTTATTAAATGACCTTATCCCCTTGGATTTTTATTTAATCATTTCTTATCTGGCTTGCCAGTTTTTGTCAGCATTCTGTAAGTTACACCTATTGCCTAGATGGCAATCGATAAGCTCCTTCTACTTTACTTTTTCCTTTTTCTCTCTTCCCATTTCTAAGCGCATTATTTTTTATTTTGTTTTTAGAGACGGTCTGTCACTCAGGCTAGAGTGCAGTGGTCCAATCATAGCTCACTGCACCCTCAAGTTCCTGGACTCAAGGATTCCTGAGAGGCTCCTGCCTCAGCCTCTCAAGCAGCTGTGACTCTAAGTGTATGTAACCATGCCTGGCTAATTTTAAAAATTCTTTGTAGAGACAGGGTCTTGCTATGTTGCCCAGGCTTGTCTCAAACTCCTAACCTCAAGCTATCCTCCTGCTTTGGCCTCCCAAAGTGCTAGGACAACACGCATGAGCCACCACTCCCAGTCAAGCTGCGTTACTAACAGTTTGTCACCACTTTTTGTATATTAGTCTTCCACCCTCTTTCCCACCTTTCAGTCTCAAATCTACATTTATATATACCAAAATGCTCACTATCATTCCTTTTGCTAAAATATACTAGTTATTTCTTGGTGGGATAAGTTCATCCTCTGGTACATCACGCCCAAACAGCTTTCTGTGTGGACAGAAATGTTCCATGTCTTCACTCTCCAGCATGGTACCCACTATTACATGTGGCTACTGAGCACCTAAAATGTTGACTAATACAATGAATTAACTCTTACATATTTATAAATTACAATTTATTTAAATTACTACTAAAAGCCACTGGATTATATACTTTCTTAAGAGGATGAATTTTATGGTGTGTGTATACCTAAAAAGCTACATGTGACTACAGGCTTTGAATCAGACTTAACAGCTTTAGCAGATTCCTGGAGAAGGGATCATGGGTGCACAGATCTCTAAGTCCTTGAGGTCTTTAAAAAAACAGCTTTATAGGGACGTAATTCACATAATATAAAATATACCCTTTTAAATTGTGTGACTTAGTGATTTTTTAGTTTTTTTCACAAACTTGTGCAACCATCACCACCATATAATTCCACAACAGTTTCATCATTCCATAAAGAAACCCTATACCCATCTGTAGTCACTCATCATTTCTCCCTTCCTCACATCCCCTGGATCTACTTTCTATCTGTATGGATTTGCCAAATCCAAATATTTCATATAAAAAGAATCATACAGCATGTATCCTTTTGTGTCTGGCTTCTTTCACTTAGCATACTGCTTTCAGGGTTTATCCATGTTGCTGCATATACTAGTACCTTTTACTGGTGAATAATATTCCACTATCTATTATAACAGTTTGTTTATCCATTAATCAAGTGGTAGACATTTGAGTTCTACTTTCCAGTTGTTATGAATAATGTTGCTATCAACATTCATATACAAGTTTGGTGTAAACATATATGCTTTCATTTCTCTTGGGTATATACCTAAGAGTAGAACTGCTGGGTAATATTGTGTTTAATTATTTGAGGAACTGACAATCTGTTTTCCAAAGTACTTGCATCACTTTACATTCCTGCCAGCAGTGTACGAGGTTTCAGTTTCTCTCCATTTTGTCCAATATTTGTTACTGTGTTTTTGATTATAGCCACCCTAGTGGGTATAAGTCATATCTGATTGTGGTTTTTGTTTACATTTCCCCAATGGCTAATGATGTTAAGCATCTTTTTATGTGTTTCTTGGCCATTTGTATATTTTCTTTTGAGACATGTCTATTCAAATCCTGTGAGCATATTTTTCATTCAGCTATTTGTCTTCTTTATTGTGAATTGTAAGAGTTCTTTCAAGTTCCCTATCAGATATATTTCTGTGGGTTGCACGTTCACTTTCTTGATGGTATCCTTTGAAGCACACAAGTTTTAAATTTTGATCAAATCCAATTTATCTATTTTTTTAGTTGTTGCTTATGTTTTTGGTGCTTACATGTTTAACAGTTTTCTATAACTTAGATCTTAAAGGAGACTTGGCTTGATATAAAAACCCTGAGTCAATCTTTCATTAAGTTTTTAAAAAACATTACTCCGTTATTACCTTGCATTGTATAATGTTTTTGAGAAGTCTAATGACAATCTAAATATTTGCCTTTTAAAACTATTTTATCTTTTTACTGGTGGTCATAATTATTTATATCTTCAAAATCTAATAGTTTTAATATAATAAGTTTTAAAATGGAACATTCTGGGTTTATTCCAGGTATCCAATCGATACTCTTTTTCACATGTACTTTAAGGTATTTTGTTTGTTGTTGAAAAAATTCCTTGAATGGTATTTTTAAATAATAGTTCTGTCAATTTTTTTTTTGTCTTTGTTCTTCAAGGACACATATACAAATGTTATGCCTTTTGGATCTGTCTTCCATTTCCACTGTTTTATCTCTAACTTTTTCAAATAATTCTTTATCTTATTTTCATCCTCTTCATTTTCCTTTGTTTCTTTAATGTCCCTTATTAATTTTTCGGGTGTATTCTCCCTTGGGCACCCTGTAATTACTCCTCATTTCTCAGATAACTGTCATTTTCTTCCATTTTCTGAGTTCAATCACTTCTTTCCAGCCCTTCCTGTTTGTCCACTTTGTTCTCAGTTCCTTAATTTCTTTGTTTTATATCATAAAATGTTCACTTGACTATATTTAATTTTGCTGGGAATGTTGTCTTATAGTTTTCTTAGGCTTCACAATAGATTTTTTGGGGTACGAACTATTCGACAGTGGACATATGTTGTTTTTTGCTTTCTTATTTTGGGAGCCAATAACCCAATATGGATCTGTTCATCTTTTTCCCAGTCATTTTCAGGGTATCAGGTTGTTTTTACAAGTTTCTTAGTTCGATGCTATATCTTCTATCAGCACAGATAAGTGAAGATACATTAAGGGATCTCTTTGTTTGGACTGAGTAGGGAAGGGCTGTGTGTCCTCTGATGTTCTGGTTCACTTGTCTTGTAGAACCTTTAGTTTTCCCCATTTGCTTCGCTTCCTCTTTACCAATCCAATTGCCAATTTTCCTTCAATTACTGTATTTCTGGCTTGCTATCCCTTCAAGTTGCACTTACTTATACCTAAACTTAGGTGGTAGTGGTAGACCCACCTAAAGCCCCACTACCAGCTTTCCTCTTCTCTCTTCCCCAGTTTTTCTGAATCTGCCGTCGCTTGACACAAAACCTTAGGGTATAGCATGGATACAGTCAAAGTGTAATTGCTGGGAATTGATGCTTATTTCTCTTTTTATTTATAAATTATCCTCTCACTGAATTAAGATGGGGGCTATCACACTTTGGAGCTGCTAAAGGAACAACATTTCTCACAGAAGATGCTCTAGCTCAGTAGGGTGCAATCTGGCTGCACTTCCTAATTCTCTAGGGAGCTTTCCTTAGTGCAGAATTCTCAACTTCAACTCGGAGATATTCTTGTTAAGTAGGTCAGGGTAGGGCCTCAAAATCTATATAGCAGAATTCTGATGGCTGGCAGAGTTGAGAATCATCGTGGTGCAAAAACCCCTGTCCTAATGCATTTTCATGGTTTCTGGGGATACGCACACCCCTCACTGGCAGGGTGGACTCGCCCATCTCATCCATTTTAGGAGCATCAGAGAAACAGGGGCAAAGATGACCAAAGCAGTCTCTCAGAGTACAGGCAGAACTCTTCTGATAATCTACGAAGGGCCTCTTTTCAATCTCAGAGCAATGTTCACAGCTGAACACAGGAATACTTGGAAGCTTCTGGCTAAACCTTTCTGGTTTGTTCTGGTTAAGAAAAATGGAGTTTGCCACCAGAACTCCAACCTTGCTAAGATTACATAATCGGCCACTTTCCAATGCCCCCACTCAACTCCGTTCTCCAGGACTGAGGTAGATTTTTTTGGGAGAAATAGGGGAGAGAAAAGAATGAAAATTCTCTTCCCCTTCATAGTATTCTAAACATCATTGACTGATTCTCTAGTTTTGAAAAAATTGTCAGTTGATTTTGATGTAATAACCCTGGTTAAGAACTATACCTTAAAATATTTGAGGAACACAACACTTTAAAAAGCAGAGAGGGGATGTATATGTTATCTAGAAATATCTCTAGACACATTCAGTTTTTCCATTAAAATCCTTCTTTTATAAAAATCTATTTGTTTCAGCAGTAGTACCTGGGTCACCTTAAGCTTTCAGTGTGTTCAGCAGACCATCTGCACTGGAGTCACTGGGGGAGCCTTGATAAACATACAGTTCCCAGACTATCCCTCTAAAATCGAAGGGAGAAGACCTGAGATAAGAGCCAAGAATCTGCATGTTTGGTAAGTACTCTAGGAAATTCTGAAAACACTTTGAGAAACACTATCTTAGTCCACTGTGACTCTGAAAACATCAGAACTTCACTCTCAAAACATCAGAACTTCACGATACATCAGAATGTCAAAAGATAGCCCTCGTCACTGAAAAAAATAGTTGCCTACAACTCAGATTTTTAAAATGCCAGAAATATCTGTCTTTGCCAAAAGGCACCAGTTGTCATGGTCAATCGATCATGCTCTTCTAAATTTTCTGTTCCCTTTTAGTCCCTTTGATATTTACACATATTCTGAGTCACTGAAACTTATGGCCTGTAATGTGACTAATACTCTGGGAATATTTAATAAGCACACATGAGCAATTACCACAAAGCTCATTTGAACATACACTTCCCCAACTTCTGCCCCTGAAAATACCTTGTACTAGTCCACCCAGGAATAAAAACAGACCTGGCTGCCCTCCCAGAGCAGGGACCTATAACTCCCCTTTAAAGGGTCCATTTTCGGCTTTGTTAATTAGGCTGACTTTAATAGGAAAAGCGGTCTGGCCATCAAATGTGCATGCAGATGCTAGATGGACAGGGAGTCAGCCAATGCCAAGATTTCAGGAAGAAACAGAAGGATGGCAATCCCTCTGGCAATGTCTCATCCACTCCGGTGACCCATGGAGAATGTCTACCCTCCTTGCACCCATCTGTTGATGACAACTAATTATCTGAAACTCTTTTGGGGTTTCCATCAGGAAAATCCTCAACTCTAATTAAAAAGACAGGTAAATGAGAAATCTAGGCCCATGATCTAGATTAGAATATCTTCCTCAAGTATTTAGAGGAAGATGAAGATAACTAAAAGTTGTCTAATGTAACATAGATTCCCCTGTTTGTTATTTGGTTACCAAATAGCTTCCTGCTACCAGGTATAGCAGATTAATATATACTATTCTAAAGTTGTAATACCTTTTTTTCATTTTTTGAGACACGGTCACACTCTGTAACCCAGGCTGGAGTGTAGGTGGCGTGATCAGAGCTCACGGCAGCCTCGAACTCCTAGGCTCAAGGGATCCTCCCACCTCAGCCTTCCAAGTCCAGAGGTGTGTGCCACCACACCTGACTTTTTTTTTTTTTTTTTTTTTTTCAATTTGTAGTGACAGGGTCTTGCCATGTTGCCCAGGCTGGTCTCAAACTCCTAGGCTCAAGCAATCCTCCCGTGTTGGCCTCCCAAAGTTCTGGGATTATAGGTGTCAGCCACTGTGTCTGGCCCTGTAATACTTAACAGACAGTATCACGTAATTAAAACTATGAGACTGGCTTTAGCAGGCAAAATTCAGAGCAAAGGAAAACTCTCATGAGTCAAAATATGGTCTTCTGCTCTGTGTCCAACAACACATGCTTCTCTGATATTTCTCTTGACACTTGGTAGTGCAAGTTCTACTTCAGAACACGAACCACTGAAACATATAAAGCCCTTTCCTCAGTTATATAACGAAACACAGAACTGTAACCATAATTTATTATCACAAAAAAATATAAAAAAGGAATTTCCATATTTTTAAGATTTGTATTAAGTAGCAAACTGAATGGAAGGGCAACTGAAGCAAAGTCTCACCAATGCCTGCAGCTATTTGCCAAACACACAGCTTTGTATCATCCAACAACAAAATGTTGCTCATTATACCATGAGCCTAAATTATACTAGACCAACCGTGTAATTTTCCGTCTATTCTACCTTCTTAAACCTACCTTTCACTATAGTTTATTGTGCAGTTAGTTTAAACTCTTCATTCGATTGTAAGCTTCTTGAGGATAATTCCTATGTTTAGTCATTTCTCAATGTCCTATGCATCCAGCACAGTGATTTAAACTCATTGAGATGTCTGCTACATTGAACCATGTGAACAAAAACAAATCACAACTGAAACCACCTGCAAGAAGCCAGTCACAAAGAATCTTTCCTAAAAACTGTCTTTAATATTTTAAATTTCATGTTTTCCGGGTTGGCCTACTTCAACAACTGTCAGTACTAGTTTATTCATTTCCCCCTCAAACTCATCAAACCAAATACACGATATTTGTCAATTTTCCTGAGTTTAAATTATGCCTCAATAAAAAAAAGTAATAAAATTTTTAAAAATAGGTAGGTAAAAATTTCCATTATTGAGGTTGTGCAAAGAGGCTAAGTATTAACCTTTAAAGGCAATAATTTGGTGGAAATCATTAGAAAATATGATTTTTCTTATCTTCTAACAAGTGAACTAATACAAAAATAGGTTTAAAAAAACAGCTAATCAAATTTATCCCACCCCCTTCACATAATCCTGTCTGCCCAAGATAATTAACAATCTTAACTTTTCTCTCTGATTCTACTATATCAGTTGCTATGCTATGCTGGAGATGTAGCAATTACAGCTTGGAAAACAAAGGTGCAGGAGTATGTCTTCTTGAAAAAGTTTCTTATTTCTCCCATTTTTTGGTCATTTGTTTTACTCTCATAAAATAAAACAAAGATATTTGCCCCTTCTCATTCCCCCAACCCTTTACTCCAGAACTCTCCTGTGCCAGAAATGCATTTATCCTGCCCTGTCCTCCCCTCGCAGCCTCCAAAGGCTGGCAAATTGTCCCCCACGGTCCCTGTTTTCAAAAATGCAGCTGGCTGTAGACAGGTCAGTCTATTTGTATGGGGATTTCTGCCTAAATGCCTTTAGCTAACACTGCTGGCCTAGCTTATGATAGCAGTGTCCTTCCACTGGCTCAGTTCACATCTTTGTTCAGTTCACATTCACGTTCCAGTTCACACAATCCTTCCTTTTCCAACATACAGGTACCGTTTGGGAATTGCACAAATAAGCAAAATGAGAAAACCCAGGTTTAGAATGACCTGCACAGAATTACAAAGCCAACAATGAAGGCAGTGGTTCTCAATCCTGGGAGTCACCACAATCCCCTAAAACTACAACTGTTCTTACTTAAATCCTTGTCCAAACACATCTAAACATGAAAATACAGTCTCCAGAGAATGAAATACAGAAACGTCCTTGTAAAATCAAATTCTCAGGAATGAATAAAGAATGATTATTATCTATTGGAAATTCTAGCACTGATAACCTCTAATAGTTGTGAACTTACCAGAATTGGCCAGATTCAGAAATGGTTTTTATTTCATTCAGGCTCCTAAAACCTAAATCCATTCCTTTATTTGGTTCTACAGATTCAGCGTAGAACTCTAGGGGAACAAGTGGATTCTCATTATGATATAACTTATAATTCTCCATAGGAGAAGAAATCAAATTTTATAGTATTCACAACCAAAAAGCATATGTCTAAAGTGATCTGTCTCTGCACACTGTGCTTTGATATTAACGTAAAAACAAGAATTCTAGCCTGGTGCGGTGGCTCATGCCTGTAACCCCAGCACTTTGGGAGGCCAAGGCGGGTGGATCACTTGAGATCAGAAGTTTAAGACCAGCCTGGTCAACATGGGGAAACCCCATCTCTACTAAAATTACAAAAATTAGCTGGAAGTGGTGGCATGCGCCTGTAATCCCGGCTATTTGGGAGGCTGAGGGAAGAGAATCACTTGAACCCAGGAGGTGGAGGTTGCAATGAGCTGAGATCACACCACTGCACTCCAAGCCTGGGCCACAAAGCTAGACTCCGTCTCCAAAACAAACAAACAAACAAACAAACAAACAAACAAAAAACCCAAAACCAAAAAACAAGAATTCTTTCAATGATCTTGAAACATTTCACTTTTTACCAGGAGGATGACACAGTACTGGCCAATTACAATATGACAATCCCATTTTCTCATAGTTCTATTGTTTCTTTATAATTATTCCAGTTGGAATTCATTATAACTTACATGAGTACACTGAAAATAATTTTCTTTTTAAGTGAGGAAAACAGAACGAAAGGAAAAAGAAGAGTGCTAGAAATGTTCTATATCTTGTTCTGGGTAAGGTGGTCCTTGCAACCATTTCCATAAATATGTAAAAATTCATTGAGCAGTAGGCTTAAAAGTTGGACACTTTACTGAATGTAAGTCATATTTTTGTAGTAAGATTTTTTTACTCTTATTAAAGATTTATGGAAAAGATGAGGAAGAAAAAAATATAAAGCCAGGAATGAAGGTAGTATTTGAAATTCCTTAAATTCTCTATCATTTATTACACAAATATTTTTTGAGCACTTTCCTTTATTCCAGACACAGTGTAAGATGTTGATGATAAAACTATAATTAAGACACAGTCACTGGCCACATGGTGTTAGTAATCTAATAATGGAGAGAGACAAGTGAACAAGAAATTACAATACAGTGTGTGATGAGTATTACAGCAGGAGTAAGCTCAGGGAGTTAGGAACATGCAGTGGGAAATCTAATTCGGCTTAGGAGAGACAGAGATCGCAGACGGCCATTTCACCCACATAATATGACACATGCTGAAACATAGCTAACATTTATTTTGTAAGGTAAAAAGATCTGTCATCATTTCCTTCTCTTCTCTGCACTTCTAGAAGCAAAATTAAATTTAACGTTTTTGTCTTCATTATGAGATACACTAAAAGTTAGATCCTTCATATTGTCTCTAAAGTAATGGTCACTCCCTAAAAATAAACATGGGAGCAGAAGTCAAAATAACTCAGGTTATGAAACACTTGAGAATGATGCACATGGGTTCTGAAGCAAACAAGATGCTCCAAAGTAAGTTAACAGCCACTGTTACTTAAAGCTTTCTTTAAAGAAAATTCTGTATGTGGCAACTTATCACAACAAAATAACAGAGCTTCATTTAATGTTGAAATTAACCTCTCCCTCCCATTCAAAACAACTTCAAATGCTTAGTGTATGATACAAGTAATTTAGGAAAATTTTGTTTGTTCAAAACAAAATAATTGAATTGAATGTGGAATTAATTATGATAAAGATAAGAAGGACTGTTTAAAAAACAATAAGTCCTAGGCGTGGTGGCTCATACCTATAATCCCAGTATTTTGGGAGGCCAAGGTGGGTGGATCACTTGAGCCCAGGAGTTCGAAACCAGCCTGGCCAACATGGCAAAACCCCACCTCTACTAAAAATACAAAAAATTAGCTGGGCGTGGTGGCACATGCCTGTAGTTCCAGCTACTTGGGAGGCTGAGGCAGGAGAATCGCTTGAACCTGGGAGGCAGAGGTTCCAGTGAGCCGAGATCACACCACTGCACTCCAGCGTAGGCGACAGAGTGCGACTCTGTCTCAAAAGATCAAAAAACAAAAAACACCACCAACAACAAAAAACAATAACAACTAAGCTAACTCTGGGACAATTCATCTCCATCTCCCAAAGTCCCAAACATGTGAAAGCGGGAACAGAGAATCATAAGATAATTAAGCTAAGCCTGGCATGGGATGTGACCAGGTAGTAACAGAGCAGCACACTTCTCATCCTTGTTTTACACCTACATCCCCATGACACATGTTTATGGACAATGTAACCTACTTTGCTCCAGAGAGCAGCAAAGTTAATAAAGAATCTATAGGTTGCTCCTGACTCCATCGCCTACAAAATGGTCAGTAAAGTGGCTGGCAAAACTATTTCCTTCACAAATCTGGGACAGATACATACTCAGAAAGTTTATACAGTCTCAGGTCACGAAAGACAAAGATACAAATGAGGGAATATTTATAGACTCAGATGATAAACAAGACAAATGGCTTTACCTGTCAGCCTTCATCAGAAGGTTAGGTGGGAGCTCAAGGAGCTGGTTGTGTTGCACATCCAAGACCTCCACCGAGGTTCTTTCTAGCCTTTCAGGCAGCCTTGCCAACTGGTTGTGTCCTGCCAGTAGTTTCCGGAGACTGCTATTACAAAATAAGCTGTATAAAAAGGGACAAAAGACCAAAAAATGAAAAAGAGTAAAGAATACTTAAAATTACCTCTCCAAAAATCACAAATTCACTTGGAGCAACTACAAATTCATTTTAATATAAATTCAAACTTGAAACTATTTGTTTCAATACTTTCTATATACTCAAAAAAAGGAGGAAGGAAAAAACTATGTAAACAAATATTGAGCAAAGAAGCTCTACATAGCAAAAAACAAGTTCTATAGATGTACGCACTGAAGAGATCAGTCTAATCTTGTTAGGGTCACAAGGCAAGCTTTCAAAGGCTGCATGCTTCTCCAGAGTAGGGCTTGTATCTTGTATTGTCCCAGAATGCTGGGTGCTTTACCCATAAGAGATTCTGAGTAAACACAACTGAGCAGTCTTTACCTACAGGATCTGCATTAAATAAAGGGTTCTTCAATCAAACTTTTACAAATGTCCACTGAGAAAATGTTATGTTTTTCCTCAGTTGCATTTATTTCACAATCCTAATTATTTCTTCTTTGCCTCACTTCCCTGGCTGTATGTCTGTTTTTTCTAGCTTAATCCTAGACCAAGGTAGAGACTGTCTCCCGAAAGAGCAGCATGTACTTAATCCACTGTTTTCTTGAGAGACTTAAAGAGCTGTTTGGAAGCTTGGCTGTGTTTCTTGTAAAGGTCACCAGAACTGTCAGAGATGATGAATACTTGTTAATCTAATGTAAATCTACATTATGACCACTTCAGACTTCTCCAACATTACAGAGAAAACAGGCCCTGGGTTTAAACAGACATCTGGGGGGTGGGGAAAAGTGAGGTTACAATTTGCATCCTGATCACTTTAGATCAAGAATTAATTTATCAATCTGCCTAATTAATAAATTAATTTATTAATCTGCTGTCAAAGAATGAGGCTTCCTCATCCACCTCCTGTTTTCCACCATTCTGATCTCACTCACAAATGCCCACAATTTTTTAAAGTTAATTTTTAATTAACACAAATTAGCATATATTTATGGTGTAAAACATGTTTTAATATACGTATACATTGTGGGATGGCTAAATCAAGCTAATTATCATATGCATTACCTCACATATTTATCTTTTTTTTTTTGTGATGAGAACATTTATATCTACTCCCTTAGCTATTTTCAAGAATACAAGACATTGTTATTAACTGTAGTTACAATGCTGCGCAATAGGTCTCTTGAACTTACTCTTCCTGTCTAATCCAAATTTTGTATCCTTCAATCCACAAGAGTTAAAAATCTCCATAACATTAGGGAATAACTTTATTCACTTTAAATAGCAAATGGAGTTTCTTTGCTCACAAAGATGCTAGCAACCTGTCTCAACCCTGTGACACCACAGGCCCCAATTAAAGATCCCTGAGTTGGCAGGTTTAGCTATCAGTGTGACAAGACAGATTATCCAGGCCAGATTATCTATGCAGTTACCATTACCACAGGGCAGTCTCTGTAATGGTCACTCCAGCCTATTAGCTCAGCATGTGGTTCATCATATATATATATATATATTTATCCTTTACCACATAAATAACTAAAAGGTGATAAAATCTTTTATCTTTATTTTTCCAAATAAAAAAGATCAACTATAGGACGAATACTGAATGCTAATTATTGGGTTTAGTTCAATTCTTTTGGGTACTGTCTAAACATTAAAATACTTTCTTTCCTTTTCAATACATTTCCGCCTCTAATAATTTCTCTTTTGTCAAACTCTTTTTTTTTTTTTTTTTTTTGAGACAGAGTCTCACTCTGTCGCCCAGGCTGGAGTGCAATGGCGCAATCTTGGCTCACTGCAACCTCCGCCTCCTGGGTTCAAGTGATTCTCCTGCCTCAGCCTCCAGAGTAGCTGGGACTACAGGCGTGCACCACCATGCCTAGCTAATTTTCATATTTTTTAGTAGAGACGGGGTTTCACCATGTTGGTCAGGCTGGTCTTGAACTCCTGACCTCAGTTGATCCGCCTGCCTCGGCCTCCCCATGTGCTGGGATTACAGGCATGAGCCACTGTGCCTGGCCCTGTCAAACTCTTTATATACCTTACTTGGATAGACAAAGTATGAGTATTAAATCAATTTTAATGAATCATTGCCTTGCCTGAATTTTTTTTTTTCTTTTTCTTTTTAAGAGGCAGGGTCTCAGCTCCGTTGCCCAGGCTGGAGTGCAGTGATGCAATCATAGGTCACTGTAACCTCAACCTCCTAGGCTCAAGCAATCCTCCTGCCTCAAGCCTTCCAAGTAGCTGGGACTACAGGCACACGCCACCATATCTAGCTAATTTTATTTTTTGCAGAGATAGGTTCTTGCAGTGTTGCCCAGGCTGGTCTTGAACTCCTGGGCTCAAGCAATCTTCCTGCCTTGGCCTCCCAGCGTGCTGAGACTACAGGCAAGAGCCACGGTGCCCAGCCTTGCCTATTACATCAACAACAGGGCTCACACAGAGTTTGCAATTGAACAACACTATAAACAGAAAAACAATGCATACTCTTTTTGTCCCACATGTTAAACACACACACACACACACACACACACACACACACACACAAAGAATACTGTTTAAATTCTTTAACAATAGAGCATTTGGGATTTGCATTGAATAAGCATTTGTTTAGATTCTCAAAAAGCCTGTTCTGATACAGAACAAATTAAAGATCAACAAATTTGGGAGGAAAATTGGATAAAATGTCAGTTATCTTGAATTTGTTTGTTTATATATATAAATATATAATATATAAATATATAATATGTTAATGTATAATATATACAAATATAAAAAATATATAAAATATATCTTTGTAGCCTTCAGCAAAACAGAGAACTTGGATGCCAATGTGCTATCTGTGGGATTGAGGGGTGGAGGTGGGAAAGAGAACAGAGAAAATAGAAAAGGCTAGGTGTGGTGGCTCATGGCTATAATCCCAGCACTTTGGGAGGCTGAGGCAGGCGGATCACCTGAGGTCAGGAGTTCAAGAACAGCCTGGTCAACATAGTGAAACCCCGTCTCTACTAAAAATACAAAAATTAGCTGGGCATGGTGGTGCGTACCTGTAGTCCCAGCTACTCGGGAGGCTGAGGCACGAGAATTGCTGGAACCCGGGAGGCAGAGGTTGCAGTGAGCCAAGATCGCACCACTGCATTGCAGCCTGGGCAACAGACTGAGACTCTGTCTCAAAAAAAAAAAAAAAAAAAAAAAAGAATAGAAGGAAAGAAAATAGAAGAAAAGATAAGGTAAAAAATTTTTTTCAACGAATTATTTTTTTCCCTACTGTTTTCATTTTTCCTGTTCCTCTACTAAAAGGGTCATGCATGGACACACACACACACACACACACACACCCACCCTCTTGTTAATGGTGATGGCTGCAATGGGTCACTTGAATGCTCAGTCAACATAATATTCTAGGGCAGAAAGCACTTTCAAATGGATCGTATTTACAGGTAAAATGTATTGCTGCAGAACATAATGAAATTAACAGAGCTTTTCAGGGATGAAAATATAACTCAGATTTCTTTAATAAGAGCTACATTCTAACACAGTGTTATCAAATATAAGCCACATGTAATTTTAAATTATCTAGTAGCCACATTAAAAGAAAGAATAAAAGAACAAGTAAATGAATTCTCAGAGTATTATTTCATTTAACCCAGAATATACCCCAAATATTAACATGTAATTAATGTACACTATTATTAATATTTTATATTCCATGTACATTTTACACTTATAGCACTTCTCAATTAGGACTAGTCACATTTCAGGTGCTCAACAGTCACTTGGCTAATGGCTGGCTGGGGGCTACCATACTGGACAGCTCAACTCTAACATGTTTACTAGGCTTACCAAGCAAGTATATCTTCTGGGTAAGGAAACAGGAATGGTGATCACATACCTTTAAAGATTGTGCACTAAAGTAAAAGTTTACTCCAAAATGGTGACATACTTCTATAATATTTTCACTGATGTTTCTGACTACACATAGCTAAAAATAACTGACTTCCTCTGTTCAGTGACTGGCTGAGAATGGTGGAAATAATAAGACCTGGGTTGAGGCAGCCACAAGTAACTATATGAATTTGTTAATTGGAATTAATGGATACACAAAATTCAGTTCCTCAGTCACATTAGCCACATTGCAAGTGCTCAATAGCCACAGACGGCCAGTGGATACCATACTGGCCAGCACAGATGCAGAGCACTTCAATCATCACAGAAAGTTCTACAGGACAGCACTGGATAGACTCTTGGTTACTAACTGCATGGCTAGTCACTAAAAGTCCACTAATATTTTGGACCATGATTAGTCAACTTGAAAATATCTGTCTGTATTTACAGACAATAGAAGTCATCGCGTGGCTGTTTTGCAAATCCTGCCATTGAAGTGAAAATTATAAAATAAAAATAAGAACATATTTAAGAGAGAGAAGGAAAGAGAAGTTCTTGAACCTTCTACTCCCAAATTTCACAACAAGAAAAAGAGAATCTAGTTTGCTCTTTCTAGGTTTCATGACCTAACCATCTTTTTCCCCCGTCAAAGTTAAAGTCTAGGGAGAACAAAAGGTATTTATGGTTAAAGTAGACATGTTAAGTCAATGAACAGAGGTGGAAGATTCTGAAAGACTTAAGATTCCAGAAGTGGGCCAATCATATTGTTTGCTTCAAAGATTGTTTTTGGCTTACTTAAAAATTTCCACCAAGCACCACTGCCTGCATGGTTTTGAAAAGTCTGGCTGACAGTCAAAGCCTCACTCTACTCCTCACTGCACTGCATGAAGCAAGTGTGTAACTTGAAGACACCACATGGGGTAAAAGACACCATATTAGTTTTTAAAGCAAACTCTTTTAGGCTTATGATACCAAGTTAAACACTGAATCAGCAATTTTTAAAATTGCTCATTTATTGTGAGATCCTCTCATTTGATCTGTAATACTCACCGGGCAGGAAGTTCACATATTTGATTATGGCCAATATCCAAAACTTCTAGCTTTCGGCTTTCACATACCCACTCAGGCACATTTTCTAAGCGGTTCCTAAATGCAAGAACATAAAAGTAATTGGTTGAATTTGTCCTCAAATGTGGTTCTAAACTCAAATTGATTACAAAGAATAAATAAAACCTCAAATAAAATACCAAAGTACCAAGGGCATAAATCGAAAGAATGTGTGGATTCGCTTTTCTCTAGAAGCAAGATGAATTGTGATAGGGAGAAGAAATAAAGAAAAAGTAAGGAAGAGGCAGAGCACAGTGGCTCACGCCTATGGGAGGATCACTTGTGCCCAAGAGTTCGAGATCAGCCTGGGCAACAAAGCGAGACTCCATTTCTACAAAACATAAAAAATTAGTTGCTCATGGTGGCATGCACCTATAGTCCCAGCTACTCAAAAGGGTACAGTGGGAGGACTGCTGGAGTAGAGGAGTTCGAGGTTTACAAGTGAGCTATGATCTCATCACTGCACTCCAACCTGGGTGACAGCATGAGACCCTATCTTTAGGTTAAATTAAACTTTTAAAAAGAAGGAAGGACATAGTTACATAGTCTGTATCATCTCTAAAGTCTAAAAAAACAGTCTAGCTCCAAATTTACTTTCCTAAAGGGTCTATAGACCTATGCCAAGTTCAGGGAGAATATGTGTTATATTGAACATAAAAACACACGAAGTCAATGGCATATCATAGTTTTATTTTCAAATTTGTATTTTTACACTTAATATTAAAATATTTCCCAACTCCAGCTGTCATCATGAAAACACAGCCATGGACAAATGGGAAGGGAGAGAAACAGTTTTAAAATGGTGGCAGTGAAAAGTTCACTGACAGTTAAGACTCAGAATTAATTATTTAAAAACATTTACTTGGGCACTAGATGGTAATTACAGTTACTATAAAAAAGAGAACTAGGCCAGGCATGGTAGCTCATGCTTGTAATCCCGGCACTTTGGGAGGCCCAGGCTGCAGATCACCGGAGGTCAGGAGTTTGACACAAGCCTGACTAACATGGTGAAACCCTGTCTCTACTAAAAAAATACAAAAATTAGCCGGGTGTGGTGGCACATGGCTATAATCCCAGCTACTCAGGAGGCTGAGGCACGAGAATCGTTTGAACCCGGGAGGCGGAGGTTGCCGTGAGCCAAGATCACACCATTGCACTCCAGACTGGGCAACAAGAGCGAAACTCTGTCTCAAAAAAAAAAAAAAAAAAAAAGAGAGAGAGAGAACTAAACTAATGGTGTCTTTAACTATTAAATGAATTGATCATTACTTAGATAAACTACTCTATTTGAATGTGTCCCTAGTCACACTGGTTAGCTTTTTACTTTCTTTTTAAAATACATAAAATGATCAGGCACAAAGAATTTCAAACAGTACGTACATTATGACAATTCTTTATACACAGATGAGTAATTCTGTGAAAACATGATGCTTGGGATAAGAATTATAAGATATTACAGCAAAAGGAAAAATAATTTTGATGTTAGGGTGGTGGAATTATGCACTATTTATGTTCTTTAATTTTGCAATTATATCTACTCCTCAATTAAAATACAGAAATAGAAGGAATTATTTTCTGCTTAGTGTCTGTATAAGCACATACAGTTCTGGATTTGAAGCCCTAAACATTGACATGCTCATTTTTTTTTTTAATTGTTAATATCTAAAACATCTCAACAGGATAGGGGATTGAAAGTATTCTTTAGTAAAAACAACCCCAACATACAAAAATTAAAACTTCTGTAAGTGATAAAATAACTTAGAACTTTGCATGGAGGAACCTGACCTAGTAAACACTGTGATAGGTGACAGCACGGGAGGTGGATGAGGTAGTGTGTTATAGTGAAGATTCTGGGCATGAGAGTGGCCACAGGAAGATGAATTATCATTTAAGAGGCAGAATTCAGAGACAAGCATGACACAAGAGTTTCCAATTCAGTCTCACTTAGGGGTTTCAATGGCTACCATTTGCTGATTACACTGTTTTTAAAAAGTAGTTTAACTCTATGACTAATTCTTGAAAATACATCTGGGCCGGGCATGGTGGTTCATGCCTATAATCCCAGCCCTTTGGGAGGCCAAGGCGGGTGGATCACTTGAGGTCAGGAGTTCCAGACCAGCCTGGCCAACACGGTGAAACCCCATCTCTACAGAAATACAAGAAAATTAGCCAGGCATGGTGGTGTGTGCCTGTAATCCCAGCTGCTCAGGAGGCTGGAGCAGGAGAATCATTTGAACCCAGGAAGTAGAGGTTGCAGTGAGCCAAGATTGCGCCACTGCACTCCAGCCTAGGCAACAGAGCGAGACTCCATCTCAAAAAAACAAAAAAAGAAAAGAACTGTTCAAGATATTTATATGCATCCATGTACGCAAATCCCATTCCTATACTCTTCCTATACTGCTCTTATTCAAAATGTGAAAATAACATTTGGGGTTGCTGGGGGGTGGGAGGAGTGGGTGGGGAAAGAAAACTAATTAGGTAATGTCTGATTTAAGTTAATTAAATAAAATTATCTGATAGGTAGTAGGAAATGCATGAAGCACTACTCAAAGAGTTTTATGATTTTATAATTATATATTTATAATAAAAAAAAATTTTTTTTTTGATGGATCAGGTTTTTTATTATTTTTTTTTTAATTTTTTTTTTTTATTATACTCTAAGTTTTAGGGTACATGTGCACATTGTGCAGGTTAGTTACATATGTATACATGTCCCATGCTAGTGCGCTGCACCCACTAACGTGTCATCTAGCATTAGGTATATCTCCCAATGCTATCCCTCCCCCCTCCCCCGACCCCACCACAGTCCCCAGAGTGTGATATTCCCCTTCCTGTGTCCAAGTGATCTCATTGTTCAATTCCCACCTATGAGTGAGAATATGCGGTGTTTGGTTTTTTGTTCTTGCGATAGTTTACTGAGAATGATGGTTTCCAATTTCATCCATGTCCCTACAAAGGACATGAACTCATCATTTTTTATGGCTGCATAGTATTCCATGGTGTATATGTGCCACATTTTCTTAATCCAGTCTATCATTGTTGGACATTTGGGTTGGTTCCAAGTCTTTGCTATTGTGAATAGTGCCGCAATAAACATACGTGTGCATGTGTCTTTATAGCAGCATGATTTATAGTCCTTTGGGTATATACCCAGTAATGGGATGGCTGGGTCAAATGGTATTTCTAGTTCTAGATCCCTGAGGAATCACCACACTGACTTCCACAATGGTTGAACTAGTTTACAGTCCCACCAACAGTGTAAAAGTGTTCCTATTTCTCCACATCCTCTCCAGCACCTGTTGTTTCCTGACTTTTTAATGATTGCCATTCTAACTGGTGTGAGATGATATCTCATAGTGGTTTTGATTTGCATTTCTCTGATGGCCAGTGATGATGAGCATTTCTTCATGTGTTTTTTGGCTGCATAAATGTCTTCTTTTGAGAAGTGTCTGTTCATGTCCTTCGCCCACTTTTTGATGGGGTTGTTTGTTTTTTTCTTGTAAATTTGTTTGAGTTCATTGTAGATTCTGGATATTAGCCCTTTGTCAGATGAGTAGGTTGCGAAAATTTTCTCCCATGTTGTAGGTTGCCTGTTCACTCTGATGGTAGTTTCTTTTGCTGTGCAGAAGCTCTTTAGTTTCGTTAGATCCCATTTGTCAATTTTGGCTTTTGTTGCCATTGCTTTTGGTGTTTTGGACATGAAGTCCTTGCCCACGCCTATGTCCTGAATGGTAATGCCTAGGTTTTCTTCTAGGGTTTTTATGGTTTTAGGTCTAACGTTTAAATCTTTAATCCATCTTGAATTGATTTTTGTAAAAGGTGTAAGGAAGGGATCCAGTTTCAGCTTTCTACATATGGCTAGCCAGTTTTCCCAGCACCATTTATTAAATAGGGAATCCTTTCCCCATTGCTTGTTTTTCTCAGGTTTGTCAAAGATCAGATAGTTGTAGATATGTGGCATTATTTCTGAGGGCTCTGTTCTGTTCCATTGATCTATATCTCTGTTTTGGTACCAGTACCATGCTGTTTTGGTTACTGTAGCCTTGTAGTATAGTTTGAAGTCAGGTAGTGTGATGCCTCCAGCTTTGTTCTTTTGGCTTAGGATTGACTTGGCGATGTGGGCTCTTTTTTGGTTCCATATGAACTTTAAAGTAGTTTTTTCCAATTCTGTGAAGAAAGTCATTGGTAGCTTGATGGGGATGGCATTGAATCTGTAAATTACCTTGGGCAGTATGGCCATTTTCATGATATTGATTCTTCCTACCCATGAGCATGGAATGTTCTTCCATTTGTTTGTGTCCTCTTTTATTTCCTTGAGCAGTGGTTTGTAGTTCTCCTTGAAGAGGTCCTTCACATCCCTTGTAAGTTGGATTCCTACGTATTTTATTCTCTTTGAAGCAATTGTGAATGGGAGTTCACTCATGATTTGGCTCTCTGTTTGTCTGTTGTTGGTGTATAAGAATGCTTGTGATTTTTGTACATTGATTTTGTATCCTGAGACTTTGCTGAAGTTGCTTATCAGCTTAAGGAGATTTTGGGCTGAGACGATGGGGTTTTCTAGATAAACAATCATGTCGTCTGCAAACAGGGACAATTTGACTTCCTCTTTTCCTAATTGAATACCCTTTATTTCCTTCTCCTGCCTGATTGCCCTGGCCAGAACTTCCAACACTATGTTGAATAGGAGCGGTGAGAGAGGGCATCCCTGTCTTGTGCCAGTTTTCAAAGGGAATGTTTCCAGTTTTTGCCCATTCAGAATGATATTGGCTGTGGGTTTGTCATAGATAGCTCTTATTATTTTGAAATACGTCCCATCAATACCTAATTTATTGAGAGTTTTTAGCATGAAGTGTTGTTGAATTTTGTCAAAGGCATTTTCTGCATCTATTGAGATAATCATGTGGTTTTTGTCTTTGGCTCTGTTTATATGCTGGATTACATTTATTGATTTGCATATATTGAACCAGCCTTGCATCCCAGGGATGAAGCCCACTTGATCATGGTGGATAAGCTTTTTGATGTGCTGCTGGATTCGGTTTGCCAGTATTTTATTGAGGATTTTTGCGTCAATGTTCATCAAGGATATTGGTCTAAAATTCTCTTTTTTGGTTGTGTCTCTGCCCGGCTTTGGTATCAGAATGATGCTGGCCTCATAAAATGAGTTAGGGAGGATTCCCTCTTTTTCTATTGATTGGAATAGTTTCAGAAGGAATGGTACCAGTTCCTCCTTGTACCTCTGGTAGAATTCGGCTGTGAATCCATCTGGTCCTGGACTCTTTTTGGTTGGTAAACTATTGATTATTGCCACAATTTCAGAGCCTGTTATTGGTCTATTCAGAGATTCAACTTCTTCCTGGTTTAGTCTTGGGAGAGTGTATGTGTCGAGGAATGTATCCATTTCTTCTAGCTTTTCTAGTTTATTTGCGTAGAGGTGTTTGTAGTATTCTCTGATGGTAGTTTGTATTTCTGTGGGATCGGTGGTGATATCCCCTTTATCATTTTTTATTGTGTCTATTTGATTCTTCTCTCTTTTTTTCTTTATTAGTCTTGCTAGCGGTCTATCAATTTTGTTGATCCTTTCAAAAAACCAGCTCCTGGATTCATTGATTTTTTGAAGGGTTTTTTGTGTCTCTATTTCCTTCAGTTCTGCTCTGATTTTAGTTATTTCTTGCCTTCTGCTAGCTTTTGAATGTGTTTGCTCTTGCTTTTCTAGTTCTTTTAATTGTGATGTTAGGGTGTCAATTTTGGATCTTTCCTGCTTTCTCTTGTAGGCATTTAGTGCTATAAATTTCCCTCTACACACTGCTTTGAATGCGTCCCAGAGATTCTGGTATGTGGTGTCTTTGTTCTCGTTGGTTTCAAAGAACATCTTTATTTCTGCCTTCATTTCGTTACGTACCCAGTAGTCATTCAGGAGCAGGTTGTTCAGTTTCCATGTAGTTGAGCGGCTTTGAGTGAGATTCTTAATCCTGAGTTCTAGTTTGATTGCACTGTGGTCTGAGAGATAGTTTGTTATAATTTCTGTTCTTTTACATTTGCTGAGGAGAGCTTTACTTCCAACTATGTGGTCAATTTTGGAATAGGTGTGGTGTGGTGCTGAAAAAAATGTATATTCTGTTGATTTGGGGTGGAGAGTTCTGTAGATGTCTATTAGGTCTGCTTGGTGCAGAGCTGAGTTCAATTCCTGGGTATCCTTGTTGACTTTCTGTCTCATTGATCTGTCTAATGTTGACAGTGGGGTGTTAAAGTCTCCCATTATTAATGTGTGGGAGTCTAAGTCTCTTTGTAGGTCACTCAGGACTTGCTTTATGAATCTGGGTGCTCCTGTATTGGGTGCATAAATATTTAGGATAGTTAGCTCCTCTTGTTGGATTGATCCCTTTACCATTATGTAATGGCCTTCTTTGTCTCTTTTGATCTTTGTTGGTTTAAAGTCTGTTTTATCAGAGACTAGGATTGCAACCCCTGCCTTTTTTTGTTTTCCATTGGCTTGGTAGATCTTCCTCCATCCTTTTATTTTGAGCCTATGTGTGTCTCTGCACGTGAGATGGGTTTCCTGAATACAGCACACTGATGGGTCTTGACTCTTTATCCAACTTGCCAGTCTGTGTCTTTTAATTGCAGAATTTAGTCCATTTACATTTAAAGTTAATATTGTTATGTGTGAATTTGATCCTGTCATTATGATGTTAGCTGGTGATTTTGCTCATTAGTTGATGCAGTTTCTTCCTAGTCTCGATGGTCTTTACATTTTGGCATGATTTTGCAGCGGCTGGTACCGGTTGTTCCTTTCCATGTTTAGCGCTTCCTTCAGGAGCTCTTTTAGGGCAGGCCTGGTGGTGACAAAATCTCTCAGCATTTGCTTGTCTATAAAGTATTTTATTTCTCCTTCACTTATGAAGCTTAGTTTGGCTGGATATGAAATTCTGGTTTGAAAATTCTTTTCTTTAAGAATGTTGAATATTGGCCCCCACTCTCTTCTGGCTTGTAGGGTTTCTGCCGAGAGATCCGCTGTTAGTCTGATGGGCTTTCCTTTGAGGGTAACCCGACCTTTCTCTCTGGCTGCCCTTAACATTTTTTCCTTCATTTCAACTTTGGTGAATCTGACAATTATGTGTCTTGGAGTTGCTCTTCTCGAGGAGTATCTTTGTGGCGTTCTCTGTATTTCCTGAATCTGAACGTTGGCCTGCCTTGCTAGATTGGGGAAGTTCTCCTGGATAATATCCTGCAGAGTGTTTTCCAACTTGGTTCCATTCTCCACATCACTTTCAGGTACACCAATCAGACGTAGATTTGGTCTTTTCACATAGTCCCATATTTCTTGGAGGCTTTGCTCATTTCTTTTTATTCTTTTTTCTCTAAACTTCCCTTCTCGCTTCATTTCATCTTCCATTGCTGATACCCTTTCTTCCAGTTGATCGCATCGGCTCCTGAGGCTTCTGCATTCTTCACGTAGTTCTCGAGCCTTGGTTTTCAGCTCCATCAGCTCCTTTAAGCACTTCTCTGTATTGGTTATTCTAGTTATACATTCTTCTAAATTTTTTTCAAAGTTTTCAACTTCTTTGCCTTTGGTTTGAATGTCCTCCCGTAGCTCAGAGTAATTTGATCGTCTGAAGCCTTCTTCTCTCAGCTCGTCAAAATCATTCTCCATCCAGCTTTGTTCTGTTGCTGGTGAGGAACTGCGTTCCTTTGGAGGAGGAGAGGCGCTCTGCGTTTTAGAGTTTCCAGTTTTTCTGTTCTGTTTTTTCCCCATCTTTGTGGTTTTATCTACTTTTGGTCTTTGATGATGGTGATGTACAGATGGGTTTTCGGTGTAGATGTCCTTTCTGGTTGTTAGTTTTCCTTCTAACAGACAGGACCCTCAGCTGCAGGTCTGTTGGAATACCCTGCCGTGTGAGGTGTCAGTGTGCCCCTGCTGGGGGGTGCCTCCCAGTTAGGCTGCTCGGGGGTCAGGTGTCAGGGACCCACTTGAGGAGGCAGTCTGCCCGTTCTCAGATCTCCAGCTGCGTGCTGGGAGAACCACTGCTCTCTTCAAAGCTGTCAGACAGGGACACTTAAGTCTGCAGAGGTTACTGCTGTCTTTTTGTTTGTCTGTGCCCTGCCCCCAGAGGTGGAGCCTACAGAGGCAGGCAGGCCTCCTTGAGCTGTGGTGGGCTCCACCCAGTTCGAGCTTCCCGGCTGCTTTGTTTACCTAAGCAAGCCTGGGCAATGGCGGGCGCCCCTCCCCCAGCCTCGTTGCCGCCTTGCAGTTTGATCTCAGACTGCTGTGCTAGCAATCAGCGAGATTCCGTGGGCGTAGGACCCTCTGAGCCAGGTGTGGGATATAGTCTCGTGGTGCGCCGTTTCTTAAGCCGGTCTGAAAAGCGCAATATTCGGGTGGGAGTGACCCGATTTTCCAGGTGCGTCCGTCACCCCTTTCTTTGACTCGGAAAGGGAACTCCCTGACCCCTTGCGCTTCCCAGGTGAGGCAATGCCTCGCCCTGCTTCGGCTCGCGCATGGTGCACACACACACTGGCCTGCGCCCACTGTCTGGCACTCCCTAGTGAGATGAACCCGGTACCTCAGATGGAAATGCAGAAATCACCCGTCTTCTGCGTCGCTCACGCTGGGAGCTGTAGACCGGAGCTGTTCCTATTCGGCCATCTTGGCTCCTCCCCCAATAAAAATTTAACTGTAATATTTTCCCAATAGCTAAGTACTGACACATCTTGCATAATTATGATTGAATAGATTATTAAAATAGCTAAGCCTGTGTAATCTCAAGATAAAAGGCAAAATTCTGTAGAAGACAAATCATACAATAGTTGTGATTAAAAAGCATGGTGACTGTTAATAAACACACCAGAATTTAAGCCCTGAAATGAGTTAACAGTTGTCACCTTGAGTGGGCCACAAACTCCCTATGTTTAGAACATTTTTGTGTATCTCCTTTGGAGTTACCTTCCAAATGAGTTGCAATTTTAAAATTCATTGTTAAAAATTTTTAAGTTTACGTGGTATAAATACATACTGTAGACACTGTCAAGCCTTTGTGCCTTCAAGAAAAAGTCTACTATAATATTTGTGGGAACCGCAATAAATATAATACACTGCAGAAGCAAATTACCATAAAAGGTAAAATAGTTAGCATATTCAAAAAGGAGCTAAGAAAACCAAGCAGGTTGTAGAGAATTTCTATTTTGATAGGCTTTGTCATTATTTCCTAAGAATTTTTAGCGAAGAGATATATGTCTAAACAAGGGGTGTAAGAAATCCAAAGAAATAAAGCACTTAAAAAATTAAATCATCCTAAGACTTGGCAGAGTTTGAAAAAAAATTTTGAAAATAAAAAATAAAATTAACATTACTTCAGGGAAAGACAAAAAAATATGATTCATATAATGAAAAGAGTTATTAGAGCTTTAAGCCATATGGCCCTCAACTTACTCACCTTTCAAGTCCAAATGTGTGTTCAAATTGGTGTGCACAGGCACTTTGATGCTCTGGTTTGAACTACAAATGTATTTTAATCAATAGATATATATAATTTTAGAGAATAAAGTAAAAATCATTAATTTTTTAGCATTTACCTTCAAAATATTAAAAAGTACTTGTGCATAAGCTCAGACAGAATTACTAAATAATTTTCTAGTAGACTCTAGAGGGCTCTAAGACTTGACTTCTTACCTTGAAACATCCATGTAGGACAGATAATTTGGAACTGGGTAAACATCAAGTTGAACAAGTTCTAGGAAGAAAAAAAAAAACCCCACAAAGACATTACTATACAAATGACATAGAGACTCTTTTTGTATGTGGAACGTCATTACTGTGCTTTATTCTCTATTGTTTGTTTAGTTTAGGAAGTACAATACATCATTTGTTTAACTTTGAAAGTGCAGGAAAAGTAAAAAAGAACTTTTAATCACAAGATCTTCTTCAGAGATTGAAATACATCATGCATTCTAATTTCCTACCTCTTTGCTATCCATTTACTGTTGCTCTTATTGTTATGCAGGCTGTATCACATCTGAAAGATTAACCACGAGTACCATCCTTTTAAAACCCAAGGGTCCTTCCATAAAACCAAGTAATGCTTCTTGTCTTTTGCCCTCATCACCTTACTGAAACAGCACTCCAGTGGGTCACAAATGACTTATTTTACTTAAATCTGAAACACTTCCTGAACACTTTATGAAATATGACACCACTGTCCCCTGTCACTGTGTTTCTTGGACAAGAGTAGTTTGTAAATGTCCTTCTGCTTCTCTAAACAATTACCAAGTAATTCACAGGTGCAGCTCCTATCTGGTTGCCCAGTCTGGCTGCAGCTAAGTGTGAGGGGCTTGTAAGTTGACCTTTGGTACTAGCACTCTCCTCTCTTCCAGTTACCTTACTTCCCTGGTTTCAGGTATCACCTCTGAGCAGGTAAGTCTCAAATCAACATATGTAATCTTGACTACAAGTTCCCATTAACCCACATGAAGCCCATCACAATAACTTGGATTAGTGGAGTAGTGGATTACCCTCAACCTTCTTCTATAAATGCATTCTGTACACACTATTTTCACATTAACTGCCTTAAAGCATCACTTCCATCAAGTCTCCTCCACTTTAGAGTCTCTACTGGTTCTCTATCGCTTACTAAGCTAAGGGCAATGCTTGACCATCTGACAAAAGCATGCATCCCCTAATTACTTCTATGGGTTCAGAATTCCCTGTTTTCTCCCAACTGCCGAACAAGCCACATTCAGATTCTTTCTTCCTACTTCATTCCCACTGGTTATCTAAATCCTATAACCCTTCAGTGCTCAGCCAAACTGATTACACTAGAAAATATACCTATTTGAGGCTTGGCTTGTTTTTCTGAGATAACAGTAATCACATTTGAAAAATCCTTCATCTTTCAGAGCTCATGAGCTGCACTATGCATAAAACAAGTGCGTGATAAACATATGTTCAACTTGCAGTAGTGAACACTTGTTTTCATTCAGTTTACTGACTGTAGGGAATGGAAACCTTCATCTTAGCAAACATATGCCCATACTACCTTTTCTTTTTTGGAACTGCCCTGATTTTCAGATTCTTAGGAAGAAATATTATTAAATGATTAAGACTCTAGCTTCATGGTGTCCTTCTTGTGCATATATCATTCTAGTTTATCTTTTTTAAATTATCTTTTCTTGTCTTTTTTTTTTTTTTGAGACAGGGTCTCGCTCTGTCAACCAGGCTGGAGTGCAGTAGTGTGATCTCAGACGACCGCAGCCTCCACCTCCTGGGCTCCAGCAATCCTCCTGCCTCAGCTTCCCATTCCCAAGTAGCTGGGACTACAGGCATACACCACCACGCCCAGCTAACATTCTGGTTTATATTAAGGTGAGTTCTTTGTTAGTCAAACATGAAACTGGAGATCCCGAATGGAGTCAAAATAAAACTTCCTTTCATTCTCCAGTATTAAATAAAGGTTCCAGATTTAGTAATAAGGTAGTAAAGATCTCTAGATCTTGGTAATGTAGCCCAAGAAATAGTTCACTTTTCTCTCTTCCTTTAAGCAGAAAAATCAAATCAAAAGTGGGAGTAACTTATCCAAATCACAATACGAGAAAAAAATTAGGGACAATAAAATTTTCCTTTTTGAGTCCTTTAAACAATAAGTCAGCATTTTTCTTTTGTGACTTTTATTTTAGCAAAATTTGAGCTATTTTACTAACTACTTGAGCAAAGAATAATCAGAAGCAGAAATAATGATGCTGGGTAAATTCCTGGAACCAAAAGAGCAACTTTGATGTAGCCTATGATACATACCATTAGAAGAGGCATAGAGCGCTTTTAGGAAATAGCCACAGATGTCTAATGTGACCAGTTGATTCCTTTCACAGTGTAAAACTTCAATGTTGTTGAAAATCATAGCATCTAGATCACCAAGCTTATTGTCTCGTAGGTCAAGCTGAGTAACATGCTGTAGAAAGTCCACTTCATCTGCTATCAGCTTCCTAATTACGTTCAACCTTGAGGGCAAAGGACATAGAGACTATAATTAACTGCAATGCTATAAGTAAATGGGCACACCCTAATATGAGAAATAGCGAGAAAGAACTCAGTTCTCTCTGTATTATAGTTCTCCATGATTTTTGGAATCTCAGCATCCGGCCTTTCTTAACTAGCCAGAGTATCTATTTTTAGCTATAATTCCAGGAGGTTTTAACCTTCACAATATATTCTGAAACACAAGTGACACCACTACAGCTGGGAGAGGAATAAGCACATTGACTTTACCTTAATTCACTTCAAGAGGGAAAAAAATTCCACTTAAGCACTGACTTCCAAAGAACTAGGAACTGACATCCAAGGAACTGTGAAACTATCTACACCATACCGAAAAGAACATAAGAAACAAAACTCAGAACAACTGTTAGGCACATCACAACTACAACGAATATTTAATGAAGGAGAGAGGATGCATGAACAGGCGGATGAGTAGCATGGAATTAAAGGTTGAGGTGGAAAAACAGTAATGGACGGGAGTCACACAACGAATAAGAGTTGCACACTGAATGGGAGCACCAGAGATGGGAATGCAAGTACATGACTCCCAACTGCTCAGGACCAGGATGAACCACCAAAACTATCTCTGTCTATAAAATACTGCTTGATAGAGTGAAGTGCAGAAAATACTGAAATCCGGCATCTAGAATCCATTGAGAAATCTTAGAATGCCGGACAAAAATGGGAACCAACACCTCTGTGATGAAGCAAGGCACAGGGGAAAACTGGCGGAATCTCTAGCCATAAGAACTAGTGAGCTAACTGACTGAAGTTGCTGTGGATGAACTATCAGAAAATAAGTAGTAATGGGGACTAGGAACCAAAATAACAAAGACATATTTAGCTTCAAAAGGGAGAAAAATAGATGGAAATGTCAATTTCCAGTTTGTTAGGCTATGTCTAACTCCTTTAAAAACAAACAACAAAAACCATCTATTTTCCATTACAAAGCCAGCAAAGTGCTGAGATGATGCACTTGTTTAGAAAAGTATTAATATAGGATGGGTGCGATGGCTCACACCTGTAATCCCAGCACTTTGGGAGGCTGAGGTGGGTGTTTCACGAGGTCAGGAGTTCGAGACCAGCCTGGCCAGCATGGTGAAACCCCATCTCTACTAAAAAAAAAATACAAAAAATTAGCTGGGCATGGTGGCACACGCCTGTAATCCCAGCTACTCGGGAAGCTGAGGCAGGAGAACTGCTTAAACCCAGGAGGTGGAGGTTGTGGTGAGCCAAGATCACGCCATTGCACTCTAGCCTGGGCGACAGAGCGAGACTCCATCTCAAAAAAAAAAAAAGAAAAAAGGAGTATTAATATAAGTCTAGAGTACAGGAAAAAGCTAGAGTTTCTCTATAGTGAATTTCTGTCCTTTAAAAAAATAAAATAAACCTATGGAAAATGAATTAAGAATAATATCCTAAAGCCACTGAAACACAAGGATGAGTTCCAGCAAAGAGCTGGGATTTGTCAACACGCAAGCACAGCATATGGCCTTTTCCAATGGCCCTAAGAGGATGTTTTTTTGGCTCTTTCTCTTTTTTTATTCCAGGTTGTAAGATTTAAAAACTGGCCTTGACCCAGCAATCTGCTTATTTCCAAATGCTCACTAGATTACTAGAATGTGTAAACAGAATAAAAAAGAAAAAACACATCTCATCTTGGGTACAACAGACTGCAGGAATGGAACAAATGTCCCATCTTCTTCCCAATCTACACTTCAAATAACCTTCATAATGGCTTTATCATCTTCACTTGAAAGAGCCACACACAATTTCATTCAATACAATGAAATTGTATTAGTACTAAAATAATAAGCATTGAATTAATAAGGAGACAAAAAAATCTATAACAAAAGCAAAGTTAATGTAACAAAAAAGAAAGCTAACATTTGGCTTAAGTTGTTAACTCTCACCATGACTGAAATACCAAGTTTTCAGGTTCACACAGTAATTCAGCTACTTAGGATGAACCGTTTTATTATTTGTTTAATTGACAGATAAAACTGTACATATTTATTGTGTACAGCATGACTTTTGAAATATACGTAAACTGTGAAGTGACTAATTCTAGCTAGTTCACATGCACTATCTCACATAGTTATTTGTGAGATATTTCACTTTTGTGGTGAAAATACATCCACTCTCTTAGCATTGTTCAAGAATACAATATATTATGGCAGGGTGTGGTAGCTCAAACTCTGTAATCCTACCACTTTGGGAGGCTGAAGTAGAAGGTTCGTTTGAGACCAGACTGGGCAACAGAGCAAGACCCCATCTCTACAAAAAATAAAAAATTAGCCAGCCATGGTGGCACGTGCCTATACTCCCAGCTATTTGAGAGGCTGGGGCAGGAAGATCACTCGAACCCAGGAGTTTGAGGCTGCAGTGAACTGTGATTGCACCACAGCTTGGGTAACAAGCTGTGATTGCATTCCAGCTTGGGTAACAAAGTGAGACCCTGTCTCAAAAAAAAAAAAAAAAAAAAAAAAAAAAGAAAGAAAAAGAAAAAACAAGAATACAAACAACTACAACATATTGTTGACCACAGTCACCATGATGTAACTAGGACAAACTTTTTATTTATTTATTTATTTATTTATTTATTTATTTATTTATTTATTTATTATTTTAAGGCAAAGTCTTGCTCTGTCACCCAGGTTGGAGTGCAGTGGTGCGATCTTGGCCCACTGCAACCTCCGCCTCCTGGGTTCAAACAAGTCTCCTGCCTTAGCCTACCGAGTAGTTGGGACTACAGGAACATGCCACCACAGCCAGCTAATTTTTGCATTTTTAGTAGAGGCGGGGTTTTGCCATGTTGGCCAGGCTGGTCTTGAACTCCTGACCTCAGGTGATCCACCTGCCTCGGCCTCCCAAAGTGCTGAGATTACAGGCAGGAGCCACTGCACCTGGCCCAGACAAACTTTTTAAAAGGCAAAATATGATGAAAATTCCCTTCTGGCCAGGCGTGGTTACTCATGCCTGTAATTCTCAGCACTTGGGGAGGCTAAGGCAGGAGAACAACTTGAGCCCAAGAGTTTGAGCCAGCCTAGGCAACAAACTGCGGTCCCATCTCTCTAAAAAATTTAAAAATTAGCCAAGTGTGGTAGTGTGTACTTTTCATCCCAGCTACACAGGAGGCTGAGGGAGGGGGATCACTTAAGTCCAGGAGATCAAGGCTCTAATGACCTGCGCTTGTACCGCTGCACTCCAGCCTGTAGAAGGGCTATGGTGATGGTGACAACGATGATGACCTATGGCTTTGTTGCAGTAAGAGATGAATAAAACAAGGTGTTTTTCAACAGATTTCACAATTTAGTAAGGAGAGTCAAATATGTTTTATAAAATACAGGAACTACAGGTATGTGGTAAGTGCCACGAATGATGTATAAAATGTAGAGAATGGTTTTTTAAAAAAGAGGCTATGGAAAAGGAAGCAAATCATCTGATTCCCAAGAGTAGGCAGAATGGAACAGGTGTACATGGGAGAAGAAAAGCAGGTGCGAGGAAGCAATGGAACAGCCTCTGCATCAAACAGAAGAGCACAGGGCAAGTTTGGTGCCTGCCTGAATAGCTTCTACAGGAGGGCAGGGGATGCAAGGGTCTGTGCTACAAAGGTGGGTGAGGCAATTAACCAAGGACTGGACCTACTAAGGACTCACACTGGGGTTGAAGGATAAATAAAAACAGTGCTTAAATTATCTATGGTGAAGGAGACCTATTTTCTAAAGTTGTAATTCATGACAGACTGATGTATAGTACACAACCCATACACAGCTCACATCACATGCAACTCACTGTGCAAGTTTGACAACATCTAAATTAGTTGAGGCCAGGCGCAGTGGCTCATGGCTGTAATCCCAGCACTTTGGGAGGCCGAAGCAGTTGGATCACTTGAGGTCAGGAGTTTGAGACCAACCTGGCCAACATGGTGAAACCCTGTCTCTACTAAAAATACAAAAAATTAGCCGGTCATGGTGATGGGCGCCTGTAATCCCAGTTACTTGGGAGGCTGAGGCAGGAAAATTGCTTAAATCTGGGAAGCGGAGGTTGCAGTGAGCCGAGATCACACCACTGCACTCCAGTCTGGGCAACAAGAAATTCCGTCTCAAAAAATAATAATAATAATAATAAATAAAACAAAATAAAAAAAACTAGTTGATTCCCTGTACAGCAAGAATCAACTCGTAATGCAGTTGGATATTGTGGCAATGTCAAATCATTATATGTTACTAAAATATTAGTCTTAACTTCTGTACACATCTCATTGTGGAAAAGTAGCAAATAGTTAACTTGCCACCACAGGTTGGAGGCCCACACATGAGCAGCTCAGAGATAGAGCCTCATCCTCAAATGACTCACATACCAGTGGGCTGAAACCAAATATGAGGGCTTGAGTACCTTGAACTAGAGAACCGCAGGCTCTGAGCAAAATTGTGCTTGCTTGGGAGGCTGCACAATGGAAGCAAATGGCTCAGGTAGAAGACAACAGTCACAGTGAGAAGAAAAAGGAAGGGATAAAAGACAGAAACTCATGTAAAAGAAGAGCTGACAGAATCAGCCAAGAGTTGTGTGTCTGGAAAACCAATGAGGTGGTGTTGCTATCAGCAAAAAAAGAAATCCATGAGAAAGAATTGGTTGAGTAAGAAAGACACTGAACTCTGTTTTACATGTATTTGGTTAAATGTGTGAATAGGGAAAACCAAGAAGTTATCCAGCTGGCAGCTTAAGTGGAACTGGTCTCAAGAAGTCAAAGAAGGAATAGGGAAAGACTGGGGAATGATTAACATCAAGATGAAAGGTGAAAATGAAGCCTGAGAGTATATGCAACCCCCAAGGCAGAAAACATGGATAGAAAGAGAACTGACCAAGAAGTAACAGCCACACTTTGTACAAAGAGGAGAAAGAGGAGAAGGGAGGAGGAATTATTAATGATGCCACAGAAGAAATAATATCAAACTCAAACAACATCAATGCAAAGAAAAAAATAATCAATCTGATGTACCATTTCCATTTAAAGGGAAAAAAAATTGAATAAAAGTGGCCCTTTACTTAGAGAAACTAAGCAAGACTCTCCTTAAATTACTCCACTAGCTTTGATTTTAAGTATTAAGGCAGAATTAGGCTGGGTGTGGTGGCTCATGTCTGTAATTCCAGCACTTTGAGAGGTCGAGGCAGGTGGATCACTTGAGGTCAGGAGTTCAAGACCAGTCTGGCCAATATGGTGAACCCCTGTCTTCAGTAAAAATACAAAAACTAGCCAGGTGTGGTGGCGGGCACTTGTAATCCCAGCTACTCGGGAGGTTGAGGGAGGAGAATCTCTTGAACCCAGGAGGTGGAGGTTGCAGTGAGCTGAGATCATGCCACTGCACTCCAGCCTGGGCGACAGACAGATACTCTATCTCTGAAAACAGAAGCAAAAACAAAAACAATAAACAACAAATAAAGTATTAAGGCAGAATTAGAACAAACCTATCTGATTTTCCCCTCCTCAGCTCAGGAGCCAGGAAGGAAGCAGTTACTCATGGTCATGCAACATTTACAGAGTGTCTAATGTCTATTCTGGTATTTAAATATCCTGTAGGTGATGTCATCTAAAAACTCAAGTTAGAACTATGAATCTGAAGAATTTATAAAGCTCTTACTAAGATTTATTACTTCCAGACATTTCAGATTGATCTTATGTGTAAGCTAATTCAGATCAAGAAAAATGATGTCTCCCTACATGTACCAGGTAACTCAGAAATCATCTCATTCTTACTACCTGAGGTCAGTGCAAGCCATTGTCCTTGGCTCTAATGAAGTTCTACCACTGGTGGATGAATAAAATAGGGCTCAAATTCTGGAATATGAGGGTTTTCTAAATACAAGGAACTCAAGAGGCAAATAATGTTAACAATTTAGAAAGCAAGTTAACAAAGTGTTTAGAGTTCCTTATCTTGTCACATTCCAAGAAATTCTCAAAAATCAGATAAATTATAACCACTTTTACCTCCAAATTAAGAATTTTATATCTGCAAATTGCTAATACTTCCCTAGGAGGGACAGGTCTGATTCCTTTATTCTGAGGAAAGGTGAAGCCAAGCAATTCTTTATGGGACTGGAATGTATAGGTTTCCTAGGCTGAACCATATGAAAGGAGAAGAAAGGGGAGCAAAAGGTGATGCTCCTTTACACTGATGAAACTGAACATGCCTGAGTACTTGGGAGGCTGAGGCAGGAAGATCACCTGAGCCCAGGAGTTTGAGGCTGCAGTGAGCTCTGAGCACATCATTACACTCCAGGCCGGGCAAGAGAGCAAGGCCCCATCTCTTTAAAAACAACAACAAAAAACAGGACGGGCATGGTGGCTCATGCCTGTAATCCCAGCACTTTGGGAGGCCGAGGCGGGTGGATCACGAGGTCAGGAGATCGAGACCATCCTGGCTACTAACACAGTGAAACTTCGTCTCTACTAAAAATACAAAAAAATTAGCCAGGCATGGTGGTGGGTGCCTGTAGTCCCAGCTACTAGGGAGGCTGAGACAGGAGAATGGCATGAACCTGGCAGGCGGAGCTTGCAGTAAGCCGAGATCAGGCCACCGCACTCCAGCCTGGGCGACAGAGCGAGACTTTGACTCAAAAAAAAAAAAAACAAGAACAACAAAAAAAACAAAAACCAACAACAACAACAAAAAACAGCTCTCTCACTCAACTGGGTTCCAATCTGCAAAACAAAGACCTTCAAGACATACATCAGTGAGAGTTTCCAGTAATAGCAAACCCTACTATTAATCATAATTCTTCCCTCTAGGCAGAAATAGAAAAACGGGCCCACATTCAATTACCCAGCTTGTTTGCCTTGGTTAATAACCTACTCCCCACCCCTGCAATATAAGCCAGCCACTCAAATGAGATCTATTTCTCAAAAATGGTTACCTTAGATCCACATGTTTAATGTGAGGCATTTTTCTTAAAGCCTGTAGCCTAAGGGTCTCCACACAGTTTCCAGACATACAAAGTTTATCCACAGCAGTCAATTTCTCCAATACTTCGGGAATGTCAGTAAATTCATTGAAAGAAAGACCCAGATAACTAAGCTGCTTCATGTTCTCCAACTCAGCAGGAAGGGATTGGAGAAAGTTTCCATCCAACAAAAATGTCTGTAAGCTATTAGAGAAAACATAAGAATTACAAAGAGAACATATAAATTTTACATCTTTATTATCAACATACAAGTTCCATAAGTGTAGACCGTATTACCAGAAAATGTATTATTCTTCGCAAAATGCCTAAGGGCAGGGCCTGAGGCAATAATGGACCAAAGAGAAATAATCAGAGATAAGCATCTTAATCTTTTATTGAAAATGAAAATCATGACTAGTTTTCCCAATTTGAATAGGCTTAAATGGGAGCAATGTGAGCTAACTGTGATATGAATTGATTCAGATATCCTTTGGGCTTTCCTTGTTATTTCTTAAAATTAATTTCTAAGTCTTAAAATTCAATATAACTCAGAAAAATGAGAACATAACCCACATTCCATGTTTAGACATACTCATCTGTAGGGATCTTCAGTTCTAAACAAGAATATTTAATTTTTTTACAAGACTGTAAGGAGTACAAATCCAACATATGAACTCCATACGGACTACATAGTCCCTGATCTCTTGATTTGGGGCCAAGACTTACATGAGCAACATAACAAGTTAACTAATCTCATGTGCCACACCCCCAATGCAGCTTCCCTGGGGCTTCTGGATATACCCGCCAGTGGGGTTTGAAGTACACACTTGTGCATCACTCCAACGGCTGCCGGGACTGATCGCAGGGCATTGCAGGACACGTTCAGCTCTGCCAGGGTTGGAATACTGCAGACTGCCAGTGGGAAGTCCCCTAAATGATTATTGGAAAGGTTAAGACTCTTCAACTTGGTGAACCTATTACAATAAAGCAAAACAAAAGGGAAAAAAGAGACAAATGTCATTAACATCATAATTTTAGCATAGCCTAAGAGATAATCTAGCCCAACTCCCAAATTCAACTAAAGAGGAAATGGGGGCCCCAGAGAGGTTAAGGAGCAGCAGCACTGGAATGCACATCTGCTGACTCTAAGGCCAGTGTTTTACCTAAAATGTAAACATTCTATCTAAAAACAAACTTTTCCCTCTAAAATAAGGTTGAATATTTCAGGAAGTGAATTCTGCTGGAGAAAGCTTTCTAGCAGTATCTCAATTAGCTTAATTAACACAGTGTAAATGGCCCCAGTGAAGGAGGAAAGGGACCAGGCAGAGCTGGCGTTAGCCCTTCTGGAGTCGGTGCTGTTTCAGACAAGTCAAAAACTCCTGTTTCATGTTTCTCAAACCCAAAACTGAAATAATAAAAACTTATCAAAACAATACTCTCTCTAAGGTAACCAGGACTTCGCAGTTCCAAATTTAAGAACCAATTATCAGCTGGGCCTGGTGGCTCAGGCCTGTAATCCTAGCACTTTGAGAAGCCGAGATGAGTGGATCACTTGAGGCCAGAAGTTTGGGACCAGCCTGGCCAACATGGTGAAACCCCATCTCTACCAAAAACACAAAAAATTAGCCGGGCCTGGTGGTGCACCCCTGTAATCCCAGCTACTCAGGAGGCTGAGGCACAAGAATCACTTGAACCTGGGAGGTGGAGGTTGCAGTGAGCTGAGATTGCACTCCTGGAATGTAGCCTGGGCGACAGAGTGACACTCTATCTCAAAAAAGAACCAATTATCATTCGTCGATCTCAATACAGTACTTGATTGATGCTGCTGACCACACACCCTTCTTCTTAGCTCTCTTAAGCCCTCTTCTCATGTATTACCTTCCTTTTCTTCATCTTTTCTTCCCCAACCCAAATTGAAGTAATCTTCATAGATAGGTTTTTTAGCAGTTTCATGCTCTCTCTACACTGTTTTCCTTGGAAATGTTTTGACTCCTATGTGAGCAATTATCTCAGTCCTATCACATGCTGGCTCCTCTCCTGAGCTACCCCACATTTCCAGCCCCAAACTGAACTTACCATCTTTATTCCAAACTGGCACTTCTTTTTCCTCTATTTTTGTTAATAGCCCTTTCATTTTCACAGTTGCCCAAGCAACTTAAGCAATTAAAGAAGCTATCTTTAATTTTTTACTTCTCTGTGCACTCTTACATTTGGCCTATCAACGACCTCTACACCATCTCTAAGTAAGATAAGAATCATATTAGTGACTGCGTTATGCTAACTCCTTTAAAAACCGCCCACGTCTAATCCTAGACAGTATGCACTCTGCCTAGAAGAGACACACACACTCTAAAAATAAACACAATTCAACCCAATCAGTATATGTTAAGCTGTATTCTAAATAGTTAAATAAAAGTTGATTCTAAATGGAAAGCTGACCATGTACCTATTTGACAGGTTGAGTGTTACCTTGATTTTTAAATAATACCTGTTTACTTGGATGGCTGAGTATAATAGACTTAATTGTATTTTAAATTTAAAAAAAATCACTTAGGGAAGAATTATTCCTAAATCTGGATAATCGTTTTTAAACTGTTTTATATTAGGGCCGTTAGGCCTTCTTAAAGAATGCTTATCCTCAGCCAGGTGCAGTGGCTCATACCTGTAATCCCAGCACTTTGGGAGGCCGAGGTGGGCAGATCACCTGAGGTCAGGAGTTCAAGACCAGCCTGGCCAACATGATGAAACTTTGTCTCTACTAAAAATACAAAAAAAATTAGCCAGCCATGTTGGTGGGCACCTGTAGTCCCAGCTATGCTGGAGGCTGAGGCACAAGAATTGCTTGAACCCGGGAGACAGAGGTTGTGGTGAACCGAGATCACGCCTCTGCACTCCAGCCTGGGCGATAGAGCGAGACTCTGCCTCAAAAAAAAAAAAAAGCCTATCCACTATTCTGATTATTTATAATCACTGCAAAACACAAGCTAGAATTACAGAGCCTCTTATTCCTAGTCCAGTGATTCTAAAAGCATGCTTGGGGGACCCCAGAGGAGGTACCCGAGACCCTTTCAGAAGATCCACATGGTCAAACTTTTTTTTTTTTTTTTTTGAGATGGAGTCTTGCTCTGTCGCCCAGGCTGGAGTGCAGTGGTGCGATCTCGGCTCACTGCAAGCTCCGCCTCCTGGGTTCACGCTGTTCTCCTGCCTCAGCCTCCCAAGTAGTTGGGACTACAGGCACCCGCCACCATGCCTGGCTAATTTTTTGTATTTTTATTAGAGACGGGGTTTCACCATGTTGGCCAGGATGGTCTCGATCTCCTGGCCTCGTGATCCGCCCGCCTCAGCCTCTCAAAGTGCTGGGATTACAGGCGTGAGCCACCGCACCTGGCTGTTCAAACTATTTTTATAACAATACTAAGATGTTACTTGCTTTGTGCCACTTTCTTCCGCACACCTAACTGTCACTCTCATATTTCAGTGGAGACTTCCAGACAGTACCTGCTTTTGTAATAGCATACCTGATGGAATACAGAAAGAGATATGAGAATCCAGCCAGATATTAAAAGATTCACCAAAATAGAAGACAACGACACTCTGGCCGGGTGTGGTGACTCACGCCTGTAATCCCAGCACTTCGGGAGGCTGAGGCCGGTGGATCACCTGAAGTCAGGAGTTCGAGACCAGCCTGGCCAACATGGTGAAACCCTGTCTCTACTAAAAATACAAAAATTAGCTGGGCGTGGTGGTGTGCACCTGTAGTCCCAGCTACTCAGGAGGCTGAGGCAGGAGAATCGCTTGAACCTGGGAGGCGGAGGTCACAGTGAGCCGAGATCGTGCCATTGCATTCCAGCCTGGGTGACAGGAGCAAAACTCCGTAAAAAAAAAAAAAAAAAAAAAAAAAAGAAAGAAAGAAAGAAAAGAAAGAAAATGAAAAGAAAACAATGACACTTTTCTTACTATTTTTGTTTTGAAAAACTGTTTTTTCATTTAAAAAGTTACTAAAAACATCATTTATGTTAATATGCTTTATTACTGTCTAAATGAATTAATATACATTAAAATATTTCTTTCTTTTTTTTTTTTTTTTTTTTTTTTTGAGAAAGGGTCTCTATCGACAAGGCTGGAATGCAGTGGTGGGATCATGGGTCACTGCAGCCTCAACCTCCTGGGCTCAGATGATCCTCCCACCTCAGCCTCCTGAGTAGCTGGGACTACAGGCACGCACCACCAAACCCAGCTAATTTTTTTTTTTTTTTTTGTAGAGACGAAGTTTTGCCATTTTGCCCAGGCTGGTCCTGAACTCCTGGGCTCAAGCAATCTGCCTGTCTTGGCCTCCCAAAGTGTTAGAACTAAAGGCATGAGTCATCGTGCCTACCCTAAAATATTTCTTTTCTTTTTTTGAGACGGAGTCTAGCTCTGTCATCTAGGCTGGAGTGCAGTGGCGTGATCTCGGCTCACTGCAACCTCCACCTCCTGGGTTGCAATTCTCCTGCCTCAGCCTCCCAGGTAGCTGGGATTACAGGTGCCGAGAACCACATTTGGCTGATTTTTGTATTTTTAGTAGAGACAGGGTTTCACTATGTTGGCCAGGCTGGTCTCGAACTCCTGACCTCAGGTGATCCGCCCGCCTTGGCCTCCCAAACTGTTGGGATTACAGGCGTAAGCCACTGCACCCAGCCTATATTTCTTAGTTAAATTTATAATTCAGCAAATATCGATATATATAATTGACATAAATAAATGTTGCTTAAGGTCCTCAATATTTGAGAGCAAAGAAGTCCTGAAATAAGATTGCCATATGAAACACAGTACATCCAGTTAAATTTAAATTTCAGATAAACAATAAATATTTTTAATAGTATGTCCCAAACATTGCATCATGGGGCACACTTACACTGAAAAAAGTTATTCAATGTTTATATGAAATTCAAATTTAACTGGTGCTTCCTCCCCTATCCCCTAACCTAAATCTGGCAACTCTATCTGATATAAAATGTTTATCCTAGGCATCACAGATGAAACTGCTGCTCTAGTACAAACAAAAACAGCATTCCACTTTCTAGATATTTTTCCCCATTTGAGAGAATGGGCCAGTTTTAAAATTTGCATCCAATTAAATTAACTTAAAAAAAAGTTCCTCTAGGAAGAAAAAAAATCCACTAGACATTATCCAACATAATAGAGCACGTGAACTTTTCAAAGTGGGGAACAGAAAGGCTGCAGAGCTAGTAATTACTCAAGATGAGAAATGAAAGCATTGGCTTTTGGAAAAGTATAGGTCAATAATGTGGCGGGGCGGTGGTGTTTAATTCATTTGTGCAAACAAATTTACTAGGATGATATCACTCCTGAGGATAAAGGAAAGCAGCAATACGCTGAATGAGGAAAATGCAGTTAACAAGTTTTAAATGGAAAAGAAGGCTTGGCGGAGTGGCTCACGCCTGTAATCCCAGCACTTTGGGAGGCTGAGGCGGGTGGATCACCTGAGGTCAAGACTTCGAGACCAGCCTGGCCAAAATGGTGAGACCCCATCTCTACTAAAAATATAAAAATTAGCCGAGCGTGGTGGCGGGTGCCTGTAGTCCAGCTACTCGGCAGGCTGAGGCAGGAGAATCACTTGAACCAGGGAGACAGAGGTTACAGTGAGCCGAGATCATGCCACTGCACTCCAGCCTGGGTGACAAAGCAAGACTCCATCTCAAAACAAAATAAATAAATAAATTATTTATAAATAAATAAAATGGAAGAGAGAAAAAAAACCTCTTAACAAGTATCTCCCATTCATTTTATGTATATACGAACATTGTGAAAGTGATAATGACCCCTACCTCTAATTATAAAGAGAAAGAGATACAACCATTCTCTGCATCAGCTAAATGAGAAAACACTACTCTACTAGCTTTACGTAAAGAGAACTGCCCTCAGTCCTAGGTGCCAAGTGCCCCCTACAGAACAAGGAGTCGGGGGCACCCTTTCCCAAGAGCTGCAAGGTCCAGTATAATACCACAAGTGCCAGGTAGCATTGGGCACCTGAAATGGGACTAGTCCTAATGGAAATGTTCTTGAAATACAAAATATAGAGTAGATTTCAAAGACTGAGTACAAAAAAGAATATAAACTATCTCATTAACTTTTTAGAACTGATAACAACTGATATATTGGCTTAAATAAGAATATATTATTGAAATTACATGTGGCTCATATTATATTCCCATTGGAGAAGTGCCTTCTCCATACTAAGAGTAAGCAGGAGACTGGAATTCCTTACCCTGCACACCAACCTTGCCTCCAGAGCTTGTGTGGGTTCTTCCCTGGGTTCATCCTCCCACCAGTGTGTGCACCCATGTGCCCTAGCATGGGCAGAGCTTGGACATATGGGCTGCAGTGTCCACACCCCTGGTACGGTGAGGAATGGAGCTGGAGGAAGGAAGAGAAGAGGTGGGGTCCCTGGCCCAGCTCTGCCCATGTTATCATATTCAGTGCAGAATCCCAGGGAGTCTGAGGATTCTAAATTGGAATCTGTGTTTCCAGGACATTAATTTTATATTTGACAAGGTAGAGGGAGATAACATATTTTACTTAACAGTTTCTTAGCTTGGTTATAACTTAAATATTCAGATATATGGTATGTGGCTCTCCATTTATACTCGTACCCTAGACCTATAAATTTTAAGAGCTGATTCTGACTTAAAAGTATCCTCAAAGTCTTGCTCCTTCTCACTACATTCCCCACCCCCTTTGCATTCCTCCCTGTGCAGCCAATCCCCCAAACTCTTCCCAGAGAAGGACATGGTATTCAGCAGATACTTATCAAATAAAGCATGGATTGTTTCTGAGAACTTAAGTTCTTGATCTGAACGTATCAACCAACATTAAAACACATCTGTTGTGGTAACTAACCCTTAGCCTTCTCAGAGTTCCACTTTTCCTTTCTAGATGTGGAAAGCAGTCAGATTATAGGACATTTGCAGATCCAAATACTGTTTCAGAGAAAGATAGAGGGGAGGTCCACAGAGAATTCACTTCCCTCGAGTATTTGGAATGAGTGAAACACATACTTGGAAGCAATGTTTAAGTTATGAGAGATAAGAGATCAAAAGGGTGAATGGATGACCTTTCTTCACTTTACCTTCATTTAAAAAGAATGCAAAGGAGACAGCCAGGTGACAGCACCCTGGTATGGAGGAAAAGTCTAGAAATCTCTGTCTCTGTAATAAAATATAAGACTTTCAGCTTTGCCATAATAGGTAAGCCAGATATTTTTATTAATTCATTCATTCATTATTTTGAGACAGGGTCCACTGTGTCTGCCAGGTTGGAGTGCAGTGGTGTGATAACGGCTCACTGCAGTCTTGACTTCCCAGGCTCCAGCAATCCCACCTCAGCCTCGCAAGTAGCTGGGACCACAGGTGTGCATCACCACGTCCAGCTAAGTTTTGTATTTTTGGTAAAGACAGGATTTCTCCATGTTGCCCAGGCTGGCCTCAAGGGCCTGAGCTCAAGCAGTCTACCTGCCTCAGCCTCCCAAAGTACTGGGATTACAGGTGTGAGTGACCACGCTTGGCCAGGTAAGCCAGATAAATGATGAAATGCACACAGACCCAGATTCCAAGATAAAATTGACTGGTTTTAAAAAGAAAAAAAAAACATACACACACACACACACACACACACACACACACACACACACACACACATTTTGTGAAATATTTTAAATAATTCTATTTTAAACTAATATTTCAGTGCTACCGTTGCATTCAATGAGGCTACAGATATTTCTTCATAGCTGTTCAACATAGATAAGTGGAAGAGAATCACAGCATCACAGATTTTAAGATTACTAAAAAATATTTTAATGATGATTGTACTAACTACAGTGGTCGGTTTATAATCATAGCCAGGGACAATTCTACTTGATGCTTTAAAATGACAAGAAACCTGTGGCTTTTAAAAAACATCATGCCTGTAATCCCAGCATTTGGGGAGGCAAACAAAGGAGGGAGGACTGTTTGAGCCCAGGAGTCCAAGACTAGCCTGGGCAACACAGGGAGATCCCATCTCTACAAAAAGTAAAATAAAATTAGCCAGGCAGGGTGGTATGTGCCTGTGGTCCCAGCTACTTGGGAGGCTGAGGTGGGAGGACAGCTTGAACCCAGAAGGTTTAGGCTGCAGTGAGCTGTGACTATACCACAGCACGCCAGCCTAGGCAATACAGTGAGACTCTACCTAAAAAAAGAAAAAATAAAATAAAAATAAAAACAAAAAACAAAATTCCCATGTTGAAACTTAATCCCCAATGTGATAAGAGGTACGGTCTTTAGGAGGTAATTAGGTCATGAGGGTTTGTCCTTACAATTGGGATTAGTGTCCCTGTAAAATAAATTGAAGGGAGCTGCCTTGCCCCTTCAGCCACGTGAGGACGAAAGGAGGAAAGCTGCATCCTTGAAGCACAGAATGAGTCCTCACCAGACACCAAACCTGCTGGTGCCTTGATCCTGGACTTCACAGCCTCTAGAACTGAAATAAATTTCTGTTGTTTATAAATTATCCACTCTAAGGTAAATTGATATAGCAGCCCAAACAGACTAAAGCACTAAAGCAGTGGATATATCTTTCTTTTTTCTCATGTGCTACTGAAAAATGAGACTAGAAGGGGACTTTGAAGTCATTTTCTTTAATTTTCCAAGCTCATAGATAAAAAAAACAGGCCCAGAGAAACTGTATGACTACTGCATGCAATTATGAATCTACTGCCTTTCGACGTCATTACTACTTTTCATCTCTCCTCCTCCTCTTTTATTAAACCTTATTAAAGAGTTTAATATAAATAAATATCTATCACTCATAATTCTAAGCCACAGGTCAAAGAATGGCCTCAGGAAAGCACTATCTTTTCATTCTCATTTTCCCCTACCAAGAGTAGCAGTATGAGTAATGGAGGACAGTGAATATTCTGAACACTATATTTACCTTCAAACCAATTCAAGCACAGCTCAGTGCTCCCAAACTACTCAACAACCTGAAAAGACTGACTTCATTTTCCAGGACAAGCAGTATGTTTTAAAGAAAGAAATATAACTCATGTTCATTTGTCCTACAATACAGAGTTCACACTACAGAAAGGAAGTTAACATTTATGCAGCACATAATCAAGAGTAATCTTAATTATTAAAATGAAGTTATTTCAGTCACAGTATTATATTTAGCAAACAGCAATGAGCATCACTCAGGTCTGACTTACTCCAAAGGCACGCTTTTAGTTACTGATACCAAGTGTCACAGAAAAGCACAATCAACTAAATATACTTGATAATCTACAGAGACAGAAAACTGTACTTGTAGTATGTTTGCAAACAAACCTGAAGTCTCCTTCAAACTAGGTATCCTAAGTGCCCTATAACAAAGTGCAAAGGCTGGTGCCATGACTCACACCTGTAACCCCAGCACTTTGGGAAGCTGAGGCAGGAGGACCACTTGAGGCCAGGAGCTCAAGACCAGAGTGGGCAACATAGCAAGATCCCATCTCTACTAAAAAAAATTTAAATTAGTTGGGTGTGGTGGTGTGCACCTGTAGTCCTAGCTACTCGGTTGGATCACTTGAGCCCAGGAGCTTGAGGCAATAATGAGCTGTGATCGTGCCACTGTGCTCCAGCCTGGGCCACAGAGCAAGAACCTGTCTCTAAAATAAATAAATTAAACAAACAAACAAACAATGTGCATGACTGTTTGCCAAGGGTGGGGCCCTCAAGTGGCAGAAGGTCAAAGTGGGGACAGGGAAGAGATGGTAGAATCAAGCTGATACTATCACTATTAAATTACTAACACTGCTTTAATTTGCACCTCCTACTATATTTACATTATAAAATGAAAGTACGGTAATAATGACACCGTACGTTTATACACAAAATGTGCTAAACTATCTAGGGGTGTGATCTACTAGTGTTCCTACCTTTTCCTTCCTTTCTCCAGCTTCACAGCCATGACTAATAAATGGCAGAGACAGAACAGCACACAACTTCAAACTGCTATTGAGAGAATAGAGCAATCAGTTCCATCCCTGTATTTTCTTAGTTTCCCCTGTAATCTAGACAACAGTAGACCATGTAAATGTATCACTGTCTACACTTGGCTTTAAATGGAATTTTTCCCCAGTTACTAAATTTTGAGGTGTAATATTCCAAGCTACTTAAGCAAATTATTTATAAAAGGAAAGAGTGTTTAGTTTCTTAATCAGAAAAGTTTAAATGCACTAAATTCATGCATCCAACTTCCCTACCTTTATTAGGTAAATATAAAGTTTTTTTGTTTTGTTTTGTTTTGTTTTTGAGACGGAGTCTCACTCTGTCACCCATGCTGGAGTCCAGTGGTGCTATCTCAGCTCACAGCAACCTCCGCCTCCCAGGTTCAAGCGATTCTTCTGCCTCAGCCTCCCGAGTAGCTGGGACTACTGGTGCATGCCCCCACACCCAGCTAATTTTTGTATTTTTAGTAGAGACAGGGTTTCACCATATTGGCCAGGCTGGTCTCGAACTTCTGACCTTGTGATCCACCCACCTCAGCCTCCCAAAGTGCTGGGATTACAGGCATAAGCCACCACGCCCGGCCAATATAAAGGTTTTTAAAACAAGTAAACCACGGTTCAACAAGCTTATTTGAGTCTGGCCTCTAAAAAACTAGTTGGGAGTCAATGCTCATTAGAAAATGAAGTGGAGCCATTTTTATCCAAGGGCAGGAAAGAAAACAAAAAAGCCAATGTTTTACAGTGTCAAAGTTGAAAGAAAGAAACAAATATACACAAATGTTACCAATCCTCACATACTTCCTCCTTCTGGGCTTGTTTTGTCATAAGATGTGCTTAATCTTTTTCATTTTCTTAACACTTATTCAATCTATACTCAAAAATGTAGGTACAAAGCTATTTTTGCATGTGAGTTACAGGGAATGGCTATATATGCTTGTACATATTTAGGAAATAAAACCAAATAAACAGCATGATGACTATTTGGAGACATAATATTAATTAGCTTTAGATATATCTAAGTCTTGAGTAATTTTTCTTCCAGGAACTAGGGACATATACACTTGAAAACTTGACTAAAATAACAGTATGATGGAAGTAGTTGTACTTTTAAACCTATTCTAAATGTGCTCAAAATGGGTGTCACAAGTAACACCCAGGAAGAGAAAACCATACTGTTTTAGTCAATGATTCTAATAGAGAGAAATCAGTATTATTCACCACAAATGGGTCAATTAAAAAGACTCCCTAGGTAAATAAATTTCCGTTTCACAGTAACAGCCCGTGTTTAACTTGTTTTTTCCTCTGTGGGGCACATGCTAGCCCACTTTGGAAATTATTAGGCTTCAGTATTAAGTAATGAAGGAGCTGCTCAACGGCTGGACTTGTAAGCGTCGCTCTGGGCCTGCCCCCTACTTTGCATCAATTATGAAAAGCAGGATCCCTAATGGCTTTGAGTGGCTCTGCCTTAGTGGGGAGTTGCCAGGCTGTCAGTGCTCTGTAAGACTCACTGTATTTTCTTTTAAGAGAAAGATTTTATTTGATTACCAAAACAATAATGCTCATTTTAACAAAGTGAGTCCAACTATAGAAGCACATAAAAAGTTAACAGTCTCTCCCACTTCATTTCAAATCCTACCCTCCTGAGATAAGCAGTGTCAATAGTTTGGTTTATATCCTTCCAAAGCTTTTCCTCCTTACAGCTGCATAAATAGGAGATAGCCCCCTCCACATTTTTTTGAATCAGATTATACCACATATATTTTTTCTGCAAATTGTTTACTCACCCAATACAAACAAATCATCTTATTGAGTCAGTACATAAAAACCTAACTCAATCTTTTTGACAGCTGCATAATACACAGAGTACAAATGAACCATAATGTATTCCATTCCTCCGCTGATTGACATTAGGAGTACTCTCAGTTTTTCTGCTGTTACAATTCTGCAAGAAACATCCACTGATGTATCTGGTTGTGTATTAATGATTTTACTTTACAGTACTTATTGGTGCCTAATAGGCCTTATCCTTAATTCTGAAATCCAAGAGACTCTGAAAATTCAAAGATTTTTAATTGACTCATGTGATGGCAAAAGCTGATCTGAACTGATGTGAATATTCATTTGATCTCTCTAGAAATATGAATGTGTCTACTTATGGGGTGCTCTCTTAAACCCTGCTGGAGGTGTTACATAATGTACAGTATATGCACCATGTTATCTCCATTTAATCTGAAAACACAATTGTCCTCAAGAGTTTTAATAAGGGACTGTGAATCTATACTTCTAAAAGTATAACTGATGGCCCCAAGAGTATGTACAGTTTAAATATGTACTACAAAACTACAAAAAAAAGTTACAGAAATTCATACTCCCATTCAGTCATGTAAGAGAGGGTCCCTTTCCCCATGCTAGCATTTAATGTTAGCATCTTTTCAACTGTTGCCAATCTAATGGGCAAAAATTACATAGGTCATTTCAATTTTTATTTTGCAGTAAAGTTGAGCTGCTTTTTGCAAAGAAGAAAATGGTAATTGCAAATCTTCTTTGAGATACACATTCATATCCTTTGCCCACTTTTCTAATGGACTATTCACCTGCCACTTAGTTTGCAGGCATTCCCTGAATACCACCTGCCGTGTACTGTCAAATGCTACAAACACGCCCTCCCAGCCTGCTGTCTGGTGTTTCCCACTCTGTTCATGGTGACTTTTGCCACACACTAATTTTTAATTTTTATTTGCTCATATTTGGCAATCTCTTCCTTTATGGGATCCCTGTTTTTAATTTTGCTTGAGAAGGTCCTCTCACTCCACCCAAAGTGGTACAGATGTTCTCTTAATGTTTCCTTCTAACATGTATATATATTTTATTTTTTACATTTGGATCCTAATTCCACCTGACATGTTTTACAAGAAATGTTAGATGGAGGGCCAACTATTTTCTTTCTGGTACCTAGCTATGTTACCAACATTTATTAAATAAGTCATCCTTTCTTTTTTTCTTTTTTTTTTTTTTTTAAGATGTGGTCTTGCTCTCTCAAAAATAAATAAATACATAAATAGATAAAATCAACCTTATCCATTCAATTTAAATAAATTTTATATACTAGGGGAAGGGAGAACAAAAAGAGAAAGCTTAATGCTTTTCCAATAAAATAGAAAAGCTTGGGTAAAATGAGTTACACTTACTTCATGTTTCTCTTTACTTTTTTCTAAAAGAATTTATAAAACCAAGCACATGTTGTTGTTCTTAAGAGCACACCTTGTGGTTTTGAGACCATTAAAGTTTGACAGAGTAACTTTTCTTTTTTATCTTTAGAAGAAATAATCTTGGGAAGTGTATCAAAGTACTTTTAAAAATGTGTATTGAATATACTTGCTCTTTAGAAACTATAGTTAAGTGAATGGCCGGGCGCGGTGGCTCATGCCTGTAATCCCAGCACTTTGGGAGGCCGAGGCAGGCAGATCACGAGGTCAGGAGATTGAGACCATGGTGAAACCCCGTCTCTACTAAAAATACAAAAAAAAATTATCCAGGCGCGGTGGCGGGCGCCTGTAGTCCCAGCTACTCGGGAGGCTGAGGCAGGAGAATGGCGTGAACCTGGGAGGCAGAGCTTGCAGTGAGCTGAGATCACGCCACTGCACTCCAGCCTGGGTGACAGAGCAAGACACCATCTCAAAAAAAAAAAAAAAATAGTTAAGTGAATGAATGAGAGACACAGACCCCCAGTAAGCAACTTCCTTTTCCATGAACTCCTCAAATTCCAATTCCTTTCGTGTGGTGCTTCTTTGGCTTGGTAAGTTTGTCCTACAGTCATGTGTTAATATTCTTGTCCCAATCCAACTATGATATAGGGCAACCTGCATGTGCCATAATAGTTACATAAGGAAGCCAAATAATTTCTAAAATGCATGAGAGAGGCTGTCTTTCCTGGATGAGGAAAGGAAGGAACACCTTTTGCCCCATGTTCCTTTCGGACTCATCTGTGGTGGCAATGGCATGAGAAACATTTGGCTCATTGTGCCTGCTTCAGAATTGCTGGGAACACCCACCCTTCAGAAGGCATGACTCAACTCCTTTTGGCTTTCACACTGTTGTCCACACCCCCAAACTCCATTGGCCTGTAACTGAACTCTCACATCTTCTCAGTTTCTTGGTACAGTGCTTTTCCTGTCGTCCCTATATGACTTCTAAAATGAATCCACATGAACTTACGTATGCCCTTCTGTTCCAAGGGCCAAGGAGTCCACCAGCCTTGTTCCCAGTGAGCACCTGCCATCATCTGGGAGGCTTAGCAGTGCACGGATGCTAATGTGGCATGCAACCAGCTTGTCAACACTTGAGCCAAAATAAACAAATCATCCTATCTGAATCCTAGTCACCATAAATGCCTCCTGGTACAAGTAAAATAAACATATCACCTTTTCATATAACTAGAAAACAAAAATAAGCACATGCATATTTTACTTAGGTAAAAATTAAAATTTACAGTCATGAAAGAATTTTATAATTTTTTTAAGAACTGCTACAGATGTTGAAAATCAGAATAAATTTACCAAAGCTAAAACTCATAATTTTTCAAAAGTAATAATCAAAGAAATAAAGAATTCTCAGTGTTGACAATAATTTCCATGGACATTTTGCTGTAAAGGCAAATTAAAGTATTCCCTAAAGAGAAAAATTCTTTAATTAAAAAAAACCCTTTATTATTTATTTTTTAAAGTGATGAGGTATCACTGTCACCCAGGCTAGAGTGCAGTGGTGTGATCATAGCTCACTGCAGCCTTGACCTTCTTGGCTCAAGCAATTCCCACGCATCAGTGTCCACAGTACATGGGACTACTACAACCAGCCCTAAAGAGAAAACTCATCTTAATTCCTCTTTTAAAATAATTCAAACAAACAAACAAAAAAATAATAATTAAAGTAATTCAAACAAGAGGTACTTACTGGTTACTATGTGCCAAACCTTAGGCTGGGTTAATCCTATGGATACAATAACAAATAAGGCACAGCTCCTGCCTATGGTGGAGAGGGAGGTACGCAGTGGAAGGCTCCATGAGTCCAGTAAGTAAATTACATAGAGAACCACTCTAGATCATAAGATGGTAATTACGTGAAAACAGCAGCCGCTAGATCTATAGTAAGCCTGAACTAACTAAATTCAGGAAAACAATGAGTCATAAGCTGCATAAATTTGTCATTTTGATTCTTTAATAAATTAGCAATATAAGAATCAAAAACCAAGAAATATGTTATCACATTACACTTAAACATATCTGTTTTGAGATGGTTTCTTTACTCAATTTATCCATGACTACATTTTTTTTTCATTTTCTCACCAACATATCTGCCCATAGTTAGCCCATTAATTGCCAATGATATTCAAGAGATGTTTAATATTAACCGCCACACTAGGACAAATAAAAATATTACAATAACAAAACAAAACAAAAAAATTCCTTAAAAAGGCAGAAAATGGATCACTATTTCTGCTCCTCTTCTCAAACCAAAGGAGAGAAGATTCACAAGTATACTTGGATAAAATCCCACTCAAGTCACATAAAGATATATAAAAAGGAAAACCAAATAGCATCTATATCAAGGATATTGGATTACCAAACAAATGAGAAAGTGCGCATAAGCAAAAGTCAGTGAGAATAATTAGGTCATAAAAATGTCCTTAGACAGTAGCCTAAACACCATATAACAAATAGGCTAAGCATATCTCACAGCTAAATGGGGAAAAAAAAAAAACCCTAACACCCAAAAGTTTCCTAGGTATAATAAAAGTCTGATGCTAGGGTTGAACCATTATTCACTAAACATTTCTTGAGTTCTTACTATGCACAAAGGTGCTGGAAGTATACAAATGTGATTTAGACATGGTTTTCACCCTCCAGGAACTTGAAACAATTTGAGAACAAAGCTCTTATAAAATAAAGCAGAAGGTGAAAACTGAAAACTTACTGGCGGCATTGGGGGGTGGGGGGAGGAAGTACCATGAGTGTTTACAAAAGTGAAAACTTTTACCTAAGGAACATGAGTAGGAGTTCAATAGACAGAGGGGGACTGGAAGACAGACCATTTAAAAAGAATCGTATGGTATGGCTATTTCTCAAACTTCAGCATGCAATGTTATAATGCAGATTCTTGGGCCCCATCACTGTAAGTTCTGATTCAGGTCTGGGATGAAAAACAGGCATCTGTGTTTCTAGTTATCTTAGTCTATTTTGTGTTGCTATAACAGAATACCAGCTGGGCACAGTGGCTCACGCCTGTAATCCCAGTACTTTGGGAGGCCAAGGTGGGCAGATCACGAGGTCAGGAGATCGAGACCATCCTGACTAACACGGTGAACCCTGTCTACTAAAAATACAAACAATTAGCCCAGCGTGGTGGCACACGCCTGTAATCCAAGCTACTCAGGAGGCGGAGGTGGGAGAATCGCTTGAACCCAGGAGGCGGAGGTTGCAGTGAGCCGAGATCACACCACTGCACTCCAGCCTGGGTGACAGAGTAAGACTCTGACACACACACACACACACACACACACACATATCCAGAATACCATTGGGTAATTTATAAAGAAAAAATTGATTTCTCACAGTTCTGAAGGTTGGGAAGTCCAATTTCAAGATGCTGGCATCTGTTGAGGGCCTTCTTGCTGTGTCATCCCATGGCAGAAGAGCAGTAAGAGCAAGAGAGCAAACTCACAGCCTCAGGCCCTTTGATAATGGGCATTAATACATTCATGAAGGTAGAGCCCTCATGGCCTAATCACCTCTTTAAAGTCCCACCTCTTAATACTGTTGCATGGGGGATTATGTTTCCAACACATCAACTTTGGAGGACACATTCAAACCATAGCACCAATAAACACTACAGGTGATTCTGATGTAGGCATTTCATGAATCATTTTGTGAAACACTGATTTGGAAAGCAAAAACTACAAGGTAATTGGGAAACATTAAGTAGACCAAATTATTAAGGAGAAAGAAGCCCTGTGGTTGTAAAGAATGCTTAAAGTCTAATCACAGAGCATGTCAAGAAGACACTGGTATTTGCCTATGAAAAACTTTGAATTGAATGAAATAGTACATCTGAACATGCACATATTTATCACATGTATCAGATAATATCTCCCCTTTGTTGCACTTCCAGACACACACACACACACACACAATATGAGGAGTATAAATATGCATTCTGACAAAGTTTAAAATTAGGGGAAAAAAACAGCTATTTAGAAAGTCAGCCTTTCCCCAAGGTTTTCTTATTAATTATACGTCCAAAAGACATCACCAGGGAGGAATGGGTGTGCCCTGCTTTTACAGAGGTCACTGTCAAATATCCTGCCAGTTCTGGTGTCATCATCCTCACCACTCCAGAGAAATGACAAGAGGAATGTGACTCCTCCCATTCAAAGCTCCATTAGTTTAGAGCATGGTGAGTGACATCAAAATTACAGCCACTAAATAAAAACAGACATTTTCATGGGTCCTTAGTTTTCAAAACTGACATGCGTGTGTTGTCTGAATGAGCTCCAGAATTAGATGTGTTTATTTGACATGAAGTAGCAGAGAGAGGGAGGAGAGGAGTATTGGTCTCCATCAGCATTCTCATACCGGCAACCAAAGAATTATTTCAGAAGTCATCAGCAAAGATGTTAATTATGTTCCCAAGTCCCAAGTTATGATGACACTTCACCATCAACAAAATAAGCATCAGTTTGGTCCTTTTACTCTATACTTATTACTATGCACTAGGAGCTGTGCAGAGTAAAGTTGATTACCACTCAGAATAGCAAATATCTACAAATACAGTGTTGGCATTAAACTCTTGCAGTTAAGTTAAAGCTCAGAGAATACGGCAAAGAGCTCCACAGAGCTCAAAGAATGGAAGTGGACAGAATACAATAACTGAATTGGAATCAAGCCAAGGCTTTTGAAGATACCAGCCTCTCTCCCTTCTATTTAAGTGGGAATAAATGTTAAAGAACATCTTAAACTATCCCAAAAAGTCAACAGGGCAAACTAATTTAATATAGCCTGGCTGATATTTTGTTTCTGAGCTCCGTCTTCAAAATGTACTATATGAGGGAATAAGAAAATGGGCCATCATTGCCATAAATTAGGTCGGCAGCATTAGGCAAGAAGAGAACCAAAGGCTATATAATCACGGAGCCCCAAGCACCACCTGCCGGCTCTGCTTTGCTCAAATTCTCTGGGAAGGAAAATGGGAATCTTGTGAAATGGAAAGCTTCCCAAGAGGATCACAATTCCATCTGAAAAGCAAAGCTGTATAAGAAAGGAACTTCCAGTTCTGGGAACAGTTAACTGACAAAAAGACATTCCATACATTCCATGAAATTCCTTTAACATTTGGCAAGCCTCATGGAACCCTGGTAGTGGAAATTCCTTCCCAAGGTTATCTCTAACCCTGAGCAGCATTTGTGCTGTTTTTCTTTTACATAGGCTTTACTCTTTCTTCAGCAGTCTGCAGCTGGCTTGCCTCTAACGTTTTTTATACAGCAGTGTCTTCAAAGAAGCTGAAATTGTTCTAAGCGCTGCTGTTTAAATCGATCAAATGAACTGCAAAAATGTTTTAGCATGCCACTCTTTATTTCACTATGCTAATGAATTATCACTATTTCCATTAAAAGAAGTCTTCATGAATTATGTATAAAAACAAAAACTAAAATCTTTCAATAAAACCTGGAAATGTGGGCTTTTGGTAATGATAAGTAATTAACATTAATCACTTTACATCTGGAATGCCAACATCCCCAAAAGAGCAGAAGAGCAGAATAGGAAATAAGGTCATTTGTTTTCTACTCCAAGGGAACCAAAAATGTAGAAATTTGAGCTTTCTAAGAAGAGAGGTACTTGATAAATGCCATGCATAATTAGGAGTTTCTCATCGCTCATTTCTTCATACTTTCATTCTATTATGCCCACATCCTTGCACGCCCAACTCCATTCACTCTTTCCCTCTTTCTCGCATGAGAGGACCTGCCCCTCCATCTCTCCATTTTCAGCTAAACCAAATTTCACATCTAATCAGAGCTCAAATCAAGTCTTTCCTCCAAGTGTTGAATTCACTCCCCTCTTGACCCAAGTCATCTTTACTTATTTCAGGTGAAAACTTACTCAATTTATACCACAGCCTCTAAGACACAATCACACAAGCCTGAGTTCCTTGAAACTGATATGTAGGTGCCACATAATGCAATGTGGTTGATCAATAATCATTCTAAGTGACTGATGTCCCCTTAAAATAGTCACCTTGAATACTAAATACAAGAAATGGTTCCGCTGCTCAAAGCATTTCTAAATGTTCTCTTCCTAAAGTTTTATGATCACATTATTTTGATTATCCTTGGTGGTGGGAAAACCAACAATTCAGTTCAGTGAGTATTTATTAAGGACTTTACAGTAGATGGCAATTTTAGAAATTTTTAGATGCTTACTATAAAAGGATTGATAAGTACAAAAAATATTTAAAAAGTGAACAATTCAGAAGAGCAAAAGGTCACATGGAATTGAGAAGTAACTAAAAGCTTCAAGGAAAAAATGCCATTACAAATACACTTTGAAGGGTGGGGTAGGAGTCGCTAGGTTGAGCCTGGGTTCGGCAGGTGGTCAAAGGTAAAAGTTGGGGCACATTCTTGCAAGATGAGTGGCAAGAGAATGTGAAGTGAGTTTAGAGAATGGTAAAATAAACCATAGATTTTTTTTTAGAAGTCCAGTTTCATACGGTCCATTTTAAAACTAGTATCTCCTTTTCCAACTTCAAATCCTCTCTTACATTTTTCTACGTAAGGTTTTCTGAATCATCTCACTGTGCATATTGTCTTTTATCATACTTTCAACCAAAGAGAAATACAATGATAAATTACCAGTCTCACTTCCTTCTAAAAGTTGCTACAGGCCGGGCACAGTGGCTCACACCTGTAATCCCAGCACTTTGGGAGGCTGAGGCAGGCAGATCATCTCAGGTCAGGAGTTCGAGACCAGCCTGGCCAACATGGTGAAACCCCGTCTTTACTAAAAATACAAAAATTAGCCGGATGTGGTGGCGGGCACCTGTAATCCCAGCTACTCAGGAGGCTGAGGCAGGAGAATCACTTGAACGCAGGAGGCACAGGTTGCAGTGAGCTGAAATCGTGTCACTGCACTCCAACCTCGGGGGGAGGATAGAGTGAGACTCTGATCTCAAAAAACAAAATTAAAAAAAAAAAAGTTGCTACAAATACCTTTTGCAAAGAAGTTGCTACAAATACCTTTTGCGAAGAATACATAAAATTGAATGAATAAAGGCACTTCCCCCACCATTCACTCAAGAGTGCGTTCATTTATGGAGTATCTATTTAATGCTCACCTAGCAACAGTAATGACCTCTGAGGGGGACTTGATTCCTGCCCTCTCAGAATGCAAAGCCAAGCAGAGCACACAAGATAAATATAGAAAACAAAGGTGATAAAAGTTAAGGCCATACTGCTATTCCCATGAGTCACAGTATCTTTACAAAAACAGGCTTAACTATTACACAGAATTTTATAAAACTGTCAGGGGACAATAGTAACACACAATGGCAAAATTCAATATCCAAAGGAGAATGTTAAGAAAAACAAAAACGCTGGTGGTATACTTTTTTTTGTCCTATTTCCATATCATATATGATAAAAATCACATTAAGAATTCTATAGGCCGGACGTGGTGCCTCATGCCTGTAATCCCAGCACTTCAGGAGGCCGAGGTGGGCAGATAATGAGGTCAGGAGACTGAGACCATCCTGGCTAACACAGTGAAACTCCATCTCTACTAAAAATACAAAAAATTAGCCAGGAGTGGTGGCACGCACCTATAGTCCCAGCTACTCGGGAGGCTGAGGCATGAGAATCGCTTGAACCCGGGAGGCGGAAGTTGCAGTGAGCCAAGATCGCGCCACTGTACTCCAGCCTGAGTGGCAGAGCGAGACTCCGTCTCAAATATAATAATCATAATCATAATCATAATAATTCTACAGATACATAGCAGGTCCTCGAACAATGTCATTTCATTCAATGTCATTTAGCTATAATGTTAATGAGGAAAAAAATCAATTCCTGGTGAGGATCGCTGTCTGTGTGAAGTTTGCCCATTCTCCTCCGTCTGTGTGGTTTTCTTGGGGTACTCACTTCCTCCCACATCCTAAAGCTGTGCACATTACGTTCACCAGTGTGTCCACATGGCAAGTGAGAGAGACAGAGAGAGACAGAGAGCGAGAGTGTGTGTGTGTGTGTGTGTGTGTGTGTGTGTGTGCGCGCGTGCGTGCGCGCCCTGTGATGGGATGCTGTCCTACCCAGGGCTGGTTCCTGTCTGGCACTCTTAGCTGCCGGGAGAAGCTCCAGCCACCAGCAACCTGAACTGGAAAAACTTGGTAAATAATTGCCCTTTTTTGTTTGTTTTTTGAGATGGAGTCTTGCTCTGTCACCCAGGCTGGAGTGCAGTGGCGCAATCTCAGCTCACTGCAACCTCTGTCTCCCAGGGTCAGGCGATTCTCATGCCTCAGCCTCCCAAATACCTGGGATTACAGGTGCGCACCACCATGCCCGGCTAAGTTTGTGTATTTTTAGTAGAGATAGGGTTTCAACATGTTGGTCAGGCTGGTCGCAAACTCCTGACCTCAGGTAATCTACCTGCCTTGGCCTCCCAAAGTGCTGGGATTACAGGCGTGAGTCACCTCAACCGGCCTATATCTTACTTGTTTTTATTAATCTTTTTTTTTTTTTTTTGAGACAGAGTTTCGTTCTGATTGCTCAGGCTGGAGTGCAATGGCGTGATCTCGGCTCACCACAAACTCCACCTCTCGGGTTGAAGCGATTCTCCTGTCTCAGCCTCACGAGTAGCTGGGATTACAGGCATGCACCACCACGGCCCAGCTAATTTTTGTATTTTTAGTAGAGACGGGGTTTCACTGTGTTGGTCAGGCTGGTCTTGAACTGCTGATCTCGTGATCCACCTGCCTTGGCCCCCCAAAGTGCTGGGATTACAAGCGTGAGCCACCGCATCCGGCCCTTTATTTATCTTTCTTAAGTATATGCATAGCTCATATTTATTTCAATGCTTAATATTAAAAGCGTTTTGATCTTTATTTAGTAGTTTCGTGGTGTTGTAACCAGAAACATGCCCTAAGAACTTAACTCTTGTTTATATCAATTAACCTATGGTAAAACTGGTTTCATTACATATGAAATTAAATGAGGAGTTACTGTACATGATTTATCAAGTCATTTAAAATACCAACTTCTACTGAAATTATAGTGCTAGCCCTATAAAAGTAATTCCATTTCTAGAACCAGCTAGGACCTTCTAGCTGTGCTAGTTTTGTTTCTCTATACCAATTTACTTACAAACAGCAAAAGCCAGAAAGATCCATCTGGATCCACTTCCTTTATTAATGGAAGCGATAACCACCAACCATAAACAAACAATTGAAACATTATAATAAATTTCTATTTATGAAGTAGTTATTTTATAATTTGTCTAATTTCCACACATAGAATTAAACAATTTAAGTGTATTTTAATTGTCACCAATTTGGCAAGTACTTACTAGAACACAGGCTTCTTTCTTAAACTGGTTGGTATAAGTAACTAGTAATTAAAATAGTCTAAGATAAAGACATTTTAGTTGAACTTAAGTGACAAACTTTCCAAGTACCATGGACAAAGTTACTGGAAACACACACATACAAATTATTACTATCAAACTTTACTTTTGACTTCATTCTCCTATTTCTTTTTCTAAACATGGCAGGATATCACCATAAAAGAACTCTCTATCATCCCTTATGAAGGACTGCAGAATACGCTACCCCAAAATATACCACTTTGGCATAAGGATTATACTGGGCCAAACGCACTTGAAAAACAGCAGGTGTAAAAAGGAGTGCTCTGACCTCCCCTTTTCTTTTTTTTTTTTTTTTTTTTTGAGGCAGAGTTTTGCTCTGTCGCCCAGGCTGGAATGCAGTGGCTCAGTCTCGGCTCACTGCAACCTCCGCCTCCCAGATTCAAGTGATTCTCCTGCTTCAGCCTCCCGAGTAGCTGGGACTACAGGTACCCGCCACTACACCTGGCTAATTTTTGTATTTTTAGTAGTGGCGGGATTTTACCATGTTGGCCAGGCTGGTCTTGAACTCCTGACCTCAAATAATCCACTCACCTCAGCCTCCCAAAGTGCTGGGATTACAGGCGTGAGCCACCACGCCCCACCTAATTTTTTTTTTGAGACTGAGTCTCGCTCTGTCCCCCAGGCTAGAGTCCAGTGGCGCGATCTCTGCTCACTGCAACCTCCACCTCCCGGGTTCAAGCGATTCTCCTGCCTCAGCCTCTGGAGTAGCTCGGATTACAGGCACCCACCACCACACTGGCTAATTTTTGTAGTTTTAGTTGAGACAAGGTTTCACCATGTTGGCCAGGCTGGTTTCAAACTCCTGGCCTCAAATGATTCACCCACCTCGGCCTCCCAAAGTGCTGGGATTATAAGCCTGAGCCACTGCATCTGGCCTCTGACCTCCCCTTCTTGAAATCAAGAAACAAAACTCCCTTGTGAAAGATGCCCTCTATGTAGCAGGAGGAAAGCAACATTCTGACCACAAGAGACGGAATGGAGGCTAAGACAATTCTGTACAAACATCATTTGTTAAAATAACTCATCTTCCTTTGGTCTCCCCATATATTTGACTTACTTTTCCACAATTTCTTCTGGGTTCAACCTAGTACATAAGCACTTAGATTTTGTCACTTCTTTAGGTCTTCATTTTCCCATGGGGGTTCCTATGCACATGTAAAAATCTGTATACTTTTCTCCTGCTAATGCCTTATGTCCATTTAGTTCTCAGAACCAGGTGGAGGCTTTTAGAGGGTACGGGTAAAGTTTTGCCTCCTCTATATTTACAAACTCTAGGTCCTTCAATGATCCTCCCTATACATCCTTAATAAATGATAAATAAATGGCACATTTATAAGAGCTAGGCCAGGTGCAGTGGCTCATGCCTATAACCCCAGCCCTTTGGGAGGCCGAGGCAGGCGGATCACTTGAGGTGAGGAATTCAAGACCAGCCTGGCCAACATGGTGAAACCCCATCTCTACTAAAAATACAAAAATTTGCTGGGCGTGGTGGCGCGTGCCTGTAATCCCAGCTACTCAGGAGGCTGAGGCAGGAGAATCGCCTAAGTCTGGGAGATGGAGGCTGCAGTGAGCTGAGATCACGCCACTGTACTCCAGCCTGGGGGACAGACCAAGACTGTAAAAAAAAAAAAAAAAAAAAAAATTTTCAGAGCTAAATTTGGCCAGGCGTGGTGACTCACGCCTGTAATCCCAGCACTTTCGGAGGCCGAGGCAGTCAGATCACCTGAGGTCAGGAGTTGGTGACCAGACTGGCCGACATGGTGAAACTCCGTCTCTACAATAATACAAAAATTAGCCCGGGTGTGGTGGTGCACGCCTGTAATCCCAGTTACTTGGGAGGCTGAGGCAGGAGAATTGCTTGAACCCAGGAGGCAGAGGTTGCAGTGAGCCGAGATTGCACCACTGCACTCCAGCCTGGGTGACAAGAGTGAAATTCCATCTCAAAAAAAACAAAAACAAAAACAAAAATAAACAGAGCTAAATTTGAATTTACCAGGGCAGTAAAATGTTCAAACACCATTATAATTTAGTGTGAATAAGTTCATACAGCTTTGCTATCATATTAAAAACATAAAATTAAGACATGGGGGAAAAAATATATTCCTTAAATTTAAATCAGCAAAAAGTTGTCTTCTTCACTGACTCTACAAAGAAACTTACCATATTTTATGAAAAATCATTCTCTATTGCAAATAACAATAATCTTAGTATTAAGACTATCTGAGTCATCTAGAGATATAGTTAACATAAATGAAGCACTATTAATAAAAGAGATAAACAATGTATTATAGTTATTAGTGACACATATAATAAGGAAAGAAACCATCAACACCACCAAAAATTACCCTGATGTTTGCCTCTCCTCTATATTTTGAAAACTAACTTGAAGAGTTCCAATGCCAATAAAGGAAAAACAAACAGCACTAGTTCCAAGAACAATGTTTTCCCTCTGAAACTGCTGACCTGTGTGTGTACATCAGCATGCCATCTTTCCAGATTTAGAATGTTGGTGCAAATACCAATTTAAATGTTCTGTGAAAATAGCTCATTTGTTAAAGGTAAAAATTTGTAGTAGAAAGAAAAATTAAGGGGATATGTGCTTAAGATAAAATGTCTCTGAACTCCTACCTGTTATAATTATATTGTACTTTAAGTTTCTCCCTGGTTATTTGTCCTAACATTGTAACCTAAAACTTAATTCCTTGAAACTTAGGTAAAAACGTAAAAATAAATTACCCTTTGGCATCTAAAATGTTCCCTGTGAAACATACATTAGAGATTACCACAAATTCCTAAACACACAAATAAAAATAAGCAACTAAATATATGGCATATTTCGAAGCCACCACACTAAGTGACTGGACATTTAAAAACCACGTTAATGCTTTCTGCAGTACTAACATGACTTTCTTAAATACACATTATACATTTAATTCCTGGTATTAAATATATGTATATAAGAGGGGGGTATATATGCATGTGTGTACTTATCAACTTATTACTCTGGAATCTTAGCAATAAAAATTTTTCTTGGACAATGGAAGTGGGAGACAAACACCTCATAGTAGTGTGTAATGAAAGAGAAACTGGTGGCCGGGCACAGTGGCTCACACCTGTAATTCCAGCATTGTGGGAGACCGAGGCTGGCAGATCACAAGGTCAGGAGTTCGAGACCAGCCTGGCCAATATGGTGAGACCCCCCTCCGTCTCTACTAAAAATACAAAAATTAGCCAGGCGTGTTGGCGCGCACCTGTAGTCCCATCCATTCGGGAGGCTGAGGCAGAAGAATCGCTTGAACCTGGGAGGCAGAGGTTGCAGTAAGCCGAGGCGAGATCGTGCCACTGCACTCCAGCCTGGGCGACAGAGCAAGAGCCCGTCTTAAAATAAAAAGAAAGAGAAACTGGTATAAAGCCTAGTTTTTTACAAAGAGCAGCAAAACAGCAGCTTCACCAGTTACTCCGATACCACATAGGAAGTCCCCTAGGCCTATCTTCCCCATGCTTAAAGCAACAGAAAGAACAAAACAGAAATCTTTTATTGCAGTGTAAAATTTTAAAATTCTCTACCTTAAACAAATCAAAATCACTGCCTTATATTACACAGTACAAAGTACAAGCTGATAATATGTCACTTGGTATGCTTTGTTTTGCTTTTTTAAAAGAAAAGTCAGTGAAAGAAGCTGGACTCAAACACATATTGTGTGCTCCATTTAGATCAAGTACAAAGACAAGTGAAACTACTTCATGATGTTCTAAGTCAGGATAGTGATGATGTTTAGGGTAATAAAGAGAAGGGTACAAGGACAGCTTCTGGAGTGCTGGCAATATTCTCTTCCTCATATGTGTACTGGTTACATGGATGTGTTCACTTTGTGGAAATCCATCAAGTTATACACTCATATCTGCCTTTTCTATGTTTTTTTATACTTCTACAAATTTTCAAAAGGTTACAGAAGGAGGAGTAAGACCCCAGATCCTCTCCCCAATTCCAGCAGAGGACAGTTTATTCCCTGGAAGAAAACGAACCAGAGTCCCTGATTCAAAGACATCAGGCATACTACATCACAGCATGACAAACAGGGAAACTGCTTTCTTCGGCCCTTCATTTGACCCAGGGAGGTAATTTGGAAGAAAGAGAATAGTCTGTCAAAGCATCAGGGAGGTAATTTGGAAAAGAGAGAATAGTTTGTCAAACTATAGAGCAATAAGAGAATGAAAACCACTGAGTTAATTTCTTATTTAGTTATACATACAGCTTGAGTATTCTCAATGATTCTTCTTCATCTTGAGATTTTAAACAACAGCTGAAAGATGGCTCATGTCCAGTGACTTGGTTTACTTTTATATTCAAAATATTTCAGTCTCAGTGTAATATACTCATTTTCTGAGATGCTGATTATTGAACATATGATCTCTAAAAAGATAATTCCAGAAGTCCATCTGGGTAGCATCAAAGACTCCTTTATCTCCTTTCATACCACATGGCTCAGTAATACTGTCTTATCAGACATGTGTTCTTTGCAATTATTTTTCTGATCAATGATAGGTTTGGGAAATTAGAGAAAATAAATGTCACTGAAAACAAAGTATTAACTAAATTTGTACATTTAATGTTAATGTTTACATATACAATTTTAAGATACAACTTTTTTTTTTTTTTTTTTTGAGACAGAGTCTCGCTCAGTCACTCAGGCTGGAGTGCAGTGGCGCCATTTCAGCTCACTGCAACCTCTGCCTCCCAGGTTCAAGCGATTCTCTTGCCTTAGCCTCCTGAGGAGCTGGGATTATAGGTGTGCGCCATGACGCCTAGCTATTTTTTTGTATTTTTAGTAGAGACGGGTTTCACCATGTTGGCCAGGCTGGCCAACATGACCTCAAATCATCCACCCACCTTAGCCTCCCAAAGTTACAGGCAAGATACAATTTTCATCTAAAATAGTCTGAAGTTATCCCTTATTGATTTGGTACACATGCAATGCTATAGAAACTGGCTTATGGAAGTTAAAATGAATAAGACATGATTGTCAAAGGATGACGGTATAATCTGTAGTATTGTTTAATTCTTTGTAATTACTTAAGTGTCAAAATATCTCTCATAAATTGAAAAGAAAAAAGTTATCAAGCATAACAGAAAACACTGTTCTGAAAACAGGGAAGTTAAATAAAAATCCACATATGGCCGGGCACAGTGGCTCACGCTTGTAATCCCAGCACTTTGGGAGGCTGACGCGGGAGGATCACAAGGTCAGAAGATCGAGACCATCCTGGCTAAAACAGTGAAACCTTGTCTCCACTAAAAATAGAAAAATTAGCCGGGCGTGGTGGTGGGCGCCTGTAATCCCAGCTACTCAGGAGGCTGAGGCAGGAGAATGGCGTGAATCTGGGAGGCGGAGCTTGCAGTGAGCCGAGATCGCCCCACTGCGCTCCAGCCTGGACAACAGAGCCAGACTCCATCTAAAAAAAAAAAAATCCACATACTAAACCTTGAGATTCTTCCTCTCTTTTCCACTCATTACCCTAAATCTTGGCATGCATCGCCGTGGCAGAATACCAAAGGGTTTCTCTAGTAAACTGACACCCCCTGAGGAAAAGGTCCACACACTGTCTTTGCTGTGTAGCAGGCCAGAAGAACAAGCACATACCCTGGCTCCAGGAAGAAAAAAGTCTCCAAGAAAAAGGTGCTGAGAGGAATATAAGAATTCCGTCAGAAAGCTTACAAATACCAGGGGAAAAAGAAAAGTATACAAGTGATAAAGTGAGGCTGCTATCAAGCCAGCACAAGAAAGGAAATATAATCACTGCAATTAAATCCCTTAGCTGTGAATAAGTTCCAGGTTCATAATAACGTAAACAGTGAGTACTGACTTAACCAAAAATTAACACCTATATATTGAGAGGATAGGGGAAAGAGAAGTTAGTACATGTGGTGTGGGGTAGATGGGGCGTGAGACAATGTAAATGAATGAAATCCTTATCTTCCATAGTAATGAGTCAACATATAATGTCCAATAATGAAAAAATCAAAACATAGCAGTATACACATAATATTTAGAAAGAGAAAGGAAAACGGCAGAAAGAGCCAAAAGATTCAAAAGGGTTGTCTAGGGAGCAGGACTTGGATGTAGGGATGGGCTGGAGCTTCAGGCACCTACTTCTTATTGTAAACTTCACTGCTTATTAAGATCTTTAAAAATCTATATAGGGTGTTACTTTGATGAAGGAAAAAGGCTTAAATTTTTAAAAATACAAAATAAAACAAAACCAAGAAATGTAAAAAACAGTGGGCAACAAAAATAGGGCTAACCTGCAGAGGGAAAATGACAACAAGACAATCAGCTCTCAAAGGTAGCGCAACAGACCAGGTGAGGGTTGAGAAGTACTTTTACTATAACAGCTGGGGAGAGAGGGTGTGTGCAGTAGAGGGATGGGAGCAGAGGAGAAAAGAGGATGAGCTCAAAAGATATCACACAGAATCAACAGACATGGGGGATCAAGTCGGTGACTCTGTAAGAACTAAAAGGCAAGACAGAATCTGAATCCTCCTGAAGTGGGTCATGCCCAAAATATCCCTCCACCTGGATATTTATTCCACAAATACTGGCTCTTTGGGAGCATTTTAATTTTCTTTTTATTTAGGTTTAAAATGTTTGGATTATTATGAAATACTCAAATTTAAAAAATGCAGAAAACTGTAACATTCATCGGCATTAACTATACAGCGTTTTAAAATACTAACCTTTTGGGCCAGGCGTGGTGGCTCATGCCTGTAATCCCAGCACTTTGGGAGGCCAAGATGGGTGGACTACCTGAGGTCAGGAGTTTGAGACCAGCCTGGCCAACATGGCAAAACCCCGTCTCTACTAAAACTACAAAAATTAGCCAGGCATGGTGGCGGGTGCCTGTAATCCCAGCTACTCAGGAGGCTGAGGCAGGAGAATCGCTTGAACCTGGGGGGCGGAGGTTGCAGTAAGTCAAGATCGCACCATTGCACTCCCGCTGGGCAACAGAGTGAGGCTCTGTCTCCAAAAAAAAAAAAACAAAAAACACAAAAACAAAAACGTTTTGGCCTCTCATTTTTCTTTTTAAAGAAATAAACGTTACAGATATAGTTGAAACCTTGTTCAAACCATTCACTAATCCCCATCCCCCGTCTCCCTAAAAGGTAACCATTAAACTGAATTTGGCAGTTAACATCCCCATAGACCCCAACTTTAAAAGAGAGCATTAGGTTGGATGAATTTTTTTTAACTTTTATTTTAAGTTCAAAGCTACATGAGCAGGTTTGTTACACAGGTAAACGTGTGTCATGAGGGTTTGTTGCACATATATTTCATCACCCAGGTACTACGCCTAGTATCTGTTAGTTATTTTTCCTAATCCTCTCCTTCTTCCTGCCCTCCAGCCTCCAATAGGCCCCACTGTGTGTTGTTCCCCTCTATGTGTCCATGTATTCTCATCACTTGACACCCACTTATAAGTAAGAACATGCAGTATTTGGTTTTCTGTTCCTGCCTTAATTTGCTAAGGATAACAGCCTCCAGCTCCATCCATGTCCCTGAAAAGGACATAATCTCACTTTTTATGGCTGCATAGTATTCCATGGTATATTAAGTACCACATTTCTTTATCCAGCCTATCATTGATGGGCATTTGGGTTGATAGTCTGGATGAATTCTAATGCACCATTCTGTTCTAAGACATCAGGATTTGGCAGTATGATAGAAAGCCTTTGATGTTCTATGATAGAAGTGCAAAAGTCTACACTTCTGTGAAATATGCAAAAATACTTCCCAATAATTTCAAACCTCAGAACACACTGATTGATGATAGTTCATGATGGGTAGCTCCAGAAACAAACAAACAAAATGATAATAATGATTATAACCTTTCAGCCAAAAAGAAAAAAAAAAGCATATTAACTTTACTGTTGTAGTGCCAGTACAACTTTTTATTTTATTTTTGAGACAGGTTTTCCCTCTGTTGCCTAGGCTGGAGTGCAATAGTGTAATCATGGCTCACCGCAGCCTCAAACTACTGGGATCAAGCAATCCTCATGCCTCAGCCTCCCCAGTAGCTGAGACTACAAGCATGTGCTACTATACCCAGCTAATTTTTAAATTTTTCTTTATAGAGATGGGGTCTCATGACATTGACAGGCTGGTTTCAAACTCCTGGTCTCAAGCCAGCTTCCTGCCTCAGTTTCCCAAAGTGTTGGGATTATAGGACTGAGCCATTGCATCCAGCCAGTCCAAAATTAGTAACAATACATAGAGCATATAAAACCTAAGCTTAAGTATTTTGCAAACAAATCAGTCCTACCATTTGTCTTTGGTGAAAATGCGAGACTGAAGACAGAAAAATTATGTTTAAAGAACTGTGGTATACCTGTTATTAGATTCTAGTATCAGTTGTTTTTGAGGTTTTTTCCTGCAATTTAGACTAATCCTACTTATTCCTGTGAACCAACCAGTGATCTCTGCTGCTGCTCAGAAGAAATAAAAGGGATGGGTAATGTAAAAATCCTGATCAGTATTCTAATTCTGGGCAGGTACTGGAATCAGCCAGGGACCCCATATCAGCTTGGTTCCACAACAACTGCCTAGTTAATAGAAAGCCTTCTTATTTAGTTTACTTGGGATAATTTTACTTATTTTGTTTTACTGTTGTAGAATATATTGCTGTTGTACTCTTTGTGTAGGAATGCAGATAAGCTTACTGAATGTTTTCTTAAATTGAACACTTACTATTCTTCCAGATAGCACCTCTTGTTGGAACTCACTGTTATCAATGGCCCTCGCCAGACCTACGCTTTGTGACTGACCTCCTCTCTACCTTGAATACAAGAGGCCCTCATAGTTAGGTAGGAATATCATTGTCCCTATTCAGCCTGAAGAAGTTACAGAAGATGGATCTTCATTCCTCTACAACCCTTAGGATTAAAGATCTCCTTATAAAAGGGAGGGGCAGCCAGGTGCAGTAGCTCACGTCTGTAATCCCAGTACTTTGGGAGGCCGAGGTGGGTGGATTACCTGAGGTCAGGAGTTCGAGACCAGCCTGGCCAACATGGTGAAACCCCACCTCTACTAAAAATACAAAAATTAGCTGGGAGTGGTGGCGGGCGCCTATAGTCCCAGCTACTCGGGAGGCTGAGGCAGGAGAATTGCTTGAACCCGGGAGGTGGAGGTTGCAGTGAGCCGAGACTGTGCCACTGCACTCCAGTCTGGGCAACAGGAGCGAGACTCTGTCTCAAAAAAATAAATTAATTAAAATAAATAAACAAATAAATTTTTAAAAATTAAAAAAATAAAAGGGAAGGGGGAAATATGTCAGAGGCATTCGAACCTGAGTGACTCCATCTTGAATAGGGGCTGGGTAAAATAAGGTTTACCCCTACTGGGCTGCATTCCCAGGAGGTTAGGCATTCTTACTCACAGGATGAAATAGGAGGTCAGCACAAGATACAGGTCACAAAGATCTTGCTGATAAAACAGGATGCGGTAAAGAAGCTGGCCAAAAGCCACCAAAACCAAAATGGTGATGAAAAGTTGACCTCTGGCTGTCTCACGGCTCATTGTATGCTGATTATAATGCATTAGCATGCTAAGAGACACTCCCACCAGCACCATGAGTTTACAAATCCCATGGCAATATCAGAAAGTTACTCTATATGGTCTAAAAAGGGGAGGGACCCTTAGTTCTGGGACTTGGCTACCCCTTTCCCAGAACACTCATAAATAATCTACCCCACTGATTATATTTAGCATATAATCAAGAAATAACCATAGGCTGGGCCTGGTGGCTCATGCCTGTAATCCCAGCACTTTGGGAGGCCGAGGTGGGTGGATCACTTGAGTCCAAGAGTTCAAGACCAGCCTGGCAACATGGTGAAACCCCATCTCTACTAAAAATATAAATTCTAGCTGTGCGTGGTGGTGGTGCATGCCTGTAATCCCAGCTATTTGGGAGGCTGAGGCAGGAGGATCACTTGAGCACGGGAGGCGAAGGTTGCTGTGAGCCACCACTGCACTCCAGCCTGGGTGACAGCAAAACAGTGTCTAAAAAAAGAAAGAAAGAAAAGAAGAAAGAAAAGAAGAGAGAGAGAAAAGAGAGAGAGAGAGAGAGAACCATAAAAGTAGCCAACCAGCAGCCCTTAGGGCTGCTTTGCCTATGGAGTAAGCCATTCTTTATTCCTTTACTTTCTTAATAAACTTGCTTTCAATTAAAAAAAAAAAAAAAAGAATACCACAGTGATAACTTTCATAGTACACGTCAGCTACAGGGGACAATCAGGAATTGCTGGAGCAAAATATCCTTATTAGAGTCTCGATTGCCTACGTAATTAATTCACTGCAGCACCAAACTGTCCCAGTTGTCATTATATTCTTCTCTATTCTTTTCTTCCGGGCAATATTAACAGTAAAAATATTCTTTAAAAAAATTGTAATGCCAGTTTTACTTAAGAATGTCCTTGATGACACACGAAAGTTATTTCTTATTACATCTCAACCCCTGAGTATATGTCTTTTTAATTTTCTGGGTGATAAAATAGGAAGTACACAAAAAACACTTCTGGTGCACACTGAAGTATGATAGTCATCTCAAGGAAAACACTTATCTGATTATGTGAGCTGTGGGCCAAACCAGTCGCTATTTATAGAGAACCCCATTTTTACTTGAAAGAGCAACTGACAAACTATTATTATTCATACTTGGGTATTTGGCAGACATTTTCTCAAAAATGAAGTGAGAAGTCTGCTTACCAGAAAACAACTGATGGCATGTGCTGCCAATAATGGCCTTCAAATTTCTAATGAAAAATTAAAATTTTGGAAAACTCGTTTCCACAGTAAGCTTAACAACATCCCAATACTTAAAAGACTTTACTGATAAGATCAGTGGTGATATTGGCTGGGCGCAGTGGTTCACACCTGTAATCCCAGCACTTTGGGAGGTCAAGGTGGGCGGATCACTTCAGGTCAGGAGTTCGAGACCAGACTGGCCAACATGGTGAAACCCCATCTCTACTAAAAATACAAAAAAATTAGCCAGGTGTTGGGGGAGCGCCTGTAATCCCAGCTACTTCAGAGGCTGAGGCGGGAGAATCACTAGAACGCGGGAGGCAGTGGTTGCAGTGAGCCGAGATTGTGCCACCACACTCTAGCCTGGGCGACAGAGTGAGACTCCATCTCAAAAAAAGAAAAAAAAAAAGATCAGTGGTGATATTAACAAATGTGAATTCTTAAAATTCCATAATAAAATACATTAACATTTGGAGTATCTGTGTTACACAACGGAGTAGTACTCTCCAAATGACCAACACTTAATGCAATAAAGTGATGCATGGGTAAAGAGTCAAATCAAACTGCAAGTCAGATCAATGGATCTTACCGTTAAAGAATTCAAAAAGCTCACGAATAGGGTTTTAGATTCCATTTTAGAACTAACATTTAAGAAATGACCACTTGTCAAGTTTTGGTATAGTATCAAGGAAGGATATTCACAATTACCTGAAAAGACAATTAAAATACTCTTCCATTTTCCAATTACATCCACAAACTTTATAAGCAACTATTGGATTATTTTTTCTGGATGTTAAAAACCATAAACAGAATCACAATGGTTATCACATTTTAATTCCTGATCATATCAGTCATGTAAAAACAAATGAACTAGCAATTATTTATTTAAAAGTTATATTCTTTGCAGTTACATAGTCTTACATATTTGCAACAAATATATAAGTATCAAAGGTTTAATTTACCACAGAATGAAGACTGATCACTGCTCCAAAGAGGAAAGGAAGTGAATGTGGTAAATTCTTAAATCTGTTTTGGAGACATGCAAGTCAAGTCCCTCTCTTCTAGTTTAAATGAGCAGATTCTAGGCCAGGCGTGGTGTCTCACGCCTATAATCACAGCACTTTGGGAGGCCAAGAAGGGCAGATCACTTGAGGTTAGGAGTTCAAGACCAGCCTGGCCAACATGGTAAAACCCCATCTCTACTAAAAATACAAAAATTAAGAGGGCGTGGGCGCCTGTAATCCCAGCTACTCGGGAGGCTGAGGCAGGTGAATCACTTGGGCCCAGGAGGAGGAGGTTGCAGTGAGCCGAGATCATGCCACTGCACTCCAGCCTGAGACAGAGCAAGACTCTGTCTCAAAAAAATAAAAAATAAAGGAGCAGGTTCTATTTATTTAACATGTGACTCCTGAAACCCACACACTAATCACCCAGATGACATGATGTAAGTTGATTTAAACGCTGGTTCTTAAATTTCTAAGGAAATATCTTTTTATGGGAAAAAATGACCTTTCATAAATTTCAAAAGAAACAATTTAATCTGAACAAACACCTGAAGTTCAGAAGTAACACACCAAATGTTATTAATTTTTTGCACATGCATTTTTAGATAGGAATAAAAGTTGTTTAAGGAGAATTGTTCTTACACAACTCTATCCAGTTAATAAATATCATAAATCATTAGTTTCAAAAGCAAGAACCTTAAAAAAAATTTCAGATTGAGAATTGGTAATGTCTTCACTAATAAACAAAGTCCTATTACCCTGTTATCTGAAGGAGAAAGTTTACACACTAGCTTTTTTCATGAGAATATTCAAGAGATAACAAGCAGAAGTTCATTCTGCCCCCACCCCTTCCTAATGATCTACCCATTTCTGCAGGCTTACCTTTGCAGTTCATTAAGCCCCCTGGCAGCTGGAAGGCTAGGGTTCTGCCTTAGGAAGTTTTGTTTTAAATTGAGATGAGTGAGGTCTTGGCTGTAGAAGAGGTTGGCAGGCAGATGTTCCAGGCTACAACACGAGAGGTCCACTGAGCTAATGCGCTGGGATGCAACCTAAAGGGGGATAAAACTTAATTTTAATACCATCCACTTATCCTATAACTACTTTCTATGGATAGAAATAAGATAATCCCAATTTGGAACAGATATTCTATGAAAGTAGCACTGTTAGTCCAAATATAAACCAACAGAGTATTCAGTCATGTGCCGCATACCAACCTTTCAGTCAATAACGTACCACACACAGCAGTCCCACAAGATTATAAAGAAGCTGAAAAAGTCCTATCACCTAGTGATATGGCAGCTATCATAATGTCATAGCACAACACACTGCCTTCTATGTTTAGATACACAAATATTTACCATTTTGTTACAACTGCCCACAGTATTCGGTACAGTAACATGCTACACAGGTTTGTAACCTAGGAGCAATAGCCTAGGTGTGTAGTTGGCTAACACCATCTAGGTTTGTGTAAGTACACACTGATGTTTGCACCATGAAGAAACTGCCTAACAACACATTTCTCAAGATACATCCCTGTCATTAAGTGATGCATGTCTGTACTTAGTATTTGAGCCAAGTACTTTATAAAAGCAGGAAAATGTCCCTGCCTGGAGGGTATGTACAGTAACCTAGCATAGGAGACAGGCTGGAAAGAACATAGATTATTCCATCAGGTTTAGTGATATCAGTAATCTCCTCCAATGCAGGAGTTTTATTCCTGAAAACATAAGGAATAATTCTCTCCGACAGAAAGAGAATTCAGAGCTATCGAGTAAATACACGGTCAAGAGACAGATACTAAGATCTAAACTGAACATATAAAAGCCATTGTATATACTGATTTAAAATAGCACAAATAAAGAAAAAGAACAAGACCTTTACACTGACCTTGTACACATCTTCAATTAATGGTACAGTAGAATCAGATTCCATTGCCTGTCTGCTACAAACTTTTCAGGCTGCCTCTCCCAGTTTCAGTGAAATGCTTACAAATTCATTGTGCTTTGCTTCATGTAAGTATTTTATGTAAAACTTATTTTATGTCTAAATATTTATCCAGATGTTCAATGCCTTCCTGGTTAAATGACTCCTCCCACAGCCAGGATCTCAGGGCTAAAGACCAACTTTTATGTGGGAAGCAGAAAACGCACTGACCACCCTGTATTTCTCAAATGCTCTTCCCAATATTGTAGGTAACACAGTGCCAATTTATGCTAAAGCACATGGCTTCAGCCCCACCTCCACACATCTTGGTTTTCTCTCCTCACAGAGGCAATGGGAGTACAGTTCTAAAACTTTGGTTAATTCTCCCTATTTATCTTTACCAAAGCTTTAGGGCAGAAACTTCACTGCTTCTCTGTGATCAGTCTGATCTCTTTTTCTTTTACCAAACCCCAGGTTTCTGTTCCTAATTACACAAGGCAGTAGAACGTAGTCCTTAGGTGTATGGTTCTGAGTTCAGTGTCCAGATTCATAGCCCAGCACCACCACTCAGGAGCTGAGATAACTTGAATAGATCACTGATCTAAGATCCAGTTTTCTCATCTGTATAACACGTATAAAGATGGTACCTACTTCTACATGCCTGGCACAGAAAAAGCACTCAATAAATGTTAACTGCTATTACTATTACTAGTACTACTACTAACACTACCATTTCCAAATCAAATCATTCACATTTTATTTTTTATTAAAAAAAATATTTTTAGATAATAAAGTAGGGGCAAGGTCTTGCCATGTTGCCCAGGATGGTCTCAAACTACTAGGCTAGGTTGATCCTCTCACGTCAGCCTCCCAAAGCGCTGGATTACAGGCATGAGCCACCATACCCAGCTTCATTCACATTTTATATCCACTAAAATTCATACTCTCCTGATGCTAAAAGTATCCAGAAGTAAATCTGCCTAAGATATGTTCTGCTAGATCAGGTATGGTGGCTCACATCTGTAATCCCAGCACTTTGGGAGGCCAAGGCAGGTGGATCATTTGAGGTCAGAAGTTCCAGACCAGCCTGGCCAATATGGTGAAACCCCGACTCTACTAAAAATACAAAAATTAGCTGGGCGTAGTGGTGGGTGCCTGTAATCCCGGCTACTCGGGAGGCTGAGGCAGCAGAATTGCTTGAACCCACGAGGCAGAGGTTGCAGTGAGCTGAGATCGTGCCATTGCAGTCCAGCCTGGGCAACAGAGAGAGGCTGTGTCTCAAAAAAAAAAAAAAAAAAGGTTCTGCTGATGGAATATTTGAGCTTAGGAGAAACTACTGTGCACACATGAAAGCTAAAGGTATACTGGGGTGAGAAAGGCTGGGCAGGACTTATCTCTAAAGACTTTACTGAGAAAGTCTGAGTTTGCATTTTACCAATTTTATCTTTCTGTGAATTTTCACCATTAAATAAGAAAAAGAAACTTCCAAACAGGGCCAAACCACTCATATAAAGAAAGATGTAAAAAGAGATAGAATGTTAATGGGCCTGAAAGTAGGTGCAAAAGCACCACGCTACACAGGATTCCTACGGCATTCATAGGAAGTGGATGGGAACCTGTTTATAGAAAGTGAGTTTGAAACCTCTGCTAGCTAGTGGAATCATTCATTCAAAAATATGTGTTGAGAATCTACTTAATGGTGTGTGGCAGGCCTTTTATTTCCTGAGACACAAAAGGAAAACAAGACAGACACAGTCTCTGCCCTGAATGAGTACACATCAAGAGGAGAGGGTAATTAAGATACTACATGATAACTGTTACAAGAATAGGAAGTGCAAGGACACAGAACAGAATCCCAGGGGTCAGAAAAGGATTCCCAGAGGATGTAATATCCAAGCCCAAACTTGAAGCCTCAGTAGAAATCTGTGTTTTTTGCCCCAAATCCTTTCTCCTTCAAACTCATGATCCTAAGGGGAACTGCAAACAAAGTACCCAGATGCTCTGGATTCGTGGGTAAGCATGCACTCCAGGTCTGAGCAATCTGAGTGTCCTATCTGCTGAAGCCACAGACTGATCCAACAGGTGCTAGCATGGGACCCAAGCTAGGTTAATCAGAGGACTTCTCTGGGATTTACATATTCTGAAACCAGGAAAGAAAGAGAACCAGCTGCTTAGAGCTGCAGTTAAAATGAAGGAACTAGATCCATATGTATCAATCTGACTTGATACAAATGCAAACTGCAGCATGACACATTCCATTTATGAAAACAATTTTTAATACAATACACACACACCTCCATATATTAGATGGATGAATAGTTATATGTGCAATATATACCGTGAGATCATAAATTTCTATTGTTTTAAGCCACCAAGGGTTTGCTAATATGTTACAGCAGCCACAGGAAACTAATGCAACCCTTCTTTATTTTTTCCATTGTACTTTTTTTCATTTTCATTCATTCAACATGTTTACTGAATATCTACTAGAGGTGCCAATTACCGTTCTAGGTGAGCCCTTAATATACTTCAGAAAACAAAATGAAGATCCCTCCCCTATTAAGCTTTCTTTACAAATAAATAAATTATATGTTAAAAAAATTGGTAAGCACTACAGAGAAAAAAAAAACAGCTTGAGAAAGGGGGTCAAGACTGCTGGGAAGGTGGTGGATTGTAATTTAAATAGGTTGGTGAGAGTGGTGCCCACTGAAAAGACCACATTTAGAAAGGAAAAACCGGAGAAGTTGGCAGATAGGATTTATCTGGAAGAAGATGCTGCCAGGCAGAGGAAGTACCCAGAGTTAGGACCCTTAGAGAAGCATGCCTTAGCTAGGCATGGTGGCTCATGCCTGTAATCCCAGCACTTTGGGAGGCTGGGGTGGGAGGACTGTTTGAGCCCAGAAGTTCGAGATCAGCCTGGGCAACATAGTGAGACCACCAACTCTACTAATAAAAAAATTTTTTAATTAGCTGGGCGTGGTGGTGCGTGCCTATAGTTCCAGCTACTCGGGAGGCTGAGGTGGACGGACCACTTGAGCCCAGAAGGTCGAGGTTGCAGTGAGCTTTGATCACACCACTGCACTCCAGCCTGGGCAATACAGCCAGACCCTGTCTCAAATTTGTAAAAGGAGCACACTTGGCATGTCCGAGGGACTTGAGAACACTGATAATAAGGAGACAGTGACTGGCAATGAGGTCAGAAGGTAAGGGGGCAGGGGATATGGGGTAAGCAGCAGATCCTGTGGGACCCTCAGGCCTTGTAAGGACTCTGGCTTTTAAGGTGAGTGAAATGGGATGTGTGGAAAGGTTCTGAGAAGTGTGAGGTGATCACCAACATATGGTCGGCGCTCCATATCCACTGGGGATTAGCTCCTGGACCCCAGCAGGTATCAAAATCCACGGATGCTCAAGTCCCTGACATAAAATGCCATAGTACACTCAGCCCTCCGTGTTGGCAGGTTTTGATCCCCGGTTAGTTGAATCTGAAAATGGGAAACTCGCAGTAAGAAGGGCCTACTGTACCATGGAATTTTCTTATTTTTTCTCTATCTTTGTCTCTAGATTGTAAGCTCCATAAAGGAAAGGATTTTTCTATTTTGTTCACTGATATAACCCCACGTTGAGTACTTGGGAGGACCCTCAAAACATCTTGCTGGAAGAATGGCCAGAAGACGACCTTATACCTCCTCCTTTCTCACCAGGCGGCCTCTGCATCTAGTGCATCCTTTCATTTGGCAACCACTTTGAAGAAGACAAATTCCATTTCAAATGAAGCATCCCACTAAATACTCCCTTTGGACAACTAAGAGAAAATGATTTAACATCAAGTTGTATTGGCTTCCTTTCCTCCTTCTAGACCGTAAGCTGTTTCTGCTGGAAACAAGGAGGAGGAAACCACATTAACGAGGCTACAAGCAAGGGCAGTCCTGTGTGAGCTATGTAGAACTAGGAATGTCTATCGTGAGAACATAAATTCAACATGTTAATATGGCCACTAGGCAGTGAGCTGCATAGGTGACCACAAAAGCTACCACTAGCTACACCACTGCCCAGTCCCATAAGCTGCAACAGAATGGGAGATTTAAGTGCTTCTACTCAGAGCAACCTGGGCACATCAGGGCTCTATCACAAAGAGTTAAGAACCAGGAAAGCACTCTACTTAGAAGGTATGGCTTGATTCCCAAATGAGAAAACTACCAGCTGGGCTATCCAAAGAAACTGTGACCCACCTACACAGCAGCTATTAAAACTGAGATCCTGCCTGAAATAAGAAAGACCTACATACATAAAAAAAATTAATCAAAAAACCACATGTGCACACCTCAGAGCAAGTAGGCTTTATTATTCTAGCGTTTTCCTTTTCCAAGTAACAATAATAATAGTTAACATTTAAGTAGTGCCTTCTTTGTGATAGGCACTCTTCCAAGAGCTTAAGATACAATATTTAGCTTAATCTTCCCAATACCCTGTGCAGTAAGAACTTACCCCTGTTTCAAAGATAAAGATTAAACTGAGTCACAGAGTGTGCGCCCAAGGCCATTTAGTTTAAAAAGCAGCAGGATCAGGCTGGGTGTAGGGGCTCATGCCTGTAATCCCAACACTATGGGAGGCCGAGGTGGGTGGATCATTTGAGGTCAGGAGTTTGAGACCAGCCTGGCCAACATGGTGAAACCCCTTCTCTACTAAAAATACAAAAATTAACCAGGCGTGGTGGTGGGTGCCTGTAATTCCAGTTACTCAGGAGGCTGAGGCAGGAGAATCACTTGAACCTGGGAGGCGGAGATTGCAGTGAACCAAGATTGAGCCATCACACTCCACCCTGGGTGACAAGAGCGAAACTTCATCTCAAAAAAAAAAAAAAAAAAAAGTAGCAGGATCAGAGTTTGAACAAGAGCCAGTACTATTAACTCTATGCCATCAGGTCAAGACCTGGATCTCATCAGAAGGGAGGCTCCTCTAATCTCCATCATAAAATAACATAACTACAGCAAAGAAAATTAGATGTACTCCTCAGGATATGTTTAAGCCTTAGAAATGAAGACAAGGTGGTCAGAGACAGTGAGTCCTCCTCGGGAGAAGCAGTAGAGACCATCTGCTGACCAAATACAGATTTCCGAGGAGGGGTGAATCCCCATGGGGCATTATTCCTTGACATCATAGGCTCTGCCCACTCCAATCCCACACAACTTATCCAGCTGGGCAACAGTGATGCCATCCAGTGAGCACCTAATCAAAATTTTAAAGGTTACAGGAAAAGTATAAGAGGTTATAGATATTTGGGAAGTGAAACAGGCATATATAGAAAGTGCCTCAAATCTCTGTTACAGAAAGCTTCTAAAGGATCTCAGAATATAAATTCCTTTTGGCAAAAGCTACTGTACTTATAACCACAGACAAGATAGTTGAAGGCACAAAGGTGAGGTCCACACAACTTGACATACAGGAGAAAGGGCACCAGCTTAACAGTATGTGGGGTAGGTAGGAACAGTTCTACTTACTAGCAACGTGACTTTGAATAAGTCACTTCGCTTACCTGTCCTTCAAGTTTCCGTATCTCTAAAATAGACTAAGTCCTGTCTTATAGACTAATAGACCTGCCCTGATCACCTTAACAAGTTGCTGCAGTAATACCATTTTATTCATTTTAAAAAATCAGGAGAGGCTCTGTAGACCAAGTATCTCCACAGCAATGTCTACCACTCCAAGCAATAAAAGTCTATAAAACAAAAAAGACTACGATGTAAGCCAATGCTCTCGTCGTTGAGCAGTTATAAGGATAAACTGCAATTAGCCAGACCATCAATGAACTATAGACGAAGAGATTCAAGTTGTGATCAGTTGAAGGTAACTGTGCCATAGAAAGTCAGTTTTAGTCTGTATTAACAATAACAGGCTGGGGGCAGAGGCTCACGCCTGTAATCCCAGCACTTTGTGGGGCCGAGGGGGGCAGATCACCTGAGGTCAGGAGTTCGAGACCAGCCTGGCCAACATGGGGAAACTCCATCTCTACTGAAAATACAAAAATTAGCTGGGTGGGGTGGCGGGCACCTGTAATCCCAGCTACTCAGGAGGCTGAGGTAGGAGAATCGCTTGAACCCGAGAGGCAGAGGTTGCAGGGAGCCAAGATTGCGCCACTGCACTCCAGCCTGGGCAACAACAGCAAGACTCCATCTCAAAAACAAAACGAAACAAGAACAAAAAAAAAAAAGAAAAAAGAAAAAAAATTAAGGCTAATTGAGTTAGTAAATTAAATGGGACTTTTCTACCACGATGGACACACCCTGAGAGATACATCAAAATGAACATAATTTCCAACTACCTGCTCAGGTGGTCTCTTTTTTTCCCAAATGACTTGTAAATATACATAAGGGAAGGAGGGTTCATTTGGTCCTCAAAATATTTCCTCTAAAGAACACTGCACTATAAAAAATGCTAATGTGAACAACAAAATTTTCAGATGACTCAATGGGTGGCCACACATTTCTAACATATAACTCAGCTTGACACTTTCCTAAGTCATTTCTTTGCCTATTATTAGGACCCTTATGACAAAAACGTCCCTCCTCTGAGTGTAGCTGGGTTGCATTTGTAAACCAATCTATCTGTCCTATCCTTACCCTATCCCTGCCACGCTTTCAAAATTCTCATCTTCCCTTGCAAGAGGACAGTACTCTGCATCATTCCCATTACTCTTCTTGGTTCAGTTAGTGGATAATCGTCTTTCACAGGCAAGGGAAAGTTCACAGTAACATTAATGTGATGATTTTGCCCCCTCTATACTTTAGTAAAGTTGTATTTATCCTTCTTATGTGCATGGCATGCTCAAAATTAACCAGAATGACTCTAAAAGGCTTGGTCAAAGCAGCTGAAATACCACAAATAATTCTGCTTGTGTGAAGTGAAACACTGCTGTCAACCTGCCGGGCATGGTGGCTCACGCCTGTAATCCCAGCACTTTGGAAGGCCGAGGCGGGCGGATCATGATGTCAGGAGATCGAGACCATCCTGGCTAACACAGTGAAACCCCGTCTCTACTAAAAATACAAAAAATTAGCCGGGCGTGGCGGCAGGCGCCTGTAGTCCCAGCTACTCGGGAGGCTGAGGCAGGAGAATGGCATGAACCCAGGAGGCGGAGCTCGCAGTGAGCCGAGATTGGGCCACTGCACTCCAGCCAGGGTGACACAGTGAGACTCCATCTCAAAAAATAAATAAATAAATAAAAATTAATTACATCATATATCTTCATAATGTTCCAATAAAAGCATATCAAAGCTACCAGTTTTATACTTATGAAATTCTACCTGGAATTTCAGAATCTCACCATTTCTTTTTCTTAAATGGTTAAATGAGATGGAAAAAGATATATAAGCAATAAAATAAGGGCCAGGCACAGTGACTCATGCCTGTAATTTCTACACTTTGGGAGGCTGAGGCGGGAGGACCACTTGAGTCCAGGAGATTGAGGCCAGCCCAGACAACACAGCAAGACCCCATCTCTACAAAATTAAATTAAAAAATTGGCCAGGTGTGGTGGCACGTGCCTATAGTCCTAGCTACATGGGAGGCTGAGGTGGGAGGAATCCTTGAGCCCAGAAGCTTGAGGCTGCAGTGAACTATGATTGTGCCACTGCCCTCCAGCATGGGTGACAGAGGGAGATCTTGTCTCAAAAAAAAAAGAAAAGAAAAAAGATTACGCAAATTATACAACATTTAAAATGATTCGAGGTAATGACATAGCAAATCAATGAATACAACAGGAAAATCCAGACAGGCTATCATCAATAGGTTAAAAATGAGAGATGGGCTGGGCACAGTGGCTCACGCCTGTAATCCTAGCACTTTGGGAGGCCGAGGCAGGCAGATCATGAGGTCAGGAGTTTGAGACCAGTCTGACCAACATAATGAAACCCTGTCTCCACTAGAAATACAAATATTAGCCGGGTGTGGTGGCGCACACCTGTAATCCCAGCTACTCAGGAGACTGAGGCAAGAGAATCTCTTGAATCCGGGAGGCGGAGGTTGCAGTGAGCCAAGATCGCACCACTGCACTCCAGCCTAGGCGACAGAGCAAGACTCCATCTCAAAAATAAATAAATAAATATGAGAGATGGTATTCTGTTGAGGGCAAGAGCATGTGGGAGAGGTAGGATCTATGATTTTAAAATGATAGGCTATGAGGTACCTGTTAAAATATAGTTAAAAGACCCAAAAATAAGAGTATGGAAACAACTGCAGGCTGGGGAAGAAAACAAAACAAAACAAAATCCCTGGCTCACTGTTCAAGGACCAAGCTATAACAATATTTAAAAAGCCAATCAAGAGAACTCCAGACCAAGAGATCCTCCAAGGTATCCTCAGCTCTCTTTGCCAGCAGAGGTGAGGGGATGGGGATGAGGAGGCAGCATGCGCGGGGCCATCAAGCTAACCTGAATGAATCATTCAATAAACATTTGTTATTTGCCTTTTATGAACCAGGAACTATACCAGGTACTGGAGAGATGCAGTCTTTGTCTCCAAAAGCTTAGCCTCTTGAGGACACACACATCTAAATAACTGTAATTCACTAAAGAGGATGCAGCAGTGCCATAAGAGCACACACAGGGCCAAGAACAATCCTCAGAGCTCCACGTCGACAGCATCAGTGCCGACACAGTCCCCTCCCTTGACAAAATGAGCCACGTATTCACAGGCACTTCTGCTGCATTTGTCCAGTGAGCTCATCATGCGGCCAAAAGTGAAAATGTGGACTCTTTAGGAGTCAGATGCAACAGTATAGGGTCAGAGGAGATGTCACTAACAGCTTTCCAAAATCATGAGCCACCAGTGTCACTCTAACAGTTATCTCCCTTCCACACACACAAACCCCATTGTGTTTCTCAGTAACAACAAAAAAATAGAGTTCAACTTGGGTGGAGATCAAATCTGAACTCAGAGTTCCTTCCTCAGTTCCTTATTGGCAAAATATGTATAAACAATCTCTTTAAAATGTTACTACCTGAGAATGTTTCTGAACGTCATGGCAGCATTCCCCCAAAGGTGTCATCGCCTTGACAAAGGAGAAATGAACCACAAAAAAACTTACACTCTAGCTTTCTATTAAAATACATAATACAAATACTATTCAAGTGGTTCTACTACTAGAAATGAACTACTTGTTTTCCCCCCCGCCCCCCCGAGATGGAGTCTTGCTCCATCACCATCCGGGATTGCAGTAGCTCAATCTCAGCTCACTGCAACCTCCACCTTCCGAGTTCAAGCAATTCTCCTGCCTCAGCCTCCTGAGTAGCTGGGATTACAGGTGCCTGCCACCACACCCAGCTAATTTTTGTATTTTTAGTAGAGACAGGGTTTCACCATGTTGGCCAGGCTGGTCTCAAACTCCTGACCTTGTGATCCACCTGCCTCGGCCTCCCAAAGTGCTGGGATTACAGGCGTGAGCCACCACACCCGGCCTGTTTTGTTTCTAAATACAAAAAAAAAAAAAAAATTGATGTTTAATTTCCAAGTCTAATATACAAGGTTCAGTATGTTTAATACAGAGTTTATAGATTGTTTTTTCAATTGCTCCACTACTTCCTACTTTATAAAATAATAAATTAGACCAGTGGGTAGAAGAATTTAACCCTTCGGAGTAGGCGTAGAAAATTTAATACTCTGGGTTAAAAATACTGGGGACTCAAAAAATCCTAAGTACGTAATGGGAACTAAACTTTAAAGGATATATATATTTTTTTTTTTTTTTTTTTTTTTTTTTTTTTTTTTTGTAGAGACAGGGCCTTGCTATGTTGCCCAGGCTTGCCTTGAACTCCTGGCCTCAAGTGATCTTCCCCACTCAGCCTCCCAAAGTGTTGGGATTACAGGCATGAACCACCATTCACCATGCCTGGTAGATTTTTTTTTTTTTTTTTTTTGAGACAGAATCTCAATCTATCATCCAGGCTGGAGTGCAATGGTGCGATCTTGGCTTCGCCTCCTGGGTTCAAACAACTCTCCTGCCTCAGCCTCCTGAGTAGCTGGAATTACAGGCATGTGCCACAATGCCTGGCTAATTTTTGTATTTTTAGTAGAGATGGGGTTTCACCATGTTGGCCAGGGTGGTCTCGAACTCCTGACCTCAGGTGATCCACCCGCCTCAGCTTCCCAAAGTGGTGGGATTACAGGCATGAGCCACCGTGTCTGGCCGCCTGGTAGATATATATTTAAATTGGGCTAAACTCTCAGATTAAAAGAATTTAACTTTAAAATATAACATGACCAGATACAGATATCTGGTTAATCATATACGCTAAATTCCTGATATATCAATATTTGACCAGTTTGCAAAGAATCAGACAACAGTAGTTCCCTCACCATTGAAAACAGTTCAGTCTGCTTTGAATGACTCAGAAAGCATCTCAGATTTCTTAAATAACTCTTGGTCATCATTTAAGAAGATCAATGAGCAATGTAGAGTGACTATGCTCAAGTGTCTTTTAGCAGCATACTCCAATAAATAGACTGCCTGAGAAACTACCTTTTGTCTTAGTACTGGGCTGCCTGGATTCTGCTGCCAACTCTGTATATAAAGTACTTTATTGAGATATTTTCAGTAAATCTTAGTTATTATTTAAATCTTTGTTTTCAGTCTCTTCCAACCACTGTAAAACACTGGAAGTACAAATAAGTAAAAGGAGTAAGGTAGTAGAACTTAATGCATAAAGCAGTAATTGAACGCTTTATATATCAGTTCCCTCATCTGCAAAATGGGGATAATAATATCTAAGACATATTATCTTCTGATATTAAAAACCAACCACAGGCTGGGCGCAGTAGCTTGTGCCTGTCATCCCAGTACTTTGGGAGGCCAAGGTGGGAGGACTGCTTCAGCCCAGGAGCTCAAGGCCAGCCTCGGCAACATGGCAAGACCCCATCTCTACAAAAAATACAAAAATTAGCTGGGAGTGGTGGCGCATGCCTGTGGTCCCAGTTACTCGGGAGGCTGAGGTGGGAGGATCACTTGAGCCTGGAAGGTCAAAGCCTGCAGTGAACTGTAATCATGCCACTGCACAGCAGCTTGAGCGACACAGTGAGACCCTGTCTCAAAAAAAAAAAAAAAAAAAAAAAAATCAACAAAAAACCAACCTCATAGAATTGTTATCAGCACCTACTTCACAGGGCTACTACAAAGTATCTTCAACAGTGCTTGCCAAATGGTAAAAGTTGCCAAAATGTTAGTTATTACTATGTGCATTATTGTTGTCACTATAGCATCAATTTGATACAGTAAATAATTATATTGTTTAGAAAATATGTCAACAAGTTGAGGGAGCAAAAGAGCAAAAATATTTTCTTTTAGGGCTGACCTCACAAATAAATGGGTAACTAATTCACTTTGGACATAATGTCTAAAGCAAGGAAAATAACGGTCACATACTCTGTGCTGATCAGATGAGATCTGCAAGGATGTCAACAAATCAGAGCACCCAAAAAAATCTATGAGATAAAGTATCTGAGAACCAAGCAACAGAAGGAATTGTTGGAATTGCCAGGGATACTTCTGCTGAAAATAGACTGCTAAGGAGCAGACAGGGCAGTGCAAGGGCACAGATCCTGGTAACTCAACAATATTGAGAGGTTATTAAATAGGAAAGGGAGTCGAATTTTCTTGCGTTTTACCAGATAGAAAAATTCGGGTCAATGAGTCAAAGCTAGAGGAAACAGACTTCAGCTCACTTATAAGGAAAAACTGTCACATCAGACACTACAGATGTTGGAAATGCCTACGGACATGGGTGGGATGGTGTGAGAGTCTGGTCTTTTCCAAATCTTAAGTCTCTGAACTAAGAGTCGTTTGTTGTTGAAGACTAGAATTCAAGGTTAAACTAAAGAATGCTTTCAAAGAAAATGTCAAATAACTGGTAGCACAATTATTTTAGAAAACTGCAGTTAATATTAATATTCGCTTCTTGTCAACTACCTTACAAGGGCCCTTACCAATATTAAAACAACATTTTACAACTTTAAAATGCAGCTGTAAGTTCCTCCCTTGAGCCCTAGAAGTTATTTTATTAAAGATAACATTATACAGATCAAACCCGCAAGTATTTTAAAGTACTAATAACAGAAGTACAGATCCCAACCAAACTTCTTTAAGGTTTCCTGGGAAAAATTTTCCAGAGTTCCACCAAGAACACATGAGGAACACGTTTCCATTTGCTGAGGTCCTGGCAATCCACATGGAGCCTAGTGCCTGGCACAAAGAAAAGACAGAAGAGTCCTCTCTTTCCTCCCTCCCTCTCCCCATCTCTCCTTGCTGGACAGTGAGAACAACAACGGCTAATTCCAACACAGCTGGAGAAAGAAGGGGGAAGAGATGAGAAGACAGGAGGAAGGAAGATGGAAGTACATGGGATGCATTTAAAATGGTAATAGTCTAATTATACAAATGAGCACTGCTTCACAAAAACACGCTTCTTTTGTTATGAGACGATAAGCAAACTAGGTATCTTTGCCATTTGTTTAAAACTGGATTATAAAACTTTAGAGAAAATAAAATTAAATAGTTCTAAACTGAAATAACTTTAGAATTGAAGTGAAAACCTCTTCTTCAGGAATATATTAACTAGGATTTCAGAAACAAGAGCCGCTACAGGAAAAAGAAAAAAGGAATAGAAGGGATTAGCAGTGAGGAAATAAGACAGGTATAGATGAAGCATAATTATATCTGTAAAGAGATCATTCTATTATTTTCTACTAACTTAATTTTATGTGTAACAAAAACTTAATACAATCCAAAATGTTACCTTCTCCCTAAATTCAAAGAAGAAGTTCTAAGTTCTCTAACTTCATAGACTGTTGCTTTCTAACTGTAACAAAGATTCCATAATGTAATTTTTTATATAACAAATCCATTACTATATTGGAAAGTTAATTATAATACTGGGTAACTTACAGTCATATTTCTACAAGAAAATGAAATGGAACTAGCAGGAAACTTACTGGCCAGCATTCATTTACTTTAGCTTTTTTTTTTTTCACACTTCTCAGACATGTGTGATATGATCTTTACAGGGTATCTTTGCAAACTGCCTCTGCACATACTTGACCTATCCTTCCTGAAATGAATTTACTTTTCTTGTCTTCATGGTGAACACCTATTTATCCTTAAAAGACTCAGCTTGCCCACTGCCTCCTTGAAGTCTTCCTATACCCAAATATCTCATATACTAACTCATACACTAAATTTCCAAACTTTTCTCACAAACTTTTCTTGTCACTACAGAATTGGTACAAGAGCAATCTTCTCAGGATTCATGTCATTCAGACCCACAGTTCCATTTATTATCATCTTTTTTTTTTTTTTTTTTTTTTTGAGATGGAGTTTTGCTCTCATTGCCCAGGCTGGAGTGCAGTGGCACCATCTTGGGTCACTGCAACCTCTACCTCCTGAGTTCAAGCAATTCTCCTGCCTCAGCCTCCCGGGTAGCTGGGATTACAGGCACCTGCCACCATGCCTGGCTAATTTTTTTTTTGTATTTTTAGTGGAGACGGGGTTTCACCTTCTTGGCCAGGCTGGTCTTGAACTCAGGTGATTGACCTGCCTTGGCCTCCCAAAGTGCTGGGATTACAGGCATAAGCCACTGCACCCAGCCCCTTCATTCCATTTAGATTCTATGGTAGGCTTGTTAGATCAAAGGGCCCTTGATTCTTCATCCAAAAAAATGGGTGTAAAATGTGAATTGAGGGTTTCCAGAAAAGCCCTTGACTCCTCAGTAGAACAGTACTGATAGCAAAGCTTCTTATCATTACAACCTCAAAGTTACAAACTACAGCACAATCCCTAAAGGACAAGTGGCAGACCATGCTAACAAAAGGCAGCAGACTTCCTGAACTACACTTCAAGTTAAGAGGCAAAATATGGGTAAAAGACGTCTAAGTCATATTAAAGGGTTCCTTGTAATTACACCTAATAACACAAATCGATATGTTGGAAACCTCAATCTTGTTATACTAGAATGATTTGACTCAATTGATTAGTTAAGTATTCCTTGAGTAAAATCTAGACAGTAAGACACTGTTTCTAAGCAAATGAAACCAAAAGTTCAATTGTGATTCACCATGTGTCTTACTCTTTTTTAAAAGAGTGATGTTTGCTCATCATTTCATGGGATCGTTTAGCATGAAATGTGGCTCCGATTTGCCTACACTGTGCATGTTTAGGGTGCACTCAAATCACGGCAACCAGAAGTTCACTGCAATGACTTTTTCCCTCAAGTCAATGGCCTAGAATTAAACACTATGGTTAATACTGAGAGCTACACAGCAGGAGAGATAACGACTGTGACAGTCACAGTCACCTGCAACTGTCAGCCACTGATCAACACAGAGAAACAGACATGTAGACAGGTTCATGGCCCTCCAGGAGGCCTGAATTTACCATGCTGTTTTCATCGTCACCATGTTATAACCAACTAAACTGGCCAGGTTTGAGGTCCTTGGAAGAGGTCATGCTGTGCCTTTTCCTTTTCCCTACACAAGAGAACTGGGACAATGTTGAAGATAAAATGCCTAAGATTAGACATCGTGTCCCTAACTGCAGGGCTCCATCACTTTCAATTCAGTCATGTTACTATTCAGATTCAAAATGCTGAACTTAGAAATGTGCCATGTAGTAAACTGTTCTCATTTTCATCTAGCTAATCAATATTGGAGAGCATTCCATCTGTCTAATAAAAAGTTAAAAGCGTAGCTCACAATATGCCCTTTTCCACAAGTGTTGCATATTTTCTTGGGTACCACATGCTACATCACTATTTCAGGAATAAGATACCTGAATCAACCCTCTAATCTTTATCTGAACTGTCCACCCTTTAAAAAACACACACATATAGATAATGGTGTTGTAAAAAGAGTAATTGTAAGAAGAGTCCTCATCTTCTAGAGTTATACACACATGTGAAAATAGTTGTGAGCGAAATAATGTCTGGGGTTTGCTTTGTAATAATCCAGAGAGAAAGGGAGCATACCGATAGCCCACTGGCCAGGAGATGGTAACAGTGGAAGCCAGGTCACAGGTGTGTGGGGGTTACTACACAATTATCTCTACTTCAGAATATTTGATATTTTCTGTAATAAAGAGTAAGAAAAAAAGGGACACAACACTAAGTCACTGACCTGAATCCACTTTTAATCTTCCATGGAATAAAGAAAAATACTTTATTTTTATTTTATTTATTTATTTTTGAGATGAAATCTTGCTCTGTCGCCCAGGCTGGAGTGCAGTGGCGCAATCTCAGCTCAGTGCAACCTTCGCCTCCTGGGTTCAAAAGCGATTCTCCTGCCTCAGCCTCCTGAGTAGCTGGGATTACAGACACCCACCATCATGCCCAGCTAATTTTTGTATTTTTTGTAGAGACCATGTTGGCCAGGCTGGTCTTGAACTCCTAACCTCAGGTGATCTGCCTGCCTCAGCCTCCCACAGTGTTGGGATTACAGGTGTGAGCCACCACGCCCGGCCAAGAAGCAGACTTTAAAGTAGAATAATATGGTGTTACAGAAGTCACTAAACTTTTAAATTAAAACTAAGACATGCTACAGATTCACATGAAAGCCTAACTTTGAAAAGAATTCATAGGATCAATCAACATATCCACAATGAATGCACTTTAAAAAGTGGACCATCAAGATGGATATCCAGGTCAGCATTTCCATCAAGTTACTCATATATCTGATAGGAGCTCTTCTGCACGTTCTTGTTATTCCCACAGCTTAGCCGTAGCCTTTTCACTTCACTGCCCCTCTAACCACTTTGAAAACATGCTGGATGCATGTACCTATGTTGAACAAACAGAGCCGTTTTTTACACTGTATATAATAGGAGGTTTACTCAATTTTTACAGCATGCTGTGCATTAATATTTTAGGAATGAATTTACAACCAATATAGTAATCCTCCCAAAAGAGCTCTCCCACAGTGTCTACCACTAATACACATCCAAAATAAAAACTCTAAAGAGACTGCCTTGGGTATTATTTTGGTAAGCAATATTAAGTGCTAAAGTTTAAAAATAATAAGTATATAAAAGCCTATCTTGGTAGAACACATCTGATTAATAAACTATAAATTTTCCCAAAATCAAATGAAACAAATTAGAACAAAAAATAACATTTCTCTTGTAGCTGAAAATCCAGAAAAATAAACTGAAAATAAAGAACTTTCCTTTTAAATTACTTCCTTAATTCATTTTAATTTAAAAATAATGGAAATTTGTTTCTTTTTTGCCCTCCTACTCTGGAGTGGGGACAGTTACTAATAATCAGAAACTTTTGTTCCTGTTGTTGGTTTGTTTTTCTTTTAGGTCCTTATCAAAATGAATCCTTATCTAAACATCAAGATGTAAAGACTATCCATTCTGAGAATGTTTTGTTTCTCAATATGAAGAAAAGAAACTAAACATTTCCATAGTAACAGTGAGTGTTACTAAATGATATAACTTCCTAATACCTACATAGGAAGAAGAGCAGATGACAATTGAAGGGGGAAACTGGAAGCTGAAGGAGCTTGTAACAATCATCCTTATCCATGTCAAATTCCCTGTAGGCATATATTCCCAAATGGAGCGAGATTCTAGTCTACTCTCCCTAGATGCTAGGTTAAAAAGGAAAAGACATTATCAAAAGATTATCCTCGACACATAATGCTTAAAGAAGGGTGTGGCCATGTTTTACATAGGATTCAAACCCAAACAGGGAGTTCCTTCACCCATTTCTTTTATAATATCTAACCTCTTTTAATCAGTCCTTTACAATTCATTTGTCCTTAATTCACCAACTGTAACTGCTAAACATTTTTGAAATATATATCTGGTTTTTAAAATTGGAGAAGGGAAAAGTAGTGTATTGAAAATCTGCATTTACTAGGCCAGGCACGGTGGCTCACGCCTGTAATCCCAGCACTTTGGGAGGCTGAGGCAGGCGGATCATCTGAGGTCAGGAGTTCAAGACCAGCCTGGCCAACATGGTGAAATCCCGTTTCTACTAAAAATACAAAAAAATTAGCCCGGCATGGTGGCGCACGCCTGTAATCCCAGCTACTCAGGAGGCTGAGGTGGGAATTGCTTGAACCCGGGAGATGGAGGTTGCAGTGAGCTAAAATCACACTACTGCACTCCAGGCTCAGCGACAGAGCAAGACTCCATCTCAAAAAAAAAAAAAGTCTGCATTTACTAAAATGTAACACCCTCTGTTCCCCACCCCAACTTCTCAGGAGGAAATCATTTCCCCAATGTCTGCCATCCTTTCCCCAAAAGGCTGCCATGGTTGTTAAGAGCAGCAAAAGGTAACTTGTTCAGACAAACTAAGACCCGTGTCTTTATATGCTGAAAATACACATTACAAATAGATAATACTTTAAAATATTATTTGACCCATCAAGGATGACCATCATAAAATTATTTTATTGAGTTAGTTAGTTCTACTCACTTACTATGTGCCAGTATAAATCTATTATATGCATATCTCAAATAAGCCCTAAAAGGTAAGTACTATTATTATTATTATTCCCCTTATTAGATGAAAAAGTTTAAAACTTGGAACTTAGATATAGCCACATGGCTAGGAAATGGTGGAATCCATGCCTGCCTTACTTTGAAACTCAAACTCTTGACCCCAACACTACACAGCTTCTCTAATCAAAGCCTTTCTAAAAGGAAAGAAGGTCTTATTCTAATTAGTTGTAGTCAATACCAGTAATCTAAGATAATCAAATCAAAGTCCCTCTGCCCTCTTAGAAATACTAAGCTCCACTTATTGTAAGTATAAAATGTATGCTGTATATGTAAATGTGTGTGAATTACTGTCTACATACAACTGCAAGGCATTTCAGCACTTTTGAGGAATACCTCATCAGTATTCCTCAAAACTGTCAAGGTCATGAAAAACACAGAAAAGTAAGCCAGGTGCAGTGGCTCACACCTGTAATCCCAGCACTTTGGTAGGCCTAAGCAGGTGGATCATGAGGTCAGGAGTTGGACACTAGCCTTGCCAACATAGTGAAACCCCATCTCTACTAAAAACACAAAAAATTAGCCGGGTATGGTGGCATGTGCCTGTAGTCAAAGCTACTCAGTAGGCTGAGATGGGAGAATTGCTTGAACCCAGGAGGCATAGGTTGCAGTGAGCCAAGACCGTCCCATTACACTCCAGCCTGGGCGACAGAGCGAGACTCCATCTCAAAAAAAAAAAAAAAAAAAGAGAGAAAGAAAAACAGAAAAGTGAAAAACTGTCACACACTAGAGGAGACAAAAGAGACATGACAATCAAATGCAATGTGGTATCTTGAATTAGATCTTGAAACAGAAAAAAGGCAATGGAAAAACTAGTGAAATCCAAATAAAGGCCAGGCGCAGTGGCTCACGCCTATAGTCCCAGCACTTTGAAAGGTCAAGGCAGGTGGATCACTTGAGGTCAGGAGTTCAAAACCAGCCTGGCCAACATAGTGAAACCCCATCTCTACTAAAAATACAAAAATTAGCCAGGCATGTGCACATGCCTTTAATCTCAGCTACTCAGGAGACTGAGGTAGGAGAATTGCTTGAACCCAGGAGGTGGAGGTTGTAGTGACCCAAGATCGTGCCACTGCACTCCAGCCTGGATGACACAGCAAGGCTCTGTCTCAAACAAAAACAAAAAAATAAATTCCACAGGTTAGTTCAGAGTTAAGTACTAATGATGGTTTCTTATACTTGAGAGATATATTGTGGTAATACATCTGCTAAACTGAGTGAGGGGGTTGGGAAACTATGTTTGAGAACTCTCTGTACTATCTTTGCAACTTCTCTGTAATTATAAAAGTATTCCAAAATAAAGAAAAAGTTAATAATTTAAAAGTTGATTTAAAATATCAACATCTCTATACAGAAAGAAATGTGCTGCACTTTGATCCTAGTTAGGCATTTTATTCTGAACAAAGCAGAGCGTAGGCAATTGACTCACTGCTTTCAACCCATAAAACCACTTTGATATAAATACATACAAAAGCACAATAAAAATGATAAATTATAAATATAAAAGCCCAATGGTATTTAATATCTCCTCATCTCCTCACATTTGTAAACATATGAATAATTTTAAAACCAGACAAGTATACTTCTAATATCACATTAATTCTACATGTGAATCTGAAGGACAAGGGTCCTCTTCCCTACTTTTCCCTGCAGGAGTGCTGCCTTACACATTTAGAACCTCCATTTGTCTATTAGGTTGAGAGAATTTTCTAAGCCCTATCAACCGAAACTCTCTACCCATTGCTTCTTCTCTAAAAGGAAGAGAAACCAACTCTCCTAAATGATATCTCATCATCAGGCAATGGTTTTTACCTGGTAATTCAAATGTGGCCAGTATTTCAAAATGATTTTCTAGATACTGTTCTCAAATTTTCTCTTAACTGTTTTCCAAAGTTATTCCCTTACTCATTCACTTGACAAATAATTACATCACACAGCAATCTGAATCACACTGAACTTGGATAACAAGTTAAATTACCAATTCAAAAATATGAAAGCATATTCCATTGTAATGCTCCTGGCACCCTAGAGAGATTTTGTCATTTCAAAAACAACACCCAAACCAAGGCACTAAGGACTGCAATCCACCCCATTATTTTACACTTAATTCTCTAAATGAGATATAAAAACATTCTTACACAGGTTACCTGAAATATCAGCATTTATTTGTCTTATTTATAATGTGATTCTGGTTTACATTAAACACAAAAGCACTAGATATTATATATATATATTATAAAATATATATTATATATAATTATATATTATATTATATATATACATATATATATATTTTTTTTTTAAGTCAGAGTCTCACTCTGTCACCAAGGCTGTAGTGTAATGGTGCAATCTCGGCTCATTGCAACCTCCACCTTCCCAGTTCGCAATTTTCGTGCCTCAGCCTCCCAAGTATCTGGGACTACAGGTGCGTACCATCATGCCTGGCTAATTTTTTTGTATTTTTAGTAGAGATGGGGTTTCACCATTTTGGCCAGGCTGGTCTCAAACTCCTGAACTCAAGTGATCTGCCTGTCTCAGCCTTCCAAAGTGCTGGGATTACAGGAGTGAGCCAGTGTGCCTGGCCAAAAGTACTATATATTATTTCATGGGACATGGTGATCTTATTAAATCAGAGGAATATAAAATGGCCAAAATAAGATAAAAAATTAAATCACTGAAAAGGCAGAATAAAGGTGAAGGGGAGATGGTATAATATTAGACTATTTATATGAAAAAACAGTCAGAGAAAGAAGGGAAATTTGTAACAATTCTCTGGGTATTTTGTGGTTTTATAGTTGTCTTAGCCTGGGTCAGTCCCTCAAATATTCCCAATCTCATGTTTTTTATCTACAACATTAAGATAGTAATGCCTGTTTACAGACCAATTTATTTTTAAGTATAAACTGGGCAAGTAAAAAACAATTTTTAAAAAGCCACTTTTCAGGCAAAATTAGTTTTTAAAAAACTAAAAATTGCTAATCACTGGCAGTATCTGGGGAGGAAAAAAAAAGTGTGTGTAACTAACCATATTTTAGACCCAGCTAAAGCAGAAAGGAACTTTGTAGCCAGCTAGAAGCTGAGTGGATTCCTGGATTAAGTGCTTGCTTACCTTGGAGACTTGTCGCAGCCACCTTAAGTATTCTGTGAAAGTATCAAAGCAAATGTAGTAAGTCTGGCTTTGGGGTCCAGAGGAGCTAAATGCTAAACAGTGTTGGTGCTTTTTCACTTCTTCTACCTATAAAAGCAAACAGAGAGAAGCAGAAACAAGTCAGACAGCAGAACCACTGATGTATTTCACTAACTATGCCTCTGATCAAGGAGCCTGCATGGATTTGCATGTTTCCCTATATATGTTACTCATTAATGAGAACTAAGTTCCTGCATATGATCACCCAATTTGAATTACAAAGAAACCAAAAAAGGGGGAGTTTTATCTTTACTATATTTCCCCACCACAGTGAAATTCTCCTCTTTCTGTTTAAAATTAGTCCAGACTCCCTTTCTTATTCTTCTAACCTCACAATAGGGTGCTGGGGTTCTTACTTCCTCTTAGAATTTTTACTTAAGATTTTACTTAGGAATTTTTACTTAAGAAGTCTTCAAGCATATTAAATAAGTATTGAAAACATTACTGTTAAACTGAAATTAACCTGTAATAAAACCCTACCATGAGAACTTTCAAGTCCTAATGATGCAGTGAAATACAGTCAAATCAAATTTCCACTCCTTGTAAGTTCTTCACAAGGGGAAAAATACACACCAAAAGTAACATTATACAAACTTCTATGTTTGGAAACTTAATAACAAACTTCTAAACAACTCACAGGTGCAAGGAGAAATTACAACCAAAATCTTAAAACGCTTAGAACTAAATAATTCTAGAAAAACTACATATCAAAATCTGTATGTTGCAATAAAAGAAGATATACAAAGGGAAATTTATATATATATATATTTTTTTCAATTGAACTCGTGTATCTTTTGATAGTCATATTGGAAAAGAAGGTAGAACATTAATTTGCTCGGCATGCACCTTAAGAACTTGGAAGGAAGCCTGGGCGTGGTGGCTCACGCCTGTAATCCCACCACTTTGGGAGGCCGAGGCAGGTGGATCACCTGAGGTCAGGAGTTCGAGACCAGCCTGGTCAACATGGTAAAACCCCTCTCTACTAAAAATACAAAAAAAACCTTACAGCTAGGAGCGGTGGTGGGTGCCTGTAGTCCCAGCTACTGGGGAGGCTGAGGTGGGAGGATCGCTTAAACCCAGGAGGCAGAGGTTGCAGTGAGCTGAGATCCAGCCTGGGTGACAGAGCAAGACTCTGTCTCCAAAAAAAAAAAAAACTTGGAAGGAAAAAAATAAAATCAAACCTCCAAATTGAATAAATCCAAAATTGAAAGAAGGCTATGATAAAAACTAGCAATTGGTGAAATGAAAACCAAATATGTAAGAGAAAACATTAACAAAGCAAAATACTGATTCTTCAAGAAAACTAGTACAATTGATAAATACTCTGGCAAGAAAAATGGATACATCCTCTGGCAAGAAAAAGAGAGCAGAGACACTTATAAATAATATTAACAATTAACAATAAAAAGGGAGACACAGCTACAGATTCGCCAGAGATTAAGAAGAGAATATTATGAACAATTTTGTGACAAATTCTTAGAAAAAATATGTTTTACCAATACTACTAAATAAAGAAAAACCAAAAGCCTAAATAGTCCTATCAGCCAGGTGCAGGCTCACACTTGTAATCCCAGCACTTCGGGAGACCTAGAGGGACAGATCGCTTGAGCCCAGGAGTTGGAGATCAACCTGTGCAACATGGCAAAACCTTATCTCTACAAAAAACAGAAAAACAAAAGTTAGCTGGGTGTGGCAGCGCACACCTTGTAGTCCTATAGCTACTCAGAAGTCTAAAGTGGGGAAATCGCCCAAGCCTGGGGAGGTCAAGGCTATAGTGTGGAGTAACTATACCACTGCACTCCAACCTGTACAATGGAGTAAAATCCAGTGTTAACAAAACAAAACAAAAATTGAATAGTCCTATAACTTTGTTTTTGAGACGGAATTTCACTCCTTGCCCAGGCTGGAGTGCAGTGGTGCAATCTTAGCTCACTGCAAACTCCGCCTTCCGATTGCAAGCGATTCTCCTATCTCAACCTCTTGAGTAGATGGGATTACAGCCTTGGCCTCCCAAAGTGCTGGGATTATAGGCATGAGCCACGCCTGGCCCCTATATAGCCATTTAAAATATAGAAGTTTTTTTTTTTTTTAATGTCTCAAAAAAAATCAGGCCCATATAGCTTTACAGGTAACTTTTACCAAAGTTTCAAAAAATAGATCAATCCAAACTCATGCAAACTCATCCAGCAAACAAAAAAATGAAGGAAAACACCCCAACCCATTCTATGAGGATAGTATAACCAAGACCCACATGAGAACAGTAACAGAAAGGAAACTTACAGGTAACCATGGTCACAAAGATTTATCTTGAACAAAATGTTGCATCAAAATCCAGTAATTTATTTTTATTTATTTATTTATTTATTTATTTATTTATTTATTTATTTATTTATTTATTTTTAGATGGAGTCTCGCTCTGTTGCCCAGGCTGCAGTGCAGTGGCACGATCTCAGCTCACTGCAACCTCTGCCTCCCAGGTTCAAGCGATTCTCCTGCCTCAGCCTCCCAAGTAACTGGGATTACAGGCGCCTGCCACTGCGCCACCAATTTTTGTATTTTTAGTAAAGACAGGGTTTCACCATCTTGGCCAGTCTGGTCTTGAACTCCTGACCTCGTGATCAACCCGCCTCAGCCTCTCAAGTGCTGGGATTACAGACATCAGCCACCATTCCCAGCCTTTTAATTAATTAATTTATTTATTTATTTTAGAAAACCCAGTAATTTAAAAATATATATATGTATCAAGAACAAGGCCGGGCACGGTGGCTCACCCCTATAATCCCAATACTTTGGAAGGCTGAGGCAGGCGAATCATTTGAGGTCAGGAGTTTGAGACCAGCCTGGCCAACATGGTGAAACCCCACTTCTACTAAAAATACAAAAATTAGTCGGGCGTGGTGGTGCATGCCTGTAATCCCAGGTACTCAGGAGGCTGAGGCAGGAGAATCGCTTGAACCCGGGAGGTGGAGGATGCAGTGAGCTGATATTGTGCCAGTGTGCTCCAGCCTGGGCAACACAGCAAGACTCCGCCTCAAAAAAAAAAAAAAAAAAAAAAGAACCAGTTGAATTTACCTCAGATAAAGAAAGACAGTTTAACGTAATTAGAACTATAAAACCATTAATCACATTAACGGATTAAAGACACCCATACTATTAACCCCACAGTTGCAGAAAAAGCTGTTAGTAACTTCATTCAGGCTGAAATGAAGAATAAAAATTCTCAGCAAACTCAGAAAATAAAAACTCACTTAAACTGACCAAGGGTATTTATCAAACATCTAAAGCAAACTTCAATGTTAATGATGAGATATCATTCTCAAGATCATTGATAAGGAGCCAGGTGCGGTGGCTCACACCTGTAATCCCAGCACTTTAGGAGGCCGAGGCAGGGGGGTCACCTGAGGTCAGAAGACCAGCCTGGTCAACATGATGAAACCCAGTCTCTACTAAAAATACAAAAATTAGCTGTGTGTGGTGGCATGCGCCTGTAGTCCCAGCTACTCGGGAGGCTGAGGCAGGAGAATGGCTTGAACCCGGGAGACAGAGGTTGCAGTGAACCAAGAATGCACCACTGCACTCCAGCCTGCGTGACAAGAGACAGACTCTGTCTCAAAAAAAAAAAGGAAAAAAAAAAGGATCATTGATAAGTATCTACTGTTTCTATTCAACACTGTACTAGATCTTCCTGCCCGTAACAGTAAGACAAAGAAAAGGAAGAAACCTGTCATCATTTGAATATTATATGATTAACTATACAGTAAACAAAAAAACCTACAGGCATCATATTAGAATAAACCAGAACATTTAGCAAGACGATAAATCAATACTCAAGATCAATACTCAAAAACCAACTGTGTTTCTATAAACCAAACAGAAAATACGATTTTTTAAAAAATGCTGTGTAAACAAATTGACAGATATCAAGCAAAAGGTTTCTTAGGGATGGAGAGGAGTGGGAGAGGGTGGGAGGAAAGGAAAATAAAAGGGTGGGAGGAAAGGAGAACAAAGGGACACGAGGAAACTTCTGGGAATAATGAACATGGTCACTATCCTGGTTGCCGTGATGGTTTAATGGGGGTATACAGCTATCAAATTGTGTTAACTGGAGTGTACAGTTATAAAACTGAAATGTGCAGTTTATTGTTGTCAATTACACGTCAGTAAAGTGTTGGTGAAGATGTGGAGAAACAACACTTGTACACTGATGTGAATGCAAAATGGTACATCGACCCTGAAAAACAACTTGGTATCATCTTGCGAAAGTAGATGTGTGTATGTCCCAGAGCCCAGTAACCGAGCTCCAAAGTGTATACCCAACAGTAGTATTTCTCAAGGAGATCATTATAGGAATTGTGGATTGAATAGTTCTTCATTGTCCCCTATGCAGAACTCTCTAATACTTTGCACAATATTTTAAACTCTCGCCTCTGCCTTTAAATGCCAAGAGTGTCCCCTGCAGCAAAGATAATGTTATTCACCAATCACTCTATCTACTCCACATTTCTCAGACCCCTTGCAATTAAGGTGGAGCGATGTGACTAGTTCTGGCCAATGAGCCACAGAGAGAAGTGGCATGTGTCACTTCTGCATCCAAACATACAAGGCCCATGAATGATGCTCCAATTACCTCTTCCCTTGCCAAAACAACAAAGGGAAGTATAAAAGAGCCAAGACTTCATCAGGCTGGGTCCCTGAACAACTGTGTGACAAAAGAAACGCCCACCCCCCAACCCCACTGACCCACAACAGACAATGTGAGAAATAACTGTTATGACAAGTCACTAAGATTGGGGGGAAAAGAGGGGTGTTACCAGGGCATTACTTATGCTTATATTAACTGATAATGTTCACTGTTCAATCATCTGACCATCAAAACATTCCTACATATAACCAAATGTCCCTTCAGCATAGTAACTCCACTCGCAAACTACTGTCTTAGAAAAGGTACTTGCATACCAGGAGGCATATCAACATGAGACTATAGCAGCAGCACTGTTGTTATTATAACAACAACAAACTGAAAGCAACCCAAATGTCCATCAGCAGGAAAATTACTTAAGGAATTATGAAAATTGTGGAATGTTTACAGTAGACATTATAGAGAAATGAAAACCACATAAGTAACATGTAATCTTATTATGAAACATTGTATTAGGTGAATAAATTCAATTACAGAAGACCACAGCAATTTATCACTTTTATACACATCAAAAACAAGCAAAATATAGATACACGGTAAAACTTATTTCAAAAAAGGAAAAAATGAGGAATATACATTCTAGGACAGTGAATCCTTCTAGGGCTAGGGGAGGCAATGAGATATATGTAAAGAGAACACAGGTAGAAGAAACTCTGGTATTGATATCCCCACAGTTCCTAAATTCAGTAGTGGCTGACAATTCTTCAATTTATTATACTTCATAATTTAACAAATATTAATTAAAATACAGTATTATCTGGCCAGGCGTGGTGGCTCACGCCTGTAATCCCAGCACTATGGGAGGCCGAAGCAGGCGGATCACTTGAGATCAGGAGTTCAAGACCAGCCTGGCCAACACGGTGAAACCCTGTCTCTACTAAAAGTACAAAAATTGGCCGGGCATGGTGGTGTGCACCTGCAGTCCCAGCTACTCAGGAGGCTGAGGCAGGAGAATCGCTTGAACCCGGGAGGCAGAGAGTGCAGTGACCCAAGATCGCACCACTGCACTCCAGCCTGGATGACAAAGCAAGACTGTCTTTTTAAAAAAATAATAATAATACATTATTTAAAAATCTATGTTAAATTCTATAGGACAAGTTAAATACAACATTAAAACTGCATAATATAAATGTATCTATTAAATACTCTTTCAATAACTAAATTTTGAGAGTTTTATTTAACAGCAAAGCCATATATGTAAAGTAATGACCATGCTCACGTGGTATGAAACCACAGCAATTCTAACTAGGTTATGACCAATCTATCTCACACCTTATTTCTAAATCTATAGCTCTTCTATATCTAAATTAAAAAGAAAAAATAAAACTCCTTTCATTCATACTCTCAGTTTTTTCTTTAACAATAGAACAGGATAAAAAAAAACAACAACAGACAAAAATTAATGAAAGCTCAAATTGCAAGAAATCAATTATTTTTCCCTAACTCAGTCAACAGATATTAAAGACTCAATTTTTCAATGTAGTCAATTATTTTTTAAAGGCATAGTATAAAACAGGTTTTACAAGTTTTGCTTGTGAAAAGAGGAAGCTATTAACTTTCAATTCACTCAGTGGTAGAAGACCATCCAGTAACAGACCTGGGAAACAGGACAAGACTCTAGTACTGAATGAAAATGCTAATTATAACCGGATCTGCTGACCTTATCTGAACATTCCATGTGCTTTCCTGCCTCTGCCTCTATAAGCATAATAATCTTTCTGACCATCTCCTTCACATGTCAAAAGACTTTTCATCCTTCAAATTCTATCATAATTGCTACCTTTCATTACAAAATTCCCTCTTACCCGAAAAAATGTAATCTCTCCTTCCATTAATCCCCCACAGTACCTTCCTGCATCTTTCTTACAACAGATATCATTGTGCCTACTTCATCTTCTGATACAAAATCATAAGCTCTTCAAAGGCAGGCAGGGTTATTTAGCTATGTTAGTATTTCTGGGGTGCCAAGCACAGTGCCTTCCCCAAAGAGGATACTGAATAGTTATATTAGATTTGCCTATGCAAACACCCAGCATCACAAAGAGAGAGACTGTTGACCTAACAAAGTATCAAACATTAAATATGCATTTTTAATAACCTATAGTGGTAATACAGATGAGTATTTTTTCAGTAATCCATCCATCCACAGGGCAAAATCTTAGTATATCAGTCACTAACTCTTCAATGCTCCGACAAAAGTTAAGCAGCATTGGTTTCAAAATGAACGACTAAAATCAATCTAAACGCATCTTGCACAGCCTGACCAAAACCTATTTTTGAAAATGATCAAGTATTAGCCTTCTTGAAACTAGAATAGAGAGGAAAAAACTAACATAGGCTATTTATTCATAAGGAAAGACTACAAGAATGTGCTTGCTACACAGCAGTGAGCAACAAAACCATTTATTACCATACACATGTGGTCTTACTTCCTTCACTTACAACCCTTGAAACAGATCAGACATTTAGACAACCAATTAACAAATGGTTTACTTAGGCCAGGCACAGTGGCTCATGCCTGTAATCTCAGCACTCTGGGAGGCCAAAGTGGGTGAATCACGAGGTCAGGAGATCAAGACCATCCTGGCTAACATGGTGAAACCCTGTCTCTACTAAAAATACAAAAAATTAGCTGGATATGGTGTCATGCGCCTGTAGTCCCAGCTACTTGGGAGGCTGAGGCAGGAGAATCACTTGAACCCGGGAGGCAGAGGTTGCAGTGAGCTGGGATTGCACCACCACACTCCAGCCTGGGAAACAGAGCAAGACTCCATCTCAAAAAAAAAAAAAGAAAAAGAAAAAGAAAATATTTGCTCAATGTGCCCCCAATGACCCATTTTCTCATCCAAATCCTAATTTCCATTTATTAACATATCACTTAAAAATCAAGAAATACTGACCTATAAGTATGGTGATGCTACCCTTACCAATGCTTGGGACTTTATAAATAACTCTGACAAAGAAAATAATGTAACATTTCCCCAAGTAATCTGGTTCTATTTTATAAATAATAGCAATAAAATAGTTAACATACCCAAAGCAAAGAAATCAGTAATGTCAAAAATATATCCGTTGCATCACATTTTCTCCGAAATGAGAAACATTTAAGATTCAAAATTTATAACTAGGCACTTAATAAACTAAAAATGCTAACCCCACTGATCACTAAACACAGATAGGGGAAAATGTGGTCAAAGACTTAAGCACTATAGACTCAAACCCTCCGCATGTGTCAATGTTTCTAAATTCACGAAATTAAGGATGAGTATACTCTACTAGAAAATGTATGCTTAAGATATCAACTCATAAGTAACGAATTTATCATCTAAACTCTGACATATGACAATAAAATTCTACCTATTTTCTGTCCAGTAGGTAAAATGCACATAACTAATGAAACAATAATCATCAAGGCCTCACATGAGCCAATGGCACTGTTTTTTCCCCACAGCTCCACCAACCGACAACACCCACAACAGGAACTGAATAAGACCTCAGATGAGTAAAAAATCATCTACCCCATATCACAGAAATGGCTCAAAGTAAGGTCCTTACTGATGGTGGGAAACCTGTTAGTATTTTGTTTGTTTTAAACTTACTTTTCGGCCTGGCATGGTGGCTCACACCTGTAATCCCAGCACTTTGGGAGGCCGAGGTGGGCAGATCACTTGAGGTCAGGAGTTCAAGACCAGCCTGGCCAACATGGTGAAACCCCATCTCTACTAAAAATACAAAAATTAGCCAGGTGTGGTGGTGCACGCCTGTAATCCTGGCTGAGGCAGGAGAATCGCTTGAACTCAGGAGGCAGAGGTTGCAGTGAGTTGAGACCACGCCACTACACTTGAGCCTGGGTGACAGAGTGAGACTCTGACTCAATAAACAAACAAACAAACAAACTTACTTTTCCACCAATTAGTGGCAGAACATGCATCTTTCCGGTCAAGCTGTCTTTCACAGATGATACTATCAGGCAGGTCCCACATAGGATGACTTGGCGTCTTGTCCATCGGTTCACTGGCAACTGCATCTTGCCTTTACGGACATTATACATTCCTGAGAGCTGAATCCGTTCAGAGCTACCCGTGCTGTGAGGTTTTCCTGAAATAAACAGAAGCAAACATGTTATTCTTTTAAAATGGACCCTTTTCCTACTCATCTACATAGCAGATATATGAATTGGACAACAAGGGAATAATTCAAGGGAAAATTATAAATTCAATCTAATTTATAATTGAGATGACAACTGTCATAATGGAATTATGGTAAGAACTACATCTCCACATGTACACGTAACAATAAGTGAAGAGCCTTTTCCATAAAATCATAGGAAAACACCATTTTAACTCTTTGTTTTAACTAGAGGTTTCTTTTCTTTTTTTTTGAGATGGAGTTTCGCTCTGTCACCCAGGCTGGAGTGCAGTGGCGCAATCTCGACTAATTGCAACCTCTGCCTCCCAGGTTCAAGCAATTCTCCTGCCTCAGCCTCCCATGTAGCTGGGACTACAGGTGCCGGCCACCACACGACTAAATTTTTTGTATTTTTAGTAGAGACGGGGTTTCACCATGTTGGTCAGGCTGGTCTCAAATTCCCGACCTCAGGTGATCCGCCCGCCTCAGCCTCCCAAAGTGCTGGGATTACAGGCGTGAGCCACCACGCCTGGGTTGGAGTTTTATTTTCTTGCCTATCTTTCACAAGTTAATTTTACATTTGAAACGACTTCATGATGTTTATGAATGGTTAGATTTAAATACACTAAGAAGAAAGTATTATAGCCTGAGATAGGAAAATAACATCCAACATCTTACATTTAATAAAACTAATCAGTTTAATAAAATTAACTGCAGAGTTTTTCCTCCTACAGATATTCAATGTATATTTACTGTAAAGGAAACATTAGAAAAGAAATATTTTTCTTAAAAAAACACTATTATTTCCTATTAGAAATACTATCCCAGCAATCCATGAAGAATGGGTCCTACAATGCTTATGACTCATGGTAAGGAGCACAGAGACAGAGAAATAAGCAATGAGGCTGAAAGGCAGAAAGAGAACTGAGAAAGGTCTGAAGAGTCTTCACTTCCCAAATGGAAACGAATTTGGCAGAATTAGTTAGGCAAGTCTTATCAACTTAATGGGAGAACTACTGTGATTGACATGAACATAGTGACAGTCATATAAGCAACCAGAAAAGTATTTCCCCATTTCTAGATACTGAACAGATAATTTCAGAGTACCAAAGCCTCTGCCCAGAGATAAGTTAATAAGAGATATATGTACTATAGTAGGACCCCAGTCAGGAATAACATATTTATTTAGAAGTTGGACTAGTTGCCAAGGGCTAGCAAAAGAAATAGGTTCAAGATAAATTATATTCTTATTAATATTAAAAACCAACATAAATACCAAGTGGTTTTGATACATGTCTAAAACCTATTAGGGAACAGGAAGAACAACAGCTCTAAAAATAAATAACAAGAAACTCCAAAGAGTATCTGAACGTTCCCAATACATACTTTGGGCACAGATGTTAGGAAATAAGCCACAGGTTCGAATTTCACTTCTTCTTTCTCCCATATCAAAATGTTTTATAAAATAAATACTTCACACTACAAAATTTTGCTGAGGCTGGGCCAGGATGAAGTATAACAGTGATTCAGCTACTTGAACCAGGTGCCCAGCAAACAGCTACACTGTTAGAGCTCTCACTGGAAAGGTACCATATTGTTTGTCTACCACATGTTAGTTTTCCCACAAATGAGTAGGAAGCCCAGAAGATTATTTAAAACATGTGAGATGTGACAGGCCAAGGGCTGCCAATGATGGATCAGACACAGTGATTCACATGTCCCATTCTGCACAAGTTCATTTATATCTAGAGAGGAAGATGCCGGGGTTTCCAGTCTAAGAGCTCCTTACTATATGACAGACTCTCTTCCTGTGGGGAAGAAGTAAGAGAGAAGAAAAGACAAAGAATAATAAAAATGAAAAGCAAGTGAAGGACTAAAAACAATGGACAATAGGCAACTGGGTTTCCAAACTCCAATTTCCTTGACATAATAAACTAATGCTAAAAAGGGATCTGATCTACACACACACACACACACACACACACACACACACACAAATGCAAAGAAGTAGGCATTTTATTCAGTCCATCAGAGAGTGGCTTCAAGAATACTTGTTAACCTGTCACATTTATGCAGCTCTATGAAGAACCAGAGACTGGAAGAAAAGGGAACAGGGGTACATAAGGGCTGGCCCTTCAATTCTCCAACTCCATATACATCCTACAGAAAGCCCCAGAGCAAATCACCAGACAGACTGGACAAAGGCCAGAAGGGATCTTTAACAGAAGAGTATGGATACATCAGTAGATACTGGCTCTTTATTCCCTAGTCAGAAAAATTCCCAAGAGTTCTGAATTGTCCTGGAGCCCAACAGTCAGATCAGCCTGTCCTTGGAAAACCCTAAAGATCCCAGTATGAATTAAATCCCTCTGGTCTTGCTCTGAATGAACTTCAATGTCCCTATTGTCTGTCCTCTCCCTGGGTGTACCAGATCAGACACATCCTTAGGACATGGCTGTGTACTAAGTGGGCCCTGGGGAATATGGAGATGAATGAGGTAATATATACCTAGACAATCACCCAGGTGCACCCTCCTTTTTAACAGACTTCCTTGTTCTACAACATAAGGAATATTTTTGCTCTTCCTGCCAATTCTCAAAATTCTCAACTCAGAGGAATTCCAGTTGCCCTATTCTCTAATAAACACTGACAATACCAAAGTAACTCATGTCTGCCAGTTTAAAGCTGGGTCAGTTGTAACTTTTACTTTAGAAATGTTACTCTAATTCCCTACAGGCTTAAGGCATTTTTACATGATCCAGGAGGAAAAATAGACGTAAAAGCAAACATTTCAAGCTGAGACAGAAACATAACAACAGAGAGTGATTTGAAAACATATTCATATACTTTCTCTTTTACTTACGCACTTGGCACATAGTAGGTAAGGTGATCTATACTAGTCTATTTAAAAACCAGGCATGGGACCACTTGTAGAAAATTACAGCACAATGCTAAAGAATCAAACTAGAGCCTCTGGATTATTTTATTTTATTTATTTATTTTTTGAGACAGGGTCTCACTCTGTCACCCAGGCTGGAGTGCAGTGGCATGATCTCGGCTCACTGATACCTCCGCCTCCCAGGTTCAATTGATTCTTCTGCCTCAGCCTCCCAAGTACCTCGGACTACAGACGTGTGCCACCATGCCCGGCTAATTTTTGTATTTTTAATAGAGACAGGTTTCCCCATATTGGCCAGGCTGGTCTCAAACTCCTGACCTCGTGATCCACCCACCTCGGCCTCCCAAAGTGCTGGGATTACAGGCATGAACCACCGCGCCCGGATGGCCTCTGGATCTTGATTACATACTCAAGGCTCCTCTCCCACACCAAAATGACAGTTCTTATTTCACATAGTAAAATTGTTTTTTTAAAGAGGGGGCAAAAAAGAGCATCTAATGTCCGTTATAAGCCACTATGCTAGATGCTAGAGGTATCAAGAAAATGTTCTCTGCGCCAAATTGCTTAAAGCAAAATCTATAAAAATGTAGTCCAAAAACCATATAAAGCAAAACCTCTAAAAATGTAGTCCAAGGACCACGTATATTAGTATCACTTAGATTTCTGTCTACTACCGCAGCCCTAGATTTGAAACATTGGTAGCCAAGGCCTGAGACCTGCACTTCCGCAACCACAAATAGATGCTTATATTTTGTGACCATAAATCTAAAATAATAAAATAAGTCATTCCCCAAGGTCAGCTTATTTTCTAACAAATGTATTCTTCACATTCATGAATTCAGGATTTTAATTGTCATCTCCGTAAGTAAGCTAGTTCAATCTTTTCATGTCATATAAAGCTACCTTAAAAATATGATGAAAGCAATGGACCTCCAGAAAAAAAAAAACAAATAAATAAATATGCACAGACATCAGATTTGTCAGATAACTGTAGTAGATTTATTTGACCATAACCATGAGAATAAAGGATGGTGAAATCACTCAATAACAAGAGCCTATTCCCATTTCTTTAAATCACATTCCAAACATGAAGAAGTGGTGGTTTAAAATTAATTTCTCCTATAGCCGAATTTATTCTTACAAAATTATTTCTACTTTAATTGGCTCGTCACTTTGCCTTTTATCTTTTTCATCTCTTCTTTCACATAGTTTACCTATCTCAGGGGGCCTAGCCTACCTAGCAAACTATTTAGACAGATAATATTTATCTTGATAGACATTTTTTCCAATAAAAAAAGCTGAGTATTATAGTGATAGGTCTACTGTAATTGCTATAATTAAAAATGTATCTGGGCCAGGTGCAGTGGCTTATGCCTGTAATCTCAGCACTTTAAAAGGCCAAGGTGGGAAGACTGCTTGAGCTCAGGAGTTCAAGACCAGCCTGAGCAACATAGTGAAACCCCGTCTCCATAAAAAAATTAGCTGGGAGTGGTGGCAGGCACCTGTAGTCCCAGCTAATCAGGAAGTTGAGGTGAGAAGTCTGCTTGAGCCCAGGAAGTCAAGGCTGCAGTGCACTATGATTGTGCCACTGCACTCCAGAGCCTGGGAGATGGAATAAGACCTTGTCTTTAAAATATATATATTATATAAATATATTATATATAATAAATATAATATGTAATAAAATATAAAATAAATATAATATATATTTATATAATATATAATTTGGTTGATATATTTATATATATACATACATTGGTTTTTAAAGTATTTACAATTTTACATCAGAAAGCCAAAACTAACATCTTAACCAAAAAGTAAAACATTATTTGAGAAAGTACATATTGGGCTGGACACAGTGGCTCATGCCTGTAATCCTAGCACTTTGGGAGGCTGAAGTGGGTGGATTACTTGAGGTCAGGAGCTCGAGACCAGCCTGGCCAAGATGGCGAAACCCCGTCTCTACTAAAAATACAAAAATTATTCAGGCGTGGTGGCAGGCGCCCATAGTCCTAGCTACTCGGGAGACTGAGGGAGGACAATCACTTGAACCCGGGAGACTGAGGGAGGACAATCACTTGAACCCGGGAGGCAGAGGTTGCACTGAGCTGAGATTGTGCCACTGCACTCCAGCCTAGGTGACAGAGCAAGAGTCTGTCTCAAAAAAAAAAAAGTATATATATTGGCTCATTTGACCACTGTTAAAAAAAATGGGGGGTGGGGGTGGTCCATTATAAGTAAAACTTTAAGAAAACTGAAGCAATATACTTTGTGTGCCTTTGTTGGGGTTGTTTTACATCCTGAATGGTTTAAACATTTATTTTCACAGTAAGACCTTGTCATTTTTTTCAGAGCCAAAAAGTCACTGTTTTGTGAAGTATTTTTCTAGTGCCATGAATTGTTTTTGCAAAATGCTTTCTATGATAGAAACGTCCACCTTTTAAAAATCTTCCACTTTTTTTTACAGATTTATTAATGTATAAAAGACATACAGTAAACTACATAAAGTATAAAATAAGATATGATGTATCTACACACATGAAACCATCACCAGAAAATAAGTATATTGATCACTGCCGTTTCCTCATGTCCCATTGTGATTTCTCCCTCCCCCTATATCCCTCCAGAGTTCCTCCCGCGCTCAGGCAACTGCTGATCTGGTTTCTGTCACTTTCATCCATGTTGTTGCAAGAGTTCATTATTTTTTGTTGCTGAGTAGTATTACATTGTATGAATATACCACAGTTTAACCATTGATCTGCTAATGGACACTTGAATTCTTTACAGTCTTTTTTTTTTTCTATTTTGATGGAGAACACTGGTGTACAAGTCTTGGTATAGACAAATGTTTTGATTCCTCTCGGGTAAATACCTAGGATTGGAATGGCTGGTTTGTACCATTTTACATCCCCAGCACCAGTGCAGAGAGTTCCCGATGCTCCACATCCCTGTCAACATTTTTTTTTTTTTTTTTGAGACGGAGTTTCGCTCTTGTTGCCCAGCTGGAGTGCAATGCCATGATCTCGGCTCACTGCAACCTCCACCTCCCAGGTTCAAGCAATTCTCCTGCCTCAGCCTCCCAAGTAGTTGGGATTACAGGCAACCGCCACCACGCCTGGCTAATTTTTGTATTTTTAGTAGAGATGGGGTTTCACCATGTTGGCCAGGCTGGTCTCTAACTGCCCACCTCAGATGGTCCACCTACCTCGGCCTCCCGAAGTGCTGGAATTACAGGAATAAGCCACCGCGCCTGGCCCCCAGTCAACACTTTTAGCCATTCTAGTGCATATGTAGTGGTATCTCCTTATGGTTTTAAGTTGCATTCCCCTAATGACTAATCATCTTCTCGCAAGTTTGTGATCCGCATATCTTCTTTGCCAAAGTAACTATTCAAATCCTGTGTTCAATTTTAATTGGGTTAAGTCCTTTACATATTCTTAACATAAATCCTCTGTCAGATATCTATATATATCTACATATATATGTAGATATATATATTTATGTAGATATATAATATATGTAGATATATATAGATATATATATTTGAGACAGTCTTGCTGTTGCCCAGGCTGGAGTGCAGTGGCACCATCACAGCTTGCTACAGTCTCAACCTTCTGGGGTCAAATGATCCTCCCTCCTCAAGCCTCCTGAATAGCTGGGACTACAGGTGCCCGCCACCATGCCCGGCTAGTTTTTTTCTATTTTTTGTAGAGACAGGGTCGCTATGTTGCCCAAGCTGGTCTCGAATTCCTGCACTCAAACAATGCTTCCACCTCGGCCCCCACGTGTTAGGATTATAAGCCTGAGTCGCTGTGCCCAGACTTCTGTCAAATATATGACTTGCAAATATTTTCTCCCAGTCTGGCTTACTTTTTTATTTTCTTGAGAGTATTTTCAGAAAGCAAAAGTTTCCATTTTAATAAAGCCTAATTATTTGATTCGTCTTTTATAGTTAGTGGTTTTTGTGTTGTACTTAAAAAATCTTTGACAAACTGAAGGCCAGTAAAATTTTCTCCCATGTTTTCTTCTAGAAATTTTATAGTTCTAATTCTTACATTTAAGTCTATGATCAATTTCAAGCAAAAATTTCTATTAACAAAATCAAGAAATAAGGCTGAGATTTGGTCTGGGTCTTCTTTTATGTTTGTTTTTATTTTTGGCAAAAGGCTACATCAATTGTTCTAAGACCACTGGTGAAATTCCTACTGAATTGCCTTGGTACCTGCAATAAAACTGAGTTGCCAATAGTTATATAGGTCAATTTATTGATTAGTCCTTCCATTACTCTATTTGTCTACCTTCATACTATCTTGAGTAGTGAATCTTTAAAATTATTTGTGAAACCAGTTGGTATAAATCCTGCTCTGTAAAAAAGCACAGTTACAATCTGGATGCCTTTTATTTATTTTGCTTATCTCACTGCTACAACCTTGAACAGAAGTGGTGAAAGCAGACATCCTTTCCTTTTTCCTGATCTTAAGGGGGAGGCATTCAAATTTGTGCCATTTAAAACACTATTGGCGGCCAGGCGCAGTGGCTCACGCCTGTAATCCCAGTACTGTGGGAGTCCGAGGCGGGCGGATCATGAGGTTAGGAGATCGAGACCATCCTGGCTAACACGGTGAAACCCCGTCTCTACTAAAACTACAAAAAAAAAATAGCTGGGCGTGGTGGCGGGTGTCTGCAGTCCCAGCTACTCAGGATGCTGAGGCAGGAGAATGGCATGAACCCGGGAGGCAGAGCTTGCAGTGAGCCAAGATCATGCCACTGCACTCCAGCCTGGACCACAGAGCGAGACTCTGTCTCAAAAAAAAAAAAACAAAAACAAAAAAAAAAAAAACACTATTTTCTACAGATCCTCTATATTGAACTGAGGAAGTTTCCTTTTATTCCTAACTTGCCAAGTTATCTTTTTTTTCTAAATCAGAAAGGGATATTGGAGTTCCTCAAATGCTGTTTCTGCCACCAACTAAGATGATTATGATGAATTTAATTGATAATATTTTGCTTTAAGAAACAGGGTCCTGGTCCATAGCCCACACTGTGCAGTACCACAATCATGGCTCTGTGTAACATCAAACTCCTGGGCTCAGGTGATCTTTCTGCCTCAGCCTCCTGAGTGGCTAGGACTACAGCTACATACCAGCATGCTCGGCTAATTAAAAAAAATTTTTTTTTGTAGAGATGGGCATAGTGGCATGCGCCTGTAATCCCAGCTACTCAAGAGGCTTGAGTAGGAGGTGGGAGAATTGCTTGAACATGGGAGGCAGAAGTTGCAGTGAGCCGAAACAGCACCACTGCACTCCAGCCCAGGAGACAGAGCAAGACTCTGTCTCAAAAAAAAAAAAAGAACATACATTCTTATTATCCTTTTAATATCTATAGAATCTGTAATGATGTCACCTCTTTCATTCCTGATATTGGTAACTTGAGTCTTCTATCTTTTCTTGATCAGTTTGGTTAGAGAACTACCAATTTTATTAAGCTTCTTAAAGGTTTTATATTCACTGATCTTCTTTTTCTTTTTTCTTTTCTTTTTTTTTTTTTTTTTTTTTTGGATAAAGGGTCTCACTCTGTCACCCAGGCTGCAGTATACTGATGCGATCTCGGCTCACTGCAACCTCTGCCTCCCAGGCTGAAGTGATTCTCCCAGCCCAGCCTCCCAAGTAGCTGGGACTACAGGCATATGCCATTATGCCCAGCTGACTTTTGTACTTTTTGTAGAGACAGGGTTTCGCCATGTTCCTCAGGCTCACTGATTTTCTGTTATTTTTGTTTCATTTATTTTTTTCATTGTTATTGCTTATTGCTTCTTTTACTAACATATATTTTTTCTTTTTTAAAGACAGAGTTTCACCATGTTGCCCAGGCTGGTCTCAGACTCTTGCACTCAAGTGCTCTGCCCACCTCAGCCTCCCAGTGTTGGGATTACAGGCGTGAGCCAACGCACTAGGTCCATCTTTTACTAATTTTGAGATTCTCTTCTTTCTAAACACTGCTTAACTGCATCCCATAAATTCTGGTATATTGTGTTTTAACTTTTCATCCGTTCATAGTACTTTCTAATTTCCTTTTTATTTCTTCTATCACACATAGCTATTTTGGAAGTATGTAATTTAATTGACACGTATTTGAAGATTTTCCAGCTATCTTTCTTTTATTGGTCTCTGGTTTAATCCCATTGTGGTCAGAGAATGTTCTTTGTAGGAATTAATTTTTAAAATATTTTGTTCTCGCCTTGTCTTACAGTGCTGAATTAAAAACAAAATAAACTTACTATACTTGTTTTATAGTGTAAAATACAGTCTATCTTGGTTAATGTTTGTATTAGTTTTCATACTGCTATAAAAAACTGCCTGAGACTGGGTAATTTATTAAGGAAAGGGCTTTAATTGACTAACAGTTCAGCATAGCAGGGGAGGACTAAGGAAACTCACAATCATGGTAGAAGGGGAAGCAAAGCACCTTCTTCACAAGGTGGCAGGAAGGAGAAGTGCTGAGCGAAGGGGGATGAGCCCCTTATAAAACCATCAGGTCTCATGAGAACTCACTCACCATCATGAGAATGGCATCGGGGAAACTGCCCCCATGATTCAATTACCTCCATCTGATCTCTCCTTTGACATGTGGGTATTATGGGGATTACAATTCAAGATGAAATTTGGGTGGGGACACAAAGCCTAACCATATCAATGTTCCATATGTACTTGAAAAGAATGTGTATTTTGCTATTGCAGAGTGCATTATTCTATAAACTGAGGTCCAGTTGGCTAAGAGTGCTAGTCAAGTCTTCTATATTTTTAATAATTTTGTCTACACATTTTTTCAAAGATTGAGAGAAAGACATTGAAATGTTTTGCTATAATTGTGGATCTGTCTATTTCTGCTTGCAGTTCTACCAGCTTTTGATTTATTTATACTGAAGTTCTATTTAGGTGCATAAACATTTAGGATTGTTATATCTTCTTGATGTATGGATTGCTTTATCATTATAAAATGACCTTCTTTATCACTGATTATACTGTTTTCTCTAAAATCTACTTTGTCAATACAAATATAGCCACTCTATTTTTCTTACAATCAGTGTTACCAACATTTATATTTTTTCATCTTTTTACTTTGAACCTATATGGTCTTTATATTTAAAATGGGTTTCTTGGCCAGGCACAGAGGTTCACACCTGTAATCCCAGCACTTGGGAGGCCAAGGTGGGTGGATCACCTGAGGTCAGGAGTTCGAAAAAAGCCTGGCGGCCAACATGGTGAAACCCCTTCTCTACTAAAAATACAGAAATTTGCTAGGTGTGGTGGCAGGCGCCTGTAATCCCAGCTACTCGGGAGGCTGAGGCAGGAGAATCGCTTGAACCCAGGAGGCAGAGGTTGCAGTGAGCCCAGATTGCACCATTGCACTCCAGCCTGTGCAACAAGAGTAAAATTCTGTCTCTAAATAAATAATAATAAAATAAAATAGGTTTCTTGTAGGCAGCAGTTACCTCTTTTTTTAAATCTGATAATCTGTCTTTTAACTGAAACATTTACTCCTTTTACATTAATGTGACTGCTGATAATGTAAATATAGATGTGTTTGAATTGAAATTGACCATATTATTCTTTGTTTCCTACTTATCCCATCTGTTCTTTGTTTTTACTCATTTTATGCCTTGTTTTGTATTAACTGATTCCATTTTATCCCCTTGGTTGGCATATTAACAATTCATTCCCTCCTGCTTTCTTCTTAATGGTTGCTTTATGGTTCATTATATACATTTTGAACACACAATCTACCTTCAAGTAATATTATACCACTTCATGAACACCATAAGTAGTACACTACAACAATATACTTCCATTTCCATTACCAATATAATATTGTATCACTTCATGTACAATTTAAGAACCTTAGAATAATACACTGCCATTTCCCTTCTCCCAGTCTTTGTGCTACTGTTGCCATTTGTTTGTTTCCTTACATGTTACTGACAGTGGTATGCATGAGTTGGTTTATACTGGTTCACAAGTTGGTTGTTGAACTTTCAGTAATAAATACTCAAAACTCATTACATCCTAATTATTTTACTACATTTTACTTTGTCTAACACATACATCTATTGTACATTAATGTTGGAAATACTATATAATGGTATATTACTGTGTATCTATTCCCAGCTCTGCATTTAGTGACATCATGTTGGTAGCTTGAAAACCACCACTGTGGCTGTATTTACAGCATGGAAATTGGCAAACGGTACCATCAAGGCAAAGAGGAGGTTGTTAACCATTTTCTGGCAGTCCAGTGGTTATAACCTCCCCCTTGCCCACCCACAATATACTATTGTTATCTTTACTAAAACAGCACATTACCTTGGAAGAGAATTTTTAAAATAAGTCTTTTATATTTATTATTTCCATTGTTCTTCATTCCTTTATGTAGATCCAGATTTCCACCTGTTATCTTTTTCCTTTGACCTCAATGGCTTGACATTTCTTACGACACAGGTCTGCTGTTGATAGTCTTTCAGCTTTTGTAAATTTGAGAAAGTCTTCCTTTTCCTTTGTTTTTTCAAAAATATTTTCTTTTTGAGATGGAGTCTTGCTGTGTCACCCAGGCTGGAGTGCAGTGACGCAATCTTGGCTCACTGTAACCTCTGCCTCCCTGGTTCAAGCAATTCTCCCTGCCTCAGCCTCCCAAGTAGCTGGGACTACAGGCATCCGCCACCAGAGTAATTTTTATATTTTTTAGTAGAGACGGGGTTTCGCCATGTTGACCAGGTTGGTCTTGGTCTCCTGACTTCAGGTGATCCACCTGCCTTGGCTTCCCAAAGTGCTGAGATTACAGGCGTGAGCCACTGCGGCTGGCCCAAAAATATTTTCACTGTGTACAGAATTCTAGGTCAAAGCTTTTTTCTTTCAGAATGATCTCTTCCACTGACTTCTAGTGTTCAATGTTTCTGTCAAGAAGTTTGGCCCGGGCATGGTGGCTCACACCTGTAATCCCAGCACTTTGGAAGGCCAAGGCAGGAGGTCAAGAGATCAAGACCATCCTAGCCAATATGGTGAAACCCTGTCTCGGCTAAACATACAAAAATTAGCTGGGCGTGGTGGTGCACACCTGTAGTCCCAGCTACTCGGGAGGCTGAGGCAGGAGAATCGCTTGAACCTGGGAGGCGGAGGTTGCAGTGAGCCGAGATCTCGCCACTACACTCCAGCCTGGTGACACAATAAGATTCCGTCTCAAAAAAAAAAAAAAAAAAAAAAGTCTGTTGCCATTCTTAAGTCCTAGCATGTTCTGCATTCTGTCAGTGCTTTTTTAAAGATTTTTTTCTTTTTATCACTGGTTTTAAGCAATTTAATTATGCTTCTTAGCATACTTCATGTTTCATGTGCTCAAGGTTTGTGGAACTTAGATTTATGGTCAAATTTGATATTTTTTCAGCCATTATTTTAAATTTTTTTTCTGACCTCATAAGGCCTCTCCAGGGACTCCAATTACAAACACTTGAAGTTATCCCACAGTTCATTATGGGTTTTTTTTTTAATTCTGTATGTTTCATCGTTGGTAATCAATTACTGTATCTTCAAGTTCACTAATCCTTTCTTCTGTAGTGTTTGAGCTATTGTTAATCCCATCCAGTGTATTTTTCATCTCTATAAATTCAATTTGTGTATGTATGTGTGTGTATTTACCTACATATACACATATGCATTCACATACGTATGTATTTATCTTCCATGTCTCTCCTTAATATGCAAATGCTTTCTTTTATTTTCATGAATATATGGAACATAACTAAAATAGCTGCTTAAATGTCCTTGGCAACTAAGTCTATCATTTGTATCATTTCTGTGTTAGTTGAGTTCCACAGAGCCAGGCATGGTGGCTCACACCTACAATTCCAGCACTTTGGGAGGCCAAGGCAGGAGGATTGCTTGCATCCAGGAATTTCAGACCAGCCTGGGAAACACAGTGAGACGTCCATCTCTACAAAAAAGTACAAAAATTAGCTGGGTGTGGTGGCGTGCACCTGTAGTCCCAGCTACTCTGGAGGCTGAGGTTGCAGGATCATCTGAGCCCAGGAAGGTGAGGCTGAAGTGAGTCAAAGTCACACCACTGCACTCTAGCCTGGGCAACAGAGCAAGACCCTGTCTCTACTATTAAAATACTTAAATAGTTAAAAGTTCCCAAGACAACCTCATAGATTTGGCTAAATAAAAATGATAAATTTTCAAAGAGGCCTGGAAAATACTTTCGCAAAATATGGCAGAAATGATGTCTTATTTAATATAATAATTTTACAAAACAGTAACCTAATGGAAAAAAATAAAGATATATAAACAGGCAAGTTCATATAATAAGTACAAGTAGACAAAAAATATATCCCCCAAATTGCCACTGATAATAGTAAAAACTAAAACAAACTACAACCATTTACCACTTCTCTAATTGGCAAAGATTTCAAAAGACTAATAATACCCACCACTGCATAAAGTTTTAGAAAAATAAACAAACTTCTTTTTTTTTATTATTTATTTTTATTTTTTTGAGACGGAGTATTGTTCTATCACCCAGGCTGGAGTGCAATGGCACGATCTCAGCTCACTGCAACCTCCGCCTCCCAGGTTCAAGTGATTCTCCTGCCTTAGCCTCCTGAGTAGCTGGGATTACAGGCACGTGCCACCATGCCCAGCTAAATTTTTTTGTATTTTTAGTAGAGACAGGGTTTCACAGTGTTACTTGGGCTGGTCTTGAACTCCTGACCTCATGATCCGCCCACCTCGGCCTCCCAAAGTGCTAGGATTACAGGCGTGAGCCACTGCACCCAGCCAGAAACAAACTTGTTATACATTGCTGATATGAGTGTACATTAATACAACCTTTCTGAGGGGCAATTTGAAAATAGGTTTCAAGAGCCTTAATTTTTGTACTCTTTTCAACTTCCAGACATTTAATCTAAGAAAAAAACTTAAATTCACAAAAATGTATGTAAAGAATACCCAATGTAATATTATTTATAGTGAAGAAACATTAAAAACCCTCCTCAACATTCAACAAAAGGAAACTGGTTAAAGTAGAATGCATCTATAATGCAATTATAAGAAATCACTTGAAACAATACTATTGATATGTAACTGCCAACCTGAAAAGATGGTTACCATAGAGTATTAACAGAAAAATGTCTGTTTTAGACTACAGGTATGTCATAATTCTGACACTGTAAATAAATACAATATGTATTCATTCAAATATCAGGAAAAGGGTAGCACAAATTTAAAGTTTAAGAACAGAACAAGTTTAAATATATGCCCACAAATTATTTTAAATTCTTTCCTTCAAAAGAGAGCACCTAATTCCACTTTCTTTGTGTCTGTACTGCACTTAGTGACTGGCTTCTAACAAACAAAATGTAGAAGAAGTGACAGCAGCAGCTTGTGAATTCTGAAACTAGGTCATAAAAGCATATAGCTTCCTCCTTCCTCTCTCTCTAGGATCACTCCCTCTGGGGAAGCCAGCTGCCCTGTCGTGAGGATACTCATACAATCCTTTGAAAAGGCCAACAAGGTGAGGAACTGAAACTTCCTGCCAACAGCCAGCAAGGAACTAAGGCCTCCTAACAACAGCCATGTGAGCAGGCCATATTAGAAACATCCTCAAGGCCGGGCGCGGTGGCTCAAGCCTGTAATCCCAGCACTTTTGGGAGGCTGAGGCAGGCGATCACTAGGTCAGGAGATTGAGACCATCCTGGCTAACACGGTGAAACCCCGGCTCTACTAAAAATACAAAAAATTAGCCGGGCGTGGTGGCGGGCGCCTGTAGTCCCAGCTACTCCGGAGGCTGAGGCAGGAGAATGGCGTGAACCTGGGAGGCAGAGCTTGCAGTGAGCAGAGATCGCGCCACTGCACTCCAGCCTGGGCAACAGAGCAAGACTCTGTCAAAAAAAAAAAAAAGAGGAAAAAAAAAAAAGAAACATCCTCCAGCCACGGTCAAATCCAGAGAACTCCAGCCCCTAGGGCCAGACTGCAAACTTCAAGATGGACCCTGATCCAGAACTACACAGCTAAGCCACTCCTGAAACTCCTGCATTCCTGACTCAGAGATAAATGTCTGGTGTTTAAACCACTAAGCTAAGCCATTCCTGAATTCCTAACTCAGAAATAAATGTTTGGTGTTTTAAACTACTAAGTTTTGGGGCAAAACCTCACAACTTTACTGTGTTGGTTTCACATAATTCTATTTACTGAACACAGTAAAACTTTAATAACCTACACTTCCCTAAAAGAGCCTACAAAATTTATAGGACTTTGTATAAATCTACTACAACTAGAAATGGTCAAAAACAAGAATAAGAACAACACATTAAGCAATCACAAGAATTTCCAAAATGTAAGAGAGTGAAAGTACTCATGATAAATAATGCACCAAAATCTAAGAAAAGTATGATCACTATATAAAGCTACTGGAAGAATTTACCATGTCCCTGGAGCTGAAAATGGTCGAATGAGTGAAAACACTCAACTCTCACCTCACCCTCTTTATCTTCAGAGCTTAGACTGATAAAACTCTAAAGCATGTTTCTTATTGCATATAAATCCTTAAATCCTTCTTCACTATGACCAGTGACAGAAAGAATGAATTAAATTACTTGCCTAGGGTCATTTCAAGAGCTAGGAGAAGGATTGAAATGACTCCGTAAGAGGTCTAGGGGAGCACTAAACTGCATCTGGGAATTCTGTCTCAGAGCTAAGAAGCTAAAAGAAGCTCAGCAAGGAGTGCTGGCAGGAGCTTTGAAACAGATTTAAGACTAACTGCTTTTTAGCTAATGGAAATGACAACCAGCTGCTAAATAGATTTGGGAGGGTTAATTTATGCATCAGATCAAAATATATGAAGTCAACTGCCCAGTAAATCTTGCTTCTTACTGACAGCTATTCAATTTGATTAGGTTTATTTATATCTCCCAAATTACCATAGACACTTATCCTGGACAAATGTCATGCCCTGAACCTTTTGATAATCTCTAAATTCCTGAATATGCCTACAGATTACAGTTTTCTTTATAATACTGATTAACTGGTACCTGAAAAATAGTACCCCTTTATATCTCTAAAGATTCTGCAAACATAGGGCTAAAGTAATTAAAAAGGAAAAAAAAAATCCACCAAAGAAAATTCTCACATAAACTATAGTAAAATGAGCCATGAACTTTTAAAATAATACAACATCAAAATCATAAACATGATCACTGATTGTATGTTTGTGTAGTGGTGCAGGAAATAATACATTAAAATGCTGAAAGGGAAAGGCTGAATGAAGACAAGTTAGAACGAAAGGCTTCAAACCTGAGCATGTGCCAAAACCACCTAGAAGTCTTGCTAAAACAGAGATTGAGGGGCTCTGCCACTCAAGAGTTTCTCATTCAATAGTTCTGGGCAGGAGCGTGAGATTTTGCAGATGTTGCAGGTGTGGGGACCACAACTTGAGACCCACCAAGTTACAGTATTATGTTACTAACATAACTAACCAACTTGACCTGGTGGATCATCAGGATTTGGTTGATTATACCTAGACCAAAGAAGCAAGCAAATCAGGTCAGAGAGAAGAGTGAGGCAAACGTGGGGCATAATGGATGAGAGATCAGGTGCTGCCCAAACTTTCCACTCCCCTCTTTCTTCCTTCCTTCCTCCATCTCTCTTCCTCAAAAGGAACTAGATTCAGTTCTCAGGCATCTTTAAAGTTCCCTCCATTACACGATTCCATGGACAGATCACAATTATTCTTCAGTAGTCCCGAATGCCTGATGCTCACATCTCTTTTTGGGATGTGTATGTTTGGGATGTATGAGAAGGTATCTTCTTCAAATGTGGGTTTCATTACAATTTTGAATTCATACAAACCATAGCCCTTCCTCCCTTTTATGAGCTTCTTCAGCTCAGTTCCAGGAGCAATATATAGTGAGTTGGGGCAGCCTCCCACTATTAACTTCATATCTGGCAAAACATATTTGAAATTTGCAAAATCAACCTTCACTTGTCAGTTCAATGTCTTCACCATCTGTTACTTCTCACATTTCCTGTGCATAACTTCACACAATACCTTAAGAGTCCTTTCAGCATTCTCAAGTTTTCTTTCTTATTTGATGAGCAATATTTTCATTGGTTGGAATAATCACTGAAACACTTTCACTAACTTCTTGTTGCTGTCACTTCCATTGTAACAGATGGTAGACCTGTTCAGTTCCGTAGGTTTAGCTTCCACCACATTCAACATTCTGAAGTTACCTACAACTTCTATATTCCACCTAGAAACCATCACTTTTGTAGACTTCAGGATTTTAATCACCGCCTTCCCAGCTGAATTTATTTTTGTGGTACTTTTCCATAGGAAAAAAAAAAAAGGTCACAGGCACAAAAGTTAAAGTGTGCAATGTCATGAGCAAGGAGACACAACTGAACTTCGCTGAAACAATGAAGCTGGGCAGCAGGCCTCACTCAGGGTGGGCTTAACTCAAATTTCAGCCTCAGAAAAATTACCAATTACACTCTGTCATGAGGATTTAGAGGCCTTAGGAATGACTCAATGTTAACTCTTGGAATGTCTAAGGTCCAGTATACCCCTATTTACTCTTAACTCCTCTAAAGGAACAAACATACGTAGCTACCTCCTTTAGATAAGAACTATGACTGTGTCAAAGGTGATGCACACTGCTGTGTGTGTGGAAATCAGGATGATGACGCTAGACAGCTCCACAGCTCCAACTGAGTCAAGTTTTCACTGTGACATGCTTTTATCAGGAGTGCTGTGGTGTTTCTTCTGAGCATACACACACTCCTAAGTACATAATAAAATAAAAATTCGAAAGCCAAGCATGAATGATTTTGGGATAATCTACACCACTGTTTCTCTCTCTTCAAACGGTGAAAAAACGAACTATATTTCCATTTTCTTTGCTGCAAACAGACTTCGGCCAAGATGACTTCAGACAATGATTAAGAGCCACGTCCCTACAATCATATAAGTCCCAATATAATTAAAAATTCTTTTCCAGTGGTTCTAACTAGGAGGTTGGGTTATAGAGTTTACTTTCTACTGTGTAATACACAGCTATTGTTTAAATTAGTCTTTTATAAACAAAAATTCCAAGAGCAAAACAATTTCCTAAAAACTTTATGTTCCACTCCTCTCTACTGCATTAGATAATAATCAACTCACTGCCCTTTTCCCTACAAAGCTGATCACATTAAATATGTTGAGTCTGGATTCAAAAGTTCAAAAACTGACCTTAAGAAGCTATCTTGTATAGACATGACATCAGAAAAATACCTTAAACCCATTCCAAATAGATGGCTTCTCTCAACTTATTAGGAATCTCTTTAAAAAATTATAAAACCTCCTATAATTAGCCTATTACTAAGATTTACCTTTTGGAAATTTTAGAAGCTTTGTTTTAAAACTTCTTAGAACCACACACAAAATCCATAGAGTTCTCACTTAAATGTTTTCTAATTACTATAAATACAGCCCCATTAACAAAAGTTTAAAAGAAAAGGAAGTTAAAAAAAAAAAAAAGACACAACAACATAACCATAATCCTACTATCTTCATAGTAAACGGATTGGTGAATTTTCGTCCATTTTAAAAATTTGCATACCTTTTTACATAGTTGTAATCATTACATATACACAACTTTACATCCTGCTTTAACCCCTTCACACACCTTTGTATCATACACACCTTTCTAAGTTGTCATTTTATATCTAAAGGACTGCAAAATATTCCATAAGTTATCATTTGTTTACCAGTTTCTTTATTGTTCAAGATTGTTTCTGATCTTTTATTCTATAAACTGCTAGGTCAAATAGCATGAATTTTCTGACTCCAGATCCCTATTTAATGTTACCATTTCTTTCTAGCCAGCAGCTCTAAACCAGCTATCAATCAAAATGAGCAAAAATAAGCATGTTTCTACTACTGAATTATTTTTCCCACAGGAATGAGCAACTTTTCCGGACATTCTCAAACCCAGCAAAACACCAATAGGTTTTTCCAATCCTTGCCTCTGTCTTCACATCACCTTTTTCTCTATATCTCCATGTGTCCTCTTTGTTTCTTATAAGGACCAGTAATTAGATTTAGGGTCCATTATAATCCAGTATGATCTCATCTTAACTAATTATGTCTGTAAAGACCCTAAGGTCACATTCTGAGGTTTTAGCTGGACAGAATTGGGGGACAATAAACTCCTACACTACTGACCTCCGATCTAAATAAGTCTAATTTTCTTTGGTTTTACAACGTTTTTATTTTTAATTAAATAACTATTTATAGTACTACCTTTGTTCAGTATTGCTTTAACGTATTTTCAATATAATGCAGTGAGAGTACAGTAGTCCCCCTTATCCATGATTTCGCTTTCTGTGATTTCAGTTACCCACAGCCAACCTGAGTCAGAACATATGAATGGTATAGTAAGATATTTTCAGAGAGAAAGAAACCACGTACATATAACTTTTATTATGGTATACTGTTATAATTATTCTATTTTATTCTTAGTTATTGTTGTTAATCTCTTACTGTGCCTAATTTATAAATTAAACTTTATCACAGGTATGTTTATATAGGAAAAAACCCTAAGTACAGTATATTGAGGGTTCAGTACTATCCCCAGTTTCAGGCATCCACTGGGAGTCTTGGAACAAATTCTCCCAAGATAAAAGAGGAATACTGTATTAAGATTACCACAAAAAAAAATTACTTAATCACTAAATCTTACCTGAGATCAAGCACTTCTTACCAGCAAAGCTCCAAATAGATTGCTAGGGAAATATGGCATTTTGACTTTTAAATATTAAAGTCAAATGCCCCAGAAGACCAAAGTATCATGCCTCTATGCACTGTATCTGGAAATTCAAACTACTATAGATACACAAAGGACACAGTGATTTTTGTCTGTAGTAGGGCAATTTCTTGACTAAGGTCCAATCATCAGTGTATGAGTAGACTGTACCAGTGTTACCACTTCAGCTCTAAGTTAAACAAGTCTTGCTGTTTATTTAACTAGAGAAGCTCTCTTAGCACTCAGAAAAGACTTAAAAACCACGAAGATGGACCCTGCAGACTATCACAATCTTACATATTCAACAATCTTATAAACTTTTGCAACCTACTCACAACACCAAATAGAACTAGTATCCACCAATTAAATAAACCAACTGGAAAGTGAACTAAAATGTTAATACATGTACAAAAGATCCGCATATTCATTGTAAAACACTGAAGAGAACATAATTATTTGGCAAACATTCATTTAACCAGCATCTAGGGTAAAAACAGAATGTTTTTAAAAAAATAGTGCCCCAACATTCATTGAGTTGTAAGACATACTGAGAAATGCCAATGACTTTTTTTTTTTTGAGATGGAGTCTTGCTCTGTCGCCAGGCTGGAGTGCAGTGGCGCAATCTCAGCTCACCGCAAGCTCCGCCTCCCAGGTTCAAGTGATTCTCCCTCCTCAGGCTCCGGAGTTGCTGGGACTACAGGCTCCCACCACCACGCCCAGCTAATTTTTTTCGTATTTTTAGTAGAGATGAGGTTTCACCATGTTGGCCAGGATGGTCTCCATCTCTTGACCTTGTGATCCACCTACCTCGGCCTCCCAAAGTGCTGGGATTACAGGCATAAGCCACCGCACCTGGCCTGTTACCTTTTTGATACTTATATTGTGTATATCTGCAGAAATACTCAACTTTGGATGGGATGAGATATTCACAGCAGAATTACTTTTGAGGTTTTCTCAAATTAATGATTTGGAGCCCTAAAATAATAATTACAAGGTTCTGACTTAATTTCCATTGTGATACCACTTAGGCCTTGTCTTCCCCACAGGTAATCTCCTCAGGGGAAAAGAAAGTGGAAAGAATAGAACATTCAGTTATTTTTTTGTTTGAAACGACAGTTTTGTTTAAAAATGGAACGGCGGTGGCTTCTAGCCTTCAAATAAAACATATATTTTTAAAAATTCACATTTAGAAAGATTTAATATTCTGGTACTCTATTAAATTTCAACTCATATTAAATTGAGTTTTATATGATCTACATGAGCATCTCTATACCTGGCAGTAGGCAGGCAACAACACAGATTCCAGCCCTCAAAAAACTTAAAGTCTAGTAAAATAATAACCAGGCAACTGCAGTATAATTTTGTAGAAACTATAATAGAAAAAGTACAGTGTACTAGGGAATCACATGAGATACAAATTCCAGGCCAGGCACGGTGGCTCACGCCTGTAATCCCAGCACTTTGGGAGGCCGAGGTGGGTGAATCACCTGAGGTAAGGAGTTTGAGACCAGCCTGACCAACATGGAGAAATCCCGTCTCTACTAAAAATATAAAAAAATTAGCCGGGCTTGGTGGCGCATGCCTGTAATCTCAGCTACTCAGGAGGCTGAGGCAGGAGAATCGCTTGAACCCAGGAGGCGGAGGTGCAGTGAGCCAACATGGTGCCATTGCACCCCAGCCTGGGCGACAAGAGTGAAACTCCGTCTCAAAAAAAAAAAACAAAAAAAAACAGAGAGATGAATTCTAAACAAAAGTGACTATTTTAGACAAGTACTTAGCATAAGAGAACTATTAAAAAGTATCCATGTGCATATAATTAGCGTGATAAATTTTATCAATATATGTAATCATGTAAAGTACAGATTGATTACATCATACTGTCAACTTCCCAATTTCTATCTCCAGCCCAGTCTTCTTCACTTGAATTACAGATTGATTACATCATACTGTCAACTTCCCAATTTCTATCTCCAGCCCAGTCTTCTTCACTTGAATCCAGTTTCCTATGGTCATCTGTCCACTACTCCACAGATCTACTTTAATGGCTCCTCCTACTTATCTAAGATTAACTCATCTTCAGAAAAGATGATTCCATTCATTGAGTGTCTTGGATCAAAACCCAAAGCCTCTTCCTCAACTTCTCTCTCTCACACACCCCAGACCCAATCCAAGCTCCACCTCTGCCCTATCTTTAAAAAACACAGTCATGCACCGCATAACTTTTTGGTCAAGACAGACCACACACACATAGGATGATGGTCCCGTAAGATTATAATGGAGGTGAAAAATTCCTATTGCCTAATTCAATTATTTTAAAAATAAATTTAGTGTAGCCTAAGTGTCCAGTGTTTATACAGTCTACAGTAGTGTACAGTAATGTCCTAGGCCTTCATATTCTCTCACCACTCACTCACTGACCCACCCAAAGCAATTCCCGGCCTGCAAACTCCACTCACAGTAAGTACCCTAGAGAGGTGTACCATTTTTTATCCTTTATACTGTATTTTTACTATTATTTTTTTCTATATTTAGAAGTTTAGATACACTAATACTTCCCATTGTGTTACAACTGCCTACAATATTCAGTACAGTAACACGCTGCACAGGTTTATAGCCTAGGAGCAAAAGGCTATATACCATACAGCATAGAGAGGTGTGGAGTAAGCTGTATCATCTAGGTTTGTGTAATACACTCCATGACGTTCACACAAGAACAAAATTGCCTAATGGCACATTTCTCAGAATGTGTCCCTGTTGTTAAACAACACATGAATGTAAAAACATCTTAGTCCTATTTTAGGTTTATAAGCTATGTGAATACAAGAATTATACCTTCTTCTTTATGCTTCTCCCCAAGAAATCATAAGCCTTAGAGCAAATACTCAATACATACGATTGTATTTTAATTAATTTAAATTTACTTAAAATTTTAGAGTAGTACCTTAATTTTATGTCCTTGAATTTTAGAGTAATTACAATTAATAGAAAATATAACTTGCTGGAAAAACTAAGACCGATTATTATTGAGAACTCTGAATTCACCATCACTCTCTCAATAACTATGTAACAAAGAAGATGTGAGAGTTTCTTTTTTGTATAACAAAGAAGAAAATTATCTTGTGGTCACATATTGCAATAATCCCAAAGATTGAAATAATCCCAAAAGACTTGAAATAATAATGCCAAAAGACTTGAAAAAAATCCAATTAATACCTTCATCTTACACTAAACCAGATTTCGCTATGAAAGACAATAAGGGCAACTTTATTTATAAAAAATTTTTAAACTAAAAGCTGACAAATTTTGAATAACATACTGATTTAAACTAATTCCTGATGCATTCACCTCAAAGTCCTCATTTCTTGGAATTTCCTCAAATAGTTCTGACTCTCTTTATCTCCTATAGACAATCCTGAGCTCATCTAATCCCAAACAAATTTAAAAGGAAAACAAAACTATATTTAAAAGCTTTAGAGTTGAAGAATATAATCTCATACTATCTGAGACAAAGTTCCATGTAGATAAATAGAAAATTATGTCTTTCAAAAAAGATGTCAAGCTAATCCTTGAAGATCTAATTTCAACATTGCAAACAACATTTAGATAGCCCAATTACAGAAAGGAGTGTACACACAATATACCACAAAATTCTTACTGTCTTTTTTATTTTCCTATAAATGGTTTGCCTTGGGAGTACAGTTTTATCTATCTCTCAAAAGAAACGAGTTTTCTCAAAAATATTAGGACCAACAAGAACAGCAAAAAAAGAATCAACTAACCAAATAACAAGCCATCCTCAAAGAATACTTGTTCATCAGTTCCACTGCTATGATCATTTTTATGCCTTATGCCTTTGAAGAAAAATCAGGAAAGCAGGAGAAAAGAACAAGCATAAATCACTAGAAATAAATAACAGAGAATGTTTCCTTTCCTTCCAAATGTATCAGTAAATCCTTTTTGGAATTACCATAAGAAATAAATCAAGAACAAAATGGCAGAAAGGAGTCAAGTAATAGAAATTGCTGTTTTTTATGACAGAGTTACTTAAATCTTATTACCAATTCTCCCTTCTTCTAAGTGTTTATACATACATCACAGATAGAGGATTTTCCTGTGTTCCAAATAAAGATAGCACTTCTCAGGGTAAGGATATGATATAAAATTCTTCAGTTTGAGTTTTTGTTTTGTTTCACTTTCCCTACAAATAGATGAACAGAAGTCCGGGAGGGCACTTTGTTTGCATTTAGAATACTACAAAAGAAACAGAACAACCATTACTTCTATTAAAAGAGAACTTTTAAAGTCATTTAAAATTATATGCAGAAGAGAATGAATTAGATAAAAATATTTTGAAATATTTTATATTCTATTATTTCAAACATTAAAAAAAAAAGCAACACTGGCAATCTATATGCATGGGGGTGAAAAAGAATCTTGACCTCTGCCACACACCATACCTAGATATTAACACAGGAGAATATCTTCATGACCTTAACATAGGCAAGGTTTCTTAAGTAGACACCCACAAAAACCAATCATTATTAAAAGACAGACACAGAATACATTAAAACTAAAAGTGTATGCCATCGAAAGACACCATTAAGACAGTGGAAAAAGGTCGGGCATGGTGGCTTATACCTATAATCCCAACACTTTGAGAGTCTGAGATAGGAGGATCACTTAGGCCCAGGAGTGTGGGACCAGCCTGAGCAACATGGCAAGACTCTCAGTCTCTACAAAAAAAATTAAAAAGTTAGCCAGGTGTGGGGCGCATGCTTGTAGTCCTAGTTACTCAGGAAGCTGAGGTGGGAAGATCTCTTGAGCCCAGGAGTTCAAGGTTGCAGTGACCTCTATGATTATACCACTGTATAATATATACAGTGTATATTATACTGTATATGTATAACCTATGCAGTGTATATTATACTGTATATGTATAACCTATGCAGTGTATATTACACTGTATATGTATAACCTATGCAGTGTATATTATACTGTATATGTATAACCTATGCAGTGTATATTACACTGTATATGTATAACCTATGCAGTGTATATTATACTGTATATGTATAACCTATGCAGTGTATATTATACTGTATATGTATAACCTATGCAGTGTATATTATACTGTATATGTATAACCTATGCAGTGCATATTATACTGTATATGTATAACCTATGCAGTGCATATTATACTGTATATGTATAACCTATGCAGTGTATATTATACTGTATATGTATAACCTATGCAGTGTATATTATACTGTATATGTATAACCTATGCAGTGTATATTATACTGTATATGTATAACCTATGCAGTGTATATTATACTGTATATGTATAACCTATGCAGTGTATATTATACTGTATATGTATAATATATGCAGTGTATATTATACTGTATATGTATAATATATAGTGTATATTATACTGTATATGTATAATATATACAGTGTATATTATACTGTGTGTATGTATATGTGTGTTTACATATATACACACACACACTGTATATTATACCAGCCTGGGCCACAGAGCGAGACCGTGTTCTTAAAAAAAAGAGGGGGATGGGGGGATGGGGGCAGGCAAGCCACAGACTAGAAAAAAAAGATAACTGTAACATATATAACTAGCAAAGCGTTCATATCCAGAATACATTTAAAAAGCCTCTAACAATTACTTTTTCTTTTATTTTCTTTTTCTCACTCTGTTGCCTAGGCTGAAGTGCAGTGGCATGATCATAGCTCACTGCAACCTTTAACTCCTAGGTTCAAGTGATCCTCCCACCTTGGCCTCCCAGCCCAAGGTGCTGGGATTACAGGTGTGACCCACTGTGCCAGGCCCAAATTAGTTTTTGAAAAAGGGCAACCCAATAAAAAATGAATAAAAAAACTAGACACCTTCCCCCTACACATACACCCCCGATATGGTTTGACTCTGTTTCCCCACCCAAATCTCATCATAAATCGTAACCCTTACGTGTCAGGGGAGGGACCTGATGGGAAGTGATTGGATCATGGGGGCAGTTTCTCCCATGCTGTTCTCATGATGGTGAGTGAGTTCTCATGAGATCTGATGGTTTCATAAGGGGCTCTTCCCTGTTCACTTCTCTCTCTTTCCTGCCCCCTGGTGAAGAAGGTACTTGCCTCTCCTTCAACTTCCGCCATTAACTGTTAAGTTTCCTGAGGTCCTTCCAGCCATTTGGAACTGTGAGTCAATTACACATCTTTCCCTTTATATATTTCCCAGTCTCAGGCAGTTCTTTATAGCAGTGTGAAAACGGACTAATACACACACCCACCCACCCCCAATATCTATAGAACCAATAAAAATCTTAGTTTCAGGGAAATGCGAATTAAAATCACAATGAGCCCAAACTATACACCAACCACAACGGTTGAGCTTAAGACCAACAATAGCAAACGTTGACAAGGATGTGAAGCAATAAGAACTCTCATATATTGCTGTGGAAATATAAACTGGTATAATCTCTTTACAATTGTTTGCAGAATCTACTAAAGTTAAAACATAAATACCCTATAACTTATCCACTCCATTCCTACAGATTTACCAAAGCAAAAAAATACATGTAAATTGCACTAGAAGATGCACAAGAATGTTCATGGCGGCATTATTTGTAATTAGGTAGGAAAAAGAAAACCTGGAAACACAGCTGTCCAAAAACAGTAGTAGTATTAACTGTGGTATAATTATACAATGTAAAACTACATAGCAATGACCTCCTACATGCAAAATGATGGCTGAATCTCACAATCTTAAGTTAAACACAAAAGAGTACATATGATAAGCTACTATTTATATAAAGCTCAAAATGAGCAGAACTAAGCTAGAGTGTTAGAAATTAGGACAGCAGTTATTTTGGAGTGGGTAGGTAATAACTAGGAGGGGGAAAAGCGGGGGACTTGGGATGCTGACAGTATTTTGAGCTCAGTAGTAACCACTTGGTGATGAAGACTTGCATACCTTTCTGAATGTATGTTATATTCTAATAAAAGATCTGATTTTTCTTAAAAACTATGTGATTTAGAAAAACTAATGATAAACAGACAAATGTTTAAATTAAAATTTCTAGCATACAAACTGTTAACACCAATATGAACCCTTAACATATCCAGAGAGCATAGTCTTCCAGAACAAAACATTTGAGATTATTTCTAAATCTGATTTTATATTTAAGACTTTTAAGGCATAAAATTAAAACATAAAATGATTAAAGCATTAGGCAGTATGCTTTCTCCATTCTCCACCCTACTCTCAAAATTTATCTTCTGCCACTTACCTTTATTCAACCCTCACTGAGCTTCTCCCTGGTTCCAACATGCCGTTCCTTACCAACTTGCCCTGCCTGAAACAACTTCTCTGAACTCCAATCTAATTTTTTATTTGGAATCTACAGGACTGGACTTCTCCCCTACAAAAGGCATAATTAGTACGTTTCTACCTTGTTAATACTCCTCAAGACAACTTCACAAGTTGTCATTTGCCCAAGTAAGTTCCACGCTCCAACAGAGGGCAGTAACTCATCCATTTATACATTCTCGGTGTTTTCACACAGTAGAAAAATGGATGAAAACATGTACATATGTGTTTTACAGAAGAAACATATTACTTTCAATTCAATCAATATTTATTAAGTGCTTGTTAAGTACCTATGATACTTAGCCCAAATTAGGAAATCAGAAATAAAGTTACTTTGATCCAGCTGCATTTTGAAGTCCATGTCCTGCTATCCCTACTTTAGTTAGCACTATGATGTTCTGGAGCCATAAATACTGTAACTGTGATGCTTAGAACAGTTTCAATCATCAAAATTATTCTGCTTGGGAGGGTGTGTTAATCCCCACATGCTCAGGCTCCACTTTGCTCTTTTCCTTCCCTGGAATCGAATCTGCCCTCTTCCCCACATGTACCCCTCCAAAAAGACTTGGGAACCTTATCACTTCCTTCCTGGGTTGCTCCACTGTTTTCTTGCTGTTCAGGCTCAGCTCTGCAGTTCCTGCAGACTCCATGCTCCTCCCTTTCTTTGGGCCACTCAGTCCTTCCTCTGACCCACTGGTGAGCCAACCTTTCTTCTTTTCTTTGGCCTCTCTTCCATCAACAACTGGAAAAAGGGGTAGCTCGTATCCTCATAACCCCCTCTGCTCATTCTTCTAGCCCTTCTTTGCCTCTGGGTGCTCACATACACACATTCTGGCCAAGAAAGTAGTCAGGGGAGTGAGAGAAAAGAAAGGCAACAAGGAAAAAACGGTTAAAAAAAATAGAAAAAGTAAAAATATTAATGGTACTAGACATAAGTCAAAACAACACAAAGCCAATGTGTTCCTAGAGACTAGGAGTGATGCTCTGTGTATGCAAATGTGAATGACATAAAAGTTAAATATGAAATATGAGAAAAACAAGACATAGGTAAGAAAATGTGTTAAAATGCTGAAGAGACAGAAGGTAAATGCCTATGACTTGGAAAGAAATATGAGAAACCATGGACATAAAAACAAACAGAGGCCAGGCACAGTGGTTCACGCCTATAATCCCAGCACTTTGGGAGGCAGAGGCAGGCGGACCACTTGACGTCAGGAGTTTGAGACCAGTCTGGCCAACATGGGGAAACCCATCTCTAGTAAAAATACAAAAATTAGCCGGGCATGGTGGTGCATGCCTGTAGTCTCAGCTACTCAAGAGGCTGAGGCAGGAGAATCACTTGAATCCGGGAGGCAGAGGTTGCAGTAAGCCAAGATCACGCCATTGCACTCCAGCCTGGGCGACGGACGGACAGAGGGAGGCTCCATATACTAACTAACAATTTCTGCTTGATGCATCTCTTTAGCATCAAACCTACCAGGCAAAACATGTCACCTCAGCAAATTCACAATTAAAAATTAATTACTCAGAACAATTAATTAGAAATTAGCAGCCAGGAGTGGTGGCTCACATCTGTAATCCCAGCACTTTGGGAGGCCAAGGCAAGCGGATTACTTGAGGCCAGGAGTTTGAGACCAGCCTGGCCAACATGGTGAAACCCCGTCTCTACTAAAAATACAAAAACTAGCAGGGTGTGGGCACCTCTAATCCCTGCTACTTGGGAGGCTGAGGCAGGAGAATCACTGGGGCCCAGGAGAAGGAGGCTGCAGTGAGCCAAGATCATGCCACTGCACTCCAGCCTGGGAGATAGGGCAAGAAAGGGAAGGAGGGAGGGAGGGAGGGAGGGAGGGAGGGAGGGAGGGAGGGAGGGAGGGAGGGAGGGAAGGAAGCAAGGAAGGAAGGAATTAGCTGTAATTCAACTCTCAACTTAATTTGCACAAATACCAACAAAGGGAATTTCTGGTTAAGTAAAAGTGGATTTCAGCTGAACTTCTCTCTATGTCTCCTCCACCAACAGTGACAAGAGATTCTTACCCCTAAAGATTGAGTTCATGTTTACAAAAGCTCACTATTAAGTCATGCAAAGAATGCAGGTAGCCGGAGAAGCCAGCTCAGCATCGAATAGCTTCAAGGCACTCTAGAAAATAAAGCCCTACTCTAAATAGGTTATTATTAGGATCATAAGCAGAAACTCGCTAAACAACAAAACAAGTAACATGAACCAAAGTAAATATCAAACTGAGAGGGTTTTTACAACAGAGACTCTTCTTTTCATATGCTCCCCCGAGACAAACAGCCCATTCTTCAGCCACCCTCACTCACTTTCCCCTTGAGAATTTTAACTGCATATAATGAAAGATGTTATAGGTGAGTTTGTATGCATTATCCATGACTAATCTAGAAGCAGAAAAAAAGTTGAGATCACCACTATATACCTAATATTAACTATAGAGCCAGCTTTAAAACATAACTGAAGACTGAACTTACTAAAAATAATCAAACCACAAAAACTATACAGTTGACCCAAATAAATTACATTTTATGCAACACAAACTCTAAAGCGTTAATTTATAACGCAAACGAAGAACATTCGGATATCCCTGTTGTTCAAAACCTTCCCCACCTGTTCTCTGTCCCCAGAAGTGACAAGTGTGTAAAGGGCCTTCTATGCACTCTGCCTCCCACTGGATTCAGCCAGTGGGGGGTGGGGAGAGAAGAGAGTGTGGTCAAGGGTATCTATTCTCCGGACACCCTCCCTATTAGGTGGCCTCCAGCTGGCCGTGCCCTGGTCTGAAGTTCTCTCAAGGTGCAGTCAGCTCTAGCTAAAGGGTCTAGCATCTCCTGCTAGGTTCTATAAATCTCTTCTTCCACTCATCCCTTTGGGGTGTGGGTTAATAACATCTCCAGCAGTTGATAATTTCAGGCATTTTCTACACTAAACCTTGCAGTTCCCCAATACCCTGTCCACATCCTTCTAAAATTCTCCTGATTTAAGTGTGCTATTTCCTGTTGAGATCTTGACTATTATACTTGTTAAAAAGAGGAAAAATGTTTTAATGAACATTTAAGAGATATGTTCTGTTTATAAGCAGTAAGGCCCAAGCAAATAAACAAAAACCCTCAGCTATATTTTCAATATGAATACAGGTGAGGGAAGGTCAAAGAACTGCACTTCTGCTGTAGAACACACACTGTATTCTACAAGGGTATCATAAATAAATGGTTTATGATAGATGAATGGAGAGAGATGCCTGAAAGGGGGAAAATACAGCAGGAAGATCCGGGGAACCTGCACACTGTGCAACTATCATTCTTTCTATTCCAGATGCTCTCATTCTTTAGCTGTGCACCTTAAACACATCCTTTGAGCTCAGTTTCCTAATGTAAGGCATAGATTCTATGAGATGAACTCTGCGGTCCTTTCTAGCTTCAAAATTTTCTAAATAGTATGTCTGTCTTGTGATGACAGGTTAAAAAGAATGGATAATGCTTCTGAACAGGGAATATCACAGCCTCTCAGTGGCCTTTGTAACCACCTCAAGAGATGTCCCAGCCAACAGACTGTACATCCTCAGAGTCTTGCTACCAACAGTGGCCCCCATTAGTAAGTGAAAGCTCACTGATATAAACCAAATGACATAAAGTACATGAAACAAAATGTTATTTTTAGTATCCTTTCATTGTCCATTTTATACAATAGCCTATTTACCACTCCTCTGGTTCTTTTCTTCCTCTTTATGAGTGATTATCCAAGATCACTGCAGCTTCCCTTTCTTTCCTTAAAATCTCACTCATTGTCTGTGAACTCCATTCAGTAGAGAATATTTCAAAGCCAGAGGAAGGATGGGAAATTCAAATAAGTCAATTTTGCTACTTAATAATTGTACTAAAACATTGTAGCTTTGGAAGGGAGCTTAAGTCTAATTGCTAAAACTAAAATTTGCCAATTTTCTGAGTTTTGTTTTTTGTTTTGTTTTGTTTTGTTTTGTTTTTAAACATGCCCATTCTTTTCACAGGTATCTAGTGGACACACAAGAAGATCCAGGAACATCTGTTTTATTACCACTGGATTTCACTGGGGACCTTTCTGGCTCTTACAGGGGTTGCCTTGATCTGTGAATCAATCAGACACAGTGACCACCCAGACAGCTCAGCCACAGAGTTCAAAGAAGAGAAGGTGAGGCAAACTCTAGGAAGCAAATGAGCAATAAAAAACAAGAGGGAAAGGTTCATTTTTGCATAGGAGTTTTGCTAGAGTTGTCAAAGCAGGCCTATAAACGCTCATAATGCAAATACTTCAACAACATAACTCTAAAATGTTTCTGAAGACTTTTAAAAGGGTCTTTCTTTTCTTAGTAATTTAATATGTTCTACTTTAACAAAAGTAGGGCACTTCTGTGAGTCAACTCCCGTAAACTATCTCAGAGTTTAAATTTTGCTTCATAAGATATATCAGTGTAGACTAGGGAGTACCAAGAAGTAAAGGATTGTGTATTTTGGTCATTTTCAAAGAAAAATTTAAGAAAGATGCAAGATAGGACAAAAAGGATGAGTGGAATCATGCACACCTGGATCCCAAGCAAAGCAATTTAATTTCTTTCTGAATAATTTATAAAACATAATACCAATTTCTGAGGCACGTGGTGAGGTGTTAGTTTTGGGTCCAGCAGCATCAGGATCACCTGAGAACCTGTTAGAAAAGCAAATTTGTGGGCCTTACTCCGAACTATTTAATAAGAAACTCTGGGGTTGGGGACCAGCCACCTGGGCTTTTATGAGCCTTCTAGGTGATTCTGATGCATGCTCAAGTTTGAGAAGCACTATTATAAGGAGGGAATGAAGTCAAGTTTACAAAATCTGTAGCTTGGAAAAAGGAATCAACTATTTTATTTAAGATTTTAATTCTTTCCTTTCCAAGACATGTACTGAGAGTTACTATGTAACAGGAAATATTTAAACATACATGGCCCTATATGCCTTCCATTAGTCAGGATAAAACAGAACATTAAATCATGGTCAGTCTTATAGTGTCCTCAGGTTTTAGGAATTACATTCTACTGAGCCATAATCAACCTCTCTCCCCGGCAATGCTTATCCTGAGATTCCTCATAATTTCACTGTACCAAGAGATGAAAAATTATATCATTTAATGTAGGGAACACTGAGACACTTAAAGGTATACAAATGTGTTATAATTAGGGACTTAAATTAATCAAGGTCTGCACATAACAAGTTGAAGAACGGTAAGAAAATAAGAGATGACAAGGTTTCCAGATAATTAGCACTTGGCTTATTTCCTCATTTCCTTCAAGTCTCTGCTCAAGTCAAAGCAAGGCCTGCCCTGACCGTCCATCTGTAATAGTGCAACCCCGATTCCCTAGCACCTCCTTACCCTGCCCTACTTCTCTTTTTTCCACAGCACCTACCATATAGTGTGTTATAAAACTGATGTGTTATGCTTATTGGTTATTTCTTCTGCCCACTAGGATATAAGCTTTATGGGGACACAGAGCATTGTCCATGGGGACACATGGATATATCTTGGGCACCTACAACAGTGCCTGGGGCAGAGAAGTCATTCAATACCTGACACACAGTGGCCTCAAACAAAAGTTGTGGAATTAACAGCTGGGCAATATTTACGATATATTATGGTAAAAAATGTTTAAGATGTGAACATCTTTCGGAAAAGGAATAAAAAAAGTTTTGGTTACAGAAGAATAATCTATTCCTACCCAAACAGGTCGGAAGGTATGCACTTGATTTATCAGCTTTACCTTTAAATACCTTGAGGATTTATATGAAATAAGATTTATATGAAATAAGATCAATGTTGATTATTGTTCAATAAAATCAGATATCTGTATCTCACTTGGGCAATATTTATATATCTTCTGCCTATCTACAGAATTCTAAGAAATGGCAATCTGGGCTTGAATTGCCAAAGAAATAGAAAATAGAATTTCTCTTCCCAAAAAATTAGCAATCCAGATGACAATATGCAATCTATAAACAAAACACTAATCAACAGTTTTCTGAAACAACTGTAAATTCATAACAAGTTTATTCTCTCTTCCAGCAGATGGCTGACCAAAACAGCACTTTGTTCATGTTTTTAACAAATTTTCCAGAAAGAATAATCATGCTCAAATGCTTTCTCTTGTCTTTGTTTATGGACAGGGTCCCTGGCACATTCTATCTAAAGGCACCTACCTGACTATGCACCAAGAAAAGAACTGAACTTTTTCTATTCTAATAACCTTCAACTCTTCCCTATTTCAAATATTCAAATACTTCCATCTGTAAAGTTCGGCCAAGTTCATAAACTATCTGGCAAAAATAACAAAATACAAAAAGACCTGGGACCTTGGCAGGGAAAGGAATGAAGGTTAAAGTTATGTTTGAACAATTCCTTCCTCTCCTCTACTAGGTTCAAAGTCTTTCTTTTAACTACTAATTCATCATGGAAGCAATGCAGCACAGTAGTTCCAAAACATGGATTCCAAAGCCAGACAGCTTAGGTTTGACCTCTGCCTCTTACTCTCTCTACTGACCTCTCTGTCTTAGTTTCCTCCCTGTAAAATGGTAAAAACAATAACACCTTCCTGTTGTGAGGATTAAATAGGCCAATATAACTGTAAAGCACAATGATACTTCATATTTACTATTATTATTACAGCTCTGAAAATTCTGAGTTTTACAAACTTGGAATTTACTTTTAACAAGGTACTTCAACAAAATCCATTATCACTAACAAATTTCAGATTTGTCAAGGAATTAATCACAAGCTATACCTGCTTTGTAAACCGTGGACTCACACAGGAAACTAACAAGTAAAGTGGTCAGAGTATGGGAAGCTCCATAACCTTTCAAAGAATGACAAGTGTCAATGTCACATGGCAAGAAATTAGGAAGCCATTAACATACCCTGAGTAGAAGGATGACATAGTAAAACTGTATCTCCAGAACATTACTTTAATAGCTGTGTACAGGACAGTTTAGACAAGAGACTCGAAGCAGCAAACTAGCAAGAAACTTGCACAGCACGTAACTATGCAATAATCCAGGCAATTGATCAATAAGATTTTAGATTAGAAGGTGAAATTGAGTGGGAAGGGCTAGGGGTCATATTAAAAGTCTGAGAGTAGTGAGGGGCAACAGGATATTGGAGGCGCTAAGGGATGTCTATGCTTTCTGCAGCATGGGATAGAAGATAAGTTTTCATTTCTAATTCAGGTGTTCATGGGCTCAACTGAAAAGATTCCTGTAAAGATTCCTGTAGAGAAGAGGTCAACTACCATCCAGTGACCAAGTCCAGCTTATGGTTTGTTTCTGAGTGACCAGTGAGTTAAGAATGGTTTTTACAATTTTTGTTGTTGTTTTTTTTTTTTTTTTTTTTTGAGATGGAGTCTCACTCTGTCGCCCAGGCTGGAGTGCAGTGGTGTGATCTCAGCTTGGCTCGGCTCGGCTCACTGCAACCTCCACCTCCCGGGTTCAAGCAATTCTCCTGCCTCAGCCTCCCGAGTAGCTGGGACTACAGGCGCACGCCACCACTCCCAGCTAATTTTTTGTATTTTAGTAGAGATGAGGTTTCACCGTGTTGCCAAGGCTCGTTGTGAACTCCTGAGCTCAGGGAATCCGCCCACCTCAGCCTCCCAAAGTGCTGGGATTACAAGTGTGAGCCATCGCGCCCGGCCAGTTTTTACATTTTTAAAGTAAAAAATTTAGAGGGTTGTAAAAAACCAATTAAGAATATGCAACAAAGACCTACGAGAACTGCACAGCCTAAAATATTATATTTATTACCTAGTCCTTTACAGAAAACATTTGCCAACCCTTGTTTTCAAGCAGTATCAAAGCAGATTTCAAAATAAGCTGAAACTGATGGATAATAAAGAGGCTGGGGGATACACAGTGTCAGCCCACTTTTTTCCTTATTCTATTGCCCTTAAGAGTTTGTTCCCTACTCCATCTACTTAATCCTTAATGTGGTTAGGTTAGTAAAAGTATTGATGCTCATTAGAAACAAATCTTCCCCAGCACTGAAAACACCACACTACAGAGTCCACTTGGAGCATTTACATAACAAGGGCCAGTTCCTGTGTGTGCTTCATCTTTTGCTGGTCAACAATAAATCTACAAATACAAACTGAGTCATTTGTGTAAAAAAAAGCTAGTTCTTTAAATTGTTAATTGTAGATTAAAACAGTAATAATTAAGCAAGTCACCATAGCTCATGCCTGTAATCCCATCACTTTGGGAAGCCAAGGCAGGAGGATCCCTTGAGTCCAGGAGTTGAAAATCAACCTTGACAACACAGCAAGATCCTATCTCTAAAAAAAGAAAAAAAATCAAAACTTAGCTGGGCATGGTGATGTGCAGCTGTAGTCCCATCTACTTAGAAGGTTGAGGTTAAGAGGATCACTAGAGTCAGGGAATTCAAGGTTGCAGTGAGCTATGACTGTGCTACTGCACTCAGCATGGTTGACAGAGTGAGAATCTGCCTTAAAAAAAAAAAAAAGTAATAATTAAACTCTCAACAAAAAATACACTTGTGGAATGAAAAGTCATTCCCATATCCAAAATCGCAGACTAATATACTAATTTATAAAATGTTCTAGAGAGGGACTTAGAGCTGCTTCTGGAAAGAAAAAAAACAACAAAACAAAACAAGCACTTCAAATCTATCACTTTTTTCGGGGGGGATAGATATATAAGTGTGCAGGTATATATGTATGCATATGTATACAAAATATATATGACATTTCACCTTAAGTTTTAAAAGAAGGTTTATCATAATCTTCCATGAGAGCCACATAACCTCCCAATATTAAAAAATGCTGGTTTAATTTCTTTAACAAAACTTGTCTTTCAGGAAAGCAAGTTAGTTATGGCAAAGGTCACTATATATGTGGATAGCAACAACAAAGGAGATTCATCAATATTGGGAAACCAAACTTGTATAATTTCAGTTTGATATAGGATTGAACATAAAGGAAATTAAGACCCAACTGGCAGGCTGACAGACCCCAGTTTGAGAAACATTCAACTAGTCCAAACCACAGGAGGTAGAGCAGGGAATTACCATCATGGCACAGGAGTTAAGAGAATAGACTCTAGAGTCAGACAGGCCTGTGTTTGAGTCCTGGCTCCACCTCTCCCTAGTGTGTGAATTTGGGCAAGTTACAAATTCAATCATCAGTTTATTCCTCCGTAGAAACAGATAAAACTAGCACTTAAATCATTTATGTGTAGTATTTGGTATAGTGCCTAATACATAGCAAGCACTCAATAACTGTTAACTAAATTAATGTTATAATGTATATTAAGTTCTATGTTCAATAAATCCAGGTTATGGTTGTTACTATGGAAGAGCTAAGGAGCAGGCTGACTGTCTGGACAAGGACCAGTGTCAGGAATGGCCAGCGCTAAACTATAAGTAGATCAAGTTCCATCAACAGGTAAATCTGGCAGTTAGAATGAAATGGTTCAAACAGGCAGGCAAGATGATATGAAGGCGAAACAGCAGCAGGTGGTAAAACCTAGCTTTGAAGATTGATTCATTAGACTTGGAAAGAACCAGAACCATTATTCAATTTTCCAGAATGGATTTTCTATGCAAATATCTAGGTGACTTGTTGATCATGACAAGCACCCCCCTGCAATCTACATTCACTCGATAAGCTTTATACAGGTTTTGTTTTTTGTTTTCTTTTCTGAGACGGAGTCTCGCTCTGTTGCCCAGGCTGGAGTGCAGTGGTATGATCTCAGCTCACTGCAACCTCTGCCTCCTGGGTTCAAGTGATTCTCCCACCTCAGCCTCCCAAGTTGCTGGGACTACAGGCATGCACCACCATGCCCAGCTAATTTTTGTATTTTTAGTAGAGACAGGGTTACACCATGTTGGCCAGGCTGGTCTCGAACTCCCAACCTCAGGTGATCCACCCACCTCAGCCTCCCAAAGTGCTGGGATTACAGCCATGCGCCACTGTGCGTGACCTTTTTTTTTTTTTTTTTTTTTTTTGAGACAGAGGCTCGCTCTCTCACCAAGGCTGGAGTGCAGTGGCACAACAACCATGGTTCACTGCAGCCTTGACCTCCTGTGCTCAAGCAATCTTCCCACCTTGGCCTCCCAAGTAGCTGCAACCTAGGTGCACACCACCATACCTGGCTAATAAATTTTTTGTAAAGATGGGGTCTCCCTATGTTGCCCAGACTGGTCACAAACTCCTGGGCTCAAGCAATCCTCACGTCTCAGACTCCTAAAGTGCTGGGATTACAGGCGTGAGCCACCACATCTGGCTTAGAAACATTTTTAAAGTTTATCAATGGGTGTTCCTTTGTAACATTTAGAGAAACAAAGAAGTCATCAGAATACACTGATTAGAAGGCAAGGAGTAGGTTAGAAGAGAGCAAAAGTGGAATTTAGTCAGAAAAGAGTAACAAAATCAGAGTTTTTCCCACCAGAAGAAAGTGAAGCCATCAAAAAAATTATAAAAAAATCATTCATACTAAAAGGACATCAGAATAAAATCTACTGTTTCACACCAGTGCCCATAGAACACAAATGAGACAGCAAATTACAGTTTTACTCTGGCACTAACAATTCAATAGGTCATGACTGAGAAAATATTTCTTTTCTAAGCTGCCTTTAAGTTCCAGCTGTTTGAAAGATGGGACACTCTCCAAGTCCATAAGTAAAGCTCGGTCAGTATCATATGCTACATGGACTTGACTTTCCTATTTCCATAGCAGTCACTGAAAATGATAGTTTGCAGCATAAAAAGAGGAGTTTGATTTAGTCACTCTGATTAGAAAAACATATGCTTACATTTATAATAACAAAATCTGCTTGGTTATAGGAATCTAAACTAGAAAAATAGTTGTTTTCATTATTTCTTTATTCAGAAAGAGAGAAAATGTCTCCAGGAAAAAAAAAAAAGTGTACTCATTAATTAGCAGGGTAATAATTATAGTTATGAAAGAAAAAAATGGGTACGAATCCAATTTACCTAAGGTTGCTTTCCTTCAAGTCCACCTGTTAACTGTGTAGACTCTTAACCTTCCAATGACAGTCAGTATCTGCAATGATTAATTAGTCATTTTAATAAAGAACACTATTTCCTATGAAGACAAAAGTCTAAAGTCATATCATAAGTTCCCTACTGTTGTAAATCCAGCCTCAAAAAAATGTCAATGACATGAAGCTGTACTATCTTGCTTTCCTAACGCATTTCATGATGCTCAGCTAATAAATTTAGAGTACTTGTTTAAAGATCATAAAAAACAGCAAGAACATTCAATGATGCAGCAAAAGAGCTGTCATATTGCTGGCAGGAAATTGGATCTCCCTTTGTAGCTTGAATAAAGTCAGAAGCAAAGCATCCCTCTGCAGAAGCAAGAAAAGCCAAGCAAAACCACAAGAGAAACATAGGAGGAAACTTTCATTTGGGGTTGATGGCAATTCTTAATACTTTTATATTTTTAAAATTATATTGAAATAAGCATTATGGAGTAGAATGGAAATTTTACATAACATTTCAGGAGGAAACATGTGGCTACACAGTGCTGTCAGGCTAGCATGCCTGCCTCTGCTTCTGCTCCCACCCTCCAAGCAGATGAGCAAGTCTCATTACTGACTTTTTGTTTGTAAGTAGAAACTACGTATCTGAACAGCTTGTTTTCAAGAAAATCCAATCATCCCACAAAATTTTTTAAAAACTACAAATCAACCACTAATTATTAAGCGCTTGCTAGGACAATAATGAAAGCATGCCTGTCTTTGCTTGTCTTGGGAACTGTCGGAAAGAGCCTCTTAGTGCTCCAGGCCTTTAAGTCCAAGCTCCGGCCAGGTCTGTCGCCAGCTCCTCAACTCAGCACACCGAAAACAAAGCCAGTCTTCCTCCCTGCAAAATCAGCTGCCTGTCCCATTTCTGCAGTAGTAAACAACATTCTCCCAGACTCATGAGCTGCAAAACCTGGGGTCACTTTTAAATACTCCCTCCCTCTTTGCCATGTATATCCAGTTAACCACTTCATCCTCAAGAATCATCATAGCATCTCTTGTATCCATCCCTTCCTCTCAGTCCCCAGACTCAGATTCATGACCTTAACTCCCACTCAACTAACGGCAAGAGCCACATAACTAATCTTTCTATCCACAGTTTCTTCCTACCACATACCACCACCAGCATGCATGCCACCACCAGGAATCATGGTGGGTACCTTCATTTGTTCCACTTAAATGCTGTGACTTTTTATAAAACATTTTAAATCCTGATAGCTGCTAACAATAATATTAATATATTGGCTTTCCTAAACTTGGGAGTCATGTGGTATTCTAGATTACTGAGCTTTATAGATGCCCAAGAATTTATTCTTTTGGCAATATGTTTTACTTCAATACTTTTGAATATGTCATAACTTGTCCTGCCTGGTCAAAAATCAAATAAATAGCAAGTACCTTTTCTTGATGGCCTTAGGTCATCATCATTATGGGGTTATATTAGAGTATAATAAATGATATTCATAAAACATCCATGGATACTACTGAGGTCCCAGACTGCTGGCTCCTACTTTATGAATGCTACTTTTGATACCTCCTCCCACGTGTTTTATTGAAATTCTGTAGTGTCTGTTTGGGCTGCTTAGAGGTCTTTTTTCGCTAGCCTCCTGGCCCAAGGTTGTGCTTGCAAGTGATCGCTGACTGACAACCAAACACTAAATAGGTGAGGTGTGCCTATTTATTTAGCCTTCTTATTTATAGTCTTACCTTTCCAAATTTGTAAAAAATTCATGGAAAGCATTGACTCTCTTTTATGCAATCTGTATTTATTTCCTGTTATTCCTAGCTGTTGTTCCATCATAATAGCCCATGAAATCACTAGCCTCACACACAATTTATCTTTAAAAATTAGCTGGAAAATAAGTATACTTAGACACACAGGACTTCAACTGCGATAAATGACCTATCAAGCTCATTAAAGAAAAAGCCAAAGAAAATGTGTTACTGTGAAAAGCATCAAAGGTTTATATGTTTACTTTCCTTATACTCATGTAGATGAATATGCATATATATGTATATATTAAATTGGTCTCGGGTGCGGCCTTGAACTACTTGCCTTCATCACTCAGAACTTCCCAGCCCTATAGAACTAAAAAGGTGCATTCCAAACAGCATCAGGGATTTGCAGCATAAAGAAACAAAAGCCAGACAGAGCAGGAACTTGAAGATAAAAAGTATGGTACCTGGAGACTAGGCATCAGGGTGCAGAAGGTTTGTGCTGTGTGAGAAGACACTGATGAAGAATGGAGGGAGTCAGTCCCCACCCCCTACTGCACCTACACCATTGAGGCAGAGAACAAGGTATTTCACCTCTGCAAACAATATTTTTAAAAAAGCCCAGAAAATTCTGGGAACAATTCAGATGTTTTACAAAATCTGAAACGTTATTTGTCCATGTGACTCTTCAAAAACAAAGGCATTGTTTTTAACAACTAAATCTGTCATTTGATCAATACAGCTACACACAACACATACACACATAAACACACATATAGCCATCTGAGATTTTTTTCAAGCAACGATTCTTTTAAGACAAAAATGTCACCTACTTATATGAAAATGCTCTCTGCCATTGTTTGTTTCTGTGGAAAACAACAAAATCTTACATATATTCACTAATGCTTAAGGAAAGAAATCACCCGGCATAGTTCAGACTCCTGAAATATTTTCAGCTCATCTTGCTTCCCCACCCCCTGTGTGCTCATCTGACATCAGTGTGGTTCTCCCTGCCTGGTTTATTGCCTTGACACAAAGCCTTGATGTGGCTTTGTTTAATTTAGCTTTATGGGCTTCCCTGCCACAACATTAAGAACTCAGCGATGGGAATGGAGGCAAGCCACTTCCATTGCACGTTAAGCTGGGTTTTCTGTTTTATTATTTTTTTTTAAACACACCTCTTATTTGCTAACAACAAGATGAAAGGGCCTGGTAGAACTGGTTCCCTTTGCACAACAGAAAAACAGACATAAGAATACAAAGAGATGAAAGAACCTAAGATATAAGAAATATATAGGAAAAAGGGGGAAAAAGGCATTGTGAGTAAACCATCTTTTATCTGGAATTCAAAATACTCTGTTCTTGGTTTATCCAACCAGTACCAAAAAGACAAGTTGTACAGTATAAAAAGGGTTTGGTATGGTAATTTTACAACTCAAGATTGATGTTTTGAAAAACATAAGATGTACAAGTTTTAATTACAATTTATGGTGACACACCTTGGTAGACTGAACAAGAACAGCTCTTTGACAAAAACAAAAAAAAACAAAAAAACCCTCTTACTACCCATCTATTTTTGAAAGCACATGAATTACATAAAATGGTGCTCTGTTATAAACAGCACACAAAAGGAAAAACCTTTCACCTTTTGCCAGAAGACACTATTCCAATATAAACTGAGAAGGGAGGGACTGATTTCTAACTTGTCCCTGGTAATTACAGTGAGATTACACATGCACTGCAAGTCCTGCTTAGTCTCTGTCTCTGACAACAGTCATCCTTCCCTATTCCCACCATTCTAGTCCCTGCTTTACCACCTTGGCTCATTCAGAAAAATACAAGTGTGCCCAGGACACCTGGGCAGTGAAAGCGGATCCACCTCCCGGAGATAAAGCCTAGGGGTTCTCTGTTAACAACCAATTCAAAGGAAGGAATTTAAAGAAAACAAACTTAAAAGGGCCTCTCTGCTGCGCCTCAGGAGACCACAGCTTCAAACAGATAGAAAATGCTATTGGCATAACGTCTTCATTGATGTATTATTGAAAAAATCAAATAACATAAAACAGACATGAAATGTTTATGACAGGATACTGAATGAATACAGTGCCATTGAGGTCTAATAAAACTAGCAATGTTCTCCCAAAGGCAGCAGTCTGGATAAAGACTCTAAACAGGGCAAATGTACTTTTAACCAAGTTCCACTTAACCAACCCACTGGATTACCCACACATCTCCATTCCTTCAGTAAAACACATCGGTGAAATCCATAACACCATGGGATCCCCCACTAGTATGCACAGCATATTCCTATCCCCCACCCCCGCTGCACGGTAATGCTAATTGTACTTGTAATTACATTATTAATAACATTTACGTAGACCAGTGAAATATGAAGGCAAAGTAATTTCTGTGAAAATTAAACTAAATGCTTTGGAGAAACTCAATCAAGTGAATCAATTAATAAAAATACCAAAATAGGTTCAGAAAGAAACTGTAAATGGGAAAAGGCTGATAAAAATCTATACCCTGGTTCCAAGGCAAGAACTAAAATAAAAATTCAATTCCTGCTTCTGTCATCCTCGGAATATTAAACTAGGAATTATTCTTTGCTCCCCTCAGTTCCTCCCTTCAAAACGATGCTTTAGGTCGGGCACGGTGGCTCAAGCCTCTAATCCCAGCACTTTGGGAGGCCGAGGTGGGCGGATCATCTGAGGTCAGAAGTTCGAGACCAGCCTGGCTAACATGGCGAAAACCCGTCTCTATTAAAAATACAAAAATTAGCCAGGCAGTAGCGGCACGTGCCTGTAGTCCCAGCTACTCGTGAGGCTGAGGCAGGAGAATCATTTACAGGAGGTGGAGGTTGCAGTGGGCTGAGTGTACCATATACAGATAATTGGGGTTAGCTATATTTCAAAAATTGAGAGCAATCTGTTAAGCTAAAAAGAAAAGAGAGAAAAAAAAGGCATCCTGAGTAAAACATCTTTTCTCTGGAATCTAAAATTCCAGAGAAAATTGAATTTTTTCCCTGCACTCTGGCCTGGGCGACAAAGTGAGACTCCGTCTCTAAATAAATAAATAAATGAATGAATGCATGCACGCTTTAGAGGTATTCTACACCTCCCTGCCTCTAGATAAAGTCTAAGATGGGGAAAGTATTTGCAAATTACCTTAAACATTTTATATTCTCCTTTAGCCAGCTTTTTCAATTAACTGACCAAATACTCATTCTAATTATGTTACATCAGAAATTTTATACTAAATAAACAGCACAAACCATTGCAAAAAATGAAGACAAATGTCATTACTTCTTTGGCACAACTGGTAGCTTTTAGAAGAGGCAGTTCACAGAGCAGACTGTGAACCTTTTACCAAAATCATTCTACTAAGTGTAGCTACTATTAAAAGCAAGAGCTTAGGACAGCCTTTAAGTGTAGATACAAAAAAAGTCAATGATTTTTTATTCATTTGCTTTGTAAACAGCATTCTTAAATTGCAGATGACTTTTTCTCCTTAATATTGATCAAGAAAATCAGATGTTTAAATGAAAAGTTTGTTGCAAAAAGCAAAGACAATGGGAACAGTAACTTTGAAAATAAGGCAGCGAGATTAGTAACTTACCCAAGGTCACAGAGCTAGGAAATAAAACAGCCAAGACAGTCTGATTCCATGGACTTAACTCTCAACCAAAAGTAATAATGATAGTTAAGGATCACAAAACAAAACAACAATAACAACAACAAAATGGTGATACTACAACAAGATGGTGATAATAATAAATGATAACCAACTTGATGGTTCCATTCATAAAGTTCAAGATATGGGAAGCATCAGACTCATCCGTCTGCTGGAGAGGGCTTGTAGACATAGAATAAAGATGTTTATCTTTTAAAATGCCTATTACTCCTTACACTGCAAGGAACACTTTAAAAACTGACTTTTACCTGTGAGCATTAGCCACAGACGCCTATATTAAGAAATGTAATGTCTCTCTTTTAGGAAGATGCTCTGGCATCAGTGTGCAGAAGGGACTAGAAACTGAGGGACCACACTAGAGGCTATCACTGGTTAAACTGACTACAAGAAATTAATGACAATCTTGAGTTAAGGCAGGGATAGAAAGTCAAAGAGGGTGATAAGAGATATATTTAGGAAGTAGTCATCTCCCTATGTGTATCTACCTATGATTATTACAGTTATTGATTAAGCACTTGTTGCAGGTCAGGCACTTGGCTATGGACTGAAAATATTCAAATACAATTCAGTTCAGCTTACCACTCTTCCCCCTGCATGGCCCACTCCTGCCATACCAAACGATGGCATGGTTTCCTCACCTCCAAAATTAAACCGACAGCATATTCCTTTTTTACTTAGGCCCCAAATCCAGCATGAACGGTAATGACCCGAGAAAAGAACAATGCCAAAATTTTGGCAAAACAGCACAGTGGGCAGCGGAGAAAGCCTTTGGCATTAGGAAAACTACTTTCATGTTACGCTTTTCTTGCCTGTAAGGAAACTTTTTTTCCACAAACAATTTAAGTCTATATTAATGCCATTTTCTTCTCCCCAGAAGGATGTTACTAATCTATAAACAGTACTAAAATTTACAATCTAGGTAGATCAATCTTGCCCAACACCATCTCTAATAGCCACAGCACAAAGGTAGAGAAACCAGCCTTATTTCTCTATTTCAGTCCCAAGGTACTGCTTTGAATTTGTTTTTGCTCTAACAAACAGAGCAACCGCTTCTCCCTCTATAAACAGTACTCTCTCCTTTCCTGAATGATGAACACAGCAGGAATCTTAACACTGCTTCAGATGTTACATAAATTCTCCCTGTCCTTCTGAGGATGATACAGAGAGTCTTAAATGGCTCTTTATCTACTGACTGTGACATCACTGTTGGCAGCCACGGCACTATAATTGTTTTGGGGGAGAAGCACTGAATATCTCTGAGTGATCACATGCATTCTCTATTCCCTCCCTATCAGCCAAACACTGTATTTAGTGAACAATATAAACAATACATCAATTACAGTCCTTTAAAATTGAGAGTCAAACAGAAAAACATACCAATTATCTGGTTTTCTATGTTTTATAACAACCTAATTTTGGAGCTATGATTTAATTGCCTTCGTTATAAATAAGGAGTTTTTCAAATTATTCTCCCCTCCTCTAGCATTTATGCTATATTAATCTTTTTTTCCACAAATATCTATATATCTTCTGATTTTATGACTCATTTTGCCCTGAACAGACCATGCTTCAATTTCTCAATTACGGCAACTACGTCAAAAAGGAAACCACAATTACTGAATTCAAAAAAGGATCCCCATAATCTTCTGTTGATTTAAGTGTCAGTGAAACTAGCTTGTGCTCTGTTCCAATTCACTCTCAAAAAGTTCAATTAGGACTAAATGAAATGACCAAATAGTCCAAAACGTTAACACGTACTGAAGCAGGTTATATATCTGCAAACAACATGAGGTTTTATTAGTGATAATTCTCCCATTTCTTCAGCACACAGACAAATGTGTGGCTTTAGCAGTTTCTGATTTTGCACCACTCACTTAACTGCAAGTTGGCCTTCACTGGAACAAACTTAGCCCTTAAACTTCTCTTCCTTCTGAAGATGACAGCTTATGGGTATGGCTACAAAACCTACCATGAGTTATAGTACACCAACTTCTATTACCCTCCTCAAGCCTAAAATAAGAATTCTGTCCCTGCTTTCTTTCTATTAGCCTTTGGGATGAAACTATTATAGTAGAAACTTTACATTCCTCTTTTACTCTCACTATTGACATTTGGGGCCAGATAATTCTTTCCTGAGAGGCTATCCTGTGTATTGTAGGATGTTTCACTGTCCAATGACAAATGTCAAAGTAATCCCTCTATTTGTGACAATGAAAAAGTCTCCAGATGTTGCCAAATGCTCATGAGAACCACTGCTTTAGACATACCCCACTGTCTGCCCCATGTGAAGTCTAGGAGGAGGAAAGTACAATCAGAGAATGAGAATAACTTCAAAATACTCCCCATCGTCTTGAATCTTAAAAATGCACAACCTTGGAGGCCATGAGCCTGGGTCTGGAGTTACAAGTGCTCTGAGCTGTAGCCAGCAGCTTCAGCTCTGCCTAGCCAGGTGGCAGACACTAGGCCCTTTCTTGCTGTGGCCATCTTTCTTCTCATTCTCAGGCCCTTTCTTGAATGAGAGACCAGACCAAAATTGTGAGAAGTATAAGTTCTCTAAAAGTCAACTATAAATTCCGTATTGCTTTTTTACTTCCATTATGTGGACTGTTGTGCCTACAGTCAATCATTTCACCCCATAAGAAACATGATTTAATTAGGTTAAGGCACAAGTTATTAGGCTGTATTCCAAACATAAACTGGTAGCTATTCTAAGAGAAAAAAAAAAAATGCATCAAGAAAAAAGGGCAAAAGAAAAGCTTTTCTTCAAGGCTTCAGGTGTCCCCTTAATAGTGCTATTCATGGATCAGAAAAGATACTCATTTCATGAGTGCTGCACAATAGCTTCTTGTTACAATAACCATTACAATATAGCATTTATTGAAAGGCTTGTGGGCTGGGTGTGGTGGCTCACGCCTGTAATCCCAGCACTTTGGGAGGCCAAGGCGGGCAGATCACGAGGTCAGGAGATCGGCACCATCCTGGCTAACATGGTGAAACCCCGTCTCTACTGAAAATACAAAAAAGTTAGCTAGACATGGTGGCGGGCACCTGTAGTCCCAGCTACTCAGGAGGCTGAGGCAGGTGAATGGCGTGAACCCAGGAGGCAGAGCTTGCAGTGAGCCAAGATCACGCCACTGTGCTCCAGCCTGGGCAACAGAACAAGACTCTGTCTCAAAAAAAAAAAAAAAAGAAAAAAAAAAGAAAGGCTTGTGGGGAGCAGAATCAAGACCTAGTAACTATACGTGACTCATCTTTTTTTTTTTTTTTTAAAACTCTGAAAACAAATACTTTTAACTCACTAAGTTTTAGCATGAGTACCATTGATGGGTATCATTTCTATCTTCTGGCAAGAACAGTATTTTATTGGTCCCTAAATTATTTAAAGATTCTCATAAACTCTCATCAAAGTGATTTACTTATGAGAGCTGGAAGCAACCCAAACTATGGCTAAGTGTTTAAAACATTATAAAAGTAAATAAATTAATTTTACTACAGCACAAACAGATGTCAAAAAACAGACCACTGGAAGTCAAAAAACAAATAGCGCTTTGCCCCGAAAACATCTGATCTTAATCTGTCAAAAATTACCACTGCACTGCCTTTTGCTATGCCATCTTTAACACCGCCAAGAGTCACTACCCCTTGTTATTTCTCCTTCCCTCAAATAATTTACAGGTAAGAATTTATAGGATAGGAGATTTATCCCTATCTTACCTAGGGATAGATATTAAAGTCAGTGAATAGGATAAAATCACATATTATTGAAATTATTGCTGTAAATTCCTTCATTTGTGAATTCTGTCACATATATAACACTTATAGTTAATATAAAAGATGGAGTGCATATAGCTGAATTCATGTAAATTAAATTTGTATATAATATGTCTGCACTGTACTAAGATACTTTTAAGCAAGAATATATATGGCAGAGAGAGCCCCATTATTTAGTATTGAATCCTTCACAGTAAGTCACATCTTTTTAGGTGATAATATTGTGTGGCAACCCTGAATTATTCCACCCAATTAAAAAATCCAATTGAGTTAAACTATTACATCTTGCTCCTTACACCTTAGTCTATGTCTGGTGCCTCTGTTCTCTCTCCACAACCCTTACTTGGTTCAGCAGAAGAGGCTTGCCACATGTTCACAAATACAAGCAAAAATCAGGATTAGGAGACACCTGCACAGGCAGACTCATGCCTCTTGGCAGACATCCTCCAGTTGAGCAAGAGGAGCATCAGTAAAGTGAAGAGGAAATAGGCAGCGAAGTGTTTGCGTAAATATGTAACAAAGACAAACCCCTTTGGCATCTGAAAAGCATGAAATCAAAAGTATGGCTGAAAACATATTACAATAGGACTTAGGACAACAGAGAATTCATGACCATAACAAAAAAGAATGTGAAACAATGACAAGTCACTGAACCTCCAACACTGCTACCAAGTGTTATTTGTGATGGAGGCAACTGGCACTTTCTTACAAAACTTTTATTAGTCACTAAAACAGTTTCTTAGGGGAATCTTCATTCCAATCAGCAAGACTCACAGCTAAAAATTTCTCATATGTATTCCAAGCTAATGAAAATCTGGTGAATATAGGCCCTTTTTAAGAAAATACAATAAATCAAAGTTATCTTCATGAGGCTATGTTTCTAATGAACATGCAGCATTAAAACTGGAGCTTAAAATGCAGAAGACAGTTTGACTATAAATTAAAATCACACATATTTAACATAATTAATTTGGTGGAAAAAAAAAATCATCTTATCCCAGGTGGGAGGGTAGAGATATACCTCTAATCACACTGTTTTTCACATGGAGCCAGAAAGAGGAATACAAAACCACTCCAGAACCCAGTGACTCTCACAAGTGAAGGTGAGCGTCAGAGAAACAGGCAGCAACAGGTCACCAGGGCAGGAAAGGCCTGATGTGGAGCCAGGAGCCAAAACTGAGAGCCCAGTGATAGAGCCAGGTTAGACAGGAACAAGACATAGCATTTCCAAACACGTAAGATGAAGCAGACACCTGTCTACTGTCCATGGCGAGGCCCTGGTAGGCAGGTTAGGTGAGCAACCCACATTAAGGCAAGACATGAAATGGAGAGAAAATTTGTCCAAAGCCACATCAAAGTTATAATCATTTAGACTGATGTACAAACTTTTCTAAGACCATCAATTATTGAGTATCTACGGAGCACTTTATATACCTTATCTAATTTACTTAAGCTCTCCCAAAAATCTTATGAGGCAAATATAAAATTTCAACAATTTTTAAATTAAGGAAACTAAGATTTAGAAGAGTTACATAGTTTTCCCAAACTCAAATAGTCAAATAAGTGGTAAAGCTAACCTTTGAGCCAAGGCCTTTTGGATTCCAAAGCCAGTGTTCTCAAGAATAAACCCAAATGTCTAAATGCATGCTTTTCCCATTGAAACACACAACCTGGAAGGTTAAAGTTACTGGCAGCATCCTGTTGTTAAGAGTTCCACTGGCATTGAAAACTGTGTTATGTATCACACTAACCAAGAAGCTGGAGAGGATATGAGGTATCATATAGCATGAGGGAATCCAAGGACCACAAGGTGTATTGTTGAGATGCATCAGTATACAGTAAGGAAGACTCCTTAATCAAAATGCTGCCAGCACATGCAAATAAAGAATTTGACAAACTACAGCAGAGGTTCTCCAAGCATGGTTCTTGGATCAGCAGTGATATAACCTAAGGACTTCTTACAAACCCAAGTTCTCAGGTCCCACTCCAGACCTACTGAATCAGAAACTCAGGGTGGGGAGCAGCAATCCATGTTTTAACAAATCCTAAGGTGATTCTGATGAGCACTGAACTACAGAACACGGAATGGAACATTCAGCATTCTATAAGATTTCTTAAAACTGATGCATATCTAATGTCAATGAAGAATGATATGAACCTTAAGTAAAACTGATGTGCTAAAGTAGGACACATGAGGCCAAGTCAATCATAAAATTCTCAAATGACTTCCAAAGAAGAAAAAGGTTGAGAACCTTCAAACTGTGAGAAGGCCAAATAAGTATCCTTAAGACAAAACTTTATTATCCACTTAAATAATACTGCCAATTTTTAAATCAATATGCCCAATAAATCATGTACAGTATTTCTTATTGCAGCCACTAACAAAAATGAAAACAAACAAAAACTGAAATAAACTAGACCACTTCTGAATCCTTCAGATGTTTTAATGTTCAGTTAAGTAAAACAAACTCGACTATTCCTTCTTGAAAAGCGTAATGGTAACTGGACAACTATCATATATACCACATACGCATACAACCTATAAAAATTCCCACAAGCGCAAAATGACTGGTTCTTGCCCAGAATTACATAATTATACACTGTTAAAAAAAGACTAACATTTGAGACCATTTCATTCAACTCTATTATTTTATAAATTAGGGAACTGAGGGCCAAAATATTCATGTGGACAGTTGGCTACTGGCAGAACTAAAACCAGAGGCTGGGCTTCCTGACCTCCAGCCCAGAGAGCTCTCAATCTACCAGCCTGCCTCAGCCAAGCTTTAACTCAAAAAAAACAGAACACATGGCCTGATGATACTTCAGCAAGTCCCAAAACACCTCTGGAATTAATCGAAACTTAAAACCAAAAGAAGAGTATTATTTAGCTACATTAAAGAATTGATATGATGAGAAATCATGACCCGACAAATTGAATACGAGACAGAACCCTGTAATCTGCATAGCTCCAGCCACAAAAGACAGTATCTGTTTCTACCATAATTAAATTCTGTACTACGTAATGAAAAGCTGAATCAATTACTGAGTAATTTAAACAGACAATCATATCAATTAGTACCTATTTAGTCACAAGTTGTTTCTGACTGTCAGTTACTTCAGTGAGGATGATGATACAGATGACATTCATCCCTCTGCACACTCACCAAGCACCTGCTGTGTGTCTCCATGCACTGGGATACTGCAGTAAGTAAACCATACAGCAAGGCAACCACTCTCCTGAGGATTACTGACCAACAAGAGGCAGGGTGACAAGTACCATGGAGACAGTTAAAATAGTGTAATGGAATAGGTGACTAGAGAGGAATGGAGACTGCTGAAGATTGCTCTGAGGAGGTGACATTTAATATGAAACCTGAAGAAAAAAAAAAATCTGAAGGTCTGGAAAAGAAGATTACCAACAGACGGGACCACAAATACAAAGGCCTAAGGAGATCATGCACTTTCATGCTCAGGCAGAGTAGCGGAAGCAAGGCTACCAAGGGGAGGAGGGGTAGGAGATAAGGCTGAGCATGAAGGCCTAGGAGGGCATTCAGATTTCATTCTAAGTGCAATGGGAAACCCCTGGAAGGTTTTAAATAGGAGCATGACAGGGTCTAATTACATATGAATACAACAAAATCATTACAAATTTTCAATAGCCTCTGAGTTTATTACTCCAGCCACTAACATTCCCTGAATTAACAATATACAAGCCTACGGCTAACCTTGTGGGACCAAAGAAGTCAGAAGGCTTAATTTAAAATATTTCCAAAGCATAATATGAGCAAATATGCTAAAGAATGACTCAAAATCTATACCACATCATCAAGCTATAAACATTAATCAATAAACTAACAGTTACTCCACAGACTAAATTATTCTATCTCCTGGATACTTAGCCTGTATACTACCTTAGAATAGCAGTAATAGAAGTTTTACAAGGTGTTTTTTGGAGCTCTACTTTCATTTAAAAAAACCCTCTAAAGAATAAACTTAATTTGAACACACGCTTGTATTATTTCTAAAAATATGTAATCTTACACTTAAATAGCTATGTCTCTGAGCAAAACAACAGCAAGGCCCTGATGGAATAAGCACGGTATACAATAAGTCAGAGGGAGTTCAGAATAATGAATTTATTCCTACCAAAAGAATAAATAATGAATTTACTCTTACCATTCTCCTCATCACATCTTCACTGCCGGTTCAACAGAAGCTATTTCCTAATTAAACTAAAGGCTATATTTAGTCTTCCAGATTATTCTCTTTAAGTTAGCCCCTCTAAGTATAAAATGATTTTTAAAAACAACATAGCACCCAAAATTTACTGGCTGCCCAGTCTGCCCTTCAAGTCAATGATTTCCAGCGCTGTCTTTTTAACTGCCAAGGTTCCTCAACTATTCCCTCAAAAAAAGTCTCCTGTATCACAATGGTCTAGGAGGTGCTGGGAAGAATATCAAAGGTAATACATTAAAAAGAGTTCAATCTAACAAAATAATGACAATAGAATGCAGTAAATATAATAACAGAAGTTATGGCTAAGTCCTCCAAGTTAGGGATTGATTAATTCTTTACATAGAAAACTGGCTGATTCACTCTCTCCTTGTCATATGGTATGACATGGAGATTCCAACAAGTGACATCACCTAGATTTAGGCAACTCTTGGGAAATTGACAGTTATTGAGGATTTTTCAGCAGGGTAGTAACACGAATGATTGGAGTAATTTTAAAGTAATAACCTATGACATTATGGCATTATGGAAATAGATTGGAGAAGGCAGACATGATATGCAGGACACCAATGAGAAGGGTGTTTTAATGTGAGAGACAAAAACAACGAGCACTTTAACAAAAATATTCTAAAAGAGAGTCCTTACTGGTTGGGGGAAGGGGATGAGTCCTTTCTAAAACAGAAATCTATTACAAGTGATATCCAAATATAGACAGTGACGGAAAAGGTAAAGTCAAAAATGGATCACAGACTTAAAACTACAGAGCTTCTAGAAGAAAACTCAAGAAAAATCTTTGTGACTTTACAGTAGGCAAAAAACACCTCACAAATTAGGCTTTAAAAAAATTTTAACTTCTGCTTTTCAAAACAACACCCTTTAGATAATATGTAAGAAATATATAATAAAATATATAATATAAATAAGAATATAAGAAACCACAGAATAGGATAAAATATTTTTCAATACATACATATACCTAACAAGGACTAATATCCAGCATATAAAAAGAACTTTCACAACTCAATAACAACCCAATAAGAAAAATGGGCAAAAGATCTAAACTCACATCTCATAAATGAAGATATCTGAATGGCACATGGAAAGATGCTCAAAATCATTCACCATCAAAGAAATGCAAATTTAAGCTACAATAAGATACCACTACAAGCTCATTAGAATGGCTCAAATTTAAAAGATTAACACCAAATACTGCAGAGAATGTAGAGCATTTGGAACTTTCAAACACTGCTAGTGAAAATGCAAAATGGTATAAACACTTTGGAAAATGGTTTGGCAGTTTCCTTTAAAATTAAACGAACATCTACCATTGGGTTGCTAAATATTTACCCCCCAAAAATGAAAACATGTTCACAGAAACTCTTGTAACACCAATGTTCATAACACATTGTTCATATTAGCCAAAAACTAGAAATAGCCCAAGTGTCCATCAATAGGAGAATGACTAAACAAACTGTCATGTATTCATACAATACAATACCAGTCAGCAGGCTGGGCATGGTGGCTCACGCCTGTAATCCCAACACTTTGGGAGGCGGAGGCAGGTGGATCACAAGGTCAGGATATTGAGACCATCCCGGCCAACATGGTGAAACCCCGTCTCTACTAAAAATACAAAAATTAGCCGGGTGTGGTGGCGGGTACCTGTAATCCCAGCTACTTGGGAGGCTGAGGCAGGAGAATCACTTGAACCCAGGAGGCAGAGGTTGCAATGAGCTGAGATCACACCACTGCACTTCAGCCTGGGCCACAGAGTGAGACTCCGTCCCAGAAAAAAAAAAAAAAAACACTCAGCAATAAAAAGGAATGAACTACTGAATACAACATGGGTGAATCTCAAAGTCATTCTACTGAGTACAAGTGAGCAGATGCAAAAAGAGTAAGTGATGGCTCAATTTTGTATGTCAACTTGGCTAAGATACAGTAGGTGTTGCTGTGAAAATATTTTATAAATGTGATTAACTACACTCAGTTGACTTTAAGTAGACTTCCCTCTATAATGTGGGTGGGCCTAATCTAATCAGTCGACGGCAATAAGAACAAAAAACAGATTTCCCAGAGGAAGAGGAATTCTGACTCAATACACTAACATAGAAATCCTGTCTACATTTCCAGCCTGCCCTACAGATTTTAGACTCAAAATTACAACATCAATTCCTGTCTGAGTTTCCAGCTTGCTGGCCAGCCCTACAAACTTCAAACTCAAGACTGTAGCACAGAATCTTAACATGAGTTTCCAGCCTGTCAGCTTGCCCTAAAACTGTTGGACTTACCAGTTCCCATAAGCAAGCCAATTCCTTAAAATAAACTTCTTTATATATATATTTTTTTAAATCTCTTTATAGATATATATCTATGCCTATGTATAGACATAGATAGGCTATCTTATTGGTTCTCTTTTTCTGGAGAACCCTAATACAACATTTTGTATTTATATGAAATTTATATAAATTATGCAATTTATACAAAATTATAGAAATGCAAACGAATCTCTAGTGACTAAAGGTAGATAATGAACTTGGTTCCCTAGGTCAAGGGTAGATAGAGGATAAACATTGCAAAGTGGCATGAGAAAACTTCTGGGGATGACGGAAATCTTTTATATCTTGACTGTGGTGGTGGTTTCACAGGTGGATATAGGTCAAAACTGATCTAATTATATACTTCAAATGACAGTTTACTGTATATAAATTATACCTCAATAAATTATAGCTAAAAGTGGACAACTAGGTGAATGATAGTGTCATTAGTCGAGATAAAAAATACATGAAGAATACGTGCTGAAGTGGATTTACCTTTAGTCACACTCAACTGTGGTTCTACTGGGACATTGTGGTAATGCCAAGAAAGCCAATGAATATATGAGTTTAGACCTGAAAAGATAAATGTGAGCTGAATGCAACTTTGGGAGTTGTCTGCACAAAAGTAATAAGAATGGCTAGGGACAGATTTGATGAGAACAAGATAGCAAGTAAAGAAAAGGAATGTCTTATTAGTGGGCTGGGCGCGGTGGCTCACGCCTGAATCCCAGCACTTCAGGAGGCCGAGGCGGGTGGATCACCTGAGGTCATGAGTTCAAGACCAAGCTGGTCAACATGTTAAAAACCCTGTCTCTACTAAAAATACAAAAAATTAGCCGGGCGTGGTGGTAGGCGCCTATAATCCCAGCTACTCAGGAGGCTGAGGCAGTAGAATTGCTTGAACCCGGGAGGCAGAGGCTGCAGTGAGCTGAGATGGCGCCACTGCACTCCAGCCTGGATGACAGAATGAGATTCCGTCTCCAAGAAAAAAAAGAATGCTTTATTAGTGTCCCACAGATTCTGCTATTGGGTCTTTTGTGACCTGAGGAATGTAGTTTCAATAGAGTAGTAGGGTTGGAAGGTGGACTGAAATCAGTTTTAGAAATAAAAGGAAATTCTTTTAAAGTGACCATGGTGATTATGGGTTATTTTTTTTAAGACATTAGCTATAAAAGCAAGAGAAAAGGAGGTTGATAAATAGGAATGAGAACTAAGAAGGGTTTTATTTTTTGCTTTTTTTTTTTAGAGGTATTTTTGTTTGTTCCCATTTCATGTGCTATTCATTTGAGCTGAAATATTAGTTTTGTTTGTACACAGAAAACATTTGAACACTTTTATAGCCAGAAAGAATGAGCCCACAATGTTGGCAGGTTGACACCACAAAAGGAAAGGATAAGGTTTCTAAACGAAAGTCAAGAACACAGATGAAATTGTTACCTTAAATAATCATCTCAATGGGTTCTACAAATTCTTAAGACAGCTTTCAAATTTACTGCAATTTTAAGTGTGTATATAATGCCTCTTTTAAAAGAAGGGATGGGAATCATTATGATATTAGCTCAGTCAAGGGCAAAGGAAGACTTACTAAATGACCTCTATGTCAAAACCTTTCACAGTTATCATCACATTTAGACATCACAACTTTGCAATCCATTTGTAGAAGAAAAACGAAAGGCTCAGAGAGGTCAAGTGACCTTCCCAAGGTCAAAAACCCAATTGGCAGCTGACAAAGGCTCAAAATGAAGCTGATCTGACTTCAGTCTCCTTGCACTTCCCCATGCCATGCTACGTGTCTAACAATCTGGAAGTATCACAGAGGAGCAAAAATAGCTGAATTCAGCTGCAGTGAACAGTATCAGGAAAGAAGAGAAAAAAACTGTCCGGGACCACATATTATACCTGGCCTTAAATCTATCCAAGCTAACCAGATTTTGGACAACAGACCAATGAAGGAGCCAATGAATCAGTACATATATCACAAGAAGGCTGCTACACAGACTGAATGTTTGTGCCCCCACCCACAAAAAAACATGTATTAAAATACTAACCCCTAATGTGACGGTGTTAGAAGTGAGACCTTTGGGTGGTGATGATGTTGTGAGGGCAAAGCACTCATGAATGAGATTAGTGACCTCATAAAAGCAGCCCCAGAGAGCTGCCTTGCCTTTCCTGCCAGGTGAGTACACAGTGAGAAGATGGCCAACTATAAGCCAGGAAACAGGCCTCCATCAACAAGGAATCTGCCGGCAACTTGATCTTGGACTTCCCAGCCTCCAGGATTGTGAGAAATCAATTATGTTGTTTATAAAACCACACATTCTATGATATTTTATAATGGCAGCCTAAACGAACTAAGACAGGGTTGTGTCATTTTCTACCAAATTCACAGCAACATCAGCAATGGCTTTTCAAATTTCAGTTATTTGAGCTTCCTCAACATTTAGGGTGGAGATACACTACATTTTGGTTAACAACAAACAAACAGAACCCATCCCCCTCACCCCAAAAATAATTTTATTTAGGAAATTAACCTCCCTAAAAATCTGGCATGTTTTGGAGGCAAAGAAGTATGAATAAAGAAAACACACAAACGAACAACAAGGAAACTTTCCATGTAGCCAAAGTTCTCACAACACCCATCTCTGAAATGCACTACTTTATCTCAGGGAGACAAGTAAGGTAAACTATATCAAGGCCATAGGGAAGCTCCAAAAAAAATCATGAAGTACAAAGTTCAAACAACATTACAGGTTTTGAAGGGCTTTGACAACGTTCCACCTTCTACCTATGGAGACTTGTAGCTAACACAAATGTCCCATTATACTGCTTGATGTTTTCCAGCAGCTAAAACCTGTGAAACATGTTAAAAAGAAAAAAATTAAGTGGGGTGGGGATCTTAGAGTAGATCCAATTCAGCAGTACCACAGAAACTAAAGTTTAAATAAGGAGACTCTCAAAACTCCAGCAGCCTAGGGTTCCCAGCATGACAAAATCCAAGCCTTTTTCATTCCTGTTGCTTCCCACATTCATCTCTTCCCTTTGGCTTCCAAGAACATCACATACTGCTTACAACCTTGACTGGGCCTCAGCATACCATAAAGGTCCATTGTACTCAATTTTAGAGTTTTTTTTGGGGGGGTGGGAGAGGAATTCTTTTTTGAGCAGTTCTAACTATATATAAGGATTGTATTTTGTTACTTGTTTTTTTCTTGGACACCTTCCAAAGAACAAAAAGAAAGAGAAAATCTTTTTTTTTTTTTTTTTTTGAGAAAGAGTCTTGCTTAGTAGCCCAGGCTGGAGTGCAGTGGCACAATCTCAGCTCACTGTAACCTCCACCTGCCAGGTTCAAGCCATTCTCATCCCTCAGCCCCCCAAGTAGCTGGTACTACAGGCATGTGCCACTACGCCCAGCTAATTTTTTTATTTTTAGTAAAAATGGGGGTCTCACCATGTTGGCCAGGCTGGCCTTGAACTCCTGACCTCATGCGATCCACCCACATCGGCCTCCCCAAGTACTGAGATTACAGGCATGAGCCAGCATGCCCAATTTAAATTTAATTATTTTTTAAAAACAATAAAATTCACTATCTTTCAAGCCAGATGGGTCTACTGGAGCATTTCATCAACCCAAGATATGTTATGGGATCCTAGTGATCTCGCTTTTCCTGTATCTTAAAACACTTTATTTCATCACCCTAAGAATTATTTCACTATTACACATCAATTATTGCCAATTATGCTTAAAAAAAATAAAGAAAACAGAACAGAAAAATGGAATCCTATTTTCCATGATACGATATAATGATGAAATAAATTATTACTATTATATTATCATCCTTTAGTTTTCTTATTGCATTACCCACAACATTACATAACCTTCCAGAAGAGTTTCAGACTAAACATACTAACTTTATAGTCTGCTTTTAGCTTTCACTGAACACAGTTGAGAATTCAGAATTTTTCATTTTCTGCCCACAATGGCAAAGAGAAGTGACAAATGGAGACACAGCACAGTTACGTCAGAAGATGAATGCAAAGAGACAGATGACAGCACTCTAGCATCAGATTCTGATGAAAGGAGAAGAAGACAGAAGAAAGAAGAAGAAGAAACTGATCATACAGGCTGAATGTCCCTAATACAGAAATCTGAAGTGCTCCCAAATCTGAAACTTTTTGAGTGCCAATAAGATGCCAGAAGCAGGCAATGGACATTGTTAACACTGCAGAAGAAGTGCTTATTGATGACTGGTGAAAATGGCTGATGGGCTTACTGAAGGCCTAGAGTAGTGTGCATTCTTAACAGAAGAAGGTATCAATCATATCAATTTTTAAAATCAAAGAGAGATGTCTAAGATCAAAACCAGTGTTAACGACGCAGATGACTCTAGAGGAAACATTTTTAGAAGCCAACCAGCAGAAAGCCTCCTCATAACTAGAGGACCCACTTCCTGGTCCCTCAACTGCTTCTGATGTTTCTTCTCTCCTAAAAAAGCTCAGTGTGCACTAACCTTTTAATCAAAACACAACATCATCAGTGTACGGATGGGTGAATTTTTAAACAAAAACACAGCATTATAGGTGGAGACTAAAAACCTGCCATTGTTCATTGGGGCTGTTGTTTAACAGATGGTACAGGTAATTCTGTTGATGCTTTTCTGCTTACAGGCTTAGTTACCATGAACACATTATTTTTTCACTGTATTAATGGTATGTCATATTTCTCACTGTTAAGAACTCATGTGTGAATAAGTATAAGAAAATGATTGCTTAATGGTAGCATATACATTCAAAGTCAGGAACAATGGTGATGCCAAACCACCTCAGATGATCCACATGGATGGCTGAGATAGTGACAACTTTGCTTTCTTTTTTTTTTTTTTTTTTTGAGACAGTCTCACTCTGTCGCCCAGGCTGGAGGGCAATGGCGCAATCTCGGCTCACTGCAACCTCCACCTCCCGGGTTCAAGCGATTTTCCTGCCTCAGCCTCCCAAGTAGCTGGGATTACAGGTGTGCGCCACCATGCCCAGTTCATTTTTGTATTTTTAGTATAGATAGGTTTACACCATGTTGGCTGGTCTCAAACTCCTGACCTCAGGTGATCCACCCACCTCGGCCTCCCAAAGTGTTGGGATTACAGGCGTGAGCCACCGCGCCCAGACCATCTTTGCTTTCTAAAGGTTCAATGTATATACCATCTTTGTTTCATGCACAAAATTATTTTAAAATATTATATAAAATTACCTTCAGACTATGTGTATAAGGTGTATAGGAAACATAAATGAACTTTGTGTTCAGACTTGGATCCTATCCCCAAGATATCTTATTATGTATATGCAAATATTCCCCACCCCCCCCAAAAAAATTCCAAAATCCAAAACACTTCCGGTTCCAAACATTTTGGAAATGGAATATTCAATCTGTGTAAGCGAAATCCAAACTATGAATCTTTAATGAAGACATCCTACATGGATTTTCTCAAATTCAAGAACCGATGCATCACCAATATATTTCTAAATGCAAAAAGAATGTATGGTGTTCTCATCCAAAAAGTTATTCAACAGAAAGGACTACATGGTGCAATATTCTACAATAAGAATTTGAACCATACCATTTTGCTAAAATGGCCTGTAACAAAACTTCATATGGTTGTTACTGGATTGCAAGTTGACACATGTTAACCAGAGTAGGCCGGGCACGGTGGCTCACACCTGGAATCCCAGCACTTTGGGAGGCCAAGGCAGGTGGATCACCTGAGGTCAGGAGCTTGAGACAAGCCTGGCCAACAAGGTGAAACCCCATATCTACTAAAAATACAAAATTAGCCAGGTGTGGTGGTGCATGCCTGTAATCCCAGCTACCTGGGAGGCTGAGGCAGGAGAATCGCTTGAAACCAGGAGGCGGAGGTTGCAATGAGCCAAGATCATGCCAGTGCACTCCAGCCTGGGTGACAAAAGTGAAGCTCCATCTCAAAAATAAATAAATAAAAATAAAATAAAAATAAAAAGACTAGTAGGAAATACATGATTTGGAAATAAAAAATATTCACTAGATTGATGATGCTAATTGGCTTTTTACAAACCTAGGAAGAAAAATATGTTGCAAACATGGAGGAAAGATGATGGCCTCCTTCAACAGAACTATGAGTTGTCCAAGATTTCACAAAGTTCTTCAAGCATGGCATTTGATGATGTAAGTACAAGAAGAACAAAAAGTAATGATAAGGTAGAACTTATTAGAGATGTATTTGAAATATGGAATCAGTATTAATAAGATGGAAATGTTCTAGATTCACGTATAACAGTTGATGAACAGTTAGCTGCATTTTAGCACATTACTCATTTGGAATACATCATGGAAGAAGAATTTGGGTATACTATGCTTAAATTCTTATTAAAGTATTCTAATAAAGCTGTTCTCCCTATCCTTTTATTGTTCTGTACATTATTTGTAAAGTGAAAACTGCACAAACATTACAAAAGAGCCATTGGATCCAGACAACAAACAGTAATGGCCTATTTTTCCTGGTATATGAAAGACAGAGCATCTTGGTGACATTTCTGTGAATGTTTAAAAAAAAGATGCATTTTAGAAACAAAGAATACATCCTTTGAATCCTCGCATGATTACACAAGAGTTTGTTTAAAGTTGTTTATCCTCCCTCCCCACAGCAATCACATCTAGTTATTCTACTCATTTCAAAATCAGAAATCATCTTTTTTCACTTGGTCAATACTTTTTCTAAAATAAAACGCTTCAAAACAGCCTGGCAGAAACCAGGGATTACATAAAATCCTCTTTAAGAACATTCCTACCTCTGGACTTCTGATTCCACAATACTAAAAGGCTTAGTCAAGATTTACATCTAATGTTCCACTAAAATTCAAATATATTTCTGATCTACAATTTCTAATCACACTTGACTTTGTTTCTTTCAGTTAAATAATCTCTGAAAGTTTGATACAGAATGCTAAGCGAATGAGCAGTTCTTAATAATTTCTAGATATCAGAGTTATTCTTTTAAGGACTTAGTCTATCTTTATTATTAGCAATCATTTATAGATGATATATTAAACTTTCAATAGTTTATTTCTAATTCAACCTTGATGATCAATGAGGATAGCAGCCATCACTAACAGACTGTCATCCCCACCATCACCCCAGAGAATACAGCATATAAATCATTTTCTTGATACCTATAAACTAAAATTATAATTCTGATAGCTAAAAGCTTACTAAGGCATAAATTGTTTGCTTTTATCCTAATAAAACCCAGTTTCCGGTATTTGCTCTCTCTAGTCTTTTTTTCCCCCATCTCCTTTTTCATTGTTAGGTAATCATATAATTTCTCCTCCCCACCTACATAATGGTTTGATTATTGTCACTGAGAATGCCTAGAGCAGCCTCTTTTCCACTTGCATGTTTCTAATATAACCACGTAACTAAGCTCAGCAGAATTATATTTAAAGATAATAAAATTTGATCTGGGTAAGGTTTAGTGACTTCCAATTTAGGACAGAGAATTTTCCAACTTATTTTCTCATTTTTGCCTGTATTACAGATAGGTATGGTTGTTAAAGAAACTTTTGTTGTACTGTTTCTGTTGTTTACAGAGTAATGTAATTTTTAAACTTATATTCCAGAGAGATATAAAATAGCCTCCTCCATCGTCAGCCAATGATATCACTGTTGAGCTGTTTTCAATAAAAGTTCATGCTGTACTTCCTGCCTCACAGGTCATGTCTGGTTCCGTTTTTGGATCCTCTCCACTGTATTCAATCCCTTTGGTTCTCAAGGTGACTACTGACTGATCAGGGGCTTGAAAAAAGGGAGACAATATTGATTTTTAATTTGTTTTTGTTTTTCTCTAATCATAGCAGCTGAAATTTTTCATCCAAGCTGTGGCCTCTTTGACTACTACATTGCAGTTCTCAAACTTTTAACTTTAGACTTCTCTGGATAGTTTCTAAGATATAAATTAAATTCAGTGTCAATGAAAACAAACTTACAAAACAGGCCTTCTTGGCAACACCCCTCTCCCCAGATATAGAGGTGCTAATGGATTCTCATCCTCTCCTAGGAGCCCTAAGATGACTTGAGCCTCACGTCAACTCTCTTTGCTACAGTTAAGTCAATTCTCTTTTCTTAGTTATCTAAGTGCCAGCCAAATACTGCATCTTAGCATTTTTCATTCCAAACCACTTTGTGGATGAAGAGGGCCACACTGAAATGGGCCACTCCCTGAACTGATTGGTTTTCTGCTATTGTACTCTATTTAACCAGATAGGAAAAAATAAAACAGCACAATTTCTCTAACACAAAAGCAGTACAGTCTATATTCTCCCCCATGCCTCCAAACACACATGCCACCAGATTCAAACAGCTGTTACCCACTTACCTATTTAGAAATGCAATCAAATATAAATATTTTCAGAGACAGATCAATTCTTGCATTCTAAAACTCTGTGGCAACAGTAATTCTTATGAGTCATTACCTAAGATTTCACGCCTATGCCACAGGCAAGTCATGCTCCAAACTGTTCAATCATTTCATTTAAAGCGCTCAAAAACTGAATTGGGTTTTGCCATATATGGGCCGTAACTTTTCATGTACGGAAGAATGGATCAAATCCAACAGAAAACTGCAAATGATTTTCTCTCTAGTTTTATACAGTAATGGGTTTATTCTCCCAAATTCTAGGACTTTCTCAAGTGGTTGCAGGAATTGCGGTTTTGGCTCTCTTAAGCCAATGTAAGCACATTTCCCACTGTTCATTAACTGAGAGAAGGCCAAATAACATTGTGGCACTTTTGAAAAGCTGAAGGAATCTCGGTTTTAGTGGTCTCCTTTGAAATTATGTATTTTAACCTTCCCCATTCCTGTTGGAAAATTAATTTTCCTGATCTGATATTGTCTCCTTTCCATATACTGAGATATCATAATACTATGATTTAGGGCCTGATACCGAGTTAAATGCTCAAAGCGAGATATTTTTCATTTGCTGTATCCACTCACTGCCACCCCCTCCACCATTTCTTGTAATCCAAGGATCTGGCAGGAGAGTGGCTGGCAGGAGCTAGAATTTAATCTGTGGATGGCAGTTAATTATAAAATAACAGGTCCCAGCTTGTTTCTACTTTCCACCCCCAAGAACATTTATAAATCTATACATCTGTAGACAGTTTATCTTTCAAAAACTTCTCATTTTAAATTTGTTACCCTCACATAACTCTTAAGAGTTAGTGATTGGTAACTCGATTTTAGAGATGAAGTCTTTGGTGTTGAAGTAAAAGAGATTCAATATTTAACACCCTTATTTTTCCAGCCCAAGTTCAAAACCAGTAAGACAGGAAAGCCAGAAAGAAAAATATATATTTATCTGATATATAATATACAGCTGATATATTATATAGAGTGATATACACAGATAATAGCTTTATTACTAATAAAGCGTAGGTTGGAAAAGGTAGCTTAGCTCTATTAGTTGAGTGGTCTTGGCTAATATTTCACCCCAGAATTAGGCCAGTTTCTCTACCTAGTCACAGGTGCAGCTCACCAGGCAGAGGCCTCCCTGAGGAGGACTGCCCCTATAAAACTCACAGCGTGAACAAGCACAGCAGAATGCAAGATCTGTAGGAAAGGAATGAGCTGAAACTAGACAGGCCCAGTTCCTTTTTCCAAACTCGAAGATAAGTCACTTCTCCTCCCCTAGGGAAGACTAAAGTGAGGGAGTTACTAGAGAGGCCAGGAGTATTATCCCAGTGAATGCCCATCCCATACAAGCATGCAAACACGAAACCAGAAGAAAGAAAGTTATTCCCCAAAATGCAGCACCAAGGAACCTCAAGTTGCCCCCAAAGCCAGGCTGACATTCCCCAGTTCCCACACGTTGAACTTGCTGACTGAAACAGTTTTCCTCTCCACCTATCTAAATCCTATTCATCTTACATTATTATCTCCAATTCTCCTTTTCTGTACAAATATATATATATTTTATATATATATATATATATATATATATTTTTTTTTTTTTTTTTGAGATGGAGTCTAGCTCTGTCGCCCAGGCTGGAGCGCAGTGGCGCGATCTCGGCTCACTGCAAGCTCCCCCTTCTCGCTCTGTCGCCCAGGCTGGAGTGCAGTGGCGCAATCTCGGCTCACTGCAAGTTCCGCCTCCCAGGTTCACGCCATTCTCCTGCCTCAGCCTCCCGAGTAGCTGGGACTACAGGCACCTGCCACCACACCCAGCTAATTTTTTTTTGTAATTTTAGTACAGACGGGGTTTCACCATGTTAGCCAGGATGGTCTCAATCTCCTGACCTCGTGATCCACCCGCCTTGGCTTCCCATAGTGCTGGGATTACAGGCGTGAGCCACTGCGCCCGGCCCCTTTTCTGTACAAATATTTTATGTCACTTACCCTTTTTGAGAACACATGCATCTTAAAAACTACATGCTTTACCCTGTAGATCTACTTAAGCAGATACATGGAAGCTTTAATAGACTGCAATATGCTGAGAAGCAACAAACAGTGGAAGACCATTAATTCATCTTGCAGTCTTCCCTTGGGTACTTCAAGATATATGAGCAAATGGCTTATAGAGCCAATAAAGGTACCAATGCATGCACCAAATATTAGTAAAGCTTAACTTAAGCATAAATACAGCTTGAATATTTTCTTTTCATATCCAAATGTACTTATTTGCATACCTCCTATTATGCCAGCGCCCCTCTTTGGAGACCACCACTTCATGCAATGGGGAGTGACATTAGGGCTGAACTTTAAGAAAGAGAACTCTGACAGTAATGAGAAGACAGAAAAAGAGAATGACCAGATATCCAAAATGGGATCGTAGCATCGAACATGAGAAGGCCATGCATAAGATGGGGTAGGTCCAATCAACAAAATTTGAAAAAAGGTCAGCTTTGGAGTGGTCTGAAAAGGGAGACAAAGGAGGAGACAGAATTCTGGATGATTTCACGGTAACAATCCTGAGTGACTTGGAGGATATAATAGTATTAACTAAAAAGGAAAATGCACAAGACAGCAATTTGAGGGAAGGACATTTAGATGAAGAGATCCTTGAGAAATACATGCATTTAAAAGACAAGTGGGAGAGAAACTAATGAAGGAGCTGAAAATGGCCAATGACACTGGAAAAGAACGACGACAGTAAAGTGTCCTAGTAGCCAAGGGAAGAGAGAAAGCACTTTTTAAAGGATGAGATGATCACTTGTGTCAACTTCTGTCAATAATTAAAGGAGACAAGGGACAAGATGACATCCGTGGATATGGCAAATAGCCAATAATAATGAAAGCTAGCATCACATCTGCTGCATGCTTGTCACATGCCAGGCACACCACTTCAAGAGTTGTACAAGTAAGAACCCATTTCATCCCCAAGAACCCTAGGACGTAAGTGTGACTAGCATCCCCATTTTGGTGCTCAGCCTCTCGAGTAGCTGGGCTTACAGGCATGCGCCACCAGGCCCAGCTAATTTTTGTATTTTTAGTAGAGACGGGGTTTCACCATGTTGGCCAGGCTGATCTCGAACTCCTGACCTCAGGTGATCCACCTGCCTTGGCCTCCCTTGTACAAGTAAGAACCCACTTCATCCCCAAGATGAACGTTAAGTGTGACTAGCATCCCCATTTTGGTTCATCCCCAATTTCATTTCATCCCCAAGAACCATAGGACATAAGTGTGACTAGCATCCCCATTTTGGTAACCAACAAGAAAATTAAATCCATAATAAGGAAGAGGCAGAACCCAAAGTGGATGGGGCTGAGGACAAATGAAAGGTGAGAAAGAATAATCTGCCTATAAATGAACAGAGGTATAAGAAAACAGAACAGCAGCTGCAGGTAAAAATGGTTTTGTTTGTTTGTTTGTTTTGTGTTTTTTTGGTTGTTGTTGTTTTTTTTTTTTTTTTTTTTGAGATGGAGTTTCACTCTTGTTGCTCAGGCTAGAGAGCAATGGCTTGATCTTGGCTCACTGCAACCTCCGCCTGCCGGGTTCAAGCGATTCTTCTCCCTTAGCCTCCCAAGTAGCTGGGATTATAGGCATGCACCACCACGCCCGGCTAATTTTTGTATTTTCAGTAGAGATGGAGTTTCTCCATGTTGGTCAGGCTAGTCTTGAACTGCTGACCTCAGGTGATACACCCGCCTCAGCCTCCCAAAGTGCTGGGATTACAGGTGTGAGCCACCGCACCCAGCTTGATTTTTAAGACAGAAACTATTTGAGCATTTAAGCGTTTACCAACTGAAGAGACAGAATCTAGGTCTGCCCCATAGAAAAAAAAATCTCTGGTGCTACTGGGAAAAGTCACGAAGACAGAGGTATGATGTCAAAGAGTCCAGAAAGTAGACAGAGAAAGAAATACAGTAGAGAATAGCATAGTGTCACCAAACAATAGTGTCACAGCACCATGGACTGACTGACTCTGACAGTGAGAAAACTAAAAAAGAGGGACTGAGAAAGAGTAAGATCTGAGAGGAATCAGACAGAAATAGTAGCTGTGTAGCAGTCTCGGAGTTCCTTCCATCCCAAAACAAGGGTGCGATGAGCGACAGCAGTTCAGTACAGGCTGCAAAAGGCTGAATGAGGTGTTCGCATGACTTGCTGCACGGGAGACTAGAAAACCTGGCAAAAGGTAGAGTCCAGGGCTGAAGACAGCAGATGTCCAGGGCCTACTCAACCTATAGGAAAAGCACTGGGTGATCTTCCCCTGCTTTTTGGTAGCGCCCTGCTTCCTCCCGAGTTCCACCGGAGGTCAGAGAACACAGTTTCAGGTTTCACACTATATACTTATTTCAGAAGCATGCAGAGTTATGCAGAAAAAAGGACACTCAAAGAGCAGTAGAACAGACAAGTTACTGCAACCACTTTAGCTGCACAGGTTGGCTACTTCTCTACACAGCTTGGGAGCTCATGCATAGCCCGGAGGGAGAAGTGATTGCTAGAGAACAAAAAAATTAGTAACTGAGTCATACGGGGAAAATTTCTGGATAAAAATTTTAATTGGCTAGGTGGATCCTTAGACTGGTAGACTTTGTGGATTTAGCTGCAAAGTGTATTTAAAGGAGTGTTAAAAAGTAACAACTGTTGTTTTAGATATTTTACAATTTATATTTCTAGGATAAAAACACTAAGAACTCTTTTCCATAAACACCTCTATTGCAACCATTATGGTAAAATTAAAAAATAATCAATATTTTAAAATGAATTATATACATGCAATAGAGGTATTTCCTTTGAGCAATTTATATCCTACTTAGATTAATCATAAAAACCAAGGTCGCAAAATTAAAGAATTGTTCTAATTTTTAAAATTTAAATTCAAAGCATAAATCTACATGAAAATCACGTAAAATCAAGAGAACAGGTAGGGCATGGTGGCTCACACTTGTAATCCCAGTACTTTGGGAGGCCAAGGCAGGTGGATCATTTGAGGTCAGGAGTTCGAGACCAGCCTGGCCAACATGGTGAAACCTCGTCTCTACTAAAAATGCAAAAATTAGCTGGGCATGGTGGCACACATCTGTAGTCCCAGCTACTTAGGAGGCTGAGACAGGAGAATCGCTTGAACCCAGGAGGTGGAGGCTGCAGCAAGCCGAGATTGCGCCACTGCACTCCAGCCTGGGTGAAACTGTGAGACCTTCTCAAAAAAAAAAAAAAAAAAGATAAAAAAATAAAAATCAAGAAAACAGAAGTAATTTCTAGAAAAACACTAGTTTCTTTTAAGGTTTTTTTTTTTTAATAATTACAGAAAGATTATAAACTGAATGGAAAAGACTTGGGTTCAGTGTCAGCCGATAATTATTTACAGGATCCTAAACAATCAATTCCCTCTTTAGGACTCAATCTGTTCAATACAGATGAGTGACGACCTGAACTAGATACAAAGTACATCAAAACCATAGCTTTACAAATGCAGACAGTCAATTTTCTAGAACAAAAACAGGATTCTATTTAGCTGGGTGGTGAGGAATACTCATAGCACTTATAATTTATTAATTTAAAAATCCATATTAATTGTTATTAAGAATAAAAAATATTACTTAGGTTTCACATACTAAGTAAAAGCTTTAGATCTTCATTAGGTTTAAGATCATCTAATTATAATGAGGATAGAGTGTAGGACATTTTTCCCAGTATTTTCTAAATCTGTTTAAAAAATGCTTACAGAGGACCAGTGCGGCAGCTCATGCCTATAATCCCAACACTTTGAGAGGCTGAGGCAGGAGGACTGCTTCAGGGCCAAGAGTTCAAGACCAACCTGGCCAACATAGTGAGACTCTGTCATTATTTTTTTAAAAAAAGAAAAATGCTTACAGAAATGTATCAAATTCAGTACCTCTACTTCAAATTTGTAGAAGGCCTGTTATTTTTTCTTTACATTACTAATACCATCATTTCTTTTTTTTTTTATTTTTTATTTTTTTATTTTTATTTATTTTTTTTTGAGACGGAGTCTCGCTCTGTCACCCAGGCTGGAGCGCAGTGGCGCGATCTCGGCTCACTGCAAGCTCCGCCTCCTGGGTTCACGCCATTCTCATGCCTCAGCCTCCCAAGTAGCTGGGACTACAAGCGCCCGCCACCACATCCGGCTAATTTTTTTGTATTTTTAGTAGAGACGGGGTTTCACCGTGTTAGCCAGGATGGTCTCGATCTCATGACCTCGTGATCTGCCCGCCTCGGCCTCCCAAAGTGCTGGGATTACAGGCGTGAGCCACTGCGCCCGGCCCTACCATCATTTCTTAATAAACCATATTCTTTTAACACCTTGCTTAGAGAACAGTACCATTTAATTATCACCATTCCTTCCAGAATATTTGAAAGAGATGCTGCAATGCTTTTAAGTTTTAACAAGATTTGTCGATCTCCAGAGAGTCTGCACATATGCAGCATTGTTATTAAAAATGCCAGGGAAGTCCAGGCACAGTGGCTCATGTCTGTAATCCCAGCACTTTGGGAGGCCAGGGCGGGCAGATTGCTTGAGCTCAGGAGTTCAAGACCAGTCTGGGCAACATGGCAAAATCCCATCGCTACAAAAAATACAAAAAAACTAGCTGGACAGTGTGGTGGCAGGTGCCTGTAGTCCCAGCTACTTGGGAGGCTGAGGCAGGAGGATCACCTGAGCTCAGAGAGTCGAGATGGCAGTGAGCCATGACTGTGCCACTGCACTCCCGCCTAGGCAGCCCTGTCTAAAACAAAATAAAATAAAACAAAACAAAACAAAATAATGCCAGGGAGACACTCATTCCAAGAGGTATCACTGTAAATTTCATCAAGTTTTGCTAAGCAGGCCACTAATAACAAACAAAAAACCCACCTTGTTTAAATCCCATTTTATATTCACCCTTCCTCTCCTCAAACTCTGAATTCCTACAAAATTAAATTATGTCCTCTAGTTTACAATGTGGACGTGGAGGAAGAAAACTAAAGAAGGGCAACAGAGAGAGCCTTGCACCAAGACCACAACCACTCCAGGGGGTGGGATTATATCCATTCCACACAGGAGGAATCGGAAGCTTTGAGAGCTGACGTAAAACTGGTAAACGGTGAAACCAGGATTCAAACCCAATTCTACCTGGCTGCCAAAACCACACATTGCTTTCCCCAGTTCACAGGCTATCACAGCATCAGCAGCAATCAAGGTAGAAAACCTAATCGAATATCACAAAAATAGGAACCCATCTGTGATGAGAAAACTTACAGATCTCGGACTGCAAACTGAAAATGCCTACAGGGCCAAGGCAAGTAATATAAAATGAAGGGAATTCAACGGGACTGGGAACAGGAGACCATGTGTATGTATCATCTACGGAGGCAGCTGCTGCTTCACTTCATGCAGGAATGTGGGCCTGGTGTTGCCAGATTTTGTGCTTCTTTTCAAGAGACACTGGAAATAATCTTATTATTTCATACTGACAATTAATTTTTAAAAATTAAACACACCACTGATCAAACAATATAAATCTGTAGACCACTAGTATCCATCCCTTAGAACTGCCAGTTTTCAACCTCCAGTATTCTGGGGGCACTACTATCATTTCTAATAGAAACAGAAATACAAAGACAAGTATGGAACCCAAGGGGCAAAGAGACACAGGTCTGAGAACAGCCGGAAGATTATAAAAACTAGATGAATCATATCCATTTAAGCCAAGATGAAATTAGTCACTAACTATATATTTCATTCCCAGGGTTTTAGTTTTCTATTTCCCAAAGAAAGAGCAAGGCTGCAAAAGAGAAGATTGGGTTGGGGGAGGGGAGGAACAATATAGCTAATGATGAAATGATACATAAATGGTAAGATGATTTTAATGCTCAGGCAAAACCCGCTCTTAACTGAGTCAGTCAACCACCAGTTACAGAAACTTGAAGATATCACTAATTCTGAACAAGATTAATTTGGGTGGGTAGAATTAGTCATTTCGTTATTAGTCCTTAATTTTAGCCATCAAAGCATAGCCAAGGGAAAGTAAGCATATCAGTGTGGTTACATTTCAAGCAAGATCTTGAAATTAAGACAAATATTTAGTATGTTCAAGAGATTTTGACAAATATTACTTAAGCCAAAGACACAAATGAGAACATACTCAATATAGCTAACTCTTCCCATCTCTCTATGCATCCTCTGTCTGTTGCATTTCCAAAGAAATATCTTTGTGAATAAATTCAGAAACATTTTAGCTGCAAACACAACAGAATCTCCAAAAGTACACACTGACCTAAGGCTGAAAAGAGTTTTCATTTAACAGGTGAGTGGAGATTTTTTTAAGCTATGGAAATGATTACATTTTTTAAACATTTTCCCAAACTTTTTGAGGTTGCAAGACAATTATTTTTACCTGTGTTTTTTCTGCAGCAGTCTTCTCACTGAATGACAGGGCCATCTGATACACTCCATACCATTATAGGCATGCAAACCCTTGATACGGATCCCACCACATAGTACTAAATCACCCTCTGTCATATTTATGTAATTTTTTAAAGTAGCTACAAGTTGTCTTAAGGACTGTTCTCTCTATCCTATGTACTTCCCACAAAGCAGACTCACAAATTCAACAAATCAACATTTCCATATAAATCTTGTTTTTGACTCCAGAACATCACAGTCGGCTCTGTAAACATTACACAGGAATTAAACACAAAATTTTCCTTTTTCCTTAGTTTAGAAAGACTTGGATTCAACAAGAGCCTCCATTCTCCCCTTATTGCAATCACCATGTGAAAAGAAGGTAATTTGCATTTGGTTCATTATCCTTAAAAGGAAGCAATTTTCAAAGAGGTGGAAAGATCGTTTTTTTGTTTTGTTTTGTTTTGTTTTGTTTCAACTCCTAAGGAAATCCTTCACTCTGGTGGCACGGGTTTTCCACATGCAAAATGCAAGTGCAGTCATAAACTGAAATTTTTTCTGAAATGGATTTACTAGGGAAAGTTACAAACTTAACAAGATGTCACATCTCTGCCTCAGACCAATCCACTCAACAGTACCTAGTTAAGGTGTCAGAGGCTCTTTACTTTAGCAAAAAGAAGCTAAATTTTTTTTATTTGCTTGCTAATTAGGGGTTTCTGTGACTACCCAAAGATGCACAAAGAAATAAAGGTTTTGCTTTTATCTAAAGAAACGGAGTAAGGAGAGAATACTATCATAACAGCATGGGTTGAGCACGAAAGGATACCCATTTACTAGATGACAAAAATCTTCACCAAGTTACTTAGCTTCCAAGTTACTTAGTGCTTTTCCCTTATCTTGGAAATGTCAGTTTACTGGCCTGAATTAGGTGTTTCATTTTGTCTTTTTAAAAGCTATGTTATTAATCACTGGAAGCCAAAATGATTTACTTTGGTAAAGGTACCCTATAGGGGTAAGAAAAAAAAGTTACAATTACAATTTTACCATCCAAAGTGCAACAACTTTTCTTAGAATAGGGAAAAAGATTTCTACTCTCTGCTAATAATAAACTTTAAATGTATATTTTTTAGAGCACTTGGAGAAAAAGGCATTTTACATTTGCAGAAGCTCCGCTCATGGGGTCGAAATGCATGCTGCCTCTACCACACTATAACCGACGAGCTTTTATTTAAAAGTGTCCCTAAACTAGAACTTTCCACAGCTGAAAACTAATTGAACATATTTCTTTCAAATCCGAACACACCAGTGAAAAAGGCCTTGCTCACGAAAACAAACACCTTAAGGGCCCAGAGCCAAATGGGCAAGATGAAAACGTTTTTGCAGGAAATATTCACAGGTTGAGTTGTTCACACAGGTCTGCAAGCAGGTGAAAGAGCAAGCCGCAAAAAGAGCTGCAAAACTGGAAAACAGCACAAGGGTGGCCCAAGGTAAGCAAGCACCAAGGCAACCAGGTATTCTGTGCCAGCTGAGGACCACAGGTGTCTTGCTAAAGAATTTAGAGAAGAAAAACTACATGTGTTTATAGCTTTATATTTAAGCTATAATAGACAGAGTCTACCTCTACCAGCACACTGCCAGTTTCAGAAGTCAGCGACGTCAGAAAAGGAGTGAAGGTTAGCCCTGAAAGAACAGAAAAGCAGCAAACTTTTCAGAAGTTAAAATGGGGACACCCCATACAAATGGGTAGAAGTATCCCAGTATGGCCTGCACTACAAAGAGAAAAATTAAAACACACCTTTTTCAAAACCTCAAAGAAAACTCCAAGCCTTATTTGAAACACAGAAGGACATCAGTACAACATTACTAACAAATCTCTAACAGTCAGCAAGAAATGAAATAAAAACTAATTAAATTCACACTTGAGTTTTATCTCACTCAAACAAGAACTGTTTCAGAGGCACTAAATACATCGGCCCATTACTGGTTTGCTTCATGTAGGTTTCTGTTTGTTTCAGTAGTCGTTCTATAAACTAATAAGAGATTATGTATTGAGGCCTTGTCTTCCTGTAAAGTATAAACTGGCACCTACCTACTGCAGTATTTTGCATACAATGTTGACGTCTGTACAAATAATGACATTTTGCTTGAAAACCAAGTTTTAACGTTAAGGATACCCCTTGTCCACTCAAGTCTCTCTTTTATGTATCATATTACACTCATCAAAAATTAGCATCTCCCATCACCTCTAGAGACAAAAGTCTCAATCGTATGTACATGCACCGCAGTGAGTATGGCAGACATTGCTGGAGGCTCATTCTACACTTCTCTTCTTGATCAAACCCCACTTTTGTTGAAGTATCTACCTGTCCTGCAAATAGCCATGTGCTTCAGGAGAAAGTCAACCCTGCCCCTAACTCCAACAAAGAGATTCTCATTTCTAAACCAATCATGGTAACTGGTTCAGAATGGGTATATTACAATTCCTCCCACTGATACGTGGGAAACCTAACTGGGGGCTTTGGGGAATTTTTCTTAAGAAAAAGTATCCGTTTCTTCCTATCCCCCTCTTCTCTAGACTGTCGTTTCCAAAAGTGTTATGTAGAACCGCCGCAGCAGCATATGGCCAAGAGCGAAGCCTGCCTGAGAGCAAACCGCCAAGTCAAGGATAGCAGAGCTCAGAGAGAAAAAACTAAAGTCCTTAAGGACATCAATGAGTTCCTCATCATACCACATATTGTCTAGATCCCAACCACTTCTGGATTCTCAATGTTGTGAAATAATAATCCCCTGATTATTTAAGCTTCTTTGATTCAGGCTGTCCATTACTTGCAGACGATGGCATGCTAAATGTGTGGGCCTCCTCTCCTTCTGGGCACATGGCAGGACTATCCTTCCTAGCTCCCTGGTGGCTGGGTAGGCCATGCCACTTCTGCCAAGTGAGCTGAAGCCCTCTAGAACTTTCTTTTCCCTTTGGTAGCCAGCAGCATTCCGGATAGTGTTTACTCCATCAGCCTGGCTCCCTGAGTGGATAATGATGTATACACGAAGCTTCCCTCTCCCTCCATGATGATTAACACAACATGAGCAGAAAATAAACCTTTATTATTTCAAGCCACTAAAGTTACTTGGGAATCATGAGCTAGTGTAGCATGTTCTAACACATTTTATTAAAAAAAAAAATGAATGAGTCAAAGAAAGAAAAAAATCATTAATCTGTGTTCTCACTTGGCACAAATTGAAGGGGGGGGGGAACAAAAATATTCTCACAAATCATGTTTCTTTTTGCCTTAACAAGACATAAAGAAATGGCAAAAAGAATAATTTGCTAAGGGAAAGTAAGAAAAGAGAACTGCCCCCAGAAGAATGAATAATACCTTCTAAGAAACCCCCAATAGAAACTGCCCAGTTCAAGCAAACAAAAAATAGATACAAACTATCTTACCAGCACAAAATAAAGCAATTTTCTATCTGTCTTAGTCTGTTTGGGCTGCTATAACAAAGTACCATAAACTGAGCAGTTTATAAACAACAGAAATGTATTTCTCACAGTTCTGGAGGCTGGGAAGTCCAAGATCAAGGCACCAGTAGATTTGATGTCTGGTGAGGGTCAGATTCCTAGCTCATAGCTGGCACCTTCTCACTGCATCCTCACAGGGTGGAAGAAGAATAGTCTCTCTCAGGCGTCTTTTATAAGGGCACTAATCCTATTCATGAAGGCTTTGCTCTCATGACCTAATCACCCCCAAAAAGGTCCCCACCTCCTAAAACTATCACCTTGGAGTTTAGGATTTCAACATATGAATTGCACAGGGACACACATACACTCACACCACGGCACTATCTAAACTTTGCCCTCTTTCTCCATAGGAATCATTAGAGGGGAAGGAGTTACTTATTGAGAAAACTGGTATTGGTAAGAACCTAAAGAAAGGAAAAGAATGAGCCAATGGGTTGACAGAGCATGACAGGATCAGGTTTTGGACGTCCGGGCTAGTTACAGAAGTGCTTTTCAACTTTCACGTATCTGCACAGAATGAAAGGATTATAATGATCATCTATCTATCCAGGGGACAACAAAGAAAGAAACATAAAATGTCTAAACCTCTACTTCCTACAAAAAACATCAGCTAATTTCACTATGTCAGTTACTTCAAAATGCTGTTGTCTAGCTGGCTAACTCAAAGACAAAAATCTGTCAATGTCAAGAAGCCTACTGTGGTCCTGGAGACACATATTAGAAATCCTAGAAAGACTACAGTCACTTTTTTTTCAGAGACAGGGTATTGCTATGCTGCCCAGGCCTTGATCTCCTGGGCTCAAGCAATCCTCCCACCTCACCCTTCCAAGTAGCTGGGACTACAGGTATGTACCACCAGGTGTAGCTGACTATGGCAATTCCTACTTTCTATTAAACATTACAGAAATGTAACGCCGTGAACATTACATCCTCAATCCTATTTCTTCTCTCTTAATTTATATGTGGAATCTGGTATGTTGTATATATCATTGTTACCCTTATAGCAAATTACAGGGGGAATGACTTCCATTACGTTTTGATACAATAGCTAAGCAGCCCTCCCTTCTGATATTTCCCTCAGGGGTCTGGAGAGGCCTACTTTTGATACTGTGGATCCAAAGTACACGAAGCTTTCTCAAACACCTTCTAGTCCTTTCCATGATGCTCCCCAAAGCAAAAACACCTTGCTCTCTCAGCGTTAACTGCAAAATGCAATCTTCTTGTTCCTCTTAACGGAAAGCCTCTGAAAGCCAAACACATTTTATTACACTGAAACTGGCAGAGAAACAGTTTGGGAGGGGAAAAAAAGTATGAAGACTGCAGCCTCTACACCTCTAGAAGAGTGGCCAACTTGCAGACAGGTGCCCTGCACAGATTCCTGTGCACACACAGACATGCCCTACTGCTACCCCAACATTCATACCCAACAACTGCCTAGTCTTGTCTCCAAGCACAGTGTGCCAGACTGACAAGACAGGTGATGGGGAATGCCTGTTGCACAAAGATGAAAAGAATTCCACAGCAGAACAGAACAGCTGAGCAAGTAATTCAGGCACAACTGAGAGGCCAGAATCTAAGACAAAGTACAATGGCAACTTCCTTGGAGAAGGTAAGATGGTAAAGCAGTTCAGAAGAACAGCTGAAGTGTTTAAGACAAGCAGGGTGGGAACTACAAGCTGAAGGGCTAGTTACATGGGTGTAACAAAATGCTTTCACCACACAGCCTTTATTGACAATCAGGAATAGGTGACAGCTCAAGAAAATAACCAACCCAACTCCAAAAGGGCTGACTTCAAGGAAAAGCAATAGCCTCAATCTCACAGGATCAAAAATTACTATGGTTTCTCTTTCTTTGGCCCATAGTAAGAAATCTTACAAAACAGTCAATTTCATTAATTGAACTTGCAGAGAAATAAACTGCAAACTTTAAAAAGTCATAATCTTAGGGAAATTATACTTTTATTAGCCTAATTTGTTGGAAGGTACATCAACAATAGTAACATGTTATATCCTGAAAAGGAAGGGTGAAGCCCATCCTAGAGTGGGCAGCATGGACAGGGCATGCTCCTGTCTCAATGTTTAGTAACTAATGAATTTCTAAAGTCCCACTATTTAGTAGAGCACCTGAATGCAGCTACACACATCTACAGTGACCTGATTAAATTTTTAGGAAGGCAGTGAACAGAAACATCTGCTAGGGAACAGGACCAGATGCCAGCAATGCATGCAAAGTGCCTGTGCAACTTATGGGACATTGCTGGGTGCAACAAATGATAGTTATTATATTACTATTATAAAAACAAGCCTTCAGTTATTTTCCTCTAATCAAACTCTATATATAAACCATATTGTAAAAGTCTTCTTAAGTGACTTATATAAACTCAGTTGATTAAATCAGAAAAGAGCACATTAAAATGATAAATCATATAGAATACTGTGAACTAAAAACATTTTTTGTCATCAGCTTCCCATATTAAAAAAGAGAACTTTACCTAAGAAAACATCCTTAACCATAATAAAATGTGCAGCATATCCTCATGCCCACCTCACTAAAAAACAAAACAGAAAAAGCTCTGCACTATTTCTCTCAATGCAAACTACTGATATTCAGTTCTTCATCCTTATTCTATTACCTGGTTTCCTATGCATCTAGTCAAGGGTTCCACATGTCAGAATTCTTCTTGTCATAACCCTTAAACAGCTATTTTTCTTTGTTTATAATTTTTAAATGTATGTCACAGTAGTAATATGGCACAACACACAACTACACTCTCCACTTTTATTTAGTTTTCATCCAGTTATTCACACTTATTGTCTACTGAAGATTTTTCAGGGATTTGACAAGCTGTTTGATTTTTTGTTGTTGTTTTTAACTGCATGGTCAGCTTCAATAAGGATCTACTGAGACAGTAAGAGAGCAGACACTTGAAATGATCCCAAAAGTTTTGAAAAAGATATTGAACATGTAACAAGAGTGGAATCTAACCTTGACCATCCCCTGATAATGTATTCATTCAAAGCAAACAAAACGCAACAAGATCAAGCTTCCCTTGGGTTACAGAACTACTATTAACCAAGAGAACATCCTGGCAATTCAAAATTGGTGCCATGCTATTCTCAAGAATCCATCTACACTCATCTTTATCTATTTTCTACCACACTGGCCTCTCGAAACAAAACAAAATCATTCTAGTTCCCCTCTTTATCTGCATATCTATTTGAAAAGACTGGAGATATAACAACAATTCAGCGTCTGTTGTAAAAGGTCGCATACTCTAAACCAAACCTAAATAATACTTACTTTTAAAGACCATGCAGAAGAGAAAAGCATTCCTTAGCCTCTTTATCTTCCTGTTTAGATTTTAAAATGTTTAGATGTTTGCTTGAACACCCTGCTTCTCTGTGTCAACTCCCAACTTACTACTAACACAACCTTAAGAGCTATTCTTTACTGGGTGGGGGCGCGGGGGGCCTGGACAGGCACAGTGCTCATGCCTGTGGTCCCAGCTACTCAGGAGGCTAAAGCGAGAAGACTGCCTGAGCCCAAGTGTTTAAGGCTGCAGGGAGGCATGTTCATGCCACTGCACTCCAGCCTGGGCAACAGAGCAAGACCTTGTCTCTAAAAAAGAAAACACAAAATTTAAAAATAAAAATCTTTTTAAATCCTTTAAAATACATTCACTGTAAGGAATAAATTCCTTTGGAGCACATTACCATTCCAATGCCCCCTACCCTCATATGACCTGAAAAGCTTTTTCTGAGTATTTTAGTACTACTTGTAAATAGATGTCAGAAGAAGACATATTTTCTGTTAACAGGAGTTATCAATCCACTGAGTCACTTAAGACCCTCCTTTATAGCTATGTTCCTGAGTGTGCTTTTTGTTTGGTGTTTTGTTTTTAAGGGGCAGAGCAGGAAATGGAGGAGGGGAAAGACCCACATAGTCCTTTGCCTTCCCTCATCTTTCCCCTCCCCCTCCATCCACCCCAAATGACTGTGAGAACTTCCTGCAGTGAGAACACCATGAATAGGGCCTGGCATCCAGACAGGAAAGATAGTGCAGGACTAGGAATGCCCTGAATAAAGCTTCTATGCAGCCACGAAATTAAAGGGATTCAGGAGCGACACAAAGGGCCTGGCTAGTTAATGGATTCAGTCTTTTCTTTTACAGTATAATTAGGCAGCATACAAATGAAAGCCTTTTCCAAGGAGCTGGACTGGACTAACAAGGCCAAATGACTCTCCTCTGCATGCTTGCCATTTTCCCCCTTGAGATGATGTTGTTCTTACTCTTAGAAAAACATTGCAGGAGGAAGTTGAAGTACAAATTCTCTCCTACCTAGAGGTCAAATTCCGAGCCACCTTCAAGTTTTACTCCTTTGGACACTTCCATATACATCACTTGTTTTAGAGACAGTTCGGACAGGGAAAGACTACCCCCTTCCTCCCACAAACATTCTATATGCTTCACATTTATTTTTGAAAATAATAATTATACTAGGAAATGTTTCCAGATCAATTCTGCCAACTAGGCTTATGAATAAGTAGTGGGGAAAACCTCTTACACATCTCAGATGTGCAGTTCTAAGAATCAATTCAAGATTCACTATGGATCACGGACATCTCAGCTGCAGTACCGAAAAAATCAAACGTGGCTAACACTGCTTTTTTGTTGGTGTTGGTTTTTTAAAATGCATCTCTCACTTTGGGACTTTGGGCACCTGAGGAATCAGGGACACCTGAGAAACAGTATTTAACGTGAACAGACATGTAGACAAATGAACTCCACAAATTTCTCTCTCTTTTCCCACTCTCTATTGTACTTGAATCCTTTCATTTTCTCTTTAATTGTTCCATCCAGGCGTTTCACCCAAAATGGGGTGACCTGTCACCTAAACCTTAATAAAGCAGGGAGTTTTTTGAAATGCAGCAAGAAAAAATACATTAATGAATCACAGAAGAAAGTGGAGAACCCAGTAGCTTGTAAAAAAAAAAAAACAACTAGGAAATTCACCCTCCCTATGTTAAACTATAGAATACAGTGTTTCCTTCCACAACAGCAACAAGTCTCACAAGTAGCTGGAAATCAGGAAAAAGAAAAGAAGGGCAATAAATGCAAAAGACAAAAAGTCAACAGTCCAATCTGAGACAAGCTGAATCTGAGCACAGCTTTTGAAAAAAACTATAAAAATATAAGTGCGGGGTTTTGAAGACTGTAAAGGCTTTTTCTTTTTCTCCTACGTAAAAGAGAGTGGCTATATTAGTAATCACAGAGCAACAAGTCTGATAGGAGTCCGCAGGTGCCCTATTGTGTCTGTATAGAGGGATGGAGAGAGAGGGAGAGCAGGGAGAGACAGAGAGAGAGAGAGATTATTACTAGACTTGTCTAGGTGAAAGCCTCATGAGGACATGAACTACTTCTGTATGTATCTCCAGTGAACACATAACTGCACGTAATAACAACACCCTTTGCCAAAAGAAAGATGAAAAATGGGTGTTTCAAGCTGATTTGTGTCCCCCTCCCTCATAATTTATATGCTGAAGCCCTAACTCTCAGTACCTCAAAATGTAACTATATTTGGAGACAGGGTCTTTAGAGGGGTGATAAGGTTAAAATGAGGCTGTTAGGGTGGGCCTTAACCCAATCTGACTGGTATTCTTTTTTTGTTTTGTTTTGTTTTTTGTTTTTGCTTTTGTTTTGAGGTGGAGTCTCGCTCTGTCGCCCAGGCTGGAGTGCAGTGGCGCCATCTTGGCTCACTGCAATCTCCGCCTCCGGGGTTTAAGAGATTCTCCCGTCTCAGCCTCCTGAGTAGCTAGAACTACAGGCATGTGCCACCATACCCAGCTAATTTTTATATTTTTAGTAAAGACGAGGTTTCACCATGTTGGCCAGGCTAGTCTCGAACTCCTGACCTCAAGTGACCCACCCGCTTCGGCTTCCCAAAGAGGGATTACAGGCATGAGCCACCGCGCCCAACCCTGACTGGTATTCTTATAAGAAGAAATCTGGACACACAAGAGACACCAGAGATGTGCAGGCACAGCTGGAAACACCAAGTGAGGACAAAGGGAGAAGGTGGCCATCTGCATGCCAATAGGCCTCAGGAGAAACCAACCCTGCCAACACCTTCATCTTGGCCTTCTAGCCTCCAGACTGTGGAGAAAACGAATTTCTGTTGTTTAAGCCACCCAGTTTGTGGTATTTTGCTATCACAACCTGAGCAGAATAATACAACGGGAAAGGCAGAAACTGGAAAGAGAGAAACTGAAAGGAAGAAAAGGAAGAAGTTAAATAGCCAGAATGTTAAATGTTATCTCAAAGTCTCTAGAAATACATACTTTCTCCCACATACTTTTCCATATTGTAGTAAATTCTTTTTGCAAGTAGGTATCTTTTTTAAGAGTCTTTTTTCCCCCACTCCCAGGAGGTTTGGAGTTTGGTCATATGAGGCTGCAAAACTTAAATTTAAAAAAAAAAAAAACCTTATATATACATTTATTTAGAATACCAGCAAGCCTTTGGGTAAATCTGAACATGTGCCGACCAAATAATAATAATTATGTAAAATTTCAGGAGTAAAAAAGTAAGAAAGCAAAAACACTAGAGAAAAGTGTAACACCTACAAATGAAGACGAGTTATCAGAGTTGAAGTATTCTAAGGTCTTTGTTTTTGGGGTTTTGTTTTAAAGAAAGGATGTTGAAGAAATGGTGATTATACGCTTTTTATGTGACATTTTGAAGTTAAATATTTAAAGGTAACCACTAAAATAATGTATTATAAAACTTCCAGAAGAATGGACAGTAAAATGAGAACTAAAGAACACACTACCAAGAAAAGAGAAAATTAAAACCTTAAAAGGTGTGTGTGTTGGGGGGAGCCACAAAGTCAAAAGTAAACAAATCCAAATATAAATAGATTGAATCCATAGATTCTCAGATTAAATTTTAAACCTGCTATATGTTGTTTAGAAGAAGGGCAACTATGGCAATATAGTAAGACCATAAAGGAAAAAATATATACCAAGTAAACAGTAACCCAAAAAAGCTATCATCATATTAATATCAAGCAAAATAGCCACTAAAGCAGAAGTCACTATTAGAAATAAAATGTCACTATATAATGAGAAAAAGATTCCACCAACAAGAAGAATATAACTATTCCGAATTTGGGCGGGGCGTGGTGGCTCACCCCTGTAATCCCAGCACTTTGGTGGCCAAGGCCGGCAGACTGCTTGAGCCCAGGAGTTCCAGACCAGCCTGGGCAACAGGGCAAAAACCCATCTCTACGGAAAAACTAAAAAAATTAGCCGAGTGTGGTGGCATATGCCTGTAGTCCCAGCTACTCAGGAGGCTGAGGTGGGAGGATCACTTGAGCCCAGGAGGCTGAGGCTGCAGTGAGCAGTGATTGTGCCACTGCACTCCAGCCTGGATGACAGAGCGATACCCTCATCTCAAAAAAAAAAAAAACAAAAAAAACCCTATCCTGAATTTGCCTGCTATTTATCAACATAGCCTCAAAATACATTGAATTAAAGGGGGAATTTCATGAATTCACAATTATGGAAGAAGGACTTCATGTATATAGTACTGTGAATAGTTGAGTAGTAAAACTATAGAAGATGAATGAAATACTTAACAATCACGATCTAAGGAACACATTAGACCTAACCAACACCCAACAATTAGAATGTACCTTCTTTTCAAGCAGACATGGAACAATTATACCAGATCACAAAGTTAATCTCAACCAATACCAAAGAATCAATATCATCCAGGCACTTTGACAATTATACGATAAAATCTGAAATAGTAAAATCTGAATTTACAAATTCTGATGTATTTGAAAACATCAAAATGACCTTTAAAACAATTCATGAAATAAAAGAAAAAAAATCAGCCAGGTACAGTAGCTCACACCTGTAATCCCAGCACTCTGGAAGGCCAAGGCGAGAGGATCACTTGAGCCCAGGAGTTCAAAACCAGCTTAGGCAACAGAGTGAGACCCCGTCTCTACAAAACATTTTTTAAAAATTAGCCAGGTGTAGTGGCAAACACCTGTCAGTCCACCTACTCAGGAGGCTGAGGTGGGAGAATCGCTTGAGCCCAGGAGTTCAAGGCTGCAGTGACCCATGACTGTGCACACCAGCCTGAATGACACATGGAGACCCTGTTGAAGAAGGAAGCGAAGGAAGGGGAGGGGAGAGGAGGGAAGGTGGGAGAGGAGGGAAGGTAGGAAAGGTAAGAGGAGGAAAGGGAAAGAAAGACAAAAATCGGCTGGGCGCTGTGGCTCACACCTGTAATTCCAGCATTTTGGGAGGCTGAGAATCGCCTGAACTCAGGAGGTGGAGGTTGCAGTGAGCCAAGATCATTCCACTGCAATCCAACCTGGGCAAAAGAGCGAGACTCTGTTTCCACAGAAAAAAAAAAAAAAAAAAAAAGGAAATGAAGAAAGCCTAAAAATTAGTAAGCTAAGCACCTGACCTTAGGAATAAAATGAAAGAGAACTCCTAACAAAACTAATTGATGGAATTAAAAATAAGAGCATAAATTAAGTATGGGAGAGGGGAATGATAGAAATTTCAAGAAAACCTAATGCTGATTCTTTCAAAACACGAATAAAAGTTACAAAGCCATGGTTAGACCAACAGTAAAGAGAAGGAACTAAAAAGGAGACATCTGAAATGTAGTAGACTTAAATAATGCTGAAAAACAGACATGGAATATTTTCTAGAAAAGTATCTCTTCCCAAAACTGAGTCTAGAACAATTAGAAAACCTGAATATAGCTACAACCATTAGATACATTTGAATTTGTAGTTTAAAGGCTACCAGGTCCAGAAAGCTTAAGCAAGTTCTACCAAGCGAAAAATAAATCACATTGCTATGCACCAGCAAACTTTTTTTTAGTTTTAATACACCATTTATAATAGAAAAAAAAAACCCACATACAATATATAGGAATAAATCTCACAACACACGCGCCAGGTTGTGGATCAAAAGTTGTACACAGGTTTACAACTTAAAAAAAAAAAAATCACATCTGAAGCACAGCAAAATGTTAGATTCAACAAAGCTGGTGGATAGTTACACAGGTGTTCTTTATATTACTCTTGTCTTCAGGCTTGAAATGGCCTATAATACATTTTTTAAAAGAAAAAATACTGCAAAGCTAAAATCATTTGGGCAAAACAAACTAAATTAATTGCTATTTAAGAACATCATTCAAATAGTGTTCATCTTACAATTTTCAAAGGCAACACGCAGAAAAGGAAGAAGAAAAGCAAATTGCCGAAGTAAGTCCTGACTAACAGCAGCAGGAACACAAGAAAGTGCTAACATTTGAGGAAAATTCACTATAAAAAATTAGTTTTGGCCGGGCGTGGTGGCTCATGCCTGTAATCCCAGCACTTTGGGAGGCCAAGGAGGGTGGATCACCTGAGGTCAAGAGTTCGAGACCAGCCTGACCAACATGGAGAAACCCTGTCTCTACTAAAAATACAAAATTAGCCGGGTATGGTGGCTCATGCCTATAGTCTCAGCTACTCAGGAGGCTGAGAGGCAGGAGAATCGCTTGAACCCGGGAGGGGGAGGTTGCGGTGAGCCAAGATCACGCCATTGCACTCCAGCCTGGGCAACAAGAGTGAAACTCCGTCTCAAAAAAAAAAAAATTAGTTTTTCTTCCATCTTCCTCCACTTATATAACATATATTAGGCATGCATTTGAGTATTCCCCTTGGGAGCCCAGAAAGAAATCCAGTGGTCAGCAATTCAGATCTAACACCTCTGACCCAGTCTCTGACACAGTTCACTATATACTAGTACAGTATTTGGATTTCAAATCTTTATAGTTTTCCTCCAGATTGTAAAAATTCTTATCATAGATTCATATGTAGAACACTGGCCAACATTTACTACCAGTAACTTTTTTCAATTCAGTCACTAAAAGAGGCAAGAGTAACATTAAGAATTTTAATTTTAATCATGAATTTTTCAAAGATTTGGTTTAGTGATTATAATTTCAATACTGAAATGGTTTAAAAAATGTAAAGTATTTGGTAAATACAGAACGGTGGTACTATTAAAATTACTCCAAAAAACCTCTAATTTCTTGCAACACTATAGCACATCCCCGTCACTCACCACTGCACTATGTGAAGGCACCCACATGCTCTCAATGAGAGTTCTCACCACCCACAAATGCCACTGAAGGACTGCTTAAAATTGAAACACCTCACTTTTAATAGTACCACTTGTTGACAATTTTTAACAGTATAAAATGAGCTAGATTTCTTAATGCAATGTTAGTTTATTGATTGTTTGGAGTCATTCAAACTACATTTTCATGTAATAACCACTAGGGAATAAGAATTTAGCCTATACTAGAACATGCAACTGGTAACGTGTTTACTTTTCCTGTTCTCTTAATCATGATAAACTAAATATTCTCCTGGAGTCAAAGGGTACAGAACCTGACCCCACCCACACTTTTTATCAAAGGTTGTCAGCAGCAAGTAAAGGTTCAGGCAGGCTTAACATCTACCAAAAAAATTAAAACCTCAACTCTAATTTCAAAGTATGCATTAGTATAACAAATAAGATTACTAAACCCTAAAATGCAATGGTATTAAAATTATTATTGTTTTTAAATGATATCCAAATGCCAGGTTTTAAAACATTACAAAATTACACCAGCTATACCTCCTAAACTATCTTCAAGTTTGTGGGCTCTATCCATGCTGTACTTCCTTCCTTTGGACATAAACCAAATGGAGGAATTCAAACTCCAAATTCTTAGGCCAAGAAAGGAAAGCCTAGCTAATGTTTAAAAATCTATTATTAAGAAGCCTATCCCTGATTTACATGTGACTAATGTCTAAGCTAAACATGTGCATATCTACACAAATTATTTATAATATTGTACAGTGTTATAATAGTAACATACCATGATTACAATCACTTCCAGTAACACATGCCAGTGGAGGAAGTAGAGGTGCTAACATCACTGAAGTTTCAAACATGGATGTGCATTACATGATCTGTTTATCTTCCTATGCCTTCATTATCAGGTTGATTTACTGGTTCCTTTTCTCCCTTACTCATTCAATAAGAATTGAGCACCTACTATACACCAAGCCTTCTGTTAGGCACTAAAAAACCAATATCCACAGTCCAAGGGAGAGGCACATGAGAACAAATTCATGCAATGCATGGAGTCAGGCTTAAGACAGAGGTATGAAGCACAGCAGGAACTTCAGCTGGCACTCTGACCACTCTCTGAATAAACATCAATTCTTAGACAGTGAAACAGCTCAAATACCAGCTTGGAGAAAACATGAGGCAAAAAATGCATTGAATTTCAGAGACACCACACAAATAAAGGTAATCTCTGTTCCTCTAAGTCAGGGTTCACAAACCCAGCAGGCCTCTGGGACCAGGCAGGAAGCCTGTATGAGGAGTGTGCTCGCACCAGGTGCGGGCATGCGCCCTCTGAAGGAGCCCCACCACTCACCAGAGGCATTGCCACAGAAGCTGGGGTGCCCAGATACTCTGATTTTTTAAAACAGAATTTAAAAAAAGAAGAAATCTTGATTCTTAAGGGAACTTTACAATGTCTAACTCATGGCAATTAACTTTAAAGTATTTCCAATTGTGCCTACCAAACAAAACACACCTGTGAGCCACATGTGTCCCACGGCACCAGTTTTGGACCTCTGCTCTAAATCCAGCAAAAGAAGATCCAACTTACCTCTCCACATCAAAGTAGTAAACATTAAGCAAAACTCAAAAAAATTAAAAAGCCTATCAACATATATGTCCAAAATTTCAATGTAACCACCACAGAGATGCAGTCACAAAAACTCACCCTGTGAGAAACTCTACAGGACAAATAACCTGGTTTTTTCAACAAGTAAATTGCAAGGAAAGAGAGGGAGAGGGGGAGGGTGGAAGAGGAGAGGGAAGAAGAGCTGGAGAGGCGGGAAACCTAAAATTAAAAGAAATTTAAAAGACATAAAAAATGCAATTACTAGGTTTGGACCACATTTGGATCATAATTCAAACCAAAAATGTAAGATTAATGGAAATTTGATCACTGACTAGGTAATTGCTGAAAAATAGGAATTAGTGTTAATTTTTAAGAAAATAACAGTGTCATCGTTTTGACTGAAGTACTTCCAAAGGAGTATTTCTGTATGGCGATACTTAAGTTTAGAGGTATTTATGGATGAAATGATATGAGATCTAGGATTAGTTTCAAAATAACCTAAGCAGAGGAAGGTGATTCGAGATAAAGTAAGACTGGCCATGAGTTGGCAACTGCTGATGCTGGGTAATGATTACGTGAGAGTTCATTACATTATTTTGCCTACTTTTGTAATTGTGTTTAAATTTTCCGTAATAAAAAAAAATTCTAAAAAAAAAAAAGCTGTTTTTAAGTTTTTCCTATTCACTATCACTTAATCTACTCAAAAATAGGGAAATGATGCACAGGATTAAGACAACCAAGAGAGGGAAAAAGAACAGAAAATAATACTTCAATAATAACTATAAAGAAACTAATTAACCTGCCCCTTAATTTAAAAATAATTGACTTTGTAAGTAACCCTGGGACCTCTCTTGTTTATGGATAAAAAGTGTAAAAAAAAAATCCTAAGCAAGTATAATTTCATTTAATGTCTCCCTAACAGGACATACAAATTAGAATGCTGTATTCCAACTCCATTAAAATGGAAATTGGTTTTTAAAGTATTAAGAGAACACACTGAATTGGTGATTTTTAATGTCCTCAATCAAACATCCTTGATGTTCAGCACAGTTTATTATCATTGGGGGTGAGTTACGGGAAGCTGGAATATACAGCAGGGAATTTTATATACTCATTCAATAAGAGGTACTAATTTTTCTTTTCTAAGAAAAGGAAAATGAGTGTGCTGGGATGGGGCAGAAACAGAGTAAAATAGAGCTTCCGATAAAAATTTTAAAAGGCCAGCTGCAGTGGTTCACACCTGTAATCCCAACACTTTGGGAGGCCGAGCCAGGTGGATCACAAGGTCAGGAATTCAAGACCAGCCTGACCAACACGGTGAAACCCCGTCTCTACTGAAAATACAAAAATTAGCCAGGCATGGCGGTGGGCACCTGCAGTCCCAGCTACTCAGGAGGCTGAGGCAGGAGAATCGCTTGAACCCGGGAGGCGGAAGTTGCAGTGAGCCAAGATAGCGCCACTCAGGCGCCCAGCCTGGGCGACAGAGCAAGACTCCATCTCAAAAAAAAAAAATTACATGAAGCCAGTAAAAAGACTATGCCTTTATTCTCAGACCACACCCCTTTGCATTCTGGGAGCATCTTGGGGCCTCAGATAACATAGAGTCAATCAATATAGCTGTATAAGGAACTACACAGCTGTGTAGGTGGCTAAAAGATGAAGAAAGTCATGTACATAGGAAGAACAGAAAAAGTGGTTGTTCTTGTGTGTTCAGATTATAGAAAAGACCGCGTTACTTTTATCTTCCTTTTCTCTTTTCTCCCTCCTACTGATAAGATAAAAAGTTAGGAAATGATAGTCATGGCACCTGTCCTTGAAAAAGACAAATCTAAAGAACATTTGATAACTCAATGGAATGGTTTCCCATTATCTTAAAATCAATTCCAAAACACTGGCCTCAAAGGCCTTTGTAGCTAGACTTAACAGAGAATTCATATATCTACCTATTTTGCATTGAATTTAAGAGGAGAAAAACTATAATGACCAAAGCATTCGGTCAGGCAGAAGTTAGCCCCAGACCACACACCCATTATATGGCCCCTTACAATTTCCTGATATTCTCAATCAGTACACTATATTCACACTGGTCCTCCCTCTAAGTCCTTAAACTTGCCGGGCTTCCTACCTCAGGGCTTTCAAACACACTGTTTCCCTATTTGCAATGCTCTTTCACGTACCCTGTAACCCAAGCTACTATTCAGTCCTCAGGTCTCAGCTTAAACAAGAATTCACTGCATACTAGATTTCTTCCTCGTGGCACACATAACAATTACAATTAAACAATTATTTATAAAAGTATTTGGTAAGTTTACTCCCTACTTTGAAGTCACAAGGGCAAGGACCTTCTTGTTAAAGAGTGGCACACAAGAGGCACAAAGTTCAAGAAGTATTTGCAAGAAATTGAGAGGAAGAACCCTATAGTACTGTCTTACGTTTTATGATAATCTGCGTCCTTGTGCAATTGGCTTAAGCTTCTGAAAAGGCAGAGGATCTGGTGACTCATCTTTTCCCCCAGCCTTCAAAGCACCTTATACCTTGGGAAGCAAGCACTCCACATCTGAATTGACTAAGTAGACTCAGGGAAAAAAAGACAGTGTCCCATATGAAAAAAAGTTTCTGTTACCACTAATCAGTGACTTTTGAACACAAACAAACCTTTGTGCCAACAACTGCTAGCCCAATAAATACAAAGTTCCTGAGCAAGTAAAAAACAACCGAACTCTACAGCCATTCCACCAGGGCCTATAAAATCAAGAACGGTCTATTATTTTTTTCCACTCTTACTGCTGTTTAGCAATTCATCATATGAAGAGTGAGCAATTATGGTTCTTTCTCAAGAGTTTCTATCCTAGTTCTCAAACTACCTTTATTAAAAATCTACAAAACACAACTTTGCTACGGGAATATAAAATAGCTAGATGATCTGAAGACATCAGTAAATATTTGAGCAATTATATTCTTTTTTTTTTCTTCTTTTTGAGACAGAGTCTGACTCTGTTGCCCAGGCTGGAGTGCAGTGGCATGATCTCGGCTCACTGCAACCTCCGCCTCCCAGGTTCAAGCAATTCTCCTGCCTCAGCTTCCACAGTAGCTGGGATTACAAAGGTGTGCACCACCACGCCTGGCTAGTTTTTGTATTTTTAGTACGTATGGGGTCTCACCATGTTGGCCAGGCTGGTCTTGAACTCCTGACCTCAGGTGATCCCCTGCCTCAGTCTCCCAAAGTGCTGGGATTACAGGCATGAGCCACCATGCCCAGCCATAATTATGTTCTTAAGAAAAACTAAAATAATGCTCGTTTTTGTTTCAATAACCATAATTTAAAATCTTGGCATCTAGCCCAGTCCTAAGCACAAAATGAAAATACAATGCTTACTACAATTAACAAGATTTCCATGATAGGTTTAGCATGGTTTCTTAACAGTGTTTATTATTTATTAATTGTCCTCTATACCATCTGGTTTATATCTACATATCTACCTGAACTTAAAATTTACCATGTCTTTATGTTCACTTTATAAACAGATTTAATCCATGAGTTATTATGATAATCTAAGAATGGAAAATACATTCTTCAGAATCAGCTCTTACCTGTAAGTCATAAGAAAAAAGAAGTCATAAGAAAAAAATCAAATCTATCTCAGAAATATCCATAAATGAGTTTATAAACAGAAAGGAAACAGAATATAATAGAAAGCACAATCCCAGCTTGGTTATTTACTACCCGCAGCTTTCATGAAGGCTTCTGAACATCCTGCCTTTCTGCCTCCCGACCTACCCACCCTCCCTCCCGCCCAAACACATACACACCCCTACAGATTAGGAGCAGGGAACTACAAGCTGTGCTTGCTATCAAAACAAACCTACCCAATGCAAGCATTGCCGAACCTGTAAAACCAAGTTTGGCAATCAGCTCCTCCACCTCTCCTTTGTCCCCGTTTCCCTTCCAGTGCAGTAAGGTGCTTTAGGATGGCCCAAGGAAGGATCAATCCTCCAAAAATTCAGCAGTAGTTGAAATCACTCATGAATTCACAACAGATGGTATACACTATGATTACTTGGTTGATGAGCTCGAGAAAAAGCATATTACAATAAATATTGAGATGTGACTCTTCTTTACCTTCTAATTCACTAAGAAAACTGAGGCCAATTGAGACCCAAAGACTTCCAGAGCTCTTACAAGAATCTCTTTATCCATCCTTCCTAAAAGCCTTATGGAAACAGACGACCCTCTTCCCACCTAGGGTTAACTCCTTCATGGATGCTCCATGCCTGCTTATTTCTTTCTTTCCTTTGTTTAAATTTTTCCCCTCTGTTCATCCATCATCCTTAGCCTCTTTCTCCCTCTCTCCCTTCAGGATAGAAATACTGTTCAAATTTCTGCCTTCAGGGCCTCTTCTCTTCTTCCACTGAGATATAACTTACATCTAATAAAGCACACAAACCATAAGGGTACCAATCAATGAACTGTTGTATATGTACCCACCCAGAAAACTAAAACCCAAATCAATACAAAGAGCAATATCAAGACCAGACGGCTCCTCATGTCCCTTCCCATCCATATCCCGCTGAAAGGTAACCACTACAATACGTCACCAAAAATTAGCTTTGCCAGCTAACTGACCTTCATATAAACATAATCATAGAGTTGTATCTCCTTCATGTCTGAATTATTTCACTCAATATAACTCGCTACTACTTTTTAAATATAGGCATTCTTCGGAGTTGCTTCCTAAGGCCTTTCCTCACTCTAACAATTTCATTCAATCCAAAGGCTTCAAAACTACTATCTGTCTAGCATTTTCATTCAATCCAAAGGCTTCAAAAGTACTACCTAAATAGAGATGATCCTGGAGCTCTTCAGACATACTTGAGTATTCTTCAGGAACCTCAAACTTAACACATCCAAATTCTAACTCATCATCTCTCCCCTTACCCTAAAACCAATTCCTGCTCGCATATTCTGCCTGTTGGTTAATGGGATTATGGTCACCCCTAAACTAGAAACCTCCAAGTCATCCAGACATATAAAATGTTGTTGGTCTAGTTCACACCATATCCCTAGTTACCAACATGCAGGACATACAGTAGTCTGCACTTATCTGCAATTTTACTTTCCACAGTTTCAGTTACCCACAGCCAACCACAGTCCAAAAATAGATGAGTACAATACAGTAAGATTGACAGACCATATTCACATAACTTTTATTACAGTATTGTTATTAACTGTTCCATTGTATTAGTATTTATTGTTGTTAATCTCTTACTGTACCTAATTTAGAAATTAAACTTTATCATAGGAATATATGTATAGGAAAAAACATAGTAGAGTCATCCCTTGCTATCCAAGTGGTACTGGTTCCAGGACCACCACCCACCCCAAAAGATACCAAAATCAATGGACACTCAAGTCCCTTATATAAATATTTGTATATAACTTATGCATATCCTCCCACATACTTTAAATTATCTCTAGATTACTTATAATACTTAACACAATGTAAACGCTATGTAAATATCCAATAGTTGTTATACTGCATTTTTTTATTATTTTTTATTGTTGCATTGTTGCTTTGTTTTGGGGTTTTGTTGTTTTTGAGACAGGTCTCACTTTGTCGCCCAGGCTGCAGTGCAGTGGCACCATCACAACTCACTGCAGGCTCGGCCTCCCAGGCTCAAGCCATCCTCCCACTTCAGCCTCCTGGGCAGCTGGGACTACAGGCATGTGCCACCACATCTGGCTAATTTAAGAAAAAAAAAATGGTAGAGAAAGGGTCTCACTATGTTACCTAGGCTATTATTTTTTACTGTTTTTTTTTTCCTGAATATTTTCGGTCTGTGGTTGGTTGAATCCATTAATGCAGAACCCATGGATACAGATGGCCTACTGTATATCTAATGTTCTACCTATAGGTATAGGTACTACCCCCAGCTTCAGGCATCCACTAGAGGTCTTGGAACATACCCTTCTCAAATTAAGTGGGAACTGCTGTACTCAAATTAGTTCAGGAGTGAATAAAAAATCCTGAACTGCCCTTCCCCCCTCCACATATAATCATTCATTAAAACCCAACAATTCTACATTGTAAACAATTATCCTATGTTCATGGTTCTTCATCTGCACTGACCTCGTGTAGACCTTCATCTAACTTCTAGGTCCCCTGCCAAAAATGTCCTATCCCATCCACTCCAGCTCCTGGTCTACTCTTCCTAATCCTCAAAAGCATCTCCCACCGACCCTATCACAACTGCAGCAGAGGTGATTACCTCCCTTTTTGGAATGACAAATACCTTGTACAAACCTCACAAGCAGCACATTCCAAGCAGCACTGCATGCTTTCCTTCCCTGCCACTAGGCTGAACTCCCTGAGCCAAGGGCAGCATATCATTCCTTCGTCAGCTCCTAACAGGCTGTTTTAACACACAAAGTCAAAACATGTTTATCAAAGGCCCTACTAAGGCAGTCTTCAAGTTTCTAGTTAGTCCCTCGCCAATCTATCCTCCAGCTGGCTGCCCAGTTAATGCCAAAGACTACAAATCTAATCATGTCATTCTCCACTTGACTTGCTTATCGAGTCAAGTCCTTAGCATGTGAGGCCTTTCACCACATGGCCTCAACCTCTCTTTTAGTCTCATCTCCTACCACTTTTCATCTCATCACCTAAAATTTCACCACTCCAAACTACTCACCATTCCCCACCCACATCGAGCCCTGTCATTCATGCTGCAGTACCTGGCATGCCCTTTTCATGCAATGCTAGTCTCTCATTTTCTCAGAGAATCTTTCCCAGGAATCCTTTCCAGAGGATTCTACTTCCAGGGAGCTGGTATGTCAGCCTTTCTGGATTCCCCTGGCACTGTGTAAATGCCTCCAATAAGGCATTTCAAGTTTTATTATTATTATTTATGTAAACGTCACCTCCCATTAGATAGGAAAAACTCAACATTCAAAAGACATACATCCTAAGAGCTTCATAAATGTAATACATATTCTTTTTATACCTCCTCACTTCTGTCTGATAGCCATAGCTAGTGCTAGCATTTATTTTGTATACGGAAAAAAATAAATGGCTCCTAGAAGAAAACCAAGTAAATAAATAATGTCTATATCACTTCCTGAGAGTTACCACACATATGGTAACCAGTAGAAAGTGACAAACCTCCACTGAAATTTGGAAGCTGGGTGGTGAGCCAGGCCCATTTACCAACTAAACAGATGGCTGCAGTCAGCTTAACATGTATTACCATTTCAAACTCATGCCTCAGCAAAACCAGTCCTTCAATGTTAAATTGTAAATACCAAGAACAGAGGACACACTTTCATTCATTATGTCGCCAACTCCTAAGTAGTGCCTGGTCCTCAAGGATCACTGAATTAATCAGTGATATCCGCTACACAATCTGTTGCTTCCTACTTTTATGAACTGATCCACAATTCTTCCATCACCCAACTGTAAACTTGTCATCTTGGAGCTTCTGTTGCCAAAAGAGCCAGTTAGCTACTGAGTCCCAGGATAATATCCACATCAATCTCCTTTACTCCCTCCCACTGCCCTAGCTCAGGCCCTCAGTGTCTCGCCTGAACCACACAGTGGTTTACCTCCTTCAACTTCTACTCTCTCCCACTCCCACCATGCAGATGAAACTCCTGGGGATCTTGTTAAAATGCCGATTATGCAGTAAGTCTGAGGTGGGGCCTGAGATTCTGCATTTCTAACAAGCTCCCAGGAGAGGCTGATGGTGCTGGTCCACAGACCACATTTCAAGGGGCCAAGGCTCAACACAATGCAGTCAACAAGCAGAGGCCAGCTAACCATCAATCAGGAATGGACAAGCAGAGGTTTCTATGCTAGGTAAGAAACTATTAGATGCTCTCTGCCCCCTTTCGGTGCAAAGATTCCAGGCCATCTCTGGGCTATCCATGAGGTTCTCACCCATTTTATACAAGTGAAGCCTGGCAAAGCTATACTCTTTTTTTTTTTAATTTTTTATGTATTATTATTATTATACTTTAAGTTTTAGGGTACATGTGCACAATGTGCAGGTTAGTTACATATGTATACATGTGCCATTTAACAGACATTACTTCACTTATGGCATTTGTCAGGTTCTGATTTAGTAACTGTCTACAGACAACCCTGGTTTAGTCTATTCCAATATTACATACGTTTCTAAAAGATAAAGAAGATACTGTGCATGGGGTAAGTATAATTGTGCCTGTGATAGTACCCTAAAGATAAATGAACTGTACTACTTTCTTTTACCCATCATCAGGATTATCTGGAGGTTGATGCTACCTGGGGTAATCTGTCAGTTTCTTAAAACCAAGAGGGTGGTCAACTGGTTTTGTTGTTGTTGTTGTTGTTGTTGTTGTTGTTGTTGTTGTTTTGATGGGGGGCTGGGAAGGGGAAGTATGCATATCTATAAAAGTAGGAAGCAATGACACCTTCCAATTCTAATGGCTACAAGCCAATTCAGGATATAAAATAAGCATTCCAACTATACAAACAAGACAATCCCTACTCTCAGAAATGAACTTCTGTGTGGTATCTTAAGAATGACATCCTCGGCCAGGCAGGGTAGCTTATGTCTATAATCCCAGCACTTTGGGAGGCCAAGACAGGCGGATTACTTGAACTAAGGAGTTTGAGATCAGCCTGGGCAACATGGCAAAACCTCGTCTCTACAAACAATACAAAAATTAAAATTAGCCAGATTACAAAAATACAAAAATTTAAAATGCCAAATTACAGGTGGCATGCACCTGTAGTCCCAGCCACTAGGGAGGCTGAGGTGGAAGGATGCCTTGAGCATAGGAGGCAGAGGCTGCAGTGAGTGGAAATCGCACCACTACACTCCCGTCTAAGCAACAGTACCAGATCCTGCCTCAAAAAAAAGAAAAAAAAAAAAAGAATGACATCCTCTTAAGCAGTTCCAAGATGTTTGTAGAACTTTTCTCATCACATATTCATTTTGTGAATTAAACACCAAGTCCCTCACATGACTTGGTTACAAAGCAAGGGATCATTGAGCTTCTGCTTCATAATCACAAGGGCCAATAACTATTCTCCTCCTGATTACATTGGTGCTAACATTTCTGTTAACATCCCCCATAAAAATCAGCCTGTCAAGTGTTGATATTGCTCTAATGAGTTAACTGAAGTCTCTGTAAAAATTTTCACAGAGGGCAAATAGGTGTTATTTAATAATAGATGGTGGAAAATACCCACTGGCAGGTAATTAACCTGAATGTTGATTGGTTTGAATTAGAAGTATTTTATTTGGATTAGAAGCATGACTTATTTTAGTCAGACAGGCTGAAATAATTTTTTTTGTTACCATGGTGTTTCTCATAATTATAAAACACAAAAAGCAAAAAGCAGCTCATTTTCCAGTGTTGTCATCCACATTACTACAAGACAATATTTCACAGAGCCACTGCCATCTACTCAAGATAAAAATAATTTATAATAGGTCATTAGTAAAGACAACTTGCCATGTGTGTAGTACAGGTTTTACAGCCATGGATAAAAGAGCTAATAAGTTGTTTTATGCTTATATGAATGCTGAAAGATTTTGTTTCTTCCTAGCATAGACGAGAGGTTTTTTTAAAAATTCCTTCTTCCATGAAGATCCAGAGAGGAGATACAGAGGTTTTTAAAAAATGACCCCAGGTCATGACCAAATCATCATCTTCCAATTTTTACATGAATGTGGTGTACGTATGATACCAAACTAAAAAAAAGTACCTCCCTTCAGAAGATAAACAGCACTTCCCATCAACCTCATAAATCCATAGAAAAATAAAACCTCATAGGCCTTAAAAAAAAGAAATACAAGAATGTCCCTCAGTGTACTCTAGGCTACTGTCAGGCTTTAGTGCAACCTCCAGCACATGCACATTTGCATTTTTTTGTTTCAAAAAATCAAAACGAATATTTGCTTAACCCAGAATTTAGATCCTCACAAACTATAATACAAATAGAGCCCAAAACGATTCAAGTGATAAAAAGGCCCAGATGCCTGGAAGTATTTGGTAAATGCTAAGGATTCAACTGGAACTATTAATCCTAAACTCGGTCGACTGTATCTGGAACCAATAATTTAGAGTTGCTCCTAAAACAATTCAGGATCCCAGAACTGAAGCAACAGTCTACTCCTAGTCCTTCGAGGGCAACACAGTGGAGTTTGGAGGCTCTCTCTCCCCATTCCTGCTACTACAGTAACCTGCGAATACTATGTCTCCATTAGAACACTTTTCACCTTTTTATTGTTAATGCTGGCTTGTTTCCACAAACATGCCCTCAAATTGGTAAGTAATTCAAGGGATCCTAGACAATTCACATTAATCATCTTTAATTCAAAGGATCACGATATAGTAAATAATCACAGTAATTACTGATTAAATGAATGAATGTGTATAGGCATACCTCAGAAATACTGCAGGTTCAGTTCCAGACCACTGTTATAGGGCGAATATCACAATAAAGTCACATGAATTTTTTGGTTTCCTAGCGCATATAAAAAGTTATGTTTACACGGTATAGTCTATTAAGTTTGTAACAGCATTACATATAAAGCACAATGCACACACCTTAATTTAAAAATACTACTAAAAGGTACTAACAATGATCTGAGCCTTTGGCAAGTCATAATCTTTTTGCTGGTGAAGGGTCTAGCCTCAATGTTGATGGCTGCTGACTGATTCAGGTGGTTGCTGCTGCAGATTGGAGTGGCTGTGGCAATTTCTTGAAATAAGACAATAAAGTTTGCTGCTCAACTAACTATTCCTTTCACAAAAGATTTCTCTTTGATAGCACTTTACTCACAGAACTTTTTTCAAAATTGGAGTCAATTCTCTCAAACCCTGCTGCTCCTTTATCAACTAAGTTTATGTAATATTCTAAATTATTTGTTGTCATTTCAACAATGTTCACAGCTTCTTCACCAGTAGTAGATTCCTTCTCAAGAAACCACTTTCTTTGCTTGTCCATAAGAGGAAATTCCTCATCCATTCAAGTTTCATCATGAGATTGCAGCAATTCAGTCTCATCTCCAGGCTCCACTTCTAATTGTAGTTCTTTTGCTATTTCCAACACATCTGCAGTTACTTCCTCCATGGAAGTCTTGAACTCCTCATTATCATCCATAAATCAACTTCTCCTAAACCCATGTTAATGGAGGTTCTCCTCCCATGAATCACAAATGTTCTTAATGGCATCCGGAATGGTGAAACCTTGCCAAAAGGTTCTCAATTTATTTTGTCCAGATGTATCAAGGGAATTACTATCTATGGCAGCTATAGCCTTACAAAATGTATTTCTTAAATAATAAGACCAGAAATTCAAAATTACTCCTTGATCCATGGAGTACAGAATGGATGTTGTGTTAGCAGGCATGAAAACAACATTAACCTCTATGTACATCTCCCTCAGAGCTCTTGGATGACCAGGTACATTTTCAGTGGGCAGTAATATTTTGAAAGGAATCTTTTCTTTTTCTGAGCAGTAGGTCTCAAAAATGGGCTTAAAATATTAAGTAAATAATGCTACAAACAGGTGTGCTGTAATCCAGCTTTGTTATTCCACTCATAGAGCACAGACAGAGCAGATTTAGCAGAATTCTCAGGGGCCCTAGGATTTCCAAAATGGTAAATGAGCATCCGCTTCAACTTAAAGTCACCAGCTGCATTAATTCCTAACAAGAGAGTCAGCCTATCCTTTGAAGGAAGCCAGGTACTGACTTCTCCTCTCTAGCTATGAAAGTCCTAGATGGCCTCTTCTGCCAATAGAAGGCTGCTTCATCCATCTACACTGAAAATCTGTCACTTGGTGTAGCTGCCTTCATCAATGATCTTAGCGAGATCTTCCAGATAACTTGCTGCAGATTCTACATCAGGTTCTACACATCATAACTTGTGCAGCTTCACCTTGCACCTTTGTATTATGGACACAAGCTTATTTCCTTCAATCTCATGAACCAACCTCTGCTAGCTTCAAACTTCTCTTTTGAAACTTCCTCACCTTTCTCAGCCTTCAAAAAATTAAAGAGAGTTAGGACCTTGCTCTGGATTAGGGTTTGGATTAAGTGAATGTTGTACCTGGTTTGATCTTCTATGTAGACCACTAAAACGTTCTCCATATCAGCAATAAGGTTGTTTTGCCTTCTTACAATTCATGTGTTCACTGGAGTAGCACTTTTAATTTCCTTCAATAACCTCTTTTGCATTTGCAACTTGGTTAACTGTTTGTGGCACAGGAGAACTAGCTTTTGGCCTTTGTCAGATTTCAACATGCCTTCCTTTACAAAGTTTAATCATATTCAGCTTTTGATTTAATGTGAGAGACTTGTGACTCTTCCTTTCAATTGAACACTTAGGCCTTTATAGGGTTACTAACTGGCCCAATTTCAATACTGTTGTGTCTCAGGGAATAGGGAGGCCCCAGGAGAGGGAAAAAGATGGGGGAATAGCCAGTCGGTCAAGGAGTCAAAACACACACAACTTTATCAAGCTTGCCATCTTACATGGGCGTGGTCTGTGATGCCCCAAAACAATTACAATAGTAACATCAAAAATCACCGATCACAGATCACCTTAACAGATATAACAATGAAAAGGGTGCTCACTTCGGCAGCATATATACTAATAGTGGAATGATACAGAGAAAATTAGCATGGTCCCTGTGCAAGGATGACATGCAAATTCATGAAACGTTCCCTATTTTTTTTAAAAAATTATAAACAATGAAAAGTTTTGAAATATTGCAAGACTCACCAAAATATGACACAGAGACACAAAGTGAGCACATGCTGTTGGAAAAAACGTTGCCAACAGACTTACTCAACACAGGGTTGCCACAAACCTTCAATTTGTAAGAAATGCAATATCTGCAAAGCACAACAAAAGCAAGCACAATAAAACAAGGTATGCCTGTACAGTCTTCCATGTAACTGAGCATCAGTGCCCAACAACAGTAGATCCCATCTTCCTTAATGAGCCCTAATTAACTCTAATTAACATCTGTGGCAATTTCCCATTGCTAAAAATAATAAAACCACATGACATTTGTATAACATTCACAGTTTACAAAGCACTTCCACACGTATCATCAAATCTGAATCTCACAAAGTTCTTCAAAACAGTTTTTTTTTTTTTTTTTTGAGACAAAGTTTTGCTCATTGCCCAGGCTAGAGTGCAATGGCACGATCTCGGCTCACTGCAACCTCTGCCTCCCGTTTTCATAGGATTCTCCTGCCTCAGCCTCCCGAGTAGCTGATTTTTTTGTATTTTTAGTAGTGACAGGGTTTCACCATGTTAGCCAGACTGGTCTCGAACTCCTGACCTCAGGTGATCCACCTGCCTCGGCCTCCCAAAGTGCTGGGATTACAGGCATGAGCCACTGCACCTGGCCGAAAACAGATTTTTTTAAAATCACCTTTTTTTTTCTCTCTCTCTCTAATAAATGAGGCTGAAGGAGGTTAAGGGGTTTACTATAGGTCTCACATCATGTAAAGAAGCACAAAGACCAGAGAAGGGCTCCAGTGCTCTTTCCACCCCAAGGAAGAGCAGCAACAGACATCCCAAAATGTGGAGGGATGGTGTGTAAGAACTAGTACTGTCGTCATAGACACTTTCATTCATTATCTTACTTGATCCTCTCAACAACCTCGTGCAGCAGGTAAGAAAGAATGCAGAAAAGCCGTGTCAGTGGCACAGCCAGAACTCAAGTCCAGGTGGTAACTAGTTTAAAGTCTATGCTTCACAAATGCTGATGTGCCCAAACTGACCACAGAAGCTCATTAGGGATACGTTTTCCATATTCAGCAAATCAAGGGGGACACTTACAAGTTAACTCTGACATGTGATGCCTGAACTTGAATTCTGCCTCTCTCTTGCTCACTGTCCAAATCTAGACAAGTTACCAAACTGCTCTGTAACTCCATTTCTCTATCTGTAATACTGGGGTGATAACCTACCTCATACGGTTGTTGTGAGAATTAAATTAATAGTTATAAAGCACTTAATATTTATAAAGCACTAAACAGTAATTAGCATACAGGGTGATAGAAATGTTTACTAAATACCAAAATACTATATAATTTCTTGAACATTAGGTAGCAGGATACAATTGTGCTGAAGCAGTTCAATTCTTTTGCACTTGCTTATTCAAATTTTTTAAAAATAACATCTGGTTTGTCATTGTGGAAGAAAGCACTGTTACATACAAATACCTAAATGTGGTGACCACAGTTTCATTTCATTTAGGTTTTTTTTTTTAGACGAAGTCTTGCTCTGTCACCCAGGCTGGAGCGCAGTGGCATGATCTCAGCTCACGGCAACCTCCACCTCCCTGGTTCAAGCGATTCTCCTGCCTCGGCCTCCCGAGTAGCTGGGATTACAGCCGCACACCACCATGCTTGGCTAATTTTTTGTATTTTTAGTAGGGACAGGGTCTCGAACTCCTGACCTCAAGTGATCTGCCCGCTTCAGCCTCCCAAAGTGCTGGGATTACAGGCATGAGCCACCACGCCCAGCTTCATTTAGTATTTTACAGCAATGGGTCCGGAGATTTTCTCCTTAAGTGTTCATGTATTAAAAAGCCTATAGTCAACTACAGCAAAGGTGATTTGGAACTTCTGCAACACAACTAAAAGCCTACAGAAGAGAAACCTAGTTGTCCAACACACAGAATCTTATAAAGCCACCAAACCCAACAGCAGTACCATTTGTGTCTTGCAGTCATTTATATAATAACTAAGAATTGGTCAATAGACCATGAAAGCCCGTTTGCCAAAGATGGCAGATGTTCTAATTTGACTTTTCTATATTTGGAATGTGTTCCTTTTCCCTCCCCCATTCCCACTAAAAAAAACACTTCATTTTTTCTGGGAATTAACTGACTCAACAGCACTAACGTACCATGGGTACGATTAGAACACTGGTCGCAGGATCACAGAGTTCTATCTCAAGTTAGAGCTATTTCAAATTATTATTCCTGTAATCAAGAACTGTCATCAGTTCAAGACAACACATGGAACCCCCTTCTCAGGCTAGCCAAAAAAAAAACTCAAGGCACCACTGGCAGAGTCTACTAATTTCAATAGGCATGTTAGCCTTCCTTTTTTAAAATTAAAAGATAAACCAGGCCAGGCGCAGTGGCTCATGCCTGTAATCCCAGCACTTTGGGAGGCCGAGGCGGGCAGATCACGAAGTCAGGAGTTTGAGACCAGCCTGGCTAACATGGTGAAACACCGTCTCTACTGAAAATACAAAAAGTACCCAGGTGTAGTGGTGTGTACCTGTAATCCCAGCTACATGGGAGGCTGAGGCAAGACAGGAGAATCACTTGAACCTGGGAGGCAGAGGTTGCAGTGAACCAAGATCGCGCCACTGCACTCCTGCCTGGGTGGCAGAGTGAGACACTGTCTCAAAAAAAAAAAAAAAAAGATAAAGATAAGCCATATGTGCTTCACAATGACCTTTAAGGGGTAGCCCCCAGAATTTCTCCAGAAGGTGAAAAAAGTTCAGTGAATCTGAACAGTATAAACAGCTGAGACTGCTGCCTAATGCAAAATAAATTAGTCAAAGAGCTCAAATTCAGAAAACAGAAATCAATGCTTTATGTCACTTCTTTAAAAAAAATATTTTTTTTTTTTTTGAGTCAGTCTCACTCCATTGCCCAGGCTGGAGTGCAGTGGCACCATCTCGGCTCACTACAATTTCTGCCTCCTGGACTCAAGTGATTCTTCTGCCTCAGCCTCCCGAGTAGCTGGGATTACAGGGATGCACCACCACGTCCAGCTAATTTTTGTATTTTTAGTAGAGACGAGGTTTCACCATGTTGGCCAGGCTGGTCTCAAGCTCCTGACATCAGGTGATCTGCCCGCCCGCCTGCCTCAGCCTCCCAAAGTGCTAGGATTACACGCGTGAGCCACCGCACCTGGCCTAAAAAATTATCTCTAATACGTAAAGGGTGAAAAATACACATAGAAGCAATATTTTATATTCCAGCCCCCCTCCCCTTCCCATCCAAGCCACTTAGAGATGATACAGAATCCACAGGAAAGGAGTATCCTGATAAGTCCATATCCAGAAGCACATAAGCTGCCATCCTAAAAGTGACGATGGCGTGGGAAATTGGGGCATCAAAAAGAAATGCAGTGGTAAGGCTAAAGAGCCTTCCCTTTCTCCCTACTGTCCCTCAACAAACCCTAATACCTACCCTAAACTTACATTACTCCATATTGTAGATTTTAATCCCCAGCCTGCCAGTTAAAACAGACAAGCAAAAATGGCATAAACTCTGGAGAAAAGTGCTTTTTTTTTTTTTTTTTTGAGACAGGGTCTCGCTCTGTCACCCAAGCTGGAGTGCAGTGGCATGACCATGGCTCACAGCAGCCTCGAACTCCTGGACTCAAGAATATCTTCCCACCTCAGCTTCCCAAGTAGCTAGGACTACAAGCATGCTACCATGCCCATCTAATTTTTTTTATTATTATTATTTTGTAGAGAATGGGTCTCACTATGTTGCCAAGGCTGGTCTCGAACTCCTCAGCACAAATGATTCTCCTGCCTTGGCCTCCCAAAGTGTGGGAAATACAGGCATGTGCCACATACCTGCCAAAAGGGGCATTTTAAATCAGTGAAGAAAGAACACAGTTATTCAATTAAAATGTGCGAACAATTTGTTATTTTTCCTCCTTCCCTTTTTTTTTTTTTTTTTGAGACAGAGTATCACTCTGTCACCCAGGCTGGAGTGCAATGGCTTGATCTCGGCTCACTGCAACCTTCACCTCCCAGGTTCAAGTGATTCTTCTGACTCAGCCTCCCGAGTAGCTGGGATTACAGGTGCCTGCCACCATGCCCAGCTAATTTTTGTATTTTTAGTAGAGATGGGGTTTCACCATGTTGGTCAGGTTGGTCTTGAATTCCTGGCCTCAGGTGATCCACCTACCTCGGCCTCCCAAAGTGCTGGGATTACAGGTGTGAGCCACCGCACCCGGCCTCTCCTTCCTATCTTAAATGATGATACATCAAATTTTTATGCATAGAAAACTATAAAATACTGGCCGGGCATGGTGGGTCACGCCTGTAATCCCAGAACTTTGGGAGGCCAAGGCAGATGGATCACCTGAGCTCAGGAGTTCAAGACCAGCATGGCCAACATGGCAAAACCCCATCTCTACTAAAAATACAAAAGTTAGCTGAGCGTGGTGGCAGGCGCCTGTAATCCCAGCTACTCAGGAGGCTGAGGCAGGAGAATCGCATGAACCCGGGAGGCAGAGGTTGTAGTGAGCCGAGATCACACCACTGCACTCCAGCCTGGGTGACAGAGCAAGACTCCATAAAAAAAAAAAAAAAAAAAAAGAACAGAACAGAACAGAAAAGGAAAGAAAAGAAAAGAAAATGATAAAATACTACAAGTACTAGAAAATTTTTAAAATCCTGGAGTAGAAGAGATATTCCTAAGCATGACACAGACCCTGAAAACCTAGAGGAAAAGACTGATATAAAAGTGAACAGATAAAGAAAATATAAGTGACTTAGTAAACAAAACTAGCTTCTCTATGTAACTCCCAAAGAAATTAGTAAGAAAAAAGCAAACATCCAACCCCCCCAAAAAAAAAAAGCAGGCAAGGGATATGAACAAGTCACAATGAGTTACCAATTAATGTTCAACAAAATTAACTGCAAATTTTTTTAAATTGAGATTTTTTTCCCCAGGATCAGTTACCCTACTCACCCCCTCCCATCCATAAATACAACTACTACCTCTCATCATATCCTACCTCCACACTCAATGGAGAACATGCGTGTGTGTGTGTGTGTGTGTATATACACATACATATATATAGTGTGTGTGTGCATAAGGAAGAATAAGTTTGCCAACTATAGCAGTGTTTATACACGAGAGTTCCTTGTTACTTAAAACTGAATGTCAGCTGCACCCCAGCCATACCACCTCTCTAAGAGACCATCAAGAGAAATTTTTCCTCTGCTTCCGCATCTGGGATACTCAATATGACAGATGCAATATATTTTTACCCTTGTGTACTTACGCATTTTTTTAAAAGTTCCTTTACTCATTTAAAATTGAACAGTAATCTTTGGGGAATTAATTGACTTAGTAGGCTAACTCTCATAGAAAGGAAGCTAAAGCTTTTGCTTAAGATAAATAATTAAATTAAAATGAAATCTAGCATAAAAGGAAATCTGTCATACCCTAAAATTAGCTGGAAATATTTGTTTCCACAGTTCACAAACTATCTTTTTGCTAATGAGAGCAGGATATTTCTTTCTCTCTCTCTCTCTCTTTTTTTAAGAGACAGAAAGAGAGAGAGAAAGTATTCAAAGCAATGGCATATTTCTGATAAAGACTTCCAAATCAGCACACAACAAAAGCCCAAAGATACTGAACAAGTTGTTTCAATTATGTCACAGAAAGGTAGAACTGCGTACATGTACCTGAAAAATAAGCTAAGTTGCAATTAATTTTGACACATCTTTTTAAAAATAATTCAAAGAAGATAATGTTGAATCTTTTTAATACATACATATTTATTTTTTTATTTATTATTTTTTTTTTTTTTTGAGACTGAGTTTTGCTCTGCCACCCAGACGGGAATGCAGTGGTGCAATGTTGGCTCACTGCAACCTCTGCCTCCCGGGTTCAAGCGATTCTCCTGCCCCAGCCTCTGGAGTAGCTGGAATTACAGGCGTGCGCCACTAGGCCCAGCTAATTTTTTGTATTTTTAGTAGAGACAGGGTTTCACCATGTTAGCCAGGCTGGTCTCGAACTCCTGACCTCAGGTGATCTGCCCGACTCAGCCTCCCAAAGTGCTGGGATTACAGGTGTGAGCCACCGCACACAGCCAACACACACATATTTAAAGGGAAATTTTTTTCAAAATTCATGCTTAAATTTTTCTCCCAAATTATTTTTTTAATTCAATGATTTTTTTCTAACACTTTTATTCTTTTAACAATTTCACCTTCAAAGTACTGAATGAACTAAGAACATTGATTTTCTAACACTGTACCTCTTCTCTGCCAACTGTCAATAGTTCTATCATGCATCCCACAAAGGTAACATCACTGATGAAATCTAATTTCTCTCTCTGCAATTAAAATACCCACCTGTTCCATCAGAAGTTCCTTTCTTACAATCTGTCAAAGTGATATGCAACCCCTCAAAAGCACTGATTAGAATGAAAAGAACTAGGAAAAAACCTTGAATAGAGAAACGACTAACTGTGTAAAGCACACAATTTCTTTAACTTTCATTTTTAATAGTATTAATATAAAGAACCACCAAAGACAGTAAGTATTACACATTCACAGTGTGGGAAAAAAAGAACACTGGACAGATCATCAAAATCCTAGGTGGTGGTCCTAACTCTGTAACTGACTTAACCAATGATTCTGGACCAGATTCTTTACCTCACAGGTTTACTTTTCTCATCTATAAAAATACAGATGTTGGACTAAATTATCTCTACAACATCCTAAATTCTATTACCTGTCCAAAGTAACAGTGCAAAAAATCCATTTTCTTAAAATGTTTTTTCTCCTACTGACTCTAAGCACCGGTAGGCAAGCACACAGCTCACCATAAATAAAGCTAACTAGCCAGCAAATTTTACACATTTGTATCCCTCTAATACAGTTATTAGAGTAAACTTGATGAACTAGACTATGAAGGCATCTTGCTAAGTTAATTTAAGAATTTCACTTTAACTTAAAAGAGGATGTACTTTATACTCATCTCTGGCATGCTGAATTTTACTTCAGGAGTAGGAATGACAGGGAACGGGGTAATCAAACATCGATTCTTGTCCTAATCTACACCAAAGAGGAGGTCTGCTTTGTTTGGTTGGCAACCTCCAGCTGACTTGTGTACATTAGGTCCAAGTCCATAAGAAAAGGCAGGGGATTTGACAGTTTTAAGCCCATAGCCATGTCTTACAGAACTTAAAACAACTACAACTTTCAAAGCCCTTCAAAAAAAACAGGCTCTCTAATGAAGCCTCAGAATGTTACGAGTTGGAAGAGATCTTGGACTCGCTCTACTCCAACCCCATCGTCTTACAAATGAGGAAATCAAAGCCCAGGGTAGGTTAAAATGAATGCCCAAAGTCATGCCAAGTTTCCCAACTCTCAGACTACTTTCTCTAAAAAGCAGTACATTTTCTCTCACAGTGTGAGATAAAAGGAAAAAATTGTTTCCCAAAGTTCTGTTTTTGAAGAGGAGAGTGACTTTGACCCAACCCCCACCCCCAACACACCAGCCAAGCTCTTGCTGTATTTAAAAACATGCCTGGTATTTGAAAAGAAAGCCCAAACACTCTAACACATTATTAACTGAGGCAGGTATATGAAAAGATTCATTCTCCACCTGCTCTTCCTCAGATGTCTGATTCAGAAGAAATAGAGAGCAACAAATACAAATCTCTTCCTGCTTAAACAGAATGTGAGAAAAACCCTTTAAAAAAATTACAACCAATTCAAATTCTCTCTAACTTCACTTTCTAATTAGATTTCACTCATTATTGAAATGGTCCAAAACCAAATATTTCAAATTTCATCAGTCTTCAACTGAATGCTTTCACAAACTAGAAGCAAGGCTAATTTACTTTTAGCCAAGCTCCAGTTAGAAAAAAATATGCCAAAATTCTGGATGTTTTTTGCTTGTGTTTTTCTAAAGTATTGATATCTCCAAAATCATACAATATGTGCAACCTCCAAACAAAGTATTTTATGGAGTTTTCATTATTAACTTCTAGGTCACAAACTCAGAGGCCACTAGGCTTACACCTCCACAAGACACTTTATTGTTAAACACACTTTACGATGTATAAAAATCTCAAATGTAAAAAATACAACAGGGAAAAAAATTACTTCAGTATGCATGTGGCATTACAAAATGGTTATGCCTTGTTTCACCTAACATACCAAAAAGTATATGAGGCCAAGTCATGGTAACACAACAAAACCATTCCAACTCTAAAGTCAAAGAATAACAACACTTCATTAATCCAGTAACTGTTATTATGCTTGATAAAAAGCATAATATCACACATCTTCAAAGAGTTGCTATTTCACAGTTACCTAAATATACTAACATCTTTTAATCAAAGTATCATTAAAGTCTATTCTTCCTAAGTACTTGAGTTTCAATTTATCATAAGTTTCTGGAGTTGAAGTTTCATACAAATCCAGTCAGTCATACAGCCTTAGGTTATAAATATCTAATATATCTAATGAATTCATATGGTGGATTTTGTTTAATTATATTATCTTTAGAAAGCCAAAGGTAAGTATAAAAAAGGGTTTGCCGTAGAATCACAGTGACGTCAGGCCAGATTCAAAACCCCTCATTACCAGTGTTCCACCAGATGCATGTGATTAAAGGGATGGAATGGGTTTAGAAGGTGGAACTTTAAAGAAAAAAAAAGACTTCATTTTCCCAGGCTGTTTTAGACATTTTGATAACATCTCTTTCTCTTTTTCAAAATGTCAGGCGTCTTTAAAGGAATCGTTTTTCTATTGAGCGGCTTCAGGATCTCTGGACTTTCACAGTACAATCAAACCCTTCTCCAGTCCAGATAGACTGAATTATGTTAAACCCTGGCACATAACAAAATCATTAAATCTAAGATGCCTCATTTGACAGATGTCTCATTAAATTCACTGCAAAATTAAGTACGAGATGCCTTTGAAAAGTTGGGAGAAACCTGTTAACTCTAAGAAAACTTTCAGAGAGAGCTATTCTCTCAAAATCCAGAGTTCACTCACGTGAAATAGAAGATATTAATAGTATGTAGCACATCTAAAATCTCCTGCCATGGGAGAAATGCCGCTGTGTGTATGTGTGTTTAACACATCCCTGGGGACCCAAACAGGATGGAAGCTGAAAAATCAGGGCACACACCACCAGCTGCTTAACAAAATTCCACAAATTAAATTCAACAAATGTTAAACTAAAATGCCAAGGACTATACTAGGCTTAGATCACATACAATGTCAGTGAATGTTATGTTACCAGTAAATGAAAAGCTAATTTCAGGATTCTAAGAAGAGAATGAGAAACAACAAAAACATTTTACACTTAAAAAATAACTTATCTTTGTATATATCAATCATTTAAGGTGGGTGATTTGATAATCTTATAGCAACCAAAAGATAAAACTTTCAACCTAAAACTTTACACAAATTCATTTACACTCATCTCCTGCCCCTACAATTACTTCAATGAGTACAAAAGACACACGAATTTAGGAATAACTATGAAATTCAAGGAGAAGAACTTACTATCTCTAGCACTATATAACATGAATTATAAAAATTATACAAGAGCACAATAACATCAAGAAAGCATCATTAAAAGACAACTCGATTTTTTAATAATAAGTTTAAGCAAATAAGATATTTAATGAGAAATATTTTCAGTTACTTTAAAAGCCATGTTTTAAAGCAACTGAACTGTCACACATACACACACACACACACACACACACACACCCACACCCCTCAAAAGTTACCCACTTTTCAGGCAAAGTGTTAATTCTCTACTTCCCAATGAAGATTTACAGTTTAACAAATAGGTATGCTTGAATAAGAGAATAAAGAACTATTACGTAAACTTTAATTCATATCAACTTAAATCCAAGCATGACTATTTGCAACCAGGATATTTAGAACACTTCAGTACTCTTTCCATACTGTCTCCTTATTTGTCCGTCTTGGTTCTTTACATTTTTAAAGGCACCATGATAAACAGAACCATCCACATTTCACAAGAAATACCACTTTGAACTAGAGGATAATACCACCTCATTACCAACAAAAACAGCATATTTTTGGAATGCTTTTAACCAAGGGAAAAATTCAAGTGTAAATTTAATTTAGCATCGATTCATGGAAAGTGATACGAATTGCAAAATAAAATACCCAAGCTCTCTATTCTCCGCCCTCCCGAGGACGGAAATACGACGAGTCAGATCTCTCTGTGCATCAGTTTCTCCATCTGAAAAGAGGATTGCCACTGACTCCTCCTTAACACTGTTTTTGAAAGGGCGAATGAAATAATTTATGTAAAAACCCTTCAAGATGTTTGAAGATAATAAAAACCAATGTATTGTAGATGTTATCACGCCATAGTAGTGAAGGGTGGCATGTACTTTACAACAAAAACAAACAAATATAAAATATAAATATAAAAATGTAAAATACTAAAAAAAAAATTTAAAGCCTCTGTACTGAAAATTAAAGGGACTGTTCAAGCACACACTGGTGTCACACGTTCGAACCGCGTTACTCAATACTGCTGTAATTATAGTAATAAGAACCTGCTTGTCAATATTATAGCTTAATGCTGAACCACCTCTCCCCTCTTGGTTTGCATGTAGGAAACCACATTAAGGTTTGATCATTCCCAGAAGAGAAAATAAATAAAATATGACAGGGATAAAAAGATTGTTCCCGCGAAATCCCAAGGAGTCACACACAAAAATACCTTGTCCGAGATTCACTAGGTACAGTGAATGTGCACTTTATTCTGTCAACACCCTTTGTCATTACTAAAATTCGAACAGAAATTGCTAGACTACTCAGATCTAAGTGCTGGGAGAAAAGAGTCAAAAAATATAAAAAGATATAGTTTAATGCTGCCCTACATCAATGACAAAGGCTCCCCAGAGAGTCTAAAACAAAAGCTCATTCATGTTTAGGAGTCCATAACTTATGTCGAGCAACCTTAAGTTCTTGAATTTTTTAACCTATAATTACTCTCTTTCAGGCAAAATTTAAGATGTCCGATTTTAAAAGGATATTAAATACTTAAGTAACTTCAGATAAAGCTAATTAAATTTTCCCATATCTTAAGTCAGCTAAGAGAATGGTGGCCTGGTAGATGCTATAACAATTTTCAAACCAAGTTTTCATTAACAACTCTGTAATTAGATAGTACCTTTATCCAGGGCCTTCTCGCTCATTAAAGACTTTCATTTTACTTTACCCAGATAAATATTTAAATATTCAAAGCAACCACAAATGGCTTTCAAAGCCTCTAAAAAACAACCCTAGTCAGGTTATAAATACTAAAATTGAACAGAAAGGTGATCTTCAAGAGAGCAGACCCTCAAGACAGTAGATAAGCTCAATTTAAATGCAGAAAAATATTCAAAAGAATTTGAAAGCAACTTCCTAGCTATCCTTAACCCCAACTATACGTAAACAAAACAACATGCAGCAATAAATTTAAAAATAAGTTATGTATAAAATTACCAATGGGGTACAGAATTTTCAAAAACCCTGTAAAAGATGTCATCTAAAACAAACATTAATTATCCTCTTCCTACAGAAAAAAACTACTACCAAAATGTAACTCTGTCCTGTTGAGGTGTCCTATATTCTGTTGGAACACAGAGATCATTTCTAGGAATCACTTCCAGCCTGGTGCAAACCTTCACTATATGTGGAGTCCTGACAACGTTTCCATAAATGAGACTACGCTTTTGTTCATCAATAACTGAACTTCTTTGCAAAAATTCAAGTGGATTCACCATACACTAAATTTTGTTCTACTGCAAATGAATAACAGCAGAGATGTCTGGTATATTAACTTAGGCTTAAAATAAGCTCAACTTTGCTTTAAAGCCAAAATAAGCAATTAGACAACTTCGCAACAATCAGGCATTTTTCTTCTAGGACACCTGTACACTGGCTTCATGTTCAAGAATAGGGTGGATACTTTGTGTGGCACCCCCACACATCTGAGTATATGTAAGCACATACTCAGAGGCATACATGCATTTATGCTGTACATATAGAAACAAGGCAGTAAGTGCAGAATGAGGTAACAATTACTGCTTTTCATAAAGAACAAAACAAAAAGATTAAAAGATCATGCCAAACATTTTAAGATTTAACCAGGAAAGACTTTTTTAATATTGAGATGAGGTTTTGAGAAAAAAGAAAGTGCTTATTACCCATTAGAATATTTTAGACACTCTTGAAGAGAATCAAAGGGAAACACAGATTCAAACTTTGTTAACTGTGACACCCAAAACCTTTCCGTGGACACTTATCACAATGGATATATCCAATCATAAGCAAACTCTTTCCATATAAAATTTGTTCAAACTCTAATACATCCCTTGTTTTTATATACAGTTCCTTCCATGTAGTTAAAGGGCACCTATTTTTAATGCTTTTGTAAAATAACAATATTTTACAAATTACATGAATTAAAGGAGAAAAGAATACAGTTGTTGATCTTACATAAAAAATCATCTATTTCCTGGACCATAAACTTTAAAAGCCATGTCATCGAGTTGACAAATTGTCTTCAGATACTGCAAATGCTACTGTATTACGATTTGGTTTTCTTTACAAGTAAAAGATTCATCAGAAATCCACTTAAATTTCAGAAAAACTTCCAAGAAATTTAAAGGGCATCTCTCTCACCAGGAATCCTGTCAGTCTTGCATATTTCAATGTGGGAGTAAAGATGTAAAGATTTCTTCATGCAAACTAATTAAATTGCCACTGGGACACACAAGCTGGACCAAAAGACATTAAATTGTAAAGAATGGCTACAAATTAATGGAGTTACAAGTATGATTATTTTCCACCATCACCTACAACCTAAAAACGTAAAGTTAGCGAAGAGTTAACACTCTTGATTTAATTTTGCTATGAGAACTTTATTTTAAATAAAATTCCTTATCACTGAGAACATAATTATTCAAACCAGAGGAGGAAAGGGATGTAAAACTACTTAGAAAACTCAAGTACAATATCCAGCATCTATAGCTCCTGAATTTAGTACTAGCCAAATCTTCAGCCAAAAGAGAAACATTACATGGGTCACCCCTAGTCAAGAATTTGCTAATGTACTGAAACAAGACGGGGGAAGATTTCAGGACACATCTGAAGAAATAGCAACCACTTAAATCCTTCTTGTGAACCTTCCTGCAAGGCGTATTGCGGTGGTCAGTTCTGACCATAAAGGCTGGAAGAAAATGAGAGAAACAGGCAAAATCTTTTTTTTTATGCAAGACAAACTTGCAGACGAAACAGAAATCGAGCAAAAAAAGCGCTGGGGAAAAGTATCAGTTAAAAAGGCACCCTTTTGTCAGATTTCTAATGAGGGCTCCGTGGGTAATTTATGAGTGTGGCAGAGCTGAATAAACAAAGGCACCAGTTGACAAGTCAGGAGCTCCCGGTGGCACATACAGCTAGAACGCTCAACTGGACAGTCAAATGCAGGCAAAAGTGTGATAGAGCATTTTTATTGTCATTTCTTCTGTCCGTCTTATGCTCACGTGACAGTTTACCTGAAATCCCAAACTGCCTGAAACCCAACATGCCCCTGAGGAAGCACCTTTATGGTTAAAGGTGCTCTTGCCGCTTTCAGAGGGATCTGCTTCCTGTACTTCCTGGTGATTCAGCCACCTCTTTCACATTGCTTTCCAACCTCTGAGCCCTCAAGATTGATAAAACGTGCAGATTTAAAGATTGCTCAATCTAGTACTACACAGACTGTATGAAAAAGCTGTAAAGTTTAAGACAAAGACTCATCAGGACCCGCACTTACTCTTGGGTTGGGCAAACTGACAAGCAATTTGAATCACTCCTCGGTCCTCGGCAGCTTTTGCAACCACCCGTCAAGGCAGGTGACTTCCTTACCTGCATAGAAGCGGATGAGGCAGCCAATCTCCGAGTCCATGCCTTCCTCCTGCACCCTCCACAGCTCCCCAAATCCCAGTTGGAAGAGGTAGTCATTTTGGATCTGCAATGGCTTCTCCTCCGCCTCCAAGCGCCGGGTGGTCTCTCCGTGGAGCTGCACGTACAGGGTGGGCGGCGGGGGCGGCGGAGGCGCCTTCTCCGCGGTCACCCCGCTCCTCCCGGGGGTAGACTGGAGGCCTCCCGGGGCCACGGCTGCCGCTGCCTTCTCCTCGCACGACCCCTCGCGGACGGCCCCGCCCGGGCTGTCAATGGCCCTCGGGGCTTTCTGCTGCGGCTGAGGCGAGGAAGCCGTCTGGGGAAGCGGGAGGGGCTGCGCGGGGTGGCCGGGACGGCGGGGCTGGCCCGGGACCCCCGTCGGGGCCGAGGCTGCGTCGGCCTCGAGCTCTTCCGACGACGACGAGGAGCCGCCGCCGCTGCTGTAGGGGTCCAACCGGTCAGACACGCTCTCGGCGCTGGGACTCAGACTGAAGCTCTCGGTGTCGGAGACCACAGGCCGTGGGGCGCGGGGCGAAGAGACAGGGCCCCCAACGAACGGCTCGCCGGGGCTGGAGTCCGAGGGCGCTGGGCTGGCGCGGCGCGACCACCCGCCCGGGCCGCCGACGGGCAGGGGTAGGTCGGCGGGGGGCGCGCGCGGAGGCCCCCCGAAGGCACCCGGCGCGCTCCTCGCGGGCGGTACCTCCGAGTCCCGCGGCTCCGGGGGCGCCAGCCGGGGGCCGGCCTCGGGGGGCGGTTCAGCGGGCTCCCGGGCGGCGGCGGCTCCGGGCCCCTGGCCCAGCACCTTCACCACGCCGCCGCCTTTGTGGCCCAGCTGCAGCAGGCGGGCGGCCACCTCGCCGGCCGTGGTGTCCAGTGTGCAGAGCACCGGGCGCAGGTAGGTCGAGGCCATGTGGCGGTCGAAGACGTGCACGCAGCCGCGCTGGAGCTGGTGCCTCACCCAGTCCCGGTCCGACGGCTGCAGCTGCAGCGTCTGCCGGTGCTTCAGAAGCAGCGTCTTCCTGTCCAGGCTCCGGGTGCACAGCGACGCCGAGGCCGAGCAGGAGGCGGGGAGGCCGGCAGCGCCGGGGGAGTGCGAGGCAGCAGCGGCCGAGGACGACGACGACGAGGAGGCGGCCGCGGCGGCCGCGGACAGATTCCTCTTCAGCCGCCCTCTCCTCAGCAGGAGGGAGTTGGCGCCGCCGCCGGCCCCGGGTACGGGGGCAGCCCCGCCGGCAATGGGCTGGGGCGCCCCGCGCCGCCTCCTGCGCCCGGCACCCCCCGCTCTGCCCGGCAGCGGCCCCGGCGGCGCCTCGCCTGGGGCCTCTTCCCGCGCCCCGCTGCCGCTGCCGTTCCCGCCGCTCGGGGCCGCCGGGGTCAGCGCGGGCTCCGGACTCCGGCCGCCCCCGGCCGCCGCCGCCAGAGCCGCCGCGGCCGCCGCTGCTGCTGCTGCTGCCGCAGCGGCGGCCGCCGGAGCCGAAGCTCGGTCCTCCCTGCCGAGCTCGGGGAGTCGCTGTACCGTGGCCGCGGCGGCGGGCTCCATTGCAGTGGGGCTTCGCGTTTCCCCCCCAGCTCCGGAGGCAGCGGGCGGAGAGGGAGGCGATGAGGCGGAGGTGGGAGACGGCGGCGGCGCGCGGAGAAGGGAGAAGCCAATGGCGTTGTGCGCGGCCGTTCCAGGGGATTATGTGGCGATTCGGAGCATTCCGTCGGTGTCTCAGTGTTCCATCCCGCGCGCCCGCCTCGCCGCCACCGCCCCCCCGACACACGCCCTCCCCGCCCGGGTCGCGGGCTCCCCAGCGCCGGCCCCGCCCGCTACCCCCGCCTCAACCCGGCGAACCAGCCGCGGATCTGGGCTCATTGAATATTAATCATGCGCCGGGAGCGGGAAGGCGGGAGGCTGGCAGGGCGGGAGGGCCGCGTGTGCCTCATAAATATTCATCGCCGGCATGACGGCATTCCAGGGAGGAGTGGGGAGAGCCAGGGGATGGCCGGAGGCGGAGCTTCAGGGTAAACAAACGTGACGCGTGCGTACGAGGGCGGGGTGGGGGGCAGTTTCCCGGGAGGTTCCTGAGCCGGCCTCGGAGAGGGCAGTGAAGACCGACGCGCGCGGTAAACCTTGGGAGTTGTGGTTCTCGTAAGGGGATCGGCAATCCCGAGGGAAACATGGTGGACTACAAGTCCCAGCGGTCCTTTGGTTCTGCTTCTCCTGGCCGCCAGCAGCTGGCCGTGGCCAGTGAGTATTGTGCCCTCTGCCGTTGAACTCTGTGCCAGAGTTCTTAATGAACACGAATGCTCATGTTCATTAACTTGTATTTTACCCGCACTCCAGCTTGCCAGATGACTTTTATTTTCCCTACTAATTAAAGGTGAGGGCTTTCAGGGACTGTAAACGTACGAAGGTCGCAGGTCCTGGTCCTCACCTGCGCCCATTGTATGAGATAGAGATACACACCCGTCACACCACAGCATCACTGGCAGTCTGAGTGGGCCAACCTCACTTTTTCCCCACTTTTTCAAGACCCAGGAAGACAGGCAGCGTCTGGGAATTCTAACTGAGGCTGTCGTTGAATGTGCTTGTTCGAAGGCACAACCCTAAGTCTGTCCTCTCCCTCTCCTGTACCTGAAAAGGAAAATAGCAAAGGACTGAGGTTTCATTGTTTCCCATTGCTCTTGAAGTCTGAAGTAGTTTAATGACACAGAAAGCACTGGTAAGTAGAAGAAACATTAGAATGGAGTATGAGATGGGCTTTTTCCACGTGTTCTGTCTTAACGTCTTCTCTGGTTTTTTTCTTTCATCATTCAGGGAAAAAAAAAATAGTTTCTACTGCCACAATGTTTAGTCGTGGTCTGAAAAGTTGTATTTTTCGTCAGTTGAATCAATGTTGTAATCATTGGGCAGTTTACTATTTAAAAGAATGTTGTACACCTTTTTAATTGAATTACCATTCCCCCAATTGCTTTGTAATTCGGGATTTTTCTTTTCTTTTTTTCTTTCTTTTTTCTTTTTTTCTTTTTTTTTTTTTTTTTTTTGGCCACAGAGTGGGTCTGTCGTCCAGGCTGGAGTGCGGTAGCGCGATCTGGGCTCACTGCAACCTCCGCCTCTCGGGCCCAGGTGATTTTCCCACCTCATCCTCCGAGTAGCTGGGACTACAGGGCTTGCCACCAAGCCCGGCTCATTTTTTGTATTGTTTTAGTGGGGGTGGGAAGTCCCTTCATGCTGCCCCGGCAGGTCTCAAGCGATCTGCCCGCCTCAGCCTCCCAAAGTGCCGAGATTACAGTCGTGAGCCACCGCGCCAGGCCCTAAATCCGGATTTTCACATGTGAAACTTTTAAACAGTTTTAAACCACATACTATCTATGACCTGTTTTAACCTCAATAAAGTGACTAAACTTGCAGATGAAGAGTGAAGGGGGTTGGAGAGAGAGACCAACTGGAACTTACCGCTTAGGTTATCACAGTTTCATTGAACAAGAATGAAGAAGCTGTGGAGATAAAAATAAATATTTCTCAATGATTTTTTACATTCCTGATGATTTTCTGTATTTTCATTTAAAGTTTCACCCCTTAGCCTCATGAATCTATTAATAATATGTATTTTATTTAAATTCAATCAACAGCAACATATGAAAAATTAGGGAGATTGCAAGTTCTCCCAAGAGTGATAACATTTTCAAGTCAATTAATTTAACAGATAATTACAAACATTTATTATGTACCAGTCACCGTGTTATAGCAGTTGAATAAATCACACACTGTCCCTGCCTTCATAGAGTTTACAGGTTAGAAAGAATAACATTCAAAAAATGCAGCAGAAGTACAGAAGGGGAAAATACAAGGTGCCACAGAAATAGACATAAAACAAGAGGAACTAACCTAGTCTAAGAAGTCAGGCAATACAGACCAAAGTTTGAATGAAATTTTTTGGAGTCAGTGAAAATGTGCATTTGTTGAAGGATCAGTCTCTGAAAGAAAGGGAAGAACCAAAGAGGTAATTATATTGAGATAAATTTCAACTACACTGATCTGTGTTGTGCCTTCAGTAGCCCCGACACAAACTATTTGTTCTAGAAATTGAAAGAATAGTCCTTTAATTTAGGCATCCTTTAATAAAATTTAAAAAACAAGGCACATGTTAAATTTCAGTACTAAAACATGGAATTTGTATACCTCTTTATATTCCTTAGTTGATTTCCTACAAACCCCTTTATATTTATTTATTTATTTTATTTTTATTTTTTCTTTTTTTTTTTAGACGGAGTTTCCCTCTGTCACCCAGGCTGGAGTGCAGTGGCGCCATCTCGGCTCAATGCAACCTCCACCTCCCAGGTTCAAGCGATTCTCCTGCCTCAACCGCCCAAGTAGCTGGGATTACAGGCACACACCACCACGTCCGGCTAATTTTTGTATTTTTAGTAGAGACAGGGTTTTGCCATGTTGGCCAGGCTGGTCTCAAACTCCTGACTTCAGGTGATCCATATGCCTCGGCCTCCCAAAGTGCTGGGATTACAAACGAGAGCCACCACGGCCGGCATGTTTGTTTATTTATTTATTTATTTATTTTTTGAGATGGAGTTTCACTCTTGTTGCCCAGGCTGGAGTGCAATGGTGCCATCTCAGCTCAATGCAACCTCTGCCTCCGGGGTTCAAGCGATTCTCCTGCCTCAGCCTCCTGAGTAGCTGGGACTACTGGCGCATACCACCACGCCCAGCTACTTTTTAAATTTTTTTGTAAAGATGGGGTTTCACCATATTGCCCCGGCTGGTCTCAAACTTCTGACCTGAAGTGATCCACCTGCCTCGGCCTCCCAAAGGGCTGGGATTACAGGCGTGAGCCACCACACCTAACCCAGAATGTTTCTTCTAATCATAAATTCTATCGCCATTGCTCCTTCTCTAAGAAATTACAATACCGCATTGAATCCACCCATGGTTCCTATTATTTAACATTACACAATCACCGCAACTCTGCCTTTTTTATTCTCTAGCAATTTTGTTTACTCTTTGAAGGTATTTATAACTAAAACACCTTTTTCAAGGGGAAAAAAATTTGTACCAAAAACATTGCTCAGGTTGGGCGCAGTGGCTTACGCCTGTAATCCCAGCATTTTGGGAGGCCAAGGCGGGCGGATCACCTCAGGCCAGGAGTTGGAGACCAGCCTGGCCAACATGGCGAAACCCCGCCTCCACTGAAAATACAAAAAATTAGCCGGGCGTGGTGGCGGGTGCCTGTAATTTCAGCCACTCAGGAGGCGGAGGACTCAGTGAGCCGCGATTGCGCCATTGCACTCCTCCAGCCTGAGCAACAAGAGAGAAATTCTGTCTCAAAAAAAAAATAAAGACATTGCTCAGAGGATTTAGTATCCAAATAATGGGGAAATGGGGACTGGAGAGCCATCATACACTCCTGGCAGATAGGGGCTTGGTACTGGGATACCTAATACTAAGTGGTGTCGGGAGGAGGCAGGAAATGAACAGGATGAATATTGTTACAGTACCTCAGCATAACGAAGAAGGAAATACATTCCTACCTCATAAAAACAGTGTTTGGAGGGGTGGGGACCTAAAATACAATTTTCCTGGATTTCATGCATAGAGTCCATCATCTGAAGATGACATATTCCATTGTATGCAGAATAATGTAAATCAGAGCTAAGGGGAGAGCAAAAGGGCCGGGGTCCACTGTGTAATCCTTCCCTTGTTCTGACCCAAGCCCCCAGTGATGTTACTAAGCTTGGGGTAAGAGAAGAAACAGAAAGAAAATGAGAGCTCCTGAAGAATAAACAATCCCTTACCGCCAGATCAACTGGATCCTTGTAGTTGAAAGAACAAATTGATAAAGGGCAATGAAACTTGTACTTAGAGCTTGCTAGTATCGGGAAACATCACCCAGACCATCTGTGCCAATGCACTCTATACAATTTCTCCAAATAAGAAAAAGATTTCAATAAAAGACAAATGTGTTCCAGACACCCATGAAATGGCAGCTTCTCCTACTTGAAAGTGGAGTGGGGAATACACCAGTATCCTAAAACCACATACATCATGAATGCCCCCCTTTAAAGTGTTCCAAATGTACGTTCTAATACCACATTTCTGACTAACCACACTTTCCAAAGAATCCCATTTTGAAATGCTAAAAGATAATCCTGAAAAGAAACATCAGATGCAAAAGTTGTGAATCCTGATGCCAACTTGTTAAAATATTTTCACATCTAAGTTTAGAAAAGGAGAACACAATTTTCAATTTATTGCCACAGTTTACTTTATGCTGTGTGATTTATAACTGACTTGCTATGATCTGCATCTAGGTTAATTCTGTTTGAATCCTTAGAACTAAGATAAAAGAAGTCATCTTTGGAGGTTTATTTTCTAATATAAGCAGTTGGAATTTTAATAGAGGCATAAATTGATAGCTGGGATGATTTCAGTCTGAGTTGTTAAGGGCTCAGCTGTGTCCAGAAATAAACTCAGAAAGATGCAATATACAATGTAATACATTTAGTTCCTACATTATGAACAAGGGATCTAATTATAGTTTCACATTTTTATATCCCTTGAGCTACTAGTGGTTTACCATGCCTAAATTGTTCACTGTTTACTCATTCTTTTTTACTATGAGGGACCCATTTAGCAAATTACTGCTCTAGTGCACTAAATGGGCCCCAGGTGGCCAAACTGAATTAATATGTTCCCTGTTCACTGGCAGGATGAGACCTTATGGTCTCTCTGAAGTCTTACCCCTCCCTCATAAAATTTACAATCTGAATTCAATCAAGAGCTTGGATTGCTACTATCATTTTAGGTAATCTGTTTTATAGATACGGCTTGATAGCTTTTCAGATTTTAGTGCACCCTTTTTAATCCCATAATTCTTTGTCTTGTTCTTATTTCTCACATCCTGCCTCACCAAAGTAAACAGATGTTCCATACGTGGCAACAATTAAGTTTTAGAACAGAAATACAGGCGGCGTAAACCCACCCCAATACCCTAATAATGTAAATTACCTGGGACATTCATTCAACAAGTACTTATTGAACTTTTTTTTTTTTTGAGATGGAATCTCGCTCTTGTCACCCAGGCTGGAGTACAGTGGCGCAATCTCCGCTCACTGCAAGCTCCGCCTCCGGCGCTCAAGTGATTCTCCTGCCTCAGCCTCCTGAGCAGCTGGGATTACTGGCGCCTGCCACCACACCCAGCTAATTTTTGTATTTTTTTTTTTAGTAGAGATGGGGTTTCACCATGTTGGCCAGGCTGGTCTCAAACTCCTGACCTCAGGTGATCCACCCATCTCGGTCTCCCAAAGTGCTGGGATTACAGGCGTAAGCCACTGCACCCGACTACTTATTGAACGTTTAAGTGTAGGTATCATTCATCCTAAGTAAACAGTATAGACAAAAATACCTGATCTAATGAAGCCTATTTATAGGCATTGGCATTTAATAAAAAATCTTCAATTAAAATCAACCTATTCTCTTCCGTTGTACAGATAATTTTTGTTTGGGGCAAACAGGAAACATGAAAATCTATATATACAAATTACATATTAGAGTATAAATATTTCTTCTCAAAGTCTCATTTATTCTTTCCCTTATGAATGAAATCATCATACAATTGTTTTAAGTACTCTTATAATATGAATACATTTAAAATATATTAATTTTAAAAATTAATTTATACCTAGCTTTTTAGAAACATATTTTGGATTCTAACCTCACACAAGCACCTAATACCTGTTTGCATCAAGATTCTTATCTAGGACAGGCACAGTGGCTCATGCCTGTAATAAGAGCACTTTGGGAGGCCAAGGCGGGTGGATCACCTGAGGTCAGGAGTTCCAGACCAGCCTGGCCAACATGGCGAAACCCTGTCTCTACAAAAATACAAAAATTAGCCAGGCGTGATGGCTCGTGCCTGTAATCCCAGTTACTCGGGAGGCTGAGGCGGGAGAATCGCATGAACCTGGGAGGCAGAGGTTGCAGTGAGCTGAGATTGGGCCATGGCACTCCAGCCTGGGCTACTGAGCAAGACTCCATCTCAAAAAAAACAAAAGATAAAAAAGATTCCTATCTAACAAAAATCTATTTTCCTACGCCATCCCAAAACATTTATTCTGATTCTTCCGTGACTAAAAAGAGAAAAGTATTCTCCAGATAATGATTCCTCCATACTTACATTCATTAATTATACCGTGAAGAAGCAGCATGGATATTCTTTTCTTTTTTCCGCCCCATTGTAGAGAGGTTTTAGGAGACTCCATCAGTCCCTAGAAATCTTGCCCTTTTTCCCTCTACTCCCTGCCACATCTAGTGGTCTAGACTCCTAAGCTTATTAGTTTCCTGGGGCTGCTGTAATAAACCACCATGAAGTGGGTGGCTCAAAACAACAAAAATTTATCCTTTTGTTACCGGTAAACTTGAGGGCCCCAAAAGATGGGGTCTTTCCTCCTTCATTGCTGCAGAGCCAATACACAACTGAAAGTGAGCATCACCCACAGCAAGGTTTAGTCTGTGGCCAGGGAATGAAGAAGTGGGAGCATGGCTGGCAAATCACCTTCTCAACTAGTGCAGGATGAGGGGGCTAAAATGTAAGGCTTCTTAATGAAGGAGTTGGACACTAAAAGTGAGGGGAGAGTCCAGGCATGGTGGCTCACACCTGTACTCCCAGCACTTTGAGAGGTCAAGGCAGGTGGATCGCTTGAGGCCAGGAGCTCGAGACCAGCCTGGACAACATGATGAAACCCCGTCTCTACTAAAAATACAAAAATTAACTAAGCATGGTGGCCTGTGCCAGTAATCCCAGCTACTTGGTAGGCTGAGGCAGGAGAATTGCTTGAACCTGGGAGGTGGAGGTTGCAGTGAGCTGAGATTGCGCCACTGCACTCCAGCCTGGGCGACAGAGCGAGACTCTGTCTCAAAAAAATACTATTTTGGCCAAGCGTGGTGGCTCACGCCTGAAATCCTAGCACTTTGGGAGGCCAAGGTGGGTGGATCACCTGAAATCAGGAGTTCGAGACCAGCCTGACCAACATGGTGAAACCCCGTCTCTACTGAAAATACAAAAATTAGCCTGCATGGTAGTGGGCGCCTGTAATCCCAGCTACTTGGGAGGCTGAGACAGGAGAATCACTTGGACCGAGGAGGCGGAAGTTGTAGTAAGCCACGACTGCGCCACTGCACTCCAGCCTGGGCAAAAGAGGGAAGCTCCATGTCAAATATATATATATATACTATTTTTAAAAGGATATTTTAATACATACAAAAAGTAGGAAGGACAGATCTCAGCATAGAAAAAGTGGTCCTTCAAATTGAACAAAGTTAACTTTATGAAAAACTTCTTAATATGTCCTTTTTTTCTCTTCTATTACCAAGATCAAGAAAAATGCCATCCCAGGTCAGTTTCAGATCTCAAGCTGGCATTTGAGAATCAGAGCCAGAGCTTCACAGAAGTCCCTGTCCCCAGCACCTTACTACTATTCCATAGTCAGCACTAGATGGTCACGGTAACTTTCAAGCTGTGACTTTCAAGAATTTAGCAATTTACAGCCATCTGTTGCCATGTGTACCAAAATTTTGCAAAATATGACCACTGCCTCTTCACCTCATAATATCTGCGATCTTACCCATATCTCTGTTGTAAAATTGAGATGGCAGAAAAATCAAGCAGCCAGGCTCATGCTCAGGTGGGTGCATTAATTAATAAATCAGATACAGTGACAGTGGCAATGGCATAATAACATTCTTAGTCTCCTACACATGCCATAGTTTGAAAGGTAGTGCCATGTAATATTTTTAGGAAGTTTTATAACATTCGAGGTTAGAAGTCAGAAGTCCTGGTTCTAAACTCCCTAGCTAAGTATGGCCTGGAGAAGACATTTGACCTTAAAGAGCTTTTTCTTACTATTTATATAATAAGGGATTGAACTACATAGTGTCTCTAAAATCTCTTCTGGTGCAAAGAAATTTCTAATTCTGACTCAAAGCAAAACTGTCTAATTTGGAATATTGACAAATGTTTTTATTAGTCACAAAGCAGAAACCTTCACATTTAGATGCTATCATTTTGAAATAAAAAGACTATTTATTTATTTTTTGAGACAGTTTCGCTGTCGCCCAGGCTGGGGTGCAGTGGCACCATCTCGCCTCACTGCAAGCTCTGCCTCCTGAGTTCAAGCGAGTCTCCTGCCTCAGCCTGCTGAATAGCTGGCACTACAGGCGCCCGCCACCACGCCGGCTAATTTTTTGTATTTTTAGTAGAGACAGGGTTTCAGCATGTTGGTCAGGTTGGTCTTGAACTCCTGACCTCAAGTGATCCACCTGCCTCCACCTCCCAAAGTGCTGGGATTACAGGTGGATTCACTGCATCTGGCCTAAAATAAAAAGACTTTTCAGACTTTTTCTTTCCATTTAAAAGAATTGTTAAAGCATTTAGACTAACAGCAGGTTTATTCTGATATGTATGAAAACTGCTGGGTTTTTAGTCCTCTGAAATATGAATTTGTCACTAATAGGAACTAATTCATGACAACAAGATCCACAACTTCAGATCCCCAAACTCCAGTGTCTGTATCAGTTTTTTCTTTTACAGTCGTGGATGTGTATAGATATAAATCTCATTACCACAAAGTTAGGTTAGCTGACAGAAGCTAAAACATCAGCTCACGTGAGTACATGGGCCCAGGAGACGCAGACAAGGATATTGATAGCAGCAGCAGTTTGCCATGCCAAAACTTGGGAGTCACCCAATTGCACATCAACAGTAGGATGAATCAAGAAACAGGAGCATAGTTCTACCTTGAAATGCTAATATGGCAACAAAAATGAAGAAGTTTAAATTAAAGTGGTAAGCAATATAAGTGAATCTTTTTTTTCTTTCTTTTTTTTTTTTTTTAAAAAACGGAGTCTCGTTCTGTCACCCAGGCTGAAGTGCAGTGGCATGATCTCAGCTCACTGCAAGCTCCGCTCCTGGGTTCAAGCGATTTTCCTGCCTCAGCCTCCCAAGTAGCTGGGATTACAGGCATGCGCCACCATGCCCGGCTAATTTTTTGTATTTTTAGTAGAGATGGGGTTTCACCATGTTAGCCAGGATGGTCTCAATCTCCTGACCTCATAGTCCACCTGCCTCAGCCTCCCAAAGTGCTGGGATTACAGGCGTGAGCCACCATGCCTGGCCATGAGTGAACCTTTTTAAAAGCATGTTGGGTGAAAGAAGCCAGACACAATAGAATACTTACCAGATGATTCCATTTATATCAAGTTCAAGAACATGTTTTTTAGGAACACAATTTAGGTGGTCAAACTGAAACGAAAGGAAAAGGAAGTAAATAACAAACTGACTAGGGAAATTGAGGGGATTGTGACTGGGCAAGAGAACACTGGGCTTCAGCAGGGCTGACAGTGTTCTTGTTCTTGACCTTGCTGGTTACCTGGGTCTCTGCTTTATGAAAACGTGTTCAGCTGTACATTCTTGTTTCATCCACTTTCCTGTTTGTGTTATATTTCATAACAAAGGTATTTTTAAAGATCATATGGTTTTGTTACACCCTGAATTTCTATATTACGTCCATTCTTAAGAGTTTGAAGTTATATTTCCCGTAAGTTGTTTAATTCATTTAGAATTGTATTCATAATGTAAAACAATGATAAATATAACTTAAGAGTTATATTTATCATGTAAAACAATGATAAACATAACTTAAGAGAGAACTTTCAGATTAATTTTAAGAGTAGTAAGTTCATTATAGAAACTTTGGATAATATTGCCAGGTATAAAGATGCAGGGATGAACATAAATCCCAATGACACAGTTATTTTCACATATTTCCTCCCAGATTTTTTTTCTCCTATGCAGTTTAATGTGGTAGAGATCACAATGTAGCTACATTTTTTCCCTGCTTTTCTTGCTTAAAATGATGCCATAAGCACTTTTCCATATCATTATAAACAGAATTTTAAATTTCTAGATAATGGTGAATTATTGGGAGACCCTGAAACTTATTTATACACACCATAAAGGGTGAATTCGTGATCACGCAGGACACTGTACTGGCCTTCAGTATTTTTATACTATTTTTATGCTCTTCTACTTGTGGACATAAGGTTGAGATCTTAGCCAATTTTTATACCTTCACCTTCCTTATCTCCCCATCCTTCAAACCACAACGTAGCAACATTGAAATCAGGCAGTGTCTGAAGCCCTTTCTTCTTTTTTTTTTTTGAGACAGAGTTTTGCTCTGTCGCTCAGGCTGGAGTGCAGTGGCACAATCTCAGCTCACTGCAAGCTCCGCCTCCCAGGTTCACGCCATTCTCCTGCCTCAGCTTCCTGCCATTCTCCTGCCTCAGCTTCCCAAGTAGCTGGGACTACAGGCGCCCACCACCACGCCTGGCTAATTTTTTGTATTTTTTTAGTAGAGACGGGGTTTCACCGTGTTAGCCAGGATGGTCTCGATCTTCTGACCTCATGATCCGCCCACCTCGGCCCCCCAAAGTTTTGGGATTACAGGCGTGAGCCACCATGCCTGGCCATCTGAAGCCCTTTGTAGATGGGCTTATGAGGAAGTCAAAACGTGGAAACATTTACCAACTCCTGTAATATGCCAGGGTGCAGTAGCCAGATTTAGCAAATAAAACTATAGGACACACAGTTTTTGCAATAATTGCACATATGAAAGAATTACTTCATATTTATTTGAAATTTGAACTTAACTAGGTTTCCTGAATTTCATCTGGCAACCCAATGCCAGGGCACTGCCAGGGCTGTCAGGAGTATATTCTAATTTAATTCCTTTGACCCCTTTGAGAGTTACATACGATTCCCATTTTAAAGAAGAGCTCAGGCCGGGCGCAGTGGTTTATGCCTGTAATCCCAGCACTTTGAGAGCCCGAGGCGGGCAGATCACGAGGTCAGGAGTTCAAGACTAGCCTGGCCAACATAGTGAAACCCCGTCTCTACTAAAAATACAAAAAATTAGCTGGGTGTGGTGGCACATGCCTGTAGTCCCAGATACCCGGGAGGCTGAGGCGGGAGAATCACTTGAACCCGGGAGGCAGAGGTTGCAGTGAGCCGAGACCATACCATTGCACTCCTGCCTGGGTGACAGAGTGAGACTCCATCTCAAAAAAAAAAAAAAGAAGAGCTCAGTAAGGATCAGTAACTTCTCTAAGCTCACACAGCTAGAAAGGAGTAAAACAAGGATGGAAACCTAAGCTTTCTGACACCAAGACTGTGGCTCCAAATTGGTGGGGCTTACCCCCTAATGCTTGGGTAAAATGGACCCAACTCTCCCTCAGTGAGAGAGGGTGTTTTTGGTTTTCATTTGTTATTGTTGTTTCTTTTTACAAAACAGTTCATCAACCCTTTTGTACTGTTATGTCAAAAATGAGTGGCTGGGTGTGGTGGCTCACATGTGTAATCCCAACACTTTGGGAGGCAGAGGCAGAAGGACGGCTTGAGCCCAGGAGTTCACGACCAGCCTGGATAACATAGTGTGACTCCATCGCTACAAAAAAAAAAATTGAGAAATTAGCCTGGAGTAGTGATGCATGCCTGTAGTCCTAGCTACTCAGGAGGCTGAAGCAGGAGGATCTCTCAGGGTCAGAAGACCAGCCTGGATAACATAGCGAGACCCTGTCTCTAAAACACATTTTTATAAAATCAACAAAAATTAGTTGGGCATGGTGGTGCATGCCTGTGGTCCCAGATACTTGGGAGGCTAAGGAAGGAGGATTGTTGAGCCTAGGAGTTCAAGGCTACAGTGAGCTATGGTTCCACCACTACACTCCAGCATGGGTGACACAGTGAGACCCTATCTCTAAAAAAATAAAAATTAAAAATAAGTTAAAAAATGAGTATGGGGTAGGGGAAGAATTCTGGACCCAGGCGGCAGGGCCAAGCCACTGAACTGACTCAAAACAACCAGGTCCAGGAAAAGGGGCTTTAAGCTACCACAGGGCAGCAAAGAGGAAGCTCCAACACACCCCCTAGCCCCACCCTTTGGAAGCCAGAAGACTCACCCATCAGCACTCTTCCTGATGACCATCAGATGAGACATTTTAATTTCATTTGCTCCTGGAAACCCCAAGGAAGGTTTTGGGTTTTGATTTGAGGTAGGGGGCAGGGGCTTTATTTACTTATTCAGGTTTAAAATAAATAGTAAAAAGGGTGAAACTTCCAGAAGTGGTTCCACTGTCATATGGGAGGAAACATGATCCAAGCTGTGTGCGTTATCTTCATCCCCTCCTGTCCAGCCAAGAGTCTGGCCCCACAGCGTGGCACAGGCCAAGCTCCCCTCTCTTGTGCCCTCTCATTCATTCCTTTGCAACTTGCTGCTTTCCTTCCCCACACAAGCAGATTCTAAATGAGCCATTTGGCAAACCCCTCAGAGTACTACCACTCCTAGCCAGGAGGTGAAACTTCCCTAGGCCCCAAACGGAGGAGGGACAGAAGTGCCAGTGTCTGAGGAGCGTGGGTGCAGGAGACAGAATGGAGCTGAATCAGGAAAAATGACAGAGGCCCCAGCCTCATTTGGGCCCGAGATTCCCCTGAATGTGGCTCTTGTGGCAATCCTAGGTGAGGTCTTTGGTAGGACTTGGGAGAAACACACAGACCCCCACAACGCCACCCACTAAGGCCCCCAGCCTTACTCCAGGCAAGCGTATCTGCTCAATGGCATCTAGCTCTGAACCAACGAGGGCCTGAGTCTCTCTGCACCAAGGGGAAGCAAGTGTCAAACCCACACCCAGCATCTGGCAGCAAACAGCAGCTGCACTTCCCCTCCCTAAGTCTCTACGGCCTCAGACTTGCATTCTGTCGGTCCCCAAAGCAGTTCAGGGTCCTGGCACACTTGCCAACGCGGCTTTCCTGCAAAGCTCAACCAACCTGCAGGCAGGCATGCAGCAAGCCCAGGGAGCAGCTTCAGTGTGCGGATACGGGTTCCATCTTCACTGGCTGTCAGAGGAAAGCCAAGATGGACTCCACATGCCCCTCAACTTTACTACTGAAAACCAGTTCCTACTGCCTCTAGGCCCTTGGGTTTCCTTTTCATAGAGCATTTACTTCATTTTTAAAAATTTTTATTTTATTTTAAATTGAGATGAGATCTTGCTATGTTGCTCAAGCTGGTCTTGAACTCCTGGGCTGAAGGGATCCTCCCACCTCCACTTCCTGAGTAACTGAAGTTACAGACCAGAGCCACAACACCTGCCTGCAGAGCATTTACTTTAAAAAACTTGTCATTTTAAATTCTTTCTCTACCTCTTTTTTTTTTCTCTCTTTTAACTCATCTGTATTCATTACAACTTTAAGCAGAATGTGACTCGGGCACTACATTTCCATCCGCAAGCCTGGCTCTGAGTTTTTGTTATTTTATCTTATTTTTTTTTTTGAGACAGAGTCTTGCTCTGTCTCCCAGGCTGGAGTGCAGTGGCACAATCTCGGCTCACTGTAACCTCCGCCTCCCGGGTTCAAGCGATTCTCCTGCTTCAGCCTCCTGGGCAGCTAGGATTACAGGCATGCACCATCACGCCCGGCTAATTTTTGTATTTTTAGTGGAGACAGGGTTTCACCATGTTGGCCAGGCTAGTCTCAAACTCCTGACCTCAGGTGATCCACCTGCATGGGCTTCCCAAAGTGCTGGGATTACAGGCGTGAGCCACCGCAACCGGCCAATTTTTTGAACACTTTATGATGCTTAGAGTAGGCTAATAATTTTGCTCCTCCAAGCAATACTTTTCTTTGGAAAACAAGCCCTGTGGAGAGTTCCTTCCATCGAGTTGCTTCAGTTTAACCTATTTCTAGAGGACTAGCACATGCAGAATTGGCAACTACAGGGAATGAAAAGTTCAAAAAGTAGATCCTAGAAGATGTTAACAAATACTTTTCTCCTAAACATCAAGGTACACCTCAGAACACTTTGATAATAAGACTTGGTCTACTAGGGAATCTGGCTTGATAGCTAAATACTTTAGACCACAAGGTTAGTATCAGTTTACATACTTACAACACACGTTGCCTTGATCTGTTAAAATAAGCCAATGTGAAACTACGAAAGCATTACTAGCTCTGCCTTAGTGCCTAAGGTATCACAGTATCATTTAGAAGTAGAAAGAAATCTTATCTTCCCCTTAAAGTATTGTCATGCCATACCGATTTTTATTTTTTTTATTTATTTTTTTTGAGACAGAGTTTCACTCTTGTTGCCCAGGCTGGAGTGCAATGGCACAATCTCAGCTCACTGCAACCTCCGCCTCCCAGGTTCAAGAGATTCTCCTGCCTCAGCCTCCCAAGTAGCTGGGATTACAGGCATGCACCACCATAGCCAGCCAATTTTGTATTTTTAGTAGAGATGGGGTTTCACCATGTTGGCCAGGCTGGTCTCAAACTCCTGACCTCAGGTGATCCATTTGCCTCAGCCTCCCAAAGTGCTGGGATTACAGAAGTGAGCCACCATGCCCAGCCGCCATACAGACTTTTTAAGTGTTAACAAAAATAAAGAAAAAAATCCTTGAAAATATACTATCAGAGGAATTGTAGAACATTGAACACATGTAGAAGTCATTCCTCAGCCAGAGCGTAGTCTACTTCTTCCATGCATGATGTGTCATCGTCTCCTTTGAGGGGTGGCATTTGTTTCTCAGCTGCACTGGTCTTTCTCTACCTCTTTGAGATGTATGTAAATATATGTGTGTGTGTGTGTGTGTGTGTGTGTGTGTATGTGTGTATATATATATATATATATATATATATATATATATATATATAATCTCCTCTTGCCAGCTTTACCACCCAGGAATGTCTTTCTCAAGGACCCAGGAGCCACCTCTTTGAAATGTAATCATCAAAGCAGATAGTGCCCTATGTCCTCAGTGTGGGAGGATGGGAGCCTAACGTCAGTGAGTGTTGTGCTCCCACTTGAAAAGCTACCTCGTATCAAAAAGATAGGAGGAGTTTATGTTCCAGTTCTTTTCTTTTTCTTTTCTTTATATTTTTTGAGAAAGGCCTCACTCAGTTGACAGGCTGGAGTACAGTGGCACCATTATAGCTCACTGCAGCCTCAACATCCCAGGCTCAAACGATCCTTGCACTTCAGCCTCCTGAGTAACTGGGACTACAGGTGTGCACCACCATGTCTGGCTAAAGTTTTAATTTAAAAAAAAAACAAAACAAAACATTTTTTTGTGTAGAGACAGGATCTCTCCATGCTGCCCAGACTGGTCTCAACCTCCTGACTCAAGTGATCCTCTCGCCTCAGCCTCCCAAAGTTCTGGGATTCTGGGTGTGAGCCACTGCACTCGGCCCAGTACTCCTCAACTTGCTCACTCCAACCCTTAAAAAACCCTACTGCCCCCTGCTTCAGTGGAGTTGAGTTTAGACTTAGCTCTGGTCTCTCTCCTCTATTTCAATAGCCTTCAATAAAGTCTTCCTTCCCTGTTTAACTTTGTCTGGGGCAATTTTTGCTTTGCTAGGGAACATTTAGTTTCTGATTTTTGCCCAACTTTTAAACAAATTATAATGTTTCCACATTGGCAACATGCTTGTAAATTAGAATTACCCTAGAAAAGAATTGGACATAGATTCAAAGCTGCAAAAGTAGACACTTAAGAAATGTGACTTGATAAGAAAGGCTTCCATTCCCCTAAAATATCTCCACAGCTTCTCCACTAGCCTCACTTGACTTAAAATGGCCACATTTTGATAAAGAGATGGAAGGACCAAGATCATCAAGGGTGAGAGAGAGAGCTCATCACTCTTAGGGGACAGTTAAAATGCTATGGGACACCATACAAAAAAATAATTTGAGATGGATCTTAGATCGAAACTTGAAAGATAAAATAACAAAACTTCTGAAAGTGACCTTGGGGTAGGCAAAGGTCTTAAGACACAAGAAAGCTCTTAAAAAAAGAAAAAATGGTAAATTAGTCTTTTTTTTTTTTTTACCGTTAATAACATCTTTTTATCAAAAGACAACACCAAGAGAATGAAAATGCAAGCCACAGACCACTGGGAGACAACAATTTCTATTCAGGATATGTAAAGAGCTCCTACAAATCAATAAGAAAAAATCAATCCCTTCAATTAACAGGCAAAACAAACAAACATACTATCCACAAAAGAAGATCTCAGAAAGCCAAGCAGCATGTGAAATGGTGCTCATCATCATTACTTACAAGGAAAATACAAATTAAAACACCCTAAGATACCCTTACACATCTTTAAAAGACTAAAATTACTAAAGTGACAATACCAAATGATGGTAAGGTTGTAGAGCAACTAGAACTCTCATGCATTCCACTCTGGAAAACGGTTTGACAGTGTTTACTACAGATAAACATCTGTCTGCCTGATGAACCAGAAATTCCCCTCCCAGATGTGATACCCCAAGGAAATGAGTAAGTATATCCACCAAAAAAAAAAAAAAAAAACAAAACAAATATATGAAGATGCACAGCAGCTTCATTCATAAATAGCCCAAAATAAAAAACAACCCAAATGCCCATGAACAGGGGAATGGAAAGATAAATTGTAGTGTATACTTAATTGTGCAATAGAATTAATGAGACACGCAGCAACATGGATGAATCTTAATGCTATTATGTGGAGCAGAAAAAGACACAGAAGAACCCATATTATATGATTCTGTGTATATGAATCAAGATTAAGAATAGGCAAAACTATGTAATAAGCCAGTCACAAAGAGGTAAATACTATATGATTCCACTTATACATGGTACCTAAGAGTAGTTAGATTTATAGACAAAAATAGAGTGGTGTTTGTCAGGGGCTGGGAGTTGGGTGAAATGAGTAGTTGGATGGATATAGAGTTTGAGTTTTTCAAGATAAGCTCTAGCAATTGGTGGACAACATTGTGAATGTTCTTACCTTTGCTAAACTGCACACTTTAAAATGGTTAAGTCCAGGTGCGGTGGCTTACGCCTGTAGTTCAAAGACTCTGGGAGGCTGAAGTTACTGAATCTTTTGAGCCCAGCAGTTCAAGACCAGCTTCGGCAACATGGCGAAACCGCATCTCTACAAAAAAATACAAAAATTAGCCAGGCGTGGTGGCATGCGCCTGTAGTCTCAGCTACTCGGGAGACTGAGGCGGAAGGATAGCTTGAGCTAGGGTGGTTGAGCTTGTAGTGAGCTGAGATCATGCCACTGCACTCCAGCATGGGAGACAGAGTGAGACTCTTTCTCAAAAAATAAAATAAAAACAAAAACAAACAAATAAATAAATAACATGGTTAAGTTGGTAATTTTTAAGCTATATATATATATAGTAACACAATTTTTTAAAAGAATAGGCAAAACTAATCTGATGCAAGTCAGCATACAGGAGACCTTTGACAGAGGGCAGTGGCTGGAGGGGGCCTCTGGACTGCTGGCAAATATTCTATTGATTTATTTGGATTGTGCTATTGAGCCAGGAAAGTTTAAAGGTCTGTGTCATATGAATACTTTACTTTGTACCTATCCCTTTAGTAAAAGGTTTTGCCTTTTTGTTTAAGACACAGGAATATTGGATTTGTTTCACACATTTATTACATAAAACTCTGAGCTCTTACATGTGACATAGGAAGAGGTGGAATGTTGAGTAGAGTAGGCAGGCCCAGGGAAGGACGAAGCCGTGGTGAATCTATGGAGATAATGCCAAAACAGGCAGCAAAATCTGGAAGAGAAAATAAAATGGCAATCATCTTGCAACTTCATCTAGGGGTCTTAATTCCTACATTTTTTCTGTAAGATAAATGTTCTGACCAAACGCATGTGAACCAGGAGCTGTCTTCTCTGTTTGAGCTCCATGTGAACCTAGAGACCTGGACTTCAAATGAGTTGTATTTATTGTCTTCAGATAATACAATGCCATTATCCAAATTGTGGTGGGCCATTTATGCAGATGAACTAAATCAAGAAAGTTTTATTGAACAACTACTTTGTACCAGGGAATTTGCTAAGTATGAGAATTACAATGATGACCACATCCTCCACAGACCCACCCCTCTTGGATCTTAGAGCCTTGGAAGGAGAAATGCCTGCTTTTTAATTCAGTATTGATTTTCTGGCTCTATAAAAATAAATTAAATGTGTGTTGGCTGGGCGCAGTGGCTCACACCTGTAATCCCAGCACTTTGGGAGGCCGAGGCGGGCAGATCACGAGGTCAGGAGATATACACCATCCTAGCTAACACGGTGAAACCCCATCTCTACTAAAAATACAAAAAATTAACCGGGCGTGGTGGCACGCACCTGTAGTCCCAGCTACTAGGGAGGTTGAGGCAGGAGAATCGCTTGAACCTGGGAGGCGGAAGTTGCAGTGAGCTGAGATGGTGCCACTGCACTCCAGCCTGGGTGACAGAGCGAGACTCCATCTCAAAAAAAACAAATAATAAAATAACTGTGTGTTAAGTCTCCAATAAGAATCAGCTTCTCAAACTGGAATTTAGTTCTGTCCTTTAATATCACATAATCTGGGAAGGGAGGGAAGGATGGAGGCAGCAAGGCAGGGCCCAGGAAAAGGAAGGGAGGAAAGGGCTGACTACTCCACTGGACTGGAATGGGATATATGCAGCTTTTAAAATTAAAAGACAGAAAAAACTTAAACCTATAGACAATAGATGATAGAAAATAGAAGAGGTTTCTTGACTCCAGAATATTACAAAGAATGAACGATGATTTTCTAATTATACCTTTTCTGTATTCTGAAGGTGGACACTTTAATATTAACATCAATTTTCTAAAATTATGACCTACTCTGCCTCTGGTGCTTGCAAGAATAAAGACTTCACTGAAATCAATGCATGTTAGACTTAAATCAGGCAAAGGGCATGAAGAATAATAGTGTAAGAAAGCTCATGTTTTTATTTTCCCTACTTAAATGTTAAGTACTAAATACTATTAGTCAATGTTGATTGATAACATTTATTTATTTATTTTAATTTTTTTGAGACAGGACCTTGCTGTGACATCCCCACTGGAGTACAGTGGCACAATCATGGCTCACTGCAGCCTTGACTTCCTGGGCTCAAGCGATCCTCCCGCCTCAGCCTCCTGAGTAGCTGGGACTACAGGTGCGCATTACCACACCCAGCTAATTTTCGTATTTTTTTGTAGAGACAGGGTTTCACCATGTTGGCCAGGCTGGTCTCAAACTCCTGGGCTCAAGCAGTCTTCCCACCTCAGCCTCCCAAAGTGCTAGCATTATAGGCATGAACCACTGCACCTGGCAGATTGATAATATTTACAATTAATAGTGATACCAAAACACAGGGAGAAAAAATAATTTTAGTCAATGTGTTTTAAAAAAAGAGAGAAAAAATTGGAGACCCATAATCCAAGATTAGAAGACTCAGGGAGAGAGAATCATATAGAATTTTTGGAATAAATAACAGTTAATATATAGTATTTTATGGTATCTGCAGCCTACTTCAGTTCCATTTTAAGTTAATTATAGTTGCAAATGAATACAATTTCTATATAAGACTGAGCACAGACGATTTGTTTATTTATTAATATTTGCAGGGGATAAACTGGCACTTCCAAATGAAAAATCTTTTTCTTTTTCTTTTTTTTTTTTTTGAGACAGGGTCTTACTCTGTTGCCCAAGCTGGAATGCAATGGCACAGTCACGGCTCACTGCAGCTTCAATCTCCCAGACTCAAACGATCCTCCCACCTCAGCCTCCTGAGTAGCTAGGACCAAATGTGTATGCCACCACCCCTGACTAATGATCAATTACATTGTGGAATTTTTTTCCAGATTAATGGTCATTTCCTAATCCATTGAATGTTTTTTTTTCAGGGTGGACTATAAACAAAGAATAGGATGTTTTGAAAAAAGTGACACCTTAATGTGTCAGCCTTCCTGCTGACAGAGTGTTTTCATGTACATCCTCTTACCTGATCCTCCCAACGGCTCTGGGAAGTGGATAAATGACGAACATAATCAGGATATGGGCAGTTATGATTAGGGGCTCCCACTCATGGAATTTGAGGACAAGGCCTCTGAAAATGAAGAATGGTTGAAAGTAGACACTTACAGAAATAACCCATACTAAAATGTAAATATATTTCTATGGAGACCTGAAAGCTACCCAAGATCAATCAAAGTAATTATAGTGTATCCTTAGGACTAGAATGTACCTGAGGAAAGCTGCACTTTTGCCAATTATAGAGTAATATAACTGTCTGAAAGAAGGATGTTTTAGTGGAAGGACTGTTAAATTTGAAGGGAACCAAAGAATAAGACTTTATCCACATTGTTTAGCAAAAAAGATGGGCTGGGTATGGTGGCTCACACTTGAAATCCCAGCACTTTGGGAGGCCGAGGCAGGTAGATCCCTTGAGCTCATGAGTTTGAGAACAACCTGGGCAACATGGCAAAATCCCATTTCTACAAAAAATATAAAAATTAGCTGGTTGTGGTGATGCATGCCTGTACTTTCAGCTACTTGGGAAGCTGAGGTGGGAGGATGGCTTCAGCCCAGGAAGCGCAGGTTTCAGTGAGCCAAGATAGCACCACTGCACTCCAGCCTGGGTGACAGAGGGAGATACTATCTGAAAAAAAAAAAAAAAAAAGCTCTCATCAATGATAAAGGTAAGCACAACCTGTTTGAGGAGCATCTGGTAATTAACCCCAAGTCAGCCTGGAAGAGAGCAGGCTGGTGGTGGTAAAGGAAGCCTTCCTAAAAGAGATGGCACCTGAGCTGTATTCTGGAAGGCAAGAGGACGTTGACCATGTCAAGGGGAAGAGGTTTCTGCCGAACATGGGGCTGAATTACTGTGTGATGTTGACCTCTCTGGATTTCACTCTTTCATCTATAAAAGTCAAGAATTCCAGCTGGGCGTGGTGGCTCATACCTGTGATCCGAACACTGTGGGAGGCTGAGGCGGGCAGATCACTTGAGGCCAAGAGTTCGAGACCAGCCTGGCCAACGTGGCAAAACCCTGTCTCTACTAAAAATACAAAAATTAGCTGGGCATGGTGGCTCACATCTGTAATCCCAGCTACTTGGGAGGCTGAGGCACAAGAATTGCTTGAACCTGGGAGGTAGAGGTTGTAGTGAGCTGAGATCACACCATTGCACTCCAGCCTGGGTGACAGAGTGAGACTGTCTCAAATAAATAAATAAATAAATAAGAATCATTTGACTCCAGCGTTTTTCATGCTGAGCGATCCCATACACCAATAAAAAATCAGAAATGTTCCTGCTTAAGGCCAAAATAAAGTACAATCCCTTTGTATCTTCTCACCTAGCAAAAAACCATAAAAGACCTTTCTATGCACTTTCACCTATTAGTAGGAATATTATGTCTTCTCTTTCCAGTTTGCAAAGTCAAAAGTCCAAGTCATTCAAGGTCAGTGCAAAAGCAGGCAAACTGGCCAGGTCATTCAGATTTGCAGGAAAAATGTGTCATCTGCACTGAATGCATGATTTAACATGTTCAGTGTGATTTCACAGCACAGTGTCTCACAGTACAATGGTCCACGTGTGTATATTCACCTTAGAAAGTGGTTATCACCAACTAAACCTGGACAAAGACTATGAAAAGACCAAGGAGAAATGGAAAAGGACAAATACAAGGATGAGACTACTGAGAAAAAAAGTCATAAAGTCATCTTATGTACAACTTTTATTAAAAACTGCTAAAATGAGCCTTTTAAAAAGTAACACCAATTTTTGTTTAAAGAAAGCTGGCTGAAAAATACTTATTTAACTCTGATCTCTCAAGAAATCCTACTAAAATGACAGTGGATGTTCTAAAAATATAGAAAATTTGCAAAGATATGGAAACAACCTAAATGTTCATCAGTGGATGAATGGATAAAGAAAATGAACACACACTCACAATGCAATGTTATTCGTCTTTTTTTTTTTTTTTTTTTTTTTTGAGATGGCGTCTTGCTCTATCGCCCAAGCTGGAGGGTAGTGACACGATCTTGGCTCACTGCAACCTCCACCTCCTGGGTTCATGTGATTCTACTGCCTCAGCCTCCCAAGTAGCTAGGATTACAGGCACCCGCCACCGTGCCTGGCTAATTTTTGTATTTTTAGTACAGATGGGGTTTCACCATGTTGGCCAGGGTGGTCTTGAACCCCTGACCTCAAGTGATCCACTCGCTGTTGGCCATTCTCAGGCCCACCTTGGCCTCCCAAAGTACTGGGATTACAGGTGTGAGCCACCTTGCCCGGCCTAAGAAACCTGAATTCTAAGCCAGCAGCAGGGAGAGCTGACAAGCAACCTACTTTGCAATGCAGAACCTCCTGAAGATGTGGGAACTGGTGACACCAGGCCCTTCTGGAACTGTAAGTAAAGATGGGTACAAAAAGAGGAGGCTGCAAATGGACTTGGGAAGCAATTGTGTCACTAGACATCAGATGCCTTGCACCTTCTGGGAAATAGTTGCCTTTCAGAGTTTATTCTCTTGAAAAAGTAGATAAAATTGAGAGTTCCTGGGATGGGAGAGGCACTAAACAATTTCAGTTGGGGTTACTGTGCTGGAAACAGGGGGATTAAAGTAATGTTTTACATACTCCTCCCTCTTCCTTCACTCAGCCCCCAGCCCCAAAGCCACCATGTGCAGTTGAACAGGTTTGTCCTGCACAGGGCACCTGGCTGAAGGGCTGGGTGGGGTTGAGATTGAGCTCCTCTCTCCGGCCTCTGGCCCTGTGCCTGGAGGAAGGTGCCCCTTTCCCTCATTCTCCAGAAGGTGCCATCTGATCACCAATGCTGCTCCTGCAGGGCTGCCTCTTGGAGGAATGTGCCCCTTTCCCTCATTCTCCAGAAGGTGCCATCTGATCACCAATGCTGCTCCTGCAGGGCTGCCTCCTGGAGAGAAGGTGCCTCTTCCTAATTTTCACAAAGACCTGGCATGGACTTGCAATGGCCCGCCCTGGGACTCTGGCAGCCAAACTTATACTCTTCATGAAAGATCCTTTTCAGGGGTATCCAACAAGCCTTCCCCCAAAGCACCCAACAACAGCCCAGTCGGGTGACCCTGCAGCAAAGCCCATAGCTGAAAAGCTGTGCAGACCCAGCTTCACACCCAACCACCAGCAGGCAGTTGAAAATCCATCTGAAGAAAACCTTTATCAAGAAAACAGAAATGAGCTGAAAAAGGCAATTGGACAGAAATAGACTTTTAAAAACTACTCATCCGTGTCTTCAGAAATGAGAAATATTATTACCTGCATGAAACAAGACGAGATATATGTATGTAAAAACACAGAATAAGAAAGAGCTTTTTGAAATTAAAACAGGATAAAAGAAATGAAAATTTCAATAGAAAGCTTGGGAGAAAAGTTGAGAAAGTAGGATAAAAATGGAAAAGAAGCCAGGTGCGGTGGCTCACGCCTGTAATCCTAGCACTTTGGGAGGCCAAGTATATCACTTCGGTCAAGGAGGTCAGGAGTTCAAGACCAGCCTGGTCAACATGGTGAAACCCCGTCTCTACAAAAATACAAAAAATTAGCCGGGCATGATGGCAGGTGCCTGTAATCCCAGCTACTCAGGAGGCTGAGGTGGGAGAATCTCTTGAACACAGGAGGCGGAGGTTGCAGTGAGCCAAGATCATGCCATTGCACTCCAGCGTGGGCAACAGAGTGAGACTCTGTCTCAAAAAAAAAATAAATAAATAAAGAAAAGAAAGAAAGAAAAGAAAAAAGAAAAAGAAAAGGAAAGAAAAGAAAAGAAAATTAGGCCGGGTGCTGTGACTCACACCTGTAATCCCAGCACGTTGGGAGGCCAAGGCGGGCAGATCACTTGAGGTCAGGAGTTCAACACCAGCCTGGTCAAAATGGTGAAACCTTGTCTCTACTAAAAATACAAAAATTAGCCAGGCGTGGTGGTGCGTGCTTGTAGTCCCAGCTACTCAGGAGGCTCAAGCGAGAGAATCCTTGAACCCGGGAGGCAGAGGTTGTAGTGAGCCAAGTTCGTGCCATTGCACTCCAGCCTGGGTGACAGAGCAAGACCCCATTTCAAAAAAGAAAGAAAGAAATAGAGAAATAAGAAAGCAGAGCTCAGGAGGCAAAACAAGGTTTGGAATAGAGACTTTGTAATTATTTAAACTGGAAGAGAATTCACTCTATAAGAAAAATGGTGTTGAGAAACAAGAGAAGAGAGCTTGAAGGCAAACATTTTATAAGTGCCATTTACAGTGTCAAGAGAGAAGGAACTTCCATTGAGAGAATAGCCAAGAAACCCAAGGAAAATGGGAGTTTCATTAAGGGGGTAGGGAGTGATGATTAAGGTCAAGGGCTCAGGAGGTCTAAAAGGCCCAGATCATTAGAATAAACAGTGAAAAATTTCTAAACAGGGCTTTCTAATCTGAGGATTAAGCTCATACCCTTTAACGGGCATTAAATTTTAGAGAAGATTTTGAGTTTTGGAAAGATCTTGTATTTTTCCAGGACACCACACAATGAATATGACCCTGTTTTCAGTAAATACACAGTTGTCTTTCATGGTGTGGTAGCACAAACCCTGCATTAATAAGAAAGTGAATCTTAGGGCATATTGTCATTACCATTCCCATACAAAGCTCTGTCCCTATTTTTCATCCACACAAGGGATGGCATTGTCTGCCAGAGATGAGCATTTGAACTAAAGTTCATGGCTTGGCTGGGATCTTCCTTTTGGCTGCACTTTCCCAGCGATCAGCTGCCTGTCATAGGCTCTGGTGTTACTGACACCCCAAACAAGACGGAAGCTCAGGAAAACAAACAACTCGGAGCTGCTTTCCCTTCCTGGAGTGTCAAAAGCTACATTCAAAATACCAAATGTTATATTAAATCTCAACTGAAGATGAAAGCACGCTCGGTGAAAGATTCATTATTTCACTTTGCTGAGTCGAATTCAAGGCTTGGCTTCAGGACTGAAAGCCATAATTGGTAGCAAATGTTCCCTAATCTTTCCACAAGCTATTTTCTCATTTTCTCTTTCTAGCATAGATTGCACTCCACACTTCCACACTCTCCAAGCAGATGTAAGATGAACAGAAAAGTCTAGTTTTGTATTTTTTAAAAGCCCACCACAACACTTTACGACTGAATTTTCCCATTTGCCTGTTTAAGTTTCCGCTGCCATCCAGACATTTCCATCTCAGACACATCAGAGGCAAAATAGAAGAACTGTATTACTTTGGAATTCAAAAAGTTTACACAAGTCCATTAGTAACGCCCCAAAGAGCCTGGGTGGCAAACATTTTTAGTGCCAGCATATTAATCAGTTTTTCCCTAAAGTGTTAACTAAATGGATAGTCTTCAGGATTTCCTGAGGCCCCCTGGTCAGAGTTGCAGGAGCACAGCACATGAGCATGCCACAACACCACTGCTACCTGCCTGTTCCCATGACACCATGCTACATGCCTGTTCCCACAACATGCTACACGCCTATTCCCACAACATCACTGCTACACACCTGTTCCCACAACACTATGCTGCATGCCTGTTCCTATGACACCACTGCTACATGCCTACTCCCACAGGACCATACTACATACAAGCCTGTTCCCACAACACCATGCTACACACCTATTCTCACAACAACATGCTACCTGCCTACTTTCCCAAACAAATCATAGGAACTTCTGTAAAGCAGTGAATAGCTGAAATGTCATTCTAAAATGCATATTTTAAAGACAACGAGGGAAATTTCTAATTTGCAAAATTAGAAATTTGCAAAGATTTGTGATGCTTGATAAACAGTCCCAGGGTAGAATGAGCTTTCATCTATGGGAATGTATTCATACATACTATCATCTTACACTTCTTTCATTCATTAAAATACTTTTTAAGCAAAAAGTACAATGAGATCAGTTGTAAATGATAGATGAACCTTCAAAGTCCATTGGCTTAGTTCCATAATAGGGCCACTCTGGAAATAGAAGACAGGAGAGACTCTTCTAGTATGTAGCCGTGTTCCTCTCCAGTGTCTGCTGAGAGTCTTCAGAGACGAGCAGGGGTGAGGATGGAGCGGAGGAAAAGGGATTCCTCTCCGACCGCACTTGCACTGCAGGTGGTTGAGCAGGTGTTCTCCTTAGTGAAGGTCCCCTGATGGAGCTGATCTCCTGCAAGCCTTGAAATGCAGTCCCTGAAGCAATGGAAAATGTCAGATCCTGTATGGGGTGACCAGTTAGGAAGAGAAGAAATTCTCAGTTGAACTTAGACAAACCTAAGCCAGAGAAAAATGTTTTAACATGCTGTCTTAGAGCTGGGATGATGAGCAAGGAGGAAGAGAACTCATACTTCCCATGTGCCTAGTTTAAGCTCGGTATTCTGAAGTGCTTAACTCACTTCACCCTCACAAATTTCCTGGAAGGTGGCTAACTCTAAAATCCCCACCTTGGTCTACAAGGCAACAGGGACTCTTCTTCTGGGCACCTCCCCTCCAACGTCTTCACCCTTCCGGCTCTCCTGCCCCAGCCACCAAACAGGCTGTGACTCTGCTGTGGTGCTGTGCCCCTGCCTGGGTATTCTGCCCCTAGATTTGTGACTGGGTCCCTCACTGCCTTCATTTAGGCCTCCTTGCAAATGACACCTCCTTATTTAAATGGCACCACCCCCATGCTCTTTCCCCAACGCTGCTTTATTTTTCTGCACAGCATATATGCTGAGTTGAATAATGTCCCCCAAGAATTCATGTCCACCCAGAACCTCAGAACGTGAACTTGTTTGGAAATAGGGTCTTCAGAGATGTAATTAGTTAAGATGAAGTTATATTGGATGAAGGTAGGCCCTAAATCCAATATGACTGGCATCTTTACAAGAAGAAGAGAGGACACAAAGGGACACACACAGGAAGAAGGCCATGTGACCAGGACGCAGAGACTGGAGTGATGCAGTTGTAAGTCAGGGAATGCCAAGGGCTGCAGGCAGTCCCCAGAAGCCAGGAAGAGGCAAGGAAGGATTCTTTTAGGGAACCTTCAGAGGACGTATGGCGTGGCTGACACATTCATCTCAGATTGCTGGCCTCCAGAACCATGAAAGAATAAATTTCTGTTGTTTTAAGCCACCCAAGTTTGCAGTACTTTTTCACAGTAACCCCAAGAAATGAATATAGCATTTGTCACTACCTGACATATATATATGTATACATATGAGTTTTTTTGTAGTTTTTTTGAGACAGAGTTTTCGCTCTTGTTGCCCAGGCTGGAGTGCAATGGTGCAATCTCGGCTCACTGCAGCCTCCGCCTCCCAGGTTCAAGTGATTCTCTTGCCTCAGCCCCCCAAGTAGCTGGGATTACAGGCCCATGCCACAACCCCTGGCTAATTTTTTGCATTTACTAGAGACAGGATTTCACCATGTTGGTCGGGCTGGTCTCGAACTCCTGACCTCAGGTGATCCACCCACTTCAGCCACTTAAAGTGCTGGGATTACAGGCGTAAGCCACTGCGGCTGGTCCTATATATATTTTTTTTATCAGTTAGTTCATCTCTGTCTTTCCCCACAGGGACATACAGTCTTTTTTTTTTTTTTTTTTTTTTTCTGAGACAGAGTCTTGCTCACCCAGGCTGGAGTGCAGTGGCATGATCTTGGCTCACTGCAAGCTTAAGCAATTCTTCTGCCTCAGCCTCTCCAGTAGCTGGGATTACAGGCGCGTGCCACCATGACCAGCTAATTTTTGTATTTTTAGTAGAGACGGGGCTTCACCATGTTAGCTGGGCTGGTCTTGAACGTCTGACCTCAAATCATCCACTTGTCTTGGCCTCCCAAAATGCTAGGATTACAGGCGTAAGCCACCACACCTGGCCAGACATACAGTCTTTAAGACAGGGCTTTGTTGTTCTTGTTCATTGTTGTGCTTCTAGTGACTAGATCCTTAAGCCATTGCTAGCTTTGGGGATGGAAGGGAACAGGCATTCAGGCAGTCCTCCAGGAGCCAAGAAAGGGAAGGAACGCGATTGTCCCCTACAGCCTCCAGAAATGAATGCAGCCCTGCCCACATCTTGACATTGGGAATTCTGACCTCCCAACATAGGATAAAAGATTTGTATTAAAGCCAGAAAATTTGTGATAATTTATTATCACAAAAATAGGAAACCAATATGCATTGTCACCTAGAATGTGTTTTTTGCTCTCTTTCTGTCCCCTGGTTGAGCTCTCCCATAACCTAGGGCCAAGGGAAGGGTCAATTATGTGCCCACTGATACCTCTGACCTGGAGACCTAAAGTTGCAAATAGGATGTTAGTGATTAGCAGCAAAGGAAAAGATGATAAATGCTAATGCCTCTGCATCCATTTAAGAGCTGAGTGCCAACAAATTTCCAAAAATAGAATTCAGTGTTCTCTGAAACTCTTGAAAATAAAATAACTTTGAAAAAGTAATGTAAAGCCATGAATAAAGATCATGGGATGGAACATTTTCTTCCTTCCTGACATAGAAACTCCTTAATAATATCCTTACATGGGGATCTACGAAAAGAAGAGGGGGAGGGATACCAAAGAGCAAAATTCCGCATGCTTGCCAAAAGAAATATAAAATATTGAATAATGGTAGGGTGGTTTGCTAGAATATTTTTTAAAAATATTTTTAAATGAGTCCCCCCACCTCCCCACCCAGTTATAGAGGAGTGGTGAGAGGAGTTCTTGTTTATTGAAGAAGTTGGGAGCTTGGACAGAGGAAGAGCAACTCCACCTTCTGCAGGAAAACTGAATGAGCAGGAATCTGGGATTCTTACCAAGGCTCCTGATTCCAGATCTAATGATCTTCTGCATCATGTATCATTGCTGATTACAAAGGAAAAGCAAACCAACAAACACATCTCCCCAAAACTGGGGAGGCAGCCTTGGACCTGGCTATTTCAGTTGAAAGAGCTGAGGATTGGCCAGATGCGGTGGCTCACGCCTGTAATCCCAGAACTCTGGGAGGCCGAGGCAGGCGGATCACGAGGTCAGGAGATCGACACCAGCCTGGCCAACAGGGTGAAACCCCATCTCTACTAAAAATACAAAAAATTAGCTGGGCGTGGTGGCGGGTGCCTGTAATCCCAGCTACTCGGGAGGCTGAGGCAGGAGAATGGCATGAACCTGGGAGGCGGAGCTTGCAGTGAGCTGAGGTCGCACCACTGCACTCCAGCCTGGGCGACAGAGTGAGACTCCGTCTTAAAAAAAAAAAAAAAAAAAAAAAAAGAGCTGAGGATTTAGAATCAGACACACTTGGGGGAGTTCTCGCTCCTTCTCCTGCACCAGCAGTGGGACCTTGAGAAAGGGGCTTAACTCCTTAAGCCCCTCAGCTCCTGCGTTTGAAAAGTGGCCATTATAACCCCTACCTAGGAGAGACTATAAGGAGTCAATAACCAACACTTCGCCTATGGGCAAATAGTCAAAAAATAGTAACTGTTACTATCATTATTTTTCAATCACTATTTAATCTAGTGCCTCAAAGTCCACTGTTAGAGAGAATTCATTTAGGTTATTGACTTAATCTTCTTTTAAAACCAAAATACCCTGGCAGGGATTGTACACTATATCACAATCAGGAACTCACATCTGAGTGTGAATGCCTTTTTCAGATAGAGGGAGAAGGAAGCCGGGTAAGGAGCTAAAACACATTTTGCTTCAGAAGCGCATTCGGCCATGACCTTGCCAGTTACTAGCTGGGTGATTCTGGGCAATTCATGGAAACTTCTTGAGCCATGTTGCCCTCGTCTGTGAAATGGGAATGCTGTATTTAAATGGTTATTGAGTGAATCAAATGAGCGAACATGTGAACATGCTTTGTAAACTGTAAAGAGTATAGATGAAAAAGCCAAACTCTAAAATATTTGGAGAGGTTTATTCTGAGCAAATGTGAAGACCATGACTTGTGACACAGCATCGGGCAGTCCTGAGAACATGTGCCCAGGGTGATTGGGTTGCACTGCTTCATTTTATACTTTTTGAGGAAACAGAAGTTACAGGCAGAGACGTAATCTGTACGTGTAAGTTCTAAATTGGTTTGCCCTGGAAAGGGGACATATTGAAGGGCAGGGAGAGGTGGCTTCCAAGACATAGGTGGATTCAAAGATTTCCTGATTGGCAATTGATTGAAAGAGTTAAGCTTTGCCTAAAGAGTTGAAGTCAGCAGAAAGAAATGCTTGGGGCTAAGATAACGGGAGTTGTGGAAGCCAAGAATCTATTACATAGGTTTCAGAGAGAGTAGCTGGTCAATGTCTCTTATCAGAGCTTAAAAGCTATCAGGGGGCCGGGCGCGGTGGCTCACGCCTGTAATCCCAGCACTTTGGGAGGCCGAGGCGGGTGGATCATGAGGTCAGGAGATCGAGACCATCCTGGCTAACAAGGTGAAACCCCGTCTCTACTAAAAATACAAAAAATTAGCCGGGCGCGGTGGCGGGCGCCTGTAGTCCCAGCTACTCAGGAGGCTGAGGCAGGAGAATGGCGTGAACCCGGGAAGCGGAGCTTGCAGTGAGCCGAGATTGCGCCACTGCAGTCCGCAGTCCGGCCTGGGTGACAGAGCGAGACTCCGTCTCAAAAAAAAAAAAAAAAAGCTATCAGGGGCTGGGTGCAGTGGCTCATACCTGTAAACCCAGCGCTTTGGGAGGCCAAGGCTGGTAGATCACATCAGGTCAGGAGTTTAAGACCAGCCTGGCCAACATGGTGAAACCCTGTCTCTACTAAAAATACAAAAATTAGCTGGGCATGGTGGCACACGCCTGTAATTCCAGCTACTCAAGAGGCTGAGTCAGGAGAATCACTTGAACCCGGGAGGCAGAGGTTGCAGTGAGCCTAGGTAGTGCCACTGCACTCCAGCCTGGGTGACAAGAGCGAAACTCCATCTAAAAAAAAAAAAAAAAAAAAAAAAAAGTTATCAGGCTCTTAGTGAAATCTCTTGTGGAACAGGAAAAGACCTGGAAAGAGAAGGAGGCTGTCTGCAGAATGTAAATTTTCCCCACAAGAGATGGCTTTGAAGGGCCATTAAAAAATATGTCAAATAAATATATGTTAGGGTAAAATACTTTGATTTCCTTTAGGGCCTGTTACCTGTCATATGATGTTATCAGTATCTTACTGCTACAGAGAGTCTGTTCTGTCAGTCTGGGATGTGTATGCTAATGTCAATGTTGGTCGGTTGAGTCTGAACTCCAGAAGGGAGAGGGTATAATGAGGCATGTCTGACCCCTGCCTTCCCATTACGGCCTTAACTAGTTTTTCAGGTTTCTTGGAATCCCTTTGGTGGATTCCATGAAACGCAGTTCATTCAGCCGGTTGGGGGACTTAGAATTTTATTTTTGGTTTATAAGAGCTATGGCAGCTTTGAATTATATTACCTTGGGGCTTAGAAGAATTTTCTCAACTGATATACTGATATATTCCAAGCACGAAATTCTTCACTATTATTATCTAAAACCATTTATAATTTATTATTATACATTATTATATTAAACATTATAATTTTCTGTTATAAATATGATTCAGATTGAACTCTCATTTTCTTCCTTGGTGGTATTACTCTGAACTCAGCTGAAGAAAAAGAGTTATATTAGAGTAAAAAATGGGCTGGGCACAGTGGCTCACGCCTGTAATCCCAGCAAATTAGGAGGCCGAGGCAGGCAGATCACTTGAGGTCAGGAGTTCGAGACCAGCCTGGCCAACATGGTGAAACCCCTTCTATAATAAAAATACAAAAAATTAGCCAGGCATGGTGGCTGGCGCCTGTAATCCTAGCTACTTGGGAGGCTGCGGCAGGAGAAATGCTTGCGCCTGGGAGGTGGAGGTTGCAGTGAGCAAAGATTGCACCACGTACTACAGCCTGAGTGACAGAATGAGACTCCATCTCAAAAAAATAAAAATAAAATAAATTAAAAGTAAGATTGGAAGTCAGAGAACAAGAAAATCATAGATGTGGATCTAATGTTTCCTTTGATGAAACTGTCCCCCTCCCGCCTCCCCGTTTCTCTATGTTGGATGCTGCTGAGAGTTCTACATTGTTGGCATAAAGGCTAGAAACCAGTAATAAAATATAATCAGAGCAGAAAGTATTAGAAAAAAAGCCTGGGGAGGAATTTACTTTAAAACAATGTTGCCAGGTTATTTCAGCAGGTAATGTGAGCCACCAATATGTTTTATTTTATGGAAAAGTAGATGATTCAATTCGCACACATGCACATTTATGTATTCAGATACATCCGTTTATTCAGAGGAACATTTAATTTTAGCATGAATTCAAAGAGGTTGAAAGCTGCTTCAAAAGGAGTTTTGAGGACATACCTTAATTAGATGTCCTCATCAACTATCTCCCATTTTTTTCATGTTCCCTGATATGAAGTTGAAAGCATAGTTAGAATTGGAAGTTATAGCATCCCTGCTTTTAGGGGGCTACATATAAAAATTGTGTGATGGCTCATCGTTTAGCAAATTAATAATGCCCTAGTAAATGCACCAGGGCACAGTAAGGCTGGATCAATTTTTACGCAGCCTGCTCTGGAGAGAGCCTTGCTTGAGAACAGCAGGAAACCTTATCATTAATGAATGCTTTTCTCTACTTCCTTTCCTTTGCCTACAACTGATTTGAATAACAATGTCACTTTGCAATCACTAAATTGAAGACATATATTTTTGAGGAAATAATAATCACCTTCCCCTACCCCACTCTCAAGCCAACCAAAAAATCTCCATTAATACATACAGCAGCTGCGTGCAAAGTCTCGAAAGCCTTGAGACTGTCTGCTTGGCTGACTGAGCACATGAGATGAGGATCTGGACCTGGCATGACAGTTTCCTCAATGCGATGCTTGTGAGTTTTCTCTTTGTGAGGGCTGAGCAATTACAGAGTATAATTTCAACAGAAGTGCTTAACTGCAAAGAGCTCATTTTACACAAGTGCCTATAGTAACCAGGGCCACACAGCCGGATAGAAAGGAGAGGAAAGAATTAATAACTGATATATTCTGGGTCTCTAAAGTATTCTAAAAAAGAACTGTTATGTTTCTAAAGAAAACAACTGCTTGATTATAGGAATCTCTTCTATGATGCCATTTTATTGAGTTAGAAAAAAAATTACCTTATCCTCAATTTGCATGACACCACTAGAACAATGCCAAAGGGAACAGAGAGATCAATAAACAGTAACGGAGTCTTGGTATGGTGGCACTTTGGGAGGCTGAAGTGGAAGGGTTACTTGAGCTCAGGAGTTTGAGACCAGCCTGGACAACATGGCAAAACCCCATCTCTACTAAAAATACAAAAAATTAGCTGGGCATAGTGGTGTGCACTACTTGGGAGGCTGACGTGGGAGGATGGCTTGAGCCCAGGAGGTGGAGGTTGCAGTGAGCCCAGATCATGCCACTGTACTCCAGCCTGGGCAACAGCCTTTTCTCACTTTCTCAAAAAAAGAAAAAAAGTAACAGAAACATCCTATATAATCACCTATATTGTTAAAAAGAAAAGCAAATAGTGTAAGATAGTTTCCTCTTTAACTATGGCCCACCAAGTACTTAAAAAATAGTATGAATATATGAATATGGTCTCCCCACTCACCTCCCAATCACAGTTATTGTTTTAATGGTTTAATGTTTGTGTGGTCCTTTTCCCTGCAACAGTTTGCATGGAAGAATGTTCCCCAATTTTCCTGTGTAAAGCAGGTAGACAAACCAGAAAGACAGAAAATTTCTGATTTTGTACATGGCTACATAATTAAAAACTCTGTACCCCTCATGGAAACTAGCTTGTTGGTGGAGGTGAATGAATTATTCTTAGCACATGAGGATAAATATCAGATATGGACGGATAGTTTATTAAGTGACAATCTTGTCTATTGGGGGAAAATTCATTATTTTTATTTTCTGGAAGGCCATCTCCAATGCTGAGTGTATATTTTGGTTTGTAGAGTACAGACACCTTTAAAAATGTTTAATCACTCATGTTTTCAAAGATGTAGTACATACACATGGGACCAAATTCAAAAGATACAAAATAATTTACAGGAAAGTCCCCATCTTATTCCCACTCTCCAGGGAAAACCACTGTTAACAGGTTTTTGTGTTACCTTCCAGAAACATTTCTATGCACGTACCAGCAAATACATACTGTCCCAATCCTTATTTTCTTCTCACTTATCTCTTTATCTTGGATATGGTTCCATATCTGTACGTAAAAATGAACTTTGGTCTATTTCACATGGGTTGAAGACACATTTTATATCCTATAAATGTAAAATGGGGCTGGCATGGTGACTCACGCCTGTAATCCCAGCATTTTGGGATGCTGACACGGGAGGATTCCTCGAGCCCAGGAATTAAAAACCAGCCTGGGCAACATAGGGAGACTGTCTCTACAAAAAATTTTAAAAATTAGCCAGGCACTGGGGGTACTCACCTGTGGTCCCAGCTACTCAGGAGGCCGAGGTAGGAGGATTGCTTAATCCTGGAGGTCAAGGCTGCGGTGAGCTATGACTGTGCCACTGCACTCCAGCCTGAGCAATAGAGTAAGACCCTGTCTCAAAAAACAAAACAAACCAACCAACCAACCAGGAAAACAAAACCAACCCTGGTCAGTGTGGTGGCTCACACCTGTAATCTCAGCACTTTGGAAGGCCAAGGAAGGAGGAATGCTTGAGCCTAGGAGTTTGAGACCAGCCTGGGCAATAAAGCAAGACTTTATTTCTACAAAACATTTAAAAATCAGTAAAAAAATAAAAATAGGCCGGGCGCAGTGGCTCACGCCTGTAATCCCAGCACTTTGGGAGGCCGAGGCGGGTGGATCACAAGGTCAGGAGATTGAGACCATCCTGGCTAACATGGTGAAACCCTGTCTCTCCTAAAAATACAAAAAATTAGCCAGGTGTGGTGGCAGGTGCCTGTAGTCCCAGGTACTCGGGAGGTTGAGGCAGGAGAATCGCTTGAACCTGGGAGGCTCAGGAGATCAAGACCATCCTGGCTAACATGGTGAAACCCCGTCTCTACTAAACATACTAAACATACAAAAAATTGGCCAGGTGTGGTGGCGGGCACCTGTAGTCCCAGCTACTCGGGAGGCTGAGGCAGGAGAATGGCATGAACCCAGGAGGCGGAGCTTACAGTGAGCCGAGATGGCGCCCCTGCACTCCAGCCTGGGCGAAAGAGCGAGACTCTGTATCAAAAAAAAAAAAAAAAAAGAAGTTACCCGTGGTTCCTTGCCAGATGACTTCCTTACAACATGGTGGCTCATTTCTCCAAGGCCAACAGGAGAATCTCTCACTCTAGTCAGCTAAGACAGAGTCCTCCACAATGGAACTTAATCACAGGACTGATATCCCATAACCTCTGTCATATTCTATTGGATAGACACAAATCACAAGTTCCACCCTTTTTTAAAAATTTTTATTTTTTTTTGAGACAGAGTCTCGCTCTGTTGCCCAGGCTGCAGTGCAGTGGTGCAATCTCGGCTCACTGCAACCTCTGCTTCCCAGGTTCAAGTGATTCTCCTGCCTCAGACTCCTGAGTAGCTGGGACTACAGGCACCTGCCACCATGTCTGGCTAATTTTTGTATTTTTAGTAGAGACAGGGTTTCACCATGTTGGTCAGGCTGGTCTCAAACCCCTGACCCCAGGTGATCCACCCACCTTGGCCTTCCAAAGTGTTGGAATTACAGGCATGAGCCACCACACCCGGTTATGTTCCACCCATATTTAAGGGCAGATTATACGAGGGTGTAACACATTGGAAGTCTTCTTAGAATTCTGCCTAGTACAGAGGGGTAAGTCAGTCTGCTGTTCCTAGCCCTTGAATTGTTTTCCCTAAACCTGGCCTATACCTTTAAATGGTCCCTCAATTAAATTCTCTTCAAATTACCCATTGGAGTGCTCCATCTGTTCCTGCCAGGACCCTTACTGGTAAAATCCCTCTGCAGGTGACCTGCTTTGATAATGTGCTTTCCTGAGTCTTTTTTGAGCCTGGGCCAGCTGGTGGCTGGACTTGAGAGAGCTCGGACTGAGCTAAACTGCTTAGCATTGCAAAGGAAAAGGTGGCAATGGCTTCCACTTGGCTGCAGCCAGGGAGAGTGAATGAAGAGAGAGCAGGGCCCCACAGCAGAGAAACTCGTAACAGATAACTAATGGGGAATCTGGGGGGTGAAATGCTGAGTGATACGCAGCGGAAACCTTCTCACAGTCTGTACATTTCACATTGTTCGCTCCTGCCTCAGGTTGGCATCTTCTCTTTGGGGAACAAAGGGAAGAACAGAGTCCTGCTTTGAAGCTCGTTTGAAGCATGAACAAACGGTGCCTGTAAACAACCATATCCGGGGTCTATGTGGCATCTGAGCCGCTGTGACACTTGGGAGTCACACTGCTCTCTATCAGCATTTTGAACACTCATCTTTTTATTGTCTTCTTTTTCCTTTAAAAAAATGTAAAAACAAACAAAAAGATTAAACAAATAAGAAAGAAAACAAAAACATAAAAACAGACTTCTCATTTTAAAAATTATATCACTTTAGGCCGGACTCGGTGGCTCACGCCTGTAATCCTAGCACTTTGGGAGGTCGAGGCAGGCAGATCACCTGAGGTCAGGGGTTCAGGACCAGCCTGGCCAACATGGCGAAACCCTGTCTCTACTAAAAACACAAAAATTAGCCGGGAGTTGTGGCGCATACCTGTAATCCCAGGTACTCCGGAGGCTGAGGCAGGAGAATCGCTTGAACCCAGGAGGTGGAGGTTGCAGTGAGCTGAGATCGCACCACTGTATTCCAAGCCTGGGCAACAGAGTGAGACTCCAACTGAAAAAAAAAAAAAAAAAAAAATATATATATATATATATATATATATATATATAACTTTAGAACATTCACTGTCATTTTTTTTTAAATGTGCTTGTTAAAAAGTACAACAGTTCCTAGACAACTGGTCCCAATGCATAAAGAGGCCCTGTCTGAAGCTTGAAAACTTGCCCTATTACTTAGCATTGCACATTTGCGATTATTTCATTAACTATAATGCACAATAATCCAGTGACCTATCTTCAAAGGATCCAAGGCTAGAGAAGCAAAACTACTAACCTAAAAGCAAAATATTTTAGAAAGCAGCCCAAACAAGGTGATGGTTTACATCTTGCAACGTTACATTTATTTGAGTATTTGAGAAGCATAAAAGCATAACCTTAAATCCCATTTAATTGCATCCTGAAGACCATCATGTAAGTCATCATGGCCATTCTCAGGGACAGCATGGAACAGTGGTTCTCAAAATGTGGTCCCCAGACCAGAATCACCAGCATCACCTGGGAAGCACTTGTGGGCAATGCAAATTCTTAGACCCCGACCCAGACATGTGAATTGGAAACTCTGGGGCTGGACAAAGTAATCTATGGTTTAACAAGCCTCCAGGTGATTCTTACATACTCTATAGATCGATAATCACTGGCTAGAAACAGAAAGACTAGTACTTAATGACTTTCACCAGTGTGTGTAAGGGTAGTGCTCTTTAAACAGACAGAGAGAGAAGGAGGTATCAGTAACTTGAAAACTAAGGTTCCTTCTCATGGCTATCTGGGATGTCAGGCAAGAGCAAACCTATTGCAGGCGCTGTCCATAGGTTACTAGGCAACACCACCTCTTCTCCACACCAAATCTCTCCATTCTTTTCCTTTGAGCTTATTTTAGTATTCGGTTGAACAGTTTTAGTTCAGCAGGTCGAGATTTTGTAAGGCTCATTGTCTGGGGATGGTTCAGGATACATGAAACTACTTTTAAAGGGCATCTTTTAAAATGAGCATTTTTTTTTCATTTTAATTATTGTTCTTCAGAAACTAGAGGTTGAGACAGATGAGCTCTTATAATCTCTCCCAATTCAGAATTCCATAAAGTTCAAATGCTACTCTAAAAATTGCTTTAAATATGATGACTTTAAAAAACCAGATTAACCAGCAGTGTAATGTTTTCTATTTGAAAGATTTCTCATGATTGTTTCCAGTTACTCCTCCTAATTTCTCTTTTGCCAACTCTTTCCCACAAGAAGGGAAAAAAAAAATCTGTACATCATTTGTTCATTTATTCATGCATTCATTCTATTAACTTTGGCTGAGGATAAAAAATGTGGCAGGAGATGCAGAAAAGGCCTTCAACAAAATTCAACAGCCCTTCATGCTAAAAACTCTCCATAAACTAGGTATTGATGGAACGTATCTCAAAATAATAAGAGCTATTTATGACAAATCCACAGCCAATATTATACTGAATGGGCAAAAACTGGATGTATTCCCTTTGAAAACTGGCACAAGACAGGGATGCCCTCTCTCACCACTCCTGTTCAACATAGTCTTGGAAGTTCTGGCCAAGGCAATCAGGCAAGAGAAAGAAATAAAGGGTATTCAATTAGGAAAAGAGGAAGTCAAATTGTCCCTATTTGCTGATGACATGATTGTATATTTAGAAAACCCCATCGTCTCAGCCCAAAATCTCCTTAAGCTGATAAGCAACTTCAGCAAAGTCTCAGGATATGAAATCAATGTGCAAAAATCACAAGCATTCCTATACGCCATTAACAGACAAACAGAGAGCCAAATCATGAGTGAATTCCCATTCACAATTGCTACAAAAGAATAAAACACCTAGGAATCCAACTTAAAGGGATGTGAAGGACCTCTTCAAGGAGAACTACAAATCACTGCTCAATGAAATAAAAGAGGACACAAACAAATGGAAGAATATTCCATGCTTATGGATAGGAAGAATCAATATCATGAAAATGGCCATACTACCCAAGGTAATTCATAGATTCAATGCCATCCCCATCAAGCTACCAATGACTTTCTTCACAGAATTGGAAAAAACTACTTTAAAGTTCATATGGAACCAAAAAAAGAGCCTGCATTGCCAAGACAAGCCTAAGTAAAAAGAACAAAGCTGGAGGCATTATGCTACCTGACTTCAAACGGTACTACAAGGCTACAGTAACCAAAACAGCATGGTACTGGTACCAAAACAGATATATAGACCAATGGAACAGAACAGAGGCCTCAGAAATAATGCCACAGATCTACAACCATCTGATCTTTGACAAACCTGACAAAAACAATAAATGGGGAAAGGATTCCCTATTTAATAAATGGTGGCTGGGAAAACTGGCTAGCCATATGTAGAAAGCTGAAACTGGATCCCTTCCTTACACTTTATACAAAAATTAAGTCAAGATGGATTAAAGATGTAAATGTTAAACCTAAAACCATAAAAACCCTAGAAGAAAACCCAGGCAATACCATTCGGGACATAGGCATGGGCAAGGACTTCATGTCTAAAACACCAAAAGCAATGGCAACAAAAGCCAAAATAGACAAATGGGATCTAATTAAACTAAAGAGCTTCTGCACAGCAAAAGAAACTACCGTCAGAGTGAACAGGCAACCTACAGAATAGGAGAAAGATTTGGAATCTACCCATCTGACAAAGGGCTAATATCCAGAATCTACAAAGAACTCAAACAAATTTACAAGAAAAAAACAAACAACCCCATTAAAAAATGGGCAAAGGATATGAACAGACACTTCTCAAAAGAAGACATCTATGCAGCCAACAGACACGTGAAAAAATGCTCACCATCACTGGTCATCAGAGAAATGCAAATCAAAACCACAATGAGATACCATCTCATGCCAGTTAGAATGGCAATCATTAAAAAGTCAGGAAACAACAGATGCTGGAGAGAATGTGGAGAAATAGGAACTGTTTTACATTGTTGGTGGGAGTGTAAATTGGTTCAACCATTGTGGAAGGCAGTGTGGTGATTCCTCAAGGATCTAGAACTAGAATTACCATTTGACCCAGCAATCCCATTACTGGATATATACCCAAAGGATTATAAATCATGCTACTATAAAGACACATGCACACGTATGTTTATTGCGGCACTATTCACAATAGCGAAGACTTGGAACCAACCCAAATGTCCATCAATGATAGACTGGATTAAGAAAATGTGGCACATATATACCATGGAATACTATGCAGCCATAAAAAAGGATGAGTTTATATCCTTTGCAGGGACATGGATGAAGCTGGAGACCATCATTCTGAGCAAACTATCACAAGGATAGAAAACCAAACACCGCATGTTCTCACTCATAGGTGGGAACTGAACAATGAGATCACTTGGACACAGGGCGGGGAACATCACACACTGGGGCCTGTTGCGGGGTGAGGGACTGAGGGAGGGATAGCATTAGGAGAAATACCTAATGTAAATGATGAGTTGATGGTTGCAGCAAACCAACATGGCACATGTGTACCTATGTGTCAAAACTGCACGTTGTGCCCACGTACCCTAGAACTTAAATTAAAAAAAAAAAACAACAATGTGGCAGGAGTGCAATAGCTGATGGTTATACAAGCAGCTTCCAACCCAGTAAAGGGGAAAGACATGGAAAGAGATCACCACAGAACAGTGTACGAATGCAACCACTAGAATAGGCCCAGTGTATTCCCAGAGCTCAGAGTAGTGACCTTGAAGATGAAGCCAGGGAAGCCTTCATGGATGATGTAAGTAGGTGTTATGGAGTGGGAGAGGGAGGGAAGGCACAGAGGTGAGAAAAGGCCTGGCAAATGCAGATGAATGGCTGCAGTCCATAGTCAGAAGCAGGAGGTGTCAATAGTGAGGTTTGTAGGGACCTGATTGATGAAGGAGCTGAAGGAGATGGGCAGCCACTGAAGAACTAAAAGCAGGAAGGATATGATTATATTTGCATGGAAGGATTTCCTCTTCAGCAGCTGAGGAAGAAATTAGGGAGCCGGGCATGGTGGCTCATGCCTGTAATCCTAGCACTCTGGGAGGCCGAGGCGGGCGGATTGCCTGAGCTCAGGAGTTCAAGACCAGCCTGGGCAACATGGAGCAACCCCGTCTCTACTAAAAAAAAAAATCCACAAAGTAGCTGGGCATGGTGGTGTATACCTGTAATCTCAGCTACTCGGGAGGCTGAGGCATGAGAATCGCTTGAACCCAAGAGGCGGAGGTTGCAGTGAGCCAAGATCATGCCACTGCACTCCAGCCGGGGCGACAGAGCAAGACTCTGTTAAAAAAAAAAAAAAAAGGAAGAAGAAATTAGGAGATGATAGCACTGAGCAAGACAGACTGCTGAGGATGAGGATGCTGACACAGTGGTCCAAGAGAGAATGACATAGACTTGGACTGGGACATTGGTAATGAGGATAGAGAAAACTGGACTAACTTGAGAAATACCCAAGAGGCTAAACAGGCAGAACTGAGTGATTCCTTGGGTGTTGATAATGAAGGACAGGAAGGAGTTTAGAATGAAACCCAATTTCTAACCTAGTGATAGGTGGTGTTTCCACTGGAGATTGAGAATACTGGAGGAAGAGATAGTTTAGGTTCTGTTTTGGTACATGTGAGATGTTTATCTATCCATCTAGTAGGAAATAGGATATATGAGTTATCTTCTTAAGGAGGAAAATAAAAGTTTTAGAGTAACAGATTTGGGAGTTGTCAATGTAGAGATAATGTTGAAACAATGAGTGAGTGTGGAAAACATCACCCAGATAAAATGTAACAAAGACTGGGGTGGGGGATTAAGCCTTGGGGGACCTTGGAGTTTAAGGAGTTAAGGAGTGAGTGGAAGAAGATAAGCCCATAAAAGAGAGAATGATAAATGTCAGGAAGAATCAAAAGATTCATAAATGTCAGGAAATGTAAACCAGTAAATGTCACAGAAGTCAAAAGGAACAAATGTTTCAGGAAGGAAGGATAAGTTAGCAATGAACAATGTCTCCAAAAGATACAAGAAGTTGGCTGAAAAACACTCACGGCACAGAGCAATTAGGAAGTCATTGGTTGTCTTTAAGGAGCATATTTTTAATAGAAAAAAGAATGCAGGGGTTTGTGGGGCAAAAGGAAGTTGAAGGGGAGAGAGAGAATGTAGACAACTCTTCGGAGAAGAGAGAAGCTGGGCAGAGATTATTTTCTTTTTAAATGAGTGAGGCTAGAATAATTTGTCATCTAAAGCAAGATACTCATGAGAGGGAAATGATGAAGAAAATCAGAGAAATAAAGGGCCAGAGCAAAATCTAGCAGGAGAAGGAGTGGTGCCACAGAAATGGTGAAAGCAAGTAAAGACATGCACTATCCATAGCTGCCTGGAGGAAAGGATGCAGGAGCAGGCAAGCAGAAGACAGACTCAAAAGCCTAAGAAGGAGACAGTGAGGAGGAATAGTCTTGGGGGAGGAGTGGGGAGGAGGAATAAATGCTCTGAAGGGCTGCCTTGCATACTGTGGAATCTAGTGCAACACACAAGCTCAAAGCCAGATATAGGCTCAGAATAAATCATACACTTGCACCTCTGGCTGTTCTTTGGGCTCCACACAAGCAGGAGGTAAAGGCTAAGGCACAGTTGAGGGAGCACCCCAGCCAATATGCAAAGACCAATGGAGTTGCTTTTATTTTTCTTTTTGGCTCCAGGCATTCAAGGAAACCTCTGTCAGGTCACTGGCTGACCACTGAAATAATAGAACACAGACTTCAGTGACTACGCAAACAAAGAACATGGTCTGTACAAAAATAGTTTGGAAAAGTCACTAAACAAACAGATTACTGCAGTCCTCAACAATCAACAACAGCAAACCCTGGGGAGAACAGAAAGTATGCTATCTAGAGTTACCACAGTATAATATTCAAAACGTCCAGTTTTCAACAACAAAAAATACAGGCATACAAAGAAACAGGAAAGTATGGCCCATCCACAGAAAAAAAAAATAGACAAAACCCATGCTAGAGGAAGCCAGACATTGGAATGACTAGAGAAAGAGTTTAAATATATAAATATAACATATTAAATAATATAACTTTAAATATCAACCACCTTACATTTGCTCAAAGACCTAAAGGAAACCAATAGATGAACAAGTAAAGGTTATCAATAAAGAAATGTAAATTGTAAAAGAAACCAAATTTTAAACAACTGGAGCTGGAAGTTCAATAGCTAAAAAAAAATTTACTAGAGGGATTCAGTGGTATATTTGAACAGGCAGAAGAAAGAATCAGTGCACCTGAAGATAAAATAATTGAAATTATCCAGTTCGATGAGCATAAAGATAAAAGAATGAAAAACGAACAGAGCTTAAGAGACTTGTGAGATACCATCAAGCACACAAACATGAAAAAGAGTTAGAAAGACATTTGAATGGCCCCAAAGTCCCAATTTGATGAAAGACATAAGTACACATCCAAGAAGTTCAATGAACTCCAAGTAGGATAATCATGAAGAGATCCACACTATGATAATCAATCATATTTATAATCACACTGTCAACATCCAAAGGCAAAGAGATAATCTTGAAAATGGCAAGAGATAAGTGACTCATAATGCATTGATTATTCAATATATACCCCAATAAGACTGTTAATGTAATAATCATCAGAGACAATGACAGCCAGAAAGCAGTATAATGACATACCCAAGTGCTGAAATAAAAAAAAAAAAACTGTCTAGTAAGAATTCTATATCAAGCAAAATTGTTCTTCAAAAATTAGGAAGATATGGGCTGGGCATGGTGGCTCATGACTCTAAGTGATCCCAGCACTTTGGGAGGCCTAGGCAGGTGGATCACTTGAAGTCAGGAGTTCAAGACCAGCCTGGCCAACATGGTGAAACCCCGTCTCTATTTAAAAAAAATGCAAAAATCAGCCAGGCATTGTGATATGTGCCTGTAGTCCCAGCTACTTGGGAGGCTGAGGCAGGAGAATCACTTGAACCCAGGAGGCAGAGGTCGCAGTGAGCCAAGATTGTGCCACTGTACTCCAGCCTAGGCAACAGAGTAAAACTCCATCTCAAGAAAAAAAAAAAAGGAAGATATTAAAACATTCCCAGGTAAGCAAAAGCTAAGGGAGTTTGTTGCCCCTAGACTTACCCTGTAGGAAATGCTAAAGGGAGTCCTTTGGGCAGCAATGAAAGGACACTAGACAGTGAGTTGAAGTTGAAGTCATCTGAAGAAATAAAGAACTCTGGTAAAGATAGCTACATAGGTAAATATAAAAGCCAGTATTATTGTATTTCTAGTTTATACTTCCTATTTTTGATTCTTATGATTCAAAATACAATGCATCAAACAATAATTACAAATCTATGCAGTAGGCACATAGTGTATAAAGATGGAATTTGTGACAATAACAATATAAGGTGGGTACAAAGCTGTATAGGATAAATTTTATATGCTATAGAAGCTAAGTTTGGATCATTTCAAACAAGCAATGGTGTTATAAATTTAGGATGCTAAATGAAATCTCCATGGTAACCATTTTTAAATAACTTTTAAAATTACATAAAAGGAAACATGGATAAAGTAAAAATAGTCCACTAGAAAAAAATCAAACACAGAAGAAGGTAGTACTGAAGAAAACGAGGAACAAAAAAGATAAGACATTTAGAAAATAAATGGCTAAATGGTAGAATATAATGACTCAGTAATTTAATGTACAACATATATTTAACATATAATTATGTATATTAATATAAATATATTAAATAATATAACTTTAAATATAAATGGATTAAACTCACTAGTTAAAATACACAGACTGGCAGACTGCCAGTGAAACTATTCAGTGCAATACTTTAATAGTGGATACATGTCATTATACAATTGTTAAAACTCATAAAATGTACAACACAAAGAGGGAAGCCTAGTGTACTACATTAACGTAAGATGGTAACAATAGGAGAAATGGTGTGTAGGGGCAGCAGTAGGTATATGGAAACTCTCTGTACTTTCCACTCAACTTTTCTATAAACCTAAAACTTCTCTAAAAAAATAAATTCTATTAATTTAAAAATGTTTCAACTATATGCTGTTTATAAGTGACTCACTTTAGCTCTATAAGGTTGGAAGTGAAAGGATGTAAAAAGAGATTCTATGCAAATGGTAACTGAAGATGAGCTGGGGTATCTATACTAATATGAAGCAAAAGAGGCTTTAAGTCAAAAATGATTAAAAGACACAAAAAGGTCATTATATATTGATAAAAGGGTCAATTCATCAAGAAGCTATAACAACTATAAATATATACCCACCTAATAACAGAGCTCCAAAATATGTACTACATACCTTGACAGAACTCAAGGAAGAAATAGGCAGTTCTACAGTAATAGTTGAAGACTTCAATGTCCCAACCTTCAATAATAAATAGAACATCTAGACAGAAGATCCATAAGGAAACAGAGGACTTGCATAACACTATAAACAATTAGGCCTAACAGACATATATAGACCATCCTATCAAAAACAGCAGAATATACATTCTTCTCTAGGACAGACCATATGTTAGGCCACAAAAAACAGTCTCAATAAATTTTTAAAGATTGAAATAATAGAAAGTACCTTCTCAGATCACAACAGAACATTGTTAGAAATCAACTACAGGAGGAAAACTGGAAAAAAAAAGTGCAAGTACATGAAAAAGAAACAACATACTCTTAAACAACAAAGGGGTCAAAGGATAAATAGCAAGAGAAATAAGAATACTTTACAATAAATGGGAAAAATCCCCAATTCTTATACAGAAAAAGCAGTGTCCAGAGGGATATGTGTAAGTATAGATGCCTACATTAAAAAAAGAAAAGAAAAATCTCAAATCTATAACCTTTAAGGAACTAGAAGAAGAAAGCAAACCAAATCCAAAGCCAACAGAAGGAATAATTATAGCAGAGATTATTGAAATAGACAATAGGAAAATAACGGAATCAATGAAACTAGAAGCTGGTTCTTCAAAAAGATCAACAAAACTGACAAACCTTTTGCTAGACTGACTAAAAAAGTAGAAGATGCAAGTAACTAAAATTAAAGGTGAAAGTGGGTGTATTACTACCACTGTTGGTGAGGATGTGGAAAAATTGAAACCCTTGTACATTGCCTGAATATAAATGGTTCAGCCACTGTGGAAAATATTTTGGTGGTTTCTCAATAAGTTAACCATAGAATTACCATATGATCCAGCCTGGGTGACAGAGGGAGACTCCATCTCAAAAATAACTAAATAAATAGATAGATAGGTATGGGATTTTATTTGTGGGTGATGAAACTATTGAAACCAGATAGAGGTGGCTGTTGTACAACATTGTTAGTGCGTTAAATACCACTGAATTGTTGACTTCATTTATTTTTATTTTTTTTGAGACAGAGTCTCACTCTATTATCCAGGCTACAGTGGTGTGATCTCAGCTCACTGCAAACTCTGTCTCCGGGTTCAAGCTATTCTCATGCCTCAGCCTCCTGAGTAGCTGGGACTACAGGTATGTACCACCATACCCGGCTAATTTTTGTATTTTTAGTAGAGACAAGGTTTCGCCATGTTGGCCAGGCTGGTCTTGAGCAACTGGTCTCAAGTGATATGCCCACCTCAGCCTCCCAAAGTCCTGGGACTACAAGCATGAGCCACTGCACCCAGCTTGAATTGTTGACTTAAAAATAGTTCATTTTATGTTATATTAATTCAACTTCAATTTTTAAAAAATCCTGCAGGTGCTGAAAGAATAGGTCAGAACATAGGTAGAAAAGTTGACCTTAAACCAAAAAGGGAGAAGACAGATTTTAGAACACTGTGTAGTAGGAAAGGGTGAGAAATTGAAGGAAACGATTTTTGACAATGGCCTCAATTTTCTCAATAGAGTAAAAAGAAGAGCCACATTTATTGAACTATTACAATGTGTCAGGTACAGATGTATAATCTCCCTTAACTATCATAACAACCTAGTAAGGCAGATGCACTTGTTTTTCCCAATTAATAGATAAGGGATTGACTTTGAGGAATTAAGTGACTGGTTTAAGGTAATATAATTAGTCAGGGTCAAAGTCAGCATTTAAACTTCTGCAGTCTGACTCCAGATCTGGTTGTATCAAACTTTGTTCCTTGATACCGCCACTCTTGAGGCCAAATGGTTGAACCTAGATTGGGTTAGAAGTGGTGGAAAAGAATCAGAGAAGAAGCCAGTCAAGCAAGGTCAAGTAACACGGGTGATGACAAAAGCTGAGGGTCCAATTGATGCCTTCGCACATTCATCAACAAGGTGTGATTGCGTGCCTACCAAGATGCATGTGAACCTGCCTGCTGGTGTGATTTTTCTCTGGCAGCACTCAGTCTCCTGAGAGTAGGAGAGGAGAAACTTATCAGAATGATTGACCTGTGTTTGCATTTTCACTGAGTGGGTTTGGTAGAAGACAAAAGTACAAAAAACTTGACAGGAGGCCAGGAGGGGATCAATAGATTCAACTGTGGGGTTTGTGAGGTTGACAGCCAGGCATGGAAGGAAGGAAGGTGGGAAAAGTCTGGAAAAAGAGAAGGTTATGGCCAAAAGCTGGATGTTGATGTTTATGATTGGTTTTAGACAGGGGTATTTCCTAGTGAGGACAGGGCCAGGACGTGCCCATAGGAATAGGTGGCTGACGGGAAGTCCTTGGGCCTGAGAAGATTAAGACTTGGGAGGCTCTGAGGCAGGAGGGTAGCTTGAGACCAGGAGTTCAAAACAAGCCTGGGTAACATAGTGAGATCCTGTCTCTACACACACACACACACACACACACACACACACACACACACACACACACACACAGACCTGTGAAGCTAGCACATTGGATTGGGCAACCATATAAACCTTGAAGGTACCAAAAATTAGGACAGGACTTGGGTGGAATCAGCTGCCACAGTCTTCAATGACTATTGAGGAGTGGCCAAGTTGTCAGTGCAAGGCAGAGATGAGGAGGATAAATAGCTTAATGGCATAAGTCACAAAGGGACAGAGATTTTTAGAAGATGATGGTGGTATAATTGCAGTGGAGACCAAAAATAATGCAAACAAGCCACTTCCAACCTCTGACAAAAGGTGTAGACAAAAATTAGTTTTATTAGACTGAGAGTGGTGGCTTGTGCCTGTAATCCCAGCACTTTGAGAGGCTGAGATGGAAGGATTGCTTGAGCCAGTGAGTTTAAGACCAGCCTGGGCAATATAGTGAGACTTTGTCTTTACAAAAAAATCAAGAAAAAATTAGCTGGGGATAGTGGCACATGCCTGTAGTCCCAGCTACTAGGGAGGCTGAGGTGGAGGGATCGCTTGATTGGTTGAGGCTGCAGTGAGCCGTGATTGTGCCACTGCACTCTGGCCTGGGCGACGAGTGACATTTGTCTCAAAAAAAAATTGGTTGGTGTACTTGTGTTACCATAAAGTCTCACTGCTGCTATAATAATCATAGTACTGATAGTAATATTAATAACAACAAAAATATTATGTTATAAAGTGCTCTTGAAAATAAGTTGGAAAGATGCTTAGTAAATTCATGCTTTAAGAAATCACAGTTGGGTGTGGTGGCTCATGCCTGTAATCCCAACACTTTGGGAGGCCGAGACAGGTGGATCACTTGAGGTCAGGAGCTCGAGACCAGTCTGGCCAACCTGGTGAAACCCCATCTCTACTAAAAATACAAAAAATTAGCTGAGCATGGTGGCAGGCGCCTGTAATCCTAGCTACCCAGGAGGCTGAAGCAGGAGGATTACTTGAGCCCAGGAGGTGGAGGTTGCAGTGAGCCGAGATCGCGCCATTGCACTCCAACCTGGGCAACAAAGCGAGACTCTGTGTCAATAAATAAATAAATAAATAAATAAAGTCACTGAGTGGGTATGGTAGAAGATAGGAACACAAAGAACTTGACTATATGCCACATACTCTGCTTAGTATATTATCTGCATTATCTCATTTAACTATGTCAGTGATCCTATGAAGTAATAATTCTATTATCAGCTCAAATTTACAGATACAGAAAATGAGACTAGGTGAGATTAAGTAACTTATTTCAGGTTATACAGTGGCAGAGCCTAGATTCCAGCCCACATCTGCCTGACTCTAATACTCTTAAGGCCCTTCTATTAAACATCAGGGAAGAATCTGGGTTTATTTGCTCAAACTGGAAAGTGCCAAGGTTGAATAATTCTTAACTAACACCTTAGCAGATAGGAGGCTCTCTTTGGTTTACAACTCCAATTCCCTGAAGAAATCTAATTCTTCAGGGAAGGCTGAAGGCAATAGAAGACGCTATTGCCCCAGCATTAACTTGGTTTGCCTTGCTTTATTAGAATCTTCTGAAAGCACGAATTTACTAAACGTCTTTCCAACTCTATTTTCAACAGAGCTGTGAGCCACCGTGTGCTTTGTCATGCCGAGCTTTCTTCTCCAGAAAAGACATTCTTCTAATCTGGGGGGAGACAAATGATAAGTGAAGTAGTTCCAAGGCTCAACAAAGTGCCATAGAGTGACTCCTGTGAGAGAACAGACCAAAACGATTGGAAGTCTCTGGTCTAGATACACGAAGGCAGATGAGCACTGCGGAAGGGTGCCGAGATTGTCCACTGCTCAGGACAAGGAAAAGCAAGACGCTGGCTTGTTCACTGTCATAGGTTGAATGGTGGCCCCACAAAACCGATGTTCAAGTGCTAACTCAAATGTGATCTTATTTGAAAATCAGGTTTTTGTAGTTGTAATTAAGAATCTGGAGATGAGATCATCCTGCATTTATTTATTTATTTATTTATTTTGAGAAGTAGTTTTTGCTCTGTCATCCAGGCTGGAGTGTAGCGGCACAATCTTGGCTCACTGCAACCTCTGCCTCCCAGGTTCAAGCAATTCTCCTGTCTGAGCCTCCCAAGTAGCTGGGATTACAGGTGCCCGCCACCCTACCCAGCTAATTTTTGTATTTTTAGTAGAGATGGGGGTTTCACCATATTGGCCAGGCTGGCCTCGAACTCCTGACCTCAGGTGATCCGCCCATCTTGGCCTCCCAAAGTGCTGGGATTACAGACATGAGCCACCACGCCCGGCCAACTCTGCATACTTTAATATTTCCATACCATATTCAGCTTATTGTACAGTTTGGACTGTCAAAGCTATGCACATTTTAAGAATAATTTCTTGAGGGCAGGTTAATTCTGGTGTGTGTTACAGTCCTTTTGTAATTTCAGTAATTTCCTGAGTTGCAGAGGCCTAACTGAATCAATGTTAGGCATCTTGATGGAAAATAATGGTGATGGTTTAGGAGAGTGAGGAAAAAAAGATTTTCCAACTCAAAATCCTGATAAAAACATTTGGAGAGGTGGGTATACTATTGTATAAAAATGTTTAGGGCCGGGCGCGTTGGCTCATGCCTGTAATCCCAGCACTTTGGGAGGCCAAGGCAGGTGGATCACCTGAGCTCAGGAGTTCAAGACCAGCCTGGCCAACATGGTAAAACCCCATCTCTACAAAAATGCAAAAATTAGCTGGACGTGGTGGCGTGTGCCTGTAATCCCAGCTACTCAGGAGGCTAAAGCAGGATAATCGCTTGAACCTGGGAGGCAGAGGTTGCAGTGAGCCGAGATCGTGCCACTGCACTCCAGCCTGGGCAATACAGTGTAACTTCATCTCAAGAAAAAATAAATTAATTAATTTAAAAAATAACAAAAAATAAATGTTTAGATAAAGAAATCTAAACATTATGTGCCATATAACATTTCAATCAATGATGAACTGAATATACAACAGTGGTCCCAGAAAATTATAATACTCTATTTTTACTATACTTTTTCTGCATTCAGACACACAAATACTTAGCATTGCATTACAGTTGCCTACAGTACTCAATGACATGCTATAGAGGCTTGTTGCCTAGGAGCAATAGACTAGACCATCCAGCCTAAGTGTGCAGTAGGCTATGCCATCTAGCCTTGTGTACGTGCTCGCTGTGTTGTTTACACAACAAAATCACCTAATGACACATTTCTCCAAACGTATGCTCATCTGCGCTAATGAACACAGGAAAGAAGGCCCGGGAATAGCCTTGCAGAAAGGACCTGGCTGTCAGCCTGATGCACTGTGCGGCTGGCCATCTCCTGGCAGTCCAAGGGCTCAGGCTCAGTTTACCCTCCAGGCAGTAGACAACAAGCTTCCCTGTCCTTAATAACACCCTGCATCCCACCTCCCAGTCTCTGCAAAATGCTTGAGCAAGGCATTTGGTCCTAAGAAGTTATCTCACTCTGGGCAGCCATACAGCTATTACTTATGGTGTCATTTCAAGGACTGATGAATGTCCTGGACCCCAAAATGACTCATCACCGAGTAGTGTTATCTTAAGGGAGAGGCTTCTGCCCTTGGGGCAGCTCCATGGAGACTTCAGTTAAACTGGCTGCTGAGCAAGGCGCTGATGATTCAAATTGCAACTGTTTTTCTGTTTATTTTAAGCTCAAAATAAAAAAAATCTCTCGAGTGGGTTTTGCTTATTTGAAAACTGTAAAAGGTACTCCAGTCTCCCCACATGGCAGCTTCAAGGCCCTGAAGGCTGTGCTTAACTGCAGGCCCTGGCTTGGCTTCTGGTCAAGTCATCAAGAAGCTTCTAGAATTTAAGATGGCAGTTCCCTTATCAGATCCGCTCTGCGAATATACAGGAGGGAGGCTTTGTGGCCAGAAGGCAGGTTGGGTTGTAAGACCTGTTTAATTTCTCTCAGGAAAAAATACAACAGTAAACAAAACAAATCCTGAGTACTGGCAACAAGAAAAACCAGCTTTCTGCCTAGAAATGTTTACTCTTTTACAATTGTAGAACATTCAGGAAAATCATGGACTCCAAATAAAAAACCCAACAAATAAAAACACTTCCAGTCACCTCCTAATTTTTAGAATGATTGGAGGAGATAGATGAATGATTAAATGAGTGATTAAAATGGGATTAATTATTATAATTAATCAATGAAAACATGATCACACCCAGCTTCCATCCTGGATCTAGCTGGCAAGATCCCAATTTTGGAAGCAGGTAAAACTCGGAAGTCTTTATTACAAATGACTGATTCCATTTACTCCAAATATGAGATTCTAATGTCACCCTGGGATAGAGAAACCCTCTAACTGCACAAAGTCTGTAGGTTAACAGTAAAGCCAGGGGACCAGGCCCAGTGGCTCATGCCTGTAATCCCAGGACGTTGGGAGGCTGAGGCAGGCAGATCACTTGAGGTCAGGAGTTTAAGACCCGGCTGGCCAACATGATGAAACCCCATCTCTACTAAAAATACAAAAAAATAAAAATTAGCTGGGTGTGGTGGCACATGCCTGTAATCCTAGCTACTCTGGAGGCTAAGGCAGGAGAATCACTTGAACCTGGGAGGCGGAGGTTGCAGTGAGCTAAGATCACACTACTGCACTCCAGCCTGGGCCACAGAGTGAGACTCCTTCTCTAAAAACAAACAAACAAAACAAAAACAAAACAGTCAAGCTAGGGACCTAATGATTGGAGGGAAAGGTCTCCATATTCCTTGGGGAAATCGGCTTTATTTAGACATGATGTTCCCTCTGTAAATGACTCTCAGCTGGCCTTGGGCCTGCTCTTCAACTCTCTCCACGTTGTTAAGTGTAGAATCTAAGTTTCCCATCACGTTCCTTAGATGTAGAGTGTCTGTTATTCCAGGAAATCTCTTTGATTAAATGGCAAATGTGCTGGGAGTGGTGGCTCACACCTGTAATCCCAGCACTTTGGGAGGCTGAGGCAGGCAGATAATGAGGTCAAGAGATCGAGATCATTCTGGACAATATGGTGAAAGCCCATCTCCTCTACTAAAAATACAAAAATTGGCTGGGCGTGGTGGTGTGTGCCTGTAGTCCCAGCTACTCGGGAGGCTGAGGCAGGAGAATTGCTTGAACCTGGGAGGCAGAGGTTGCAGTGAGCCGAGATCGTGCCACTGCACTCCAGCCGGGCGACAGAGTGAAAGTCCATCTCAAAAAAAAAAAAAAAAAAAAAGGAAAACAAAACCATGCCAGGCAGGTCCGCACTTTACAAACACTCAACTGATCCTTGACCTTTCCTCAGCCCCCTTCCAGGCTCCCTCCACCTCCAGGCTTTCGCCCTCCAGTGGGAGGGGCTGCCGCCACCACTGGGTCCTCCCTTGTACCTAAATTCCTCTCCACCCCAGGCCCTGGAGAGCTGCAGTTACTGTGGTAACACTAAGGAACATCCTAGCATTTGTGGGCTAGCCTACACACCTACTGACCATGACTCACATTATTTTTATGGGAAAATACCTTCTGAGTTTTAACCAACAATTCACAATCTGCTCTTGAATATGTCTATTGCTTTTATAATGCCTCCTCTTCTTGGCATCCTATGGAAATGAATTTTCATAATCATCAAAATGAACCAGTGAAAGGGCTGAGCTTAGGGCTGCAAAGTACTATAAACCTTAAAAACAAAGCGCATCAGTGTTATCGCTAGGTAAAACAGTAAGGTAAACTGCAGATCTCGGATAAGTCAAATGGGCTTTCAGCGTTCTCAACTGTAAAATGGGACTGTAAAATCAATGAGATCAGGTGAAAATGCTCTTGAAATTGTAGGGTGATAAATAAATTCAATTATTATTATCTATATTGCATTTGTTTTTTATTTATTTATTTGAGACGAAGTCTTGCTCTTTTGCCCAGGCTGAAGTGCAGTGGCACAATCTTGGCTCACTGCAACCTCTGCCTCCTGAGCTTAAGCAATTCTCCTGCCTCAACCTCTTGAGTAGCTGGGATTACAGGTGCGCGCCACCAGGCCTGGCTAATTTTTGTATTTTGAGTAGACGGGGTTTCACCATGTTGTCCAGGCTGGTCTTGAACTCCTGACCTCAGGTGATCTGCCGACTTCAGCCTCCCAAAGTGCTATAGTGCATTTATAAGAGCAAAGACTAGAGAAGGTCATCCTTGGTTCAAATCCTGGCTTTGAACCATTCTATTCTATTTACACTATTAACCATTCATTCTATTTGAACTATTCTAGCTGTGTGAACTTGAGCAGGTTACCTAAGTGCTTTGTGCCATACAACAGTTGCCCCTCAGTATCCATGGGGGATTATTTCCAGAACCCCCTGCAGATACCAAAATCCATGGATGTTCAAGTTCCTGATAAAACGCTGTAGAATTTGCATATAACTTACATCTTCTCCTATACTTTAAATCATCTCTAGATTACTTATGATACCTAAAACAATGGATGTACTATGTAAATATTTGCTATACTGTATTGTTTAGGGAATAATGACAAGGAATAAAATCTGTACATGTTCAGTACAGATGCAGATTTTTCCTGAATATTTCCAATCTGAGGTTGGTTGAGTCCACAGATGCAGAACCCACAGAGAGGGCCAACTATATTATCCTCCTGTAATAACAGTAACTCTAGAAAACGATGGTTGTGAGGATTAAAGTATTAAAAAATGTAAAGTGCTTGGACATATGAAGCGCTATGTAATGTTGGCAATGAGCAGCAGCAGCATAGCCTAACAGAAAGACAGTGGCCTGGAAAAACAGTAGCCTGGGAATCTGACAGGTCTAAGTGGATGGGGATGTCTTGTATTGTTGTAATTACATGCAGCTGCTTTATTGGTGACTCAAGAGGAAACTTGGTAATTATTTTAAATATTTGTTTCTTTTGGCTGAGGCATCACTAGATACAACTGTGAAGTAGATGAATGATTTTCTTCATAATTTGCTAATCTATTTTTTTAAGTTCACAGCCGCGGTGGCCTCCAGCCTGAGGATTCTCCTGATACATGCTACTAAGGGCTCACCTGTGCTTGCCTTCTCCCTGGGAGCTGTCGACTCACAGTTAACTCTGTAGGTTGAATACATGCCATCTGCTCTACTCCCTGTTCAAAGCCACTCAGCCATAAAGGAATAAAATAGGAAGAAGCGAATGGCAATGGAGATGCAAAAAGTGTCAACAATATTTTGGAAGACATAAGTTGTTTGGACAAAAGACTTCGAATTTAACGTCAGCTTTCTCCATTCTGCTGAGTGTCTATACCTGAAGAAGCCAATAAAAGATAAATTGAATCCGGCCTGGGGTGGTGGCTCATGCCTGTAATCCTAGCACTTGGGGAGGCCGAGGCGGGTGGATCACTTGAGGTCAGGAGTTCGAAACCAGCCTGGCCAACATGGTGAAATCTCATCTCTACTAAACATACAAAAAAAATTAGCCTAGTGTGGTGGCATGCACCTGTAATCCCAGCTACTTGGGAGGCTGAGGCAGGAGAATCACTTGAACCCGGGAGTTGGAGGTTGCAATGAGCCGAGACGGTGACACAGCACTCCAGCCTGGGCGACAGAGCAAGACTCCGTCTCAAAAAAAAAAACAACAAATAATAAATAAATACAAATAATAAATAAATAAATAAATTGAATCCACTATGAATCCTCCAAAATCTCAGAAACTGGAAGCACTAGACATCTCTGAATTCAGGGGATTAGGATGGCGCTGAAAATGACAGAATTCATTCAATGTCTGTGTAAGAAGGAGCTGGACCTCAGCTCTTCCTCCTCACTCCACACAGCCAGAGGCTGTCACTCCTCTACCACCCAGCAGGTGACAGAAGATTTGCTCTCTGAAGAGGGCAAACCAGAGATGTCCTGATCCAGGAGACATGAGGCATCACAGAGGGCAAGAAAACAAGGCATTTCTGAAATGAGTAAGGCTCTCAGAAGTCACATATGACGGGCCATTGTCCCCATTCCACCCCCAAGATGCCACACTAGCTCACTGCTTTTTCTGTGCAGGGTGACAGCATTGCAGAACTCTAGGGAACTATCATTCCATAAACTGCAAGGTCAAGGGTGCTCCCTGTATCGCCTGGGGGAACTGGTTAGCTTAAGAGAAAAAGCAGGTACTCCGCCTGTCATCTCACAGTGAGGCTACCAGTTGACAAGCCTCGTGCACATACACTGAAATTCTGATAAGTAATTTGGTGAATGGCCAAGGATCACCAGAAATTTGAGGAAGGCCTCTACTATGAAGAAGGCCAGAGATCAAAACAAAAGCAGAAAAAGAGCCCAGAAAAAACAGATGGTGCAGGAAGAAGATGACTTCAGAAAAACAATGATTAATATCTTCAAAAGAGAAGAGAAGAGAATGTATCCATGGCACAATTACATCATTCTATGAAAAGGAAAAAAATTCAAAGCATATGAAAGAATTCTTAAAAATTAAGAATAAGATGTACTATTATCCACACAATGGAATATTACTGAGGTATAAAAAGAATGAAGTACTGATTTGTGCTAAAACACAAATGAGCCTTGAAAACATGGTGCTCAATGAAAGAAGCCAGCCACAAAGGAACATATGTTGTCTAATTTAATTACATTTACATGAAATGTTCAGAATAAGGCGAGTCTGTAGAGATGGAAAGATTAGTGTTGTTTTGGGCTGGGGGAAATCGGGAGATTGGAGGGTGATAAATAAAGGGTATGGGTTTTCTTTAGGGTGATGAAAATGTTCTAAAACTGAGGGTGGGAACAGTTGTACAACTCTGTGAGTATACTACAGACCACTGAATTGTATACTTTTTTTTTTTTTTCACAGTCTCATGCTGCCACCCAGGCTGGAGTGCAGGGGCACGATCTCAGCTCATTACAACCTCTGCCTCCTGGGTTCAAGCGATTCTTGTGCCTCAGCTCCCAAATAGCTGGGATTACAGGCGCATACCACCACACCCAGCTAATTTTTTGAGGGTATTTTTAGTAAAGATGGGGTTTCACCATGTTGGCCAGGCTGGTCTTGAACTCCTGGCCTCAAGTGACCCTCCCACCTCAGCCTCCCAACGTGCTGGGATTACAGGCGTGAGCCACTGTGCCTGGCCAATTTTTATACTTTAAATGGGTGAATTGTATGGTAGGTAAATTATATTTGGCCGGGTGCGGTGGCTCACACCTGTAATCCCAGCACTTTGGGAGGCCGAGGCAGGCGGATCACAAGGTCAGGAGATCGAGACCATCCTGGTTAACACGGTGAAACCCTGTCTCTACTAAAAATAATTGGTTTTATTTTTATCACATAATGGGTGGTTAGCAGATATAGGGTCTCTATGTTGTTACCAGAGAACCAGATTATTTCTATCTTTGAGCTTAGACATCATTAGTTTTGCTCTCATCCTCACACAAAATGTTTTCTGCCCATTCTCTTCCCATCTCAGGCATTGCAAGTATGTTTCAAGCAGGAAAAAGATGGGAAAATTTGTGTCAACTGTAACTTCAACTTACAGCTCATTGGACAGAACTGTGTCACATGACTTCATCTACCAACAAGATGGCTGTGAAGCACATTGCCATCCTGCATAGAGATATGCTGTTACTAAGAAAGAAGGAAAGGTGTATTCAGTAGACAATTAGAGATCTCAACTACAGAAATAAACAGTTTCCCAAGAACTAGAAGATGGCCCCAGATTTAAAGGGCCCATTAGCACCTAGAACGAAGAATGAAAAAAGATCCACAATAAGTCATAACCCTGTAAAATTTAAGAACACCAGGCCAAGTGCAGTAGCTCACTTCTGTAATACTAGCACTTTCGGAGGCTGAGGCAGGAGGATGGCTTGAGCCCAGGAGTTAGAGACTAACCTGGACAACATAGTGACACCCTGTCCCTACAAAAAAAAATACCCCAATTAGCTGCGTGTGGTGGTGCATGCCTGTAGTCCCAGCTACTCAGGAGGCTAAGGTGGGAGGATCACTTGAGCCTGGGAGGTCAAAGCTGCAGTGAGCCATGATTGCACGACTGCACTCCAAACCTGGGTGACTGTCTCCAAACAAACAAACAAACACACATAGTTTTTTTTTTTTAATCTAAAAGCTTTCAGAGAGAACAAGCAGGCCACATACAAGGATCCAGAATCAGTACTCATTCCTTTCAATAGCAACACCGACACTATCTCAGCAGTATAGTAATCACTTAACGTCTTCCATAGGTTCTCTGAAACTGCGACTTTAAGCAGAACAACATATAACCTAACTAATTTTGCCATAAGCTAATTGATGTAAACAAGAATTAAGTTCCTATGGCATATTTCTGGCCCCCCAGATATCACCAGACTTTTTTTTTTTTTTTTTTTTTTTGAGATGGAGTCTCTCTCTGTCGCTCAGGCTGGAGTGCAGTGGCTCAATCTCAGCTCACTGCAAGCTCCGCCTCCCGGGTTCACGCCATTCTCCTGCCTCAGCCTCCCGAGTAGCTAGGACTACAGGCGCCTGCCACCACGCCCGGCTAATTTTTTTATTTTTAGTAGAAACGGGGTTTCACCATGTTAGCCAGGACAGTCTCGATCTCCTGACCTCGTGATCCACCCGCCTCGGCCTCCCAACGTGCTGGGATTACAGGCATGAGCCACCGCGCCCGGCCTCACCAGACTTCTAAATAAAGACCCCAAACACTTCTAATATTAAACATTGAAATAAATATAATCTATATATACATTTAAGAAGGATGAATAAAAACAAGCAAGATAATTATTTCCCACTTTCAGGTGAATCAGTGAGGGACGATGGTTGTTGTGGTGGTGGGTTAAATCAGGGAATAACTATTTGCAAAGTGGAAATTGTCAGGAGCACCTCCTGCCACCATGTAGCTCAGAAACAAACAAGAACAAATTCCACGGGCTCTCTGAGCACTTTTGTACCACGTCATTTATTTGTTTGTTTGTTTGTTTATTTGGAGACAGAATCTCACTTTGTCGCCCAGGCTGGAGTGCAGTGGCACAGTAGCGGCTCACTGCAACCTCCACCTCCTGGGTTCAAGCAATTATCCTGCCTCAGCCTCCCAAGTAACTGGGACTACAGGCACCCGTCACCACGCCCAGCAAATTTTTTTATTTTTATTTTTATTTTTTTGAGATGGAGTCTCACTCTGTCGCCCAGGCTGGAGTGCCGTGGTGCAATCTCCGCTCACCCCAACCTCTGCCTCCCCAGTTCAAGCGATTCTTCTGCCTCAGCCTCCCAAGTAGCTGGGATTGCCAGCATCTGCCACCATGCCCGGCTAATTTTTTTGTATTTTTAGTACAGATGAGGTTTCATCATGTTGGCGAGTCTGGTCTTAAACTTGGCCTCGCAAAGTGCTGGGATTACAGGTGCGAGCCACCACACCTGGCTGTGTATTTGTTTATTGCTGTGCATTTGTATGATTATCACAGACTTTACAAGTTTTATTTGACAATGATTTGTATCCATCCTGTTATGGTTTGGAAATGATTTGTTTGTCCCCACCAAATCTCATGTTAAAACTTGATCCCCAGGGTGGTGGTGGTGGAGGAGGGGTCTGGGGGGAGGTGTGTGGGTCATGGGATGGAACCCTCATGAATGGCGTGGGCTGGTCTCAGGGTGGTGAGTGAGTTCTCACTCTCATGAGACTGAATTGGTTCTCAGCGGGATGGATTGGTTCTAATGAGAGAGGGTTGATATAAAGTCAGCACACCCCCAGGTATGAATCCCTCTTCACGTATGCCTGCTTCCCCTTTGTCCCCCTCTGCCGTGTTTTGACATAGCACAGAAGCCCTCACCAGAAGCCGCGCAGAGGCCAGCACCATGAGTCTTATGCAGCGCGCAGAACTGTGAGCTAAACAAACCTCTTTTCTCTAAAATTACCCAGCCTCAGGGATTCCTTTATAAAAACACAAAGTAGACTCAGACACATTCATTTATTTATCATCTAAGTCACTGACTCCAGTTCAGGATCAAGGGTGGCCGGAGCTTTTCCTGGCTGCTTAGGGCACAAGGCAGGAACCAGCTCTGGACTGGACGCCATCCCATTCCTGTGTGTGTGTGTGTGTGTGTGTGTGCAGGAGAGTCACTTGAACCTAGGAGGCGGAGGCTGCAGTCGGCTGAGATCACGCCACTGCACTCCAGCCTGGGTGACAGAGCAAGACTCTGTCTCGGAAAAATAAATAAATACATACATACATACAAAAATTAGCTGGGCGTGGTGGCAGGCACCTGTAATACCAGCTACTCAGGAGGCTGAGGCACAAGAATTGCTTGAACCTGGGAGGTGGAGGTTGTAGTGAGCTGAGATTGCGCCACTGCACTCCAGCCTGGGTGACAGAGTGAGACTCTGGAGTCACACACACACACACACACACACACACACTCACTCACTCATTCTGGGGCCATTTAGACACATCACTTAATCTAATGGGTACATTCTTGCCATGTGGGAGGAAATCGGAGTATCTGGAGAAAACCCACACAGACATGGGGAGAATGCAAAACTCCACACAGACAGTGGCCCCAACCAGGAATCTATTTTTTTTCCTTATAAATGTTATAATGTGGCTGGGCATGGTGGCTCATGCCTATAATCCCAGCACTTTGGGAGGCCGAGGCAGGTGGATCACTTGAGGTCACGGGTTTGAGACCAGCCTGGCCAACATGATGAAACCCCGTCTCTACCAAAAATACAAAAATTAGCTGGGTGTGGTGGCGGGCGCCTGTAATCCCAGCTACTCGGGAGGCTGAGGCAGGAGAATTGCTTGAAGCCGGGAGGCGGAGGTTGCAGTGAGCCGAAATCGTGCCACTGCACTCCAACCTGGGCAACACAGTGAGACTCCATCTCAAAAAAAGAAAGTAAATAAATAAATGTTATAATGAGATGACGTTGAACAAAACCATGTTCTTCGAGGACCTGCTGTAACTTCAGAACCTGAGGAAAATTTTCATCCTAGAATTCTCCATTAGGTAGTAAATTTGTGTACATCATGAAAGTTGTTGATTAATGTGTAGTTTTGTCAAAATGTTTCTTGACATTTACCATCCACCCTGGGAGCTGTCATCCTATCACTAGCCATGCAAAACCCAGAAGGCACAGACCTGCTGACGAAACATCAGCATCTCTTTCAGAAGTTAGGACTTACTTTAGGAAGTTATTTTAAGTAGTTATTCCCAAAGACAACAATTTGACTTTTGCAACTGTCATTTACTTTTCATTCCATGAAGTTTGACCTTTTTTGGAGACAGGGTCTCACTGTGTTGCCCAGGCTGAAGTGCAGTGGCATGAAAATGGCTTGCTGCAGACTCGAACTCCTGAACTCAAGCGATCCTCCCACCTGAGCCTCCCAAAGTGTTGGGATTATAGGTGTGAACCACCAAGCCCGGCCGACTTTTTGTTTATATCAAATAACTGTTCGCCTAAGTTAATTTTGCTTTTTTATTCCAAGTTTTCTTACAGATACAAAAAAATCAAGCAATAGTCGTTTTGTATTTTATTTTATTTTTAGAGACAGGGTCTCACTCTGTTGCCCAGGCTGGAGTGCAGTGGTGACATCATAGCTCATTGTAACCTTGAACTCCTGTGCTCAAGCAGTTCTCCTACCTCAGCCTCCCGAGTAGCTAGGGCTACAGGCATGGGCCACCATGCCAGGCTAATTAAAAAAAAAAATGTTTGTAGGGAATGGGGTCGGGGAGGGGGTCTTGCTATGTTGCCCAGGCTGGTCTCAAATTCCTGGCTTCAAGTGATCCTTCCACTTAGGCCTCCCAAATTGCTGGGATTACAGGCATGAGCCATTGTGCCTGCTGATAGCTGTTTGTATTGGCTCCATTAGCAGCAGTAGAACTTAGCAAATGGTTAATGAAAGTAGTTTGATAATGTCATCAGATGTTTCAAAAAGAAAAGCAGTTTAGCCCAATAATGGCCTTTTTTTTCATACAATTAATTCCTGGAATCAATATATGGAGGTTCATTCTGCCAAAGGTGAAATATCTGACATCATTGCTAATTCTATTGTAAACTCGGCTTTTAAAAACTGGTTAAAATTAAAAACTGATTCCAAATTAAAAGGATTTCTCTTTTGCAGGGATAATAGAAATACGATTTTTGGAGGAGCAATGCACTACGGGAAAAATAACGCGCTCTTAATACTGTTAAGAAACCAAATGGTCTTGGCAATGATTTCTTGGATGTGACACCAAAAGCACAGGAAACAAAAGTAAAAATAGACAAGTGGGACTACATCAAACAAAAAAGCTTCTGCACAGCAAAGAGAACCACTGACAGAGTGAAAAGGCAACCTACAGAATGTGAGAAAATATTTGCAAACCATATATCTAAAAGGGTTAATATCCAAAAATATATAAGGAACTCCTACAACTCAATAACAAAAAATTAAATAACCCAATTCAAAAACAGGCAAAGGACTTGAATAGATACTTCTCCAAAGGAGACATACAAATAGTCAACAGTTATAGAAAAAGATGCCCAACATCACTAATCGTCAGGGAAACACAAATCAAAACCATGAAATATCACCTCACGCCTATTAGGATGGCCATCGACATGGTTTGGATCTGTATCCCCAGCCAAATCTCACATTTTTTTGTTAATTAGCCAGGTGTGGTGGCACATGCCTGTAGTCCCAGCTACTTGGGAGGCTGAGGCAGGAGAGTCACTTGAACCTAGTGTAGCAGGACAAGTCGCAGACAAAACTCCTCAGACACAAGATTAAAGAAGGAAGAGGTTTTTTATTCTGCTGGGAGCGTCGGCAGACTCGTGTCTTAAGAGCCGAGCTCTCCGAAAAAGAAATTCCTAGCTCTTTTAAGGGCTTACAACTCTAAGGGGTCTACGTGAAAAAGTCATAGTAGATCAAGTAAGCGTGAGAAACGTGACTAGGGGCTACATACATCAGCTAACAGAACAAAAAGTTTTACAGTGCTTTCTCATACAATGTCTAGAATTTACAGATAACACCAGTAGTTTTGGTCAGGGGTTAATAATATTATTATTATTTTAGCCACCAGGGCCAGGTGGTGGTGCCAAGGTCGTCTAACTATGTATCTTACTTCTGTTTCTTTCCAACTTTTTTGCTTTCTCCCTTTTCTCCTGTCTTATAAACTAGGGAAAAGGGGAGGTTGGGGAGAAACTGAGAAGGCCAACAGGAGAAGTGGTGGCCTCATACCATACTAGGAGGTGGAGGCTGCAGTGAGCTGAGATCACGCCACTGCACTCCAGCCTGGGTGGCAGAGCAAGACTCTGTCTCGGAAAAATACATACATACATACATACATACATACATACATACATACATACAAACATACATACATATGTACATACAAAAATTAGCTGGGCGTGGTGGCGGGCACCTGTAATCCCAGCTACTCAGGAGGCTGAGGCACGAGAATCGCTTGAACCCGGGAGGCAGAGGTTGTACTGAGCCGAGATTGCACCACTGCACTCCTGCCTGGGTGACAGAGTGAGACACCATCTTAAAAAAAAAAGAACGTCCCCTTGCCTGAGTAAGACCTCACTAGACACACAACAATGTGTATTTTAGGACCGCATACACACGTTTAAAGGAAACTCATGCAACAATCAGTGTCTCAGTCAGGGCCGAAAGCCGAGAGTCATGTGATAGTGTCTTAAAAGCTGGCCGAAACAGAAAGAAGTCCCACGAAGCTGCATTTATATTTTCCAAGTTAATTAAATTTATTTAATCAGTTGTTTCGGAGCTAGTTTTCCCTTCAGGATTGGTAGCCCATGACAACAGACAGAGAGAAGACAAAGAAACAGCTCTACCAGGTGGCAATATGGTTGTGTTTCTATACAATTTATGAATGTTTAAGGTCTCCTGGGACCCCTTTATTTCCTTAGAATATAATTCCTCTCCCCTGTTCCTGAGCAATTCTAGCCATTTAGAGATTTTATTTCTATCTTCTCATTTTCCCTTGGTCCCATGAAGCCAAATTGGCATCTTGTAATAAATTCTTGTGTGTTTACATTTCTTTCACTTTATTTTATGAGTTAAGAGACTGAATCGAGAGGTTAGCTATGCATCAGTGATGAAATAACCACCAACGGCTGCTTCTCAGACAATTTTAGCCACCATTCTATTTTCTGTTTCCCAGGTTTTCAACCTTAAAACCATCCTCACACCCCTCTGCTCCTGTCGATTCTCCTACTGCACAATTTTGACCCTCTTTTCTGCTCTTTTATTTCTACTCCCACTGCCCTGGTTCAGGTCCTTGCAACTCCTCCCCCTATTCTCTGTTTCCTCTCTTTGCCAGTCATCCTGAGTGCATTTCCTCATTCATTCATTCATTCACTTGGTATCAGTTATTGAATACTCACTGTGTGTGTCAAACAAAGCAGCGAGATGAGTGTCTCTTCCCTGTGAACCAGCCACGGCTGGGATGTGCCTTGAATTCCCCCCTAGAGCCTGGATCTTGCCTGCGTTTTCTCTGGGACACTCCTTGCATCTTTCTTGAAGTCCTGTCCCAGCTTCAAGGTTTCGGTTCCCCAGATGCCCTCATTCACACTCTCGCCTTGCCCTGTTCTCCACTGGGCATGGTGGTCCCCTTTCATGTAAATTGCATCATAGTAGTGCATCCTCTGCATTACTGGGGTACACAGTGGGTCTGCTTCTTGGCAAAATTGTGTGCCCTGGATTTGACATGGTATTTATCATGTGGTAGTTCCTCCAGACATACTTCTAGAATTTGCTGGTAGTGAAAGGATTCTAAAAGGTACAATAGGCGGGGCGCGGTGGCTCATTCCTGTAATCCTAGCACTTTGGGAGGCTGAGGCAGATGGATCACCTGAGGTCAGGAGTTCGAGACCAGCCTAGCCAACATGGTGAAACACCATCTCTACTAAAAATACAAACAATAAGCCGGGAGTGGTGGTGCATGCCTGTAGTCCCAGCTACTCGGGAGGCTGAGGCAGTAGAATTGCTTGAACCTGGAAGGTGGAGGTTGCAGTGAGCTAAGATCCCACCATTGTACTCCAGCCTGGGCAACAGAGCAAGACTCCATCTCAAATAAAAAAAGGTACAATAGTACTATGTTCAACTCTAAGGTAGCATAAAGGTCACTAGAAATACTATGTCTTGAGAGAAAATAATATGATGGCATATGTTTATTACAGCACTTCAGTGGCTGTCATGTGGTGTGCCTATAGCTCCACCTGTTTGGGAGGCTGAGGTAGGAGGATCACTTGAGTCTAGAAGTTATGGCTATAGTGTGCTCTGCCAATTGAGTGTCCACACTAAGTTTGGCATCAATATGGTGACCTTCTGGGGGTGGAGGACCACCAGGTTGTCTAAAGAAGAGTGAAATCAGCAGGGGCAGAAACAGAGCAGGTGAAAACTCCCATTCTGATCAGTAGTGGGATGACGCCTGTGAATAGCCATTGCACTTCACCCTGGGCAACACAATGAGGCCCTGTCTCTTTAAAAAAAGAAAGCGCTTTGAATGCTGGTAAGTTCTCCCCTCGTCCCCATCCACTAAACAACTAACTATTTCCTTAGCCTGGGCAACATAGTGAGACCCCCATCTCTAAAAAAAATAGTAAAATATAAAAAATTAGCTGGTGTGGTGGCACACGCCTGTGGTCCCAACTACTCAGGAGGCTGAGGTAGGCAGACTGCTTGGTCCCAGGAGGCTGAAGCTGCAGAACTACTCAGGAGGCTGAGGTAGGCAGATTGCTTGGTCCCAGGAGGCTGAGGCTGCAGTGAGTGGTGATTGCTCTACTACGCTCCAGCCTGGACAACAGAGCAGGATCCTGTCTCAAAAAACAAACAGAAAAAAACCCCCAAAACCAACCAAACAAAAACACTGTGTCCTTCACCTGCTCTAGCTTTGGAGAATCCTCTATGACAAATGGCATTTAAATGGCATTATAGTCAGTTGTGTCACAAAATCGACTAAACCAAAAATTTCTGTAACTGCCACTCGGTTGTCTTCTTATTTTCACTCCTCATATTAATTCCACTGCTGCACTTGTTTTTGTTTCTACCAATTACAAAACCTCTATTAAAATAACATAAAAGTACCTTTTTTTTTTTTCCCTGTGATGGAGTCGCACCCTGTTGCCCAGGCTGCAGTGCCGTAGCGTGATCTCAGCTCACTGCAAACTCTGCCTCCAGGGTTCAAGCGATTCTCCTGCCTCAGCCTCCCAAGTAGCTGGGACTACAGGCACGCACCATCACGCCTGGCTAATTTTTGTATTTTTCGTAGAGATGGGGTTTCACCATGTTGGCCAGCCTGGTCTTGAACTCCTGACATCAGGTGATCTGCCGGCCTCAGCCTCCAAAAGTGCTGGGATTACAGATGTGAGCCATCGTGCCCAGCTAAAAGGAACTTTTGAAAGAACCCCCCAGACAACTCTGTTGCAGCATCTGAATATATTTGTTCTGATTTTCTTTAGTCCCTTCCAGGCTCTGTTCTTCAGACATTAGTATTTTTTACAGTTTCTTAATCAGAGGGCATGTACAATTTTATATTCTGCTGTTTCTACTTAATATGATATTATTGACATTCTTCTACATTGTTACATAATTAAACTTTTCAATTGCAGCATAACATTTTACAGGATATATATGCTATAATTCACATAGCTATTCAAGTAATATTGAATAAGTTATGTATCCCTTTTTCACACCCATCCCTCCTTACAGATTCCACTGTAATAAACATCTTTAAATACATAGCTTGACAAAAAAGATTTATTAGGATCAATTTCCAGGAGTGAGCGAGATTGTTATTTTATTGTTATTATTATTATTATTGTTTTTTAGAGACAAGGTCTCACTCTGTCTCCCAGGTTAGAGCACACTGGCATAATCACAGCTCACTGCAGCCTCAGCCTCCTGGACTCAAACAATCCTTCCACTTCAGCCTCCTGAGTAGCTGAGACTACAGGCATGTGTCATCATGCTCGGCTAATTTTTTTTTTGTAGAGACAAGGTCTTGTTATGTTGCCCAGGCTGGTCTTGAACTCCTGGGCTCAAGTGATCCTCCTGCCTCGGCCTCCCAAAGTGCTGAGATTACAGGCGTGAGCCACCGTGCCAGGCTTGAGTGAGATTATTATGTGAAAGGGGATAAACATTTAAATCATTCTCGACACCACAGCTAAACTGCTTTCCTAAGGGCTATTACCAGTTTATGTGGCAAATTTGTACAATACATTGTCAGGATGCCCCATAACAACAGAGGAAATGGTCTATTAAATGCCAGTGTACTCTGATAGGATTTTCTGAGGGCCACACCCAATGTGTAACTCAGGAGTGTTACATTCACATCCACTTATGATTTCCAAAATTTAGGCACAGTTTATGCAAGCCCGTGGCGATGTGTTTTCTGCTGCTAGGCAGCTTTCAAAATACTGTATGGTTAATTTTTCCTTGCAGATTGACTTTTCTGGAGATATATCCATATCTCCATTGTAATTGGCCCAATTCTAAAACGCTGAAAAAGGAGGCGTTGGAAGGAAGGGAGGGAATGGATGTTGAGAGTCCACAGAAATGCAAAGCCAGGGGATTTCCCAAGCTTCAGCAAGAAACCAGGGAGGCTCGGTATTTGACAGAATGTTCATCTTTGGGCTGTGATTGTTCCATCTCTCTCTCTCTCTCTCTCTCTCTCTTTTTTTTTTTTTCTTTTGAGACATGATCTTGCTTTCTTGCCAGGCTGGAGTGTAGTGGCAAGATCTCACTTACTGCCTCCTCTCTCTTCCGGGTTCAAGCGAATCTCGTGCCTCAGCCTCCCGAGTAGCTGTGATTACAGGCGTGCACTACCACACCCAGCTAATTTTTGTACATTTGTAGAGATGGGTTTTCGCCATGTTGGCCAAGCTGGTCTCAAACAAACTCTTGGCCTCAAGTGATCTGCCCGTCTCAGCCTCCCAAAGTGCTGGGATCTGCCTGGCCCTGTTCCATCTCTTAAGTACTTTCTTTAAAATCACATTTTGGCTCAAAAAGCAAATGGGTATTTGACTGATGAAGAACAATATGGATTTTAAAAATCTCTCTGGTAGGGGACAAGAGCAACCTAGTGGCACCCCTCATTGCTCCTCCCTGTCAGAATATTTCTCACCTGTTTTCCACCCCTCGCTTCCTGACTAGGTCTCCCGGAAGAGCAGCTGGTGCATTTTGCTGTCTGTTTTGTGATAAACATTCAGCTCTTTTTCCCTCTTGCTATTTCATGGATATATGTGAGGGTGAAATCAATAATACTATACGTGAAGACTTTTAAAAACTAAGAAAAGCACGAGGTTTCAAGGGTGCAAATACTTATTAGTATTATCATCACTAATATTTGCAAAACAAGAAAAAGAAATAATATTGCTAAAAATAAGAAATTGGAAAAAATTGCTGACAGAAGTCAATTTAAGAATAAAGTTGAACATGATTTTGGAAGGCTGGTCATAAATACAAATAAATAAATATACATATATATGTTGGTATCAAATATATTGAATTTTAGGTCTAGATAAATAGGCATTTTTTTGTTTCCTAAGAAAATATTCAAAATTTTAGTTGAAAATGGTGAATATTTTCTTTGTAAACTTTATCTTAAGGCAAATATATAGATAAGACTGTATGAAATTTCAGCTGATATACATTACTAATTATACACTGTTGGCTGGGCATGGTGGCTCATGCCTGTAATCTCAGCACTTTGGGAGGCCAAGGCAGATGGATCACTTGAGGTCAGGAGTTTGAGACCAGCTTGGCCAACGTGACAAAACCCCGTCTCTACTGAAAACACAAAAATTAGCCGGCTGTGGTGGTGCAAGTCTGTAATCCCAGCTACTTGGGAGGCCAAGGCAGGAGAACTGCATGAACCCAAGGAGGTGTAGGTTGCAGTGGGCTGAGATTGTGCCATTGCACTCCAGCCTGGGCAAGAGCGCAAGACTCCATCTAAAAAATAAATAACTAAACAAATAATACACTGTTAAGACTGACATCAAGGCTATCTCTGGGAATGCATTAATAGGTAAAACTCTGATATTTACCCAATAAAGTCATTGAATGCTTACACTGTTCATCTTGCTATGGTAGACACTTTAAAGGATTGAGTAAGAAAAAAAAACTATCCTTTCCATTTATAAGCGTATTTTTTTCTCATAAGGAAAGATATGATGTTTGGGTAATATGGGGTTTAAATTGCTTGTTGTTTTATTGAGGGTTGAGGGAGGTCTTATAATGTCTGGAAACGAATTGAATCAGCTAATGAATCAACGGTCATTATTGTTTTAAATCCCCATTTGCCAATTCTGAGATATTAAAATAGGGAATGCAGGGAACATTACAAACTGCCATTTGGTTATTTAATGTGATTTCTGGGGCACCAGGAAAGCTTCTTTGAGCAACAAACTCTCTCTCTTCCTTGTTTACTATTCCTTAAAAGTGAATAATATCCCTATTCTCTAATTTAAGTGCATGAGGCCTTTGCTTTCAGACTCTGCCTCTTTCAAAATGGTAGAGTTAACAAGTTGAGCTGATAGTTGTTGACAACCACTTACGCTTGGGATGAGTTGGTTTCAAATTTTGTCTTGAAAAGGATTTTGTTTGGGAAACAGCTTAAGATCCAAAATATGGGATGGAGACTACAATAAAGAGTAGAGAGGGGACTCCAGAGAAAACTCTGTCTCCCATCACAATTTGGGTTAGGATCAGCATTGTAGAAAACACTACCAACAAATCTGGAAAAGCAGGTAAATCTGTAGTCTTTCTGCAACAACATGGAACAACATGACATTCTATGAGATGACTATATAAATAGGGAAGAAAGTGAATTAATCTCCAGGAGAAATATCTAGACACTCTATTTTTATTTTTTGATACAGAGTTTCGCTCTTATTGCCCATGCTGGAGTGCAATGGCATGATCTCAGCTCACTGCAACCTTCGCCTCCCAGGTTCAAGTGCCTCTCCTCCCTCAGCCTCTTGAGTAGCTGGGATTATAGGCATGCACTACCATGCCCAGCTAATTTTTTGTATTTAGTAGAGACGGGGTTTCACCATGTTAGGCTGGTCTCGAACTCCTGACCTCAGGTGATCCACCCACCTCAGCCTCCCACAGTGCTGGGATTACAGTTGTGCACCACTGCTCCTGGTCCTCTCTCTCTCTCTCTCTCTCTCTCTCTCTCTCTATATATATATATATATATATATATATATATATATATGTATTTTTTTTTTTTTTTAGAGACAGGGTCTCTGTATCTTGTCACCCAGGTTGGAGTACAGTGGTGCAATCATAGCTCACTGCAGCCTTGAAGTGTGGGTTCAAGTAATGCTCCTGCTTCAGCCTCCCGAGTAGCTGGGACTGCAGATGCTCACTACCACATCCTGCTAATTTATGTTTATTTTTTGTAGAGAAGGAGTGGCACTACTGTTGCGCAGGCTGGTCTTGAACTCCTGGCCTCAAGTGATCCTCTTTGCCTCCGCCTCCCCATAGACCACTCTAGAGAACATTGTACTCAGATGGAACTTGAACCATCCAGAATAAATCAGGCCTGGGAAAGAGAGAAGAGAGGCAGCAGAGAGAACTGTCTGAGAAGAGTATGTTGGCAGCCCAGCTGCCAAAAAGCAGTCCAGATGGTCCCAACTTAACTGAAAATGGAAATTTTCCCTGACCCTTTCATGGGCCTTGTGACAAGGATGCCTCATTTACTCAGCCTGCAGCTTTCAACCCCTCGTGGGAAGAGGAGCACACAGGTGAGTGGGTGCAGGAGCTGGAGTTAATGCTTTCAGGCGCTGGCAGGTGCAAAACTCCATGCAGGCCCCACGGCAGCATCTTGCAGGGGGTGGTACCCATGACCCTTGAAGCCCCAGAGGGCATGTATTACAGGCAGCGCTTTGAGCTTGGCTGTCCACAGACGGCTTAAGTGTTTAACAGCTCAGTGGACCCTCTGCCTTTTCACGAGGGCAGAGGGTCACTGTGACAGCTTTCTGTACCCCAAGCTGTTGTCTGGTGTCCAGGAAAAATCAGGTCATACGAATGAATTGAAGGATAGTAAACATGGGGGATTTTATTGCCAGTGGAAGTGGTTCTTAGCAGGAAGGGGAGCTGGAAAGAGGATGGAGTGGGAAGGTAATCTTCCCCTGAAGTCTGGCCATTTGTGTTTGTGGCTAGACTCTTTGAAATTCCACCGTCAAGCCATCCCTCTGAAGTCAAACTGCTTCTCTCCAACATTCATCAGCTTCTTCTCTTCTCTCCTTCCCTGCTTCTCTGCCCTCTGCCAGTGGAGCCTGGGGTTTTTATGGGTACAGGATGGGGGGCGGGCCAGGGGTGGTTTTGGAAGAGGCAACATTGGAGCAGGAAATTGGGGATGTAAAGTTCTCACTTTGGGCCATGGTTCCAGGTTTGAAGGTGGGGCTCTCACCAGGGACCCCACCCTTTTCTGCCTAGAATTTCTCTGCCTCCTGTCTCTATCATTACCATGGCTTGAGTTAGGATTTTTTGACTTTACAATGGGTTTGTTGGGATAGTAAATGCATTTTCAACTTACGATATTTTTGACTAAGGCTGAGTTTATCTGGATATAGCCCTATGGCTAAGTCAGGGAGCATCTGCGTTAAATGGGTGAGGCTGATTGTTGGGAACCCACACCCTGTATCAGGTGAGCATGCATTTTACTAGACTTGGCCACTTCTTACATGTGGAAGATGTGAGAAAGTCTACATCACCCAGTGACTTTCATTCTCCAATTTTGTTTTTTTTGAGATGGGGTCTCACTTTTTCACCCAGGTTGCAGTGCCGTGGTGCAATCTCGGCTCACTTCAACCTTTGCGTCCGAGGCCCAAGCAATCCTTCCATCTCAGCCTCCTGAGTAGTTGGGACTACAGGTACCCACCATCATGGCCAGCTAATTTGTTATATTTTTGGTACAGACTGGGTTTCTCCATGTTGCCCAGGCTGGTCTCGAACTCCTGAGCTAGGAGATTTACCTGCCTCAGCCTCCCAAAATGGCGGGATTACAGGTGTGAGCCACCATGCCAGCCCCAAACTTACTTTTCTGTAAAATAGTTTGGGACTGAACACAGAGATTCTTAATCACCTTGTTTCTTTCAGATGTGGGGACTCAGTGGAATGTACCCATCCAGGCAAGCAGTGGTTTTGCCTGTACCTGGTGCCTGATCCCTAGTCGGGAGCAGTGTCCCTGCTTTCCCTAAGGGAGGACCCGTTCCAAAACCTTTCATTTGCACAGCCGTCAGTTACAACCTTCTATGAAATTGTTCTCAGGACTTAAGTCTTGTAAAACAGCCCAAACTCCCTTAAATTCTTTCTTGAAAGGGCCTGTATTATGTGAGGAAGTGCTAACCCCACCCTTGGGCCTGGTTCCTGCTGGGCAGTTTAGAAAGAAAGCTGAACAGTGAGCTTTCCCGGGCCATTATTCAGCTCTGAAAGGTAATCAAAGGGAATACCTTTCCTTCTATTATCCTATTGCTGAGTTTTACGGAGTTTTATGGAGGACTGCCTCTGAATACAGACGTGTTCAAAGAAGCCAAGAACCTAATATAAACAAGAATTTCCAAACAGTGCTTGTTCAGATGATCTTATTCAGATGGCTTAGCACTGCCAGGTTCCTAAAGGTCAAGGAGCCGTCACCACTGGGGCCTCCAGAGGACTGAATTCACCTCCACAACTGAATCTCCTGCCTGCCAGATGCCCAAATAGGCCATGGGGGCAGGTCACTTGCTTTACATTTCATATAAATGGGATCATACGGTGTGTACTCTTTTGCATGTGGCTTTTTTGCTCAAGCTCATTTTATGAGAATTCATCATATTGTTGCATGAAGCTATAGTTGTTCATTTCAATTGCTGTATGGTTTTCCATTATAGAAATAGACCACTATTTATTTATTCCTTCTACTCACATGATATTTGGGCTATTTCCAGTTTGGAGCATCTATTGGTTTCCTAGTGTTGTTGTAACAAAGGAGCATACATTTAGTGGCTTAAAATAACACACATTTGTTATCTTATAGTTCTAGAGGTCAGAAGTCCAAAATGGGTCTGCAGGACTATTTTACTTTTGGAGGCTTTAGAAGGGAATCCAATTCCTTGCCTTTTGAAGCTTCTAGAGGCCACATATATTCCTTGGTTCATGGTCCCTTTTTCCATCTTCAAAGCCAAGAACATAGTATTGATAGATGCAGGAGGAAAATAAGGGGGAAGGTACCCAGAGAACCTCCCACTGGCCTGCGCACTGGGAGGATGAGGTGCAGCCTTGGGAAGTTTGTGCCATTTGCAGCGGGGAGGAGCCTAGCCTCTCCTGTTCCTGTGTGGTAACCTGGGATTCATTCTGTGAGATGGGGGTCTGTTAACAGGAACCCTTCTCACTTTGCTGAGTTTTTTTCCTTTTCACCCAATAAATTCCACTCCTTACCCTTTTATATGTCCGCGAGCCTAATCTCTCCTGGTCCTGTGACCAGGACTTGGCTTTTTCTACAACAACATTTTTTTCTCCTCTCTCAACTCTGCTTCCATCCTTATTTCTTCTAACATTGACCATCTTGTGTCCCTCTTAACAGCATCCTTGTGATTACATTGGGCCCACCTGAATTATCCAGAATAATCTTCCCACCTTAACTTTATCACATCTGCGAAGTCCCTTTTGCCATGTAAGGTAACATGTTTACAATTTCCAAGGATTAGGCTGTGGTTATCTTTGGGAGGCCATTCTTCAGCCCGCTACAGAGCCTTATGAATAAACTTGCTCTTGACATTCATCTATATGTCCTAGGATGTACACATTCTGCATTTCCTTTGGATGTACACCTAAGAATGGAACTGCTGAGTTAGGGTATGCATATGTTCCGCTGGTAGATCCTTGCAAAAACAGTTTTCCAAAGTGGTGCGAAGTTACATTCCTACCAACAGCATATGAGTTCCAGTTGATCTGCATCATCTCCAACACTTAACCACTGCGATTATATAGAAGTGTCTCATTGTGGTTTAAACTTGCACATCTTTGATGACTACTGAAGTTGAATAGCTTTTCATATATTTATTGACCATTTGGATGCCCTCTATTGTGAAGTATCTGGTTTTTTTTTTTTTTTTTTTTTTTTTTTGTCTTTTGCCTATTTTCCTAATGGGTGGTCTTTTCCTTATTGATTTGTAGGAGTTCTTTATGTATTCTGGGTCTAAGCCCTTTGTCATGTATTTGTGCTATAAATACCTTCTCCTACTTTGTGGTCTGTCATTTTACTCCTTTAATGGTATCCTTTGATGCAAAAATGTTTCTAATTTTAATGCAGTCCAGTGTCTACAAGGAAATCTCAAGAAAAAATTTTTAAAATATTTTTAACTGAATGAAAATGAAAACACAATTTATCGAAATTTATGGAGTGAAGCCAAAGCAGTGCTTGGAGGGAAATTTATGCCGTGAAATACTTACATTAGAAAAGAAAGGTCTCAAGTTGCTAATGTAGGCTTCCATCTTAGAAACTAGAAAAGAAGAGTAAATAAATCCTAAAGCACGCAAAATGATAAAACAATTATAAAGAACAAAAATCAATGAAATTGGAAACAGAATATAATTGAGAAAATCAATAAGACCAAAAGTTGGTTCTTTGAAAAGATCAATAAAACTGAACACCTTGATATCAAGATTTTCCTGGCTTCATAAAACATGTTGAGAAGTATTCCCTCTTTATTTATTCTTTAAAAGAGTTTCTTTAAATGTTGGTAGAATTTAAATAGCCAGGGGTGGTGGCAGGCACCTGTAATCCCAGATACTCCAGAGGCTGAGGTAGGAGAATCGCTTGAATCTGGGAGGCAGGGGTTGCAGTGAGCCAGGATCGCACCACTGCACTCCAGCCTGAGTAACAGAGTGAGACTCTGTCTCAAAAAAAAAAAAAAAAAAGTTGGTAGAATTTACCAGTGAAGCCATCTCGTTTTGTGTTTTTTTGTCATACCATTTTAAATTCATTGCTTTAATTGCTTTATTATAATTTTTTAGTTCTTTTGTTAGTTTTTGCATGTCTTGGTTTTTAATTTGTTCATTACAATTTTCAAATTATGGGCATAAAGTTTCCCATGATATCTTTTTTTTTTTAAATGTAGGTTTGATTGTGATGTCCTTCTTTTGAATTTCGTGTATTGTTTGTGTCTTCTCTATGTTAATTGGTCTTGTCTTTTATTGATCTTCAAGGTGCCAACTTTTGGTATTGTTGGTTGATTGTAGATTTATTTTCTTTTTTACTAATTTCTGCTTTTTTTTTTCTTTTTAGAATTAGATTGGATTTTTTTATTATTTTCTAAATTATTTCGATAGATTCTTTTTTAAATTTTTAATTTTTTATTTCAATAGGTTTTTGGGGAACAGGTGGTCTTTGGTTACATGAATAAGTTCTTTAGTGGTGATTTCTGAGATTTTGGTGCACTCATCATTCAAGCAGTGAACGCTGTGCCCCATGTGTAGTCTTTCATCCCTCACCACCCCCCACCCTTTCCCCTGAGGCCCCAAAATCCAATGTATTACTCTTATGTCTTTGCGTCCTCACAGCTTAGTTCCCACATATGAGTGAGAACATATGATGTTTGGTTTTCCATTCCTGAGTTATTTCACTTAGAATAATAGTCTCCAATTCCAACCAGGTTGCTGAAAACGCCATTATTTTGTTCCTTTTTATGGCTGAGTAGTATTCCATGGTGTGTGTGTGTGTGTGTGTGTATATATATATATATATATATATATATATATATATATATATATATATATATATACCACATATTCTTTATCCACTTGTTGATTGATGGGCATTTGGGCTGGTTCTATATTTTTGCAATTGCAAACTCTGTTGCTATAAACATGTATGTGCTATAAACATAGATTCTTAGACCATTGGTTTTCACTTTTTTTCTTTTCGAATATGTGCATTTTAAAGCTATAAGTTTTCTTCTAAGCTTGGCTTTAAATAAATCCCACAAATTGTGAAATGCAGAAATTTAATTGTGGCTTAATTCAAAATATTTTCTAATTTCCATTGTAATTTCTCCTTTGACTTATGGGTATTATAAGCATATTGATTAATTTCCCAACATATGGAGATTTTTCTCCTTAACTTTTTGTTACCTATTTTTAGTTTTAACTGCAGTTGGAGAAAATACTCTAATCTTGGTATTGCAAATTCTCAGTACCTTGGTAGCTCTCCAATGTCCTAAAAAATGTTTTTATATTTATCTCAGCTTTCTAGTTGTTTTCAGAAACAAGTTTGATACAGAGTAACCTATCAGTTATTGCCAGAAACATAACTACCACCAGTGATAATTTAATTAATTGTGACACCATCACAATCTGTAGATCACCAGTACCCCATTTTCCATTAGTTAAAAAACAAACAAACAAACAAACAAACAAAAAACAACAAAAAAAAACCAGTCATCATTGCATCCATGGCCAGAGAGTTAAGCAACTCAACCTCAGCATTCTATCTCATTTTCTCCAAAGCCCATGTTCTATTACTAACATGCTGTTTATTACATTTATTACTGCTTCCAAGGTCCCCTCTGACAGATTCCACATTTTCTGTCTAAACTTATTTATAGGGCCGGGTGTGGTAGCTCATGCCTGTAATCTCAGCACTTTGGGAGTCTGAGGTGGGTGGATCACCTAAAGTCAGGAGTCCGAGATCAGCCTGGCCAACATGGTGAAACCCTGTCTTTACTAAAAATACAAAAATTAGTCAGGCTTGGTGGTGTGCACCTGTAGTCCCAACTACTTGGGAGGCTGAGGCAGGAGAATCGCTTGAACCCAGGAGGCGGAGGTTGAAGTGAGCTGAGATCGTGCCACTGCACTCCAGCCTGGGTGACAGAGTGAGACTCTGTCTCTAAATAAACAAACAAACAAACAAACAAACTGATTTACCTTCTGTCTTAACTTGGTCCTCTCACCATACTTTTTCAATAGTCTTCTCCCTCTTGTTTACAAACAGCAAATGCATGTCATATTTCTCTGCTCATGTTATTCTCAGCCTCTTCTCACTTCTCTTTGGAATATCTACTCTTTGGTTATTTTCGTTTAACGTATAAGAAAAGAAGGGAAAAAAAGATGAAATGTATGTCACTAAAATTGCCTCAAACACCAGTAGTGGCACGAGTCACAGTTTTAGAAACTCTGAGCTGGTGTGAGAAGCAGGGCTTCTGCCCCCTGGTGGGGAAAGGAGGATGCCCCAGGACCCACGGTGACTTATGGGGGATGTTGTCCACGAACTGACATGTCTGTTGGGGAATCCATCACAGGACCTGCATAACAATTTACATTTTGAGTTTTCCATTCCCCAAATGGCACATGATTCTAGAAACACTTGTTTTACTTAGGTAGGATTTTATAGATACATACATGTGCTACAAATAAATATTGCTTCCAAAGCTGCTCTGAAACCTTAGCCAGCTTCTAAGATGGGCACTGCTCTTGACTGGAGATAGAAATAACTGTAACGTTCATATGAACAGGATTCACAGTATTACTCATATTTGAGTGGTTCCTGGAAAGAGGGCAGTAATGACCGGATTCCCCAGGGCAAAACAGAAACAAAAAGCCCTCTTTTGATGAGAATGGGTTTGGTCAAATGTTTTTGGTGCCATGGGTTTGTTATTTCTTTCTGAAACTTATTTGAAGAGTAACGCCAACTGTCCCAGGCAGACTAAAAGTGACCCTAATTGTCAAGTTCTCAAGAAAAGGCAGTTCCACTGAGTCCCTGTGTCTCCCTTTCCAAGACTCAACCCCTCTGCCACAGCCTAAGGCTACTTCCTCTCCTTTCCTTAGTGGAGATGAACACTAGCTGGTCACTAACTGCCAAATATCTACCCCTTGCTACTGGATTCCACGACAGTGAACCTGCTCTTCAGCTTTCTCCCTACAATAATCTCCTTTGCTTTAACCTTTCCTCATGGGCCCTAAGTTTGTCTCATCCCTAATCACAGCTAAAAAAGATGGAACTGAATACAGCATGGAGTTTAACAGTGGGACAAAGAAAGGAACCATTTCACCCTAGATTTGTGTGTTCTGCTGAAACACAGGGCTGGTTTCATGTCTTCCTAAGTATTTCATTACAATGAAGAAAACACAGTTCTTGTTGGATGAGATGCCTGTTGAGGTGTTGCAAACATGATGATGTCATGTCCAGGGGAGGAAAATGAATATCCCAGGGTTTGAAACCAACTCCCTAGGCAGATGAAGCCAGCAGAGCAAGAACCTTGCCAGCACAACCAGTGGTAAACACACGAAGGTAAATATGGATATGGCCTTTGCTTCAATGGGATTCCAAGTCCTGGGAATGCCAAGAAGCATATATGTCTTTGGGGCCGCCAAATACCTACAGCGTTGTCTTATACATCACAAGCAGTAAATACACTTACCCACAGACACGGAGAGGGAGTTTCCTTAGCCTCTTTCCTTTATGTGAATTTGAAGCTGCCTGATCAGAGTACAGATGTGGCAATTTACTCAAGTTCTGCCCTTGGTTTTCCACTTCTGTTAGGGTCTTTGAGGGATTCCAACAGACAACATTCCCTTCACTGCCTGATTTATGAACCAATTAAGAAACAAAGTGGCCAGGTGCGGTGGCTCATGCCTGTAATCCCAGCACTTTGGGAGGCTGAGGCAGGTGGATCACAAGGTCAGGAGTTCGAGACCCAGCCTGGCCAAGATGGTGAACCCCGTCTCTACTAAAGATACAAAAAATTAGCCTGGCGTGGTGGTGTGCACCTGTAATCCCAGCTACTGGGGAGGCTGAGGCAGGAAAATCGCTTGAACCCAGGAGGCAGAGGTGGCAGTGAGCTGAGATTCTGCCATTGCACTCCAGCCTGGGTGACAGGGTGAGACTCTGTCTCAAAAAAAAGAGAAAAAAAGCAAGTGTGGGCACAATGGCTCATGCCTGTAATCCCAGCACTTTGGGAGGCTGAGGTGGGAGGGTTGCTTGAAGCCAGGAGTTTGAGACCAGCCTGGGTAATATAGCGAGACGCCCATCTCAACAAAAAATAAAAAGTTAGCCAAGCGTGGTGGTGCATGCCTGTAGTCCCAGCTACTCAAGAGGCTGAGGCAGGAGGATTGCTTGAGCTTGGGAGGTTAAGGCCTCAGTGAGCTGTGATCGTGCCACTGCATTCAGGCTGGGTGATAGAGTGAGACCCTGTCTCAAAAAAGAAAAGAAAGAGGCTGGGGGTGGTGGCTCATGCCTGTAATTCCAGCACTTTGGGAGGCCGAGGTGGGTGGATCATGAGGTTAAGAGTTCAAGACCAGCCTGGCCAAGATGGTGAAACGCCATCTCTAATAAAAATACGAAAATTAGCCAGATGTGGTGGCGGGCACCTGTAATCCCAGCTACTAGGGAGGCTGAGGCAGAGAATTGCTTGAACCTGGGAGGCAGAGGTTGCAGTGAGCTGAGATCGTGTCACTGCACTCCAGCCTGGGGGACAGAGCGATACTCCGTCTCAAAAAAAAAAAAAAAAAAAAGAAAAGAAAGAAAGAAACAAAGTGAGAGAGATGACAAGTGGAGGCTATAATACCACTTTCTTATGCTGACATTGAAAAGATAGCTTATATCTGTGAGCAAATAAACCTCCCAATACTGAACCCCCCTCACAGCAGCCTGGACTATGGCAGCCTCCCACCCTGGACCTGCCCCGCTCCAGCCCACCCCTGACTCCTGCCCTCTGATGGCAGGGTAGCTGTCAAGGAGGAAACCAGAGAGAGGCTGAGCCAACCACACCAGTTTATTCTCTCTAAAGTTCCTATCAGCTAAATCACTCCATCTTCTCTGAGCAGAGGTAGAGAGAGAGCCAGATGTCACATAAACAGAGCCACTTCCTCCTGAAACAACTATTCATTGTGGGAAATAAGTTACTTCCAAATCCTACCTACCCTGATGCCTTACCTCCCTTAGGGACTGTGGTCTTGAGTCCCTCACCATTGCACACCCAAGCATCTTGGCAGAGATAACCTTTCATAGAGATGATAAAGTGTGTGTGCATGAGCAGGCATATATGTGTGCATGTATGTGAGGATGAACAAATCTACATATATGTATACATATATATCTGAGTTTGCATGTGTATGTGTGTGTGAATGTGTGTATAGGTTTGCCTATGGTGCAAGTGTGGTGTGCGTTATGAGTTTGCATATGAGCTTGTGAGTGTGTAAGTGTACATGAGTGTGTGCAAGGGCACAGGTGTAGGCATGCGGGTGTGGGTGTTCATGTGTGCCTAAATGTTCATGTACATAGCTGTGCCTATAGTATAAGTAGGTGTGTGTGTAAATATCAAGCTTTGGAACCAGGCTTTCAGGTTTCATATTTGGGCAGATTCATTCCAAGAAACATTCCTTGAGTATCTATGATGACCAATGACTGTGGCAACCATAAGGAGGAGTATTACGTTTCTCTGGATGCAAAAGGCTTATAAGCAAGTAGAAGAGACAGACACATAAGCAACCCTATGCAACACAAGACAAAAGATGTTAAATGCCATTGTTATAACACAAGAAGAAGAATTGTTCTGACTTGCTGAATGTTTGAGGTCAGCTTGAGAGGAGATAGGAGGTGACAGGAGGGCCGTTCAGGCACAGGAATAACATGAGCTCAGGACCCAGGTAGAAATATAGGGCATGTTTAAGCAATGAGTCATTCGTTGTGCCAGGCACATAAATTAACATGAGAGTTACAACATCAGATCAGATCAAGGATAACATCTGGCCATTCCTCACTATATTTCACAGGGCACACGCTGATGAAGGAGGGGGATGGCCAATTAGTGGGGAACTCGGACTCTTGTACTAAGAAGTGTGAACTTCCTTTCTTAAGGTAAAGGGAAGCCATTGTGTTAGAGTGGAGCCGGGGAAGGCAAGGGTGGGATAAGAATTTCAGGGTTAAGAAGCTACTGCATTGGTCTACATGAGTGATAATGAGGGGGTCAAAGGGGTGACATAGTTTACAGATACACTCAGTGGATTTTTATTAGGCTGAAGGGAGGTTTTCCAAATCTGGTGACTGGTCATTTAATGGTGTCACTAACAGGGCTAAGGAGGAAGTGGATGATGGGCTAAAGAAGTTGAACTGCAATTTGAACTACTGTGTCTCCCCTGATAATCACTCAGTGCTATGCTTCGTGCACCCAACCCCCACACAGATGTGGACTTTTGGGAAATGCGTCCTCTTGCTGACTAGGCATCAAAGAATGAGTATTTCCTTTGTCACCATTGCCTCATCTTCCAGAGAAAACTCTTCACTTCTGGAGGAAGCCAATTTCTCTTTCATCTGGAACCTTTTATCTCTAATAACATTATCTCTATAGTTTTAACTCAAGAAAGGTCTCGGTTTGAGTCTTCAGTTGGAGCCCTGAGGAAGCAGGTTCCAAGAACAAAGGAGAGATTGCTCTTTCTCTGGTCTTCTCTGCTCAAACAATAGCAAGCTACCTTCTGGACACTACAGTGGGCATGTCCAGTGGTGCATCACCTGACAGAGAGATGCAGGGACTCAAAACAGGTACATTTATTGTGTCAAGGTACATTTGTGAGTACAAGGAAGAGTCACGTCCAGGAGAGGACAGGCTGAAGAGGAGCTTCAACCAATAGATGGGGCTCTGCTGGGGCCACTAGGATGTCAGCAGGGAAGCCTCGGAGCGCCACAGCAGCGTAGAAGGCCTCGGGCTGCAGAATTCAGCAGGACTAGGGGCTAAATGTGTGATGAAGTTGGAAAGGCGAACACAACAGCAATTGAAGTGGATTCCAAGAATAAAAAATGATTCGCCAGAAATACGCCAGGACACAGGCAGCTAAAGCCAACAAAGGGGTGGATTCCCAAGATGGGGACCTGAGAATCCAAAGGGATCGAAAAATCAAACATAGCCAGGCACGGTGGCTCATGCCTATAATTCCCACACTTTGGGAGGCCAAGGAGAATAGATCACTTGTGCTCAGGAGTTCGAGGCCAGCCTGGGCAGCATGGCAAGACCACATCTCTACAAAACACAACAATTAGCCAGGCGTGGTGATGTATACCTGTAGTCACAGGTACTCGGGAGGCTACGGTGGGAGGATCACTTGAGCCTGGGAGGTTGAGGCTGCAGTGAGCCATGATTACGCTACTGCACTGGAGCCTGGGTGACAGAGTGAGACTTTGCCACAAAAATAATAATAATAAAACAGAAAAACCAAACATCAAATAATGCAAAGACACATGGGCTTGGGGCAATTCGTGGCTTTACGGGGTGAGGTGCAATGTCAGAAAGAGGCGCAGGCACTGGGGTTCTTTAGTCTGGAGAAGAGGTGGTAGCTGTTACCTAAATCATAAGCTCCTGGAAGGCAGAGAATACAGATCTGATGTCTTGATTAGTAGGTAATAAATGGATATTGGTTGAATGATTGCTTACTTAAGTAAGCCCTTCAAGGGGAGATTCTCTTAATTGCTGCCTCATACCTCAGAATGGCTTTGATTTTCTCATTTCTCTTTTTTGCCCTGGCAGCTGTTATTGCCTCAGCAAGCTAAAGCTGTTGCTATTTCAGCATCATTGCTAAGAAGGGCATTGAAGCATCTTTATGTCAGGCTGAGCTCACTCATCCAGATTAATTCCCTAGATGTCCAGCATAATTTCTGGTAAAGTCACCTTTTGGTCTGAACAAAAAGCAGATAACTCACTTTATCTGTGAGTTTTTTATCTTGTTGACAAACCAAAATTCTTATCCATTTCAATTTCTGTGGCAATTTAAGAAATTGCTAGCAGAAGAAATGTGGACTTTGGAAGGACACATTAAGCCTGCACTTTGCTCCTCGCTATCATGTGAATGCCTCAGTGTCCTGGCCATTTCTGATTCGGTTCTGGGAGGATTACAGAAACATCATGATTACTGTGCTCTCTAAGCCTCTCACTGGTTTTAAGGAGGGGGCTGATTTCCACTTTTATTTATAGAAACTTCGAGAATGATCTCCAAAGCTCAAGAGTTCAAGAAGCTATGGAGAATCTTAGTGATTGAGAGGACATTTGGGTTCATCTAAACCAGGGGTCCCCAACCCGCAGGCCATAGTCCAGTACTGGTCTGCGGCTTGTAAGAAATGGGGCCACACAGGAGTGAGTGGTAGGTGAGTGAGCACGACCACCTGAGCTCCGCCTCCTGTCAGATCAGCAGTGGCATTAGATTCTCATAGGAGCGTGAACCCTATTGTGAACTGTGCATACGAAGGATCTAGATTGCATGCTCCTTATGAGGACCTAATGCCTGATGATCTGAGGTGGATCAGTTTCATCTGGAATCCATCAACCCCAACCAACACGTCCGTGGAAAAATTATCTTCCACAAAACCAGTCCCTGGTGCCAAAAGGGTTGGGGACTGCTGATCTGAACCCCTTCTGTGTCAGAGTGTGGCTTGCCTAAGGTTCTTTGACTAAGTGGCATGTTGGTGCTTTGAACTGAGCAACTGAGAATCTACTATGTCATGCCTTCTCATCGACGGAAGTACTTGCAGTGGATCCAGATATTTAAAATGAATGCAAAAAAGGGGGATTAAAAATGCAGTAAAAATGCAGTGAAAACAAAAAAATGTAAAAATAAGGAAAAGTCCTTTTTTTATTTTTCTTTTTTGAGACAGGGTCTTGCTCTGTCACCCAGGCTGAAGTGGACTGGCACAATCACAGCTCACTGTAGCCTCAACCTCCTAGGCTCAAGCAATCCTGCCACCTCAGCCTCCTGAGGAGCTGGGACTACAGGCTCACACCAACATGTCCAGCTAATTTTTTATTTTTTCAAGACCAGCCTGGGCAACATAGCAAGACCCCATGTTGCCCAAGCTGATCTTGAACTCCTGAGTTCAAGCAATCTGTCTGCCTCGGCTTCCCAAAGTGCTGGGCTTACAGGTGTGAGCCACCACGCCAGGCGTGAAAAAAAGTCTTAAACAACAACAAGAAAATAATGCATATAGTATTTGCTCTCTAGACCAGGTAATCATTCTGCTAAACATGCTGCTGTGTCCAAAAGACAAAGCCTTCTCAAACTGTCGAAACGTGTTTCTCAAAAGGTTCATTATATTCTTTCTTCTCTGCAAAAATGACAAGCAGTTACCATCTTTTTCTGAGCAAATATTGACAACCCCTAGCACCCAACACTATGAAAATTCAGGTATATTAAGTTTAACCCATCATCTGTCTCAGTTTTTGTCCCCTAAAACAAAGGAAAATTATAGGCACAGTGCTAACAATGGAAATGTGAGTTTTTTCCTCCTTTGGTCTTTTTGTTGCTAGGGTGTAAGCCCATGTGTGTTGTAAAACTCTCTCCCATCTGGCTGGTTCTTGAAACTTCTCTGGGTCGCAGTTCTTACAGTTGAGCAATTAATTCTAACACTTGGGAACGGCTGAAATGAAGGAGATTTCAGAGAGAATAGCTCATGACCTTATGCCTTTGTGTGTTTTACTGAGAACTGACCTCCTGCGTTACTGGGAAAGAAAAATCTATTAAAATCTCTTGGGTGAATACTTCAGCAGGCTGATTTCATTTTGAAGTGAATCATTTGGTGCATTTTAGAAGGCATGATAAATGATGTCATCTCAAATATTAATATAAACCCTGGATAACATGCTTTTTACTCAGATTCAGAGTTTTATTACGATATTGTAAGAATTCCATTAGGCCACACCTACACCGTTTGAAGTCTGGTGAGATGCAAGGGTGGAGGAACAACACTACTTGATACTGTCAAATCCCCAGAACTAGAAAGTATCTATGAATTAACCTGACAACAATAAAACCACACAAAGTTACGGGAGAAAAATTCTAATAAAGGGTATAAAAGAACAACTAAGTAAACAGATATATACATATCATGTCTAATGGATGGGCAAACTTAGCACCAAGTAGATGTTAATGCTCCCTAAATTAATGTCTAAGTCAATGCCATTTTAATCAAAATCTCATGATAATCCGTAAATTGGAAAAATTAATTCTAAAATGTATAAAGAAAAGTCCACAAATAGTCAAGGGAATTCTGAGAAACAAAAGCAAAGGACTAGCTCTATTAGACAGTAACCCGCATTACAAAGCATAAACATATGGCAAGGTTATGCCCTGATGGGCAGAACAGGAAGTTTAGAAACAGAATCATGTGGCCAGACGCGGTGGCTCATGCCTGTAATCCCAGCACTTTGGGAGGCCGAGGCAGGTAGATCACTTGAGGTCAGGAGTTTGAGACCAGCTTGGTCAACATGGCAAAACCCCATGTCTACCAAAAACACAAAAATTAGCTGGGCATGGTGGCGGGTGCCTGTAATCCCAGCTACTCGGGAGGCTGAGGCAGGAGAATGGCTTGAACCTGGGAGGTGGAGGTTGCAGTGAGCCAAGATCGTGCCACTGCACTCCTGGGTGACAGAGTGAAACTGTGTTTCAAAAAAAAAAAAAAAAAAAACCACCACCCCATCACCAAAAAGAAGAAACAGAATCACTCTGCAGAAAAACAAATAGATTTAAATAAAATTCAAAATTTAAATTTATTTTATTTATTTAGAGACAGAGTCTTGCTCTGTCACCCAAGCTGGAGTGCAGTGGCATGACCTCGGCTCACTGCAACCTCCATCTCCCAGGTTTAAGCGATTCTCTTTCCTCAGCCTCCTAAGTAGCTGAGATTACAGGTGCCTGCCACCACATCCGGCTAATTTTTATATTTTTAGTTGAGCCAGGTTTCACCATGTTGGCCAGGCTGCTCTCAAACTCCTGACCTCAGGTGATCCACCCGCCTTGGCCTCCCAAAGTGCTGGGATTACAGGCATGACCCACTGTGCCTGGCTGAAATTTATTTTAACAATATATGATAATGTATAATTATATTGATACATAACACATATATTAATATTTACTGTTTATAAAGATTTAAATGATTTCAATGAATTAAAAATCACAATATAAAGAAAAAAGAAATGCCAAATAGTTTTAAGACTATAAAACTACTAATAAGAAATCTAGAACTATCTTTTTTTTTTTTTTTTTTTTTTAAAGGCAGAGTCTTGCTGTGTTGCCCAGGGTGGAATGCAGTGGTGTGATCATAGCTCACTGCAGCCTTGACCTCCTGGGCTCCAGTAATCCTTCTGCCACAGCCTCCCCAGTAGCTGGGACTACAGGCATGAGCCATCATGCCCAGTTAATTGCTTTTTTTAGAGACAGGGCCTCATTACGATGCCCAGAGTGGTCTTGAACTCCTGATGTCAAGCGATTCTCCCACCTCAGCCTCCCAAAGTGTTGGGATTACGGGCATGAGCCACTGCACCCGGCTAGAAGAAACATCTTTATAAGCTTAGAGTGGCACAGTAGATTGAGAAAAGTAACAACTGCACTGGCAGCTTCTCCCAGCAGGAGGTGGGGGCTTTTATTTGACTCCTTGAGTTTGGGTGTGGCCATGTGGCTTGTTTTGGTCCACTGGGCATTAACAAATGTGAAGAAGGAGAGGCCTGGAAAGCTCAGGTCCACCAGGCTTGCCCTCTCCTGCGCTGGAATCCCGGAGCCGCCGTGTGCGGAACCCTGGGCTGCCCTGTTGGAGGGTGAAAGGCCGTGTGGAGTAAGAGGCCCAGCCATCCCAGCTGGGGCCATGATGTGAGTGAGGCCCCCCAGATCATCCAGCCCCCGCCCATCAGGCCCCGTTCAGAAGCAATTAATCCCACAGCAATGAATCCTTGTTGGCTTAAGCCACTATGCTTTGGTGTGGTTTGTTACATAGCAAAAGCTAACTGATTCAAGCAGGGCACAAAAAGTGTAAATCTCAAAGGAAAAATTAATGGATTTAACAACATCAAAAGTAAACACCCTAGATGAAAGGTAACAGACAGGAGATGGGCTGGAAGAAAATATTTTGCAGAACCAGGACTGAAGATTAAAATGTAAAAAATCTAAGGGACACTTGCAATTGCAAGAAAAAAGTTTTAAGTAGGCAAAACCTGAATGAGAAGTGCACCAGAAGTAAAACCAGAGTAGTTAATAAATATGTGAAGAGACTCTCAAACTCATTAGTAATCAAAAAAATAGAGTATGTTAAAAATGAGATACTACAACTATTAGAATGGCAAGAAATAAAAAGTTGTATGATATCAAGTGCTGACAAGGACATGGGGAAATGAAACTCCTCATTACACTACAGATGGGCAGGAGTCACCTTCTGTTGTCATTTGTGAAGGTCAGTTGGGAAGCATTTTGTGAAAACATGCACATATGTATACTCTCATGTGATCCAGCAGTACAGTTCCTGGGTGATATCCCAGAGAATCCTTCTGACAGATGCACAAAGAGATTTATGTCAGTTTGCAGTAGCATCGTCTGCCAGTGTAAGCCATCCCTTAGTGGGAGGGTGTGTAAGGAAAATGTGGTATATGCATAGGATGGGAAAACCATAAGGCAGCCAGATCAGTAAATAAGATTTACTTCTATCAACATGGCTAGATCTCAAAAACACGTTGAATGGGCCGGGCGCGGTGGCTCACACCTGTAATCCCAGCACTTTGGGAGGCCAAGGCTGGCGGATCACGAGGTCAGGAGATCGAGACCATCCTGGCCAACATAGTGAAACCCCATCTCTACTAAAAATACAAAAATTAGCCGGGCATGGTGGTGCATGCCTGTAATGCCAGCTACTCAGGAGGTGGAGGCAGGAGAATCCCTTAAACCAGGGAGTTGGAGGTTGCAGTGAGCCGAGATCGTGCCACAGCACTCTAGCCTGGCGACAGAGTGAGATTCCGTCTCAAAAAAAAAAAAAAAAAAAACACATGTTGGATGAAGAAAATCAGTAGAATGAGATGTATAGCACAATGCGCACTGGTAAATTAAAGTCTATATTATATAGATGATGTTATGTATATGAAGGTATGGAAGGTGAGTTGGAAGAACACACATTAAAACATAGGTACTGGCTGGATGCAGTGGTTCACACCTGTAATCCCAGCACTTTCGGAGGCTGAGGCAGGAGGATTGCTTGAAGGCAGGAGGATTACTTGGGCCAGGAGTTCAAGACCAGCCTGGATGATATGGTGAGACTCCATCTCTAAAAAAAAATTAAAAAATTAGCTGGATGTGGTGGTATGTGCCTGTGGTCCCAGCTACTCAGGAGGGGAAGGAGGAGGATCACTTGAGCCCAGGAGGTTGAGGTTGCAGTGAGCTGTGATCACGCCACTGCACTCCAGCCTGGGTGACAGAGCAAGACCCTGTCTCAAAAAAAAAAAAAAAAAAGAAGTGAAATAAAACCTGGGTACTCATGGGAAGAGAGTAAGATTGGGGATGGGTCATTAAAAGACTGTAATGAAACCAAATCAGAACATTTGTCTCATCAGTGTACTTACTGCTTATGATGACTGCATGAGGTTTATGGATAGAGCTGTGATTTGGAAAACCAAGTAGAAAAAATATAAACAAAAAGGAAGAGCCTCCTCTATTTAAAAAGGATACAAAATACAGTGACATCCCCCAGTTTTGGCAACATTCTGCTGGTGTCACTAATATCACTATTAACCTGTAACTCTAAATGGACACCCAGCGGAAACCAAAACAAGACAAAAGGCATTGTTCTCCTTCTTAAAGGAAGAATCCATGTGGGGAAAAACCCCAGGCTTATTGTTTAAATCATGTAATAAAAGGCATCATATTAAACCCTTTACTGGTTTCTACATTGCATCCTGCTCTATGGCCTTGCTGCTTTTTAACAACCGCTTGCTTAAAGATAAAATCAGTATCTATACAGGGCCTCATACATTATACCTCTTTTGAGCATAATTTATTTCATCTACTTTATATCCAAAGGTGAAACTAAAACTATTTTATATTCTTACCTGAAAAACCACTCACGCAAGAATCAAGATGTTGTTCTCTGAGTTAAGGATTTTTCCTGGCCCCAGTCCTGTTACTTTGGTTACCACTGGCTAAGCTTTTCGTTGCCATTTGAGTTTGTGAACACACAGAGTAACCCGGATGAGACTATGGGTGCAAGTGTGGTGGGCTGGGGTGGGAACTGTGTCAGCACCGGGGTAGACAGAAGTCAAGGAACTTCTGTGGGGAGCTGATCAGATCAGCCAGAGTTTACACTGTCAGCATCTGACCTCAGAGTTGGTGGGCCACGATCAGTGATGAGTCACAACTTAAGAATAGCGCAGTGGAGGCTGGGCATGGTGGCTCACGCCTGTAATCCCAGCACTTTGGGAGGCCGAAGCGGACAGATCACCTGAGGTCGGGAGTTCGAGACCAGCCTGACCAACATGGTGAAACCCTGTCTCTACTGAAAAAACAAAAATTAGCCAGGCTTGGTGGCACATGCCTGTAATCCCAGCTACGTGGGAGGCTGAGGCAGCAGAATTGCTTGAACCCAGGAGGCAGAGGTTGCAGTGAGCCGAGATCACATTACTGCACTCCAGCCTGGGCAACAAGAGCGAAACTCAGTCTCAAAAAAAAAAAAAAAAAAAAAAGGATAGCACAGTGGAAAGAGATGCTCAGGTTTAGTGTAGCAGGGGCTCAATTTCCAACAAAGGAAACTGTTTATATGAAAGGGAAAAATCCCTAAAACAATAAGAACCCATCGCCAACCTCAAAGCCTATCGATTGGAAACAACTGTTCACCAGACGGCTCAGCTTGATTTCCCAGAATGTGAGACAATTCCATGAAGGAAAACAAGCTGATTTCAAAAATTAGAAATAACTCAATTAACTAGGATTTCCTTTTAGTTTGGTTTGCTTTGCTTTTTACTTTAATTACTCCATAAGGTCCAATTGCTGTAATGTGAGAATCCTAAATGAGTAAAGTTGGATGCCAAGTTAAATGCTAAGAAGACCTGGGGAGAAGCTGGGCGCAGTGGCTCACGCCTGTAATCACAGCACTTTGAGAGGCCGAGCCAGGTGAATCATTTGATGTCAGGAGTTTGAGGCCAGCCTGGCCAACATGGCGAAACCCCATCTCTACTAAAAATACAAAAATTAGCCAGGTGTGGTGGCATGTGCCTGTAATCCCAGCTACCTGGGAGGCTAAGGCAGGAGAATCGCTTGAAGCTGGGAGGCGGAGGTTGCAGTGAGCCGAGATCGCATCATTGCACTCCAGCCTGGGCGACAGAACAAGACTCTGTCAAGAAAAAAAAAAGAAAAAAAAAACCTCAGGAAATCTCAGAATGATGAGTGGGAAGAAAAGTGGGGTGGGCTAGTCTGTTGGAGTAGTAGGATTACAGGGAATTTTTCTCTTTGTTTTAAACTTTTAATATTGCTGTTATCAAGTTGAGCAATAAATAATCTTTTCTAAATGTAAGCATTCCTTAGGGAAAAACAAACAAACATGCTAACCTTTCCTCTCCATCACGCTGTGGGGAAGCTTCATTGGTTCCTTAAGGAGACTATAATCAAACCACTTTTTTCTTGCTCATCATAAGGTTTAACTAGGGGCAAAAGAGGACAAGAAAAATAATTAGAGCCATAATTGGTGGGTAGATGGAAACAGAGTCCTAGGGTTGGAAGGAATCTTGGAAATATGTTTTGCCCATCCCCTCAGCTCTCGGGCCACACCTAAACTCTTAAAGCCCTCAGGAATTTACTGTGCTGAGGACCGCCAAGGACAATGCCTAATCTGTCTTAGAAACTCATTCTAGTGTCTAAGAATACTTACTGGCAGGAAATTCAACTTTGTGAGTAAATTCAGACTCCACTCCCATCCATTTCCTCTGGCTCTGATTTCGGGTGGAGATGGACCGCAGCTGGACACACATTCAAGTACACTCAGCAAACACACGTGAAGGTTGTTACCAAAATAGCCCCCTCCCATCCCCACCTCAGCTTTCTCTGCTCTGGGTTAAATGATCCCAGCCCCTGTATGGGATAAATGATCCCAGAAATCTCTCCTGATCGGTTTCATTATCTGAACTTAGACCTACCTGTGCCTAATCTTTGACCAACAGTCCAGTAGGGGGTTCACCACCACTGGCTCTAGGGTGATCAACTGTCGCAGCTTGCCAGAGGTTGCCCAGGTGGGACTTTTAGTGCTAAAACCAGGAAAGTCCCAGGTAAACTGTGATAAGTTGGCCTAGCTGGCTGTCTCTGGGGAAAAAAATGCAACCACCGGAGGAATGATCTTCATTGCTAAAATGCAATGTTACACGACGTGTCATGAATATGGAGACAGAACCATCTGAAAAGCTGCTGTGGTTTGAACGTCCCTCCAAAACTCATGTTGAGATATAAGTGCCATTGTAACAGCATTAAGGGTGGAGCCTCTAGAGAGGTGATTAGATCATGAGAGCTCTGCCCTCATGAGTAGATTAATGCCGTTATTGAGGGAATGGTTAGTTATCACCTGAGTTGGTTCCTGATTAAAAGGATGAGTTTGGCTGGGTACCATGGCTCACGCCTGTAGTCCCAGCACTTTTCAAGGCCAAGGCAGGAGGATCACTTGAGGTCAGGAGTTCAAGACCAGCCTGGCCAATATGGTGAAACCCTGCCTCTACTAAAAATACAAAAATTAGCTGGATGTGGTGGCGGGTACCTGTAATCCCAGCTACTTGGGAGGCTGAGACAGGAGAATTGCTCAAACCTGGGAAGCGGAGGTTGCAGTGAGCCAAGATTGTGCCACTGCACTCTAGCCTGGGCAACAGAATGGGACTCCATCTCACAAAACAAAGGATAGTTTGGCCTAATTTGATGTCTCTGTCTTGGGTGCTCACTTGTTCTTCTGCCATGTGATGATGCAGCAAGAAGGCCCTTGCCAGATGCCAGCACCATGCTTTTGGACTTCCCAGCCTCCAGAAATGTGAGAATAAATTTCATTTCTTTATAAGTTACCCAATCTCCAGTATTTTGTTTTACTAAAAACAAGTAACAGAAAACAGCCTAGGAAAGGGCCACGTCTGCTGTCCTGTTTCAGCACAAACCCCTGTCTGGAGGGGATGAACACAGTGTCTGCTCTACTGCACACAGCCTGTACCTGTCCCCCACCACTGTTACCTGGGTACATGGGCACACCTGGGGATGCAGCACTTATGGCTTAAAAAAAAAGAATCAGGTGCAAAACCAGAAACAAATCTAAAGTGTGTGAAGGGGAGGAGAAACAGGGCATGAATAGGGGGGGAATTGCCACAAACAAGAGAAAATAGCCTAACAGCCTGGAGCAAAAGCAAGAGGGAGAATACAGTTAGAAACATACCCAATGAGAGGGAGAAATTGGTGAAGGAAAAAAAAAAACATGAGAAGGAAGAACATGAGAGCACGAAGAGAAGTCTGTGGTGGTAAAAGAAGTAGAAGATACACCTGCCACGCTCACGCCCTTGGACCACCAAGCAGAATCACTGAGCCATTGCCCAGCCCACCCCTCTTTGTATTTTCTCATATCCTTTCGAATGGTTCCTGGACACTTGGATTTCATGGTCCAGGAAGAAAAAATTAAAGACTAACGTAAAGCTGCAAAGAACATGAAACTTAAAATGTCTTCTACTATGATCATTACTTCCAAAAGCAAGGGACATTGTACGTCCTCAGAGGAAAGAGCATTGCTTCCCAAGAAAGAACTCTGTCCTTGGCCACTGAATACCACCCTGCACGCAGAACATTCTCCTCACTTCTCCCCTTTGCCAAGGAATGCTGAAAACTTTGTCACAGGCTGGTGCCAGGTCTTACCCTAGCATTTGGGAGGCACTGCTTTAGGGAACCTGAGAGTTTAGCCACGCAGTTCTGTAGAAAAATGGTGGAAAGCTAACATTTGTCGAGCACTGACCATTGCCTGCCCCTGTACATAGTCATTATCTCATAAAATCACCTCAATAACACAGTTCTAATTAGTCCTCCTATTTCAAATAAGGAAACTGAGGCTCAGAGATGTTGAGAATCACGCCTGCAGTCAAGTGGTAGAGGAAGGTTTTAATCCAAGTCACTTGACTTCAGGGCCAACCTTTTTTTAGTTTTATTTTTTACTTTTTTGAAAAAAGTCTCGCTCTGTCACCCAGGCTGGAGTGCAGTGGCAAGATCTCGGCTCCCTGCAACCTCCACCTCCCAGGTTCAAGCAATTCTCATGCTTCAGCCTCCCAAGTAGCTGGACTTACAGATGTGCACTACCACACCTGGCTGATTTTTGTGTTATTAGTAGAGACAGGCTGGTCTCAAACTCATGGCCTCCAGTGATCTGCCTGCCTCAGCCTCCCTAAGTGCTGGGATTACAGGCGTGAGCCACCGTGCCCGGCCTCCAAACCTTTTTTAAATTAAAATTTTTGGAGACAGGATTTTGCTCTGTTGCACAGCCTGGAGTGCAGTGGCATGATCACAGTTCACTGTAGCCTCTAAATCCTGGGCTCAAGCAATCCTCGCCTCAGCCTCCTGAGTAGTTAGGACTACAGGCCTGTGCCACCATGCTCAGGTAATTTTTTTAATTTGTAGAGAGATGGTCTCTCTGTGTTGCCCAGGCTGGCCTCAAACTCTTGGCTTCAACTGATTCTCCCCACTCAGCCTCCTAAAGTGCTGGGATTACAGGTGTGAGCCATCACATCAGGCCCAAGGCAAACATTTTAAACCATGATGCTGCACATTACAAACATGCTTCTTCACAGAAGGAGCCTCCTGGATTTTCTAAACAGAGTGAAAGGGTTTCATAAACTCTACATCCGTTTTGTTTTTTGTTTTTTGTTTTTTGTTTTTTTGAGACACGGTCTCAATCTGTTGCCCAGGCTGTAGTGCGGTGGTGTGATCATAGCTCACCGCAGCCTTGACTTCCTCGGGCTCTGGTGCTTCTCCCATCTGAGTAGCTGGGTCTACAGGCACATGCCACCAGGCCTGACTAACTTTTGTATTTTTTGTAGAGACGGGGCTTTGTCATGCTGCCCAGGCTGGTCTCAAACTCCTGGGCTCAAGCAATCCTCCTGCCTCGGCCTCCCAGGGTGCTGGGATTACCGGCGTGAGCCACCTCGCCCGGCCCGTCTACATCAGTTTTGGGTGTGCCGCCTACTGAAAAATTGCAAGCATCTGACTAAGACAATCTTTCCTGAATCAGGAATGCTTAAGAGATTTCAACCCCGTGATGGCTGTGTCCCTTCTGGCCTCGTCCCCAGCTGGGTTCACTGCTGGCTCTGACGCCTCTGTCCTGGCGCGGTGTCAGCTCCCCACTTTATATCCAGGGTGGGGGCCTGTTCTCTCAAGCTGCTATTCCTATCTGTGTTTGTTCAGAGGCTTCCTTCCTGGCTCTTTTTCTACTTTAAGATCTTCCCTTTTCAGCAACCTTTGCCTTGATGTCTAATTCCAACTGTAACTTAAAATCAGAACCACAGAAAGATATGATCAGGTAGAAGTTGATTTCTATTTTTTTTTTTTTTTTTTTGAGACAGAGTTTCGTTCTTGTTGCCCAGGCTGGAGTGCAATGGCGCCATCTCGGCTCACTGCAACCTCCACCTCCCGAGTTCAAGCGATTCTCCTGCCTCAGCCTCCCAAGTAACTGAGATTACAGGCATGTGCCACCTCGCCCAGCTAATTTTGTATTTTTACAAACCAGTCTGGCCAATATGGTGAAACTCTGCCTCTACTAAAAATATAAAAATTAGACAGGGTTTCTCCATGTTGGTCAGGCTGTACTCAAACTCCTGACCTCAGGTGAACCGCCCGCCTCGGCCTTCCAAAGTGCAGGGATTATAGGCGTGAGCCACCGCAACCAGCCTGGAAGTTGATTTCTTATTTTTCTTTATTGGAGACTTTGGTTCCACAAATCTGTGGAAAAAAGCTGAAGCCTCTTAAATCATTCACAGAAGATTAAGTGACTGGCAAACGAGACATTGGGCTTTCCTCCTATTGAAACCAAGTTATTAGTATATTAATATTGTATCTATTCACCACTTGCTAATTCTGTTTTACTAGCAATCTAATAGTGGGGGAAGCTTCCACTTAAGACTCTTTTATAAGCTTGAGGGACACAGAGTCCTTATTAGTTTAATGTGCTGTTATGTAGATGTGAACATCAGAATCATGGTTAGGAGGGAATTTAAAATGTTCCCCCAGCATCATTCCAGACAGATGAGAAGCCATCCTTTAAAAATTCTCCGAGAAGAATCTTCCACAATCAACTATTTTAGCTCATCCCAGTGTTTAATAATCCTCATTGCCAAGAATATTTTTTTCCTTTAATGCAATCCTTTCTGCTGTAGTTTAAATTCATTTCTTACAGGCACTGTTAGTGGAGTTGAAGACACCATCATCCATGTTAGTTTTTAATGTAGACCTCTTATGTGCAGAAGAAAATTCTTTAATCTTTTCTCACTTTCCAACCCTTAGAAACTAAACTTTCAGCCGGGCATGGTGGCTCACACCTGTAATCCCAGCACTTTGGGAGGCCGAGGTGGGTGGATCACCTGAGGTCAGGAATTTGAGACCAGCCTGGCCAACACGGTGAAACCCCGTCTCTACTAAAAATACAAAAAAAAAAAAAAAAAAAAAAAGCTGGGCATGGTGGTGGGTACCTGTAATCCCAGCTACTCAGGAGGCTGAGACAGGAGAATCGCTTGAACCTGGCAGGTGGAGGTTGCAGTGTGCCAAGATTGTGCCATTGCACTCCAGCCTGGGCGACAAGAGCAAAACTCCAACTCAAAACAAAAACAAAAACAACTAACCTTTCCATCCTCTTTTGTACAGCCCAAGAATTTAGAAAGGACATCAAATATATCTGGTTTAGTAATTCTCAGATCAGGTGCTTCGGAATCACCTGAGAATTGATGCAATGAGAGAGTCGCCCTCCCCAGGTATGCCCCAGCCGAATCTTTGTGGGTGCCACTCCAGAATGGATTTTAACAATACCGGGTGATCCTGATATTGATGTTGTTTAGACAGTCATCGGGAACCCTTGACCCAGTCTAGTTTGTTCTTAGATTTCCTTATGACCTGCAAACGGACCACCTCCCACAACAGCCCACTCGCTACATCCCCAAGAACAGCTTGCTCATGGCCACAGCCCTTCCAATGGGAGAAAGTGGCTCCTCTTCCTAAGCCAAAATTTGCGTCCTTGAAGTTTCTTTTTCTTTTTCTTTTTTGAGACAAAGTCTCGCTCTGTCACCCAGGCTGGAGTGCGGTGATGTGATCTTGGCTCACTGCAACCTCTGCCTCCCGAGTTCAAGCGATTCTCCTGCCTCAGCCCCCCAAGTAGCTGGGACTAGAGGCACGCACCACCCTGCCCGGCTAATTTTTGTATTTTAGTAGAGACGAGGTTTCACCACGTTGGCCAGGCTGGCCTCGAACTCCTGATCTCAAGTGATCTCCCCGCCTCGGCTTCCCAAAGTGCTGGGATTGCAGGCGTGAGCCACTGTGCAGCCCCTTCCTTGAAGTTTCTATCAATTATGTTAGATGTGGCCTCCAGTATCAGAGTATTTCTAATTCTCTTCATTAACCTTTCCAACCCCAAGAATATACAAATTACATTTCTAGGCCAATATGAAAAAAAAAAAAAAAAAGGAATAGGCCAAGTGTGGCGGCTCACACCTGTAATCCCAGCACTTTAGGAGACTGAGGCAGAAGGATTACTTGAGCCCAGGAATTGGAGACCAGCCTGGGCAACATGGCGAAACCCTATCTCTACAAAAAATACAAAAATTAGCCAGGCATGGTGGTGCATGCCTGCAGTCCCAGCTACTCAGGAGGCTGAGGCGGGAGGATCACTTGAGCCTGGGAAATCAGAGCTGCAGTGAGCCATGATTGTGCCATGGCACTCCAGCCTGGGCAACAGAGCCAGCCCTGGTCACATACATGGTGAAACTTCCCATCCATTGTCCAAAAGCTCTTGCTTACCATCAGTATATCAATGAGAAAAGAGTTGTCAAAGATCTAACTCAGTGATTCTCAAACTTGAGTGTGAATCAGAACCACCCAAAGGGCTTGTTGAAACACAGATTGTCGGGCTCCACCCCCAGAGTATCTGATTCAGTAGGTCAGGGTGGGGACTGAGGTTTGGTTTTCTAATTAGTACCCAGGTGATGCTGTGGCTGGTGGTCCACAGACCACACTTTGAAAATCACTGGGCTAATTAATGCATGCTTAAGGCAGCATTTATCAGCCTATGGAATGAGCACCTGCTGTATCAGAATCGGGGGGGAAGCTTTAAAAATAACATATTTTTATAGGGCTTAGGAATCTGGAATTACAACAACATTGCAGGTAAATCCTCCTACAGAAATTTGAGAACCCCTTGACTATGGGTTTTATAGTTTAAAGAGATTTGGATAGGCCAGCGGTTCTCAAAGTGTGGTACCCGAATTACAACATCAGCATCACTTGGGAACTTGTTAGAAATGCAAATGCATCTTTTCTGAAAGATTTTATGTAAAAAAAAAAAGAAAAAAAAGAAATGCAATCCATGTTTTCACAATCCCTCTCAGTATTCTGAGGCACGTTGACCTTTGGGAGCCACTGGCACAGGCGAAGCTCAAAGAGGTGCCAACTCCTCATTATTTCCCCTGCATCTGCTTCTTCCTAGTTTGGTTTTGTATTTTTCACTAGAGAACATGTTCATTTATCCTTTGCCATTTCCTAAACTTTGAGGAGCTGCTATGCTAGCTGGGGAAGACGGCTCCCCTACAGAAAGGTTCTGAGTTTGAAGGAACCATACCTTTTTTTTAAATGTTTTCTTTTTCCTAACTCTGGTAAAATCTACGTAACATAAAAGCTACCATTTTAACCATGTTAAGTGTACAGTTACGTGGCACTAAGTACATTCATTTCCTTGTGCAACTATCTCCACTATGCATTATCTTCCCAAACTGAAACTGTGTATCCATTCAACAGTAACTCCCCATTCAGTTCTGCATGCTAACCATTGTATTCATGTGGTTGTGCAACCTGTCTCCAGAACTCTTATCATCTTGCAAACCTGCAACTCTGTGCCCGTTAAACAAGTCCCCTTTCCCTCTCCACCCAGCCCCTGGCAACCCACATTCTGCTTTCTGTCTCTATATATTATAAATTAACTATTTTGGATGCCTCATAGAAGTGGAATCATACAGTATTTGTCCTTTTATTTCACTTAGTATAATATCTTTAAGGTTCATCCATGTTGTTATCGGATGGAGATTTCCCTTTCTTTGTAAAAATTTTAATTGTATTTCTATATTTTAGAATCCCCTTCTTTGTAAAGGCTGACTCACACTCTACTGTATGTATGGACCACATTTTCTTTATCCGTTCATCCATCCATGGCATTGGCTTGTTTCTACCTTTTGACTACGATGAATAATGCTGTTATGAACACGTGTGTACAAATACCTGAGGCTTCTTTGCAGATTTCCTGGCTGAGTCCACTGAGGTTCCTTAGATACTGCCCCATCTCTTACTTGAGCCAAATATGAGGAAGATAAGAAATTGATTAATAATCTGGCAAAGTTTAGAATTAAGTCACAGCTAGGCACATTGGCCCACGCCTGTAATTCCAGCACTTGGAGAGGCTGAGGCAAGAGGATAGTGCATGCTTATAATGCCAGCTACTCAGGAGGCTGAGGCGGGAGGACCTTCAGGAGCCCAGGAGTTTGAGGCTGCAGCGAGTGCCTCAAGCCTGGGCGCTGCACTCCAGCCTGGGCGACAGAACGAGACCCTGTCTCTAAAAAATAATGAAAATTTTAAAAATGAGAATTAAGTTACTAGTTCAGGTATGGGTTCTGGGCTGTAGTTAAATGGTAAGTTTTTCTATCACTCCCAACTCTTGCTCCTGAAAACTCCCTCCTCAAAGTATATTCCGCAGGAAGGGGCGCATGCGTGTCTCGTACAGTGCCAGGCTCCTAGCCCCTGGGACTCTGGCCAGCTAAAAGAAGAGCCTGGTCTATGCATTGAATGACTAAACCATAATTGGAGCTCAGAATCCCTCAGTGAAGACTGGGGTGTCCCAGAACATCTCTCCCCCCTCGCCTAGTGTCCAGAACTGAGCTCTACCTAGCCCTTGCTGCTTACTCTGATGGCCATCCAAGCCGGTGCTCTCAGCGTGGAGCCCTTCCTGCCGTCCCAAAGCCCAGCCTTTCAGAGTCATTCCTGACCCCTTTCCTGGTCCTGCTGCCTTGCTTTTCCTGCTCCTGATGGCCAGCTGGGGTTTTGCCATATAGAGACTTCCGGGGGTCACTCTGGACTTCAGTCCACATTCCCTGCCTCCATCCTCCAATAGCGGCGGCGCTCCTGCCTCGCCTGTCTTTGGCCTCTGGGAGCTGCGCTCAGAATTAGCACGGAGAGACCCCGGCCTGCGTCACTCTGCTGTGCATCACGTCTGGAGCTCAGGTTGTGCAGGAAGTTGGAAAGAGGACAGAACACATACTCACTGGTTGATCTGCAGCTTCGTGGCCTTCGTGCCGGCAAGCCACAGCTGTCCAAGCAGGCCTGCGGGGCGGCAGAGGAAACTGTGAGATGTAAAGTCTTCTGGACTCAGAAGGCGGTGGGTTGGGGCCAGATGTGAGTCAAGAGATGCGGAAGATGTTTCATATTCCCCTTGATTCGTACCAGCTGCCCTGGGAACCCACAAATGGGACTGATGGTAGATGTTTATTTTCCAAAGGACACTTTCCTCATTTATCTTGAATTTGTCATTTAAATTCTTTGGGGGAGAATTAAAAACCCTGCTGGTGAATGAAAGACAATTCCTACCAAGTGAAACTTACCATTCTAGAAATGATTAGCCATCCCCTTCACCCTCACCTAACCATCTAGATGTTTTGGTCCAGTCGCCAAAGCTTGGATTTGAGCTCTAGGTCGAGGATGCTGTGGTCTCCTCGCATATTGAAGACTGTGCCAGTTCAACAAGTCTGACTCCCATCAGTCTTTCAGGCTCCTGTCATAGCAGTAGGAGGAGTCTGGAAGACAATGTTAGGTGCTGGGATCTCTGTTGAAGTCAGTGGAATGTGGAGAGTTTAGAATCAAAGCATTTGCCAGAATTATTCTGATACTCTAGAGGATTTGCTGTATGGATATGCTATACTAGTATGTCATTTATAAAAGCGTGTTTAGGCTGGGCATGGTGGCTCACACCTGTAATCCCAGCACTTTGGGAGGCTGAGGCGGGCGGATCATGAGGTCAAGAGATCGAGACCATCCTGGCTAACACGGTGAAACCCCGTCTCTACTAAAAATACAAAAAATTAGCTGGGCGTGGTGGCGGGCACCTGTAGTGCCAGCTACTCGGGAGGCTGAGGCAGGAGAATGGTGTGAACCCGGGAGGTGCAGCTTGCAGTGAGCTGAGATTGCGCCACTGCACTCCAGCCTGTGCGACAGAGCGAGACTCCGTCTCAAAAAAAAAAAAAAGCGTGTTTAGTATTTTCATCTTTATAATATTTATTGAGAGCTACGCATTTATAGCACTGTGCTGAAACTCTTTATATAACTGACGCCTCTGGCTAATATCTTTCATTGGCCACGTGAGCTTCAATTTGTATACTGTGTGAAAGCAGTGAAATTTTTGACTTTCAAATACCGTTCTTCAGTTGTCAGCAGGATAATAAAGTATTCAGAATTAGTTTGGTAGGCAATGCTTACTGGGCATATTATTGCCTTTTGCTTCTCTATTGCTACTTATAACACATTAAAGAAAATTATATTTTTGGAACCCATTTTCACACACACACACAGTTTGGAAGAGAGAAAAGAGATGGAGCTATTTTAGGATCTGTATTTTCAAAGAATAGCAACTCTCTAAGTGACAAGAGAGCAAGTAGAACCAACTTTATAATTAAAGGATGGTGTAGGTTGTAGAAAAGGGATGATACAGGTTTGGAATGATGAATAAGACAGTCCTTACTCTTAATAAGCTTGCGTTCTAGTGGAGTGTGGGAGACCAATACATCAAAATAGTAGTGACCACATGTCCCCAGTCCAAATTTGGGACATGTGGTCTCAAAAGAATGAGTGCACTTTCTGGGGACAACTGGACCACCTGTTTGAAATGTTAGCAGATTTAGGACATGTAGTTGCCATACTTAGAACAGAAGATGGGGTAAGAAAAGCTGTTCAGGAGGCATGTGTAGTTGCTATGCAGCTTCGGGGAGGAAGCGCTCACAGCATCACACTCTCCTTCAGGCTCCACGAAGCAGCTAGCTCAGCGCCTACTTCTGGATCGTCTACCCTTTGCCAGGTACTAAACTAATGGTTGCCGTGCCATGCTCCAGAGCAGCTATGCACTTCCCTTTAAACCAGTCACATGCGTGTGTGAGCTGGCTGTCTGGGCCTGGGTCTTGAAGAAACTTCCCTCTTTCGGTTCATACACATGTGTGTGCAAGGAGACTGTCGGGGTGAAGAGGCTCTGACACTTTAGGGTGGCATCAGGGGCACAGGCTCTCCCCTAAATTCAACTTCAGAAATACAGATTTAAAACAATTCTTTTGAGAAATATTGCATATCTATGAAACCAAAAAAAAAAAAGGAGAAGAAAAACAAAAGAAAGAAAAAAATCCGGCGGGTGGATCACGAGGTCAGGAGATTGAGACCATCCTGGCTAACATGGTGAAACCCCATCTCTATTAAAAATACAAAAAATTAGCCGGGCGTGGTGGTGGACACCTGTAGTCCCAGCTACTTGGGAGGCTGAGGCAGGAGAATGGCGTGAACCCGGGAGGCAGAGCTTGCAGTGAGCCGAGATTGCACCACTGCACTCCAGCCTGGGTGACAGAGCAAGACTCCATCTCAAAAAAAAAAAAAAAGAAAAAAAAGAAAAAAAAATCCATTTGACATGAAGGGGACTGGATATTCATATATTGCTAGTGGTACTAACAATAGATGTATTCTTTATTTATTTTTTTTTTTTTTGAGACAGAGTCTCACTCTGTCACCCAGGCTGGAGTGCAGTGGTGCGCTCTTGGTTCACTGAAACTTCCAACCCTTGGGTTCAAGCAATTCTCATGCCTCAGCCTCCTGCGTAGCTGGGATTACAGGCATGTGCCACCACGCCTGGCTAATTTTGTATTTTTAGTACAGACAGAGTTTCATCATGTTGGCCAGGCTGGTCTTGAACTCCTGATCTTAGGTGATCCACCTGTCTCGGCCTCCCAAAGTGCTGGGATTATAGGCATGAGCCACCATGCCCGGCTTGCGTATTCTTATAGAAAAGGAATCTGACACTATGTGAGAGGGCATCAAACACTTTAGACCCTTTGATCCAATAGTTTCACTTGGGAAAACGTACCTCAAAATGAAAACACAAAACATTGATTTTCTTTTCTATAAAAAAATCAATTGCAGCACTGTAAAATGAACAATGGGAAACAACCAATACTCCACAATGGGAAAACATTAATTAATAAAATCTTTTTAGCCCCTAGACATCGTGAGAGTACACCAGTAAATGAGAATGTGTAGATGAAATATTTAGTGAAGAAAAGTAGAACATGAAATTATATGTACATACTGATTACAACCTTGTAAGCTGATGGAGATACCAATTTATATCCAAAGAGACTTTTTAGGAAAGGAACAGCTGTTTAGTATTGATGAGATTTTTCTGTAAGTTGTTGGCATTGATATTTTTTTAAGAAGGAAGAGTGAGTATGGCAGGGGTGTTAGTTGAACTATGAGTCTTGAATCTCACTGAGTTTTTTGTTGGTTTATGTTATTGAGAGGCATGGTGCAAGTACTTTGTGACTAAGAGTGAAAGGACCATTCTTTGGTTTATTATAATATATTAATAAACTAGAGGTGATTCAAGTGTCTCTACAATGAAGTCACTACCACACGCTTGCATTTTGAGATGCTTTCTTTAGTGGCGGCAGAAGGGACAGAGCCACTTGCCACTTTGTAGTTATTATTGGCTCCTGGTCCTGCAAGTGTGAATGTCAGCTGTCATTCACATGAGGGAAGTTGGAACTGACGAACTGTCGTGATGTGTATGACAGTCTTGTTCCCTAATCATTAATACCATGCCACCTGATCTCTTCAGTCTCAGAAATAATTACATTTCCTCTTTCCTTCTCATGTGAAAGCCTGCCCACTGGAGTAGGCAGGAGAGTAGGTCCTTCCTACCCCCTCTCTTGCCAACAGGAAGGCCTCTCAGCTAAGATCCCCAAAGGAGCAGTGCCCAGGTGTTCTCTGCAGCTTCCCCGTCTTGACGACCTCCTAGTTATGACATCCACTAAATGCTTTCCTTGAGCTCTCTGCAGCATTGCATGCTGGAACCACTCGTCTCCTTGAAACTTTCCTTGGGGTTATGCCTGACTCTAGCACTTAGGAGAAGCTTATGTAGAAGATCAGGCAAAAAAGGGCTTCCCCTCCGCGGAAGGCTGGCACTTCTGCACTCCCTCGGGGCCACCCTGATACCATGCAGAGAACAGAGTAGAGAGGCAGGGTTCAACCCCCCATGGGGCTGCTTCCCTGCCAGTCTGTCTGGCATCCTAACTCCATAAGGTGGCAGCAGGGCAGGAGATTTCTGACACCAGAGAGACCTGACAGCAAGAAGCCTGCAGAAGCAGCCAGACCCAGCCAGACCCAGACCCAGGATTGAGAGTGGGTCTAGGAACCACTCCTCTGTGCACTTAAGCTGCAGCCAGGCCATTCGGAAGGAAGTAAGGACATTTCCCCCTGGAATCGCCTAGCTTCTGTCAGCTCTGTGTGACATGGATGGAAATACATCCCACTTGCCTTGCTAGCAAAACTCCCCACCCCTGCAGAGTCAGCTGCAGGAACGGAGGCAGCCAGGATGGTGACGCAGGAGGGAGGGCGGCCTCCCCCACTCCACGGAGGGCCGCAGGAGCCAGCGGGCAGCAGATCTTTAGCCTGTAAAGGAGAAAGCAGCCAACCCGAGCCAGGTCGGGCCTCCCCAGCAACACCCTGTGTTGTGGTTCTGTCCCGCAGTCAGAGGCTGGTCCCTGACTTCCCTGGTTTCACGTGATAACCTGGGTATGAACAGGCAGGCCCTGACTGCTGCGGACAGGGGAACAGGGAGGCCCCAGCTGTCCTCCCCAAGTCGTGTGGCTGGTGGTGGCAGAGAGGCCGCTGACCCACAGATTCCCCTGTCACAGCCCCTGGAGGGGTGGCCACTCGCACTCCTGTGTGCAACTCTCCCCGAAGGCTTATCTCTGTTTGCAATGAGGAGAGACTCCTTTCTGGGTTTCCCGTCTTAATCCTGCGCCTGCAGGAATGCGCTGGTCAGCTTTTCCCAGGAAGCCCGGGTCTCTGTGGCTTTAGAGTTGGACGTCCTGGTGGTGGTCTCAAGGAGCGCCCAGGGCAGGAGACTGAGAAGGGGAGGTGGAGAGGGGCGCGTGTGTGCAGGCGCCGGTGGGGCGTGGGGTTCAGGACACAGCCTGACCCGATCCTGTCGCCGGGGCAGGAATGTGAGCCCTGGCAGCGGCAGGCCCAGTGGGTCTTGAGGGGAACAATACCTGAGCCCGTCACAGGCCACTAATGGGCTCCTTGGAACTGAAGAAAGAGAAAGAAAGTCGCTTCTCCCACGTGTGAACGTGCAAGGACAGCAGCCTCAGAGCAGGCGCTGGCGAGTGGCTTTCCCGCTCCCCTTCACCTGCTGATGGGAGCCTTTCCCAGCTGCTGGAGCCGGGGAGTAGGCGGCAGGTGGGCCCTGTCTGCAGGCTGCAGGGACGGCGGTGGAGGGACTGGGCTCCCTGCACTAAGGCAGCGGCGGCCCCTGTGACACTGACCGGTGAAAAAGGCTAGATAATCCCCAGGTCTCAGGGCAGAGCCTTACTTGGGCAATTAGCCCATCCCCCAAACAGCCGGTTTCCACCTCCTCATTTTCTGTCTTTCTCTGCCTGTGACTTCTCTCCCCCGCATTCACGGCCTTATTCCACCTTTCAAGGTCCTCTCCTGTTCTTTCTTTTTCCGCTCCATGCCCCTTTGCTCTTTCTCCCTCCTCCTCTTCTCTGATGCCGTCAGCTCCTGGTTCTAACTAAATAGAATGTGCAGCTTGTAGCCTAATGATATCCAGCCCCAGGGATTTGACAAAACACAAAACAGAAACAAACACCAGCCCGCCCAATCCCAAATCCCACCATCACCACCCCACAGCTGCGCTCACGGGCTACCACGGCGGTGAACAGCTGCCTCCGATCTGCTGTCGTTCCCTCTTTTCCAAATGACATCTTCCAATATCAAAGACACTGCCAGCTGTCAAAATAAGGCTTCATATTTTCACATATAGGACAATTACTGCTGAAAACAGATTATGCAAACACATAAACAAGTGAAGTGGAGGAAGGGGAGGCTGGTGGGTTGCTTCCTCCAAATTCATCCTTTTTACAGAAGCAGGGACTGAAATGACCTCCAGGTCCTTAGAATAGCAACTGACAAGCACATCCTCCCAGTCATAAAGCTTGCATCAAAGGAAAATAGGAAGAGGGATAAGAGTTTGATCTCTGGAGGAGAAAGACAGGGGAGGATGCAAAGTGCCTGAGACAAAGAGAAGGCAAAGCCTGGGAGTTAATTATTCGTTCTGCCCCCCCCACCCCCAACCCCAACATAACGATGCGTAATGAGCATGGAAGACAGCAAAGTGAATTTCTAACAAAGAAAATGAGGCAGCAAAGACAGGGCAACCCAGGGAAACTGGAGGAATAAGTAGGGTGACCTTCTTCTGCATTCCTTAATGTCGTCCTCCCTTCCTTGAGAAATACCACGAATGTACCCATCTCCCTGCTAAAATGACAAACAGCTGTTAACATCAAACTAAAGGCCCGGAATAGGACTGGAAGTTAGGGAATGAAGGTTCTTAGTCTTGCCCTGTAATCCTGAACAGAAAGTTGAAATGTTCTGTGTCTGTTTCGCCAGTTATGAGGTGGAATCCTAAAACCAGACCCCAGGATTGTGCTGAGGATCAAATGACATCATGGTTGGGAAAACAGCATGTGTCCCTCAAGGAGCCCTCCATGGGGGCGAGTGGTACTGTGTATGAAAATGCCAACACATTGGCAGCTTGTTGAAGTGACTGTGTTTATTTTTAAATGTCATTGAATTTCATATAACATAATGATAGTCTGCAGTGTGTGTTCACAGCACCTGCCCCACCCACAACTTCTACAATGAAGCCATCCAGCCTACAATCAAGCAACAAGGTCAAAATCAGATCAACATGGGGAAAGTACTCAGCTGCCCAGCTTTAAGGGGCGGGGGAGGGCCTTGCCACCCCCTGGCAATTAAGGCCTTGGGGCTTTGGTCTTTTGGGCCCAACTGTAGCTATTGAGAGCTGGCATCTCCAAAGCTGTGGTGACCCAGATGCACAGAGAGGCAAAATCACTCATCTCTAAGACAAGAGACCCCAGAGTGGGAATTGATGGGCAGCCCCCAGGGGTTCTGCAGGAAGTGTATCATCATAAAAATCTCAGCCTAGGCTTGGCGCAGTGGCTCACACCTGTAATCCCAGCACTTCAGGAGACTGAGGTGGGTGGATCACCAGAGGTCAGGAGTTTGAAACAAGCCTGGCCAACATGGTGAAAACCCATCTGTACTAAAAATAGAAAAATTAGCCGGGTATGGTGCCGGGCGCTTGTAATCCCAGCTATTCAGGAGGCCGAGGCAGGAGAATCTCTTGAACCTGGGAGGCAGAGGTTGCAGTGAGCTGAGATCATGCCACTGCACTCCAGCCTGGGCAACATGAATGAAACTCCATCTCAAAAAAAAAAAAAAAAAAAATCCCAGCCTAATAAAAAGGGACATGTCACTCTTAAACTAAGATTGCAGGGAGTTTTGGTTCCGCATTAATCCTGAGGTTTTTTTTTTGGTTTTTTTTGTTTGTTTGTTTTTTGAGACAGAGTTTCACTCTTGTTGCCCAGGCTGGAGTGCAATGGCGTGATCTTGGCTCACCGCAACCTACGCCTCCTGAGTTCAAGCTATTCTCCTGCCTCAGCCTCCCAAGTAGCTGGGACTAAAGGTGAGCGCCACCACACCCGGCTAATTTTTGTATTTTTAGTAGAGATGGACCAATCACCATATTGGTCTGGCTGGTCTCGAACTTCTGACCTCAGGTGATCCACCTGGCTCAGCCTCCCAAAGTGCTGGGATTACAGGCGTGAGTCACCACGCCCAGCCTAATCCTGAGATCTTGTAACACATCTGGAGAGCCAGGTGGCTTTACCTTTGATAAGGGCACCAGCAGACATGTGGCTCAACCCTCCCAGCAGAAAGAAACTCTGGAAGTCAGATACAGCAACCACAGAACTCACTTTAGTGCAAAGAAGTCAGGTCACATGGGGATCCCCAAATTCTCCTACCACCCATAGGTGGTCAGTGTAATGATGATGGTCCCACATTGTGAGGCTAGGAGAATGTCTGTAGGGCTCAGGACAGACTGGGGACAAGTTACCAAGAATAATGCTGCCCCTGCCACTGCTGAAATGTGTTGGTCCAGGACTCAAGTGGAGGAAGTGGCTCTCTTTCTGCCCATGCAGAAATTCCATTTTTGTTCCACCGTCTATAGAATTGATATTGGCAGTGGTTACATTAATCATTTATTACATGGATTGTAGAATGCAGAGAACTATCTAGAAAGGATCTCAACATAACCAGGGGAGAAATAGACTCTGTGATGAGCAAGTGGTTTCCGAAGGGGCCCTACCCTATTGTTTCTGGGGCAGTACCTGGATGTGGCTTTGGAGGAAGTGGAAACACTTCAGGCCTTGTGTTTAGATAGCTGGAGGGTATTAGGTGGGCGCATATTTGAAACCATATCCTGGAAGGTGAGTTCACGGGGCCTCTTAGGTCCATGCCTTTGCTAAGTGAAGCGAGCTGTCCCACTTTCAGCCATGGTGTATCACACAAGAGACACCCTCCCCCAGCTGACTAGAACAGAAATGACCCAATCCAAGGGGAAGCCAGTCACAAGATGGTCACTGTTACGGGTTGAATATGTTGAAGTCCCGACTCCCTAAATCTGTAAATCTGACCTTATCTGGACATAGGGAAAATTCCTTTACAGGTTTCAGAGGGAGCATGGCCCTGCTGCCACCTTGATTTTGGACTTCCAGCCTGCAGAACTGTGAGGCAATACATCTGTATTGTTTTAAGCCAGTCTGCCTATGGTAACGAATACAGCCAGGTACATGCCTACAGTGTGGCCCAGTTCCAAAAGCTAAGGAGACCTGTCACGGGTTGAATCGTGTCCTTCAAATTTATATGTCCTAACCTCCTGTACCTCCAATTTGACCTTATTTGGAAATAGGATCATTGCAGATGTAACTAAGATGAGGTTATACTGGAGTAGGGTGGCCCCAATCCAAACACAATGGGTGTCCTTCTAAAAGGGGGAACATTTGGATACAGAGACAGACACAGGGAGAATGTCGCGTGAAGAGGAAGCCAGAGGTCAGGGTCATGCATTACAAGCCGGGGAGTGCCAAAGATCGCCCGCAAAGCACCGGAAGCTGGGGGGAGGCTGGAACAGAAGCCCTGGCCCCGCCCTCAGGAGGAGCCAGCCCCACCAGCACCTTGATCTCGCACTGCGGCCTCCAGAACTACCGGGCGGCTTTTAAGCCGCCCAGTTGGTGGAACTTTTATTACAGCAGCCCTAGAGAGCGAATGCAGGGCTAGTGCAGGGCTCCCTCCTGGGAAATGAGCTAAGAAATACCACGAGAACAAGGCAGTTTCCGATGAAGGGTAATCGGAGAGGTCTAGAGACAGCACCATGGGCCGCATTGGTACCCAGCAGTAGGCAGAGGAGAGAGGGGCATGCATGGGAGGATGTCCAGGGGGAAGCACAGACTCATGAAGGAACGCCCCGGCCTGTCCACAGAGCCCTTCCCACCCTGACGGCACCCCCTCCAGCCATCTGGTCTCAAGCGATCCTCTTGCCTTGACCTCCCAAAGTGCTGGCACTACAGGTGCATGTCACTACACCTGGCCACCACCACCGCCTCCTCCTCCTCCCCCTTCTCCTCCTCCTCCTTCTTTTTTTTTTTTTTTTTCCCCAGTAACTTAAGCCTCTTGCTATGGAAAGAGCCTAACTAGAGCAAGTAGAATGGGCCCTATTGGCTCAGGAAATGCTAATATTCTATGGGTAATGGGAATCTGGTGATATAACAACTGTCCAGAAATTGGGCCTTCTGTGTTGTTATCCAACACAAAAGAGTATAGCTTTCTCAGGATCTCCAGCCCCAATACCTTTCAACACCCTAATGAGTGCACTCACTGCTTTACTTTGATGTTCCTTATTCCTGTTATCATTAATAAGATTAAGGGCTTCTTTTATTGTGGCTACTGCTGGAGACTTTCCATATTTTCTAAGCTGAAAAGCGGGAAGGAGGGGAAGAGGGAGAGCAAATGGATGGTTTCCTTTTCAAGGAGAGAATGGGGCTTGAAACAATCGCTGAGTCTTCCCAGCATTAAATGAAAAGAGAAAAAGCCAGGTACTCCTGGGGGACCTAGAGGAGGGCGCTTTTGGCCAGCGAGCTATTTCAAGGTTCTGCCAATTCCCCAAGGGGTATTTGCAGCAAGACCTTGCCAGAACCCTCTAGAGCCTCCTAGAATGCTGTCTGTTCCCCACCCCCACCCCCCACCAGCTAAACCCTGGTGCTTTGTAGGAGTGACTCACTCCTGAGGATCCAATAATGACTCCTAGAACTCTGTCCACTTGGACAAGTTGCCCCTATGCTCTGTTCACAGGCATAAGTCAGTGTTTAGAGTTGGGAATGGTTGTTTATTTGGAGATTAGGACTTTCTCATGAGGTTGTGGGGGTGGGGAGAGCGGGGGCCCTAGAAATTCTAGATCCACCACAGGCCAGGCCTGGCTTTTTAGACTTGTGTTAGGTGAGTACAAAAGAGGAGCCCCTGGGAGCATCCCAGACAGGGCTAAACCGTTGGATTGATGATACACTTGATTCCAAAGGGCTCGCTAGCAGGCTGGTGACCTACTTAGCGCTGTGTGGGGCAGCGGGGTGCACCTTTATGAGCCCTAAATAGGGACTGAGTAGCGCAGGAACGCCAGGCCACTGGCTCCCTGCTGATGAGTCTGGCCCCACACACTTCAATCCTAATAGTTTCTCCTTTGTCCTGGTGTCCAGGCAACCGGCGAGGGAGATTGCTGACCAAGCAGTGAGATGCCGCAGTGGTGGCGTGGTCACTTGGTTCTTCATAACTGGGAGCTGTGAGTGCAGGTCACACCAGGGCCTCTGTACCGCTTCCATCCCAGCCCCCACTTCCAGCTCACCTTAGCTCCGGGAGAAAAGGGGGATGTGGCCGGGCACGGTGGCTCACACTTGTAATCCTAGCACTTTGAGAGGCCAAGGTGGATAGATCATTTGAGGTCAGGAGTTCGAGACCAGCCTAGCCAACATGGTGAAAACCTGTCTCTACTAAAAATACAAAAATTAGCTGGATGTGGTGGTGGGCACCTGTAATCCCAGCTACTCGGGAGGCTGAGGCAGGAGAATAGCTTGAACCTGGGAGATGGAGGTTGCAGTGAGCTGAGATCGCTCCATTGCACTCCAGCCTGGGAGACAATAGCAAAACTCCATCTCAAAAAAAAAAAAAAAAAAAAGAAAAGAAAAGAAAACAGGGATGCCAGTGAGATGTGGGGGCCCTTGGGCAGGGGGTTTAACCTGGGGGCTTTGGATGGGTTTCTTAGAGTTCAAGACCCCTAGAAATGCCAGGCAACACCTTGTGGACACGTGCATTTATCTTGAAGATATCTGTGACTTCCAAAGGGTTAAAACTACTGACATACAAGTCTCCTTGATAGAAACAGCAAGCGGATGGGGCTCCCAGGGGTCTGTGGGTCAGAGTTAGGCATGCATGTGGCCCCTGTACTTCCTGACTGCTGTGCTAGCAGCTGGGAGTTGCCATCAGAATTGCATCTCATTGCAAATTAAAGGGCAGATTCAAAAAAAGAATCGCGTCCCTGTCACTGAGCAGTTTTGTGACCCTGAGTTTCTGACCCTCTTTGAAGAAGGACAAATGTGTTCACTGGATGTTGAAGATCAAACTCCTTCCCAAGGAGCACAGAGTCTTTTGTGGCTTCTGCTGCGCTTCTCCTCCTCCTCCTCCTCCTTCTTCTTCTCCTTCTCCTTCCCTTCTCCTCCCTTCTCCTTCTCCTTCTCCTCCTCCTCCTCCTCTTCCTCTTCTTCTTTTCTTCTTCTTCTTCTTCTTTTTTTTTTTTAAGACAGATTTTTGCTCTGTCGCCCAGGCTGGAGTGTGCAGTGGCGCGATCTCGGCTCACTGCAACCCCTGCCTCCCAGGTTCAAGCAATTCTCCTGCCTCAGCCTCCCAAGTAGCTGGGACTGCAGGTGCATGCCACCATGCCCAGCTAATTTTTTTGTATTTTAGTAGAGATGGGGTTTCACCGTGTTGCCCAGGCTGGTCTCGAACTCCTGAGCTCAGGCAATTCACCCGCCTCAGTCTCCTGAAGTGCTAGGATTACAGGCGTGAGCCACTGCACCCAGCCTGACTGTGGCCCACTTTCCTACCCACACCCCCAATTGCTGAAATTTCCTACATTCAAAACCTCTTCTGTGAATGTTCTCATCCAAAATCTGGCTTCATCCCGAGGACACTGCAGCTCCTGAGCCCTCTCAGCAAATGCCTGTCCTCTCTCCTCCGCCAGAGCGGGCATGTTCCTTCCTTGCTGCTCCCAGGACTCCCCTCCTCCTCCCTCAGCCCATCTCTCCCCTGCCCCACACACCCCTCCTACCCTCAGACGTGGTGATTCCAACACCCACAAACATGACATTTGCAATCCCCGAGCTATGCCTCTCCTTGCTCTCCCCGCCTCCCGCAATCTTCTAATCCACCCGACTCTGCTCCTCACTGTCATGGGGAACCCTAGTAGCGCAAACCTGCTGTCGGACGGCACCTCTTACCTTTCCAGCCCACTCTCTCACTCCCTCTGCCCTCAGCAATCCTTGAGTGCAGGGCGACCTTTCGGCCCATTGATCCACCTTCTCAGCAGCATCCTTTACCCCCTCCAAATCTCACTTATCTGCTTAAAATAAACTTCCTGGTTTAGCACTACAGAAAATTCCTTTTTTTTTTTTTTTTTTTTTAAAGATATAGGGTCTTGCTCTGTGGCCCAGGCTGGAATGCAGTGGCACAATCGTGGCTCACTGCTGCCTCAAACTCCTGGGCTCAAATGATCCTCCTGGCTCAGCCTCCTAAGTAGCTAGACTAACCAGCACACCCCACCATGCCTGGCAATTTTTTTTTTAATAAATGGGGGTCTCACTATGTTGCCCAGGCTGGCCTCAAATTCCTGGTCACAAGCTATCCTCTGGCCTCAGGTGTAGCTGGGATTACAGGCATGAGCCAACTCTCCCAGCCTCAAGAATTCCTTTCTTAACACCCTTAGATCCCTCGTTTTTTTTCTCCATCATGCCTTCCTGCAGAACCCCAAGTTTGGTTAAATCCAGCTCACTGCCTGCTCCAGGCCTGCACCCACACAGCTGTGCTCGGCTGAAGAAAGGCACACAGCCCTGGTGGGGTGGTCTCACATCAGATGACCACAGGCATCCAGGGGCCCTTCCCATTGCCCAGCAATCCGGTCCATCCCCCATCTTGGCCACCCCTGCACACATTTCCCTCTCAGCTCAGCCCCTGCATTGCCTCTTCATCTTCACGCTCAGTTGCTGACCTGGCTTTAATTTCACTTTACGAATTTCACCTCCCACCTTGCAGCATCTATGGCCACGTCATCCTCTGTCTTCTTTCAAGCTGCTTTGAGTGAATTGTTCCTGCTCCCCTGGGCACCAGATCCCAGCCTATTTCTCTGCTGTCCTTTAGAGCAAGACTATTCTGTTCACATTCACACTCACTCCATTTTCTTCGTTGACCCAACCCACCTCAATCAGACTTTCCCTCCACTACTTGGTGGAAGCTACTCTTGTCAATGACTCCCCTCATCGACCGATCGGCACCACTTGAATTAGCTGAGCCCACCTCCTCCTTGAGACGTGTTCTTCATGCGTCTTCCCAGACATCACACTCTTCTAGATTTTCCACCCACCTCCCAGACCCTTCCTGTACATCTACTGGCTGGTGCCTTCACCTCTCCCTGGCCCCCGGAGTGGCCCAGGGCTCTGTCTCTGGCCCTCATCTCCTCTCTGTCTGCATGGGCCAGCCTCCTAATGCATGTTGCCTATATGCTGATGTTCCTCTGGCATCTCTCCAGCCTCGGCCACTCCCTTGAGAACCATATTTTTTTGTTTGTTTGTTTTTTGTTTTGTTTTGTTTTTGTTTTTGCTTTTTGACAGTCTTGCTCTGTTTTTCAGGCTGGGGTGCAGTGGCACAATCTCAGCTCACTGCAACCTCCGCTTCCTGGGTTCAAGTGATTCTTGTGCCTCAGCCTCCTGAGTAGTTGGGATTACAGGCACATGCCACCATGCCTGGCTAATTTTTGTATTTTTAATAGAGATGGGGTTTCACCGTGTTGGCCAGGCTGGTCTCAAACTCCTGACCTCAGGTGATCTGTCTGCCTTGGCCTCCCAAAATGCTGGGATTACACGTGTGAGCCACTGCGCCCGGCCGAGAGCCACACTCTTATATCCAATGACCTAGTCTATGTCTCTGCTAGGGTTCCTAGCAGGCACCTCAAACTTAACATGCCTTTCCCAGCCAGAGTGTTCCCTGAGAACTTAAGCAGAGGCTCTATTCTTACAGCTGTTGAAGCCAAAAAAACACCGAGTGTGCCTCAACGCCTCTCCTTCCTCTCCCAGGCCACGTCCAACCCATCAGCCAATTCTAGTGGCTTTACTTTCAAACTACATCTGACATTCACGACTTATCATCATCTCTGCAAGCCCCACCCTGCTCTAAGCCACTGCGATTTCTTTCCTGGGTAATTGCAGCAGCCTTTCAGAAGCTGCCTTTGTGTGGCTGCTCTGTTCTCAGCATGGTGGCCATGGGGAACTCTTCAAACGTCTAAGTCAGAGCATGTCTCTCTCCTGCTCACAGCTCTCCAATGTCCTCATGTCACTCAGAGTCAAAGCCAAAGTCCTCAGAGACCCTCTATGACCCGGTGCCCTGTTACCTTCTGACGAGGATTCTCTCTCACCATGCCTGTCTCTGCTATGCGGACCCCTTTGCTGTTCTAGAAACACGTCAGGCCCACTCCCACCTCAATGACTGTGCGTGCCGTTCTCTCTGCCTGGAATGTGTTCTCTCACGTGTCCCCAGGCTGGACCTTTGCTCAGATGCCACCTTCTTCCCGAGGCCCTCCCTGGTCACTTTCCTCCCAGCTGCCCTCTCCTCGCCCTGCTCCTTACCCCAGGCCGCCCCATGTTCCTCCATACCACATGACACGATTGCACCTGACCCGTTTTCCCTCCATGCTTTGTGGCCGTCTGTCCTCCGCCAGATTCATAGGAAGGGGGACAGCTGTGTGTCTTTTGGTCAGTGTTGCTTCCTGGCATCTGGGAAACCTGTGAGTCTCTGTGCCATCGGCAGAGTGGTGAGCTGTTCTATGGGGCAGCAAAACTTGGTAAAACCATTGCCGGTGGAGACCTGAAGGGCAGACCACATGCCCCCTGAGCTGTGGGGAGACTCTGGGGAGGAGACTGGCGACTGGCAGGGAACAGGGTGTATTGCTGTCACTGGCGGTGCTAGGCCAGGTGTTACAAGAAGGACAGAAGGCTAGGAAGGACAGGCCAGTTGGCCAGAAGTGAGGCAAGTGGGTGGGAGAGAGCCCAGAAGTGTGGAGGTGGCAGAGTTGGAAAAGTTCATTGCTTCTAAATTCCAAGCTGCCAGAGATAAAAGATGGAAAAGAACTTTGAACAGCAAAGGCCCAGGAAAACATCTTGGTTGGACCTGCCCCCTTGCTAGGGCAGGGGACCCTCACAACGCCTGCGTCACAGAAAGGAGTCGGTCACTTCTACGAATTAGGGCTATTGCCCTTCCTCTTCTCAATGGAAATTGCATCATTTCTACTTCACCACTGTATGTGGGGTGTTGGGATGGGGGCGCATATGTACCCCTTTAGTTCATTGGTCACCAGAACAATAGGATCAGTCTCTAGTCCTAAGGAAGAACATGCGTGACAGAGATCCTGGATACAATGACTGATGGGACTTCGGGTTGTCTCCTCAGAGAAGGGGATGGGTGTGTCTGCAGCTGGGAAGAAGAATGAAGTGGTTTGGTGACCAGAAGGGTGTCCTGTGGCAGATGTGTTCCAGTCTTCTTTGTAGTTGAGTGGGGCTGTATTCCCAGTTTAGGCTGATGTAATACAAGCAAAGACTGGTCCATAAAAAATCACCGTTGTATAATCCTTCCTTTTATCTCCTCCCATGGGGACCTTGAAGGCCACATGTCAAGGATGTCAGTGTCACGAGATGGATGTAGCCTAGGTCCTTGAATGATGAAATGACACAGAGCCCTATCATCCCTTGATAACCCCTGCCCTCCCCCTACCTCTGCCTCAGAACATGCTGTACTTGCATTGGAAGCCACACTTTTATTGTGTTGGGTCGCTGAGCTTTCAGGGTTGTTAGAGTAGTTAGCCTAGCCTAGCTCATACAGCAGGTGCTCAATAACTATGGTAACAATCTTCGAATTTCAGAGCCCACACTTCTAACCACCAAACCTCTCTTGCTCGGCTTCCTGTATGCTTTCCCCTCCATTTCTTCCTGAAAGAAAATTCTTTTCTTAAAAATAATAGGTACTAGAACTGAACAACAAAAAACACAAGCTGGTTAAAAAATGGGCAAAGAACGTGAACAGACATTTCTCCAAAGATAATTCAAACAGCCAACAAACACATGAAAAAAATGCTCAACAGCATTAGTTACTAGGAAAATGCAAATCAAAACCACAATGAGATATCACTTCACACCCATTAGGATGGCTATTATTAAAAAACAGTCAGAAAATAACAAGTGTTGGTGAGGATGTAAAGAAACTGGAACCCTTGTGCACTGTTGGTGGGAATGTAGTTGTTGTAGTTGCTATGGAAAAAAGTACGGCAGTTTCTCAAAAAATTAAAAATAGAAGTACTACATGACCCAGTCATTCCATTTCTGGGTAGATGAATAAATAAACAAAAGGTGGGATATTCATACCATGGAATATAATTCAGCCTTAAAAGAGAAGAGAATTCTGACACAGGCTACCACATAGATGAATCTTGAATTCAATAAGTGAAATAAGCCAGTTACAAACGGACAAATCCTGTATAATTCTACATATGTGAGGTACCTAGAGTAGTCAAATTTACAGAGAAAAAAAACAGAATGGTGGTTGCCATGGGCTGGGGGAAGTGGAGAGGGAGATGGGGAGTTGTTTAATGGGTACAGAGTTTCAGAGTTGCAAGATGAAAAGCATCCTGGTGATTGGTTGTATAACAATGTGAATGTATTTGACACTATTGAACTGTACACTTAAAAATGGTTAAGGTGCTAAATTTTAAGTTATATGTGTTTTGCCACAATTAAACATTATTTAAAAATTTGAAGAAGTAAAATGTGTCCATATAAAAAATGACAAAGTATAAGGGAAGTAAGCAAAATCATCCTCCATCACCCCAATGGAGATAACCACTATTAAGCTATGATCACACCACTGCCCTCCAGCAATGGACTGATGGAAGGAGACCCTGACTGTAAAAAGAGAGGTGGGGGGGAAACACCACTGTTGAGGGTCTTTTTATGTAGCCAAAGTGGAGTGCTTTTATAAAACACTGATTCAACAGTTTAAAGCGAAAATTTAGTCTTGGTTGAGAAGGTAGTCCTATCACAGAAGGTGAGAATGATGCCACTTTTGGCTTCCAGGCAGACTGGAATAACTTCAGTATTTTTCTCTAAGTCTTCTAACTTGGATTTGGTGAACACTGTCTTTGTAAAACAAATGCAGAGATCTCAGTCATAGGCCAGTGTTTGCCCAAGTAAATTGGTTTTAGATTCAGGACGGCAAAAATTCATGCCTGGAGTATTTCTTCCTTTCATTCCCATACTCATCCATTGAGTAAGTATTTGTTGAATATCTACGTGCGCCGACACTGCGCTAGGGGCTCAGGAGACAGCAGTGAATGGGAGAGGACACTTACCTTCTAGCTGGAAAGCAAACAGCAGACAGGTAAACAAACTAACACAGAAATTGCAAACTGAGAAGTGGTTTGAAGGAAAGAAACGCCGTCATGCCATTGAAAGGAATGGGAAAGGAGAAGAGCTGAAACCTGCGGGATGCGAATAAACTCCCACTAAAAACACCAGAGATGCAAAAGACCATTAGATCATTCAGGTGCACAAAGTGAATACAGGCAATAGAGGTCAGAAGAGTGGTTACCTCCGGGGAGGGCACCGACTGGGGGAGGCACGAGGGAGCTTTCAGGTGTGCTGAACATGTCCTATATCTTGATCTGGGTGAATAGACTGTATAAGTACAATATTAGGGCAGCATTGGGGGTGGCTCACACCTGTAATCCCAGCACTTTGAGAGGCCGAAGTGGGCGGATCACTTGAGGTCAGGAGTTGAAGATCAGTCTGGCCAACATGGTGAAACCCCATCTCTACTATAAATACAAAAATTAGCCAGACATGGTGGCAGGCGCCTGCAGTCCCAGCTACTCCGGAGGCTGAGGTGGGAGAATCCCTTGAACCCGGGAGGCGGAGGTTGCAGTGAACCGAGATTGCACCACTGCACTCCAGCCTGGGAGACAGAGTGAGACGCCATCTCAAACAAACCAACAAAAATTATGTGAAAAGTCATTGAGTTGCATGCTTTAGGCATGTGCACTTTACTATATATATACATGTTATACCTTAATAAAAATAAAATACCCGCCTCCTCAAAAGGAAAAGGAAGCGGGAAGCATTCCAGATGGAAGAAATAATAAACACCAAGGCCTGCAGGTGGGGCCGCAGGAAGACAGGTGGAGTGCAGGGAAGGGGTAGTGAGATGAGGCTGGTGCACAGCAGACCAACAATGGAGATCCCTGGGGAGAGAATTGGGACTCAGGGATGGGGACCAGGGATTTTAATTTTTAACTCTGTTAAAAAATTTCACTGATAAACATGCCCTCATGCTTTATATGTCCCATTTTATTTTATTATTTTTTATTGAGACGGAGTCTCACTCTCTCGCCCAGGCTGGAGTGCAGTAGCGAGATCTCTGCTCTCTGCAAGCTCCCCCGCCCGGGTTCAAGCGATTCTCCTGCCTCAGCCTCCCAAGTACCTGAGATTACAGGCTCCCGCCACCACGCCCAGCTAATTTTTGTATTTTTAGTAGAGATGGGGTTTCACCATGTTGGCCAGGCTGGTCTCAAACTCCTGACCTCAAGTGATTCACCCGCCTCGACCTCCCAAAGTGCTGGGACTACAGGTGTGAGCCACCGCCTCCGGCCTATCTGTCCCATTTTAAAAACAAGTGAATGAAGTCATTTACTTTCTTTTTCAGAATGGCGCGTCCCACCTTTCCTCGGGGCTTGTTGTAAGGAAGTGAATGGCTTTGAAGGTCCTTTTCCTGTCTTGAGGGGGGAAAGATCCAGAGGCCGTGCAGCCTCCATAATTTCCGCTGATCAATGTGCCCTGGGAGGATACATCATTTCTTGATCAGAAGAGGAACAAAAGGGAACCCTGAGTGGAGAAGTTCCCCCCCCTCATTCATTCCATCGATGTTCATTGAGTGCTTATTAGACACAAGACCCTGCCTGTTTTGCAGACAAGAGTCCAGATCTCTCCCCTCTTAGTTCAGGATGAAATCAATACCTGAGACTCCAATCCTGAGGCAAATGGGATTAGGATCCCAGGGGCATGCAGAAAGGGAGGAGAAGGCGATCCACAGGGAAGGGAGATTCCTGGCTCCTTCACCTGTGGCGTTGGGAAGCGGAGAAGCAACTTCTAGACCACTACTTTCTGGGGATTTAGAAGGTACTGGAAGCTCTGTCTTGAACCTTTGGAAAGAACCCTTTCTCACCTTCGTCCACACCCACGTATGCTGGACGCACTCAAGGTTGGGTATGCCTCCGTGCCTCCCTCTCCGGGCACCTGTGGGACTAGCCGGCGCGGCGATGGGGACGCGCGGCTCCAGCGGCGCCCGGGCAGAGGACAGCGGCCACCCGGGCAGGCATCGCCGCAGGCGTCCCGCTCCGTGCGCGCTGCGCTCGGCGGCTGGATCTTCCTCTCCGCAGCCCTGCTGGCTCTCGGGGACGGACCATCGTCCTGAGTGTGGCCGGCTGCCGCGCGCATTTTCCCGGACATTTAGCATCCTTGGCCCTGGGCCTGACAACAGCTCACGTTTCAAACACCCCTGGAGGGCGGTGCGCCCGGGGTGATATCCTCTGGGCGCCTCTTTTGTTCGTAAAAGTGATTTGGAAACGCAAAGAGGAGTCTCCGCACTGGCCCGGGGACCGATGCAGCGGAAGGGTGCGAGAACAGCCCCTCTCTGCACCCCAGCTCCCACCCAAGCAAGGGGGCCGCTCAGTCCGACAGTCCCTGCGGCTTCCGGGGGCGCCCGAAGGCCCAGGGGTCTGGGGCGGACTTCGAATTGCTGACCCGCGCGGGAGCGGAGCTGAGGTGCTCGCGGGAGCGGCTTAGGGGATGGGGTCAGAGTGGGGTCCCGGGGAAGCAGAGCCCACCCGGTCGCACGGCTTGGCCGAGGGGTCGGGAACAGGAAAGCCAGCGAGGTCCCGGAGGGAGCCACTTCGAGGATCTGAACGCGAACCCGCCCAGAGCCCCGGCCCGCGCCGCCGTCCTCCGCAGTCCCGGCGCAAACAACACAGCGCGGCCCCCAGGCCCAGGGGAGGTTCCGTGTGACGGTCGCGTCCCAGGGCAGCACGGAGGGCACGACCCCAACACATATTTGTTGAACAAATAATTTTCAAAATATATATTTGGGGAGGAGGGCGTGGGCGGGCGAAACTGGCCACAGCACTGGCTGTCCGCGGCCAGAATTGGAAAGGGCCAGGTGGCTGGGCTTTTCTTCGTAGTCCCTGTGTCGTTTCCATTCCTTCATTCATCCAAAAAATGACAGATTTCTAGGGAAGCCAAACTCCTCGTTCGATTGTATTCTGGAATCCGGGTTAAGAATTGCCAAATTGTCAAAATAGGTTTAAGGAGTGGCCTCATTCCCAATCATCGCAGTTACATGACTGGTTCTGTATAGCCAGGTTCTGGAGACAAAACTGTATTTTAATGCCATTGGTTTTCTTTGTAATTCTATGTATATGACTTGGTGCACTTAAAAACATCATTCTGCGTAGGAGGTCTGCAGCTTCCCCTGGACACTAAAGGGTGCAGGGGCCATGGGCAGTGGCTGTGGCCTATAATCCCAATGTTTTGGGAGGCCGAGGTGGGAGGATCACTTGAGCCCAGGAGTCAGAGACCAGCCTGGGCAACATAGCAAGACTACATCTCTACATGAAAAAATAAAATAACATTAGCCAGGCTTGATGGTGTGTACCTGTAGTCCCAGCTACTTGGGAGGCTGAGGTAGAAGGACTTGCTTGAGCCTGTGAGGTCCAGGCTGTAGTGAACTGTGATCATGCCACTGCACTCCAGAGCCTGGGTGACAGATTGAGACCTCGTTCCTAAATAAATAAATGCATACTGCATACATACATACATACCTCTATCTCTTAAAAAAAAAAAAAAAAAAAAAAAAAAAGGCCGGGCGCGGTGGCTCACGCCTGTAATCCCAACACTTTGGGAGGCCGAGGTGGGCGGATCACGAGGTCAGGAGATCAAGACCATCCTGGCTAACACAGTGAAATCCCGCCTCTACTAAAAATACAAAAAATTAGCCGGGCGTAGTGGCGGGCGCCTGTAGTCCCAGCTATTTGGGAGGCTGAGGCAGGAGAATGGCGTGAACCCGGGAGGCGGAGCTTGCAGTGAGCCGAGATCGCGCTACTGCACTCCAGCCTGGGTGACAGAGCCAGACTCCGTCTAAAAAACAACAACAACAACAACAACAACAAAATCAGGCTTGGTAGCATGTGCCTGTAGAAAGAATTGCCTGAGCCAAGGAGTTGAAAGCTGCAGTGATGGTGCCACTGCACTCCAGCCAGGTCAACAAAGTGAGACCCTGTCTCAAAAACAACAACGACAGGCCAGGCACGGGGGCTCATGCCTGTTATCCTAGCACTTTGGGAGGCCAAGGCGGGCAGATCACCTGAGGTCAGGAGTTCAAGACCAGCCTGGCCAACATGGTGAAACCCTATCTCTACTAAAAATGCAAAAATTAGCCGTGCATGGTGGCAGGTGCCTGTAATCCCAGGTACTCGGGAGGCCGAGGCAGGAGAATCGCTTGGACCCAGGAGGTGGAGGTTGCAGTGAGCGGAGATCGTGCCACTGCATTCCAGCCTGAGCGACAGAATGAGACTCCGTCTCAGGAAAAAAAAAAAAAAAAAAGGTACAGGACATAAAGTGGGCAAAGACCCCAGATTCCTCACATGAAATGGATTACCTAGGGGTGAACTACATTTGAGGAGCAGGACTAGAAAGCAAAATATCCATGTTCCCAATGGTACAGCTGAAGGAACAGGCATGCACCTGTGCACCTGCCCCTGGTAATGGCCTGTCCTGGTGGCTTGTCACATGTCCCTCCCCATCATCCATTTTGCTTTGCAGACAAAAGCAGCAGGGACATTTTGCCCAAAAGAAAATTCTTTTTATGAGAATTCCTTGCTAGCCTGGAACAGGAGGTCCTGCGTTAGGACTAGCACTATTCAACAGAACTTTCTGCTATGAGGAAAATGTTCTCTCTTGCTGGTGTCAAATGCAGTAGCCATTAGCCACAAGTGGCCACTGAGTGCTTAAAATATGGCTAGTGCAACTAAGGAGCTAAATCTTAAATTTTATTTCAATATTTAAAAATTTTGGCTGGGCACAGTGGCTCACACTTGTAATCCCAGCACTTTCAGAGGCCAAGGCAGGAGCATTACTGGAGCCCAGGAGTTCAAGACCAGCCAAGGCAACATAGTAGAACCCTGTCTCTACAAAAAAGATACGAAAAATTTAGCTGGGTGTGGTGGTACACACCTGTAGTCCTAGCTACTTGGGAGGCCAAGGCAGGAGGATCACTTGAGCCCAGGACTTCAAGGCTGAAGCAAGCTCTGATTGTGCCGCTGCACTCCAGCCAGGGTGACAGAGCAAAACCCTTCTCTCTAAAAAATAAAGAGGCCAGGTGCAGTGGCTTAAGCCGGTAATCCCAGCACTTTGGGAGGCCAAGGTGGGTGGATCACCTGAGGTCAGGAGTTCGAGACCAGCCTGGCCAACATGGTGAAACCTCATCTCTACTAAAAATATAAAATTGGCAGGGTGTGGAGGTGCATGTCTGTAATGCCAGGTACTCAGGAGGCTGAGGCAGGAGAATCACTTGAACCTGGAAGGCAGAGGTTGCACTGAGTTGAGATCATGCCACTGCACTCCAGCCTGTGCAACAGAGTAAGACTCTATCTCCGGGGGGAGCGGGGAGACATATATATATATATATATATATATATATATATATATATATATATATATATATATATGTTTTGACATATGTACCTGTGAAACCATTACCACAATCAAGATAGTGACTATACCTATCACATCCAAAAGTTTTCTTGTGTCCCCTTGTGGTTTCCCCATTCATGCCCCTACCTCTACACCCAGGCAACCACTGATCTGCTTCCTGTCATTTCCATTTCCCAGAATTTTATCCAAATGGAATAATGCAGTCTGGTGCTCATATTTTGTCTGGCTTCTTTCACTTGGCACAGTTATTTTGAGATTCACCATGTTGTGTCTCAGCAATTCATTCCCTTTATTGCTGAGTAATATTCCATTGTTTGGTGAGACCATTCTTTCACCTGCTGATGGAGATTTGAGTTGTTTCTACTTGTAGCCTAATACAAATAAAGCTGTTATGGACATTCTTACACAAATCTTTGCATAGACATATGCTGTTGTTTCGTTTGGGTAAATTCCTAAAAGTAGAGTGGCTGGATTATAGTAGGCGTATGTTTAACTTAAGAACTGCCAAACTTTTCCAAAGTGGTTGTACCATTTTACACTCCAGTCTGAAGTTTATGAGAGTTCCAGTTGCTCCACATGTTGGTCAACACCTAGTGTGGTCTTTTTATTTCAACCACTCTATAATAGGTGTGCAGAGGTATTTCACTGTGGTTTTAATTTGCATTTCCCTGAAGACCAACAATGTTGAGCATCTTTTCATGGGCTTCTTCCTTGGTGAAGCACTTAGATCTTTTGCCCATTTTAAAAATTGTGTTTTCTTATTATGGAGTTTTGAGGTTCTAGATACAAATCCTTTATCAAATGTATGATATGCAAACATTTTCTCCCAGTCTATGGCTTGTCTTTTCATCTTCTGAACAATGTTGTTCAAAGAGCGGAGTTTTAATTCTGAGGAAGTCCAATCTATTAATATGTACTCTTACGGATTTTACTTTCACCTAAGAAATCTTCGCCTAACTCAAGGTCACAGAGGTTTTTTCCCGTTTTCTTCTATAACGTTTATAGTTTTTGCTTTTACATTTAGATCTATGAGCCATTTTGAATTAAGTTTTCTATATGCAGCAAGACATGGATTGATCCTTGGTTTTCTCCACAACCCTATTATTACCACTTTGCAGATAAGAATTAAGTCATGTAATTATTGGCCCCAAAGCAGAAGAGTCAGGAAGTAAATCCAGGTTTTTAGGCCTCTGAAGTTTGTGCTTTTTTTTTTTTGAAATGGACTCTCACTCTGTCTCCCAGACTGGAGTGCAGTGGCACGATCTTGGCTCACTGCAACCTCTGCCTCCCAGGTTCAAGCAATTCTCCTGCCTCAGCCTCCCAAGTAGCTAGGATTGCAGGCACGTGCCATCATGCCCAGCTAATTTTTGTATTTTTAGTGGAGATGGGCTTTCACCATGTTGGCCAGGCTGGTCTCGAACTCCTGACCTCAGGTGATCCTCCGTCTTGCCCTCCCAAAGCATTGGGATTACAGGCATGAGCCATCTCGCCCAGCGGAAGTTTGTGCTTTTAACCTAATGGTTTTTTAATGTAATGTGCATCTGAATGGCCCGCCCCAGGCATTCTGTGCAGTGGGGCTAGGCTGTGCCCTGGAGGCTGCATTTCACAGGCTTCCTGGTTGGTGGTCCTTGGACTGCACTGGGAGAAACACTGTGACAGCTGTGCTCCACCACTTCGCACTGGACTTTAAGGGCCTTTCCAAACGTTTTCAATCAAGAAGTGCTACCATTCTTTGCCAGAATAAACACACCTCCACTTTCAATTAGGTGGAGAGTCTGATTTAAAAGGAAACTGAGATTGCGAACCAGCTGGGCACAATGATTTATTTTCACTGGGGACAGAGAAACTCCAGAACAGGTCACTTCCTCCTTGGCCATCGTTTTTCAACATAGCCAGAAACAGGCATATTTTAACATCAAACTCCCCAGAAGATACTCGGCTATTCTGAAGTATCAGAGCATTGCGTTATCAGGAGGCGGGGAGGGTGGGAGAAGCGTTCTGGAGACCCACAGGAAAAGCCCTCCGTGGGCTGAACTTCCCTTCCACGGCCGTGTCGTGACTTCCCACCCTGCAGGAAGCAGACAGGATTGGGACTGCTGTCTACTGTTCCACCGAGGCCTTACCAAGGTCTGTGTGTGCTTTCTAGAAAGAAGGCACATTTGCACGGGGAGACAGGGGAGGGGGAGGCAACACCTGCAAACCCTGCTTGAAGCCTCTAAGTTTAGAAACCTGGGAACTTGCTTCTCCAATGTGCACATCTCTATAAATACACTAGGGAGGAGCTCAGTCCCGTGTGTCCCAAATAAGGTCAGGCAATGTGATGAGGGGACATCCTTTAGGTCACAATTTCTGTACTCTGGGTAGGGCAGGTAATAAAAAGGGTCAGCAAGGGCCCAGCCCCTGAATAGTGGCTGGTTGTCCCTATAGGGGAAGGACTTGAAAGCCCCCAGTGTCCACGCCTTCTGCTGATGGAGCTGTGCCAGCTCTGGGTTGAGGACTTCCCACCTTCGGCCCGTTGCTGAATGTACAAGGAGGCAGCACTGGAGACTGCCCAGCAATGCATCTAACAAGAATAAAGACAGAGAGAAACCTCTGACTGTTCTCTGTCCCTTAGCGTCCTTAAATTTTAGTTTCACTGCAATAAAAAGAACAAAGCATTAAGACAATGAAAAGACAATCCACAAACTGGGAGAAAATACTATATTTCCAAATCACTCATCTAATAAAGGACTAGCATCCAAAGTATACAAAGAATTCTTAACACTCAACAATAAGAAAATGACCCAATAAGATCTGGACAGCTCACCGAAGATGGCAAATAAGCATATGAAAAGATGAAAAGACGTTCCACATCATAGGTCATTAGAATTGCCAATTAAGACAACAATGTTAATTGTTGTAAGACAACACCTATCAGAAAGGTTAAAATGCAAAATACTGACACCTCCAAATGCTAGTGAGGATGTGGAGCAACAGGAACTCTCATTCATTGCTGGTGGGAATGCAAAAATGGTAGACACTTTGGAAAGACAAGTTTGGTCGTTTCTTAACAAAACTAAACACTCTCACCACATGATCCAGCAATCACATTCCTTGGTGTTTACCCAAATGAGCTGAAAACTTATGTCCACGTGTATGTTTACAGCAGCTTTAGTCATAATTGCTAGAATGTCAAAGCAACCAGGATGTCCTTCAATAGGTGAATGGATAAGGTGTGGGAATCCATATAACATTCTATTACTCAGCAAGACCAGAAACGAGCGATCCAACCCCAAAAAGGCATGGAGGACCTGAAATGCGTCCTGCCGAGCAGTAGCAGACAACCTGAAAACGCTCCAGACTGCAGGATCCCAACTACATGACATTCTGGAAAAGGCAAAACTAGGCAGACAATAAAAAGATAAGTGGGCCGGATGCGGTGGCTCACGTCTGTAATCCCAGCACTTTGGGAGGCCGAGGCGGGTGGATCATCTGAGGTCAGGAGTTAAAGACCAGCCTGACCAAGAGATGGTGAAACTCTGTCTCTACTAAAAATACAAAAATTAGCCAGGCATGGTGGCGGGCGCCTGTAATCCCAGCTACTCGGGAGGCTGAGGCAGGAGAATCACTTGAACCTGGGTGGCAGAGGTTGCAGTGAGCTGAGATCACACCACTGCACTCCAGTCTGAGTGACAGTGAGATTCCGTCTCAAAAAAAAAAAAAAAAAAATGGTTGCCAGGGATTCAGGGGAGGGAGGATGAACAGGAGGAGCACAGAGGACATTGGGGCAGTGAAACTATCCTGCACAACCCTGTAACGGCAGATGCATGTCCTCACACCTTTGTCAAAACCCACAGAACGGAACAAGAGTGAATCCTAATATAACTATAGACTTTGGTTAGCAACAAAGTATCAATGTTGGCTCATCCCTCGTATTAATAAAAAATAAGATACAGAATGATTGTATAGGACGATTACGAGTATGTAAAATAAAAACAGCTAACAGGAAAGAACAAGGCACAGTCTAACCCAAGAAGGGAGGCATTTCTAACTTTGATAAGCCCTAAAATAGGAAGGCAGGTTTCGAATAAGTAAACATTTTAAGAGAAAACAGAAGACTGTGTTAGCGCTCCCTGTATGCCAGACACCACGTTTAGATGATCTAACCCTTGCACACACCTGTGGGGTGGACACTACTGTGATTTTTATTTACAGGTAAAAGAACTGAGGCTCAGAGGGGAAGGACATTGCTCTGTGGCCCCAGCATGTAAATAGTCGTCTTCGGATTCAAACTGAGTCTACGCCAATAACCTCTATACTTCTGTTCAGAAATTTAGCAACTAGACAGAGGTTAACTAGAGTGGAATTGTAATATTACTTATCTGTTATTTAATAGATCCTTGTGAAATGCTTGGAGGTCACTTGTCTTAGCAGTTTGCTTTTTAAGACAGGGTCTCGCTGTGGCTGTGGAATGCTGTGGTGTGATCATAGCTCACAGAAGCCTCGAACTCCTGGGCTCAAGCAATCCTCCCGCCTCAGCCTCCTGAATAGTTGGGACCACAGGCATGCACCACACCTGGCTTTTATTTTTTGGTAGAGAAGGGGGTCTTGTGATGTCGCCTGGGCTGGTCTTGAACTCCTGGCCTCAAGCCATCCCCCCAGCTCAGCCGCCCAGTGATTATAGGCATAAGCCTTGTCCTAACGGTTTAAACATTTCCCCAGAAATCATGTTTCTATGTTTAGCAAACTGTCCTCCCTCCCTTCACCCCTACCATTAGTAAAAGGCACATTTCAGCCACTCACCTTTTCGTATTTGCACAATCTAAATTAAGTCCAAACGGAGTTTTCTGGTAAGCCTTTGCTGCTGATGTGTAACTTCAGCTTGCTGCCTGATGCACACACACTGTCTAGGTAGAAAAACCACTTTCCTGACCCGCCCAGGGAACTCTTTTCAGTCTCTGGTTTGATTGATGTAAGTTACCAGAGATTAGTGACTTGCGGACAAGATTTGGGACTCCTGGGGCAAGTCCCTTCCCCACTTAGTCTGGGAACAGTGACATAGAAGCTGGCACCAAAACAAGAGCTTGGAAAAAGTGAAGGCCCAAGAAGCCTGGAGGCAGCAGGACCCTTGGGATGGGCCCAGTGTGGCTGCAGGGAACAGGCATGCAGGGCGCAGACTTGCAACCCTGGGAGCTGGAGGCAGCACCCCTAACAAGGCATTCAACTTGTAGCAGAGATAGGAATGGGTTTGCAGGGAGAGTGATAGGAGAAGTGAAAGCCCAAAAGGGGTAATTGAATTAGCAAGGGCAGTGAACTCAACACAAAATCTTTGTATGGAACCCGCACATCTCCATCCCAAATCAACCTAACCCTTCTCTTGCCTCGGCTTCCTACATCATTAGAAAGAAATGATTTCTAAGCTGTGTTGTGTGATTGGCCACACCTCAAATCCATGGTTTCAATCTCAGTGGACCCTCAGGGATGCTGGGAGTTTTACTCAGTGCCCCTCGGCTCCCTGATCCAAGCAGCAGTTCCAGACGTTGGTCCCTCTCCTCAGTGCCTGCCTCCCCCATGTCACCGGGATAAAGGACACCATCAGGCCACCCTCCGCCTGCCCCAAGTACAACGGGCAACTCCACCTTCACAGCTCCCATCTGCCTAGGCGTCTTCCTCCAGCCCTGCCCTCATCCCCTCCCCTGCTGCCCCCATCCCCCAGCACCCGTCTTCTTAGCTTCAGTGACCCCGAGGAATAATTCCTTATCTCTACTGCACGTGACCACAACAGCCATTTCATTCTTGAAATCTTTTATTGATTTTTGTTGTTGTCTTCAGGGCACATTCTCTTGATCTTCTCCAGTGTCTCTTAATTCTCACTCTCAACCTTCTTTGATGGCTGTTTTCTCTGGAAACTTCCACTCTGTAGGAATGTGTTTGGGGAAAGAGAGAGTCAAGGAGTCTGTCTTTTCACTGAAGGCCATTAGGTGACTGTTGCAAGGAGAACCACGGTCTTCCAGATGCCCTCAGGTACCACTAATGCAGCCCGTGTACAGGAAGATTTTCCTCTGGGACCCACTTCTCCTGGCTCCCTCCCGCGGTGAAGCAGGTGCCTGCAGCCCCTGCCTGCCCCTGCCTGTCTCTGGACCACCCCGCCTCCCAGCTCCTGCAGCAGGACCTGGAGTCTTTCATTCCCCCACCCAGCGCACTCTCCATTAGCTACTCTTCCCAGAAGCACCTTGGGCGATGCTGTTTCCTTTGCCATCTCTCACCTCTTCACTAAGGAAAAGCTCACTTCTTCCTTCTTGGCTCAACTAAAACACGCCCTTTGAAAGTCCTTCCCTCATTCCCCTCCCCATTCTTTCTGATCTTTGGTGCTAGGATGCCCCTCGCTAGGCTGAGCTCCCAGCCAAGGTTTGCTGAATGACTGTGCATAAGAACCAGCAACTTCCTAACCGCTCAGTGCCGCGCACTGCCTGGGCTCACTGCACCCACTTAGCGTCTGTGCCTTCTTAAGCGCCAGAAACTACTGACTGTGCCAAGAAAGCAGAGCCCGAAAAGGAGGGCACGAGTCCCTCCTCCCAGAAAATCAGGACCTTCAAGATAATGCGAAGTGCATCTTTCTTCAGATGAGGCTGATTATGGCAAGCTTTTCCTGTAAGGGACAGACGGTAAATATTTTAGGCTTCGAGGGCCATAGCGTCTCCATCCCAGTTATTCCACTTTGCTGGGATAAGACAAAGCACCCACAGACAACACATAGAGAAGCAAGACGACCGTGTGCTAATGCACTTTATTTGTAGACACTGAAGTTTGAATTTCATGTATTTTTCACGTGTCACTAAACATTCTTTTTCCTTTTTCAACCATTTAAAGATGTAAAAACCATTCTTAGCTTGTCGGTGGTGGGTTGATGCCCCTTGGTTTATGCTGCCAACCCAAGAGCTACGCCTAATTCATATCCTTCAGCACTAAGTCATACAGCTTTATTTTTTTTGACTAAAAGGCCCCTGAAAATGAAAACTTTACACATGCAAGCAGAGAGGAGTCCGAGACTTTCTGACGGGGCAGGAGGGGCAGAAACTGCTCCCTAAGGCCAGGGACAGCCAGACCCGTGCTGATGCTGCCCCCTAGTGACTGGCCAGCCTAACGTCCATCTCCCACCCACGGCCACGCTGTGACGGGTTGGGGGTGTGTTCCCCAACACACGAAATAAGAACTTCAAATCAGTTCAATCAGAAAGCGTAAAGAACTGTAAACCCAATAAATCATTTAAAGTGAAAAAGTAGGCTTCAATTCACAGAATTTTAGAACTGAAAGGAACTTTTGAGATGACTCAGTTCCATTTTTACACCAATTTACCAACGATTCACGTAGCTTTCAGGTAAAAAAAAAAAAAAAAGGCAAGTTCCAGAAAGGGCTGGTGGCCCATGAGTGTTCGCAGAAGAGCCTGCCCGGGAGTCCCGCCTGCTGAATGCCAGTGCAGGGCTGCCTACACCTCACACCGACATACCCACGAAAGACAGAGGTGGCGTGGGGCAGCAACCTTGTTGTCACACTGCCTGGGCTCACCGTCACCCAATCATTCTGTGCCCTTGGATATCGACTTCTTAGCCTTTGTGCCTCAATTTCCCTAACTGTAAAACAGGGCAGAGTTCCTCCCTCACAGGGCTGTGGGACTGAAATGAGCTGATGCTGTCTGGCCCATACTGGGCATTCAAGTGTCCCCTGCATGACAAACTTCTTGAGAGTCCACTATGTGTCAGACATTGAGTGCTTTATGTCTGTGTGCCAGGTTTAATCGTGCAACTACTCTACAACGCGAGTGTCATCATCCCCACTATGTAAATCAGACCGAGAAAGGTCACATGGACTGTGGTGGGTGCCTTCTCTTGTACAACTGATTTTGTGAAGGCGTGGAAGGCACAATTAAGTTACCATGTAACAAATATGACGTGACTCCAATAGGCTAGCAGGAATAAGCACTCAGTAACTGCCAGGCAGCCTGGTGGCATTCTTCACCTTCAGCAGGGCTTGTTGTTGGGGGTGACTGTTCTTGTTTCTGCATGAAGGTTACTTTGTCACCATCCATCTTTGCCTTTGGAGTGTCTTGGGGGCAGCAGGGGTACCTGGGACAATCTATATGTGACTGTCAGAGCTTTAAAAACATCAGCAGTCACCTCTCCTTTCTCCTTGCCCCACTGCTTCAGTAGATTTAATGGAATACTCCGTGCGCAAAACTTGTGTGAAGCACAACTCAGCGTGCGAGTGGAGATATCTGTACACATTTAAAATCTGCATTGATGCCACTTGAATTTATCTGACAGGTAAATGCTTTTGAAAGCCTAGTTCTAAAAGTCCTGGATATTTCTCTGGAAACATTTCACCCTCCCGCGTCCTCAAATCCTTCGAGAGCCACAAGGAAGAGGCCTCGCTATGGGATAGGATGTGGCGTGTGTTCCAGGCGTGCCCACAACCTGGTCCAGCCCTCCTCAGTCCAGAGGCCACACGGCCATTCCACCTGTGGGTTCCTATCACCTTACACAGTTCCATAAAGCCACTGCCCTGGGCTCTGCCAGAAGCACTGGTGGGGGCAGGAAGTGGTGCCAGGAAGTGAGCACCAACTTCAAGCAGAGGCCTGAGCATCACCATGGGCCTGTCTGCAGCACTTCGTCTCACTGAACCCAAAATTTCTCTCCTAGAAAACGAGGGGAAACATTCCCACCCCACTTCACAGCTGTGATGACCAAATGCACGCAGGAAAAGCACAGAGGAAACCTTTAAAGTGTTCACACACACATTTCAACGGCTGAATGAGGGGTTTGCTCAAGCTGCTTTTATGGCCAGCTGCCTGCACTCTTTAAGGTTTTGGGCACAGGCTTCCAACCCCAAATGTTCCCTCTCTTACGTTTAATGTTCTCTAAATTAGGTCAGTAGGAAATAACATCTGCTTGCTCGCACTGTCCTCGTCCCCCACCAGGTGGCATTGCGTTCCAATGAGCAATCTCTTCTGGTGAGAGGCTGGTGGAGGCCTTTTTCACAGCGGCTCAAATTGGAACTGCAAGAGGAAAAAGAAAAACAATGAAGAACCACCCAACCCCCCACCTCACCACAACTCCCACCGCCAAATTTCAGAGAGCAAAACCGGATCATGGGATTGAGAGCTTCTGGTGACCAAGGCCCGCATTCTCTGCAGGCGGAGGTGACTGCGTGAAGGGTCTCCGGTCCCCACACGTGTGATGTGCCCCCATTACAGAACAGACAAGAGGAAGCCCCAAACCACCCCCAATTCCAAAGCTTCCACAATTGATAAACATTTGCATACACACACAGAACTCAGGTGATGTGTACCCATGTTCCAATTCAGGGGGCTTACATTTTTCAACAGAGGACAGCGTTTAGGAATTAGGGAAATTTTGCATGGACAAGCACAACAGCTGTATCTGTAAGCAGCGGTAACATCAAATATGATGTTATTCTGACCCTAGGAATCCAACCTGAGCAAGCCAATACGTTAATGAGCATCCAGGGAAAGACAAGGTTGTCCGCCCTGGCCTGTCCTCTCTCTGCACAGGGTCATCTGAAGGGGCGAGGGCACTCCAGTTAAAACATTCCCTCCACCCCGAGCTGACACCTGCCTCTCAGCCCTGGGACCCCAGAGCCCCTCATCCTTTAACAGCTGGTCTCCTCCCCTAAAGAGAAGAAGATGTAGAGATGTCGTGACTACGTTTCCAGGCAGGGACCCCATTTCTTCATATCTCACACCTCGAAACTCACTGCTCTGGAAATCAATGAGCCCTCCCTCTTGGTGGGGTGGGGTTGGGTGGAGGGGGGGGTCAGTATTTTTTTATTCTTTTAAGATTATGGGAGTGTCATGGGGTGGAACTATTGTCACAGCTTGCCTCCATATGGTTTCACTGCCTTAACCTTAGAATGCTTTTGCAATCAGTATGGAGAAGTGAAAAAGATGTCTTCCAAGCTCAAATGGATGGTGCTGTTAAGTACTAGGTGCTGTTAAGAAAACAGGTATTTTACACCGTGCTTTCTCATCTCTTTGGAACCTTTTCAGAAAAATTTGATTCTTAGTGCTTACATAAAAAATTAAATGTAGATTTGCCTTGCCATAAACTTTTACTTTGGTACTGAATAATCATGACCGTTATGACTCGGCATGTCTGTACAGTCCATACATACCATTAACTGGCAAGCTTTCCAACTAGGTTTAATCTGCGAGGGTAAGGAATAGCTTCTATATCGTTCATCAGTGCATAGAGCAAAATTAACTAATCTTAGTCTAATGAAGAGCTATGTTTGCTAGGTTCCTCACCATCCAAAGAATCACTGCCATCACTCCTACCCAAACCTGTTCTCGTCCACATCTTCCCTTTTATTAAAAAAAAAAGACACGGTCTCACTCTGTCACCTAGGCTGGAGTGCAGTGGCATGATCTGGGCTCACTGAAGCCTCTGCCTGCTGGGCTCAAGCGATCTTCCTGCCTCAGCCTCCTGAGTAGCTGGGACTACAGGCATAGACCACCAGGACCAGCTAATTTTTGTATTTTTTGTAGAGATGGGGTTTCGTCATGTTGCCCAGGCTGGTCTTGAATTCTTGGGCTCAAGTGATCTGCCCAAGGCCTTGGCCTCCCAAAGTGTTGGGATTACAGGTGTGAGCCACTGTGCCTGGCCCTGTCTCTTAAAATAGTATTACAATCTCCCTGTTCATCAAAATTGAATTCAACTAGAATTTGAGTGGCTTCTCAGTGCTATTTCATTATGTTGGACCTTTCCCATAGATTATTTAACCTTCAGAGCCATTATTTATTTATTTGAGATGAAGTCTCACTGTCACCCAGGCTGTAGTGCAGTGGTGTGACTGCAACTCACTGCAACCTCCGCCTCCCAGGTTCAAGCGGTTCTCCTACCTCAGCCTCCTGAGTAGCTGGGATTACAGGCACACACCACCATGCCCGGCTAAGTTTTTGTGTTTTTGGTAGATTCGGGGTTTCACCATGTTGGTCACGCTGGTCTCAAACTTCTGACCTCAAGTAATCCACCCGCCTTGGCCTCCCAAAGTGTTGTGATTACAGGAGTGAGCCACTGTGCCCGGCCACTGAACCATAATTTAAAAGAGCAATTCTCATTTTACATCTAGGGAAAATAAAGTTCAGAGCATCAAGGTTCCTTCTACCTGTCTCTTCCATCCCTTTCTAAATGGACCTTCCCACGGCCAACACCTTAGTCTCGGCCCTCCTGGCCATGCCTAACCCGTCTTTCAACCTCCAGGCTCTCTTTCCTTAACCACCTGAGGATTTCCTCAAATACCACTGTCAATGTGTTTTCCCTCTATTCAAAACTTGGAAACTTCCCATTTTTCATTCAACCAACTCCAAATTCTCCAGTCTGATCCCATTTTATCTACTGTACCCACAAATCTTGAAACTCTTTTATAATTTTCCCTTTACTATGGCTGTATCTCCTTCCCCCACGTCCCCAACCACACACTGCTGTTTTTGTTCCTGCCCAGCCTGCGTCCCCTTCCCCAAGGTGACTCTCCACTCTGGGGCTCTTTCTAGATGCAAAGACCTAGGCTGCACATGCATTCCCCCACCTGGCCTTCCACAGCACTGTGACACCATCTCGGGAGGGGTCCACCTGGCCTTCCACAGCACTGTGACACCATCTCGGGAGGGGTCCACCTCGCCTTCCACAGCGCTGTGACACCATCTCGGGAGGGGTCCACCTGGCCTTCCACAGCGCTGTGACACCATCTCGGGAGGGGTCCACCTGGCCTTCCACAGCGCTGTGACACCATCTCGGGAGGGGTCCACCTCGCCTTCCACAGCACTGTGACACCATCTCGGGAGGGGTCCACCTGGCCTTCCACAGCGCTGTGACACCATCTCGGGAGGGGTCCACCTGGCCTTCCACAGCGCTGTGACACCATCTCGGGAGGGGTCCACCTGGCCTTCCACAGCGCTGTGACACCATCTCGGGAGGGGTCCACCTCGCCTTCCACAGCACTGTGACACCATCTCAGGAGGGGTCCACCTCGCCTTCCACAGCACTGTGACACCATCTCGGGAGGGGTCCACCTCGCCTTCCACAGCACTGTGACACCGTCTCGGGAGGGGTCCACCTGGCCTTCCACAGCGCTGTGACACCATCTCGGGAGGGGTCCACCTGGCCTTCCACAGCGCTGTGACACCGTCTCGGGAGGGGTCCACCTGGCCTTCCACAGCACTGTGACACCGTCTCGGGAGGGGTCCACCTGGCCTTCCACAGCGCTGTGACACCGTCTCGGGAGGGGTCCACCTGGCCTTCCACAGCGCTGTGACACCATCTCGGGAGGGGTCCACCTGGCCTTCCACAGCGCTGTGACACCGTCTCGGGAGGGGTCCACCTGGCCTTCCACAGCACTGTGACACCGTCTCGGGAGGGGTCCACCTGGCCTTCCACAGCGCTGTGACACCGTCTCGGGAGGGGTCCACCTCGCCTTCCACAGCACTGTGACACCATCTCGGGAGGGGTCCACCTCGCCTTCCACAGCACTGTGACACCATCTCGGGAGGGGTCCACCTCGCCTTCCACAGCACTGTGACACCGTCTCGGGAGGGGTCCACCTGGCCTTCCACAGCGCTGTGACACCATCTCGGGAGGGGTCCACCTGGCCTTCCACAGCGCTGTGACACCGTCTCGGGAGGGGTCCACCTGGCCTTCCACAGCACTGTGACACCGTCTCGGGAGGGGTCCACCTGGCCTTCCACAGCGCTGTGACACCATCTCGGGAGGGGTCCACCTGGCCTTCCACAGCGCTGTGACACCGTCTCGGGAGGGGTCCACCTGGCCTTCCACAGCACTGTGACACCGTCTCGGGAGGGGTCCACCTGGCCTTCCACAGCGCTGTGACACCGTCTCGGGAGGGGTCCACCTGGCCTTCCACAGCACTGTGACACCGTCTCGGGAGGGGTCCACCTGGCCTTCCACAGCACTGTGACACCATCTCGGGAGGGGGGTCTAGATACCCATTCAGGATTCTCTACTACATTGCTGGTGTGAGTGTAAATCACTTGGAAAACAATACTGCAAATCTTGGCAAACTGAATACTTGCATGTCCTACAACCCAGCCGCTGCACTCCCAGCTTGCCGCCCTAGAGGACTCGTGTACACACGAACCAGGGACAACAATGTTCCCAGCAGACTTGTTTGTAACAGAAAAAAAATTAAAACCACCCAGATGTCCATTGACAGAATGGAGAAATTATCTATATTCTTCCCCACAATGAGACTATCATAAGGTAGGGAAAATGAATAAATATAAGAACACAACATCAAGACCATAAAATCAGATGAACAGAGCCAGGCACAGAAAGCTAGGCACAAAAGGATACCCTTATAAAGCTCAAGAAAAACAAAAAGAAACGGTATATTTAGGAGCAGTGTGTGGGGAAATAAACAAGTAAAAGAGTAACAGAAGGCCGGGCGCAGTGGCTAACGCCTGTAATCTCAGCACTTTGGGAGGCCAAGGCGGGTGGATCACCTGAGGTCAGGAGTTCGAGACCAGCCTGGCCAACACAGTGAAACCCCTTCTCTACTAAAAGTACCAAAAAAAAAAAATTGGCTGGGCGTGGTGGTAGACGCCTGTAATCCCAGCTACTTGAGAGGCTGAGGCAGGAGAATCACTTGAACCCGGGAGGTGGAGGTTCCAGTGAGTCGAGATTGCACCATTGCACTCCAGCCTGGGCAGCAAGAGCTAAAGCATGTCTCACAAAAAAAAAAGAAAAGACTAACACAATCTAAAGCAGTGGTTACCTTAGTGTAGTGGGGGAAGGGGAGGGAGGGATAGCTAAGGATATGGGACATGCTAGTTAATGTGAATCTGGGTTCATGATTTACACGTTACCTATAGGTGCATTATTTGTTGGCTGAAAACGAAAGTTGGTGCCCTGTAAACAATCAGGGAATTTATAATCATTTCAAACTCACTGCCCACCCAACCGGATCCAGAGGGCACAGTCATTAGATGGCTCCTGACAAAGAGCCAAGGCCCAGGACGGTGCTGGCCACCAGGACTGCGTCAAGGGCGGCGTGGAGCAACACACACAGGCCCCCAACCGTCTCTTATAAATTACCAACCGTTTAAAAACTTTGAGCCTGGATTACAGCCAAGATAAGCAATGAAATAAAAAATAGTACACATTATACTGAGAGAGGGGCCTGGCTAATAAAATCACACTAACAAAGTTGATAAAGTAATGAGTCCTTTACACTTTTAGTGGCTAAAGGCCTAAACTGGAAATACGAGCTCAAGGTTGACAAGGACTCTGCCTCATTGCTACCATAGTGTTTGGCACGCAGCCGAGTACTCAAAACTCACGGAGTGCAGTCCCCCTTTCTCTAGTGGTCACGCAGATTACCTCTATATAAAGTTACTTGGGAGGCCGGGCATGGAGGCTCATGCCTGTAATCCCACCACTTTGGGAGGCAGAGGCAGGCAGATCACTTGATGTCAGGAGTTCAAGACCAGCCTGGCCAACATGGTGAAACCCCGTTTCTACTAAAAATACAAAAATTAGCTGGGTGTCATGGTACATACCTGTAATCCCAGCTACTCAGGAGGCGGAGGCAGGAGAATCGCTTGAATCCAGGGAGGCAGAGGTTGCAGGGAGCTGAGATCCCGCCACTGCACTCCAACCTGGGCGACAGAGCAAGACCCCGTCTCAAAAACAAAAAGGTTATTTGGGGGAAGAACTGAGGAGCATCCAGATGGTAAATAACTTTGGGATTCACTGCCCACCCTGCAGGGAAATGGATTGATCCTTAACCCCAAAATAATTACATACCTAAATAAAACTTTAAAAAAATCGCCATGTATGATGTCCTATCTCCACTTTTACAAAATTTACAATGAGGCACAATTCTTAAGCTGTTTTTCATTTTTTTATTGCTGTTAATTCAAGGAAAAAAGGTTGCATAAAATCCAATCTGTTCTAGAAATATAAGTGGCCTTTCCAGTACATAACATTTCAAATATCAAAGTATATGGTAAACATACAAATAAGGAGAAGGTAACATACCTCCTATGTACAGTACAGTATTTTAAATCATAAAATAAGCTCCATAAAGTACAACTGGCAAGTGATTCACAACGCGGCCCATAAGTGGCTTATCAAAACTCTCACTTGAACAACTCAACTGCAGCTTAACAATTAATTTAATAATGTGGTCCAAAAATACCCAGATCAAATAAAATATATTTAATCAAAATAATTTCCTTTACTTGAACTTTCTTTCTAAATTAAAGCTTTCATCTACCCCTTCACACCCACCCCTTCCCCATAACTCCCACCCCTGAAAGAAAGTTTCAAAATGTACATTGGTGCTATAAATATAAATGCTACTTATGAAGCATGAAATTAAGCTTCTTTTTTCTTCAAGTTTTTTCTCTTGTCTAGCAATCTGTTAGGCTTCTGAACCAAGACCAAATGTTTACGTTCCTCTGCTGCATACCAACGTTACTCCAAACAATAAAAATCTATCATTTCTGCTCTGTGCTGAGGAATGGAAAATGAAACCCCCACCCCCTGACCCCTAGGACTATACAGTGGAAACTGTTCATTGCTGATGAATGCAGCAGTCACCAAAAAATACACCCAATCTTCCAGATAACCTCAGTGCACTTTAGGAAATCAAAAATTACCTGGAAGCAATTTAGTACATAGATTGGCTTTTTAAAAAAACTTTTTTTTTTTTTTAAAAACAGCAGCATTAAACTTAGTGACATGACACCGACATGATTAATACCATCTTAACACACTCAGAATTCCGCCTTTCACATTATAATCAAGCATAGTGGTAAACTGTTATAAAAGTGACTTTGCTATGAGAGACAGGTTAGGGAACAAACAACCTGACTTATGGTAGAAACCCATAGCTCTGTTCAGATTGCAATAAACCATACACATTTTAAACACAACGTAACACTGTAACAGCTGGTACAGGGAAAGAAGAAATCTTCACTCAAGTAGTGTCTCTTTGAGCACAACACGGTGGTAGACAAGTAAAATTGGCTGTAGACTTTCATTACAAACACAAGCACACAGAGAGCGACATTCACACCAGTGTGTTCACTTTGTGTCTCTCTGAAGCAACAGGCTAAAAAAGGATGATGGAAGTAAAAAGTTGGTTTCAGAAAAAGCTTTTTGTCCATTTCGTACGTCATATTTTTTCAGTTTCATATGGTTTGACTTCTTCCTCTCTCTTCCACTTATTTTCATTTCTATTTGGACAACAAGCACTGCATATATGTATTTACGTGACGCTGTTTATTACATATATACACACTATTTTGGGAGTTTGATTCCTCCCATAAGATCAGGGTGAAACATTCTGCCCTTGGTTTATATGCAGAGCAGTTTACAAAAGTGGGGTGAATGCACTGCTGGCTGCTCCTGCTGCGGGCCGGAGACAGAGTGAGGCTGGCTGGGGAGGAAGTGTCGTTTAGGGTGAAAGTGAGAAAAGCTGGGAAGAAGCAAAATTTCTTTTTTTTTTCAAAACCATATGACTGTCACCAGTGTTGTAAAAAAAAGGTCAAATACACAGTTTTAAAGATTCAGTAAACATTGCACACAGCAAGTATTCAGTGTAAAAAAAAAAAAAAAAGCACGCACCAACATTTAAGTTTGTCTGAAGGTTTAAATTACATGTATCATACATATAAGCCTGTTGTTGAACCAGGAGACCAGAGGCTCAAAAGCATTGCATTCTTTCTTGTTTTGGACATTGGTACAAGAGAAATGAAAAATCCCAACTGCATAGAAATCTAGGAAATGTATAGACAAAGAAACAAAATACCTTTCCTTTCCTCCCCTCCACACCCCATGACTCCCCACACTTGAGTGTATTAAGTAGGCAAGCTTTACTCGTTTCAGTCTGCAGAATCCAACGTATCATTAGAAGGGGGGAGGGGAGGTGCGTATCTCAGTCTGTAAGTGCCTAAAATGGGAAAGACAGAACTAAGTCACCGCTTACAAGCAAACGTCATCACAAACCACTACGTACAAGCTATCACACGGGCATGCTCTCCACAAGGCACCTTCGTCAGCTCTAGTGCCACTCCAAATGGCCAATCCGCTCACTTTAAAAAGCAATGTAAAGTTTGTGCTTTGAATTCAATCTAAAAGCTATCAAACTTGATCTTTCTTTAAGAATGCCAAGTAAATATATTCCCAATTTAAGACTTTTTTTGTTTCTGGGTAAGATTTGGCAAAACGACAAAGGTCAAATGCAAGTGAAAATAACAGCCTGAAGTTGACATAAAATTTGGTATCTTACTCAAACATAGGTAAGACCATTTTCTTCTTTCTGGTGGTAGTAATATTAAACTTTGTTCAAATTCCTTTACTCTCAAATCAAAATAGTACTGAACTATTTTGTTCCTGTATTAATGCAATAGAATCTTGGACCTTTTTTTTTTTAACATTTGCTGGGAAGGAAAAGGGTAGCATGGGGAAACAGGCATGAGGCAGCTGGTTATGCAGATATACTAAATAGTTACTCAAAACCTAATGTCAGATAACTAAATTACTTCCTAGGTTTTCAATATTTAAAAATTTTGCTTACTCTATGAAACAGGATTGTAGCTTAAAAAAAAAAAGTGCTGCAAGCAAGAGATTTAACATTACAGAATGCAAATTCCCATCACACTCCTTCAAAAGGGCCTTTAGAGTTTATTCCTTAATTGGAAACTGAATTCCTCTGAACTTCCTTGTGCTCTGTGTGACCTGGGTCTACACTGTTTTTCCAGTTGCATTTTATGATCTGTCACTGAAAACAATATCCATAAACGAAAACACAAACAGATCTTTCTGCTACAACAGAATCCCATGATCAATAAGGAAAGGAAGGAGAAATGAGTGAACTCAAAAACAAGTCCTCTGGGAGTTATTGTGATTACCTTGTTGATTGGCCTCCATGGACGACTGCTTACAGTCCTGTGCATAGTGTCCGCTTACACCACAATTGTAACATGAGACATTCCCATTCTTCTTGGGCCCCGAACCACTGGTGTTGGCAACTACGTTAGGTGCTGGATATACAGGATAGAATCTCCCAAATCCTGCCATCTGCTGCATGCCATAGTTGGCTTGGCTCCCCATGACTGGGTCATGTACCAGTCCATTTGCATATGGAGTCTGAGGCAGAAAAAAAGGAAGTTGGTTTCCATTGCTCTGATGTGCTTGGTTGAGGTAGCTGCCATTGCAAATGGATGGCAGAGTAAAGAATGAAGGGACTCGGTACATTGGTCCAGGCATTGGATTAGGATAATAGTAACTATTTAGCTGAAGGTTTCCATTGGTCCCACAGCTGCACCTTCGCCCACAAGAACCACAAGGACCTGAGCCCATCTGCTGCGGTGGCACTACTGTCCCATTAGCGTTCGTGTTCCCCACAGCACTGATGTAAGAGGTGCTGTCACTCTGCGCGGTACTGTGTGTCAAGGCAGGGCTTGGGCTCGGGGCAGGGCCTGGGGTGTGGGTAGGAACTGCAGGAGGAACAGTTGCCTGGGCCTGGCTGATACCTGCGCTCGCTGGCTGGGGAGAAGTTGCTGCTGTGCTGAGCACACTGGAGTTCTGGCTGGGTAACACGCCGGCAGCAAGGGGAGAGCCTGGTAAGGGGTAGGAAGCTGGTGGCTGAGCAGCTGAGAGGCCAGCTGCTGGAAGAACTACCTTCACATTGGTAGGCTGAGGGACTGTCCCTGTGTTTCCCTCAATTTGAGGCACCATTTGATTGAGTCCTACCACTTGGGATGCAGATTTTGTGATGGGGTCCGTGGTAGCAACAGGAGAGCCTGGGAAACTACCTGGGTTATGGATAGGAATAAAGGCAGTGTTTGGTGATGCGATGCTCAGGCTTCCGGGTGGTTGTTGTGGGATGTTAACTGTGCAGCTCTCAGAAGATCCCTGTGGTGGTGGCAACTTTAGCCTCTGAACTGTAAGATGCAAAGCGGGAGTACTACTGTGTGGAAGGAAGGTTGATGGAATAGGTAAAGGGGAAGCCAGTAACTCAAGGTGCTTTTCCGATTCTCCAGTGCAAGCTGTTGGCCCTAGTATTCCAACAGGGGTTGAATTTGCAGACTCCCTTATTGCAGAAATAGCAACAGGACTAGGAACAAGCATCCCTATGGTTTTGCCATCAGCGGGTTTGGGTGCAGGAACGACAACTTCAGACTTCTGGGCACCATTGTGCATGACACAGTGTAACGTTGGCATAAAAGAAATATGCTGATACTTGGGTGAGTTTAAGGGATCTTCTAAAAGGTTTCCATTCTCATTTCCTAGTGAAGCAATTTGAACAGGTGGCTTGACAGTGACAGTCTGGTTGACAGAACCGTAACCTGTAAACCTAGTTGTTGATGGATTCCCAGAATCCTCAGAATTGCTGTCTGTGTCTAAAGAAAACAAACATAAAGAGATATTAACACGGGCATAACTCCCATCTTTCTTGCTAGAAATAAACATTGAGTATACCTCAAAGTAACTCAAGTTTGGAAAGTGTCCCTCTATGTTTCCTGACTGTCCAAGCTGACCTCCCTTTAACTTTCGGCTTTCTATGGGTCGATATTAGATCAACGCTTTATTTTTAAAATACGGGGATATAAACAGAAAACAAAACATAAAAGGCTAGTTGGAGTCTGAATGAAACATAGTATAAAACAAAGAGATTTATGTAACACCATCTTTGTACTGAGAAGAGCATCAGACACTCTTAACCTTAATAAACTTCAGGCAATCCACTTGGTTTCTATTCTGCACTGCCAACCCAAGTTCTTCAATTTGTCGCAGATAAATGATACAATTTCAAAGAGCTCAGTCAAGACAATATTTAACTCAAATATCTAGAGGCAGGGAACAGAAGAGTTTTCTTTTGTTGTTGTTGTTGTTTTTTTTAGAATGGAATCAATATTCTTAATACTAAATATTTCAATGGGGGGAAGAAAATTTAAAGCTATTATTAATCATAAAACAAACACGCTAGAACACAAGAAACAGGAATAGGAGAGTGTGGCAATTTCTCCAAAATCAAAACAGCAAAACAGCAAATACAAACAACACTGCATCGGCTACTACTCCTGCATCAGTCTTACGCTTGTGTACAGAAATAGCGTGGACCTAGCCTTCAGGGGATGTCCTGACTTTTGGTATAAAGGGGACAAGGATAAAATCTGATTCACAATGTTTAAACATCATAGACCCAGACACTGTGTTGATGTATACACAGACCATTCCATTAAAATGTAGTGCCTATTTAAAAATCTTTCTGCTTGTATGGATAAGCTGAATTGTACTAGGTACTTAAAATATTTGTATTCATTAAGGTATGAACTGTTTATATTCAGCTTCAGATATTAAAAAGTTTTCAAACAGAACACTAAAAACGAATTCGTCTTCCTGAAGAAAGATTAAATGAAAGCTACTTACTGACACAGAACATCAACAGTATTACTAATTCAATGATTTTAATTTATATTAGAAGAAACTCAAAGAGTGAATGGTTCTAGCATAAACTTCCCCTAATAGATTAATAATTGGGGTATTTCTTGCTAAACTTTGCAAAATAAAAACTATCCCAAAATCCAAACTTATTGAAGGCATTTTATCTGTATCATCACACCAGTGCACAGTCAAAGATAAAAATGTTAAGTCTGAAAGAAGCAGAAACATTTTGGAAGAAGTGCGTTAAATTTCTATGTGAAATAGCAAATGGCCTCATGATTTTTAATGCTCCCAGTTGGTTTTCTAAGCATCCTGAGACTCCTCTAGACATGCTGAGACATGTCTCACCCTTTTGTGCACTGATTTCGGTAAGTGTAAAGCCCCAAACAGAAATACCATCACTACCCAGGAGAGCAACAGCAAAGCCACCCACGCCCTTTTCAAAGGAGACTTTTCATCCACTCAGAATTCTAAAAATGATCAAAACTCTCTACCATAATGGATATTTTCCTTGGGTGAAGACAGCCCTAAGCCATTCTTTCATATTTAATAACAGCCTATTTGAAAAAAGCCAAGTTCCTCCACACAGGCCTCCAACTTGTGCCATCTGATGGCAGAAGAGGGATGCTGTCATTACCCAAGTGTACAGATGTACACTAACACTTCGGACAGGGCCAAATCTGCAGTGTGAGCCACAGAGTCACCTGCTTATCCTAGAGAATCAAGCATAAATGTACAATGAAACATACTGAAAGTTTGTCTATTCTGGGTAAGGCATAAAAATCCTCTCATTTAATGCTGGGTGCAGTGGCTCATGCTTATAATCTCAACACTTTGGGAGGCCAAGGCAGGAGGATCACTTGAGCCCAGGAGTTCAAGACCAGCCTGGGCAACACAGCAAGACCCTGTCTCATAAATTTAAAAAAAGAAGACGAAAAAAATCCTCTCATTTAAGTTTCAAAACAGCTCAGTGAGACGTTGTTTTCATTTTTTTTCTTTCACAAGGAAACTGCAGATTAGAAGTACAGTGTTGCCTCAGATTAGAAGAATTGGTGGTAGAGTAACTATGCTACATTTGGTATGACTACAAAGTAACTGCAAAGTAAAAGCTGACTTTAATTGTATATCATGTAGCAACACTCTATACCATAGCTCCCTAAGACATAGCGTGATACCACAACACAGAAAGAAGCTAATGTCACAGAGAGCTGCAGACTGTCCAGGAAGAAACCACACTTGGCTGAAACAATATGTGGTAAGGATCTTAATCTGTGGGTGGACCATGAGAAGTAACTTGATGCTGCCCACCAGCATGGGTACACCTTGTAACCAAGGTGTTACCAATCAGACGTTGTCATCATGCATAAAGAATGACATCCTCATTCAACATACACATTTTTAAAGAGATCTCACCTCCATACCAGAATGGTAGAGTAAGACCTCTAATAATCCACTCTTCCATAAAAGCAATGAAAACCCTAGCAAAAACTGTCAAATAACCAACTTTCTCAAAATTCTGGAAATTAACTAAAGGCTTACAGCACTCTGACGAGTGTTTATTCAAGAAAAACAGCTCGATCTGTAAGAAAAGAAAATCTCAAGGCATTTTCCCCTTGTCCTACTTCCACTCCCCCTTTCTACAGCTCTAAAGTAGCCCTGTAAATGACTTGTACCTCACTTTCTGAAATCAGTGCAAACACCATCTCTCTTGCAGTAGTAGCTACAAAACCCAGCAGCCATTAGGAGTATGGGTTTCGAGTTCCCCAAAAGCCCCACCACCAAACTGTCACCATTTGACTGTCTGGCAGCTAGCACTCACTCTGTGTTACAGCCTCTTACCCGCAGGACATTTGTCATAATTAGTCAGAAGCAACTGTTTAAAAATGTAGCCGCCCAAGGTGGCATTACTAGCTGGGGCTGACAAGAGGCTGACCAGAAAACTTAAAATGAAAAACTGGGGAATAAGATGGCTACAGGAGGCTTTGAAAAGCTTTAATATATTCCTGGGAACCTAAAACGTTTTGCTCATGCCTATAGTTACATACCTTTCCAAGGCAGACCTGAGAAGGCCCTAAGCTCTCACTGCTGGCTGATTTTAAGCCTCTGTGCAACGAGGAACTGAAGACATAATACACAGAGAAAACAACAAAATGGCAGACATAAAACCTACCTTATTAGTAATTACATTAAATGTAAATGGACAAATAGCAGAGATCGGCAGAATGAATAAAAAACCATAATCTAACTATATGTTGTCTACAAGAGACAAAATTTATATTTAAAGACACAAATAGGTTTAAAGTAAAAGGATAGAAAACAAAATACTGTGCAAGCAGTACCTAGAATGCTGGATCGACTATACTATTCTCAGACAAAATAGACTTTAAGACAAAAATTGTTACTAGAGACAAAGAAGGATATCCCAAAATGATAAAAGGGTCAATCAATCGAGAGGACGTAAAGAGCATAAACATACATATGCATCTAACAAGACACATTTTCCTTCTTTCTACACTAACTCTACCTCATTATGATCCTGTCTTCATCCTACTTAACTTCATATGCAGTGAAATATGTTTATCAAATCAACATTGTTAGGAATTTCTAAGGCAATGATCTATACGACATCCTTTATAACGACTTTACATTTAAAATCAGTTAATGGCATTTATAGGATCATAAAATTCCTTGTTTGACTTTGACATGAAGAAACAACACACATTTCCCTCCACTTCCCCACCCCTGCCATGCCAACAATACTCCCACTTCAAAGAGCAAACCTCTGTCTTTCTCTTCTTCACTTTCAAAACTTTCTCTTCCATCATGTCGGGGACTAGATGGAGAACTGTAACTCTCTGAAGATGTTTCTCCACATGTGTCATGTCCAGAGCCAATGTCCAAATTCACATCTAAAAATAACAACACTATTTTAAAAAATCATGTTAAGTCATTTTAAATTAATTTCTAAGTTGAATCATTAGAAATTAATTTTAGCTATATTTTCTTCAGTTTCCCCACAACCATCTAAAAAAGCTTGTCCTTGATCTAAACTGATTAAATTACAATTCTAATAGAAAATACTTAATAAATATATCCTTAAAACAATGCACAGAATAAGTCAATCTTACTGACTTCAAAGAAAAAACGAGTTAAGGTTGGTTGCAGGGTCTGTCCAATAATATCACTTTGAGCTACTTTCTAAGTCTAGATATTTTAACTCTTAAGAGCTTGCTGGAAAATTCATTCTTTAAAAGAACTCAAGAAGAAAAGGGCTGCCAAAATGCCTATTCAATGAAAATTACTTGGAGTATTTAAAATAATAAAATGCTTCCCATCTAGTAGACTGAATAGTCCCCTGAGTTCTGCCAAGTTCAAGCCTATACTGAGGTAGTGTGAGGTGGTGACAGGACCTGCCATGACCAACTAGCCGTATCTGTTTTGAGCACATAAGGAGGGACTATCGGTGTATCTAGTATTGGACAAGAGATACAAACTTTGGATTTTTTTTTTCCTGTAGTGGCCCTGACTGAGGGAAATATTCTCTTATCTCTGTAAACCCAGTAGCTAGCGTAATTCTGCCTTACAGCAAGCATTCAATATATGTTTGGTGTATAAATCCCCAAATAAGGGATTCCAGAGGCTTCTTAAGAACTATAGATTAGTGAATCATTTCTGTGCCAACTGGTAGAACCAGTAAAAGATAATGGGTATTAATTGCACGGGCAAAATATGTGTCAGAGAAAAGGCACAATTTGTATAATGAGCAATGCAGGCAACTGACTTGTGGTTTTGGCTGGGATAAATTTGTAACAGTGTTAAGACTGTTAAACATGACCTAGATTAGCCCAGCCACTCAAATGTTAGGTGAATATTGAAGAAAAATAAAGTCATTAGGAATGTTGATGTTGCTAAATTCCTTCTGAGTAATAAATGTCAAACTGTCAAGGGAAAACTGCACAAAATCTTATGAGGCTAGAAGGAAAAGTGGCAGAGGAGTTCATGGGCAAGTAACAATTTTACAGAAAAGTTACCTGGAGGATACCTACACAGCAACAGGCCCTGAATGACCCATCATAAGGCGACTAAAGGGATGCAAGTCAACACCACCAATGGCTGCTTGAAGACAAGCTAACGGGCCATAGTGGCCAAATAAGTTGTCATTAAATTGGACTAATGATGAAACCTATAGAACTTGCATGAGTCTTGCATATAAATATTTCAACCAGCATATAACAAAATGAACAACCCAAGATCAAGAGAATCAAAGATTCAACAGGATATTCTCAAACTAGAAATGGACTGAAAAGGAACCTCAGGGGTAGCGTTCATCAAAATGATGCAGACAGTGAAACTACAGTAGACTATAGTTCAAAGAGCAAATTTCAGAATATGTTTTAAAAAAAGCAGCTACCTCTCCAAATGGCATAATTTACAAAACTATTTTCTTTACACTGTGCAAGCTGGTGAATATTCTAATCACGAATTGCCATATACAAAACCGCAGCTTCCAAAGAACTGAATACATAAATCTAAATCTATACTAACGTAACTTTTTTTTGATAATTCAGAAGGTACTTCAGAATTGTGTGGTACCTTAAGAACTTTTATAATCAGAAATTATGTGATCCTCTAGAGATTCAGGGGATGTGGAAAGTGAAGACAGACCAATTATGCCAAAGGATACTCCACAAATTGCCCTTTTAAAAAGACACACAAACTGAATTTGTCATGTCTCAAATGATAAAGGGTCTTGCACATAATAAAAACAAAAAGTAAAACATAAACCACTATTCTAACACTAAAAATACTGGAAATTGGTAATTATAAACAATAGAAGTCTGTTAGAGTTAAGACTCATTTAAATAAATCATAGGCAACAGAACCACATATTTCATCTGGGATATTAAACGAAGCTAGAGACCTTCTAAATCTTTTACAAGAAACTGAGAGATCAAGCATCTCATTTCCCTCTAAATTTTTTGGTGCCACAATTGGCAACAGAAGAGTGGGGTGGAAGAAACACTGGGCAATAAACTACAATGATGAGCATTCTTTTTTTTTTTTTTTGAGACAGAGTCTCATTCTGTCGCCCCGGCTGGAGTACAGTGGTGCAATCTCGGCTCACTGTAACCTCCACCTCCCGGGTTCAAGTGATGCTCCTGCCTCAGTCTCCCGAGTAGCTGGGATTACAGGTGTGCACCACCACATCTGGCTAATTTTTATATTTTTAGTAGAAACAGGGTTTCACCATGATGGCCAGGCTGGTCTCAAATTCCTGACCTCAAGTGATCCACCGGGCCCCAGCCTCCCAAAGTGCTGGGATTACAGGCGTGAGCCACCGCGCCTGGCCATGGTGAGCATTCTTAACGCTCTATATGAGGTAATATGCACCTCTTCAGAAGACAGACTTTCAGAAAGCTTGGGTTTTAACAGAAAAGACACTCCAACAACACAGACAGCTGACGGCGCTGACTGCGTCCTGGCAGGAGCCAGCACAGAGGAGGGCTGGGAGCGATCTTTGTTTTCTTTTGAAATTCTGAGCTACATAAATGGATTATCACTCAAAACAGAAGTTAAAACTTAAATTTAATAATAAATTTTTAAGAAGTAAAACAATACAAATCTTAAGCTAAAATGTATTATTTAAAGATCCAAACAACCTGCTAATCAGAAAGACTCAGTATTTTCAGCTTCAAGACAATGTCTCTCCAATTTATGATATGAGCTGTTGTTCCATAAAAAAATCCTTAGGCACGTACTGAGTTTACTGAATGCTTAAAGACAATTCTTCCTTGGTGCCTTAATATTTCAAAGAAAAATTAATACACAGAGGGGTTTTTTAAAAGTTGGAATTGGCATACATCTGCGCTGCACTTGATATCAATAAGACAAGCTGTACAAAAAATATTTCATTCAGTCATTTTATAAATGTAAATACATACAAATCGGTGACGGATATAGAGGAGAAAATAGATAAAATTGAAAAATACGCTGAGGTTGTTATTTTCATAACACTTGAAAATTAAGGAAAAAAATGAATGGGAGTTTGTGATGCTGTTACAAAGTTCTTAATAACCTATACAATGTATGTTTCCCTCTAATTTATTAGAACAAGGAAAAGGAACTAAATTGCTGCAGTGAACACCTAGGTACTTGGAACTAGGAAAATGCTCTTCATGTTTTTACATGTAATTCTTACAATCTGCTGAAGCAGGCATTACTCCTGTTTTACAAATGAGCAAACAAAGGCATCAGAGAGGTCACATGCTTAATAAACTGGGGGAGCACAACACTCAAACCCTAACTGTCTCTGACCAACGTCCACGTGCTTCTCCTCTGGAAATGGGCTAACATCGAAAAAACAGTTGCAAACTTCTTTAGTGAGCAGTAGTTCCCAAACACTGTGAGACAAGAGACAGAGTGAGCTTGTGGAGGGCAGGAATTTCATTCAGAAAATGGTATTTTAGAAAACAAACACGGCAGCAGTATGGAAAATGAACTAGAAAGAGAAGGAACAGAGACAGGGAGGGCCAGCAGCATCAATCTCCAAATGTCCACCGACAGACTTCTGTCTTCCTCATTTAGCTTGTTCCTCCTCCGTTAAGCTGCCATCGCCACCAGAGGGAACCTCAGAGATAGTAAGTGTTACAAGATCCTTCTACAGACAAGATGGGTTTTGTCCATGTTATTTTACTCCCACTTCCAATGCTTCAATGAGTTGGCCAGATGATTTTAGTTTTTTAATTTATTATTTATTTATTTATTTGAGATGGAGTTTCACTCTTGTTGCCCAGGCTGGAGTGCAATGGCGCAGTCGTGGCTCATTGCAACCTCTGCCTCCCGGGTTCAAGCGACTCTCCTGCCTTAGCCTCCCGAGTAGCTGAGATTACAGGCATGTGCCACCACGCCTGGCTAATTTTCGTATTTTTAGTAGAGACAGGTTTTCATCATGTTGGTCAGGCTGGTCTCGAGCTCCTGACCTCAGGTGATCCACTCACCTTGGCCTCTCAAAGTGCTGGGATTACAGGTGTGAGTCACCGTGTCTGGCCCAGATTATTTCAGATTCAAAAGGTAACTATTTTTTTTCTTCATCACTATTCAGTCTTTCTATACAAATATCTAGTTGAAAAATATACTCAAAACTTTTAAGAAATAGATTCTGGTTATTCATATTACATCACAACTGAATGTACTAATATTAGAATAACATTTAAATTAACAATCACATTTGTGGGATCACTACATAAATGTGTCAGGGGCACCCAGGGATAAAATATTCTCCTAGAGGTCTGCGTGCTCTTATTCTTTTTTAATCGTTACAATTAATAGTGAAGATAAACAAAATCAATGAAGCTGCAGAAGGGCACTTTCTCAAGTCAAATGAACCTTGAACCTAAAAATAAAGGGACCTTAAAATAGTGGTGGGTAAATGGAAGCCATCTAGTATAACAAAAATTTGAGGGTTGACATTCCCCTAAAGCCTCATAAAACTTCGCAAAGGATGGTTATTAAATCATGAAGAAGTCAACAGTATTCTAAAAAATACTTTACACAAAAACACTCTCATGAGCGGCCGGCAAAGCCACAGGAGAGATCTCCCATGGCCTTGGGACCTGTCTCCTGAGTTGGAACTGGCTGGAGAAGAACAACCTGGGAGACTCCTGCTGCCAGAAGGGAGAGGCAGGTGAGAATCACTGAGGCAAAGGCAATCTCCACCCCCATGGCTGGTTTGTATTCCCTAAATTAACTCCATTGATTTCAGAACTGTTTAATTTGGAAATTGCTGTACATATCAACACAAGGTAAACTTATAGTATTAGGATTTGACACAACAGCTCAGTATCTATTAATACAGTAAGTATCATGCTGAATATATTTATGTGATGGGTATTTGAAAGAAAAATAACCTTCTTACCTTTCACAGTACCACCATGGGCATGCTGAGGAGTGGAGAGTCTAATACCATTTATTCTACTATTCAATCTGTTGTCAGTTTTCTTAATTTTCTCCCTAAACCAAATGAACATATTGCCAACATTTTAATAAGGTTATCTACCAAACACATTCAGTACAGTATTGATAAAATTTCCTTCAAGACTCTTCAAATTTTTTTAGTAAGGAATAATCTAAATACAATTAAGATTCGCCCTTCCGTGGAAAGTTCTGAGAGTTTTACCCCTCCAAACTGAATGCAATATTTGACAGTAGCTTTATTTTTATCACCTGCATATATTAATATTTTGAACCAAAAGAGTAAAACCCAGAATTAAAAATATAAAGAAAACTAACTAAAAAAATACTATGTTGTATACTATCATAAACTAAACAGGCCTATTATCAAAGGCTATATGCTGTCTTTCCTTAAATTGAACCTACTTTTCTGTTTGTGGCTTTCCTTTCTTCTTATTTATTGAAGATAAACTCCGTTTTTCAGCAGAATGCTAGTAGAAAGAATAAAAAGACAAATCAGACAAAAGCTAAACCATTTTGACGTTTTTACTCTCATAATAAACATTAAAATGATAGATTCCCAGTTGTATATTCTAACAAGTGTTGATTTCCAACCTATTTTTGAAGTTTCCCACCTGAACCACTAAAATTTACATATTCTGTGACACTTACATATTTTCCTCATGATTAATACAGTATTATTTTCTATTTTTCTTTGAAAATGGACCTACATTCTTTTTTCTGACTATAAAATGAAACACAATCAAGTGACTGGCACTTGCTGTAGGTTTACTACTATTCTCTTCAAGTACAATTCCATATAACTGTCAACACTTAACTACGTCAACTCTAAGAAGAGAGGGTGCAGGCACTGGAGTAGGGGAGGGAAAGTAAACTCAGACGGGCTTTGAAAATAGGTCACTAATTATGACTAAAACTATTTATAATTTCTCAGAATATGCTTTAATGCATAAAAACACATTCCAAGAAGAGTTAACATTTGGATCTGAGCGTTGGCCAGGGACAACATCGGGTTAATGAATCAATTTTCTAGAGAGAAGTTTCATTCCATACTTGTAACATATACACAGGGACCTCCCCCCATATCTGCGAGGCCATACGACATGAAACATACTTAACAGCATTCTGCTCTCTGATCACACCCAAATCTTAAGAAAGCAAACATCCCCTAATGCATTCTGAAGTGTCAATAAACTGACCCAAATATTCATGAAGAAAGGTCAGTTGGAAAATTTCTATCACAAATAGCAAGGCAGTGATTGAAATCTGAATTCTAATTCTTTCAAGACCAAAAAATTTTGGCATAACAATCTGATGTACACCTTTGTTAAACAGTGAAGGTATTATTTTTAAAATTTTTATTTTGTTTTAAATTTATTTTTTAGAGACAGGGTTTCACTCTGTTGCCCAGGCAGAAGTACAGTGGTGTGATCATGGCTCACAGCAGCCTTGAACTCCTGGGCTCAGGTGATCCTCCTGCCTCAGCCTCCCGAGTAGCTGAGACTACAGGTGTGTACCACCACACTCAGCTAATTTTTAAATTTTTTATACAGACAGGGTTTCAGTATGTTGCCGAGGCTGGTCAAATGGGTGGCCTCAAGCAATCCTCCTGCCTTAGCTTCCCAAAGTGCTGGGATTAGAAGCGTGACCCATGGCGCCTGGGAAGGTGTCATATTAAAGTGTACTAATCTTACACAAGCAATAAAAGTAATCTAAATACACATTTTCAGGTCTCAGAAGAGCTTAGATCATATATAAGTATAAAGTCTAAAACTTAAACATTCCTTCATTTCTTACCAGATATACTGTCTGACTGAAAGCTTACAGAACTTAATTTTTTTCTTATAGAGGAGCAATGCTTTAACTATATAGCTCCAAAACAAACTCCCCACACACCTGGTCAGCCGAGGTCACACAGTGCTCTGGGTGTTGAATGGTGGTACAGCTTTGCTTCCTCCAATCCACAATTCCATTCTGTTCAGAATATTGCATGGTAAGCCCATCCAATGGAGAACAACTTGTACCAATATTGCTACCAAAGAAAAGTTTATGAAAGTGTGAAAATCTGCCCTCAATAATAACCTATTTCATTTCAACAAAGAAGTTACAGTAACCCTTTCTTCAATATATTAGTTTCTTCAAGGAATGCCTAATGATAGGTCTAAGAAAAAAAAGTATACTATGAGAAATAAACCACTACACATCTATTTATCATTAATACTTGTCTCTAAAAAGAGTAGTAACAGCTGCACACTCTGCTTTTAGACACTATGCGATGGTGATCATCATACACTGCTTACAGCTGGGACAGAGAGGCTTATACAACCTGCATCTTGAGAGCACTGCTGTCATGAGCACTTAAGTAACTGGGCACATGAAGGAACAGGATAATGAGATCAAAAACCAAAAGAAACAGACAAGAGAAATAGGCCCCAGCAGAATTCAGATGATAAACTTATTGGACACAGACTTTCAGGTAACAGTGCTTAACATGGTTGACAAATACAATACTGAGGATTTTGGAAGAGAAATTTGGAAAAGAAAAAAAAAGTAAATTATAGAACTTATAAAATAAACTAATATTACAAACTCAACAAATGGGAAATAGATGGAGAAAATTAGTGAAGGGGAAACAGATGAAGAAAATCAATGAAGAAAAAATTGGTCGGAAGAAAACAGATTAAAGCACTGAGACTGAAAAAAATGTGAAAAACAAAAAAGGCTTAAAAGACATGGGACGGCTGGGCACGGTGGCTCACACCTATAATCCCAGCACTTTGGGAGGCTGAGGTGGGTGGATCACCTGAGGTCAGCAGTTCGAGACCATCCTGGCCAACATAGTGAAACTCCGTCTCTACTAAAAATACAAAAAAAAAATTAGCCAGGCATGGTGGCGGGTGCCTGTAGTTCCAGCTACTTGGGAGGCTGAGGCAGGAGAATCGCTTGAACCCAGGAGGCAGAGGTTGCAGCGAGCTGAGACTGCGCCACTGCACTCCAGCCTGGGTGACAGAGCGAGACTCCATCTCAAAAAACAAAAACAAAAACAAAAAAAACCACGGGACATGGTGAAAAATCTAACATACAAGGATTTGGAGTCTTGGAAGACGGAGCAAGAGAAAAGCGGAGAAGAAATATTTGAAGAAGTAAAAAGCTAGTTTTCTAAAATCAGAAGACATCAAGCTACAGATTCAAGAATTCATGCAAAGGAAGCTAGGAAAACTGCTGAAAACCAGACAACAACAAAACCTTAAAAGTAATCAGAGGGAAATGCGTATTATCTTCAAAAGAGCAGCAGTAAGACCGATTGAAACTCTGGATGCCAGATGACTTAAGTGTGAGTTCCTCTCAAAATCAGAGTCCAGCATAACAGAGTTTATTTGGGAAGTGATCCCAAAAAGCAGGAGCAAGGGAGTGGAGAGGATGAAATGGCGAAGGACTGCAATGAAGAGTCCACAGTGGAGGCTGGAAGCATCAGGAGCTCCGAGCTTCTGGGCCCTCCCAGAATGACAGACCCAAAAAGGATGGAGGCAGACTCCTGTGTGAGCAGCAAAGGCCCTAAGGCGGAACATGGAAAGTCACGGCTCATACTTGAGGAGCACAGCGCTAATGTGGTATGAGTAAGAAATCACAGACGGTTTTATGGGATCTGCAGGAGAAACTGGAGGTGAGTGGAGAGAATAAGATGCAAGGAAATAAAGGGAGAACCAGATGATAAGGAAACTATGCTCTCAAAAGCTCACGGAAAGTAACTGCCCAATTAGAAGTCCACATGTGGCAAGAGTATCTTGTAAAAATGAAGGCAAAATAAACATTTTTTCCAGATAAAAATTTGAGTGCATTCATCACTGGCCGATGTGACTATAGGAAATACTCAAGTGTTCTTCAGTTGGAAGGAAAATGATCATAGGTGGATGCTCAGAGACACAGGAAGGAATGAGTACACAAACACTACAAAGAGGTTTCATGGAATTTAAAATTATACAGAGAATTAAAATGCATGACAGCCACGGCTTACAAGTTAGGGGGAAATAAATGATGTTGCAGTAATCTAAGGTCCTCAAATTGTTTGGGACCAGTACAAGCACAAATATCCAACTTTAATAAGTCAAAGATATGTAATATTATCTCTAGGGTAGCCACTAGAAGAACTTTCATTGTAAAACTATCAAAGATGATAGGGGAAAACAAAACAAAACAAAACAAAAAAAAACCACAGAAGAAAAACAACCCAAAAGGAGGCAAAAAAAGTGAGAAAAGGAAACAGAAAAAGTGAAGAAATAAAAAGCAAATAGCAAAATGACAGAATTATAGCCAAATACATCAGAAATTTAATTAAATGTTACATTGATTTTAAAACATACCAAAGCACTTTTTGTTTTAGAAAGAGGATACTTACTTCACAATGGGACTTTTCCCAGTATGCTTCTTGTGGATTATGGCATGCTGCAACACATCTAGAAGAGAGGAAAAAGTAACTTATTACACTAAATGCTGCAGCAAAAACCAACAGTAGGATGCTACTAGTTTGTATGATCATAACCACTGGTGACAGATGGTATGAAGCACTTCTAAGCATTTCTCAACATAGAAGACATCTTAAGCAATTTTTCAAAAACACAGTAAACTCTGAATTACCTTTTATGTTCTCTCAAATGTCTTCCACCTAACAGCAAATCAATCTTGTTCAAAACTATGAAAGTCTATATGAGCATGTCCCTACAAAACTAAAACATCCAATTTCAGATAGAACTTTTTAACCATTAAAAAATGAAGAGTTTCAAACATTCAAACCTGTATCTATTAATATAACAAACATCCATGTACACCACCCTCCAGACTGCTCCATATTTGCCTCTTTTAAGAAACAGAATATCACAGGAATGACTGAAGGTCTTCCCTCCATTCCACTCCCCCTCATCCCTCTAGAGGCTAACTAGTAGCTTACTTGTTGAAACATTCTAGTGCAAGTTTTAACTATCCATATATGTGTGCTCATAAACACATTAGCTGTTACATGTTTCAATATACAACTGTCCTTCAGTATTTGCATGTAATCTATGCACATCCTCCTGTATATTTTAAATCATCTCTAGATTACTTATAATACCTAGTACAATGTAAATGCTATGCAAATAGTTGTTATGCTGTATTGTTTAGAGAATGACAAGAAAAAGAATTTTTTCCCCCAAATACTTTCAGCTCACAGTTGGTTAAACCCACCAATGCAGAGATGGAGAGCCAATTGTACTATAAATATCCTTTATTTTAATTGCTACCTAGTACAAAGACATTATTTATTTATAACATTACTAACATTTGAAATGTTCAGGCAATTTCCTGGTATTTGCCCTTGCAAACAATGCTGCCTCAAGGACCCGGGCCCATGTCCCCTTTTGCAGGTGTGTAACAATTCTCATAGATGCAGGATTGCTGGACAGCAGCATATAATTATCTCCAACTTCACTACACAGCACCAAATTTCGTCCAAAATAGTTCTGTCAATTTATATCCCCATCAGCAGTGCCTGAGAGTTCCCACTGCTTCATATCCTTGATGTCAGACTCCAAAATGTTTTGTCAATCTGCTGAGTGTGAGATGACACCTGTTTCCATTTGCATTTTCCTGACTACCAGTGAGGCTGCACATTATGTAATAGCTGTTCAGGTTTCCTCATCTCAGAATCACCTATTTATGTCTTTCACCTATATTTCTGTTGGGATGATTGTCTCATTGACTTTTTAGGAAGATCCTTCCATAGTCTGGATATAGTCTTATCTGTAAATATCTTGCAAACACCATCTCTCAATCTATGGATGGTCTCCTGGCTATATGGTTCCTTTTGTCACAGAGAAGCTCTAATTTATTAAGATCTCTACCGTGGTCATGCTCTACTTTATTCAAGAAAGGCTTCTCCTCCCAAATTAACATTGAAAAGTTTAAGTTTTACATTTTACATATAAGTTGTTATTCACTTGAATGTCTTCTGCATGATGTAACTGGGAATCTAATTATACCTATTTTTTCATATGGAAAATCAATTGTGCCAACACCATTTATTGAACGGTCTATTCTTTGTCCACACACCATTTATTGAACAATTTATTCTTTCTCCACACACCATTTATTGAATGGTCTATTCCTTCTCCACTTATTTGTAATGCAACCTCTGTCACATTCCAATTCCTATATGTCAGTTTCTTCACTCCTTAAATGTTCTATCCATGTGCTATCAGCAGGCAGAATGATTTACTCTAGTGAATCTACCTTTACCTTCTTCTTGACTTGAAGCTTCAGAGCTGTCTTCTTTTAAGTGTTCTAATATCTTAGAAGTCTTCAGAGAGGATTGTAAGTTATCTGCAGGAAGCATTCAATACTATTAACTTTTTAGGAAAATTAAAATAAAGAAAACAAATATAATAATTGTTTTTTTACCTAAGGAAAATGAATGGAGGGTGAGTGGTGAAGAAAACATGGCTACTAGTGAGAAGGCAAGATGACACAGCCCAAAGCACTAGACTGTGAGTGGGAACCGTGTTCAAGAGGCCAGCTGTTCCCTGAAGAGCGACTGACCTGGACAAGTCATTTCATATCTGTCAGCCCCAGTGTGCTCATGTGCAAAATGAGGAAATAAAGTAGAAAGGTGCTTCTTAAACATCTGTGGTGTGGTAAAGATTCAGTTTTCATTTTTTTAAATCTTCAGTTTGCTGTGGATCGTTACTTTTGTAAAATACAATAAAATAACGTGGCACTGTCAAATTGTTAATCTCTCAGTGTCTGCTCTCAATTTCTGTTCTCGTGTTACAGAACAGTAACAAGCAATTTATGGACCAGCACTGGCCCATGCAACACATTTTGGATTACTTCCCCATTAAAATACAGGCCAGCAGGACTCCACAGTTCAACATCTTAACTCATTCAGGACTTTAGCATTATTTTTTTTCAGCGCTAGTTTTCAGGATATGGAGTGATGCTCTCTGTACCAGAGAATAAAAAGATAAAGCTATCAATTAAAAAAAAAAAACCCAACAGTGTATGCAAATGAACCCTGACAACAGTATATTCACTAGTGAAACAACTCAGATATGTAAGAACGTTAGGCTGACAAGATTTCCCACAATCTCAAGTTCTGTACTTTCATACAGTGTTTTAATTTTACAACCTAAAAACAAAATCCACCAACCTCTTTAGCACTGCTCATGTAATTTAAATACTGCCACACCCTCAAGATGAGTTTATTACTTATATATGAACTCCTCACTTGGGTGAGTTTTCCTGAGCAGCCTGTTCATCTGAACTAAAAGTTTAACTTTGTGCTCAATTCAATGCCTTTTTGAAACTAAACTGATGCTATTGATACATGTTCAATAAAAAACACATTTGGCGCAGGGGGAAAGCACTGATGGTTAAATCTACATAGCTACAGAATGATCAGGATTCTCTTTAATAAATGCTGTTGTTATCATTCAGACATAAATTTAATCATGAAGTTGTACATTTTGTCTTGGTCAACTAATCACAAAGAGTCATATTTTTAATTCGGATTGATAATTACGTTAGCATTAACACACTTAATTAGAGAAACTTTAAAGGTTAGCCCGTGTAACAATCATACTATTCTTGCACCTCTTTTTCTCACACCTCAAATTGAGGAAATATGTGTTTTTCTTTCCCCTTTAAATACAGGAAAAAATGACTCTCTTGAGAGCAGAGGGACAGTTTTAAAAAAGAAAAATGTTCCTTGCCATAGCTATGCCTGAAGTTCAGCAGAAATTCTGCTAAAGGACACGCCAATGTTACTGACAAAATATTTGTAAAAGGCAGGCTGAGGTAGATGTGTAGAAAATTAAACACAAGGCAGACAGTGGTGAAAGGTGAAATAAGAGGGCAAAACTCAACATACGGAACATAAGAAAAACTGGCAAAGCTTCGTGGAAGAGGTGATGTTTCAGCTGGGCCTTAAAACAGGTGTGATTTTAATGGGCTATGACAAAAGGATGTATGTTTAAGTAAGGGTACAAATGAGCAAAGACACAGGGCAGGCAACAGCTGGGCATGCTAGGAGACAGAGCACAGGGAGCAGAAGGAAGCTCCCGGAAGGTCACAGTGAGGCCTGAATTTCAGACCAAGCAGGAATTTAACACATTTATCCTTGTGATAATCCAGGGATAGATCAGAGTGGGAAACTAGAATCTGAGAAAAGAGTGAGGGTTTACCTTTAATAGTCCGTGCATGAAAGAAAGGCCTAACTGTAAACAAAGGGATGGTGACGAAGGGACATAAAGGAAGACATCCTTTGTCTAGTATGGGTTGTCCTTTCCGTGATGAAAACAAAGAGGCAGAGTGAGAAGAACAGGGCTAACATTTTCTGTCTGATCGGCTGGAAAGGTCAATTGGGAACAGGTGACAGGAGGAAGACAGACTAGATCATACACCAGCACGTGGCACTGTAAGGTCTCCAGCCTGTGAGGGAACAGTTCCTGCCCAGGAAATGAAGGACTGGCCATGCCCCAAAGACTAGAGAGACTCAGGCCTTACCTTGGAATCAGTCTGCTCTGTTATATTAGCTTTTATTCATGACCTTCTTTAAAACTGCAGTGTAAAAACTCATTAAAAATGACATTAAAAATGTATGTCACTATTCCTTAACTTTAACTAAAGTGACAAACCTACACAAAATGACACAGTAAAGCAATAAAATCCAACAAAGAAAAAAGATTTCCACAGAGGGACAGAGGATGCTTACTGATACTGTGTAGGGAGTCTGATGATATGGACTGAAAGAAGCTGTGTACTTTCTGACTTTGTAGAAAAGCTTGTGATGAACTTGAAAATAGCTGCCTGCACATAAAAAGAAAAGAGATTTGTTAATTTCAGGTAATGTTAATCCACAAGAAGCTCAGTTTCAATTATAAAGCAGAATGAAGTGGCAGTTTAATTCAGGTATGGAAAAATATTTTTCCTATAGAAAAGAATATTATTTTCTAATGTATTTCCTATGGGAAGAAGTCAGTAACATTTAACAAAATTCATTTGCAAGAATCGACTAAATAGGTTCATTTTTAATTTTGTATAATCTAATGGTAAGTTTTCAATACTGGCCCAAAAATGTATTATTTCAGCCTTTGCCCAAGTGGTCCAATAGCCACCCTTCTGTTCAGAAAAACAACTGCAATTTCTTTACTCTTCTCCACAGGTGTTCTTCTCCTTATTTGGCTGTACTTTTTTTTTTTTTGAGACTGAATTTTGCTCTTATTGCCCAGGATGGAGTGCAATGGCGCGATCTCAGCTCACTGCAACCTCCGCCTCCCAGGTTCAAGCTATTCTCCTGTCTCAGCATCCCGAGTAGCTGGGATTACAGGCATGTGCCACCACGCCTGGCTAATTTTGTATTTTTAGTAGAGACGGGGTTTCACCATGTCGGTCAGGCTAGTCTCGAACTCCTGACCTCTGGTGATCTGCCCACCTCGGCCTCTCAAAGTGCTGGGATTACAGGCGTGAGCCACTGAGCCTGGCCTTTGGCTGTAGTATTAACGGGCATTCCCACACTCTCAAAGTGGGAGGTTGGGAAGTTTGGGATGCTAAGAGTCCTGAAAAATATGGAACAGTCAATTATGTAGTTATCATATATCATACATATATTCTACAACCTAAGGCATGACTAACTGATGACTCATGTTGAATGTGTATCATGCCATGAGTCAAAGTTATCTTTGAAACCCAGCTTTCCTCATATTTTATTAATGTAATTAAAAGACTCCAGCTGGAGGTCTTCCCGACAGTGGTACCTGTAAAAGGGCTCTTGGGCAAAGAATTAGAGCAGAATCTACCAGGAAGTTTACTTTGGATTTGAATACCAGTTCAGTCGCTTATAAGATGAAGCACCCTAAACAAGCCAGTTAGCCTTTCAACTTCCAATTTCTCATGGTTACAAGAATCAAATAGTGCACACAGATAAACAGTCACCCTACCTACTACTTAGGTGCTCAACATACAAATCCCATTCTATTAGTTTTGAACACTTTTAATGCGCATTTTAAATTTCAATTAATTTCTCCCCCAAGGTTTTTGACCTATTATTCAGATTAATTATAAAATCATTAATATACCAACAGATGACCTTTATGGGCCAAAGTTGCCTTGTATATCATGCAAAATTGCTTCTTGGTCTTCTAATGTGAAAGTAAACATTCAACAGGAAGACATGGGTGAAATTAAGAGATGAAAGAACTGAGATCTGAATTCAGGAGCAAATCTAGATTTCCAGGTCTGAACATATTACCTAAGGCTGACATTAAAATCCAAAGGCAGTGGTGGAACCCACACCCAGTCATGTTAGAAACCAACTGGTCAAAAGCACAGGCACACCTTCAATTCAAGGCCTGAGTCCCAGGCAACAGCCCAGATATAACTCCAAATACTATGTATACATCCACTACAGGAACACTGAGTATTACATTTAAACCACAAATGAGATAAAGGCGGGGACTGAAATCAGCATGCAAACTAAAGTCAAGGCTCATTAATGAATAACCACAGATGGCAATTATACCGATATTAAAAAATCAAAGTGGCCATAAACTATTTGATAAATCAAATGAGTGAGAAAAACAAGGTCACATTCTGACATGACAGAAATCATCCAACCCCAAATGCACATTTCAGGCCGTATTTTCATTTTCCTAACCTACAGCATATTTGAGACTAAATGCAGTGTGTCCTGTACCAACCAAGATCTGTATCACTAATAAGTACTTCCTATTTCTCAGTTTCCTTTCTTCCGCCTCCTTTATAACTGCTACACTTCTGAGACACAAATGATGACCTACTAATTTAAAACCCACAAACTGAGAAGGAAGTGTCCTGACATCCTATTAATGGTGTTGAGGCCACAGGCCAGCCATTTGGGAAAATATACGAATTCCCGCCATACTCCCTACATCAAAATAAATTACAAATGAATCCAAGATTTTTTTAAAAAGGAAGTATCAGAAGAAAACATATTTTTTGAAACATATTTCAGATACATTTTCAAACATATCTTTGAAAAGGTCTTTCTAGGCATGACACAAAACCCTGAAACCAGAAGAGAAAAGATCAATAAATCTGAGTATATAAAAATTTAAAACACCTCTATGGTCATGAAGTAATCGCAAGCAGGGCTCTTTATCTAACAAGTAACTCTTCCAATCAGTGACACCAATAAAGTGTGGAAAGGACTGAAAAGGCCATTCACAGGGAGGCGGCAAAGCCTACTCAAACACAAACTGAAATCGGACTGTCTTTCCGAGATGGGCAAAGAAGAGCAATTGAGAATGTTTTGAGTCTGCTCAGGTGGGAGATACAAGTATGAGGCCTCAGAAGACATAAAGTGCTGCTACCTTTTTAGAAATAGTTTGAAAATATTACATATTAAAAATACATGTAACTTTTGACCAATTACATTATTTCCATAAATTGATCTTACAGATAAATGTATCCATATGTGTTAAGAATATATACCTGGAGAGGATTGCTTGAGCCTAGGAGTTTGAGATAAGCCTGGGCAACAGAGCGAGGTCCTGTCTCAAAAAAAAAATTAATAAAAATAAAAAGTAAAAAATTAAATAATCATATACCTGGACATTGTAGTAGTTTAAAAACATTTAGAAACAACTAAAATGGACGTAAAATATGTTGATTAATTATGGTTCAGCTAAAAAGGTATATTATGTAGCAAATAAAGTAGCCATCTTTTTACATGTACTGATGTGTTACCATGTCCCAATATATTTAAAGAAAAAAGTGGCAGAAAAGTATTAATATGTATAAAATACTTCCATTTGGATAGTAAAGGAAATACACACACACACACACACACACACACACACACACACACACACACACATAAATCTAAGGGCATGTATGTGCACAGAAAATTTTGGAAAAGTTAGGCTACTTTAGCTGTCAGATTTGGAGAATGGGAAACCGGGGAATTTTCTCAGTACACACCTCTGCATTCTTCAAAATTAGCTTTAATAACATCTTTACAGTAAAAACACCTAAAATACACACAGACACAGACATGCACAAGAGGCCAAGTATGATCAAAGCTGAGGAGAATCCTAAAAGCTTTAACAAGGAGTCACCCACATACTTTTTTTTTTTTTTTTAAGAGACAGGGTCTTACTCTGTTGCCCAGGCTGGAGTTCAGAGGTGCAATCATAGCTCACTGCGGCCTCAAGCTCCTGGGCTGAAGCGATCTTCCCACCTCAGCCTCTGGAGTAGCTGGGACTACAGGTGTGCACCACCACACCCAGCTAATTAAAAAATTTTTTTTGTAGAGATGGGGTTTCACTATGTTGCCCAGGCTGTTGGCCTCAAATGATCCTCCTGTCTTGGCCTCGCAAAGGGCTGTGACTACAGGCATGACCCACCATGCCCAGCCACTTACTTTTTAATTGGGGTCCTAGCTGAGAGCCATTTTTTGAAAATGGCTCCTTCCAGAAATAGTTAATTTTTTCCTTCTGAAAATCTCAAACTTACAAATACAGTACAAATACTTTTTTCCTAAACCATAAATACCTAGTGTAATGGCTAACTCCTGGGAAGACATCAGTGAGTATTTCCTATGTTCTCCTACAATCAATATCAGGAGATTAACACTGACCAATTTTTACCTTCTATTCCTCAGATCCCATTTAAGTTTTGCCAATTGACCCCAAAATGTCCTTTTCATATCAAAGACACCTGTTGTCATGGCAACTGGCATCTGTGGGGTGGTGGGAGAGGAGCAAGTCTTCATCTTCTGATCCTTCCAGACCAAGCTGGTGCCCGCCCAGAAGCCCCTTTCCTCCCCAGCTCAGAACTCTGAGCAGCTCATCCACAGCTTGGGGGGCTCCTGCCCTGAGGCCGTGTCTTTAGGGAAAGGCAGCTGGGTAACCGTGCACAAACTGTCACACCCCGGATCTTGTCATACATGAAAATACTCTCCCCCTCCCAGATTTCTGCTTGTCTCCACTGGGGAGCAAACACTCATCCCCTTCTTTTCAGCCCCACCCATCCTGAGAATACTCACTGGTCCCAATTCCCTACTCAGGAGGGGGGCCGTAACAGTCAATGACACACACCTCTGCTCTACCTCAGGAAATCGGCTTTCCAAACTGGGCCACCTCAAGTTTAGAAGGCAGATGATAGGCTGTCTTACTTAAGCCCTGACCCTAAGCCATAGAGGCTCCAGCACTGCTTTTATGTAATGTATTTATTAATAACTGCAAGTTTCCAGTAAAACAGCATGTTTCCTTGGCCATGATTCCTGAATTTATGTCCCTCCTACAGGGAAGCCCTCAGAGAGGTGAGTGCCACGACTGCCAAAACCAAACGCTGACCTCCACCGTCACCTCCAGATCCACTCACTCAGATGCCTCCGCTCTCACCCTAATGAGACTCTCGCTGCTTAATTACCCGATTACTCCCATGGCACCTGTCTTCCAAGCACAGTTCATTCTACTCTATCAGACTCACCTATTTTCACTTCCTAGTCCAGCTTAGTTCTCCTAACTGTCCATCATTTGTTAAAAACTGAACATTTTTTCCCCAAATTCCCTTGCCTCATTGTCTTTCTGTCACATCCAAGAAAGCCCCATCCAGGACAAATACAACTACCTGCTTTCCTGACACTTGGACCTGAGCTGCCGGGAAACATTTAAAAAATAATTCACACAACAGGACAGACCAATACCACGATAATTTATTGATCTTCAATCTCAAATGGACTCCACACCTTGCCCAGCTCACTTGATTTCCTTCATCAGGTTGTTCTCCAGCTCTCCACATAATGATTTTACATCCCCTCTACTCTCAAGCATGTGATCCCACACCCTCAATCTACCCATTCTTAAGAAAAACTCTTAGGGAAAATATAAGCTATTAATTGGGCAAAAATTCCCTCAACTTCCCATCACGAAACAAGTACATTTCCCTACATCCACACTCATCCCGCCTCCACAGGGTCCTTGTGCCGCCAATGACGCGCCTTGCCTGTGTCTTCAATTTCTTCCTCTGTGAGCACATGGGAGGCTCCGGGAATTAATCCAAGATCATCTCATCTAAGCGCATCTTTCCCAACAAGCCCAACAACCTTACGAGGGCAAAACCTTGACCTCTGGCAGCACCATGGCTCCAAGAGAGTAACAGCCACGAAGAGCAGGTGCTGGAAAGCAGGGCTGCCCTTCACTCTCCCACCCACCAGCCCAGGCACTTGACAACTTTAAACAAATAAAACATCTCTCCAAAGTAGAGCTCTTGGACAAAGGCCTCTTTCAATAAGTATTTTATAAAGAATATAAGAGCCTTTATTCAATATCTGCATATTTCAGAAGCAACTAAATTTTATGATATCAGAGAACTGAAGAGTACAATGATGAAACTAGTTTGGTATCTTTTACTATGAGCCTAGACCTAAATAGCACAAGGATAACATGTCCATTTTAAGAAGTACGCCAGAGAAAGGATCTCTATGATTCCCCCACCTGAAGACCCCATTTGGAGCGGCCCTTTGTCCTGTGTGTATGCTGCTATGATAGGCGTCAGGTAAATCATTACCTTAGGATGGGCTCTAGGTCAGGATGTCGCCGTTCCTCCCTTTTCAAGGAACCCTGATTCAGGGCTCTTAAGATGGTCTTGTCAAAAGTCTCTGAAGACAGTTCCTTTGGAAGCTAGAAAAGAAAAACCACAATATCCAATGTTAAGTTTCTCACTTACTGGTAAAGATGTTACAAGTTATATGCATAAAATGAAGATTAATGCCTCCTGCTCATTATTTTCCCAAAAGCAGTTTGTTTTCCAAATCTTCACAACATCTGACCCCATAATGAAGCAGCACAGACCTTTCCTACTGGGAAATGCACCATCTTCTGACTGAACCTCAGGGCTCCCCCAGGTGCAGGGCGACCCACAGCATTCAGCATGTTCCTGGGACAGGAGGATGCCTGCATGGACCTTACACTCTGGCTCCACATACCACACTGAAATGACACCCATGCTAAGGTTCTCGAGTTAAGGTGAAGATTCTGCTCAGCATAGCTAGTACTATTTTTACCCTGGAATAGTATTCCAAGGAGTGTTATCTCTGCCTTTGCACTTAGCACTTTTGTGCCTCCTGTTTTACGTTTTACTCTCAGGCAATGTCAGATCACCAGTGCTATGAAGCAAATAAAGAACTGAATATGAGAGACGGGTGAGAAACCCTCAATATTACTTATTTATATAAAAACCACACGCCAGAGGTGCCTCATGTGATTGAGGTGCCCTCAGAGCAATGTGCTAGAAACCACAAAAAAATCAACACTTGGCCAATAAAACTTTTAGGTTTTAAACAAAATTTAACCAGTTTACTTTAAAAAAATTCCTAAATTGATTATTCATAAGCCAACTTTCCAAGTCTTTGAAAAATTCAGTTTTAAATTTGACTTTTGATAACTAATCTGTCCTATTACTGGCACTTTCACTAAAATTCAGAGTAGAACCATTAACAATATCTGAGAAGCCACAGGAATACAAAAATCTATACAAATTGTTGATTTACATATTGAGCTTTGAGAAGTCCGAAGTAAATTTTCTTCTGAAAAGTAAGTATTTTGAGTCAATTCAGAAATGAGAAACTTAGCAAAGGTAGCATAAAGCATTCCTCATTGTGGGTACAGTAGATTGCAAGATCAAGATGCTCTGTCAGAATGAAGTCCCTTCTGGTCAGATAGAAGACTCTGTCGGCATTCTACACACCCGCTGTGGGAATCATGCCCTCTGACCACCAGGTCTGAATCTACCCTTCTTTTTTTTTTTTTTGAGACGGAGTCTCGCTCTGTTGCCCAGGCTGGAGCGCAGTGGCGCGATCTCGGCTCACTGCAAGCTCCACCTCCCGGGTTCACACCATTCTCCTGCCTCAGCCTCCCGAGTAGCTGGGACTACACGCACCCGCCCCCTCCCCCAGCTAATTTTTTGTATTTTTAGTAGAGACAGGGTTTCACCGTGTTAGTCAGGATGGTCTCAATCTCCTGACCTCGTGATCCACCCGCCCTGACCCCCCAAATTGCTGGGATTACAGGCGTGAGCCACCACGCCTGGCCTACCCATTTTCTTTTCTAAGAGTTTTGCTCTGTCACCGAGGCTGGAGTGCAGTGGCATGATCTCGGCTCACTGCAACCTCTGCCTTCTGGGTTCAAGGGATTCTCCTGCCTTGGCCTCCTGAGTACCTGGGATTACAGACGTGTACCACCACCCCTGGCTAATTTTTTTTGTATTTTCAGTAGAGAATGGGGTTTCCATGTTGGTTAGGTTGGTCTCGAACTCCTGACCTCAGATGATCCACAGGCCGTGGCTTCCCAAAGTGCTGGGATTACAGGCGTGAGCCACTGCACCCAGCCTCCATTTTCCAAACAAAGAAATCCCTCATTTCAATATTTATATTTTGATATTAGCATTTTAATACAGACTGATAACACCAGGCATATATCCTACTACCCATTTTAAACACAATTTATACTGAATATCTGTACACAGCCAAAGAAAACCAGTGTCAGTGAAAAGTCTATTTCAACTACCAAATCACTGATGGTTGAACTAAACACTGAAGGCAACAGCGTATAACTATTGACAGTTCAGTGACACTGTTCACGTTGCTGGGCAGACTGCAGGTAAGCAGTCATCAGTATGAGCAAACTGATTTATTTTCAAGTGGTTTTTATCTTTAATTTCCTGGGCATATTTGCAGTCCTAAAGAAAGACTCATTTGCTAAAAAAAATATATATATATATACAGTTTTAAATCATGTCTTTTATATTCTAGTCACGTGTTTTGAATTTTCTCACCTTTCAATCCTAGTTCTAGCATACCCAGCCTCCCACCTCCAGAGCTCCAGCTCAGCCTCAGAACTAGTTCAGAGGAATGAAAGGTTTTTGTACCTAGCTATTACAAAAGTTGCTCTCTAAATACACTGAGACCAACGGATAATCTAATGCTTGTAGCACCCCTTGTTCATTAAATCATTCAGCAAACTTTCAAACTCCTACTGTGCCCCAGGCACTGTTTTAGGAACCCTGGATACTGCAGTGAGGGAAGAAACAAAAACCCTGGCTGCACAGAGTAGACATTCTGATCATGAGAAATGACAGCTGTAATTGCTAAGAAGAAAAAAACAGGGGACCAGACATGGTGGCCCACACCATGTCTGTAATCCCAGCACATTTGGCCAAGGTGGGTGGATTGTTTGATCTCAGGAGTTCAAGATCAGCCTGGGCAACATGGCAAAACTCCATCTCTACTGAAAATACAAAAATTAGCCGGGTGTGGTGGTGCATGCCTGTAATCCCAGCTACTTGGAAGGCTGAGGCATGAGAACAGCTTGAACTGGGGAGGCAGAGGTTGCTGTGAACCTCTCAAGATGGTGTCACTACACTTACACTCCAGCCTGGGATATGGAGCAAGACTGTCTCAAAAGAAAAGAAAAAAAAAAAACAAACAAACCCACAAAAACAGGTGAAGGGGGCCAGAATGCAAAGGACACAGGCTGCTATTTGTATGGGAAAAAAGGACTTGAAATATTGACCTCCAACTCATATTTCCACACTACAGCAAGCTAGAAGTACAGGTCAATGGGGTCTACAGAAGAAAAAGGGTGTTCGTTTGGACACATCGTCCAAAGGACAGATTTTGCTCCTGAACTTTTTTTTTTTTTTTTTAAGATGGAGTTTTGCTCTTGTCGCTCAGGCTGGAGTGCAATGGCATGATCTTGGCTCACTGCAACCTCCACCTTTGGGGTTCAAGTGATTCTCTGCCTCAGCCTCCAGAGTAGCTGTGATTACAGGCGCCCGCCACCATGCCTGGCTAATTTTTTGTATTTTTAGTAGACATGGGGTTTCACCATGTTGGTCAGGCTGGTCTTGAACTGCTGACCTCAGATGATCCACCTGCCTCAGCCTCCTAAAGCGCTGGGATTACAGGCATGAGCCACCGAACCTGGCAGCTCCTGAACTTTTGTAGATGATGTTAAAAAGAAGGTAAAAGAAAAAAAGGATAAGGTAAACTTGGAAAAGTATCATACAATAGGCAGTATGTTTCCAGAAGTACACGTTGCAGATTATTTCATGTAACTGAGAGGCATTTATACTACTTGAGAAAAACATTATATCCAAATACTGGCTAAGCAGGGTGTTCATCAATTGCTATGATTCTGAAGAGTGAATTACTTATTTGGAGTTGTATTTGTTTTAAAGCAGCTAAGCTTTTCGAAAAAATGGGCGACTGAAGAAATCTGTCAAGGCACAAACAGCTGAAGCTTCCAGAGGGAAAGCCAGTAGAAGGCAGACTCCATGCGCCAGGCACTAGGCCTCAGCTGGGGGTCAGCTGCATGCTCTCTCAGCATGAGGGACAGGGAAGCAGGACCCCACACGCACACTGGCACCAAGTCACTTGGTCTGAACCCCCCTTTTCAAGGCTTTTCAGCCTCAGCTCTGTACTCCTGCAACTCGCCCACAATTCTGTTGTGGGAAGAACAGCAGAAGGGAAATGAAAACAGGCTACTCCTTAACCCAAATGAAGCCTGTTCGTGATCACTTGTCTAAATTTTGATAAATTTCTTCTATTGAGAGAAAAGAAAGAAATAATTAGAAGGGCTTGTAAAAGTGTGTGGCGGTGGGGTGAGGCAGCCCTGCTTAGCCTCCTCTGTAATTAGAACGTCATTCAGGCACTCATTTTCTCCAATGGGGTGCACTGCCTGGCAGATGGAGCCTGCCCCGGTCTAGGCCACTCTTCTCTGGCACCCTCACGACTGTTACCATGACTGAGCACAGCAGACAGAAGCTCACAGACCTATGCCATCTCTCTCCCCAAGGTGTCCAGAGCTGACATGTCACAGGCAGTGGCCTCTAGCATCTGGAAATGAGTAAAACTCATCCCCTAATCTTACCCAAGGCAGGTCACTAATGAGTGGGAGGAGAAGTCCTCAGCCCTTAACTGACAGAGCCTAATTTATAATAAACCACAGGAAGATGGAACTATTCAAGTCATCCCTGGGTGCTACTTCATTCACAGGGACTAATAAGAAATCCAGTGGAATTCACACTTTGACAGTCTTCCTCAAAGAACCAGCATCTAATGTGCTATTCAAAGCTCTACAAGTTGATGAATAAAAGTCTCTCATAGATTTAAGAATGATCTGAAAAGAACACACTTATGGTGACAAGCAGACAACCTAAAACTAGCACTAGCCTCATAATATCGTATGTTATATGTTTAATAACTACACTTGTAACCAAAACTTAGTAAGTCAGTTGGGAATGTTTTGTTTCTGGACTTTCTGCTTTATCTCTCTACTAACAATAAATTTTAAAATATTTGCTTACTGAGAAAGAATAATTTATCAACCATTTATACCTATTCTCTCCTTTTGATATGTATTTCTAACTATTCACTTTTCGATAAAATCAGATTAGTATAAAAGAAACAGGTGATGGTTTGAACAAAATGATCTAAGATACCTTTCACCTCTGGCAAGTCTGTAATAAGATGTTTCTATTATCTTCTTATTCCCAGTAGTTTGGAGATTCTATCATATGGGGGGTGAGGTGGGGAGGAGCTGGAACTCAAAGAAGGAAGAAATGGAGAACTATTTCAGGGAAGTGCACAGCTGAATAGTTGTGAAGTCTGAGAACTCCCACCAAGCAGAAGCAAGCCTCATCTGGTTCTGCAGACACATTCTCTACTAAGAAGTCCCTTTGCAAGCAGCCACCAATGACGCACATCTCTGCAGGAAACTAGGAACAGGGTTCCTTTTTTTTTTTCAAATAGAGATAGGTTCTCACTAAGTTGCCCAGTCTGGTCTTGGAAATCCTGCCTCACATGATCCTCCCGCCTTGGCCTCCCAAAGTGCTGGGATCACAGGTGCACACCACCGCACCCGGTCTCCATTTTTTTTAAATGTAGAAATCCCTTCGTCATTTCCTTATGTTGGTAATGTCAGGTAAGAAAACATTTTTAGAATAACATGACGTTTTCCACAGCTAATGTTCATTTAGAGTTCTGAGCCAACCTTTATCTGTATGTTTTAATTTTCCTGGTGTTTTTTTGACGTTGAGGTTTCTGGATTCTGTATATTATATAAAAATCATTTTAACAACAAAATCTATATTTTACCTTCAGTAGAAATTCCTGTAGTTCTTGGTGGGTTTTTGTTACTGTTGTGACTGAAAGATCAGACCAATTTACCTGATTTAAAAAAAACACACATATTATATGGTTATTCCCTAGGCAGGAACCGGCTAGAAAAAAGCCATGTGCAAAAACAAAGGGCCTTACTTAAATTTTACTAAGATTAACAGTTAGAAATATAAAGTTAATCTGGCATTGTCATAATTTCAAAATTAGTAAAATTAACTGCACATTGACATACGCTACTCAAAAACGTTCTAATAACTCTTTTCAAAATGGCACTTTTTAAAACCTATCTGAAAATGTGATTATGTTTAGTAATTTTTCAGAAAGGGGATATATGTTATTTTCTATGAACTTATAGAACTCTAAAATGACACTTTTGACAGTACAAATCTTTGCCACTCAAAAGATAAAAATTCTATCTCCTGAAACTTACTAGGTATACACCCTTAAGGGAAATAACTAGAGTTTACTGCCTTCTTTGGTAGTACCATTTCATATTTTTATGGAATTTATGGTTCGAAGAGATTTCATCTTTATCTCAATCTTTAAAATCCTATTAAGATGCTAGGGCCAGGTATGATGACTTCCATTTTGAGATGGAGAAACTTAAGTTCAAACAAGTTAGGTTACTGAGGTGTGTGACTCTAAGTAGGTTGCAAGAGTCAGAACTGACATCTCTTGTGCTACCCCATACCCACTACCTCCTCGATGCTTTTCATGTGGACTCAACTGTGGCCCCCTAAAAATTTCTACCCTATAATTATTTGAGCTAAATAAATATTTGCACTATGCTACTGTCTAGGCCTTACCAACTTATAAGTAATCAGATAGTTAAAAAATACATAAAATTTTATCTACAAGTCTAAAATTGGTATCTTTATTAACTGGCACATTTATTTACTTTACTGGCACATTACATTTCTTAAGTGATAGTATTCAAATGTTTGTGGAGCAGCTACTTGTGTTGGGCACTGTTCTGACTCTTGTGTCAGGGATGCAGAAATGGACAAGACAGTTAAGTCTCCGCTGACTGAGTTCACAGGCTAGTGCAGGAGATAGATCAAAGCCAAGTGAATATATAAGAATTTCCATCAGTGATCAGTGCTTTGAAGAAAACGCATAGGGCATGGTACAAGAACGGAGAGATGCACATGAACTGGGGTGTCAAGAAGGATCTCGGAGGAGGGAGCTTTAGAGCCAGAAGGTGGCCTGTCCTCGGTCTGGGGAAATGGGGGAAGAGCATTTCAGGCAAGAGGACAGTGAAGCCTTTAGGAAGGCAAGCTGTGAGCTCCAGCAGCAAAAGAGGCCAGCCTGACTGAGCGTGGAGAGTAAAGAGCGAGACGCATGCCGCAGTAAGACACCAGGAGATGAGGGCTGAAATTCTGCAAACTGAGGATCTTTCTCCCTTAAAGCAAAGCTGGAGTTTGGAAATTCATTCAACGAGCAAGTGGTGGGATGGCTGAGGATGAAGAATGAAGATTCCTGCTCTCCATGAGAATATCTACTGGAAAGATCTGTGAAAGGTACGAGGGCAGAGTATCATGGATGAAGGAGAAAACATTCTAGTGGAGGGTCAGAAATAACTCCATGAGAGAGGGACAGCCAAAATTTGGCAAGCAATGCCTTTGGAGAGGAACTGAAGTGAGGATTCACAAAAACGTGGCATGGTTCCACCTGGCTTCAGGGTGCGTGCCATCCAACCTGAGGAGAAAAGGCGTAGCTCAAGCAGGGAGAAGTAAGGAAGATGTGGACAAGGAATTCCCGATACAGCTGACGGGCAAGAAGAAGACATGCAAAGTCTTCACCTGGGAGCACAGAATCAGAGCTGGGCTCTACAGCTAATCCCAGCTGTGGAAAGGACGGGCACCAAAACCAATCATGGGTAAGAAGACAGGGCAATGCAGTGGCAATAAAAGCGTCACAGAGAACAAAGAGGAGGAGGAAAATACCAGGGAGAACAATGCCAGGAAAGACAATGCCTGTGATCTTGACTTAAAACACAATGGCATTTTTAAAGATGTATCTTACATCTTAATTGCGTCCCTAAATCTAAGGCTCTTACTTCTTTTTAATAAAATAGCCAGGGTTATTTTAATGTGATGTAACTTCAAAAAAACTTGGCAAACCATGCAGTAGTATATGATAAAAAACAGTACATTCTCTTAATTAAAAACAAACATATATACCTTTTCCCTTAAATTAGCAAACCTGCCACAAGTTTTCCCAAAGATCATTGAGCACAGCACGTGAGGTATCTTTTGTGGGGAAAATGGCTTACTTTGAAAGTGTACTCCCAGTATTTGTCAGCTCTTTTTCTCTGGACTCCTTTCAACATTATCTTCTCAATGTGTACAGCTGAAAGAAAAAAAACACACGGTGACTTGTGCTACAAAGACTATAGACACATTTCACTTACCTAAAGTAACCCTAAAAGTTGACAAGTGCTTAACAATTAAGCTACTCACTTTCATCTTTATGACTGGTCTTAAATCATGAAATAAAAAAAAAGAAGACAAAAAAACTAGAAGCATAGCAATGTGCCATCCACCCATGAAAAAAATTTTTTTCTATACCCATACGACATGCTGAGTGTTTAAGTAAATTCAAACACTCTATTAACACCAAAGATTTTAAGGATAAAAATAAAAGGTACCTGCAATTAAAATATTTTTCCAAATGATAATCTTCCAACTTGTTATTCAGATTACCACAAATACGGCATTTTAATATCAACTAAATATGGTTCTTTCAATTATTAATACATAGTAGGTATAAACTACAAAATATCTAGTTTTACATTTAATTTTTTTAAAAAACTACTCAAAAGTAATATACCAAGCTGAGGAATTTAAAAATTATTTGTCTCAAATGTAACCCTCAATATCATATAATGATAAATATAAACTGAACATTATAATAAACGTTCATTGTGGCAAAATTTTTTTACATTACAGAGATAAAATAGTAAACATAAATTATATTAAACTTTAAAACACTCTGAATTGAACTAGATAATCAGTTTATTCATGAAGTAAGCAAATGTATAAATCCCCCAACTATCCATTTTACGACACCTTTAATAAAAGTACCACCTTAGGAAATAAATCAATTTCAAAAGAGCCAATCTACAAAGCGTACTCTACTCTAAGGACTTAAAGACACTGCTGTTCAGGGTATGAACAGAAGAAACCACACTTTCAGGATAATGAGGGAGGTAATATCAGGCTGATAATGAATATGCTAAAGGTTACAGAGAAGAGGTTAGGAAAGTAACTCAACAGAATGGGTGTGGGGGGTACACTGTTGGATTCAGGAGAGCAGGAGATGGAGGAAAAAAGGGGCATTCATTCATTTTGCCTTAGAGGAAGAAGTTAAAATAGACAAAGTGGAATACACAAAGTGACAAAAGCATAGAGGAGGAGTAAGACTGTTAAAAGACCACGGAAGGTGGGCAGTGAGAAGGCATGAAGCATAAGATACAGAAATACACAGGGGAAAAGACACTTATAATAAACAAAGGATATAACATTACCAGTATTTTGTGTCAACTTCCCAAATATATAGTGTTTGGTGGCCTGCTTGTGGGCCAGTTTCCCCTTTGCGGGCCAGAAATGTTGAGGATGGAAACAACGGAAAATCTCAAAAAGCCAGGCAAAAGCCTGTAACTCCTTAGAACTGTGCAATAGGATAAGAGCCAAAGTGGTGATGGGAGGGTATGCTGTTTCCAAAAGCTGTTATATTAAGTTAAAGGATGACGCCATTCAACAAAAATCTTCTGAACTAATCTTATATTCAGAAATAAAGCAGCTCTACTTCTGCAAATCATTGGTCCCCTCAAGGGTAGGGGATCTTGGGTTTTGTTTGGTCAGAACCCAGTTTTGCTTAGCAGAAAAAGCCACTATGACATTACAGGACATGGGAACACAGCTTCAGTGATAATTTCAAGTTCTGTCTGGTGTTGGCTACCAGAATCAAGGTAAGAGAAGACAGGAGTATGTGATGAGGAATGGCCATAGTGAAAGTACCCCCAACCCTCATAAATTAAAACTAAAAAGCATGTATTACACTTTTTAAGAAGTAGGAATACAAGAAAAATAATCTACAGTACCACCTTTACAGTTAATTGTCAGCATTTTGATATAATCTCTACGTTCTTCTAAAATATTTTTATTAAAAAAAAGGACCTTCATTGTAAAACCAACTCCACTTCAGGTTATTCGTATGTTCAATGAGTTTAGCTGAAGTAGTCTGATTAAAGTACTTTAGTTGGGAAGATAGGAGTACCGTGATCGTCTTGAATAGAAGTGGTCATTATATAAACACTTATGTTCAACATTAAAAATTCAGACCTATTTTTCCTCTGTGAGGAAAAATGTATTACACAAAAAGGATTATTACTGGTAAAAAAAAAAAAAAAGGAGACATAATGACATAAATTCAAAATTGTTATAACTGAGTGTGAAGCTTATCATATATCCTTGGCTCTTTTAAAGCCCAGATGGCAGTCTACATTTTCCATTTCAGTTTCTCTCCCAGCACAGGTTAATGGCTCCCCAAATGCAAAGAGGAAAGAATAATTTGAATTCATTCCTGTTCAGATGGCAATGTCCTTCCACCCATTCATTCCAGCCCTCTTAAAAACTGCATTATTGCAGGAAGAATGGATTTGTAAGTAACTTATTTACTCTTCCAGAGAACTTGTATAAAATTCATTTTCTCAGTAGACACTGAGCTCAATTCTGCAAATAAAGCACTATACTAAATACTCTGGGGGTCTCTGCCCCCCAGAAGCATGCAACCAGGTTTAAGATTCAGCCAAGACAATGGACTACAGAGCAGAATGACTGTGTGCGTGCTAGGACAAGCAGGGCTGTGGCGCAGGAAACACCCAGCGTGCAGATGGCAGAACTAGGAGGACTGGCTCTTGAGTGAAGCCTAGGACCAGTAGGACTTCTCCACTTCAAAAAGGAGAGTAAAAAGTTTAGAGTTAATCAGCGTAAAGAGCACCCTGTAATCTTTTGATGTATTAATGCTTTAAGTTTACAAAAAAGAGAGCATACCTTCTCGCTGAGCTCTGTGAGGTGCCACGGTAAGTCCGTCCTGAGGTATTGGAGCTTGCTCTATTAAGCTGCTCTCGTTATTTTGCATGTAATCACCATGAGCAGAGTTGTTCTAGATGAGAAAGAGGGAGATACGTTAACTTAAACCATGGACTAAGAGTAATAATCACAGATTTAGGTCTTCTCATTTTACTAACAACCATTTTAGTGGCAATTTTTAGAGGTCCAATAGGTGACTGCACACTATGGGCACAAAGGCACAGTGTGAGAGCCGCAAGCAGAAGATGAGCACTCTATTAATTATTGACTGTCCTAGCTTTCTTGGGACACAGGAAATTGCTTAATAATATACAGAGTTGCCAATGATGTCAATTCTGAATCCAAATCAAAGGAACACATAACAAATGGTGCCCTTTACACTAATCCTCCATAGGGAACGGCATGTGTACTTTTTACAAGAATCACTACACCATTTTTATTCATTGTTTGGTTTTAATAACAGTCTAAAAAGATGCTTTATTAGGAAAAAGTCTTATGAAAGGTATCATCAATACATGCCAAGGATTTCTAAACAAGAATATGTACAGGCAGGGAGTTTACCATTAAGGTTCAGTCATCTAACAGCAACTGGGTGCTCTAAACCTAACTGAGTTTGCTCAGCCAATCACTAGTGAACCGGGGTAACTTTGACTCCTAGATCCGATGCTTGGAGTAATAAAGGTGATGCCAAACTTACAAACAGCTCGCCAGAAATCAAGCACTGTCACATACAAACTGTTACAACATCATATTAAGTAAGTAAATAAATAGCCTTATGACAGTTTTTTATTACAGCTTGCACCTTATCCCCTCCCTTTATGTGCAGAATCTCAAAACACTACTCATATCAAAATCAACTTGGTTTTAAGAATCAATTATGATTTTACAAATCTGCAGTAAACATACATTAATATTTTTTTCTGTAAAAAATTAGGCAAATAGAAGACCCTAAGCTCCCCACAAATCTCAATTTAAAAATATTTTGTTCTGCTGTCTAATCACACATCCCGACCCGACAGTAAGTATGAATTGCTCTGTTTATGAGAACAGAGCACATTATATACTTTTGGGAGCTAAACTTCTGCCTTCTAGTCTGTCTTCCTTTATTTAGAAACCCAAGGAAACAAAGACTGTCTACCTAAAACCATTTAATAAGGAGAGTACAGACCTCTTCAGTCAACATCCAACTTCTGAAACACTTGGCCTGATAGCCTTTACCAATTTTCAATGCGACTGGTTTTTTAAAAATGCAGATATGAATTATTTTAATAACAAAACCATACATATCCTAACCCAGACCATATATTTTATTAAAAAATGTAAAACCACATTTACCCACGAGAGATTCTGCTTCTCAAAAATTTTAATATTGCTGTAAATACTTTAAAAAACAAAGAAAATAAAGTGCTATATAATCCTCTCAAATAGTTGTGTTAACTGGAAGAAGCTTGGGTGAATAGGTTAACCAATTCTTTCTTTTTTTTTTTTTTTTTGAGACAGGGTCTCTCTCTGTTGCCCAGACTGAAGTACACCGGCATGATCATAGCTCACTGCAGCCTCAAATTCCCGGCTTCAAGTGATCCTCTCAACTCGGCATCCCAAAGTGCTGGAATTACAGGTGTGAGTCATTGTACCTGGCCAGTCAACCATTGCTTAAAGCGAAATATTTCTCTACATTGCTCATATATAGTTCACAAATTTAAAGCAATACTTTCAAATGTAAACTAATGCAAAATATGAAAAAAATGTTTTCATTAGTGAGATGCATAAGAAGATACCACTTTATACCCATTAGGATGACTATTATTAAAAAAGACAGTGTTGGCAAGGACATGAAGAAAATGGAACCCTTACACATTGATGGTGGAAACAAAAATAGTATAGCTACTGTTGAAGACAGTCAGGCAGTTCCTCAAAATATTAAACACAGAATTATTTTATGACCCAGCAATTCCACTTCTAAGATACACCCAAAAGAACTGAAAGCAGAAATGCAAACATAATCTGTACATCAGTGTTCATAGCAGTTATTCACAATAGCCACAAGGTGTAAACTCAAAACCCATCAATGGATGAACAGATAAACAAAATATGGTGTACACATCCAATTACCTATGATTCAGCCTTAAAAAGGAATGCAATTCTGATACATAATAGGATTTAGATGAATCCCAAAGAGAGTATGCTAGGTGAAATAAGCCAGACACAAAAGAACAAATACAGCATGATTCCACTTATATGAGATACCTAGAATAGTCAAGTTGATAAAGAAAGTAGAATAGTGGCTAGGTGTGGTAGCTCACGCCTGCAATCCCAGCACTTTGGGAGGCCAAGGTGGGAGGATCACATAAGGCAAGTATTTCAAGACAGACTGGGCGACACTGCACGATCCTATCGCTACAAAAGAATTTTTTTTTTTTGTTAGCCAGAAGTGGTGGTATGTGCCTGTAGTCCTCGTTAGATGGGAGGACTGCTTGGGCCCAGGAGTTCAAGGCTGCAGTGACCCATGACTGCGCCACTGCACTTCAGCCTGGGCAACAGGGCAAGACCCTGTCTCTAAAGCAAACAAAAAAAGTAGAATAGTAGTTACCAGGTACTGGAGGGAATAGGGTGTTATTTTTTAAATGGGTATAGCATTTCTGTTTGGGATGATAGAATGTTTGGAGACAGAGGTGATGACTCATGACAACGGGAACGTACTTAATGCTACTGAACCGTACACTAAAAAGGAGAAAATGAGAATTTTATGCTATATATTTTATATCACAATAAAAACTAAAAATGGAAATGATCACACTGCCTCCACAAACATTAAATTGAAGCAACTGTATGAAAGTAGTTTGCTTCACAATCAAAATCACATTTTTGAAGTCTGAAGTTAACTTTATGAACCCAATTTAACCAAGTAACCTCCTGTTTAATAACCTAGGGAGAAAAATGAAGTTTGAGTTTCTATCCAAAGTCCTAAGTTCATCAACCCATGATATATCTACTAATTAAATGTTTATTTTCTCCTCCAAGTCTCAGCATGTATCAATGCTATAAAATCACGTAGACTATGTTTAGAAGCTATTACTAAACTCACTCATGTAACGCTGCATGAGCTGGAGATGAGAATCGGCAGCCCCAATGGTGGGTGGCTGCTCGGCGATGCTGTCTGCCCTGCACTCCCTCTTTACTTTCCTTAGGGGGATGGGTAGCATAAAATCTGAGAACTCCTTCTTTAATGGAATCATATAAAGAGGAATGGCACCCACTTTATCTGTTAAGTTCAGATTCCCATGAAAATGCAGAACAGATGAAATGCCAGAATCAGTATTTTACAAAGACTAGTTGGAGAAAAGTGTCAGGACCACGAGAAAAGTGGATTTTTCTCTGTTTGTATCAAGAAAGCAGGGTTTAAAGATTCTAAACCTGCAAAAATACGCACAAGCATACAAAGAACTTTAGTAGGAGTGCATTCTCCTTTCTTAACTCGCCTGAGGCAGAGCTTCTTCTGTCCTATCGCTTGCCTCAAGAGCTACTGGTTAGCACAAACCTACACGGCATGTGGTTCAGGTGGTCTAGATGGTTTTGCCACAGATCACACGTAGACCCATCACAATTACATACTTGAGATTTCTTAACTGTGGGGACCTTGTGAAACAGCCAAGTAGCTGGACATCCTAAAAAACTCTTCTCTGAAAACATACCATTAGAACAAAGGTCATAGATGGAGTTTTAGTTCGTCTAACAATATTCTACATGGTTCTTGTAGTCCCTCGATATAGACTATAAATTTAAAAATCCAAGATATTCCAAATATAATAACACAGCAGTAAGAGTTTTTTATTTTTTAAAACCAAAGTCACTAACTTCTTCTGAAGTTTTCCCAATTGTCAAATGAGACTTAGAAAATTAACAGCAATATATAACAACATTCTATTAAGCTTCCGTGGCGGATTAAAGGTAGCTAAAAATTATTTAATATTCCTCCCGCTGAAAAGTGGAACCAATTCCCCACCCAGTGGATCTAGGCTGGCTTTAGAATGTGCTGGTGGTGATGCTCTTCTAAAGTTAGGTCCTGGGAAGCCTCAGCCCTGGGCCTCCTGGACACTTGGGCTTGGAGTCCTGAGACACCACATGAGACATGCACTTCTCCTGGCAGCCGCACTTGATGGACCACGTGGAGAGAGGAGAGGGGTCTAGGGATGCCATCTGGGCCCCAGCTGTGTCCCAGACACCCTAGAACAGAGACAAACTCTTCACTATAGTTATTTGTCTAAATCCCTCACCCACAAAACTGTGAGAGATGGTAATAAAATGGTCATTGTTTTACACCACTAAGTTTGGGGGTAATTCTGTTCTTTAAATAGGCAGATTCATAGGTCTCCTCCTTCAGCACTGGCATCTGTGCTTCCTTTGCCAACATGCTCTCACTACAGAAGGAAAACATCTTTTAACCCTAGAACTAGGAAGATGATCCAGAAATTGCTATATCCCTGGGCCAGCAGCCCCCACATCTTTAAGTCCCCACATCAGGGTGTTCTGGGGTGAGGTGAAAAGAATGCATGCATGAGTGCACAAGGATCTAGAGAAGCGCACATCTCCTCCCCAGCCCACATCTGACTCTGCCTTCGCTGTCGCAGTCTCGCCCCACGAGAGATGAGGGAGGGAGGCCAAGGGGTCGTCAGGAAGGATGTGAGCCTGGGCTCAGAAGCTGGAAGGAGCTTCCATGCCTTCTAGCACCTGCAGCAGAGCCACTGCTTCACCCCCAGTGCAAAAACATTCTTGGAACCTTGTAGAAACATAAGCTTATAGAACCTAAGAAGGATCTACGGCAGTAACTGATTTACTATATAGTGTTGCCAACACTGCATTAGGACTTGTGTTTCACACCACTAGTTATTATAGAATGGGCAATTTTCCCAAACTAATAAAACTACTCAATACTCAATGCCACAACCTCTCTGTATGAGGGATGACCTCTTTTCAAGCAAATACTCCCAAACATTACAGCATTTGGTTCACATGTGACCATGCCGTCTCCCATTTAGGACCACCAGTGAATTTCAATCATTTGATACCCAAGACAAAAATCAACTGTACTACGGGACACATCCCAATTTAGACATTTCTAACAAGAAACATAAAAATTCCCCAACATTTATGTTATAGAGCGTTCACTTCAGTGACCAAAGTTTAATTATCTTTCCAATCACACAAGGCACTACCCCAATTCTACATCTGACTCACACCACCCCTCAAGTAGATCATAAACTGGAGATCAAACACTACAGGCTACCTACCATCAACTATCCAAGCAATAAGAAAATAGGTTAATATATGACTTTTCCATCCTATCAAAATGTCACTGCTAGGTCTGCACCAATTTATGCACCCACACACAAAAGCTCAATTAACACAGGGAGTACAAATAATCAGATTTTTTTTTTTTTTTTTAAGACAGGATCTCCCTCTGTCTCCCAGGCTGGATTGCACAGCAACGCAATCACGGCTCACTTCAGCCTTGACCTCTCTGCTCAAGCAATCTTCCCACCTCCGTCTCTTGAGTAGCTAGGACTACAGGCATGTACCACCATGCCAGGCTAATTTTTTTTAGAGATGGGGTCTTGGTATGTTGCCTAGGCTGCTAATAGTCTGATTTGGAAGGTATATTAAATAAGCACAGCCAGTCAGCATCCACCCATTGAAGATTCAATTCAAATCTACACTTGTTCCACGCTTTTTATATAAAGAAACAATTCCTCTTATTTCCAAAATAACTGTACCTATCCTATATAACTGCAAATTTTTTTATAAAGTAAATACTGGTAAGTACAATTCAAAATAAGACAAAATCACTGCCTGATATACTTAGTCTTTTTTTTTTTTTTTTTTTGAGGCAGAGTTTTGCTCTTGTTGCCCAGGCTGGAGTGCAATGTCACCATATCGGGTCACTGCAATCTCTGCCTCCCAGGTTCAAACGATTCTCCTGCCTTAGCCTTTGGAGTAACTGGAATTATAGGCATGCACCACCACGCCCAGCTAATTTTTGTATTTTTTTTAAATCAGAGACAGGGTTTCACTATGTTGGTCAGGCTGGTCTCGAACTCCTGGCCTCAGGTGATCCACCTGCCTTGGCCTCCCAAAGTGCTGGGTTTACAGGCTTGAGCCACTGTGCCCAGCCTCGATATACTTAATCTTAAAGCAGTGTATCATATTGGTATTTTTTCTTTTTTCTTTTTTTGAGACGAAGTCTGACTCTGTCACCCTGGTTGGAGTGCAGTGGCATGATCTCGGCTCACTGCAACCTCTGCCTCCCGGGTTCAAGTGATTCTGCTGCCTCAGCCTCAGGAGTAACTGGGATTACAGGCGCCCACTACACGCCCGACTAATTTTTGTATTTTTAGTAGAGACAGGGTTTCACTATGTTGGCCAGTCTGGTATCGAACTCCTGACCTCAAGTGATCCACCCGCCTCGGCCTCCCAAAGTGCTGGGATTACAGGCGTAAGCCACCACACCCAGCCTCGTATTTTTCAAAGCTATATATTTTCCAAGTCCAAACACAGGAAATTATGACTGAGCAATGATGATATATACAACACTGACAAAAAAATGAGGCACAATGCCCGAGCCTTTGGGGAACTTAAAATTCTAGTGTGAAAGATCAAATTTATTTATTTACTTATTTTTAAGACAGGGTCTCACTCTGTTACCCAGGCTGGAGTGCAGTGGCATGATCTCAGCTCACTGCAGCCTCTGCCTCCAGGGCTCAAATGATCCTCCAGGCTGGGTCAAGCTATCCTCCTGGGCTCAAGTGATCCTCCTGCCTCCGCCTCCTGAGTAGCTGGGACTACAGACATGCACCACTACGCCCAGCTAATTTTTGTATTTTTCTGTAGAGACTGGTTTTTGCCATGTTGCCCAGGCTGGTCTTGAACTCCTGGGCTCAAGCAATCCACCCGCCTCAGCTTCCCACAGTGCTGGGATTACAGGCATGAGCCACCACACCTGGCCTGAGAGGTCAATTTTAAATGTTAAAAAGACAAAGAATCACAGAAGTACCAAAATTACAACGATATATGTGCATCTAAAATTCAGTGGCAGCAAATAATCCTTTAAGACTGCCACGGGGACAATTCCAGAAAACATCATACAAGAGACAATGGCATGAACCCAGCCTAGAATGAAAGGGGGGATATATGAAAAAAGAGTGGAGGAGGAGATTTTGAGTCTAAAGGCCTATTAGAGGCCAGGGTCCATCAGTCACTCAAAGAAAAGATAGTATGATTAAATGTTGCTTTAGAAAGGTGTATCTGGTAGTAGTATTAAACGATTAGAAGTGGGAAGGCTAAAAAGCAGGGGAATCAGAAGGCTACTATAAAAGTCTTGGCGTAAAGTCCCAACAGAGAACGGTGTCAGGCAAGGATGAGGAAAGTGTGTATTCAGGATGTGATGGGAGAAGACGATCAAGGTCATCAAGTAATTTGGAGTGACTAGAAACATAATGGTACCATTCAGAGAACTGAGTGAGTCTGGAAGATTTTCAAAAAATCAATCATGTATTCTTTTTATATAGATTCACATTAGAGTGACAGTTGACATTCAATGAGATATACACCATAAGGGCGCACGTGCGCGCGCGCGCACACACACACCCCTTCACTGGCTCCCACTGGAACCTACTGACAACCTATTATTTTAACATGACCTTCAAGGCCCTCATTATAACCCAACCCTACTATCTCTTCAAATGTCTTTCTTTTCCTCTTTCTTCTCTCCTTTTTGAAACAGCGTCTCACTCTGTTGCTCAGGCTGGAGTGCAGTGGTACCACCACAGCTCACTACAGCCTTGACCTCCCAGGCTCAAGTGATCCTCCCACCTCAGCCTTCTGAGTAGCTGGAGCCTCCTGAGTAGTTGGGACTACAGGTACTTGCCTCCACACCCAGCTAACATTTTTTTTTTTTTTTTTTTTTTTACTTTTTGTAGAGATGGGGATCTCACTAAGTTGTCAGAGTTGGCTTCAAACTCCTGGGCTCAAGCGATCCCTCTGCCTCAGCCTCCCAAACTGTTGAGATTACAGGCGTGAGCCACCGCACCTCACCTAACATCTGTTTTTCTACTCATCCACTGCAACCAAATTGTGCTAATCGCTCTATGAATAATACATATATCTCCTTCTTGTTTACCAAGCATTTTCACTTACATTAACACATTCATCCTCACAACAATTATAGGAAACAGATAGGAATGATATCCCTATTTTATACTGGACACTCTGGACTTTGGGAAGACCAAATAACTTGCCAAAATGACCTTTTCAAAATATAAATCTGACCTCAAATAAATGACTTATTGAATGAGCACAAAACATTTCTAATGAACTGAGGCATTTAGAAAGGAACTAAAGGTCAAATGTTCCCGAGAGCATAGGAAAAACAGAAGGAAGCCAACTACCCCCGGCCCAGCCAGGCTACACCTGTAACATAAACACCCGATTAGGCACTTCCTTTTTAGATTGATTGTTTACAGAAAAAGGAACCCCAAAATGTCAGTGGATGAATGAGGCTTTTGTGACAAAGAATTCTTTGTAAGTAAAAGAAGTACTGTCACACACAGTCCTCCATAACGAAAAACACAGTCAATAAAATAAGTTCAGTCTGCCTTGACAGTAGTACAGGCCTTTTTGCTTCCCTTTAAAAAAAAAAAAATTAGCTTAACATTTCTCAAGAGAAAAATATTAAGTGAGTTAAAAATAAGCCAATTCAACAGCTTTTATAAAAGTAAAAAAATGTTCTTAATTATCCATGGATTCTAGTCTGTGCTCTGAACTAACAAAGAATCATGTAACTTAACAAAAGTGCAAAACAGATTTAAGTTATAGAATAGTTTTCTAGCTAAATGTGAAAACAGGATCAGGATTTAAGTAGATTACAACTGCACGATAATTAATAATAATCTAAATCTAAAACATGCACTTTCTCCATTCCCATCCCCAAATCCAATACGAGGAAAATATCTATTTTAATGTTCTGTGACTCACAGAATTCCTTCCTTTGGGTTTATCTGTAGAACACTGCATCTTTACAAGTAAGTACTAACAAAAATAAAATAACTGCTCCAAATAAATGTGGCTCAAATACCACCTTTTCAATTGCCTGTCCTTCCCGAACATCAATGTATTCACAGGGATGGTAACAGAGAATATACAAAATACTCCACTATAAGGATTTTTATTAGGTTAAAAAAAAAACAAACCATATTCCTGAAAACACTGCAGGTTGTGTTAGTGGAAAATATGCACTGAGCACTAATCTCAAGAAAGAATGCATGCTCAAGACAGTATGTGAATTATTTCACATCTTATTAATACAATCATCACCTCAAAAGTTATTATCCCCATTTTACAGGTAAGACTGTAAATTATCCCCATTTTACAGGTAAGACTCAGGGATTTAAGTGGCCTGGCTGACAACTATCACAGCTAGTGGCAGAGTTGAAACGTAACCCTCCAAGCCTAGGGATCTACTAAACATGGCTATCATTCTTCAAGGTCTTCTCATAGCCTCTATGACACTCTTCCTGACCCCTTCTCCACACAAAAAAATTATTAAGGCAACATGTATGTATAGTACATATAAAATTATCCCCCAATACCCATGAGGAATTGGTACTAGAAACTCCCAATACCAAAATCCAAGAGTGCTCCAGTCTGGATATAAAATGGCCTAGTATTTGTGTATAACCTATGTACACTCTCCTGTATACTCTAAATAGCTCCAGATTACTTATATCTAACACAACATAGATGCTATGTAAATAGCTGTTATACTGTATTGTTTTGGATTACAAGAAAAAAGTCTGTACGTGTTCAGTACACGTGCAATATTTTTCCCTAATATTTTTGATCCATAGTTGGTTGAATCCCCGGATGTAGAAACCATGGGTATGTATAAATAAATCACACAGACATATTTTAGTCAACTTGAGAGAAAGAATGTACTTCCTCTCCACATCCAGCACCCGCTCCCGCCTCCCACCATGGTATACATGAGACTTAGTTTCTGAGTTCTCCTTACCTGGAAAATGACTGCATAGAAAAATGTAACTGGGGAAGGAACTCAGGATTTTAATAGTTATTTCCTACTAAAATAATCACTATTTGATATATTCTAAAAAGTCTCTTCCAAATGGCTTTTATAACTGAACTGCTTTTATTCTTTGCTGTAGCCAAACCAACCTAAAATTTCCCATGAAAGACATAGCTGTTTCTGGCCCCCATTCTCAGTATGTAAGATGCTGTGCCCACTTCTCTACCACCACCATCCACACAAGGCTGAGCTTTCACCTGCAACAGCTAATATTTATTGAAGACCATGAACCAGACACTATGCTACAAGTTAAGGACTCCTTCACTGAACCCTAACACTCCCAGAGTGGCGGGAGGGAAGCCTCAGTCAGCACCCACTGCCCCAACAACACTATTCACTTTAAAATATCAAATAACCCAGCAGCAGGGGTCAGTTAAATAAAGGTATTTATTAATATTACCAGTGAGCATTAGAACTGGTCATTTTTAAAAAGCATCTTTTTTTTTTTTTTTTTTTTTTGAGACGTTGTCTCACTCTGTCACCCAGGCTGGAGTGCAGTGGCGTGATCTCGGCTGACTACAACCTCCGCTTCTCTGGTTCAAGCAATTCTCTTGTCTCAGCCTCCTGTGCAGCTGGCACTACAGGCGCCTGCCACCACGCCCAGCTAATTTTTATATTTTTAGTAGAGATAGGGTTTCACCTCGTTGGTCAGGCTGGTCTCTAACTCCTGACCTCAGGTGATCCACCTGCCTTGGCTTTCAAAGTGCTGGAATTACAGGCGTGAGCCACTGCGCCTGGCCAAAAAATCATCTTTTTTAGTGCCTGCTATAATAACTGAAATTCTGACAATCAACCTTTTCCTTCTCATTTTAAGTCAGTTACTCTCTCACTAGGATTCTGGCTGCCACATCCACATTCAAGTTATCTTGAAGTAGCATCGTTGATGTTAAAACTCTTTTAAAAGTTTTCTTCCAGTATGTTTCCTATATTGCGAAGTTAATCAAAGTACTTGGTCTATCAAGTACAATTTAGCTAACTAAACTACGCTATGAAAAAGTAACAAGGTTTTTTTTTTTTTTCCCGAGACAGTCTCACTCTGTCGCCCAGGCTAGAGTGCAGTGGCGCCACCTCGGCTCACTGCAACCTCTGCCTCCCAGGTTCAAGCGATTCTCCTGCCTCAGCCTCCAGAGTAGCTGGGACTACAGGCATGTGCCACCATGCCCGGCTAACTTTTTTTGTATTTTTCTTAATAGAGATGGGGTTTCACCATACTGGCCAGGCTGGTCTCGAACTCCTGACCTCGTGATCCGCCCACCTCGGCCTCCCGAAGTGCTGGGATTACAGGCGTGAGCCACCGCACCTGGCCGCAAGGTTTTCTTTTTAATTCACTACTTTTAGTAAGTGAAGGACTCATGGCTACTTGATTTTTGTGAATTCAAATGATGAACTCAAATATGTTTTGTGAGTTCAAATAACACAAAGACATAGGATAATTTTGTGCCTTAGTATCGAAAGTTTACATTTTTATCTTTCATTCAAACATTAGTACTGTTAGTCAAGCAATTAAGCTTTGAAGATCTTGGTGACACAATCTCCAGAGAATCGTCATACCATATTAATCAATAACCACTACTATGATCGTCTACATATTTTATGCTTCTTATACCTTTGTGTCGCTAGTTGGGGACTAAACCTCCAAAATGAGAATACCCATTTTCCCGAACAGTTAACGAATGTCTTTAAGTATGCAAACATTGCTTGCATGTCTTGCTTCCTGTCTTTTCAATGAAACAGCAACAAAACTAGTACCTTTTAAAATACATAGGCATTTTTTTGTTGCTAACACACAATTTATAGTTTGGCTTCCTAATAATAGGAAGACACCCATTTTAAAAACCAAGCGTTTTCAGCTATGCTATATAAGCAGTCTGTAACTTCCTAACACAGGATTGTAACAATCACACAGAGTTCCTAGGACACTCACAGTAGTGAGTGACTTCACTACTGCTCCCTGGCCTCTTTGCTGAATTTTGTACAAGTTACTGGCAGTCCACCGCAGTTGTGTGAGGAATGTGAGATTTATGTACAAGCCTCCTAAAAAAACTGCTGACATTTAAGTTGTAATCCAATGTAATATTTACCATAAAGTCATCCAAATAATAGAAAAACTCTAGAAATGTTACTCTTAAAAGTAAAAACATCCTTGTTGAGCTTTCCTGTATTTCCAATGTAGCCTAAAAAGTATATATTCTACCGGCAACCTGTGTACGTGTTATACCTCAACTATTAACATTGTAACCATGGCATGTCACTAACAGTTGCTGGGCCCAGTCAACTTCAAAGCATGTAATATAAAATTGGCATTAAAGACATGTTCTGTCTGTAAATGTCATTAGTTTTTAAATTTTTTAATAGACAAGCTGATTCAGTACTGGATACAAGGAAGTCCTGTGAGAGCCAGGTGCACTATTCTGGGCCAGTATACCCTTACTTTAATAGAAAAGAGAATTAAAAAGATGCTAACTTTACGTTAACCAATAGTAAGGCTGAAAATACGTCGTTTGGCACACCAAAGAGCTTCACTTAGTAGTTAAGAAAAAGAATGACTCCCAATTAAAATTGCATACTTGTGTCTAAAAGGTTACTTTCGGGGGGGGGGGGGGCGGGGGAAATGCTGCCACACGAATTTCCCTTTACCAGGGTTATCGCCACGGCCCAGTACGGCCCAGCGCAGCATCCACGTGGTTCTCGAGTCCGCCTGGAAGTCTCCGGCGCTAGCCCAAAGCCTGGCCTCCGCGGGAAGAGGCCAAAAGGGCGCCGGGGGCGGGGCCGGCGCGCCGGTCACGTGGGAGGCGCGCGCGGCCGCCATCTTGCAGGGCGGGGGCGGGGAGGAGCCCCGCGCCACGGACCCTATATCGCCGTGCGCTAGCTCCGGGCGTTGCGTGACCTCCGAGCCCCTAAGGCGGGTCGCGGCGCCTCCACGCGAGGGGCGCGCGAGCTTTGGGCTCATCCCTGACGATGGGGAGGTGCGCCCGCCCTCCCCGGGTGCGCGGCGGCGGCGGCGGGAGGCCGAGAACAGCTGGGCCGGACTGCAGCGAATGAGGGCTTAACTCAGCCCACCCACATCAGCGGCCTCTGGAGTGACAGCCTGGGAGCAACATCATCAGATAAAAGGTCAAGGCCAGAACAAGCCACAGCTGGGACTCGGAGGTCACTCTACGCAGCAGAAAATGCGGGGTCGTAACAACTTAATGAGATGTGAATGATGTGTTACGGTAACCCTAAACAACTGCTGGAGAAGTTCACCACACACCACGCATCTAGAAATAGCCCAGTGTCACCTGTAGTACGCGGCCCCTATGATTTATTCCCCCACTTCACTTGACACGTCCTGAGAAGCAGTGATGTGCTGACGTTAATGGCAGGATGCCCAACCTCACTTTGTCCATCCCTCCCAGCACTCACTGGTTGCAGAAAAGGTCACGCATTGCGGTCAACATAAAAATCTCATTACTCTGGTCTGCATGCATCCCTCCCCTTTCTCTACTTGCCCTCCAACACGCTTATTAAAAACAAAATTTAAAGAAAGAAAAGGGAAAGAAAAAAAGACTTTCAGCAGTTAAAATCAGAAATCAAGTACCTTTGTTGGAATAGTATGAATGGAATGATATGAGGTTCCACTGTGGGACATTTTCTTTAGACCTGCAATTTAAGGCTATCTTTACAATATTGTATGTTATTACAATAACATTTTAAATAAGCATTGTTCCTGAATTCATGTTTTTGTCTCTAAATTTAATGGCTGTGCGGCATATAGGACTTTTGGGAAATTAACGAGTAGGCTGAAGAGTGGAGGAGGCTTTTACCATCAGCACACGCACTGCATGCTAGTGGTAAACAGGCGCTGGAAGATGACAAAATTTCAAACTCACCGAGATAATGCTGGGCACTAGAGCGTTACATCTGAGTTTGATAAAATACGTCCCAAAACATGAATTAGTTACCTCACAGAAGCGTCGTTTTAAAAAAGGGGTTCAGGCTAGATTATCTCTAAATTCCTTCCAGCCCCAAATCCATTGATTCCACGGGTACTGAGTCCACAAAGCCACTAGTGAAATACCATGCCCAATTTTAGTTCTGGGGTACTGAATGACAGCAGATATATATATACTGAATTAACGTTCAAGCAAGGAGAGGAGAAAATCCCCTTTTCCATTATCTCCTAGAGATCACCTAAGCTGAAAAACATGGCATCCAAATCAACACCTTTCAAAAGCCTGTGACCCCACAAATAATCTCACTTTACAGTTCTCACTCTTACTGAAACCTACTCCCCACCTTCCCATGGAAAAGTCCTCCTCAAAGACTCACTGGACCCTAATTATCATTAAATTGCTTTCATGGCTGTAAAAAAAATTCATCTTTAATGTTTGCGACAAGTGTCTCATCTGGATTCTCGTCTACTACATTTTGGTGTTTAAGTGATTCTTTTGGGCAACATTAACGCCTATCGTAAACGCTCAACAAATATCCCGGAACCCCAATCTGTAGGCAGGAATCAAGCCCGTGAGAAAGCGCGTGTGCCGGAGGGAAAAAGCATCCCAGGCCGCGCTAGAAAAGGTTTCTCTCCCCGGACAACCTGCGTTACTACTCATCTCAGATCCATTCGCAGGTCTCTACGTCAGATGTCTGCTGGGAACACAAGCCCTCAGAGCAGAAGCCACAAGGACCCGTACGACCCCTTTTAACTCAGGCACACACTGGGCAAAAAAAGTCCCTCTGTGCCAAAGACAAGGGCAGCTCGCCGGGAGCGCACCTTCAGGACACCCCGCCGAGGGCCCGGCAGAGCCCGGAGACGGGAGGCGGAGCCCCGGCCAGGCAGGCGGGGAAGGACGGCGCTGCCTGGGGCTCACTGCGGCTGGCTCTCACACAGGTTCCTCCAGCGCCCGGCGGCTCCCGCACCGAGCGCTGAGATGCTCAGAGCCAAAAACGTCCCGACACTTTTCCTCCGAGAGGGGCCCCGGGCGGGGAGCTCCACGTCTTCCGTGGCAACACCGTGGCACGGAAGGGACTTCTAGAGCATTCTGTGATGGCGGGTGGCTGTGTCTGCCGGGGTGTGGGGTGGGGTGGGGGAGTGGAACGGAGCGGCCCAGCGAGACGAAGCTCAGCCCTCTGGCGCTGGGAGCTGCCGGGTGGGGATTCCGAGCCACCTGCGCCGGGCTGGGGCTCGGGCAAGGGGCGTCCGAGAGCGAGGCCGGGGAGGCCGCCGGGGCAGCGATCGCACCGCGAGTCCAGGGAGGCTCCGTGCGCCTTACCTGGGCCCTGGGGCCGGCAAACTTGCACGGCTCTACCTCCACCTCCGCGTCCTCGGGGCCCCCGCGGAGCGCGGCGCGGAGCCTCTCCAAGTGTTCCCTCAGGGTGACCCGCTGGTGGAAGGAGAAAGCCGGGTGCAGCGAGGCCATGGTGAAGAGCAGCAGCAGTTCCTCCTGGGCCCTGGAGCCAAGCCCGCCGCCGACCCGGGGCTCCACAATGCCGCCTTCCGGGCCTGAGCCGTCCTTCTCGGCGTCCTGCTCGCCGTCGCCGTCCTCGCCGCGCTCGTCCTCCGCGCCGCCCCGCGAGCCCTCGCCCCGGGCCGCGCGCAGGCTTTTGAGCACCGAGTCCACCTGGGGTAGCAGGCGGTGCAGACGGCCAGCGGCCTCCCGGTTCTCCGAGCCCAGCAGCGCCAGGTAGACGATGAGGCGCGAGCGCACCGCGGGCTCTCGGAAGTCGGCCAGCGGCCCCGGGTCCGAGAGGCCGTTGGCCTTGGCCTCCGAGTCGCGCAGGTAGTGGTAGTCCTTGCGCGCCAGGTCCTCCAGGCACGAGCCAAGGAAGCGCAGCTCCAGCGGGTTGCACAGGTCCAGCAGCCCGCACATGAACTCCAGGCGCTGCGCCGAGCCCAGCACCAGCCCGAACCACTCGTATACCCGCTCCTGCTCGCGCAGCGCCGCCGAGGGCCCCCCGCCGCCGCCCGGCATACCCGCCCCCGCCGCCGCTCCACCAGCAACAGGCGGCCCGAGTCCCCGGGGCGGCGGCGGCGGCGGCAGAGGGCCCCGCGACGGGCCCGCGGGCGGCGGCGGCGGCGGCGGGGGGCGGCAGTCGCGGCGGCGGCGCGAAGGCGCCTTCGCGCCCGGCCGCGCGTCCGCCTCGGGCTCCTCCGCCTCGGGCGGCGGCTCCGCGGGGTGCGTTGGCTTCAGCGGCAGCTTCATCCTCAGCATCCTCGGCTAGGGCGGCGCAGACATGCGAGCGGGGGCGGGCGGGAGGGGCCGCGAGGTGGAGCACGGGCCGAGGCGGCGGCGCGGCCGTCAGGAGCGGGGCCCCTCCATGCCGCCGGGGGAGGGCCGGGGCCGGGGGCGGGTCTCGGCCGGCGAGGGGGGCGGTGGCCGGCCGGCGGGGTCGCTGGCGTCGTCTTCCCGGGCTGGGGGCGGGGCGTGCCCGCGACGGCTCCTCCCCCTGGGCTCCTCGCCGGTTCTGGGAGCCCGGGTGCGGGTGGGAGCAAGCGAGCGAGGGTGTCCTCCTTCCGCCTCCCTCTCTCCGCCGTCCGCGCTGAGCCGGGGCGGCGGTGCCTGAGCTGTTCCCTCGCGAGCCGGTGAGGACGGAGCGGCTGGGTGAGGAGGTGGAGCAGCCGGGCCGGGCGGAGAAGCTTGCGGGCTCCGCGCACCTCACCTCCGCCAATCAGCACCGCGAATCGACGGTGACGTCGCTCTCCCCGCCCCCTGGGGGGCCGCCTTTCTCCAGGAAGCCACGCCCAACTGCTGGCCGGCCGCCTCCCTCTCGGCGGCTTCCGTGCGGTCCTAAAGGCTGGTGCTCGGCAGGAGGAGGACGCGGGCTGGGGCCGTGGGGCGGCGTGAGGGTAGCCCGGGAGCGGTGAGGAGCGTGCGAGGCCCACGTGAGCGGAGGGACGCGGCCGCTCTCACCTTTCCTGAGGGCCCTGGCCCGGCTTTGGACTCCTGATTCTCCTCTGCTTGCCAGCTGCCGCCCCGCCTCCGCCAGTGGTGCCCGGGCTGCCTGCGCGGCCGGAGTGAACGCGTCCCGGGAGCAGGGGTTTCTCCGAAGTGAGTGCGCCAGCCCCGGGACGAGCTCGTTCGAGTCCTCACCGCCCAGTGCACTTCCTGAAAGCCGGCGGTGGGCTGTCTCCCACCTTGTGAAACTTTGCCAGGTGTCGCTCACAGGGGACTGGGTCCGGACGCGGGTGGCGGCGCTGGTTTGCGGCCCCGGTTTGCGGCCCCGGCGCCGCGATCCCGGGCCGCGCCCACGCCCAGGCTGGAGGCACCGTGCGCAGGTGGGGACGCGCGGCCGGGAGGTGCGCAGCGGGACCCGGCCGGCCGAGGGTGAGCGCTGCTGGGGACGCTCCTAGTCTGTAACGCTCTGTGAAAATTATTTCCTGGATAGTTTAGGAAAAGCCTCTCCCTTCCCCGCCCCTAAACCTCTATCTTTTGGGAATCATTGATTTGCTAAATGACATTTCGGTGCCTAACCCATTTTGAATCCTTGTTCTGCTGTGAATTTCATGTGACTGGAGGAATTTAATAAGCTACCAACTTGACAGGCTTTAAACTTAAAAAAAAAAAGTTTTGTTACGTTTTTCAGATTTAGGCTTCCAAGATGTTTACACTCGCACTGTTACTTTTTTTTTTTTTTTTTTTTTTTTTTAGCAACATAGTCCAAATTTTTAAAACTCAGCTGGATCTTTTGAGGGTTAATTAAAAGGTGGGTTAAAAAAAATCTTAAGACTTTAAATTTAGAAGTCCTACTACAGCTATGTAGTAGGAGTATGCAGAAAGATAAGAATCACATTGTAACTCTTTGCGGTGGTGCTGGAACATCTGTTGGGAGAGCATATGCTGAACTCTGTTCACCTCACAAGTTTATGTCCTAAGAGGCTCATTCACAGTTCAGTAAAAGGGTGAACTGAAGCCTGAATCAGTTTCGGGGATGAAAGGGTGAGAGGGAGAACTGTTTTCAGCACATTTGAGGTTGGCAAAATATATAAAAGTCACTCTTTCTTGTAATTTGCTAGTTCTTTACAGTCTTTAGATGTAATTTACAGCCAAGAAAACTTTATTATGAGGACTTATACGTCATTGCCCTTTTTTGCTGTCACCCTCAACTACCCTGGGATCTTCTACTCATATCTCATCTCCTGTTCCCACTTTTCTAAAGCTTAGGGTGAAATACTTAGGCAACTAGTAATAATATTAATCTTGCTAGATATTCACAGGTTCATAGTGAGCCAGCTGTCTAGATCTGGATATCTAGTGAGCAAATAAATTCTTTACCTCCGAGTTGATTTTTGTTTTATTGATCGATTGACACAGTCTTGCTCTGTCACCCAGGCTGGAGCACAGGCTCAAGCAGATCCTCCTGCCTCAGCCTCTCAAGTAGCTGGGACCACAGGCACGTGACACCACACCTGGCTAATTGTTTGTATTTTTTTGTAGAGACAGAGTCTCACCATGTTGCCCAGGCTGGCAAATTGAGTTTTATATGTGACGCAGTCAAAGGGGCATTTTCCTTGGCAATAAGAAGCCATTTGATATGAACTCTCCACAATAGTTGATGCATACATTTTATACCAGAATTCAAATTTGTAATCAATAATGATTACTTGGGTGTTTATAGCTTTGGCCAACATTAAACAATATAGTGATCAAAGCTTATACACATAAGTGACATATACCATGATTTAATGATTTTGGTTATCCATCAGCTGGACAATTTGTTGTTTATCTCCGTCTCTGCATACTGCAGCTCACAAGGAGGCCTCAATGTTTTTTCCATGTTACCATAAGTGAGAGAACACATTCAGTAAGAGTGAAAAAACGCTAGTGCTTTTGAGGGAGGGGCCCCGATGGAAGTCCCACTGTGACATGTGAGTTTTTAAGCTGGGAAAACTACCCTGATGATTCTAGTAAGACTCCCTAGAAAGGGATTCCTCTTAGCCAGCCTACCTGTTGAGAACACCTGCTCTAGATTTTCTGATTTTTTTTTGTATTCCCTGCATAATCAAATCATGTGGGCCAGATAACATTATTGTGATAGTGGTGAGTGTGTGGTTTGTATCCAAATATTTTATAAAGAAATATATCTTGTAACAAAAACCAGGACACAAAGTATTATTGTCTCTTGTCCCCAGATGATATATATATTTTTAACTTCCCATACTACACTGATGTACCTAGATGATGTTTAATGCACATTCAGTATATTGTTTTATTTGCCTTTTTAATAGTGAAAGGTGTCATTATTCATATACCATGCCATACCGTAATATAGCTGGTATTATTGTCCAAGTATTTATATGTAACCAGAAAACTGATTCCAAGTGAAGGTTTGGATGAAGGCACTAGTGACGGAGGAGGCTTTTCAACCCTCCTTTTTGCAGCTGGGTTGCTGCAAGACATTTCACCAAAACCTCAGATAACTGGGTGGTTCAGGGCAGCCTGATACACTAAAATATATCAACTATAAAAAGGATGCCCAGATACGTCCACTTCTACTTCAGATATCCTGAAACAGGCAGTCTGATTCATATCAAGAATTTGTTCCCTATGAGACCCCTCTCCCACTACACCTCCCTGTTTCCTCCATTAGAATATAAATATCTTGAAGTCACTGACCATGTTTTATTCAATGTTATGTTTTCTCATCTGGCACACAGTAGATGTTCATCCATATTTGTTGAATAAATGAATGAATGAATGAATGAACAGTGCTCCCGTAACAAAAAGTAAAGGCCAGAAACTCTTGGGTCACCTGGAACCTTGTTCCTACCTACCAGGGAAAAGAAAACATGTCTCAGCATTATCAGACTAGCCCTGAGATTCACTCCAGTTGAATTGGCTGAGGTTCTATGGCCATTCTTGATCAGTCACTGGGGCCAAGGCAGTGAATCAACTTCAGAACCATATGGGTCCCTTCCAAGGAGACCCAGGGCTGTTGGAGAGGGGAAAGAAAAATATGAATGCAGGGAGGCACCAACATATGTCTGATATCATTGTACTTTAATCTGTAGTTTGATCATTTAAATTGCCGTGGGTATAAGGTACCTCAAAAATAAATTTTTGTTTAGTTAGTTCACATACAGCATGTATTTTAAAACAGGTGTTAAATATTAAACTGTCTTTAAAGATTACACTTACAAAGCTGATCTAAAACACCAGTAAGTTATCTGCTGATATACAACTTAAGGAAAAAATTAATTGCATATTAAAATTAAAAATACAAGTTTTTGTTAAGGTTTACAAAAATACGGTGACAGACTTGAGATAGAAATTCTTGGTGGTGTTACTGTGACAAGTATTTCCATTGGTAACCTGGGAATCCATGCCCAGCACTGTGGTATATGGCGTATTTTCTGGAAGACTAGCCTTGGATTGAATTCACAGTCTCCCTGGAGTTGTGGTTCCATTTGTCAGAAAGATTCTTAGGGATTTAGACTGACCAGGCTGTCATGTTCTCACACTCATACATTTGTAATTTTTGGAAAAACCATAAAACCCACCAGTCTTTGGAGACTGTCCAGAAATAAACTTGATTCTAAACTGGTTTGGTTTGGAAAATCCTTAGGCTACTTGTGTTAAAAATTAAAGAACTAGCTGGGCATGGTGGTGTGTACCTGTAGTTCCAGCTACGCAGGAGGCTGCGGCAGGAGGATTGCTTGAGCCCAGGAGTTCGAGGCTGCAGTGTTCTGTGATTGCGTCTGTGGAGCGCCACCGCACTTCAGTCTGGACAACATAATGAAACCTCATCTCTTAGAAATGAACTGGCTGATGTTAGGTACTTGCCAGGGTAGACGACCTTAACTAAGCCCCTGGGGTTCTGTGAGACCTCTGCAAATAGATCTTCTGCTTAACTGTTCAAAAAGGCAAGGGCTGTCCCCCTCAAAAAACAACATTGACTTCTAGAGACCCATGGAGAGATGGAAGTTTCTGAAGACTGGCTTGCTAGATAGGAAAATAACCAATGCTCCAGCAGTGTTCTTGGGATTGGAATTTGCTGATTCATGTTTTTTAAAATGCATGATCACATCAAATTTGCTGAGCTGTTGACTATCAACCCAGCCTAAACCCACCGGCTCTTACCCTTTAACTTTCATAAAAGAGAAGCCTGATTTTGTTCAGGTATCTAGCCTTCTCCCAAAGACCCTGTGTGGCTTGAAGGATACCTTTGCTGGAGCCATGGATAGGATAAATCTCGATCAGTAAAACAATTAGGAAATCCTGTACTTTTGCAATTGGTTCGGAATGATTCGTACATGACAAAGGACACACGAGGCAATTTGGAGGGGCTCTCATTGGCCAAATCTGGCAAAATTTGAGTATCAAAAAGATAAGATGGTACCATTGAATAGAAAGAGAATCGAACTCCATAGGGATTTCAAAGAAAAAGAGGTTGGGGAGGGTGCAGAGAAAAAAAACAACAGCATCTTTATAGAAGAGTGCCCCTAAAAAAATGCAGAAAGAGAGAGTGAGAAAAGTACCACTTTGCTACCACCAAATGTAATAATTGATTAAGGTATTTTCACCATTGAGTGGGAAGTTAAGAAATGAAACATGTATTCTCAAAGTACCACCTCATTTAAAAAGGAGAAGAGGTACTTTTACACGGATAAATCTGATGAATACGACCCCAACCATGTAGTCACAATAATGGGACAATTTAATATGTTCTTCCCCATGTCCTGGATGCCACTGGAAGTGCACACTGCTTGTATGTAATATTCTTGCCAAAATGTTTATGCTGAATCTAATCATGGGGAAGTAAGACAAATCTGGACTGTGGAACATTTTATTAGACAACTGGTCTGAATCTTCAAAAATATTAATGTCGGTCAGGCAGGGTGGCTCACACCTGTAATCCCAGCATTTTGGGAGGCCGAGTTGGGCGGATCACCTGAGGTCAGGAGTTCGAGACTAGCCTGGCCAACATGGTGAAACCCTGTCTCTACTAAAAATACACAAAATTAGCCAGGCATGATGGTGGGTGCCTGTGATCTCCAGCTTCAGGAGGCCGAAGCAGGGGAATCACTTGAACGCGGGAGGTGGAGGTTGCAGTGAGCCAAGATTGCTCCATTGTACTCCAGCCTGGGCAACAAGAGCGAAACTGTCTCAAAAAAAAAAAAAAAAAGAAAAAAAAAAGTCATGGCCAGGCATAATGACTCACACCTGTAATCCCAGTACTTTGGGAGGCCAAGCGGGGAGGATGGCTTGATCCCAGGAGTTTGAGACCAGCCTGAGCAGCAAGACCCTGACTCTACAAAAAATAAAATAATTAGCTGGGTGGGGTGGCACATGCACGTGGTCCCAGCTACTCAGGAGGCTGAGCTGGGATGATTGCTTGAGCCTGGGGTTGTGCCACTTGCACTTCAGTGTAGGCAACTGAGCGAGACCCTGTCTCATTTGAAAAAAAAAAAAAGTCATGAAAGCAAGCACAAGCAGAAGACTGATTGTTGAGACATGACTACCAAATGCAATTCATAATCTGTGATTAGATCCCAGATTTTAAAAAAAAAACCTCTAAAAGACATTTTGGGAATAATTAGGTAAATTAAGTAAAATTTAATATGGATTTCTTATTACACACTGTTATTGTATCAATGTTAACTTTCTTAGATGAGATAATTACTTTGTGGTTATCTAGGAAAATGTCTTTGTTTCCCATAAATACATGCTGAAACACTGAAGGATGAAATGTCATGGTATCTACATCTTATTTTCAAATGGCTCAGAAAAAAAATTTTATAGAGAAATAAAGCAAATGTGGCAAAATGTTGATAATGGGCAAATCTAGGTGAAGGGTGTATGTGTGAACATTGTACTATTTTACATTTCTGTAGCTGTGATTTTTATAAAAGTAGAAAAAGTAAAAGTAGCGAAATGATCACAAAACATCCACAGCGTGAATAAAAAAATAAATAAAACTATATTATATGAACACTGTTTAACATTTAAAGTTGTTTAACTGGTTTTGTAAATGGGATAAAATATTAATCAAAGTCCCCTGAGAGCTATTCCTAAAATAGAATAATAAGATTTATGAAGGGAACTTAAAAGCTTAATGGAGAACTGGTTTTCTGAATGTGTCACCTCCATATATTGATATTTCAAAAAATTAGAGAGTGAAACTGGTTACAATCAACTTGTAATGGCTTGCAGAGTTAGTGTCCCAAGAGTTAGTGCGACAGTATGTTCTGAAGGAAACCTGAGACAGTCAAGTCCAAGCAAGGTCATCCTCAGAGAGAAATGCTCCTAAAAAAGGCTGCAAAGCAATCACACTGAAACTGAATGATGTGAAATCACAGTGGAGTTCCCTCTAAGTGAATTCTCTTATTTAATGAATGCTTGGAATCTAAAGTAGGGGCAATTGACAGTATACACATTTGCTAAGGTTGATGCAGCACTTTTCAATGTTAACAGCTACTGTATCTGGTGGACGTGGCCTTTTATCACCAGAAAGACCTACTCTGTCCTGGAGAAGAGTTAGTTCTTTGGGCTTTTCCCTTACCCTCAGGAAAAATCTCTAAGATCATCAAACTTTCTTTCTGTGATCGTGATTCAGAGCCAAATAACCTTTTGATTAGCAACTCACTTTCCCAGTGTCTTAATGCTGGGAAACAGAATATTCTAGGGGAATAGAGATATATAACCCACTTGCAGGAAGATGTTCTGCTTGGTAAATGAAACCATTGACATTCTGATGTATCAGTCCCTTGCAAATTTAGTCAGAGGGGTCACCCCCCACCTGAATTTTATCAATTTGGAATAAACAAGATTGCCTATGTATGATGACTTAAACAGCCCCTTGTTCTTGTATTTTGACATCATTTTAATTTGTACATTGTTTAAACTTAAATAACTACTTAGATCCCAAACAATACCATTTCAAGGATACTGTTTCTTCCTTATTAAAAAAAAAAAAAAAGCTCGGAGGAATTATAGAAAAAAAATTCTAGTCCGGGTGCGATGACTCACACCTATAATCCCAGCAGTTTGGGAGGCCGAGGCAGGTGGATCACTTGAGGCCAGAAGTCCATGACCAGCCTGGCCAACATAGCGAAACCCTGTCTCTACTAAAAATACAAAAATTAGCCGGGCATGGTGGCACATGCCTGTAGTCCCAGCCACTTGGGAGGCTAAGGCATGAGAATCACTTTAACCCAGGGAGGCGGAGGTTGCAGTGAGCTGAGATCACGCCACTGCACTCCAGCCTGGGCGACAAAGCAAGACTCTACAATTTTAAATATTACTTATCAACCTTAGAGGGCTGGCTACAAACCTTATGTAAAGAAGTAAATACATGTTAGAGACTCTTAAATCCCATGAACAGCTGATTGCTTTTTAAAAAATGTACTTTTAAAACAAAAATGATGTTTAAATTATGATCAAATAAATGGTGAATTTCTTTAGTTCATTTAAAACTATTCAACTAAAAACAAATTTGTTTATAATGTAGAAATATATGTGTATTCGTTTTCATTTTTTCAACTGGTTATAATGGAGTTATGTGGATACATTCTAAGCAAATTAAACCACACTCTTACCACATTAATCTCAGAGCTTATCCACATATCAGAACACTAGTTTTATAGTCTGACTATACTTGAAATATTCACAAATATTTATTTTGCTATTAATCCTTGGGTCAAAGTTTATTTTTCTTGAATGCAATATTTGTATTTCAAATGTTCCATCAACATTTACAACTTTTAAAGTTTTCATCATAAGTCTCAAACATCTTGCTGTTTTTTTTTAAATCATGAATGGGTATTGGATTTTGTGCAATGCTTTTTCTGGTCTTTTGAGATGTTGAGATGATGCTTTTTCTGGCTCTGTGCTTTATTATATGGTGTATTATGTTAACTGATAATTCAGATGTTAAACCAACCTTGCATTCCTGGGATAAGTTCCACATGGTAATAATATAGCATTTTTTTTTTGTATATTGCTAGATTCAGTTTGCTAATATTTTGCTGAGAATTTTTGCATCTAACCTCATGAGGAACATTGGTCTGCAATTTTCTTTTGATGTCTTTGGTTTTAGTATCAGGTTATTACTGGTCTCATAGTATGAGTTGGGAAATATTCCTTCCATCTCTGTTTTATGAGTTCATTAAGGATGGTATTAAGTATTATTTAAATGATTTATAGAATCCTCCAGTGAAAACAACTGGACCTGGGATTCTTTTCATGTGGGAAGACTTAAAATTACAAATTCAACTTCTTTACTTGGTATAGGTCTATTCAGAATTTATATTCTTGTTGAATCAGTATTGGCAACTTTTATATTTCTAGGAATTTGTCCATTTCATCTAAGTTGTCTAGTTGGTTAGCATAAAGTTCTTCCTAGTGTTCTCTTACAACTCTTTTTGTTTCTATAAGGTCAATGGTGATGTCTCCTCTTTCATTATTTTTGGTAATTTGTGTCTTCTCAGTTTTTTCTTCATCAGCCTAGATAAAGTTTTGCCAATATTTTGATCTTTTCAAAGAATCAACTTTTAATTAATTGATTTTTCTTATTGCTTTTCTGTTTCCTATTTCATTGATTTCCTCTCTGATCTTTATGATTTCCTTCTTTCTGATTTCTTTGAGTTTGGTTACTTTTTTCTAGCTTATTAAGGTGGAAGTTTACATTATCAATTTGAGATTATTCTTTTCTATTGAAGGTGTGATTAAAGGTACACATTTTTCCTATATATCCTGCTTTAGCTGCATCCCATATATTTTGATAGTTTTTTTCTCTGTTCCATTAAAAATATTTTCCAATTTTGCTTGTGCTTTTTTCCTTGGCTTATTTAGAACTGTGTTGTTTAATCTCTAAATATTTTTAAATTCCCTAAATTTTCTCATGTTGTTGATTTCTCATTTAATTCCATTGTGGCCAGAAAATAAACTTTGTAATATTTCAGTCCTCTGTTTTTAAAAATTCATTTGGGCTTGCTTGATGGCCTAGCTTATGGCGTGTCCTGTAGAATGTTTCATATGTGCTTAAAAAGAATTCTGCTGTTGTTGGGTGGAGTGTTCTATAGGTATCAGTTAGATCAAGTTGGTTGCTAGTGTTGCTCTAGTCTTCTATATCCCTGCTGTTTTTCTGTCTAGTTGTTTTTATCAAATATTGAGAGTGAAATATTGAAATCTGTAACTATTTACCATTTTTGTTGCTCTTCATTTCTTCTCATAGATTGGAGTTACTCTTTGGAACATTTCCTTGTTCTAGAGCTTCATTCTCTCCTTCCTTTTTTGTGTTATTATAGTTATCTACGTCACATCTTTATATTTTATAAGCTCAACAATAGTTTTATAATTATTTCATATAGTTGCATTTTCAATTAAGAAAAAAACCAGTCTGGGTCCAATGATTCACACCCTTAATCCTAGCACTTTGGGAAGCCAAAGGAGGAGGATCACTTGAGGCCAGGAATTTGAGACATGATGAGACACTGTCTCTACAGACATTTTTTTAAAAGTTAGCTAGGTGGGGTGGTGCATGCCTAGCTACTCGGGAGATTGAAGTGGGAGGATGGCTTGAGCCCAGGAGTTTGAGGTTGCAAGTGAGCTATGATCACACCACTGTACTGCAGCCTGGGTGACATAATAAGATCTATATCTAAAACAAAAAAAAAAGAAAAAAAGAAAAAAGAAAGATATTTATACTGTCTTTTATTGTTACATATATTTAATACTTACAAAAACTACCTTTGAGACTGCTCTGTTTCTTTATGTGAACTTGAGTTATCATCTGCTGTCATTTTCCTTCATCCTCAAGGATTCCTTTAGTATTTCTTGTAAGGCAAGTCAGCTAGGAACACATTATCTCGGTTTTTTTTGTTTGTTTAGTTTTTTGGAATATCTTTATTTGGCCTTTATTTCCAAAGAAGAGCTTTGCTGAATATAGAATTCTAGGTTGACAGGTTCTTCTTTTTTCCTTTAGTTCTTACAATATGTCATCCTATTGTCTTCTGGCCTTCACTCTGATGAAAATTCAGTTGTTAACATAATTGTGGGTTCCCTTGTATATAATGAGTTATTTTTGTCTTGATACTTCCATGATTTTCTCTTTGTCTTTGGCAGAACCCAGTGAAGATGAAAATGTGAAGTCCCTTTGTTCAGAAATTAAGAGTTTCAAAGTAGTGATGGGAAAGGCAGCCCTGATCTTTGGCTTTCAACAATTTTACTATGACTTATCCATGATATGTCAGTGGTTATTCTGTTTGGAATTAGTTGAGCTGCTTGAATGTGTAGATTAGGTTTTTCATCAAATTGAGAAGTTTGGGGCATTATTTCTTCAAATATTTTCTCTGCACCTTTCTTCTCATTCTGGTACTCTCATTATACACATGGTATCCTTCAGGTCTGTGAAGCTCTGTTCATTTTGTTATTCTTTTTCTTCTGTTCTTTAGATTGAATCTACTTCCAAGTTCATAGATTCTTCTTCTGCTATCTCAAACCTATTGAACCCCTCTAATAAATTTTTCATTCCAATTACTGTACTTTTCAACTTCAGAATTTCCATTTGGTTCTTTTTAATAATTTCTCTCTTTTCATCAGTATTCTCTATTTGATGAAATATTGTTGTCATCCTTTCATTTAATTATTTAAACATTATTTTCTTTAGTTATTTGAATGTATTTAGTCTTTGTCTAGTAAATCAAACATCTGGCCCCCCTCAGAGGTGGTCTCTATTGAGTGCTTCCATCCTCCCCTTCCACTGTGTATGAGTTATACTTACTGTTTCGTAGCATATCATAATTGTTGAAAACTGAACATTTTAGATAATGTGCTATACCAAGTTTGAATTCTGGTCCCCCTCAACTGCAGGTTGTTCTGATTTCTGTTTTGCTTGTTTGTTTAGCGATTTGCATGAACTAATTCTGTGGAATCTGGCTCCCTCACAACATGCAGCAGCTAATGTTTCTGCTCAGTTAATATTATTATTGTCGTTATCATTGTTTTCACTTCATGCCTAATTTCCTAAGGGTTACCCTGGGCCATCATAGCTTACTGGTCAGCCAGTGAGTGGTCAGAAGTTGTGCTTAAAACATCTTGATCTAATAAAGCTTCTACTTTTTAACTGACAGATTTGTGTTTAGGTGAAGATCACATGCAGTGTACAGGCAGTTTACAAGTCTACCCTGCTTTTATTTTTTTTATTTTATTATTTTTTTGAGACGGAGTCTCACTCTGTCGCCCAGGCTGAAGTGCAGTGGCATGGTCTCGGCTCACTGCAACCTTCACTTCCCAGATTCAAGTGATCCTCCTGCCTCAGCCTCCTGAGTAGCTGGGATTACCGGTGCATGCCACCACGACTGAGCTATTTTTTTTGTATTTTTAGTAGAAACGGGGTGTCACCATGTTGGCCAGGCTGGTCTCAAGCTCCTGACCTCAAATGATCCTCCTGCCTTGGCCTCCCAAAATGCTAGAATTACAGGCATGAGCCACCATCCCGGGCCAAGTCTACGCTGATTTTAGTATCTGTATCATAAAGCCTCATATTCAGTCAGCTACATAGCTAGCTAAAGCCATCTCTGGCCTCTCCTGAGCATATGCACAATTATGCATATGCAGGCAGTCTTCCAGACCCCCAGGGATATGTGAGAGCTTATCAGTGCCTACTGTGGCTGTCTCAGTCCCCAGATCACACTGTTAAATTTCTGGTTGGTCTGCTGGTATGTTGTTTACCCTAAACAGTGTTGCAACCTCAGGCTAGCTGCAATACTGGACTTCCCTGATTGTTTACCACTGAGATCCCTATTGTTTTTGACAGTGCTCCTGGGCATAGGTTTTTTTCAAGCTCTGGTACAAATGAACGCAGCCCCTTCTGCCAGCTACCTCCCATGACCTGCTCTGTCCTGGTAGAACTACCACACGATGAAGCTATGGGAAAAGGGTAGATAGGAACAGCCCCGGGGTAAAACACCACAGACCTCCACTGAGCTTACTAAAGTTTAGTGATTTTTTTTCAAAATAATTTCCTTTCAAGTTGTTGTATGACTTTGGTCAATTTACAGTGTACTGACATGGTTGTTTTTGATAATTTTGTCAAATTTTATCATTGCTTTTTGGGGAAAGGATTTGCCATGCTTCTTCCTCAGGCATTCTGGCAATCCTTCCGTATTTTTTGTAAGTGGTTTCTATAGGGGTGCAATAGACATTCTTAACTTTTCACAGTAACTTTAATGTTGTTTCCACTTTATGCAAAATGTAGAAACCTTGTAATAGAATATATAGATTCATTTACCACAACTCATGGTAAACACTTCCCCTGTCTCCTGTTCTTTTTTTTTTCAACTCCCAGTCAGTGAATAGATCTGCTCTTCTTTATGCCTTAGTTACTGTATATCTACCTACAGGTTTCAGGATTTGGATTAAGTAATGATTGGGCCCTCTTTCATTCAAAAAATACAAATGCTTTGAAGAGAGAAAAAACTATAACAAAAACTCTACATGTGTTCTGCATCTTTACATGTGTTCTCATCTCTTTATGTGTTCAATATGTATAGTACATGTCTCATGGTTTAGAATTCTTGAAAGAGGAAAGAAAGCCTTTATGTTTTAGGGACTAGTTACTAAAAGAATGGCTGTAATTCTTTTACTGTATAAAAGGTGCAAATGGTTATTTGGGGCAAAGGTATTATGTGCAGAGTGAGTGATCTGTGAACGCTTGCAATACCTTTACCCTTGTGCAATCACTCAGAACTGAACTTACATATCTTTTACACAGGAGAGAATTGGCATCCACCAATGTTTTGCTACTATTGATCCCAATCACTAAAATCTCTTAGAAATTTCAGGAAATGGTATATTTTCCATCCCTTACTATTCTAGTTTAAAGCATTAAGATTGGGGAAAATCTTTTACACCTTTGTTTCTGGTTTTTTTTTCCTTTGGAATATAATTTATTTACTTTTCAATGCTATCTTTTAGGATATATTTTTTCTCTTGTCCTAAAATTATCTCTTGGTGGAGGGCACTGTTAACTTTTTGCTTTGTGTGTGTGTAGGCTCATGTTATGCTATGTGTATGCTATTTTATGCTATGTGCCTGGTTATAACACATTTATCTATTTTGGAAAGTTAATTTTTAGCAATCAGAGAACATGTTTATCTCACTTGCCAAGAATAGATACTTTACGTTTCTGTTGCATTTCTTGTCTGCAGTGTTTCTCATCTCTTCCCAATTCTTTTAAATCTTAACCACGCTTGAGAACCCAGCTTGAATCACGGCTGGTTCCAGGACTCTTCCCCGGCTCTTCCACCTGGAAATGGTCTTTTCCTCCTTCCTTCATTTATTTCGCAAATAAATATTGAGTGCCCACTCTTTGTAAGACACTGATTAGGTAATAGAAGCTATGTAAAAGTTGTGACAAATAATTTTGCACTGGTAGATATGTGTTTCTATGCAGTCATGCACTGTATAACAATGTTTCAGTTAACCTAGGTTTGTATAAGTATACTCTATGATGTTTGCACAACAGTGAAGTCACGTAATGATGCACTTCTCAGAACATATTCCCATCGTGCAGAGATGCACAAGTATATCATATTTTCTCGGTTAAATTGTGATTTACTTGGGGGTACATCCTTCTCCTTATTGTTTCTTGTATTCCTTATAAAATTTAGCAGGGTGACTTCTACATAGTAAGGGTTCAAGAAAAAGCTGAATTTATATGATTATATTTGTAAATTTTCTTTAAATATACTTAGGTATGCAAGACACAAATAGTTCTTTTCTTTTTTTCTTTTGAGACAGAGTCTTGCTCTGTTGCCCAGGCTGGAGTGCAGTGGTGCGATCTTGGCTCACTGGTTAAAGCAATTCTCCTGCCTCAGCCTCCCAAGTAGCTGGGATTACAGGCACGCGCCACCATGCCCAACTAATGTTTGTATTCTTAGTAGATACGGGGTTTCACCATGTTGGCCGGGCTGGTCTCAAACTCATGGCCACCTTGGCCTCCCAAAGTGCTGGGCTTACAGGTATGAGCCATCACTCCTGGCCTAGGACTGAGTTATTTGAATGCAAATCAGGAAATGGCACATCGGAATTTATTATTTATTTTATTTTATTTTATTATTTTCTAGAGATGGGGGTCTCTCTATGTTGCCCAGGCTGGCCTCAACTCCTAGCCTCAAGTGATACTCATCACATCAGAATTTAGGGTACAAATATAGTCCATAACAATTGGAAATTTTAGTCCAGTCACCTCATTTTCCAACGCTATGATAAACATCCTTGTGAATGCTGTTCTCCTGGTCTAGAAGGCTCTTCTCAGCCTTCTGTGTGTCTAAGGCCCACCATTCTTCATTGTCAGGTTCCACCACTTCCAGAAGACAATAACCTGTCTTCCCCAACCATTTCAGTCCATACGGGTGCCATCTCCCTCTGAACTACTGTAGCACTTACCACCTAGTTCAGCAACCAGATTTCCCCAGCAACTCTTTCTATGTGGAATTCTTGTCTATTCTACGGGATATGGACCACATTATATATATACTTCTCTTTATGCCTGTGTGTCAAATACATTACTGATTAAAGCTTGGTTTTAAAGTCCAAATGTGGTCATATTGGTGAACTGCTATAAACCTTGCAGAGGCATTAGTAAAATAAAGGACTTCTTTTGGTACAAATTAGATGTGTGACAGGCTGCTTTTAACAGAGTATTGGCTTCACACAACTTTAAGTAGTGATTTTACCAGAAATGTTTACATTAAACAGCCTTTTTAGAAAGTAAACTGTTACAACTATCTTGTAAAGTAACCTAACAATATGTATCAAGAATCTTAAAACTTTTCATACCTTTTAGTGCACCTATTTTGGGGAGTTTAACTTAAGGAAACAATCCTAAAGCAGAAAAATAAAAAGCTTTGTATGTAAACATGTTTATAATAGGATATCAGTAATATTGTTGTTCCCAAAAAAGTGAATGAGCAAATACATTATATATACGTATACATACACACACAATATTTTATATGCTGATTGTTTCCACTTGTATTTCCCTGTGTTGATACAAATTTTACTAACTACATTTTTACTAGATATGTAATATTCTCTCATGTATATATAAAATTATATGTTTTATATAACATGTATAATTTAAATTTAAATATATAATATAAATTTATAATTTATATATAGTTATATAATATATATTTTTATATATGTATGAGAGAATATGTATCTAGTAAAAATATAGTTGGTAAAATTTGTATCAACACAGGGAAATACAATAAGTGGAAACAATCAGCATATAAAATTGTATATATGACATAGTCAAAATGATACACAAAAATATGAGTAGAAAGAAGAAATGAGAGGGAATATACCAAAATGCTAAGATGAGTTTTAGTGCCTGGATTGCCATTTAGATTTTTGTCTTTTTCTTTCTACTTTTTTTCTGTTTTCCAAATCATCAAAATTGGGCATAATTTCTGAATAAAAAAGAATATAATTTCAAATATGGAGGAGGCATCAAGGATTTAAATTTCAAGTAGACAGTTTTTAGAGTTTAAACATTTTAGTGATTTCGTGTCTGAAGTATGTGATTGTCCAAATTGTTGGATCTTCCCCACCCCCGCCCCTGCCCCCAACCCCGCCAAGTGCCGTCAGGTCTGGCGAGTGTCTAACCACTTGGTGGCCAGTTTAAATCTTTCCCACAAACTTTCTAGTTTATGTTGTCCCATGAGCCCTGGGGCAGTTTGGATTTTTGCAGAACTGAGAATAAGCTATGAATGAAAAGAAGAAAATGGGATTATAGATTCCTTTCCTCCACTTTATGGCCAGAATACTAGGTAGCTCAGGAAGTTCTGAATCAGTCCTTTTTCTAGGCAAAGGCAGAAATCCTGGGCTTGGGTTCTTCAAGGTAGGCTAATCAGGGTGTCAGAGATTTTTGGTGTCCTTTTAACATCCAGGAATTACAGATAAGGTAAATCAAGCCACGAACACATAGGTACTCAGGCAGCGATTGGACAAATTTATGCTCTACTACAGCAGATACATTTTGCCAATGCTGGAATAAATTGGCAAGGTACTAAGGTTTACCTCTGTTTAAAATTCCTGCTTGGGAATATCTACCTTAGAATAACTGTTCATTTTAATCAGGTTAAAGGGCACCAAGGAACAATTCTAACAAACAGAATCAGATAATACTAGTAAAAAGGGAAAGAGAATATCCTGAGAAACAGAACTGAAACTTAAGTGATAGGAGGAAAATGAAACGAAACTGAAACTTAGCCAGCAAAGCTATTTAAAAAAAAAAAAAGTCTCGATCTTAACAGAGACCTAGCAGGTAACTATATATGAGCCAGTATTATCAAAAGTAAAACCAATAAATGTTGTACATTTTCCTACGTTACACTTGAAAGAAACTCTTAACCAGCAGTGTGAGCTGCATGACCTTGCTGCAGCCACTGACGTTCTCTGAGTCTCAGTTTACTCATCTGTGAAAATAGGTGTAACAGTACATGCCAGCCTCAATTAAATACAGAACTTCAGGGCTTGAGGGGGTCTTGGAGGTCATCAGATCTTGGCTCCTCCACTGGACCAGGGCCTTGGGGCTACCATGCTTACCTTGTTGGTGTAAGTGAGCTCTCGCAGCAGCCAGACATACTGCAGAGCCCATTGTGGGTGCAGGCAAACTGACTCCCAGGTCATGTGCAAGAGGCCATGAGAGAAGACAGGAGGATATTCAACCAATCTGGCTTCAGAAGGAGGCTCTGTGAGGACAGCTGAGTGGCCCAAGGTGGCTCAGACAGGGTACAAGCAATCGTCATCCTCAGAGTGGGACTCCATAGTGTGATAAAGCAGCCATGGAGCGGGGACAGGAGACAGGGACGGGACACCACCAGGGCAGGGGACCCATGCAGACAGGACCCTGAGCTCAGAAGGGCCCTAAATGTTCTGCCAACACCTTCTTGATATTTTTTCTTTTCTTTTTTTTTTTTTTGAGAAAAGGTTTCACTCTGATGCCCAGGCTGGAGTACAATGGTGCAAATACAGCTCACTGCCACCTCAACCTCCAGTAGTCCTCCCACCTCAACTTCTTTAGTAGCTGGGACCACAGGCGTGCCCCACCACGCTTGGCTAAGTTGTTTCTTCTCTTCTTTGTAGAGATAGGGCCTCACTGTGTTGCCCGGCCTGGTCTCAAACTCCTGAGCTCAAGCGAACCTCCCACCCTGGCCTCCCAGTATGCTGGGATTACAGATGTGAGCCACTGTCCTGGCGTCATGGTGAAATTCTTAATTTTGTTAAGAGACATCCCCACAATTTCATTTCATACAGGCTCTGCAAATTATGTAGCCAGTGCAGGGTACAACATCCAAGATCTGCTGAACAGAGGGCTGGAGGGGAGGGGTTGTGACACAGGGTGATCAGAAACTGCTCTGGGATGTGTGACACTTCCCAAGCCTCAATAAACGGTAGAATGGGAATAGACTGCTTCCTGGCCCCTCAGGACTGGCTTAGCCATGAAGGACTAACCTGGATGTTCTTGGGGACTGTGGTTGATTCCCATGGAGGCAGCTCCACAGAGGTCCTGGGCTCAAGTGTGGTACCTGAGAGAGGGTCAAGAGTCTGGTGGTTGTTGTCATTTTAAAATTTATTCTATTTTATTGATGTAAAGTTCACTCAACATAAAATTAACTAAAACCTGAAGGTAGCTTTTTACAATATTTTAAATAGTTTTGTGCACGAAACAAAGTTTGTGATAAGTATTTTTGTGTGGAATTTACCACTTGTGGCATCATATCAGCATTCAAAAAGTTTCAGATTTTGATGATGAGTCGAAAATGCATTTAATACACCTAACCTACCAAGCATCAGAGCTTAGCCTAGCCTGCCTTAAACCATGCTAAGAACATTTACATTAGTCTACAGACGGGCAGAATCTTCTGTAACACAGTTGATGTAGTTTGGATATTTGTCCTCTCCAAACCTCATGTTGAAATTGGCCAGGCACAGTCGTTCATGCCTGTAATCCCACCACTTTGGGAGGCCGAGGCGGGCGGATCACGAGGTCAGGAGTTCGAGACCAGCCTGACCAACATGGGGAAACCTCGTCTCTGCTAAAAATACAAAAATTAGCTGGGCATGGTGGCACGCGCCTGGAATCCCAGCTACTCAGGAGGCTGAGGCAGGAGAATCGCTTGAACCCGGGAGGCGGAGGTTGCAGCACTCCAGCCTGGGAACAGAGTGAGACTCCGTCTCAAAAAAATAATTATTAAAAAAAAAAAAAAAAAAAAGAGGGAGAAATTTGACCCTGTGTTGGAGGCGGGGCCTGGTGAGAGGCGTTTGGGTGGAGGTGGGGCCTGGTGAGAGGTGTTTGGGTCAGGGAGGTGGGTCCCTCATGAATGGCTTGGGTCCTGTCCTTGTCCTCACAGTAATGACTGAGTTCCTTTTCTACCGGTTCCTGCAACCAGACGGAGTTTCGCTTTTGGCGCCCAGGCTGGAGTGCGGTGGGCAATCTCGGCTCACTGCAATCTCCGATTTCCGGTTTCAGGCGATTCTCCTGCCTCAGCCTCCCGAGTAGCTGGGATTACAGGCGCCCACCACCATGCCCCGCTAATTTTTGTATTTTTAGTAGAAACAGGGTTTCACCATGTTCACCAAGCTGGTCTCAAACTGCTGACCTCGTGATCCGCCCGCCTCGGCCTCCCAAAGTGCTGGGATTACAGGCGTGAGCCACTGCGCCCGGCCTCTTGCAACATTTGACTGTTAAAAAGAGCCTGACACCTCCTTCCCTCCCTCCTCCTCCCACTCTAGCCAAGCGATGCTTTATCTCCTTCCCCTTCCGCTATGATCACAAGTTTCCTGAGGTCCTCATCAGAAGCAGATGTTGGCAGCGGGCTTCTTGTGTACCCTGCAGAATTGTGAGCCAAATAAATCTCTTTTCTTTATAATTTTTTTTTAAAGGCCGGATGTGGTGGCTCACGCCTGTAATCCCAGCACTTTGAGAGGCCGAGGCAGGCGGATCACGAGGTCAGGAGTTTCAGACCAGACTGGCCAACATGGTAAAACCCCGTCTCTACTAAAAATACAAAAATTAGCTGGGCGTGGTGGCGGGCGCCTCTAGTCCCAGCTACTCTGGAGGCTGAGGCAGGAAAATCCCTTGAAACTGGAAGGCAGAGGTTGCGGTGAGTCGAGATCGCACCACTGCACTCCAACCTGGGCGAAAAAGCGAAACTCCATCCCCCCCACCCCCCAAAAAAGTTTCAGAGTTTGGAGCATTTCAGATTTTAGATTTTCGGATTAGGGATGTTCAACTGTGTAGAATTCAGTTGTATTTGGTGCGTTCACTGTACTGCGCAACAATCCGCTGTAGCTTGCTCCAAAGCATTTGTGTGACCTGAAAGGAAATCCTGTACCCATGAAGCACTCACTCCCCACTCCCCTCCTCTCTTCAATCCCTGCCAACAGCTAAAGTATTTTTGTCTCTGTGGGATTTACCTCTTCCCAATATGCCATACAAATGCAATCCTACAATCAATGACATTTGGTGTCTGTCGTCTCACTTCTCATACTGTTTTTGAGTTCATCCCCATGGTAGAATGAAGCATGTAGCATTGCGGTATTATGGCTGAATTATATCCCATGGTAGGTGCCTACCACGTTTTATTTATCTGTTGACGGGCATGTGGGTTGCTTTGCCTTTTGGCTATTGTGAATGGTGGTGCTATGCATATTACTGTACAATTATTTGAGTACCTGTTTTCCGGTTTTTTGAGGTATATACCCAGGATGTTAAATCGTATGATAATTCTGTATACCTTTTTGAGGAACTACCAAACTGTTTTCCACAAGGGCTACATCACTTCACAATGGTTCTAACTTCTCAATATCCTCGCCAATACTTGTTACTTTCTGTTATTTTCATTTTTATTTTTTGGACGGAGTCTCGCTCTGTCGCCCAGGCTGGAGTGCAGTGGCGCGATCTCAGCTCATTGCAAGCTCCGCCTCCTGGGTTCACGCCATTCTCCTGCCTCAGCCTCCCGAGTACCTGGGACTACAGGCACCTGCCACCACGCCTGGCTAATTTTTTGTATTTTTAGGAGAGACAGGGTTTCACCTTGTTAGCCAGGATGGTCTTGATTTCCTGACCTCGTGATCCACTGGCCTCGGCCTCCCAAAGTGCTGGGATTACAGGCGTGAACCACCGCGCCCAGCCCCTATTTTCTGTTTCCCTCCCCCCACCCAACTGTAGCCATCCTCCTCATGTGTATGAAGTGTATTTTATTGTGGTTTTGATTTGCATTTCCCTAATGACTAATGGTGTTGTATCTTTTCATGTGCTTGTTGGTCATTTATATATCTCCTTTGGAGAAATGTCCATTCAAGTCCTTTGCTTATTTTTGAATTTGATTGTGTTTTTTATCATTGAGTTTTTTTTTTTTTTTCCTTAGATGGAGTTTCACTCTTGTTGTCCAGGCTGGAGTAGTGCAATGGCGCGATCTCAGCTCGCTGCAACCTCCTCCTCCCAGGTTCAAGTGATTGTCCGGCCTCAGCCTCCTGAGTAGCTGAGATTACAGGCATGCACCACCACGCCCCGCTAATTTTGTATTTTTAGTAGAGACGGGGTTTCTCCATGTTGGTCAGGCTGGTCTCAAACTCCTGACCCCAGGTGATCCGCCTGCCTCGACCTCCCAGAGTGCTGGGATTACAGGCATGAGCCATCGCACCCAGCCTTTATCATTGAGTTCTAAGAGTTCTTTATATATTCTGGTTACAAGTCCCTTTATATGATATATGATTTGCAAATATTTTCTCCCATTGTTTTAGGTCATCTTTTGTTGACAGTGTCCTTTGATGCACAGTTTTAAATTTTTATGAGTCCCATTTATTTTTTCTTTTGTCACTTGTACCTTTGTGTTATTTCTAATAATTCATTGCCAAATCCAAGGTCATGAAGATTTACCCCTATGTTTTCTTACAAGAGTTGTATAGTTGTAGCTTCTAAATATAGGTCTTTGATCCATTCTGAGTTAATTCTTGTGTAAGCTGTAAAATAGGGGTCCACCTTCATTCTTTTGCATGTGAATATCCAGTTATCCCAGCATAATTTGTTGAATGACTATTTTTCCCCATTTTATTGTCTTGGCACCCTTGTCAACTAGCTATAGGTATATGGGTTTATTTCTGGGCTCCAAATTCTATTCCATTAATCTATATATCTTGTCATTTTGAATCAGTATGGATAGGAATGTGTCACAATGGGCTGTAGTCTACCTTGCACAGAGGCATGGTAAGTGACATGTCAATACATCCTGGCCAAAGGTCAGATACATAGGGTTTGGTAAATTTGATAAGAAGAGTGGAGCTATGAACATTAAGCACAAAAACTGCAAACATATAATATATACTGAGACAACAGCCCAGAAAATTTTTTAAGAACTCAAAATAAATCCATAAAGAGAGACAGCCTATGCAACCTTACTTGCCAGACCTGTCCTAGAAGCAATGGTTTGTATTATCTTGGTGGATGAACTCCTTCTACAAATACAAGTCAAACATTTTGAGGATGGGCAGATCCATCAAGTCCATTGTAAACAACTGAGAACATGGTGCTCCACATGCTAAAACCAGGAAGAAATTTGAATGCACTTGCTTGAAGCCATTTCAAATCATCTTTCTGTTTTCAGTTTTTGCAATATAACAATTTGCTTTTTTTTTTTTTTTAAGATGGAGTCTTGCTCTGTCACCTAGGCTGAAGTGTGGTGGCATGATCTCAGCTCACTGCAACCTCCACCTCCCAGGTTTAAGTGAGTCTCCCGCCTCAGTTTCCCAAGTAGCTGGGATTACAGATGCGCGCCACCACACCTGGCTAATTTTTGTATTTTTAGTAGAGATGTGGTTTCATCATGTTGGCCAGGCTGGTCTCAAACTCCTAAGCTCAAGTGATCCACCCACCTCAGCTTCCCAAAGTGCTGAAATTACAGGTATGAGCCACTGCACCCAGCCAACAATTTGCTTTGATCTCTCTTTAGACAATGTGGCCAAACTTTCTTGGAGTAAATTTAGTGCACGTAAATTCAATAAAATTGTTTAATAATGTAATATTTTAAATTAACCATTAATTATTAATTATCCATATTTTTATGTATGCATATATTATTTAGGTAATTATAACACATGCCCTCTGTCACACACATGTCCTGGGCACTAGAGTGGTGACAGATACAGTTTCTGCCTTCCTGAAGCTGCTGGGTCCTTCATCGACCTTGTATAAGGGCTAGGTAGCAGAGGTTACAAAATATCCCTGTGGCTCCACCTGCCATGGTTCTTTTGGCTCTGTCCTGAGTCCCTGGGCTCTGGACTCCCCAGCTGGCCAAGCCCACAAACCTACATTCCCCTTAGCCTCCCAGGTCAGCCAAGACATACAGGAGCTTTTTGTATGAAATTTTACTAGGATGCTAAGGGAAATCACAAAAGAAGAAAACACCAGAGCAGAGAAATAGATCAGTTTACTGAGTACAGATGATTTATCCCAAGGGAACAAGAGTTCCTCATTTCAGTACTACCACGAAAACCTTTCCCTAAGCCTCAGTCTTCCACACACTGCCGTCAACACTCCTGGAGCACTTCTTTCTTTGGCTGCCGACTCTTAAGAAGCTCTGCAAGGGAGGGATAACACCTTTGCAGGGACCTAATGGGCTATTGTGGTTAGGTTCCAGAACCTTCAGACTTTCTCTAGGGATAATTCACTGATGAAAACAAGCACTGCCAGCCCCAAGCTTACCCTAACCTTTGCAGGGACGTGGGGCAGAAGTACAAAGGGATGCCCACATACCATCTGTATAAATATTTAAAAGTTATTCCTCAAGCTAACAAACCATTAAATAGCATGTCCTTGCTAAATACAACTTCATCCTGACACAGAGAGCAGGTTCCAACTGAGAATTCCCTGTCCCATCTGCAGCCTGCCCCCCGACTCCCACCTTTCTTGCCTTACTCCACGAGGGGCCATTGTGTGCAGACCTCCAGCCACCAGGGCCAGGTTTTGTATTATTTCTTGCAACTGCATGTGAATCTACAATTATCCCAGTGAAAGTTTAGATAAAGAGGAAGGAAGAAGGGGGAAGGAGGAGGAGGGGTGGAGAGAGAGAGAGAGAGAGACAGAGAGAGCGAGCGAGCTGTGCAGTGTGACCTATAGACCCAAAGTCACTGTGCCTGATAGGCTCTTTGTTTGAGAGCCTGGCCTGGTCCCCCTCAGCCCGCCCCCTCCTCACAGAGCAAGGAGCCCACAGGCCAGTGGCTTTTGCCAAGCACTCGCTTAGTCCACAGTCTTGCCGAAATGGCCTCCAGCACGCTTCTAGGGCCTGCGAGGGCCTTCTCCTTGTGTCCGACTCCCGAGTGGGTCTTGCTGCACTGCCGGTGTGTGCACCTCTGGGCCCAAGAAGGCCAGCAGGTAGCTGTTTGTCGGAATCATGAACAGATCTTGATCTGGGAAATGAAGACCTGGAATGTCGGTAACCCTGCGTGGCAGTGATCCCGTTGGGGAAGGAGGAGAGGAACACTGCTTTTCTTCCTTCTTTTAGCCATAAGATTCTGGAAAGGAGAACCAGAGGAAGGCAGAGCCACCCCCTGGTACAGTCCCTGAACTCTAGTGAATGGGGCATGGTTCATGAAATACATTAGAGGCAAAGATCAACCACTCTGCTTCAATTAACCACATGCAATTGTGACATCAAACAAAAACGTCAGACGCCATTCCAAAGATTAAATTGTATAAATCTGAAATAAAGCAAGATATGCTTCATTATTTCACTCTTTAAACCATGAGCTATTTGTCCCTCTTTGCAAAGAAGGGCCATTGATTTTGGCAGCCACCACCCAACAGTTCAAAGTATAGGACATCTGACCAGGAGGCCACAGTGGAGAGAAGCTGTTCCTTGTTTCAAGTGCTGTCAGATATGAGGGTGTCCTGGTGTGAGCAACAACCTCATTCTCTGAGGATAAAGTGAATCAAGACCTGAGCTGTTATGGGACAGGAGGAAATAGGACATAGCAGGTAGCTGGTCTTAGGGTGCCGTTTAGAAGACATTTCTGGATGTTTAATATTCGTAATGGAATCACTTATCAATAACCAAGTGTTGAATATTTTCAAGTTCTGAACATTTCTTTTTCTATTCCAGTCTAATTTGTATTTCACAGCAAACTTTTGGAATTACCATCTTAGGTATTTCCTTAGGTGCTGCCTAGTTCCGCTCCCAGAAGGATTTGAAGCAGCTTATCTCTCTCTAAGGTTAATGTCTTTGGTCCCTAAAACTCTTCAAAATGCATTTGGTTTTATATTAGCCAAAATTTCTCTTGGGAAATTGTCAGAGAAATAAATAACTGAGGAGAGAGAGACATAGCCACACTAGGGATCTTGTGTTTGTGTGCCCTGAAAACATATTTCTGCTGGTGGCTGTGCTGGAGGAAAGGGCAAACACTTTTATATATATATATATGTACACTATATATATTTTTAAATTCGAGACAGGGTCTCTGTCACCCAGGCTGGAGTACAGTGGTGTGATCTCAGCTCACTTCAGCCTTGACCTCCCAGGCTCAAGCAATCCTACCTCAACCTCCCAAGTAGCTGAGTAGCTGGGTCTACAAGAGGTGTGCACCACCACACTGGCTAATTTTCAAAATATTTAAAAAGTCCTTTTTTTTTTTTTTTTTTTTTTTGAGACAGAGTCTCAGTCAGTCTCCCAGGCTGGAGAACAGTGACACGATCTCAGCTGACTGCAACCTCCGCCTTCTGGGTTCATGCCATTCTCCTGCCTCAGCTTCCCGAGTAGCTGAGACTACAGGCGCCCGCCACCATGTCCAGCTAATTTTTTGTATTTTTAGTAGAGACCGGGTTTCACCGTGTTAGCCAGGATGGTCTCCATCTCCTGACCTCGTGATTTGCCCGCCTCAGCCTCCCGAAGTGCTGGGATTATAGGCGTGAGCCACCGCGCCCAGCCTAAAAAGTCATTTCTAAGGGATTGTTTTGGAGAACAGGGCCTGGCACACAGAGTTGCTTGAGAAGCAGAGCCGATCTCCTGACCAGTGTGCCTCACGCCTGTGACAGGTTAGGAGTGGCTGCTGTCCTCTGGCAGGGTGCTGCCTTCTGAGACAAATATTATCATTTGCTGTGCAAGCTGTGTTGGAAATCACCACGTCCATCTCCAGCCCCATCTCCACTTCTCACTCTGGACCTTCCCATGAGCTCCTTGAGGGCAGGGCAGACAGCCCATTTGTATTTATGTCCTTAGACCAACGCATCATGCCCCACATCTGGTAGGTGCTGAATAAACGTTGAGCAGAATTTACAAGCACGCTTTTTATAGCTTCCTCCAAGTCATCTGTTAGAGTGTTGAGCAATAAAACATCAAGGACGGAACTATTGATCCTCCAGGTGCCAGGCTGACAATAATTTATTAATCCATATTGGAGGTATGTTAAGTCTAAAAAGGGAGAAGTCTTTGGAGGGACATGACAGTTTTTTCAGACACTTGAAAGCTTGTCCCAGGGGCAAGCTAAGAACCAATGGGTGAAAAATACAGAAAAGATAAAGTTCTCCCAAGAACAATATCATGGGTGAGGGCTTGGGGAAAGGGGCATTCTCATGATGGAAAATGGAATATATTGCCAAATTTGGTTCCACAAAAATAAAAATTCCATTCTATTTTTCTGGAACGGAATTTGGCAATATGTACAAAAAACCTTAAATATATGCAGAAATTTTGACCGAGGAATTCCACTTCTAGATTTTGGTTATAGAAGTTTGATCAGCTGCACAAAGATCTATGTACAAAGATGTTCAACACAGTACTGGTTATGATAGTGTAATAATTAGAGCCATGTAAACTTTTGACAATAAGGGCTTAAATAAATCATGATATATTCATTCAATGGAATGCCATACATTATTAAAATGGTGATTTGGAACTATGTTTGTTTGAATGAAAATATGTTTGTACTCTATGGGGGAAATAGAAACAAGTAGGATATAAATGGTTCCATTTTATTATATACACACACACACACACGGAGATGGAGAGAGATGGAGAGACAGACACAGAGAAAGTCTTGAAGCTTATATATCAAAATGCTATTGTGTTATTGGTGATTATCTTTCTGCGTGTTGGGAATACAACTGATTTCACATTTATTTGTATCCATTATTTCTAAATTTTTCAACTATAGATATATGATGTAATAACATATGGTGTAATAATAATCATCATCATCATCATAAAAAATTAGGACTGATGAATATGTGCCCCCACTGAAATGGTGAGCTTTCTTCTACCCAAAGTGCTCAGCCAGAGGCCAGATGGTTACTTGGTTGGATATTGTGGAGGAAAGTTGGAAGAGTGGAGTTTAAAGCCACTTCCAACTGTAAATGCTATGATCCATGAAGGAAGAAGGTGACACTGGAAAATGTGCCACAGATCCTCACGCAGTTTGTCTGGCAGATAGGGTAATTATTTGCAAGGCTTTTCTGTTGTTGATGAAGATGTCTATTTTATTTTAATTTTTTGAGACAGGGTCTTGCTCTGAATCCCAGGCTGGAGTGCAGCAGCATGTTCTTAGTTCACTGTAGCCTTGAGCCTCCTCCTGGGCTCAAGTGATCCTCCCACCTCAGCCTTCCGAGTAGATGGAACTATAGCTGCCACCATGCCTGGCTAACTTTTTTATTTTTTATAGAGATGGGGGTTTTGCTATGTTGCCCAGGCTGGTCTTGAACTCCTGGTCTTATACAATCTTCCCACCTCGACCTCTCAAAGTGTTGGGATTACAAGTGTGTCTGGCCTGAGAATGTCTTTAAAAATTGGAAATTATGTTCTTAATATTGGCCTCGTTCTGTGACTTCTTAGTGAGCAATAACCTAGGAATTGGAATATCCTCATGCTGTTCCCTGGCCTTACAAACTGAAATATTTGCCTCTCACCCCACTGGGTACAACATGAGCTCCCCACAGCCAGGGATTTTTGTTTCTTTTGTTCTAGATCCCAGAAGAGTGGTTGGCACACAGCAGGCACTCAATAAATATTTTTTGAATGAATAAATTAATGTTGGCAGAGTAAAATAAGCAACTTGGAAGACAGCTGCTATGCAAATAAATGCTTTCGCTGTGTTCATGCTAATTACTTCAAAAACATGAGTTTGGAAACAGAATTCCAAAACTAAAACTCATTTTGTCATGTAATTAATTTTTCAAATGATTAACATTCTTTAAAAATCAAGTATGATGTTTATATGGCCATACAGTTTAAAAATGAGAACTCCGCATTGTGTTCTAGATAACCACCGGTCAACAGCGCTTTCTCTAACGATAGAAATATTCTATATCTGCACTGTCTGGTACGGTAGCCACTAGCCACATTAGGCTATTGAGCAGTTGAAATGTGGCTGGTGAGAATGAGGAGCTGGTTTCTACATTTTATTTACTTTTAATTAATTTAAATTTAAACTTGAATAGCCATATGTGGCTAGTGGCTACTGTATCAGACAGTGCAGTTTTAGATCAAACTTCTCTTAGTTTATATGACAAGGTAGATACCATGTGCTTACCAAGATACCATATATAAGCATGAAACCATGGGTACAATCTAGACTGAATCTTGTACTGAGAGAAAGAGATGGAAATGAGTCCAAGACTTTTATATGCTTCGTATGCATGGCAGCAGAGTGACGTCATAGATTAAAACAATTTCTTTACCACACAGCCTTCCTAATCTCCAGTAGTCCTGCTAAACTCTCAACATTCCACAGAATTATTTGTATCCAAAAATAAGGTTTATAAAAGTTGCAAATCCAAAGCAATTATCTGTAGTGCATACTGTCAGCGTCAGAATGAAAAGTGCAATTTGCCAGAAAAGTATTATTGTTATTCTAGGGTGCCCTTTTTATTAGTTGACTATTGTACAATACTGCCTTCATAATGTTAGTTAAAAGTTTTTGTTTTTGCTTAAACATCACCTTTGATGTTGTTATCTCTAAAGCAGATAACAGCATTGAGGAATTAAGTGAATGCTAATTCAACTAAGCCAACCATTCAGAAGAACCACCCTGCTGTCCTCCTCAAAAGCCTTCATAGGCTGGGCATGGTGGCTCATGCCTATCAGCGATTTAAGAGGCCAAGGGAGGAGGATCACTTGAGCCCAGGAGTTTGAGACCAGCATGGGCAATAAAGTGAGACCCCGTCTCTACAAAAACTCCAAAACTTAACTGGGCATGGTGGCACGCACCTGTGATCCCAGCTACATGGGGGGCTGAGGTAGGAGGATTTCTTGACCCTGGGGGTCAAGGCTGCAGTGAGTGGCATTTACGCCACTGCACTCCAGCCTGGACAACAGAGTGAGACCCTGTCTCAAAAATGAATAAATAAAAATAAAATAAAATATAAATAACCTTTATAAACATGTGATGTGTTCTCCTTGAAATTAACTGAGTATTTATCTTAATTCTTCATCTTACTGATGTACAGTAGTCCCCCCTTATCCTTGGGGGACACATTCCAAGACCCCCAGTGGATGCCTGAAACCATAGCTAGTATCAAATCCTAGATATGTTTTTTCCTATGCCTACATACCTATGATAAAAGTTTAATTTACAAATTAGGCACAATGAGATTAACAATAACCAATAATAGAACAATTATAACAACACACTGTAATAAAGGTTATGTGAATATGGTTTCTCTCTCTCTGTAAGTATTTTACTGTACAGTCCTCACGCTTCTTTTTGGAATGATGGGAGATGAGAAAATGCCTATGTGATGAGATGAATTGAGGTGAATGGCACAGGCTTTGTGACCTAGGGTTAGGCTACCATCGACCTGCCGACGACACTTCAGGAGGATCATCTGCATTGGGTGATCCTGGATCATGCAGCCATGACAATATAGGTGGTGTCCAGTCATGACATTCAGGCAGGAACAGACAGTGGTGTTGATGACTAGCCAGCTAACCGGCAGGTAGCGAAGATAGTGCAGATACACTGGCAGGAGCAATTCACATCACATCCTGGGCAGGACGGAGTAGGATGAGATTTCATCATGCTACTCAGAATGGTGCACAATTTAAAACTCATGAGGTGTTTGTCTCCAGATCATTCCATGTAATATTTTCAGATTGCGGTTGACTGGGGATAACGGCAACCTCAGAAAGTGAAACCACAGATAAGTGTGGACTACTGTATAACTGTCCTATGGCCATTTGTAGTGACTTCGATGTTGCTGCAGGTGAAAGAACACACTGCAATTAAGGAGAAAGGCAAAAATGGAGGCAAACGCAGTTAAAATGAATATATTTTTGTTTTTAAATTTACTAAGCATTATAAGCAGATGGGGTGGGGGTGGAGAGACCGAATCACTTCCGAGAGCAGCAGGCTGGCCAAAGAAGGAACTCCCAGTGCTGGTGGGGACAGAGGACAGCCATGCACCCAGTGGGTGGGCACCTACAAACATGCTGTCCCCAGGGCGTGCTGCATGGAGGTATCCATGGGGGTCGATGTAGGAGGAGGCTCTTCTGCTGTTCCTGGAAGGGCCAGGATCTCTGAGTCTCTGGCACATTCTCACCACAGCTAATAAATGCCTCGAATGCCCCACCTTGGGTGACGGGGTGTGCCCTGAGGTCGCAATGCCCTACTCCCTGCTCTGGACACCGGGAACACAACGATACCCACAGACAAGTGCCTAGTGAATACGGAGAGTGTGTGAATGGTGCTTGACTCTTCATACAAAAGAACAGGAAGCTGGGGCACAGATGACACAAAACACTGTCCGTCAAACATCACCACTACCCGCTTCTACAACACCTTGTGTGATTCCTGACGCTATTCGCCTTCATCCATTTACCTTCTTGTTTCTCACATGTTTTCCCTGTATTCTGTTGGAAGAGTGTGATCCAGGTGCTGGGGTATGAGGTGGGGGTAATGTTGCCAACTTGAGATTAAACAGATCATCAGCTCAAAAAATAAATAAATAAATGAAAGAATTATAAGCTGTTGTTAGAAAGGTGCAATCATAGCCGGGGTGGTGGCACAGGCCTGCAGTCCCACCTACTTGGGAGGCTTAGGCGGGACCTGGGGAGATCAAGCCTGCAATGAGCCGTGATCAGGCCACTGCACTCCAGCTTGGGTGACAGAGTGAGACCCTGACTCAAAGAAAGAAAAAGAAAGAAGGAAAGAAAGAAAAAGAAAAGTGAGATCAGAAAACGGTTTGGCTGTTTTCCCATCACTACCTTCAAATGCGTGTTGTCAGGTCTCCCTTCTGGGAATCTGAATGCCTTGGAGGTCACCTCTGAGCATTTTGGATCCTTTATTTCAGTTTGCAAACTGTCACTAATTCCTGTATTTCAGATTTAATTCTTCATCTCCAATCTCACTGCTACCTCCAGAGTCGAGGACTTTGATTTTGGATTATAGATATTCTGTCTTGGAAGCTCAAAGATCTGCCAGCATTCCTGCTACAGGAGAATGTTCCTGAAATAATGCTGTGCTCATTCCCTCCACAATTAGCGGATGTGGAGTGAATGTCACCCTTTTGGCCCAGGGACCATCATGTCTTCAACTGCTTATTGCAACAGGTCTCAGTTAGATCTGCACACTGTGAGGTCAGAACAAATGGAAGGTTGTCTTTCTTGCGAATCAAGGGTGTACTGCAAACTGACCTGTTCCCTGAGGCAAGTCACCTGCTTCCCAGGCCTCAGCTTCCTCATCTCTAAAATATGAGATGAGACTGAATCGTTTTTTTAAGTTCTCTTCCAGCTTTGATTTTGAAATTATTTTCAGGTCAATGACCTAATTTTTAAGGTCTTTCATTGTTTCATCCAGTTCTTTCTAATCAAAAGTATCTCCCATTTCTCCTCAGTATGTAGATTTTCAGATCTGTCTTTGCTTCCCTTTCTCATCCTAGCTCAAATCACAGCTCCTTGGTCACTCCAGCTCATGGTGATTCTCCCTGTGTAATTGTCTCTGTTCCCAACTTACAATAAACACCTTGATAACATATATCATATTTTATGATTTGGCCATATGGTTTTATAGTTTCTAGCCCAATTTTTATTACTAGGAAGAGCTGTCCAATGAATACCTGATGGCTGATTGTTAATTATAATGTGTACTAGTCAGGGTTCTCCAGAGGGAGTTTATTAGGGAGAAATGGCTCACATGATTACAAGGCAAAGTCCCACAACAGGCCATCTGCAAGCTGGGGAAAGAGAGAAACTGGTAGTGGAGTCCAAGTTTGAAAGTTTCAGAACCAGGGAAGCCAACAGTGCAGCCTTCAGTCTGTGGCTGAAGGCCCGAGATACCCTGGGATGCCACTAGTGCAAGTACCAGAATCCAAAGGCAGAAGAACCTGGAGTCTGATGTCCAAGGGCAGGAGGAGTGGAAGCAAGGGTCTGGTACAGGAAGAAAGAGAGAGCCAGAAGATGCAGCAAGCAAACGTATCCTCCCTTCCTCCCCGTGCTTTGTTCTAGCTGTGCTGGCCACTGATTGGATGGCATCCACCCTCATTGAGGGTGGGCCCTCCTCTCCTAGCCCACCCACCATAATGTCAATCTCCTCTGGCAACACCCTCACAGACACACCCAGAAACAATACTAGCCATCTAGGCATTCCTCAGTCCACTCAAGTTGACACCTAATATTAACCATCACATAATGTATAAAAGTTAGCATGACATTCATTTTTCTACACAATAAAAGTCTATTGAGAACCAATTATGAGTCAGGCATTGTCATAGGCATGAGGGAACATTTGTGACCAAAACACACCACCTCTCCTGCCCATCTGAAGCCCACATTCCGGGTCACTTTTTCCTGTCCTTTTGAGGCCAGAAATGCATATTGTAATGTATAATGTAAATGTATGTTGTTTATATTGTTCCCAGGTTATGCAATGTCTTTAGAATCTATATGCCGTGCTGCTGTTGTAAAGCTGTGTGGATGCCTCTGAACAGGTCCATGCACCAAGGTCCCCAGTGATGGGGGTCCATTGCAGTAGGCAGCCGTGTCCTGGTGGCAGTCTGGCAGATGCCTTTAGTGAATTAAAATTTCTTGTAATTTCAGTTAATCATTTGCTGTTATTTCTCCACATGCCGTAGTGTGCCTTATCAGTGGAAATTGTATCTTTACAGCAGTAGTTCTCATACTTTTTGAACTCAGGACCTCTCTATACTCTTAAAAATTATTATTGGAACTCCAAAGAGGTTTGGTTTGTGTGAATTATAGCTGTGTAGTTACCCTATCAAAAATTTTTGAAAATGTTGATTAAATCATTTCAAAGCAATACTAAATCATGCATGAACATGAATAAAAGACTCATCCATTTATGTATGTTAACGTAAATTACATATTTTTATGAAAAATAGCGTTTTCATTTGTTGTTCTGCTTTCCAAAACAAAACACATTTGGTGAGAAAACTGGCATTATTTTATATTTTTATAGGTCTCTTTAATATGAAGCTTAGCATCTATTTGACAGCTGGATTCTCATATCTTCTGTGTTCGATCTGTTATAATACGTTTTTTGTGGAGTTTTTTTTTGTTTTTTTTTTTTTTTTTGGAGACAGAGTCTCACTCTGTCGCTCAGGCTGGAGTGCAGTGGTGCGATCTTGGCTCAACTGCAACCTCTGCCTCCCAGCTTCAAGCAATTCTCCTACCTCAGCCTCCCGAGTAGCTGAGTTTTAATTTAATTACGTGAAAAAAAATCTGACCTTGTACAGATATGAGTTTGGAAAAGAGGGGAGAATTGTCACAGCCTTTCTTATAGTTGTGAATATTATTTGAAACCTCACCAAAAGTAGACTAGTAGCAGTTTCTTAAGTTTAGTTGCAATGTGGAATCTATAAAACTGTATGAGTGAAATTTCCCCAATTAGTTACATTAATCCGTATATTTTGCAATTTGAAAGGATCTTTTATCCATGTTCATGCATTATTTTATAACATCATGCATGGACTGTTTGGAAAATATTCGTTCACTGAGTTGTGGGGATCGTCTAAATATTGACTCATTTTATTATACAATATCAAAACTACATCCATTCACATCACCACTGATCTCACCTGCAAAATCTTTAAGTATTGCGAAGCTCTCAAACTCATGATGCCTGATACAAGACTTGCAAAAATCTAATTTTTGCTTAAAATCTCAAAAGAAGCAAATCTATCAGTTGTTTTTCCTTAGAGTGACAAACTTACTTGGCTCATTTCCAGAAAATGTCTACCAAACAGCCAAGTCTGAATAACCCTAGTTGCCATTCTTTCAAGTAAAAGGAGCGTTCCATATAGAAAGCAGTTAGTTCACCTTGCAAGTCAAACTACAAGTGCTTTTCCTTGAGATTAACCGTGGTAGTTGGATACCCAGCTGAAGTGCTTTATGTATAATTTCTGTTTAATCACACAGAACACTCAAGGACATGTGCTTAAAGGTCAAGACTTAATAAAATTAATAGTTCCGCTGGGTGCGGTGGCTCATGCCTGTAATCCCAGCACTTTGGGAGGCCAAGGTGGGCGGATCACCTGAGGTCAGGAGTTTGAGACCAGCCTGACCAACATAGCAAAACCCTGTCTCTACTAAAAATACAAAAATTAGCCAGGTGTGGTGGTGCATGCCTGTAATCCTAGGTACTCGGGAAGCTGAGACAGGAAAATTGCTCGAACCCAGGAGGCAGAGGTTGTAGTGAGCTGAGATCACGCCACTGCACTCCAGCCTGGGCAGCAGACCAAGACTCCGCCTCAAAAAAAAAAAAAAAAAAAAAAGCTTATATTGCTTTATCAAGGACATTTTAATGTAAAACTTGCTTAGGACAAAACCCATCGTGGATGCCAGTGAAGAATACCATGACTAATGGTAACCATCGGACACCACTGTCCTGATTCATGCTAAGGCAGCTGTAGTTGTATCCCCCATTGCTATCGAAACATCATTACAAATGGCAACACAGTGAAAAAGGCAAATAACATCTTAGTATTTTTATGATCATAATCTTGACTTTGCAGACCCTCTGAAAGAGCCTTGGAGACCCCCAGGGGCCCATAGCATCACACTTTGAGAACTACTGCTTTAGAATCTGTTAGGGGCTGAATTATGTTCCCCCTAAATTTATATCTTGAAGCTCTAGCCTTCAATAATACCCAGAATGTGACTGTGGTCGGAGGTAGGGCTTTTAAAGAGTTGACTAAATTAAAATGAGGCCATTAGGGCAGGCACAAGTCCAATTTGACTGGTGTCCTTATAAGGAAAACAGATTAGGACACCAAGAGAGGCACTAGGGATGCCCGTGCAGAGGAAGGACCATGGGCAGAGGCTGCAAGAGGGAAGCCAGCTGGGAGCCAAGGAGAGAGGCTTCAAGGGAAACCACCCTGCCAGCACCGTGATTGTGGACTTCCAGCCTCCAGAACTGTGGGAAAACAAGTGTGCTGTTTAAGCCAACCTGTGCTATGTTGTTATGGCAGCCCTGGTAAATGAATATAGAGTCTTTCTCAGGCCTACTCCCCACGTCAGATGGCCTCTGCACCTATTGTCTTGAATATACATTTCCCCTCCTCTGCCTGGCAGATCAGCTCCAACACTGGTGTACCTGCGTCCCACCCTCCTTCAGACAGAGCTAACCAGCCCTGCATGGTGCTCATTTTGCCCTAGGTCCACCTTTTCATTACAGCTCTAGCCCAGGCATTTATCTACCCACCAAGCTGCTTCTCTGCTTAGCTGTGAGATTTTTGAATTTGTGGACCAATTCATTTGCCTCTTCATGGCCTCAGTGCCCAATGCAAGGCTTAGTGCATGGATAAATGCATGGATGTTAAATGTGTGGATAAATTTGTGTGGTGTAGCGGTTGCCGTCTATCCTTTCCTTGTGTTTGGCAGCTCTGAGGCAAAGCACACTCTGCTCTGATAGATTTGTGTCCAGGACCTCCTGGCCTATGGCCACAACTTGCTGTATAATATTAGTTTGGATGCTGTTTTAACAACTTAAAAAATTATCACATTATAAAAATGCATTGCCCCTCCTAAAGTATATATCAAATATTGAGTCACAGTTACACTTGCTTTGGGTATAATTTGAAAGAAAATTAAAAACTTCATTTCCCATTAAGACTTCAGTTTTCTTCTTTCTTAAAGTTATGGGCAAGTGTGGTGGCTCACACCTGTAATCCCAGTACTTTGGGAGGCTGAGGTGGGAGGATTGCTTGAGGCCAGGAGTTCGAGACCAGCCTGGGCAACATAGTGAGACTTAGTCTCTACAAAAATTACAAAAATTAGCCAGGTGTGGCCTTCGGTCCCAGCCACGCAGGAGGATCACTTGAGCCCAAGAGGTCAGGAACCATGCGAGTGCCACTGCATTCCAGCCTGGGCAGCAAAGCAAGACGCTGTCTCAAAAAAAAAAATGTTTACAAATTACCTGGGCATAAAGGTTAAGTCCTTGGCATGTACTTAACATAGTATCAAAATATTATCTTTGCCAATAACAAGCTTACTGCTAAAGATTCAAGAAGAGAATTTCAGAACACATAATCAAGAGACAAAAGATATATCCTTGTATTTTATACCAAAGTAGTTTGAGAAGTCACAATTCATTCACTAGACAGTAAGTTCCATGATGATATCATTCTGGTTAGTTCACTGCTATACCCCTAGCAACTAAAATTGTTTTTAACACAGAGAATATCTATAAAATTAATAAATGAATTTATAAAAGACAAAAAGTGAAAATATTACCATTGATTCACAGAATCACTAATTTCCCGGGGAACAAAGAGTATCTTTGGGAGCAAAAGTGTGAGACACAGCATAATCTTTGGTTTGTTTGTTTCTTTAAGATAGGGTTTTGCTCTGCCATCCAGGATGGAATGCAGTGGTGCCATTATGGCTCACTGCAGCCTCCTGGGCTTAGGGGATCCTCCCATCTCAGCCTTCCTAGTAGGTGGGACTACAGGCATGCACCACCGTGTCCAGCTAATTTTTGAATTTTTCCTTATTTTAGAGACAAGCTCTCACTATGTTGCCCAGGCTGATCTCAAACTCCTGACCTCAAGCAGTCCTCTTGCCTTGGCCTCAAAAGTGGTGGAATGACAGCCTGGGTTTTCACTTCAGTTACTACAATAGCATTATGCACGTTGGCCCCAAGGGACAGAGAGCTTGCTGTGTTGACTCACCTTTGCCTCTGACACTATCTTTAAAAAGGCAGTTAAGCTTCTTGGCTCTTTTCCCAGAGGTGAGTCGCTAGTTCACCTGAAATACCCAGTCAGTGCAAGGAGTCCTTCTCAAGGTGCACCCCCCTCAGGTATGGTGGGTGGGTCCTCTTGTTAGTTCAGTCAAGGGGTGACCCCCCAGGGGTGGGTCATTTTGTTAGTTCAGCCAAGGCCTTAAATATTTTCCAGAAAATTCTAATATTCCTTTCATTCAGTTCATTAATAAGCAGTTAATTACTCCTCTTATACAAACACATGATTCCTTTTTCAAGATAAAAAGAGATTTTATGTTCTCTGATCTTTCTCAGGTAATATACTTCTCTATTTCCTCGCTCCTCTCCATCTCCCAGCCCTCAGCAAACCTCTTTAAAATGTTTGCTTTTTGTTCTAAGACATTTGTGTTAGCCCCCTGATGGGCTTAGTGTCCTAATAGGAGGGAACGATGTTTTGAGTGGATCCCACTTGTTTTCAAAAGCATGTTTTCTTAAACATGCTTCACCTTGACAGTGAGGCCGACATTGAGTAATGTCAGAGCGTGCCTCTGCTATTCTCTTGAAAGACGTGTTAATAAAACTTGTCTAGCCTCCCAGGCTTTCTCTTTCTGGCTGGAGGGGGAGGTTTTCCTCTCATTCATTCTGACTCATTTTGTTGTCTCTTCCTCCTAAGAGCCTGCAGCATATCTGCCACGACCATGGTGTGTGACTCAACTGCATATTTTATCCCAGCGCTTGGCGGCACCTGCACGGTTTTGTAAGCCAGCAAGAGGCTGCGTTTCTACCCACTGCAAATCTTTCTTTTTACCTGATTTCTATATCCCACACAGATCCAACAGACAGAATAAAGGTTATATTTATCTGCGAGACCCCCAAAGGTAGGTAGAGTGTTATAAAAAATGAAAAACACATGCCTTAAAAACAGAGAGATTTTAAAGAAATATGAAATAGTAAAATAAGAAGAAATTCACCATCAAATATTAGAAAGTCATGTGAGAGAAGAAAAAAATAAAGATGCTATAGTTTGTGAATCATTCCTCCTCCACACTACCGAACTCTTCACTTGTGAACTCTTGTTTCATTGTATTTTAGGTATTTCTTTGCATGATTTGTTCTCCTTTAGGTTTTGGTTGCTGTAGGATAAAAACCGGGTTTTGTTTACTTCCATATCTCCAGTATCCAGCACAGTGCTTTGCTGGTTTGGGGCTCAACTGTGTTGCTGTGTTGGTGCTCAATAAAGGTTTATTAACGGCAAGAAAAGAAAAATAAACTGTTTCCTAGAGAAGACAGAAAGCCTATTGAGAGAGAAGATTGGAGTCTAACACATTAACCAAAAACAGCACAAAGCGTCCCTGGACCATAAGAAAAGGCGATTTTATGTGGCCATAATGTCATGTCTTGCCTCCAGCTTATTGGAAAGATACAGAGGATTACATACAGAATCGAGAGGGGAGAAGTGACGGAGTGGGGAATAGGGTAAGACTCATTGCAGATGGTGAATTTTAGAGTGGTGTTTTTCACACCCACGCTGTCCTATAGGCGGTAAGGCTGCAAGCAAATTAAATTAATCACAAAGTGTGAAATGCCTATGAATTCACCAGGAATGATTTGGGGATATTTTGAGAATTAAAGATGAGCAAAAGAATAATGGTCTAATGAGAGTTGGAAGAAAAAGAGGTTTCATCATCATTGCCATCCTCTTCCTTCTCAACACCATCATCAAATAAGCAGAAAACATAGTGTCAGTGTCAATACAGCTACACAGGGAAACATCTGCCTGATGAGATGCCTTCTAGAGAGAGATGCCCCTTTTATCAGCAGGTGCAGGAGGCCAATGAGGTAGGCAGGACAGGCAATGAACTGCAGCTTGGTGCTTGTTTTTCCCTGTGATTTTACTATAGTTATCATTGAGTGCCTCCGTTGATATAAGGTTCCCTACAGGGTTAGTATTCTGTTAACGTGGAAGAAGATGGAATCAGGATTTTTATATCTTCTGAAACAGATGGTTATAATTTAAACTTTATGAAATACAGGAAAGAAGAAATGCAATCAAAAACCTGAAAGTCCTAGTTTCTTGTTTTCCAGGCCAAAGCCTGCAGGATAATTGTATAAATAGTTCTGAGACTCCCTTCTATTTTTCTTCCTTCCTGAAGACAATCCGCAAAGTGTCCGTCTGGACATATCTAATGGTTAGCCAGATGGCATTCCAAGAATCGCTTTTCTGAAAGTCTGAGATCTCATCAGATACACTGGAATGATCTTGAGCTGGTGGATGGGAAACAGCGCCAAGGAGAGAAGCTGTGGAATGGAAGGAAGGGAAGAATAGAAAAGGGGGAAATATTTAATTTAAAACATGGAAGGAACAGTTGAGAGTGAGAAGAGAACAGCCTTATAGGTATTAAATCTCTCACCGTCCTTATGATGCAGTGTTGCCCTGAGCTAGTCTCAACACTACCACTGTATCTCTACAGCAGAGTAAATGCTATATTTGGGCTTATAATTGTCACAATCAGGATTGCTAACTGCAACACTTTCCTAGCTGAAATCAAACAGGTTTGAAAGCAAATTAGAATGGCTTTAAGCAAAGCTCATGAACCTTCCCTTCAGGAGCAACCAGAGCTATTCCAGGAGACCCCAGCCTCACATCAAATCCATGGCTGATGCTAGAAATTTGCCCAGAACTTCAGCACCTTGAGTCTACTTCTTGTGAGAATGTACCCTCCCTATACACCATTTTTTTTCATTAGCACTCTCCCAGAGTTAATAGTCAAAGTAAGCTGTATACTGGTCATTCAGGGGTTAGTGAATGAACTTCAATTTTGGTCCTGAGTATAAGGTTTTTAGGCATACAAATGTTTCTATTACATTCATAGATTTGTGCAACCATAACTCTTTTAATGGCTGAATAATATTCCATTGTATGGATACCACATTTTGTTGATTATTTCACGTGTTCATGGACACTTGTGTTTTTTCTACCTTTTGGCTACGGTGAATAGTGCTGTAAGGAACAATGGCACACACATTTCTGTTTGAGTCCATGTTTTCAATTATTTTAAGTCTATAACTAGAAGTCAGATTGTAATTCTATGTTTAGCTTTTGAGGAACCTCCAATTGTTTTCAACTACTGTAAATAGTACTGCAATGAACATTTGTGTATAAATATTTGTTCGAATACCTGTTTTCAATTGTTTTACTTATATACCTAGGAGTGGACTGGCTGGATCATATGGTAATTCTAAGTTTATCTTTTTGAGGAACTGCCAAACTGTTTTCCACAGGGCTGCACTAGTTTTTGTTCCTTTCCACCAGCATTGTAGAAGGGTTCCAATTTCTCCACATCCTCACCAATATTGTTATTTTCCTTTTTTTTAATTTTTTTATTTTTATTTTTTGCAGTTGAAAGATTTAATAGAGTGAAAACAGAGCTCCCATACAAAGGGAGGGGACCCAAAGGGGGTTGCCGTTGCCGGCTCGAATGCCTGGGTTTATATCCTGATCCTTGTCCCTCCCACTGTGCTCTCAGGCAATAGATGATTGGCTATTTCTTTACCTCCTGTTTTTGCCTAATTAGCATTTTAGTGAGCTCTCTGATTGGTCAGGTGTGAGCTAAGTTGCAAGCCCCGTGTTTAAAGGTGAATGCAGTCACCTTCCCAGCTAGGTTTAGGGATTCTTAGTCAGCCTAGGAAATCCAGCTAGTCCTGTCTCTCAGTACCCCCTCTGAACAGGAAAACCCAAGTGCTGTTGGGGAGGTTGGCTGATGACCGCCCTAACTGCTTCCTGCTGAACTGGGGCATAGTAGGGGTTGTGCAGTTGAGATTTCCTTGGGAGGGTTGCCTTCGCTGTCATTAACATTGGAGCATGGGCTAGCAGGCTGGTCCAGGGGTCTGTGGTAGATCTTAGTCATGGACTGCATCTGGGGCTCCATTTGAAGAATGATTTGTAGTTTTACAGCTTTGATTCTGGAAGAGACAAACTTAACAAGGAGGTTAAAGATACAGGGATTGAAATGTATGGCCTGCAGTACAGGGGATTATTTCTTTGGCACACTTTACGGGCCCTGACTATCTGCTTGATAATTTTGAAAAGGCCTGGTCCAGTAAATAATAATTTGGCCATCTGATGGGTGCTATCAATGCCTAAATATTTTCCATTTTTAAAAATAGCCATTCTAGTGGGCATGAAGTGTTATCTCATTGTGGTTTTGATTTGCATTTCCATAATGACTAATGATATTGAGTATCTTTTCATGTGCTTGTTGGTAATTTGTGTATTTTCTTTGGAGAAATGTCTATTGAAGTCTTTTGCCCATTTTTAAATTGAGTTGTCTTTTAGTTGTTAGGTTGTGCTGGATGCTAGACCCTTTCAGGCATATAATTTACAAATACTTTCTCTTATTCTATGAATTGTATTTTCACTCTCTTGATATAATTCTTTAGAGCACAGAAGTTTTAAATTTTGATGAAGTCTAATTGTTGTTTGTGGCTTTGGTGTCATTTCTAAGAATTCATGGACAAATGTGAGGTCATGAAGATTTACCTCTATGTTTTCTTCCAAGAGTGTTATAGTTTTAGCTCTTACATTTAGATTTCTGATCGATGTTAAGTAATTTTTATCTATGGTGTGAAGTAGAATCCAATTTTATTAATAGTATTTTGCATGTGAATATCCAGTTGTCCCTGCACCATTTGTTGAAAAGACTATTCTTTTCCTACCATGTGGTCTTGGCATCCTAGTCAAAAATCAGTTGACCACAGATGTATAGGTTTGTACTATTCATTCTATTTTATTGGTCTGTGTGTCTACCCTTAAACAAAAATAATGAAGCATAACAAATCAAAAATACGATCATATACTAATATAATACCTACATAGTTATCTTTACCATTGTTCTTTCTTTTTATTATTATTGCTCTTTATTTTTCATATAGCTTTGAGATACTGTCTAGGTACTAGAATTATTTTCATTATAGTTTGAAGGACTTTTTCAGGTCTATAGGCAGAAAACTCCCTCAGCTTTTTTGTTTATCTAGGAATGTCTCTCTTCTCTGTTCCTGCTTTTAAGATTTTTTTTCTTCCTGCTTTCAAGATTTTCTTCATCTTTGTCTTTTGATGGTTTGATTATGTGTCTGGAGTTCTTTGAGCTTCTTTAAAATCAAATTTGGGAAATGTGAGGCTACTCTTTCTTCAAATATTCTTTCCATCCCTTTCTTTCTCTGGGACTTTCATAATGCATATGTTAGAATACTGCAAATTATTCCACAGTTCTTTATGCTCTATTCACATGTCTTCATTTTTTTTCTTTCTGTTCCTCAAACTAGATAATTTCAATGAGCTCATCAAGTTTACTGATTCTTTCTTCTGCCTGCATAAATCTGCTGTTGAAGCTCTAGTAAAATTTTCATTTCAGTTATTGTATTTTTCAGCTCCAGAATTCCTATTTGCTTCCTTTATATAATTCAATTTCTTTATTGATATTTTTGTGGCATTATTTGTCTGGTTTCTTTTAATTTTTTTGTCAATGATTGCCTTTATCTATTTGAGGATATTTAAGGCAGTTGATTTAAAGCTTTGCCTAGTAAGACAATGTCTGTGCTTCCTCAGGGATACTTTCTGTTCATTTGGCTTTTTTTCCTGCAAATTGGCCATACTTTCTTGTATCTTTGTGCACCACGTGATTTTTTGGTTAGAAACTGGGCATGTTATATATTTAAATGTGGTAAGTGGATATAAGATTCTTCACCTTCCTCAAGGTTTGTTGTTATTGTTTGCTGTGGATGGCCTCTTAATTCTGTTGTTTCTTTAGCTTTTGGTCAGCTAGTGGTTTCACAGAGATTTTCTTAAAAGAAAAAAAAATAATAGTCTCCTGGTCTTTGCAGATTGGGTCTGTGTTAGGGATACTCCTTCCACACTTAGCCAGGCCATTTACAGCTCTGCCTTAGCCTTCACTTCCTGCTCACACTGAGCCTAAAAGTCAGCCAGAGGTGAGAGCTAAGGGGCTTTTCAGGTCTTTTCTGGGTATGCACCCTGCCCTGGGCATGCACATGACTTTCTAGATTTCCTGTTATATGCAGGAGATTACCAAATCCCTATTCCCCAAAGTAACTCTTTCCCTGGCTTTTTCTCCTAGGTTGTAGCATGTTTATTGTTTGACCCAACTGTAGTCTTTTACCCAAGGCAGCAACAGCTCATTCATTTGCCTATTGGTGTTTTCAAGGAACCCCTCTGCTTAGCAACTTTTCTGCACTGAAAGAGTTCTAAGTTAGATAAAACCAAAGCAAACACCCTGTGTCAGTCCTTCAAGGGATCCCCAGACAAACACAATTCTTTAGGAACTAGGTCTGCTCTGCTCCCTCTGGAACTAGGCACCCCCATCAGGAATATGGGTTGCATCTTAAAACTGCCAGCATGCTAGGAAAGGGAGAGGAGTAGGACAAAGCTAAGTTAAAACACCACAAAGCTATTCTACCATGTTTAAGTCATCTTTTCCTTCATTCAACATTCACTTGGTTTTTGGAGACCAGCACTATAGACTAATGCTGTTGACAATTTTCCAGACTTCTGACAATGTTGATTGTGACAGTTTTTGCTTGTTTATTTGATGTTTCTGTGGAGGGATGGGCCCTTGGAATTCCCTACTCTCCCATTTTTGCTGATATCACTCTCTCATACTTTCTTTTATATTTGAAATATTTTGTAATCTAAAAGAGGAAATGAGAAGTGTTATCTAGCTTTGCGTTATGTCTTCTGCAATATTTCTAGCCAGACACCAAGGTGAAGGCATCTAATGTAAGAATGTGTGAGGGGTGGCCAAGGAGCCCATAGAAACTCAAAAGAAAGTGTCATAAAGATGAGACTTACAAACCTGAGACTGGAGTTTCATTAGGTGGGCCTCTAGGAAACCTCAGTGACTAAAGGTCACAGACTTACAGATCTCAGACATTTTCTTCTTCCTATGATGCAATAGAAATATACAATGCACAATCCCACTTGTGAAGCATTGTTATCAAATGTTTAAATCAAATCTATTTAAGCGCCTATTTGATTTAAATTTTTGACAAGAATGCTTCACAAGTGGGGTTGTGCATTGTGTATTTCCTATTGCATCATATAAAGGAACAACGGAGCATATTAAATGAACCACAAGGATACAATCAGCAAATTCTGGAGTATCAGAAATGCTACAGGACAGACAGCTCAGTTCCTCCAGCAAATAAATGGCAAGGAAAGGAAAATGGGTGGGCATGGGGAGGAATGGTGCAACTCATAGACTAAAAGCAATTTAAGAGATACAACAACCAAATGCAATATATACACCTTAGTTTTTATCTCAATTTAAATCATTATGGGGCAGGTGAGGACATTTTAACAATGACTGGATATTTGATTATCTTAAAAAGTTAAGTTTTTAGCTGTGATAATGGTATTTTGGTTAACTTTTAAACATAAGTCCTTATATTTTGGAGTTACATAGCAAAGTGTTTATGGATGAAATAATATGGCATCCGGGATTTGATACCAAATAATCCACTGGAGACAGTGGGACAGTAGAGATAAAACAAGACTGGACATGTGCTCAAAATTGTTGGAGCTGAGTGATGAATGTGGAGGGATTTTATATTGCTATTTCTGTTGTTTAATATGTTTGATATTTTCCATAAAAATACATTTGAAAAATAGTAACTGAGATACTTATTTCTATAGCACCTAGTAGATCTTTGATATACTATGTTGATGAACTTCAAGTATTGATGTGCTATATTGATTAACTACAATCTTTGATATGCTATGTTGATTAACTTCAATAACTTGGGCACTAAAACTATTTCACTAAGCATCAAACTTAATAAATTCTTCCAAAAAAGCAAAATCTTAAAAAACTTTTAAAAGCAAAAACTTTTTGTAACAATAAACTTTTTCTAAAATTAAATGCTGAATTTAGTATGTCCAAATTACCTATATTACTTTTGTCTGTTTATTTAGCATTTGAAAAATAATCATCTTGTATAGAGAAATGTGATTTAAGATATAAGACAACCTTACTTATCTTTGTATTATCTCTGGGAAAACATCCTACTTCTACTTCTTAAGCGAAGCTTTCTGAGATTAAACAAAATTTATTGTCAAAGAAACTAATTTCAGTTTGATTTATTTTAACTAAAATGTTTACTCTGATTGTTTTTAGTCAGGAAAAATTCAAAACTAAGATTTACATACAGAACAAATTATAAGCCAGGCTAATAAGCTTAATCAGCTAATAATATCCTCAAAGAGAATACTTAGCAGAAAAACTTACTTTGGTTCAAGTTAACCTACTTATGCCTCAGGATGCAATGTTTTGAATTTTTGCAATCAGACCTTGGTGATAACTGAGCAGTAGGATATAAATAACTCCCACAGGTTTGTGTTCCAATAATGGAACACTAGGCATAAGTGGGTTTTGATAGAGAATGAGACCAGAGCATCTTGCCATGAAATATGTTTACTCCAGATTTCCATATTCCCACTATCACAGCTTAAAAAATTATCGACTTGTGGTCAAGCCTATTTTACCTACACTCCTAGAAATTTATTCTCCAGTACAGATAAAATTTTTGAGAATTATAGAAGGAAAAAAGAATCTTAATGGAAGATGTTTTTGTTTGTGCTGCTATAACAAAATACCATACACTGGATTATTTATAAACAATAGAAATTCATTTCTCACAGTTCTGGAGGCTGGGAAGTCCAAGATGAAGGTGTCAATAGGTTGCATGTCTGGAGAGGGCTGCCCTCTGCTTCCAAGATAGTGCCTTGCTGCTGCAGCCTCTGGAGGGAAGGAATGCTGTGTCCTCACATGACTGAAGAGCAGAAGGGAATGAACCCACTTTCTCAAGCCCTTCTATAAGGGTCCTAACCCCATTCTTTATGGCTCCTCATGATTGAATCACATCTTCAAGGCCTCACCTTTTAATTCTATCACTTTGGTGATTGTTTCAACATATGAATTTTGGGGGGACACATTCAGACCACAGCAGAAGCAAAAAAAAAAAAAATGGAATTGAAAGAAAACAAATACGTGGCAAATCAAAACTTATGAGATGTAGTTAAAGATGTGCTTAGAAAAAAATTATAGCCCTAAATATACTAGAGAGGAAGAAAGGATGAAAATTTGCTAACCTAACTAACCAACTTAAGAAGTTCAAAAAGAAGAGCAAATTAAATCCTAAGACAGTAGAAGGAAAAAAACTAAAGATCATTGATGAATTAATTAATAAAGCACAAAAATGTAAAATAGAGAGAGACAATGAAGCCAAAAGTTGGTTCTTTGGTAAGACTAATAATCAAATAAATCCTTAGCAAGACTGAAAAAGAGAAAAAGAGGCACAAGCTGCTAATATCAGGACTGTAAAAGGACATTGCTAAAGATCTAAGATTTGAAAAAGGTAATAACAAGGATGTCATCGATACCTCTGTACCAATAAATTTGAACATTTAGATTAAATGAGCAAATTTCCATATAAATATAACTTATGAAAACTGATGCAAGATGAAATAGGACCCTTATAAAAGGGTCCTTCAGAGAGTGGTTCATTCCCTTCTGCTCTTCAGCCATGTGAGGACACAGCATTCCTCCCCTCCAGAGGCTGCAGCAACAAGGCACTACCTTGGAAGCAGAGAACAGCCCTCTCCAGACATGCGACCTATTGACACCCTGATATTGGACTTCCCAGTCTCCAGAACTGTGAGAAACGAATTTCATCTAAATTGAATATCTATTAAGGAAACTGAATTTATGACTTTCATTCAAAGAAAACTCTAGGATTCCACTACTAGAAATCCTAGTGGGGATGGCCCCACTGGTGAAGTCTTCCATATATCTAAGAAAAAATAATATCACTCTTACACAAATTATTCCTAAAAATGGAAAAAAGAGGAAGCATTTCCCAACTTATTTTATGAAGACAGCATAATCTTGATACCAACAAAGGCAGCATAAAAAAAGAATATTACAGATTAATCTTTCTCAAAAACATAAATGCAAAAATCCTTTAAAAATAGGGAATTAAATCCCACATAGAAAGGATAATACATCATAACCAAGTTGGGCTTATTCTAGGAACGCAATATTGACTTGACATTTGAAAACCAATTATATAATTCAGCACATCAACAGAATAAAGAAGAAAAAATCATATGATGGATGACTGATAAATGGAGAGAAAAATTTGATAAGATGCAGCTCCCATTTATTTAAAACCTCTTAGCAAACTAGGAATGGAAGGCAGTTTTCTTAAAGATAATATAGTGGGTTGAACTGTGGCTCCCAAAAGGGTATGTCCAAATCATATCTCCCAGAACTGTGAATGTGATGGCATTTGGAAAAAAAGAGTTGATGGAGCAATGTGGCTGAATAGAAGCCTCCACCGATCACCCTCCTTGCAGGAATACCAAATTTTAACAACTAACTACACACAAAAAAAGCACCATTATAAGAATCAAAAATCAGGTCAGAAATCACAGTACCTGGTTTTGCCATTTTATTACTGAAAGAGGCACTGAAGAGGGTAGGGAAAACAATCTTGAATCATCTACATCACCCCTCCCTCTTGCCCTAGCATCTCTTGCCTAGATCTCTTGGAGAGAGAATCTGCACATTTTGGGGAGTGAGAGCACAGGGACTAGGAGACTTGGCATTGAACTCCATGCTTTCCTGTCACAGCAGACAGCAAAGCCATGCTGGTTCAGCCAGCACCTGCCCATGGACAGAGCATTGACACCTTAGCCAGAGGGGAATTGTCCATCCCAGCAGTTGGAACTTGAGTTTCTTGGCAAGCCTCACCACTGCAGACTAATGTGCTCTGGGGTAAACTTGAAAGGCAGTCTAGGACACAAGGACTGCAATTCCTAGGACAGTCCTAGTGCTGGGTGGGGGTTAGAGCCAGTGAACTAGGGTGGCATGTGACCTAGTGAGACACCAGCTGGAATGGCTAAAGCAGTGCTTGTGCCACCCCTTCCCCAACCCCATGCAGCACAGCTTGCAGCAAAGAAAGTGACTCCTTCCTTCTGCTTGAGGAGAGGAGAGCAAAGAGTAAAAAGGACTTTGTCTTGCATCTTGGATACCAGCTTAGCCACAATAGAATAGGGCACTGGGGCTGGGCATGGTGGCTCACACCTGTAATCCCAGCACTTTGGGAGGCCAAGGTGAGTGGATCACTTGAGCTCAGGAGTTTGAGACCAGCCTGGCCAACATGGTGAAACCCCATCTTTACTAAAAATACAAAAAATTAGCCGGGTGTGGTGGCTCATACCTGTGTCCCAGCTACTCAGGAAGCTGAAGCAGGAGAATCGCTTGAACCTGGGAGGTGGAGGTTGCAGTGAGCTAAGATCATGCCACTGCACTCCAGCCTGGGTGACAGAGTGAGACTGTCTCAAAAAAAAAAAAAAAATTGGGCAGTGGGCAGAGTTGTGAGGCCCCCTTCCCAGGCCTTCGCTCCCAGATGGCACTTCTAGACATACCCTGGGCCAGAAGGGAACCTGCTGCCTTGAAAGAAAGAACCCAGTAATGGAAGATTACCTGCTGACTAAAGAGCCCTTGGGCCCTGAATAACGAGTGGCAATGCCCAGATTGTACGCTGTGGGCATTGGGCTCTAAGATGTGCTGGCTTCAGGTGAGTCCCAGGACATTACAAACTGTGATGCTATGGTGAAAGACTCCTTCTGCTTGAGAAAAGCAGAGGGAAAATTAAAGGGGATTTTGTCTTGCACCCTAGGTACAAACCAGCTTGGCCACAGTGGGGCAGAGCACCAAGTAGACTCTTGGGGTTACTGAATCCAGGTATACGCTCTTGGACAGCACTTCTGGACCTGCTCTGGGACAGAGGGGAACACACTATCCTGAAAGGTGAGTCTCAGGCTGGGCAGCATTCACCACAAGCTGACTGAAGAGACCTTGGGCTTTAAGTGAACATTGGTGGTGGCCTCGCAGAACTCCCTGTGGGCTAGTGGTGGTGGTGGCCACTGGGAGAGACTCATCTGCCTGTGGAAAGGGGAGGGAAGAGCCGGAAGAAGGACTTTGTCTTGTGATCTGAGGGCCAGCTTAGCTGCAGTAGAATAGAATACCAGGTAGATTTCTAAGATTTTCTGACTATAATTCCTGGCTCCCAGACAACACATTTGAACCTGCCTAGAACCTGGTGGATCTTGCCACCCTGAAGGGAAGGACACAAACCTGTCTGGCTTCTCCACCTGCTGATTGCAGAACCCTAGGGCCTTGAGTGAATATAGGTGGTAGCCAGGTAGTGGTTATGGCAGGTCTTGGGCAAGACCTAGTGCTGTGCTGGCTTTAAGTCTAATGTAGCATAGTCCTAGTAGTGGCGGCCACAGGAGTGCTTGCATCATTCCACCCCCAGCTCCAGGCAGCTCATCACAGAGAGAAAGAGACTCCATTTGTGTGGGAGAAAGTAAGGAAAGAGAACAAGCGTATCTGCCTCATAATCCGGGGATCTTTTTCCTGATCTTATCCAAGACCACCGAAGTGGTACCTCTACAAGTCAGCAAGAACCACAGTTATTGCACTTGGGGCCCAATCCCTTTGAATGCTTAGAAAGTCTTCCCAAGAAAGGGGGGCACAAACAAGCGCAGACTGTAAAGACTGTAAAAAAACACCTAACCCAAACACTGAAGAACATCCACAAGCGTCAAGACCATCCAGAAAAACATGACCTTACCAAATGAACTAAATAGGGCACCAGGGACCAATCCTGGAGAAATAGAGATATGTGACCCTTCAGACAGAGAATTCAAAATAGCTGTTCTGAGGAAACTCAAAGAAATTTAAGATAACACAGAGAAGAAATTCAGAGTTCTATCAGATAAATTTAACAAACAGATTGAAATAATTAAAAAGAATCAAGCAGAAATTCCAGAGTTGAAAAATGCAATTGACATCATAAAGAATGCATGAGTCTGTTAATAGCAGAATTGATCTAAAAGAAAGAATTAGTGAGCTTGAAGATAGGCTATTTGAAAATACACAGTCAGAGGAGACAAAAGAAGAGAATAAAAAAGAATGACACATGCCTACAAGAGCTAGAAAATATCCTCAAAAGGTCAAATCACAGAATTATTGGCCTTACAGAGGAGGTAGAGAAAAAGATAACGGTAAAAAGTTTATTCAAAGGGATAATAACAGAGAACTTCCCAAACCTAAAGAAAAATATCAACATGCAAGTACAAGAAGGTTATAGAACACCAAACAGATTTAACCCAAAGAAGACTACATTAAAGCATTTAATAATCAAACTCCCAAAGGTCAAGGATAAAGAAAGGATCCTAAAGGCACCAAGAGAAAAGAAAGAAATAACATAAAATGGAGCTTCAATACATCCGTCAGCAGACTTTTCAGTGGAAACTTTACAGGCCAGGAGAGAGTGGCATGACATATTTAAAGTGCTGAAGGAAAAAAAACTTTACCCTAGATAGTATATCCAGCCAAAATGTCCTACAAACATAAAGGATATATATGGATTAAAAAGCAAGACCCTGTGATCTATTGCAAATGATTTTTCTTCTTTATTCTGTTGATATGCTGAATTGTATTAATTGTTTTTCAATGTCAAGGATATATTGAATGCAAATGGAATAAACTCTTCAATCAAAAGACACAGAATGGCTGAATGGATTAAAAAGCAAGACCCAATGATCTGTTGCCTAGAAGAAACACATTTCACCTATAAAGATATATAGACTGAAAATAAGAGATGGAAAAAGATATTCCACGCAAATAGAAACCAAAAAAGAGCAGGAGTAGCTATACCTATGTCATACAAAATAGATTTCAAGACAAAATCTGTAAGAAGAGACAAAAGTCATTATGTAGTAATAAAGGGGTCAATTTAGCAAGAGGATATAACAATTGCAAATATATATGAACCCAATGCTGGAGCACCCAGATACACAATGCAAATATTATTAAAGAGAGAGAGACAGATAAGCCCCAATACAATAATAGCTGGAGACTTCAATACCCCACTTCTAGCATTGGACAGATCTTCCAGACAGAAAATCAACAGAGAAACATTGGACTTAATCTGCACTGTAGAACAAATGGACCTAACAGATATTTACAAAACATTTCATCCAATGGCTGCAAAATACACATTCTTTTCCTCAGCACATGGATTATTTTTAAGGATAGACCATATGTTAGGTGACAAAGCAAATCTTAAAACATTCAAAAAAACCTGAAATAATATCACCCATCTTCTCTAACCACAATGGAATAAAATTAGAAATCATAACAAGAGGTATTTTGTAAACCATACAAACACATGGAAGTTAAACAATATGCTCCTGAATGACCACTGGGTCAACATGAAGAAATTAAGAAGGAAACTGAAAAATGTCGTGAAACAAATGATAATGGAAACACAACATACCCAAACCTATGGGATATAGCAAAAGCAGTACTAAGAGGGAAATTTATAGCCATAAATGCCTACATCAAAATAGAAGAAAAACTTCAAATAACCTAATGATGCATCTTAGAGAACTAGAAAAGCAAGAGCCAATAAAGCCCAAAATTAGTAGAAGAAATGATAAAAATCACAGCAGAAATAAATGAAATTGAATGAAGAAAACGATACAGAAGATAAATGAAATAAAAAGTTGGTATTTTGAAAAGATAAATAACGTTGACAAATGTTTAGCCAGACTAAGAAAAAAAGAGAGAAGACCCAAATAAGTAAAATTAGCAATGAAAAAGGAGACATCATGATCAATACTACAGGAATTCAAAGGATCATTAGTGGCTACTATAAGCAACTATATCCCAATAAATTGGAAAATCTGGAAGAAATGGACAAATTTCTAGATACATACAACCTACCAAGATTGAACTGGGAGGAAATCCAAAACCTGAACAGACCAATAACAAGTAATGAGATGGAAGCTGTAATAGAGTCTTCCAGTAAAGAAAACCCCGGGACCCGATGGCTTTATTGCTGAATTCTACCAAACATTTAAAGAATACCAATCCTATTTGAACTACTCCAAGAAAATATAGAAGGAGGGAATTCTTCCAAACTCATTCTATGAGGCCAGTATTACCCGGGTACCAAAACCAGACAAAGGCACATCAAAAAAAGGAGAAAACTACAGGCCAATATCTGTGATGAATATTGATGTAAAAATCCTCAACAAAATACTAACAAACCAAATTCAACAATACATTAAAAAAATCACTCATTCATGACCAATTGGGATTTATTCCAGGGTTGCAAGGATGGTTCAAATGCAAATCAATCAATGTGATATGTCATATCAACAGAATAAAGGACAAAAACCATATGATCATTTCAACTGACGCTGAGAAAGCATTTGATAACATTCAACAACCTTTCATGATTAAAAAAAATCCTAAAAAAACTGGGTATAAAAGAAACATACCTCAACATAATAAAAAATATATATATGACAGATTCACAGCTAGTATAATGTAGAATGGGAAAAAACTGAAAGCCTTTCCTCTAACATCTGGAACACAACAAAGATGCCCACTTTCACCACGGTTACTCAACCTGATACTAGAAATCCTAGCTAGAGCAATCAGACAAGAGAAAGAAATAAGGGGCATTCAAACTGGAAAGAAATGAGTTATCCTTGTTTGCAGACGATATAATCTTATATTTGGAAAAACCTAAAGATTCCACCAAGAAACTTTAGTAAAACTGAAATGAAAAACTTCAGTATCTTTCAGAAAAACTGCAGGATATAAAATCAACATACAAAAATCAGTAGCATTTTTATATACCAACAGTGAATAATCTGAAAAAGAAATTTAAAAAGCAATTCCATTTAAAATAGCCACATATAAAAGTAAACACCTAGGAATTAGCTTAACCAAAGAAGTGAAACATTTATACAATCATAACTATAAAACACTGATAAAAGAAATCGAAGAGGACACAGAAAAAGGAAAGTCACAAAAATTCTACAGAAGAGGACATACAAAAATATTCCATGTTATTGATCGGAAGAATTAATATGGTTAAAATGTTCATACTAGCCAAAGAAATCTACAGATTCAATGCAATCCCTGTTAAAATACCAGTGACATTCTTCACAGAAACAGAAAAAAAATCCATAAAATTTGTATGGAACCACATACAAGCTATCCATAACATTTCCATAAAATTTGTATGGAAACACAAACGACCCATAACAGCCAAAGCTATCCTGAGCAAAAAGAACAAAACTGGAGGAATCACATTATCTGACTTCAAATTGTACTACATAGCTATGGTAACCAAAACAGCATGGTCCTGGCATAAAAACAGACACACAGACCATGGAACAGAATAGAGAACCTAGAAACAAGTCCACACACTTACAGTGAACTCATTTTTGACAGAGGTGCCAAGAACATACACTGCGGAAAAGAAACTCTCTTGAATAAATGATGTTGGGAAAACTGTATATCCATACGCAGAAAACTTTAACTAGACCCCTGTCTCTTGCCATATACAAAAATAAAATCAAAGTGGATTACAGACTTTAATCTAAGACCTCAAACTATGAAACTTCTACAAGAAAACATTGGGGAAATGCTCCAGGACATTGGTCTGGGCAAAAATTTCTTGAGTAACACCCCACAAGCATAAGCAACCAAAGCAAAAATGTACAAATGGGATCACATCAAGTTAAAAAGCTTCTGCATAGCAAAGGAAACAATCAACAAAGTGAAGAGACAACCCACAGAATGGGAGAAAATATTTGCAAACTTAACCCTGTGACAAGGGATTAATAACCAGAATATATAAGGATCTCAAACAACACTATAGAAAAAATTTGAAGAATCCAATTTTAAAAATGGGCAAAAGACCTGAGTAGATATCTCTCAAAAGATAACATACAAATGTCAAACAAGCATATGAAAAGGTGTGCAACATCATTGATCACCAGAGAAATGCAAATCAAAACTACAATGAGGTATCATCTCACCCCAGTTAAAATGGCTTTTATCAAAAGACAGGCAATAACAAATGCTAGCAAGGAGGTGGAGAAAAGGGAACCCTCATACATTGTTGGGGGAAATGTAAATTAGAACAACTATGGAGAACAGTTTGGAGGTTCCTCAAAAACCTAAAAATAGAGTTATCCTTTGGGAGGGCGAGGTGGGCAGATCACGAAGTCAGGAGTTCATGACCAGGCTGGCGAACACAGTGAGATCCTGTCTCTACTAAAAACACAAAAATTAGCTGGGTCTTGTGGCAGGCACCTGTAATCCCAGCTACATGGGAGGCTGAGTCAGGAGAATCACTTGAACCCGGGAGGCAGAAGTTGCAGTGAGCTGAGATCGCACCATTGCACTCCAGCCTAGGCGACCAGAGTGAAACTCCATCTCACACACACACACACAAAAAAAAAGAAAAGAAAAAAATAGAGTTATCATATGATCCAGTAATCCTACTGCTGGGTATATACCCAAAAGAAAGGAAATTAGTATGCTGAAGGGATATCTGCACTCCCATGTTTATTGAAGCACCATTCGCAATAGCCAAGACATGGAAGCAACCTAAGTTGCTTTACATACATCAACAGATGAATGGATAAAGCAAATGTGGTACATATATACCATGGAGTACTATTCAGCCATGAGAAAGAATGAGATCCTATCATTTGCAACAACATGGATGGAACTCAATGTCATTATATTAAGTGAAATAAGCCAGGCACAGAAAGATAAATTTCATATGTTCTCACTTATTATGTGGGAACTAAAAATCAAAACAATTGAACTCATGGAGATAGAGAGTAGAAGGATGGTTACTAGAGGCTGGGAAGAGTAGTGAGGGAGTGGGGGTTGGGGGGAAGTGGGGATGATTAATGGGTACAAAAAGTACATATAGTTAGAAAGAATGAGTAAGACCTTGTATTAGTCTGCTGATAAAGACATACCTGAGACTGCATAATTTATACAGGAAAGGGATTTAATTGACTCAAAGTTCCACATGGCTGGGGAGGCCTCACAATCATGGAAGGAGGAGGAGCAAAGTCACATCTTACATGGCAGTAGGCAAGAGAGCGTGTGCCCTTTATAAAATCACCAGAGTCACTATCCCGAGAATAACATGGGAAAACCCGCCCCCATGATTCAGTTACCTCCCATGGGGTTCCTCCTATGACACATGGGAATTATGGGAGCTACAGTTCAAGATGAGATTTGGGTGGGGACACAGCCAAACCATATCAAACTTAGTATTTGATAGCACAACAGGAGGACTGTAGTCAATAATGATTTAATTGTACATTTAAAAATAACTAAAAGGGTGTAATTGGATTGTTTGTAATGCAAAGGATAAATGCTTCAGGGGATGGATTCCCCATTTACCATGATGTGAGTCTTACACATTACATGACTGTATCAAAGTATCTCATGTACCCCATAAATATATACACCTACTATGTACCCACAAAAATTAAAAACTAAAAAAGTTTAAAAGGGTCTCTGTAGTTGTAATTAAGTTGAGAACCTTGAGATGGGGTCATCTTGGATTTAGGGAGTACCCTAAGTCCAATGAAGAGGAGAAGACACAGAGACACAGAGAAAAGGCCATGTGAAGATGGAGACAGAGATTGGGGTGATGCATCCATCAGCCAAGGAATGCCAAGCATTGCTGACGATCACCAGAAACGAGGAGAAATACAGGAAACAGATTCTCCCTCAGAGCTTCCAGAAGGAAACAACACCACCAACATTTTGATTTCAGACTTCTGGCCTCCAGAACTGTTGGAGAATGAATTTTTGTTGTTTTAAGCCACCAAGTTGTGCTAATTTGTTAAAGCAACCTTAGGAAATCAATACAAGGGGTACCGACAAATAACCTCTTGCAAAAACTATACTCAATGGAAAAATATAGAATACCTTTTCCCTGAAATCAGGAGGGAAAAAAGGGTGACCACCATCATCACTTCTCTTCAACATTGAAGGGGAGGTTCTGGCCAGTGCACTAAGGGGAGAAAAAGAAATAAAAGTCATAAATATTGTAAAGAAAGAAATTAGGCTGGGCACAGTGGCTCATGCCTGTAATTCCAGCACCTTGAGGCTGAGGCGGGCAGATCACCTGAGGTCAGGATTTCGAGACCAGCCTGGCCAACATGGTGAAACTCTACTTCTACCAAAAATACAAAAATTAGCCAGGCGTGGTAGTGGCGCCTGTAATTCCAGCTATTTGAGGGCTGAGGCATGAGAATCGCTTGAACCCGGGAGGCGGAGTTTGCAGTGAGCTGAGGTCACACCATTGCACTCCAGCCTGGATGATAAGGAGAGACTGTGTCTCAAAAAAAACAAAAAATTTAAATTGTGATAAAATCATTTTTGGATAATGTGATTCTGTATATTTAAAAACATCTGAAAGAATGTACAGACAGGCTGGCTGCAGTGGCTCACACTTGTAATCCTAACACTTCGGGAGGCTGAGGCAGGACGATTGCTTAAGCCCAAGAGCTCAAGACCAGCCTGGGCAACAAGTGAGACCCCATCACTATAAAATTTAAAAAATAAAAATAAATAATGTCCAGGTAAATTCTTAGATCTGTCTCTCAGTCATGCGAGGACACAGTAAGAAGGGCATCATCTAAAGGCGGGAAACAGACCTCACCAGATTCTAAATCTGCTAGCACCTTGTTCGTGAACTTTCCAGCCTCCAGAACTGAGAGAAATACATTTCTGGTGTTTAAGCCACCAAGTCTTGGTATTTTGTTATAGCAGCCTGAGCTTATTCTTTTAGGTTTTAAACGTTTTAAGTTTTAAAACTTAAATTTTTTAGAAAAAATAACAATTTTAACCAGTTTTATTTTTCCTTTCTGGTGTTATGGAACATAATGAGGTTCTTGTTACTTTTTCCTCAATTGTTGATTAAAGTTGCCACTTAAGTGTGAAGTTTAGATAAACAACAAATTTAGGAGACATGATAAAAAGTTCATTGTTTATCTGAAATTATTATTATCATTTTTTTTGAGATGGAGTCTCACTCTCTTGCCTAGACTGGAGTGCAGTGGCATGATCTCAGCTCACTGCAACCTCTGCCTCCCAGGTTCAAGCGCTTTTCCTGTCTCAGCCTCCCAAGTAGCTGGAATTACAGGTCCATGCCACCACACCCTGCTAATTTTTGTATTTTTAGTAGAGACGGTGCTTCACCATGTTGGCCAGGCTTGTCTCGAACTCCTGACCTCAAATGATCTGCCCTCTTTTACCTCCCAAAGTGCTGGGATTACAGGCATGAGCCACTGTGCCCGGCCTGAAATTCATCTAATCAAGCATCTTGTATTTTTATTTGCTAAACTTTGATGGATCTTTTTTCTGTGGGTCACCATTTTCACAAAAAAGAGATTGATTAACTCTTGCTAAATAGGAAATTGGCAGGCAGGAAATGTGAAGAAGGTCCAGCTTTAGACAGAATTATTCTGTAGGTGTATCTAACAAGTCCTTCTCCTCTTGTTCTGTTTAACAACCATAACTTACTGTAAGTAATAAGCAATGATGGAAACTTCCATAGAGAAGAGAAGGCTTTAGAGTTAGTTACACCTGAGCTCAAATCCTAGCAGCATCTTTTATTAGCTTTGTGACCTTGGGCAAGTAACTCAATCTTCATCTGTAAAATAGTAATACTATTACTAAAAGCCTTCCACATTGCCATAAACCTTAAATAAAATAATATATGTAATAACTTAGCATGACAGCTGCCATAAATTAAAGTTCTCAACAAATAGCGGTTCACTTTTTTTCTATATTGGAGACAAGGTCTCACTCTGTTGCCGAGGCTGGAGTGCAGCAGCACGATCTCAGCTCATTGCAGCCTTGACCTCCCCAGGCTCAGGTGATCCTCCCACCTCAGCCTCCTGAGTAGCTGGGACTACAGCTGCACACCACCATGCCCAGCTAATTTTTTTGTAGAGATGGGGTTTTGCCATGTTGGCCAAGCTGGTCTCAAACTCCTGGGCTCAAGTGATCCTCCCACCTTGGCCTCCCAAAGTTCTGGGATTACAGGTGTGAGCCACCGCACTTGGCCCAAATGGCAGTTCTTCTTGTTAGTGTTGATACATGGTCCCTTTCTTTTATACCATTAAGGAAAGGACATAAAATAAATGCACAAATGACTATAATACGAGGCATACAATGATGTTGGTGAAATAGGGAAGGTATTATATTATGGAACTTCAGACGAGAAGTCATCTACCCTTTGATTCTTGCAATCAGATGTTCACTCGACACATAGTAATTGAACTTGAACCATGCACAGGTACACTACGGGCTACATTTGATGTGGAATTTAGAGTAATGCCATAGACTGTTTATGTCCCTCCAAAATTCATATGTTGAAACCAAATCCCAAAGGTGCTGGAATTTAGAGGTGAGGCCTTTGGGAAGTGATTAGGTCCTGAGGATGGAACCCTCTTGAATGGAATTAGTGCCCTTATGAAAGAGGCTCCAGAGAACTCTCATGCCTCTTCTGCCATGTGAAGTCACAGCAAGAAGATGGCCATCTGTGAGCCAGGAAGTGGGCCCTCAACAGACACCAAATCTACCAGTGCCTTGATCTTGGACTTCCCGTCCTCCAGAACTATGAGAAATTTCTGTTGTTCACAAACTACCCAATCTTGGTATTTTTGTTATAGCAGCCCAAGTGGATTAAGACAACAAAGGACATTCTAAGTGGCAAAAACACCTTGAAGACTTTTTAAGTGGAGAAAGCAGCTTTCTCCATGGTGGGAAAAATAGGGAATACATATAGGGAATAGCACATGACCTTGTTTGAAGGTGAAAAGAGGAGGAGAGTCAGGAGATGGGGTGGCTCTAAGTGCTGGGTCTAAGGATCTGGGCTTGATGTCACATCCATGGGGGTGCTATTAAATGTATTTTAGCAGGGCCATGAAAGATGAGGATGCACAAAAGAGTATTCTGCAGCATTGCACAAAAAGGAATGAGACGGAGATTTCCTAGTGGCTTGGGGAGGGAGGACACTGAGTTCAGGATCTATTGCAATAATGCTGATTTCATCACTCCCCTGCTTAAGACTCTTTAATGGCTTCCAGCTACCCAGAGGATCAAGTCCAGAGTGCTTTAGCTGGTCTAAAAGACCTGCATGTTCTGGCTCCTGCCTACTCCTCCCACCTTATGTCTCTGGGCTCTGGCCACAAGGCCTTTCTTCAGCCCCTTGGGCTGTTGGGACTCTCCCATATCTTGGGCTTCATGTTCGCTCTTCCATCTCCCTGGCATGTTCTCCTCCTACCATGTGGCCCTGGTAAACCCTACTCATCATTCATATGTTAGCTTAACTGACCCTCTGAGGGAAGTTTTCCTGGAGCCTCTAATTGGATGAGGTTTTCCCATTGTACACTCCCAGAGCATCCTAGGGTTCTCCTATGCGCACGCTTCACTATTTGCATATTTGTAATCATTTGCTTACTGCCTATAACTCTAGGTAGGAGGGCAGGAACTCAGCATACACTCCCCCTTTTCTTTTTTTTTTGAGACAGAATCTGGCTGTGTGCCCAGGCTAGAGTGCAATGGTGGGATCTCGGCTCACTGCAACCTCCACCTCCTGTGTTCAAGCGATTCTCCTGCCTCAGCCTCCTGAGGAGCTGGGACTACAGGCACGTGCCACCACGCCCAGCTAATTTTTTGTATTTTTAGTAGAGACGGGGTTTCACCATTTTGGCCAGGATGCTTTCGATCTCTTGACCTCATGATCTGCCCATCTCGGCCTCCCAAAATGCTGGGATTACAGGTGTGAGCCACCGCGCCCGGCCAGCATACACCACCCTTTGGGTACTAAGTAGTTGGCTGTCAATAAATACTTATTGACGGATGGACATGGTGGACAGTAACGGACTCCTTCGATTAGGATGATGGCAATGGAAATAACAAGGAGGGGATGGAGAAATATGAATCTGGAAGTCCATGCTTGCCTCTCTCCAAATGGAATGGTCTAGAACAGGGGTCAGCAAACTGTGAGTGGGGCCAAATCAGGCCAGCTGCCTGTTTTGTAAATGCAGTTTTATTGGAACAGAGCCACATTCATTCATTTATGTATTGTTTATGGCGGCCCTCACTTCGCAATGACAGAGTTGAGGAGTTGCAATGGTGAGCGGCGGGGCGGCCTGCAAAACCTGAAATATTTACTATCTGGCCCTATATAGAAAAAGTTTGCAAACCGCCACCCTAAAAGAAAGACTGCATGGAGGTTCGCCATAATAATTACAGTGGTTATCTTTGTGTGGCAGGATTATAGATGGGCTTTATATTCTTCTTAATTTTCTGCATTATTCATATTTTCTATGAAGAACATTATTTTTTATAATCAGTAAAACAATAAAGGTTATTAAAAAACAGATTGAGTGCCCCACTAATTCTTTTTAATTTTTAACTTCTAAGTGTTTTACACTTTTTTAAGGGAAAATCTTGTGAACCAGAGCTCTTTGCTTTGCTGGCTTTGGAGGGCAGAGCCAGACAACTCTAAGAGCAACAGAGGAAATCTCTGCTCCCCTGTTTTCTGCCCCAGTGGGACTGTGCTTTTCTGCTAGTTGGAGTCTGGCTTCTAATTCTAGGTTTACATAATCAAGCTGAGTGTTTCTATAAAACTTGGATTCCATTATATGTGTAGTTGTCACAAACTATACATGTCCATAATCAGCAACTTTATGGAACACTTAATATCTAGCAGTATTCTGACTGGAACCTATTTTCTAGAGTTTAATAACAATTATTAACTAAAGCTGCAAAGTGTAGACCCACAACTTTAACAGTGATTGCAGATTTTTTTTAAAAAAAAGTGTTAGCAAATGACTTCAATTAAAACAGAAAATGAATTTGCCAGATTTTCGTTCATGGCTGTGTCCCCAGCATAAGGAGCACATAATACGTGCTTAACAAATATCGGTTAAATCAAGAAATGAATTACTATAAAAGAAATAGGAGGCCAGGTGTGGTGGCTCACGCCTATAATCCCAGCACTTTGGGAGGCTGAGGCGGGCGGATCTCCCGAGGTCAGGAGTTCAAGACCAGCCTGGCCAACATGGTGAAACCCCATCTCTAATAAAAATACAAAAATTAGCTGGGTGTGGTGGTGTGCGCCTGTAATCCCAACTACTTGGGAGGCTGAGGCAGGAGAATCACTTGAACCCAGGAGGCAGAGGTTGCAGTAAGCCGAGATCATACCACTGCACTCCACCCTGGCAACAGAGCAAGACTCCATCTCAGAAAAAAAATAAAAAAAAGGAAAAAAGTGATACTCAGGGAAAATGATCTTTTACAAAACATTTCTATTAAGTATAAGAACAATGTGTACTCTTAGAAATACTGAAAATTAGGAAAAGGAGAAAAAAATCAAATCTATTATCTCAAATTTAAACCTATGAGTCTGGACACACTCTGGGAGACTGAGGTAGGAGGACCCCTTGAGCCCAGAAAGTTCAAGACCAGCCTGGGCAATGTAGGGAGACCCCATCTCCACCAAAAAAAAAAAAAAAAAATTTAGCTGGGTGTACTAGCAGGCACTTACAGTCCCAGCTACTCAGGAGACTGAGGTGGGAGGATCGCTTGAACCTGGGAAGTCAAGGCTACAGTGAGCTGTGATCATGCCACTGCCCTCCAGCCTCAATGACAGGGCAAGACCCTGTCTGAAATAAAAATAAAAATAAAGCTATCATCATCATTATTTTGTTGCACTGCTCTCATTCTTTTTCCATATGCCTAGCTTTGGAAATGTAATGTTAACTATGTACATTTACAATTTTGTCTTCCTCTTAAAATTAATCTTATAACATAAAAATTTTCCATGTAATTTCAAGGTCTTTGTAAACATTAATTTTAATGATTATATAATAAATGAAGTGGAATTCCATTATTTACTTAATTTCCACAGTAGTTTCTTTTCTTTTTTTTTCTTTTTTGCCCAATCTGGTAGACAAAGGTATAGTTTCTTTTCTTTTGTAATTATAAATACTACTACAAATAGCTTTGTGCATTTAGCCATTTTTCAAATAAAGCACTTGACAGGTAGCATATCAGCCCGGAGCGTCTACGGAATGCTACAGTAACAAACCCTCAAATCTCCGTGCTATGACAACAATGGTTTATTTCATGTTCATGCTATATGTCCACTGCAAAAACAGAATAATGGAATAAAGTCCTATAAAAATTCAGTTCCCTGCAATTTGATTCAACAAATATGTGTTGAGTGCCTGTTATTAACAAGGCCCACTGCTAGTCCTGAATGTAGTTGAAAAGATTTTCTGATGAGTCACAGATAAAATGAAAAGTGGGAACTTCATTTTCATCACATGCTGTACGGCAGCAGAAAAAAAATCAATAAGGCAAAAGATCATTTTTCTTAGTGTAGTCATTTGTATACCATGTCTGTATTGTTTCAGATGTGACTCTCTTTTTCTATCTGCCTCTGAAAAGCACTCCTTTATGCTTCAAGGACAGCCTGGTGTGTCTCTAGACCAGTGGAAAGCTTGATAGAGTCAATGCCAGGCCCTGGGATCCCCAGCCTTGGTTTTGCAACACACAAGTGTTCCCTGTGACCTTAAATGCTGTTGTGAAACTTTCCAAACAAAACACATTTCAATGCATGAAAAACAAATAAAAGAAAAAATACCCATTAGACCAATAATCTCCATCCTATGAATTTTCCTAAGGAAATATTCCAACAAAGGAAAAAACCATATACACATGAAAATCCTTGTTGTAGATATTTGTAATAGCAAAAGATTGCAGGTAAATTGTAGTATGTGTACTAGATGGAATACAATGAATCAGTAAACATTGATAAAAGTATGAAATTATGTAGAAACACAAATGTTTATGATTTAAAAGGAAAATAAAATTTCACCTATGTTGTAGAATTATATAACACGAATACGTTTTTTAAAAACTAGTAGGAAACATAAAATGGCTGATTTGTTACGAAATAGAACTTCTGCATTGTTTTTAAAGATTTGTATTTCTTCTATTTTTAACATTCAAAGCAATAAAACTTTTTTTTTTTTTTTTTTTTTTTTTTTTTTTTTTTTTTTGAGATGGAGTCTCACTCTGTCGCCCAGGCTGGAGTGCAGTGGCACGATCTCGGCTCACTGCAACCTCCACCTCCCAGGTTCACACCATTCTCCTGCCTCAGCTTCCCAAGTAGCTGGGACTACAGGCGCCTGCCACCATGCCCAGCTAATTTTTTTTGCATTTTTAGTAGAGACAGGGTTTCACCGTGTTAGCCAGGATGGTCTCAATCTCCTGACCTTGTGATCCGCCTGCCTTGGCCTCCCAAAGTGCTTGGATTTCAGGCGTGAGCCACCAGGCCCGGCCAACATTTTTTAAAAATACAATAAAACCCATTCCTGGGAGGAACTCTATGTTCAATTAATGTTTTTAAAAGTTGGAAGTAAAGACTTAGGTAGATTGCTAACACTGTGTTGGGATGTTTGTTTGGTAGCTCTTCTGGAAGCAACTGATCAGCTCCCCCTTTTTCTGCTATGCCCTTATTCCTCATCGCTCATAGACTGAATCATCGAAATAAAATGTTTTGAAATAGAGCTGTTTGGAGAAAAGAATATCCATTGCTATCTCTTGATATCACTTTCCAAAACTCAGAAAATGAATAGTTTTGAATGCCAAGGCATGCTTCGATATGAAATCTGTGGATCTAGGTGACAGAAGACATTTTTCAGAACTGACTATAATCAAGTCTTTCATTTTGCATTGAGTGGGCACACAGCAGACACCCGATAAATTGTTGATGGAATGAAAAGGAGGTGAGGGCTCTCTGTGCCCTCCAGATCAGCAGGCATTCAATGTGGGAGGCAGGAAGGACCATGGGATGAGGCCCAGCAGCCCCTGCAGAGAGCCCTCTCTCCACCCGCCCCAGCCCCACGGAGATCCTGGAGGAGGCATGAGCAAGAGCAGGCCCAGCGTTGGTGGGTTGATGGTTCTAGGGCGTTCCAACCAATTTTCACACCCTGTCAACAAAAGTGGAAGAAGGGACTGTTGAAAACCACCAAGGAGCTGCTGGGTTCCTGTACCTCACGTCAGCCAATTACATTCTTTACTGGAAGCTCTCTTGGGCTCTGATGCTGTAAGAACAGACTCTTGGAACCAACATTTATCCTTGAATCAAAAACTCGTTGGAAACATTACTGTGCTCTGCCATTTGAATCCGTAATACGCCACCAAGGCCAGAGACTTTTTTTTCTTTAGTATCTGTAACAACTCTTTGTTGATGATGTTAGTTTTGGTGTTTTGGTTTTGCCTGGAGCAGATCCCAATTTCTCCTTCGTAAACTTGATGACTGGCACAGCACAGCAGGAGCCTTCTAAATAGCTCAAGTGGCATCAATCTCAGCAGCCAGTGGCCACATGCCACCTCGTCACCTTGGCTGGGGTCCTGTAGACAGCACGGTGGCTGGTGGCATCTGTTTTGGCTGCTTCTCTGGGCTGTGCCTGAGCAGTGAAGAGACCAGTGTGGGTTTACCAGTGACCAGGAAGTCCTTGTTGAAAGAAAGATGGGAACAAGTCTTAAAGAGATAATTAGCATATTCCCGGGGAAATGACCCTTGACTGTTAGACACAGGCACTTGCAGTGAGCAGCTGCAATGTTACTGTTCAGGCCACCCTGGTAAGGGATCCCACAGGATCAGGGGCCCAGCCAGTCTGGGTAGCCCCAGTGGCTTTGTCTCTGTGTCTTCTTTTGCCCTACTTTGTTGCAAATTTAGCTAAAATATGTTTATCCCTTGGGTCATTGTGCAGTTTCAACTCCCTTTGCAAAATATTTCCCCAGGAGAAACTGGAGAGTAATTTTTAAGTATGAGTAATGAATTAGACTCCAGCCACATTTTCTGGGGAACAGGCAGGTGATTTTTTCTCTTTTCACACTGCAAAGAGATCCTAGAACGCTGACATCTGCAGGATGCCAGCCTCACCTGCATTCCTGACTGTTGGTTTGCTTCTTTAATGTAGAAGCTTAGGGGGAAAAAGAAGGCTTATTTAAATGATCTGATGTTTCCTTTACCAAAGATTTAAAAGATGCACAGAGTTCAGAAAACTGTGGGAAACGAACCTTCCACTGCCAAGTTTCAGGATGAAGAGAACACTCTGAGTGGTTTTCAATTGTCTGCTACAATAAATGATTAATTTTCCCATTATATTACATTAGAGGGATTAAAAATGATTCTGCCTTCCTTTTATACCCAGTTTTATGAGTCACTTGTATGATGGCGTGTCAGTAGTAATAAAGATGGACCAGACAGTTTAAATAAACTGTGCTCCAGCAGAAGGCTCCTGGGTGATGTGAGATTCCCTTAACTCTTTCTCTTGATTGAGGGTTTGGATGGAATCAGAGGCCAGGGTGGCAGGGCTGCAGGCAGCTGGGAGCCAGTTCCAAAGGCTGGCTCAAACTGGGTGGGGTTTGATGAACTGCCCCTCACCAGCGTCTCCTGCAGGCTCACTGTGTTAGTTTCCCACAGCTACTGTAACAGGGAACGACACACTGGGTGACTTAGAGCAACAGAAATGAATTATCATGCAGCTTGGGAGGCCATAGTCTGAGATGAAGATGTTGGCAGGGCCCTGCTGTCTCTGAAGGCAGCAGGGAAAGATTGGTTGGAGGCTCTCGGCTAGATTCTGGAGTTCCTGGGCTTGTGGCAGCAAAATTCCAGTCTTCACATGGCATTCTCCCTGTGTGTGTATGTCTCCAAATTTCCCTTTTTGATAACGACATCAATCATATTGGATTAGGGGCCCATAATACTCCAGTATAACCTCGTCTTAACTAATCGTATCTGCAACAACACTGTCTCCAAATAAGTCCACATTCTAAGGTACTGGAGATTAGGATGTCAACACAGGAATGATGGGGAGACGAACTTCAACCCAGACTGCGCACCCTGGTGAGTGTTGAAGCTTCACCCTCCATTCAGAAGCTGCAGGTAAGTGACCATGAGACTGCTTCTCCTCCCTGCTGCTCACCCCGGAGGAGGAGAAAAGCCAGCCTGTAGGGAGGCCCAGGCTTAGGTGAGGGACCCATACTTAGTTTGCATTTTCCTTACAGTTCTGCTCTGTTTCTGTTCCTCCTTCCTCAGATTACAGATGCTCCAATTCACTATCTAAATCATTATTATTATTATTATTATTTTTTGAGATGGACTCTCACTCTGTCTCCCAGGCTGGAGTGCAGTGGCACAATCTCGGCTCAATGCAACCTCCATCTCCCAGGTTCAAGCAATTCTCCTGCCTCAGGCTCTTGAGTAGCTGGGATTACAGGCATGTGAAAATGTGCAACCACACCTGGCTGATTTTTGTATTTTTAGTAGAGACGAGGTTTCGCCCTGTTGGCCAAGCTGGTCTTGAACTCCTGACGTCAAGTGATCCGCCCACCTTAGCCTCCCAAAGTGCTGGGATTACAGGTGTGAGCCACTGTGCCTGGCCCAAATCATTTTTCAAGAAATGATTTGGAATTTATTCACATTAAAAGAAAGAAGCATGATACCATGGAATCTTAACAGGCGATCTCAGAAGTCACCTAGTCTAAATCCTTTCCACGAATGTCCTAGATGATTCCTAGGTACCAAAGCTTCAACCAATGAATGAATGTCCCCAGTGGAATTCTGGGCCCTGGTGATCAAGTAGGATGGTTTTCTGGGAAAGTGATGGGAAGGATGGGTTGTTTAGGAGAGTTCTAAAGTCACAACCATGAAGCCACCTGTTTCTGCCCCAGAGAGTGTGCCTGGGTTTTCATACCTTGGATCCAAATAGCATCTTCCTTGGAGGCCAAGGTTCTGAAGAAGAGTGGGAGGGTGGGTGGGTGGGGGCACCCCCTTTTTGAGTGGGTGAGGCTCCACAATCACCTGAGAGCTGACGTGGGGTGACCCGTCACATATACACACAGGTTCGACACATTCTGCCCCTGAGGTTATCACAGCATCTGCTGAGTAAGTTCAATCCCTCAGGTATGTCAGAAGGGCAAGTACACTGAGATCCTGCTCCGGGAAGCTCAGAGTCCTTTTCTTTTAATAACTTTTCCCCCTATTTTCTTAAAAAGGAATATATATTCAATACATGAAACTGTGGAAAAATCATTAGAGTGTGTATTTTTTAATTGCTGTAATCCCTTTACCCAGAGATCCCTACTGCTAATGTTTCTGTGTATTTCATTTCTGTTTTCCCTCTATATATCTGTGTAGATTGATAGACAGTAGAGACATTTACAGAATAGGGCTGATATTGTAGATTACACTTTCATATCCTGTTTCTTCCAAGGGCTACTATGAATATTTCTACATGTTACTTAAAAAGCTTATACATATCATATTCAATGGCTATATAATGGTATTTTTTTGGCTATTTTATACGTTTATTAGCTATCCCATTGTTTGAGAACTTTAGGTTTGTTTTGCAGTTTGGGAGATATAAATATTTGATAATATTTGATTATTACCTTTGGTTGGTGCCTTAAAAGTGGAAGTGCTGGGTTAAAAGGCGTGAGCATTTGGAGGGATCTTGATAAATACTGCTAATTTATTACTGTCTCCCTTCCACATCCTAGTGAAGTCTTTCGCTTGTATTACAGCTGCCCAACATCTGGGCAGACAGTTCTTCATGGAGTGAGAGGTCAACAACCAGTGTCCTGGTATGAAGAGGATATAGAACTAACTTTCCCAATATTTCTGTGTCACTGAGCTGACAATAGCTGCATCCCCTTTTATTCAAATGTCTTGGGGGGTTTATTTTCCTACTCCTACTGGAGAAGGTTAGTGAGTACATGGCCAAGAACCCAGGGAGAAGAAAGCGTTGCCAGAAAGCAGTTACCTATTTTTTTCCCTAAATAAACCCATAACAGGAAGGAGATGGGAAAGGAAGAGATGAAATGAACCAAGCTGATTGTTAGCTGCTCACATTTCCTCGCAACAAATCATGCCATATAAGTTGCAGGAGGCAGATATTTAGTATCAACAGAATCATTATTTCATGCACCAGGAAACTGAGCAATGCTGGTGGAAATGTTGGCCAAATCCGTGCCCTAATTGATCTCAAGGCCACTTTTGGAAAAAAAAAGTGCATGAAAGACCCACAGGCGCCCCTAAGTGACCTGGGAAAACCTCTCTGGCTGACCCCTCTTTCCTAATCCCTTTGTTTCATTAATTTTTTACTACAAAATATTTTAGATATGTGAAAAGGCGTACCCACCACCCAGCTTGTTAAATAAAACCTTACAAATAAAGTGAGCCTTCGTGCCCGTTTATTACATTTCACCTTCACACCCCTGTTCCCAGAAATACTAATTATTCATAGTTTAGTGCTCACCATTGACATGTATTTCTTTATACTTCGGTACAGATGCATGCATTCCTAGGTACAATGTAGCATTGCTTCCCGTGATTTTTAGCTTTTGTAAGGATACAGTATACATCCTTTTGCAGACTACTTTTTTGTCCCACCGGATATCTATGAAACTTATTCATGTTGAACATGTAGCTCAGGTTCACTCATTTTTGCTGCTGCATAATATTCCTTTGTACGTACACTTTATTTATTGAGACAGAGTCTCACTTTGTCTCACAGCTACAGTGCAGAGGCGTGATTGAGGCTCACTGCAGCTTCGACCTCCCAGGCTTAAGCAATCTTCCCTCCTCAACTTTCTGAGTAGCTGGAAACTACAGGCACAAGCCACCACACCTGGCTAATTTTTGTATTTTTAATAGAGATGGGGTCTCACTATGCTGCCCAGGCTGGTCTTGAACTCCTAGGCTCAAGGGTTCCGCCTCCCAAAGTGCTGGGATTATAGGTGTGAGCCACCGCACCCACTCTGCTTAAGTTTTTGAATGATCAAATCTGGACAGAATGAACATGATAGTCGACCCTAAAAGGGAGAAAGCTGTCACTAAGGGGCAGCATCCAGAGGAGAGGCTGATTGGTCTGGATGGTGGTGATAGACCATTCTTCAACCATTGACAGATGGAACCACAACACTTCCCCGACTCCTGGTGAAGGGCCCAGGGAAATCTCCCAAATTGTCTAGTTTAGAAATGACTCTATGTACAGAACCAAGTCAGTTGATTTCCCCAGTCTATTAGTTCAGCACTCTTTACTACAAGCCTCAGAAACCAACTCTAGTTCATTTAAACCAAAATAGAACTTATTGAAAGGGTGCCAGTGACACAGAGGCTTGAAGAACCAGGTTTGGACAAGAGCTCTTGAAGCAGGAAAAATGACCCAAGGCATTTTGCAGAACTGACCTGGAGGAGACACCACTGGCCACAGATGCTGTGGCCTTCCTCAGCCCAGACATTGGACATCACCATCAACATCAACATTGGCATTGGTGGTTTCACTGTTGTGAGAACAAAAGCCCTGTTTGAGAGGGTTTCAGTGAGAACGGGAGGAAATGAGGTGGCAATGGAGAAGTCCCTGTAAAGGGAAGCTGAGAAATGGGTCTGTACCTAGAGGAGGGCATGGGGTCAAGAGGGTTTTGGGTTTTGTTTTGTGACAGAGTCTCGCTCTGTCACCCAGGCTGGAGTGCGGTGGTGCAATCTTGGCTCACTGCAACCTCTGCCTCCCAGGTTCAAGCAATTCTCCTGGCTCAGCCTCCCAAGTAGCTGGGATTACAGGTGCCCACCACCATGCTCGGCGAATTTTTGTATATTTAGTAGAGACAGGGTTTCATCATATTGGCTAGGCTGGTCTCGAACTTCTGACCTCAAGTGATCCACCTGCCTCAGCCTCCCGAAGTGTGCTGGGATTACAGGTATGAGCCACTGCACCTGGCCTAGAGGGTTTTTTAAGATGAGAACGCTGACAGCACGTTTGTGTACTCATGGGAATAATCTAGTGCAGAAAAAAGAGCAGATTAGATGATCACAGGAGCGACATTTTTGAGTAAGTGGGAAGGGATGCACCATTTGTACATGGAGGAGGAACAGTTCACTACAGTGATGGAGCAAACAGACAGTATTTCGGGACAGACACAGGAGGATAGTAGACGGGGAGGTGGGACAGGCAAGTTCTTTTCGGATGCCATCTATTTTCTCGGTGAAATAAGAAGCAAGGTCAATTGCAGATTATTAAGAAGGCAGCCAGGTGAGGTGGGTCACACCTGTAATCCCAGCACTTTGGGAGGCAGATGGATCACTTGAGCTCAGGAGTTTGAGCTCAGCCTGGGCAACATGATGAAACTCCATCTCTACAAAAAATTAAAAAATTAAAAAATTAGCTGGGCATGGGGACATGTGCCTGTAATTCCAGCTACTTGAGGGGCTGAAGCAGGAGGATCACTTGAACCCGGGAGGTCAAGGCTGTAGTGAGCCAAGATCATCACACCACTGTACTCCAGCCTGGGTGATAAAGCGAGGCCCTGTCTCTCTCTCTCTCTCTCTATATATATTATATATATGATAATTAAGGTGAAAAGGGCATCAAAAGGCTTGAGAACATGAAAAACAGAAATAACAATCAAATTTCAAAGGTTTTAATTTTTTTATTCCTGATTTTATAATATACTATGATAAAAATCAAATGAAAAAGAAATCTCTTAAAACGTCCAAAATGAACAAAAGTGGGATATAAATGATGTATATTGTTTTATCTTGGGGCATCAACTGTTAGTCTACAAAACTAGTTTCTCTACTAAAGAGCTCAGCCAGTCCTGGAGATTCTACAAACCCCCATCTATTTCCCTTTCTCCAGAAATGAAAGTGACAGAACAGTTAACATCTACTTGTCCTGAGTTAAAAGTCCAACTTGTGATATTGATTCTAACTAAACTTCAGAGAGTGAGAAAGGAATCTGTAAGAGGAGGGGGAAAACTTTAACCAGTGAGAATATACTGTGGCAAGTGCTGCATTTAAGAGACAAAGTCCAAGCAACCAGAGTTTTGCTCTTACAGAGCATGCAATGCTCTTCTGATAGCCGGAGAAGAAGATTCACCCTCCACGGATGTGTAAACAGCACTGGTTATTCTGCCAGCCACAGGATCTGTGATCCAGGCATCGTGGGCGTTTCAAAATAAGTGTTTTGAAATTTACCGCCCACACCTGCCATCTCCCTGCACCCACTGAATTTCAACACTGGTCTGGTGGTGCAATATTGATATTCCCCTGGCAAAAACTCCTTCCTGGAGGCTATGGGATGGGGTAGGCTTCTTGGTAGCAGTTTCCCTCAACTGCATGATCACCTCCCTGCACTGATTAGACAGTGTATGGCCAACCTGTCAATAAATTTGATTTAAAAATTTATTTCCTGGCTGAGCACAGTGGCTCATGCCTATAATTCCAGCACTTTGGGAGGCCGAGGTGGGAGGATTGCTTGAGACCAGGAATTAAAGACTGGCCTGAGTAATATAACGAGACCCCATCTCTACAAAAACATTTAAAAATAAAAAAAAAATTAGCCAGGCATAGTGGTATGTATCTGTAGTCCCAGCTACTCGGGAGACTGAGGCGGGAAGATTGGTTGAGCCCAGGAGGTTGAGGTAACAGTGAACTCTGTCTGATTGTGCCACTGCACTCCAGCCTGGGTAAGAGTGAGACACTCTCAAAAAAGAAAAAAAAAAAAAAAAAAAGAGAAAAGAAATAAAAAACTACAAATAGAAAAAAAATGAAATTAAAAAAATATTTTCTCCATAAAAAATTTTGCCAGGCCATATATTTTTCTCTTTGGCTCTTTTCCCAAAGTCATCCCTCTGATACTACTTGCTGGAAGCCCCAACAAGAGCACAAATTTGTCAATAATTTTCTCAGTTTCATTTAAAATGATGATTGACCTTCCCACCCCAGCCTGATTTCTTTCGGAGCGATCTAATTTCTTTGGAGACCTGTGCCTGTGGACTCGTGTTAATCTGTTAATTGAGTTAGACTGCTGCCAGAACATCACAAGCCCTTCATTTGAGCTCTATCCTGTGTCAAACGGTGAAACGCTGGATGTAATGAACCTATATTGGTTGAAAAAATGAGAGCTGATGAATTATCACCCAAATGTGATACTGATGACAGTAAATCCTTTGGAGGGGATGGCATGTCAGCCTCAGAAGTGCAGAGCTCATGGACCAGGCTGGCAGTGGGAAGGTTGGTGACTTCTAAGCAGTGTCACCTTCTGGAAGCTCTGACACTCAGCAAGTCAGTGCCAGGCGGAGAGGCATGACTCAGCACCCTGGCTCACCCCTCATAGACATTCTCCATGCCCCAGGATCGCAGTTTCAGTGCTATTCCCTGTGACTCAGCTGTCACGACCTCTTTGGGCAAGTTCCACCGCACGTTTTGTGGGCCAGGGCTCTTAATCTGAGTGCAAAGGCCTTATCAGCCAAGCAGATGGACCAGCAGCTGCCACTTCCCAGGGAAGCCAGGATTTACCCCTGGGTCAGCGGGAAAGGGTTTCCTGCGAGGATACCACGTGTAAAGTCCTTTGGGATGAAAGGCATTCTGAGGATGTGAGTTATCACAGCGGAGCTCACCAAGGCTTCTCCAATTTGATATAAATAACTCTGCATTGGCAGCAGATGGGAGGAGAGCCAACTAGTAATGAATACTAGGACAAACAAACAGGCCTCCGGGATGCCGGCCCAGCCTCTCCAAACCACAGTTGGCAACAGTTGGAGGTGGTGGTGGGCGAAGCTGTACCGGCAACATTGCATTAATCACTTATGAGTGAAGGGAGGAAGCGCTCCAGAATAACGGAAGTGCAAATAATTAGCAAAGGCCACACCACATAGGACTAGAAAGGGCATAACTGGGAAGCATGTTAATTTGCCTGACTTGATGTTTAGCTATTAACCAGCAAATCAGTAGTGACATAAAGGACCCTTCCTACTTACTAAGCTCTGTGTTTCAGAGATAACAGAGAGGGATGACACAGTGGTTGCACCACCCCACCCCCAACACAGAGCAACAACTCAATGGAAACAGAGGGAAAGCAAGTCTAGCGGTGCTGCATACAATAGCTAACTCCTGCAAAAAACAGACTCCTTATTGTATTGTTGGGGTGATATTAAGTATGGGAGGAAAAAGTGAGATGATTCCAAAGTGGGAACATTGGGGATGTGAAAGTTGTCAGAAGCAAAATGGAGTCACTAAGGTTAAGAAAACTCTGACAAACAGATCCAAGGAAGGCCATGAAGAGAGGATTCTCACACTTGTATGCCTGACCACGAAAGACTACAGAGACCACAACTTTGTACCAAGACCGTCACAGCCTTATACAACAAATGCTTCTGTAAGGACGTCTGCCCAGCAACTGCCTCTCCAGCCTTGGACGGGTGTCACCCTTGTTGTTGATCTTTTAGCCAGGGATAAGTATTTCAGAACAATTATGTAATCCCCTTCATTTTTTCCTTTAAAAATCCTTCTCTTCCTTTACCTCCCTGAATATGCACATGGTTTACCTATGGCACAGGTATTCACATTGCAATGCTCTGTTCCCAAGTAAACATCTTTTCTTTTAGACAGCCTCTCTTTGTTTGTTATTTAGATTGGTGGGGAACAAGCAAATATAAAAGACAGAGTTGCCTAGAGCTGAGATGCCAGGATTAGCCGTGCATTGATTGGGCTAAGCCATGGGCTGCAGTGAAACAGAGTGGGGAAGAGAAAGGGAGACTCTCGTTCGGCTGGGATAGTGCTCCCGGCTCTCAGGAGAAGCAAACCCAAGTCCTCCTTGGATAAAAGCATCGCCATCTTAGGTTCTCAGGGTTCCCATACATTAAGATCAACAAAATGAGTTCAGAATCAAATAACATGAAAAACACAAGCAAACAGGTTACCATGAGTGAGAATCAGCAAAAACAATCAACAACAGAATTAAACCCCCTTCCTTCGGGTAATGAAATTATCAGACTCAAAATACAAAATAACAGTGGATAAAATGTTTAAAACCTGAAAAAAAGGAATCTCAAAAATAATCAAGCAATAAGAGATCACAAAAATTACCTAGATTTTGAAAAAGACAAAATTGAAATTTGAAAACAGAATTGGCCGAGTGTGGTGGCTCACGCCTGTAATCCCAGCATTTTGGGAGGCTGAGGTGGGTGGATCATCTGAGGTCAGGGGTTCGAGACCAGCCTGGCCAACATGACAAAACCCCGTCTCTACTAAAAATACAAAAATTAGCTGGGCGTGGTGTTGGGTGCCTGTAATCCCAGCTACGCGGGAGGCTGAGGCAGGGAGAATCACTTGAACACTTGAACCCGGGAGGCAGAGCTTGCAGTGAGCCGAGATCTGCACTCCAGCCTGGGTGACAGAGTGAGACTCCATCTCAAAAAAAAAAAAAAAGAAAAGAAAAGAAAATAGAATTGCAAAAATTAAAAAAAAAAAAAGTCAATGGGTGGGTAAACAGCAAATTAGGTGAGGTGGGGGTGGTCTCAGAGGTGATGGAGGGCAGGTCCTGGGGGCTTTGCAGGGTCATAGAGGATGGTGCCAGGAAGCAATCACACTTTTGAGTACACTTGAGAGTTCTATAAAAGCCCATTAAATTATTGCAGAAAAGGGCTACATGATGACTGTTTGCACTAAGATTCTTTTGGTGCTGTTATGAGATTTGGTTTGTCTTTAATTTAGGCACACTGCTGAATGTGTGATCAATATTTAGTAATTATGTACAAATAGTCCCTGTTATAAATCAGAGTTGTTATTGCTGCCTTAAGCTTTGGCAACAAGCTGCTTCTTGGATATCGTGCCGTTTTCCTGGTGTCAGCTGCCTCAGTCAGCACTCAGCACTGTTCTCATACAAACCTGCATGTTGCAGTTAGTAGGAAACGTCTTGTTAAGGAGGGCAGACGCTGCCTTCCCAACGTGGCTAGGGTAGAGCTTCAGCACCTTTCTTCCCAGTGGGAGAATCAGGCCTCCGTCCCTAAATGCAGAATTCCAGCCAGAGGCTGTGAGGTTTTGTCCAGGCCCTCATGACTTCTTGCACAAAACTGTCCTAGGAACTTTGGGGGCTACAGTCACTCAACTCAAAAAGAAAATTCTGCTTCCTTCAAGGTCAAGGTGTATTAGTCAGAGTTCTCTTCAGGTACAGAACTAATAGGATAGATGTATATTTGAAAGGGAGTTTACTAAGGAGAATTGACTCACACGATCACAAGGTAAAGTCCCACGATAGGCTGTCTGCAAGTTGAGGAGCCAGGAAGCCAGTGGTGGATCAGTCCGAGTCCCGAAACCTCAAAAGTAGGGAAGCCGACAGTGCAGCCTCCAGTCTGTGGCCAAAGGCCCAAGAGCCTCTGGCAAACCACTGGTGTAAGATCAAGAGTTCAAAAGCTGAAGAACTTGGAGTCTGATGTTTGAGGGCAGGAAGCATCCAGCACTGGAGAAAGATAAAGGCCGGAAGACTCAGCAAGTCTGCTCTTCCACCTTCTCCTGCCTGCTTTATTCTAGCTGCACTGGCAGCTGATTAGATGGTGCCCACCCAGATTGAGGGTGGGTCTGCCTCTCCCAGTCCACTGACTCGAATGTTAATCTCCTTTGGTGCCTCACAGACACACCTAGGAACAATACTTAGCATCCTTCCATCCAATCAAGTTGACATTCAATATTAACCATCACAAAGGGCATCACAAGTAAACCCAGAGCTGAAGTCAGAGTGCCTGCCCCAAGTAATAATACCTGCAGCCCCTCCTGCAGGTTGGCACAGACTCTAGCCCTCAGTAGACTAATCCCTGACTCACTTCATCAGGTGTGGCCCTTGTGCTTCCCCAGGTGTGGACCTGGGCTCATGTTCATCAGAATCACCTGTGTGCTTAATAAAACTGCAGCCTCCAAAGCCTCACTCCGGCCTACTGAGTTCCTCTTCTGGTTGGAGTCAAGGAATCTTGCCTTCTGACAAGCACCCTGTTTGTATTAGTCTGTTTTCACATGCTATAAAGAACTTCCCTGAGACTGGGTAATTTATAAAGGAAAGTTTTAATTTACTCACAGTTCTGTATGGCTGAAGAGAACTCAGGAAACTTACAATCGTGGTGGAAGGGGAAGCAGCAGTGTCTTCCATGGCGGCAGGTGAGAGAGAACAGGCCAGGGGAACTGCCGTTTATAAAACCATCAGATCTCATGAGAACTCACGCACTATCATGAGAACAGCATGGGGGAAACTGTCTCCGTGATCCAATCACCTCCCACCAGGTCCCTCCCTCAATACATGGGGATTATAATTTGAGATGAGATTTGGATGGGGACACAGAGCCAAACTATATCACTGTCCTAGGTCAGTTTCCTAGAACCAGAGCTAAGATGGGAATTCTTGCGAACCTTATTGACTGGGGAAGCATTGCCCTTTGAAGGAGAGTGAGGGAACAGGATAGGGCAAGGGAAGCAAGTTAAGCAAGGGTCTGGTCCTCAATGGAGACTGGCTCCAGCCCAGTCCCATGGGGCGCTCCAGAACACAGACCGCACCTCGTAGTTGTCCCATCTTGACACAAGGGGAGTGGCATTTTGTGCCCTGTCATTGTACCCAAGCAAAGGTTATCCTCTGCTCACAAACTGCTACCTGCAGAAGCAGGCTGTTAATATGTGTCAGGAGTAGCCCCCCAGGCAAGATAATCCCCCTATGCCAGGACAGTTGAGTGGAGCAGCTCTCAGCCCCTAGCAGCCAACACTCACAGCAGACCCTCAGCAATCAATTCACATCCCCAGGAGATTCAAGCTAGAGCAAGATGGCTTGGCCAATAAAGCTGAAGAAAGCCTCAAATCGACATACTTTTCCTTCTTCTCCCATGGGGAACTAGACTAACTCAGCAGCCAACCAAGACAAAAGGGTTCTTTATGGAGTGGTGTCCTCATAATCACATTTGTTTCTTGCCAAGGCAATTTCAGCTGCCTAAACCTGTACCACACAGGCAAGAGAATCCAGATGTTGTCATGAGCCAAGAGAGACTCCATGATAGGAAAGCCTATATAAGGGGCCAGCACCCTGGAAGTACCCCATCCCTTCGTTATCTAGTTAGAGAGAACTGTTGCCTGGCACAGTGGTTCGTGCCTGTAATCTCAACATTTTGGGAGGCCAAGGTGGGAGGCTCTCTTGAATTCAGGGGTTTGAGACCAGCCTTGGCAACATAGCAAGACCCCCTCTCTACAAAAAATAAAAAATTAGTTGGGCACGGTGGTGCACACCTGTGGTCCCAGCTAGTTGGGAGGCTGAGGTGGGAGGATCATCTGGGCCTGGGGGGTCGAGGCTGCAGTGAGTCATGATCGTGCCACTGCATTCAGCCTGGGCAACAGAGTGAGACCCTGTCCACCCCCAAAAAAAGGATGAAGATTTTTTAAAAAGAAAGTAAACAAAGAGAGAGAAAAAACTGTCATCATTGGGCAAGCAGACAGCGAAATTGATGCCAGCCACACACATAAGGCTTCTATTTGACTTCTTAGAATCAGTAGGGAAAAATATCAATTTTATCTCAGGATTTTATCTCCTAATACTGTCCTCAAAGCCTTTGCTTCTGACCCAGCGCACATCAGAAGAGGGCTTACTAGCTGCTGCTTTTAAGGATAAATCGGTGTGTCCGAAGCCCTGTTGTCTGCCTCCCTACTTCTTCCAAGCAACACTAATGTACCCCTGTTTCCTCCTGAACTGGGCCATGCACATGCCAAACTGACACCTGACACATGTCAAATTCTCCTATAGATCATTATGAGAAACCCACATACCCCCCTTCACTCTTGCCTTTGGTTCAAAATAAATTAAAAACTGAAGACAAAGAATCTAACAGGAAATGAAAACAAAAACCTAATTTACCAAAATAGCTAGTCATTTACCCCCTGGAGGTATGAGTGGCTCACGCCTTGCTCTGAATCAGGGCATTGAATAAGAAACGCATGTGTTAAATATATATTTCAGCTTTACCTCAGACAGATGACTAATGGTGTTGTGCTGTGTTTTGTTTTGTTTTTTGTTAAACCCACAGAGATAATTATTTACTCAATAAAATTTAAACTGTTATCATAGCATAATTGGAAGTCGAGGGTAGTCATTTTCTCTCCCCGCCCCCTCCCAGCTGCAGGTGACATGGTCATATATTAGACAACATGATTATTAGTTTGCTTCTACAGTTTTGTGAAAAATTAATGGAGGGGAACTCCACAGGGCCTCATCTTCAGCAGCCTCCCTGTAGGTGCTTCTGTCCTCTCCCAACCTGAATATCCCTTATTTCTAACTGATCCATGTTCACTATCCCCAGGAAAAGGGACTATTTTACAGGCTTGCTATTTAGGGGAGAAGAAGCTGGCCATCTGTAAGCTCTCTTCTTTTTAATTTACCAGCTTTTAAGGGCTAGGAACAGTTTTGAACCATCCAAGTGAACCACTGGGTATCTGTCCAGTGGTCAGAGGGTAACAGGATCAGGGAACATTAGGAATAGATAAGACCTGGGTGATCACAGAACACAGCCCACCCATCACGGGGGTGAGCTAACCAGGGATGTATGTTAGCTGAGAGCTGGTCTGCAGAAGGGCTGGATCTGTTAGCGATGGCGGAGATCTGAGTTACCCCAAGTTACTGGCAGTGTGTCCATATGGGTCTGTAGCAACTTCAGCCCTTGCCTCCTCCGAAGAAAGCATTAAACTGAGGGCCATAAAGCAGAAAAAGAGACAGAGGCAAGTTTCAGAGCAGGAGTGGAAGTTTATTAAAAAGGCTTTAGAACAGAAAAGAAAGGAAAGAACCCTTGGGAGAGACCCAAGTGAGCGCCTGAAGGTCAAAGAGAGAAAAACAGCCCCTTTAACCTTGATCCTGGGACTTCATAGGCTCGCCTCTTTCCCATGATTCTTCCCCTAGGGTGTGCTTTCCACATGCGCAGTGCTTTCCTTACCCTTTGGAAATGAGCACGTGCAGTGTGTTTAGGGAGTTACATGCCTGCCCATCTGAGGCTTTTTCCTTTCTCTGGTGGCGTGTGTCCCCCGCAGCATCATACTTTGCCATTTTGTCACTTAACGTGTATGCCCCAGAAGCTGCTTCTCCCTGGGGTCTGCATTCAATTAACACTTTTTTTTTTTTTGAGACGGAGTCTCGCTCTGTCACCAGGCTGGAGTGCGGTGGCGCGATCTTGGCTCACTGCAACCTCCAACTCTTGGTTCAAGAGATTCTCCTGCCTCAGCCTCCTGAGTAGTTGGGACTACAGGCACGTGCCACCATGCCCAGCTAATTTTTGTATGTTTAGCAGAGACGGGTTTTCACCATGCTGGCCAGGATGGTCTCGATCTCTTGACCTTGTGACCTGCCCACCTTGGGAGAGCGTTAGACTGAAGATCTAAAGGTCCCTGGTTAGATCCTGGGTTTCGGCAATTAACGCTTTTAATGTTAACAGGTGTGGACCATCCAGAGATTGTCTCTCCCTGGCTGCCCAATTACCATTTTTAGAGCAGCAATGTGGTAACTGCTGAGCCATCACTTGACATTCCTAGTGTGTTGGGGGAGAGCCCTCTCCTGCCCCGCTCATGCCTGTCTAATTACCTAGAACAGACCTAGACCCAGACCGGATAATGGGCACCTCCCCCTGGGCTCCTGCTCAGTGTCCTACCCTGCATATGGCCCTTTCCCAGGCAGCTCCGTGGGTCTCTTCTGATTTAGGAATGGACCATGCTTCTGGGGTGACTGAATTTCCACACAGCACCCAGGGAACGAGTTAACCTCTATTTTGAATATATTCCATAAATCACTCTAGTTGATCTAAATATGGTTCTGGAATCATGAAAATAAAGTATAAGTGTGGTGCATGTCATGAGAATACAAAATGGTACTTCTTAGAACCCATTTTATTTTATTTTATTATTTTATTTTTAAGGTGTGCACTTTTATTCAGCTGGTCTCAAGTCAGTGTACAGGTAAACCCTGGCTGCCTCTACCCACTCCTAGGGAGACCAAAAGCCTTCATACATCTCAAGTTGGGGGACAAAAAAGGGGCACCACGAAGGCTGATCATTCAAAATGAAGCAAAATTAAAAAGTATTAAGGCGAAAATTAAAAAAGTTTTGCATTACATAATTTACATGAAGCAATGCTATCACCTCCTGTGTAGACTCGGGAGGGGACTGGGCCATTCTCCTTAAAGAGAAGCGGGGTGGCTTTTAGGAGGGCAAGGGACTTCCTGTAACAATGCATCTCACAATATTTGGAATGATTATTAAAAAAAAAAGAACAATGTACAATCAAAGTCTCGGCCACATTGTAGAACTTCGGGGGATGCTTGCTCCATCCAACTGCTGTCACCTTCACCGTTCCAGTTTTTAAATCCTGAGTCAAGCCAAAAAAAAAACCATAAAAAACAAAAAAGCAAATAAAGCCATGCCAATCTCATCTTGTTTTCTGCTCAGGTTAGGTTTTGTCAAGAGAGGGTGTAACGCAACTAAGTAACAGTCCGCCTAGAAGCATTTGTGGTGGACGATGGAGGGGCTGGACTCGTCATACTCCTGCTTGCTGATCCATATCTGCTGGGAGGTAGACAGCGAGGCCAGGATGGAGCTGCCAATCCACATGGAGTATTTGCGCTCAGAAGGAGCAATGATCTTGATCTTCATCGTGCTTGGAGCCAGGCCGGTGATCTCCTGCATCCTGTCGGCGATGCCAGGGTACACGGTGGTGCCGCCAGACAGCACTCTGTTGACGTACCGGTCTTTGCAGATGTCCATGTCACACTTCATGATGGAGTTGAAGGTAGTTTCATGGATGCCACAGGATTCCATGCCCAGGAAGGAAGGCTGAAAGAGTGCCTCAGGGCAGCGGAACTGCTCATTGCAGATGACTTGGCCACCTGGCAGCTCCTAGCTCTTCTCCAGCAGGGGGTTGGAGGCCACCATGGCCATCTCCTGCTCAAAGTCCAGGGCAACATAGCACAGCTTCTCCTCGATGTCATGCACGATTTCCCGCTTGGCCGTGGTGGTGAAGCTGTAGCCGCGCTCGGTGAGGATCTTCATGAGGTGGTCAGTCAGGTCTGGGCCAGCCAGGTCCAGATGCAGGATGGTGTGGGGGAGGGCATACCCCCCCGTAGATGGGCACAGTGTGGGTGAGCCCATCACCAGAGTCCATCACGATGCCAGTGGTATGGCCAGAGGCTTACAGGGACAGCAAGGCCTGGATGGCCACATACATGGCTGGGGTGTTGAAGGTCTCAAACATGATCTGGTTTACCTTCTCGTGGTTGGCCTTGGGGTTCAGAGAGGCCTCGGTCAGCAGCAGGGGGTGCTCCTCAGGAGCCACATGCAGCTCACTGTAGAAGGTGTGGAGCCAAATCTCCTCCATATCCTCCCAGTTGGTGACGATGCCATGCTCGATGCGGTACTTCAGGGTCAGAATGCCTCTCTTGCTCTGGGCCCTTGTCGCCCACGTAGGAGTCCTTCTGACCCATGCCCACCATCACACCCTGGTGCCTGGGGTGCCCCATGATGGAGAGGAAGACGGCCTGGAGAGCACTGTCGCCTGCGAAGCCAGCCCTGCACATGCCAGAGCCATTGTCGATGACGAGGGCGACAGTATCATCATCCATGGTGAGCTGGCAGCAGGTGTGGATGGGCGGCGGAGTGGCAAGGGACAAGGCTCTGTGCTCGCCGGGCAGATGCGGTCTCCGCGGTCTAGAACCCATTTTAGCTGGTAGCAACAATTCAGCCAGGTTCTGTGCCTCTGTTTAGCACCTTCTGTTTATGAGATAGGTAGTAGAGCCTACCAGGCAGTCACAAGACTTCAATCCACCTGGGTCAGCAGACCCTTTGTGTGGCATGGCATGAAATATTAATATACCGCCTTTCCTTAAAACCTGCACCTAGAGGCCTCAGTGTCTTCTCTTCCAACTCAGAGACCACCTTCCTCTATCTGCATTTTATCCTCTGCAGGTTGAATGGATCCCATGACATCTGGTGCAGAGATTCCTCAGCTCAGCAGTGCCTCAGAGTGATTCTTAGAGAGGACTAGGAACCAAGAGGCAAATGCACGAGGCACAAGTGGGCTTTGCCCCGGCGAAGGTGGAGGGAATGGGCCACTGGTGTCAGACGCTGGGATCAGATGCTCTGCCCGGCCACCTTCTCAGCCTGCTCCTGTGGATTACACCATTCCTCGTCTTCCCAAATGCCAGCCCTGCCAGCTGGGAAGCCCAGGGACCAGGTGATTGCTGTGCCTGGAATCTATCAGTCCTCTGAAAATGGCTTCTCCCTTGGCCACCAAAGGGGAGTAAACAATGCCATGGAGATTAAAATAATCATCAACAAGGACACTGGTTAATTGGGAAAGGTATTTTCCTTTTTTTTTCCTTTTTTTCTTTTTTGAGATGGAGTTTCGCTCTTGTTGCCCAGGCTGGTGTGCAGTGGCACGATCTCGGCTCACTGCAACCTCTGCCTCCCAGGTTCAAGGGATTCTCCTGCCTCAGCCTCCGAAGTAGCTGGGATTACAGGCATCTGCCACCATGCCTGGCTAATTTTGTATTTTTAGTAGAGATGGGGTTTCACCATGTTAGCCAGGCTGGTTTCAAACTCCTGACCTCAGGTGATCCACCCGCCTCGGCCTCCCAAAGTGCTGGGATTACAGGCATGAGCCATTGCGCCCAGCTGGGAAAGGTATTTTTCTTTACCAAAGAGAGTAAAGAACTATTGATTAGTAATTAAAGTCTGTGTAAACATACAACATGGTTGCTAAGGGTTTTCTTTTCTTTTCTTTTCTTTTTTTTTTTTTTTGAGACAGAGTCTTGCTCTGTCTCCAGGCTGGAGTGCAGTGGCACAATCTTGGCTCTCTCAACCTCTGCCTCCCACGTTCAAGCAATTCTCCTGCCTCAGTTTCCCGAGTAGCTGGGACTACAGGCGTGCACCACCATGCCCAGCTAATTTTTGTATTTTTAGTAGAGACCGTGTTTCACCATGTTGGCCAGAATGGTCTCGATCTCTTGACCTCATGATCCGCCTGCCTCGGCATCCCAAAGTGCTGGGATTACAGGCGTGAGCCACTGAGCCCAGCCAGGTTGCTAATGCTTTTCTATTATTTTCAGTAATAATTATAAATTAAGGAAAAGGCAAGAAGATTTGAGGATTTTTATCCCTGAAGATGAAATATGGGTTGTATTCAGAAGCTCTCAAAAAATAGTAAGAAATATTATGTTGAAAAATATATCAAACAATGGGAAAAAGTACCTTCGTATTTTTTTCCTAGCTATTAATTGTTAAGTGGGATCTAATTAAACTAAAGAGATTCTGCACAGCAAAAGAAACTACCATCAGAGTGAACAGGCAACCTACAAAATGGGAGAAAATTTTCGCAACCTACTCATCTGACAAAGGGCTAATATCCAGAATCTACAATGAACTCAAACAAATTTACAAGAAAAAAACAAACAACCCCATCAAAAAGTGGGCAAAGGATATGAACAGACACTTCTCAAAAGAAGACATTTATGCAGCCAAAAAAACACATGAAAAAATGCTCATGATCACTGGCCATCAGAGAAATGCAAATCAAAAGCACAATGAGATACCATCTCACACCTGTTAGAATGGCAATCATTAAAAAGTCAGGAAACAACAGGTGCTGGAAAGGATATGGAGAAACAGGAACACTTTTACACTGTTGGTGGGACAGTAAACTAGTTCAACCATTGTGGAAGTCAGTGTGGCGATTCCTCAGGGATCTAGAACTAGAAATACCATTTGACCCAGCCATCCCATCACTGGGTATATACCCAAAGGACTATAAATCATGCTGCTATAATGACACATGCACACGTATGTTTATTGTGGCACTATTCACAATAGCAAAGACTTGGAACCAACCCAAATGTCCAACAATGATAGACTGGATTAAGAAAATGTGGCACATATACACCGTGGAATACTATGCAGCCACAAAAAAGGATGAGTTCATGTCCTTTGTAGGGACATGGATGAAATTGGAAATCATCATTCTCGGTAAACTATCGCAAGGACAAAAAACCAAACACTGCATGTTCTCACTCATAGATGGGAATTGAACAATGAGAACACATGGACACAGGAAGGGGAACATCACACTCTGAGGACTGTTGTGGGGTGGGGGGAGGGGGGAGGGATGGCATTAGGAGATATACCTAATGCTAAATGACGAGTTAATTGGGTGCAGCACACCAGCATGGCACATGTGTACATATGTAACTAACCTGCACATTGTGCACATGTACCCTAAAACTTAAAGTATAATAATAATAATAAAAAAGAAAAAAAATTGTTAAAGCGATTTTCTCAGGCAAAGTGCCCTGATTAACTGAATCTTCCCAACCAATGACCATGTATGCGACAAAGGACCTGGCGACTGAGCCTGTTGAAGGTCTGCTTCCCCAAGGTGTAAAGAAAGAGATTAGTTCCCCACCCCCTACTGCCTCATGGGCCTTCTCACGGCAACCATTGCTTACAAAAGGGTCTGATAATTTTATGTTTTAATGACCCCATTTCCAGCACCAAGTAGCCTGTGATTGCCCCCATTTTTCTCGGGTCATTTGCTTGGCTGCTGAGCTGACAAAGCTGCCGTAGGCCTTCAGTTTACATTCAGAATCACTGATGCGCCACAGCAGACAGCGTAGAGAATGGACTCAGCCTCATCTGAGCCCCAACATAGCTGCTGGGTGCTTGGGTCCCACAGCTGCTTTGTGAGTGAAGCCGTGCCTCAGTTTCCTCACCTGTAATATGAGGGTATTTATACCTACTGTCTTAGTTTGGGTTTCCTCTCTCCCAAGAGCAGAACCTGAGTGAAGACTTGGGAGCAGGTATATTATTTGGAAAGTGTATTAGTTTGAGAAGGCTGCTGGAACCGATGACCACAAACTGGGTGGCTTGAAATAACAGAAATGTATGTGTCAGAGTCCTGGAGGTCAGATGTCCAAACATCAAAGTGTTGGCAGAGCTATGCTCTTTCCGAAGGTCCCAGGGTAAAATCGTCCCCTGCCTCTTCCTCGGCACGCCTGGGCTTGGAGCGGCATCCCTCCGGTCTCTGCCTCCGTCGCCACGTGGCCTTCTCCGTGTCTCTGTGCGTCCCTTTCCCTCTCTTATGAGGACACTCTCATTGGATTGAGGGCTCACCCTAATCCAGTGTGATCTCATCTCCCCCCTTAATTACATCTGCAAAGATCCTGTTTCCAAATGAGGCTGTATTCTGAGGTTCTGGGTGGACGTGGAATTTTGGGGGAATGCAACTTAGCCCCAGCACAGGGCTCATGGCTCCTTTCAGGTCCTAATCCCGGACTTACCCCATGTTGACCTTTAAGACGGACTAACTTAATGGGTATGCGACTTGGACGTCCTAGGAAGGGTAAAGGGTGTGGCTGGCGCTCAGGGTTCCTTCCTCACCACTCACCCCGGCCGAAATGTCCACATAAATCATTTCCAAACGATTTGACTCCACCTTCAAGACTCAGTCCTCCCAGAAATAGGAAAGATCTTCAAGACAGCTGCGATTCTCAAGGCGATGAGGCACATGAGGATCTCTGGCTGGGGGAGGGGGCTTTACAAAGAACATCTGCCCAGGAATCCTGGGAAGGATTCAGGAAGGAGTGCTTTACCAATGAAATAATTTCCACAGTCAACTGCGGCCACTTCTGCCGAGGTTTTACAGACCTCAGGTGTGTAACTTCTGTTTTAAGCTGTGCTTAGCACTTCCCAGCAGCTCGTTGCCCCTAGTGCTTGTTTGGGGGGTGGGGGGGTGGTGTGAATGGAGAGAAGAGTAAGGTTACCAGGCTGCAGCTCCCTGAAAGGGCAAACAACCGGAATTTCACATTTCCTGGAATAAGCAGCCTGAAATGTGTGGCAGGGACAGCAAATCGAATTTGGCTCACTAGCTGAAATCCCCTGTCAGATACGTGTCTGGGCAGAGTGCTGGATTAGGGAAGATTCTGAGGCTCATCTGGGCCAAGTGGGCAGAGCTGTGATAGAGTCGCAACGTGCCACAGACATCCCCAGGGACTCCTCAGGGCATGTGCCACAAATGTGTCATCCCTGGTGAATAGCTTTTTTTAGGACAGCTTCCTAAATGTGTTGTTGCCAGACATAGGTGACAAATTTAAAACACACAAATAAACAAAGTCATAGAAATGAGCTGTTTCTATGCTATTACTCCTTTGCCATATTTCTAAAGACATCTGGTTACTCAATGTAAAACCTTGTGATTTTTGAATCATAAATTCTCAGTGGCAAGGCACTGGGTCTATTTATACTCTCTAGCTGAGTACGTGCCCGATATCAGTTGTGTAACCGGGATTACTGGGCCTGGGCCAAGCCTGAGCTAAGCTAGCTGGAGCTGGGGTGGGTGAGTAAGGAGAAATGGGGATGAGGGTGTTCTAGTTCCAGTTCTGCCCCAAAGGGCTGCTGTATCACCTTGGGTGGTTCATTCCAAGCTTTGGCATCTCAGCTTCCCCATCTCTAAAATGGGAATAATGATTCTACCCCATCCTGCGTCACAGGTTGGAGTGAGATTGTGTGAGGGGGTGTATGGAATGGAAGCATGGCCTTGGGCCGAGCCAGAGTTGTCCTTTAGAACTCATTCCTGCACACTCTGAGGGCAGTGCCATAAAAAATAAGAATGTTTGCATGAGGCGGGCATTGCCCAGGAAATCCAGCTCTGATTGTTAAAAAAGACATCTGGAAATCTCCAGGGCCTAATGGTTCTGAGGATGCCAAACAAGGAAACCAGCTAAAAAGTCAGCAATGTCCCCGGGATGGGGACAAGGAACTGCCTGCGGCCACGCCTGAGGGAGGGAGCAGCGGTTTCAGGATCTGAACTTTCACTTCCTTGACACCATCTGCAGCAGCCCAGGATGGCCCAGCCAAGGCCATCTGACCTCCTAGCCAAGCCCTGAAGGGGCCTGAGAAATCACTCAGTTAAATGTTTGCCCATTTGCTTGTTTGCTTGTTTTTGTTTTTGAGATGGAGTGCAGTGGCGTGATCTCGGTTCACTGCGACCTCCGCCTCCCGGGTTCAAGCGATTCTCCTGCCTCAGCCTCCCGAGTAGCTGGGATTACAGACGCCCGCCACCATGCCTGGCTAATTTTTTGTATTTTTAGTAGAGAGTTTCACCATGTTGGCCAGGCTAGTCTCGAACTCCTGACCTCAGGTGATCCACCCACCTCAGCCTCCCAAAGTGCTGGGATTACAGGAGTGAGCCACCACGCCTGGCCTTGTTTTGTTTTTAATGAGGAAGCAGAAGGAAAAGTCATTTTCGCCAGGATCCCAAAGCTAATTAGTAGCTGAAAGGGAACAAGGACTCCGCTTCCCAGATGCCAGGGATAAAAGAGTACACAGGGAGCCAGAGGGAGACCCCAGAAAGAACCCTCTTCTTCCCCAGCAAGAGCTGGGCTTGAGAGATGACAGGGATGTGTTATTGGTGGGTTCCTTCATAGCGAAAGGGGTTGTCACTTGAGCAGGAGGAAAAAACCTGTGAGATTTCTGTCTTTTAAATCTATTTAATCCAGTCAATAATGAAATCAGTAAGAATTCTTATGATAGTCAGAAGGGTTGGATGTTCCGGAGATCTAAGCTGTGCACGGGAGGCCACTGAATTTTCTGGTTAAAGGCTGCAGTAGATTAAGATCTATGGTATAGCAAGGGAGGGCAGTGGACAGTCTGCCCTGGTGCAGGCAATGACGGGGGACATTGTCTGCAGAGAATTTAACAACACTAATAAAACGATCTAAGCACGGCTCTACGTGTTGGCAATTCTATATAATGTTAGGGACACAGTACTCCTCCTCCAATCATCTTTTGTTGGTCTAAGTTCTAAACAGCTGTGGTTACTGTTGAGTTTAATAGTATAGCTTCCGCTTAAATTAGCACATTTTTACTGTTTATCCTTTAGTAAACATTGTATTCCACATGGAAGTTAATTTGGCTGTCAATTCACAAGCACTCCGCTACACGTGTCTGTTCCAAACAGTGGATGAGAAGTAGACAATGGGAGTGATTGTAGGCAGAGACAAGGAACTTGAATGACTTCAATTCTGTCATTCTCTGCAACCTCTGCAACCAGGCAAAAATATATTCAGACTGTCAGAATGCACCTTGAACAGGTACACCAAGCTTTTTAAAATCGTTCCTTGCAGATCAGCACGGAGAAATGTGGAGAGGGGGCTGTTACCTCCACCAGAAGAAAAGGTGATTGTCAGGGAGAAAATGGACAGTTACATAGAAAAGAGAATCAACAGTCAAAGAAGAAGTGTTGGATGAAATGATCCAAGGTGCCAGTCTTAAATTGCCAGAAGAAGTTTCAGAGGCAGTGTTTGGACACCTCAGTCAATTTTACCAGGAGCTGGACAGAACACAATGGTTTAAGTAAGTCCCTGCTTGCTGTCATTCAGCTGCTTTCCCTGATTTTTGCAGAAAACTTGAAAACCAAGTATAATAGAAACGTATAATACATTTCCCGGTGATGGTTTTCTTAGTGAAAAATGTTCAACTGTGGAGACATTTGAAAGCTGCTACAATAATCCATCCTGAAGAAACAAAGACTTGAAGTGTATTGCCATTTCCGGAATTTGTTGTGCAATGGAATCTGCAAATTTATCCTTATGTTTATGGCTTTTCTGAACTTCTTGTATGCTTTTGGCTACGGGGGAAACAAAACTTCAGAAATTAAGATGAGTCAAAAGTATCCCTCTGCCAACAGTGAGTGAAGCTAGAATAATAAACCTGGCTACATTGCATATTAAATGTGGCTCTGCAAGGAAAATCAACTTTGATTAAATCACTGACAAATTTGCAGAAGTCTCAGAACCAAAAACTATAATGTCCCATGCATTAGCAATATGTAGGTAAAAGTTCTTCCCCTTTTCTCAGAAAAAGACCAGAATTTAAAAGTATTTACTTTTTTTCCTTTTTTGGCAATGTAGTATTTATTTATCTGCCATGATTATATATGTGAAGTTTAATAAAAGAAAAACTGGGGCTGGGCGTAGTGGCTCACACCTGTAATCTCAGCACTGGAACGCCAAGGCAGGAGGATTGCTTGAGCCCAGGATTTTGATACCAGCCTGAGCAACGTAGTGAGACCCCATCTCCACCAAAAAAGGAAAAAAAACAGAGGCAGGCATGGTGGCAAAAAGTTTTTTTGAGACAGGGTCTTGCTCTGTTGCCCAGGCTGGAGTGCAGTGGCACGACCTGGCTCACTGCAACCTCCGCTTCCCAGGCTTAAGCGATTCTCCTGACTCCTGAGTAGCTGGGACTACAGGCACATGCCACCATACCCGGCTAATTTTTTTTTTTTTTTTTTTGTATTTTTAGTAGAGATGGGGTTTCGCCATGTTGGCCAGGCTGTTCTCGAACTCCTGACCTCAAATGATCCATGTGCCTCGGCCTCCCAAAGTGCTGGGATTACAAGCGTGAACCACCGTGCCTGGCCAAAAAAATTGTCTTTAATTAAAAAAAGAAAAGAAAAGAAATTTCATTGTCTGCATTTCTTTCCCTGCCATTATCATTATTTGTTTAATTTTGTGATTATCATTAAAACTAATTTTGTCATATGGTAGAGGCATTGTTAAAGACGATCTACTGCAGGTGTCAAATACACTAGGCCCACTGCTAGAGCGGGCCCAGCATTCTGGGGGGATTTGCCAGTTAAAGGTGACACTCATGTCTATCAAGAGAAGAAGAAGATATAATTTGGTATTAAAACAAGCACCAACATCGGTACCTACATTCCTACGGTTACCTTTATCACATGGCAGATATTTGCCACCTGCTTCTCTTCTTGGCTGACAAAAGGCAATTTGCTGAATCCCAATGGACACAAGTACCTTGATTCTTGTGGAAAGGTCAGCTTCTACTTTGATGCTCTCTTGTTTTCACCCAAGTCCAGCCCTAGGCAGGACTGTGGAATCTGGGCAATTTATCTTTACAGGCTTCCTATGGGCCTCTTCTCTCTGAGAAGAAGGAACTTAATTCCTGCTGCCTCCCAGGCTCTCTTCCCCTGGCTCCGTATCAAATCTTCACACTTAGCGGCTGTGTGATATGTGGAGAAAGCAAGGCTTTTGGGGGTGCAATGACCCTAGTATTGTTCATTCTGGCTCTGTCACTTACTGGCTGTATGATCTAAGGCAATTCATTCTGAGCTTCAATGTTTCCATCTGTAAAATGTGGTTTATAGGCCGGGCGTAGTGGCTTATGCCTGTAATCCTAGCATTTTGGGAGGCTGAGGCAGTCAGATCACTTGAGGTCAGGAGTTTGAGACCAGCCTGGCCAACATGGTGAAACCCTGCCTCTACTAAAAATACAAAAAAAATTAGCCAGGCATGGTGATGGGCACCTGTAATCCCAGCTACTCAGGAGGCTGAAGTGGGAGAATCACTTGAACCCGGGAGGCAGAGGTTGCAGTGAGCTGAGATTGCGCCACTGCACTCCAGCCTAGGTGACAGAGTGAGAATTTGTCTCAAAATAAAATAAAATAATAAAATAAAATGTGGATGATAGCAGGTTATGAGAGTTACATGAGTAAACACACGTACAGGACTTCCAAGTTTCTTCCCTACAAGGACCAAGACTATGCACTCTTGGAGTAGATGTTCTGATGACCAAATTTCTGGTACCAGTCGACAATGGAGTTGCAAGGTATTTTAAGGGCAACCAGTTGTCTCATTGGAAAGAGCTATCCTGCACCGTCAAAGAATTTAGCAATTGGCATAAGGCTTTGGCCTTCCCACTAGGGACCCACATTAAGCTATAATCAGAGTTTCATTTTGGTGCCTACTCTAAACGTGCCATTCTTAGATAGTTGCACTGAAGATTGTGAGACTTTGTTTCTGCCCCATGAGAAGAAGGGCTCAGATCAATTGGCAAAGCCTGCTATGAAGAGGGGATCAGGGAAAGCCGGTCAGTGGAGCTCTGGGTTTGCTCTCCCTGTTTTGACCTCTCAGCTGTCAAAGCCAAATCTGTGTCCTATAGCCTAAGGCCACCCTTTCCTTGCATGCTTGACACAGGTGTGGAATAAAATCTGGTTATTTAAGCAAACATATACCGTTGGCTAGTTTGGATCCAGATAATGTTTTCCTCGAGCCAGGGTCATAATTTGAGAGGTGGGGCGTAGGCCAAACCTTAAAAAGCTGTTTGGCAACTCTAACAACTGGCAAGGAGGAAAGAAATTGGTAAACAATGTTTTAAAAATATGTGAAATGCCAAGCATTCTGTATTTAATTCCTAACATTTATTTATGGGTATTTGCTGCCATTTTTCAGGAATTCCAATAGCAAGTACCCAGTTGTTCCAAACCTCCACCCTGGTGCTCTGGAAACAAGATTCATGCTTCCAGCAGCCTCCAGGAGAATGGGGTAAACCAGGGCAGGACTTGCCCGGGAAGCCTCATACATAAGGACTGAGAGTTGATGACCAGATCCCTGCTTCAACTGACCCCAAAGGGGAGCAGTTTCTGTCCTGGCCCAAAGCCCTGCACCCATGGCACTTCCCTGGGCTGCCCCAACGCCCACGATCTCTTACATCTTTTAATGGCCAGCTAAGGACCTGTTATTTTTAATTGCAGTTTAACCTTTCTGGAGCTTCTTTATTAGTTTGAATTCCTACCACATACTAGAATTTATTTTTATTTATTTATTATTCATTTATTTATTTATTTTGAGACAGAGTCTTGCTCTGCCACCCAGGCTGGGGTGCAGTGGTGCGATCTTGGCTACTGCAAGCTCCGCCTCCCGGGTTCACACCATTCTCCTGCCTCAGCTTCCCAAGTAGCTGGGACTACAGGTGCCCGCCACCACGCCCGGCTAATTTTTTGTATTTTTAGTGGAGACAGGGTTTCACCGTGTTAGCCAGGATGGTCTCGATCTCCTGACCTCGTGATCCGCCCACCTCGGCCTCCCAAAGTGCTGGGATTACAGGGGTGGGCCACCATGCCCGGCCTAGAATTTTTAAAAAATAGTAATCAATGGACTCATTTTAATGCAAGAGGACTCACTCTTATTTGCCCCAAACTACATTCTTTTTACTCTCTGCATCTGATAGCCTGAAATTTGGTAAAACAAACAAACAGTCCTTGATTTTCAAAATTAATCATAATTTTCATGGATTTGCAAACTTCAAGTATAAGCCTCTCAAGTCTTTACCTCTGAAAACTCTCCTACAAAATTCCTCTATCTCTGTTCATTTCAGTGCCCCTGTCCTGCTTTTCCTTGCTTTGCTATAACTTTCTAGAGGTGTAGAGAACAGAAGTGAAAACTCCTTGAGCTGTGGATACCTGTATGTCATGTGATGACATACCAAGGACACAGAAGATTAAACACCGTTGTTAGTTCTCTTCCTCTTCCACCTTTTTTGGAAGAAAGTAAGTCCAGCTTCTCTTGACCTGGAGGAACATCTAAATCAGGCCTCTTTTATTCAGAATGGAGAGACTGTTCTGTCCTCTGGGTTAGAGAAAATGGATGGACTCATATTGGAAGATTTTGACAAAATTAATTGTTTCTGCAGATTGGCATTCCTTGTGAATTTTCCTGAAAGCACTCAGGAAGCTCTAAGGGTATAGTCCTAACTCTTGGGGCTTTGCTAGGGCAACTGTAGAAGGTGTTTGCACCCTGGATTAGAAGCATCAATCTTGGGTGGATTTGGGGACACGGCAGACTACACTTCAAGCCTCAGGGCTGGAGGAAGAAGGACAAAATCACGATTAGATCGAGGTAAATCCAGGTTTGCAAATGTGATTATTCAGAAATGGTGTCTTTTCTATGGGGAAGGCATGTCCCCTAAAAGCTGGTCAGAGCTAAGCTGTGAATTTTCTGTAGCTATTCAATACTGGGCAATGGTCACTAAAGAGGATACAGACCAGAAACCTAAAAAAACCATAAGACCTGGCTCTTATAAAAGATGTCAACAATATATGCTGTGTATGACTCAACTTGGACATGAATATCATTAGAAACTTTAGTGCTTATATTTCTCCAGCTTGAGTTTTCTTTGTTCTATATCCTTCCTTTACTCTTTTTTTCTTTTTTTTGAGATGGAGTTTTGCTCTTTCGTCCAGGCTGGAGTGCAGTGGCGCAATTTCGGCTCACTGCAACCTCCGCCTTACGGTTTCAAGAGATTCTCCTGCCTCAGCCTCCTGAATGGCTGGGATTACAGGCGCCTGGCACCGTGCTCGGCTAATTTTTGTATTTTTAGTAGAGACGGGGTTTCACCATGTTGGCCAGGCTGGTCTTGAGCTCCTGACCTCGTGATCCCCCCGCCTCGGCCTCCCAAAGTGTTGTGATTACAGGCGTGAGACACCGTGCCCAGCCCCTTCCTTTGTTCTTTTAGCAACTGTCCTAGGCTTTCACAGTCCAGTAAGTAGCTACTAGCTGTATATGACTATTTAAATCTAAATTAATTTAAATAAAATACAATTAAAACCTCATTTCCTTAGTTGTACCAGCCACCTTTAAAGTGCTCAAGGTATGGTTTTCTTTGAATTTATCCTACTTGGAGTTTTTAGAGATTTTCAAACCTGTAGCTTAATGTTTTTTCATTTTTTGAAAGATTTCAGACAGTAACTCATCAAATATTTCATGTGCCCCCTTCTCTCTTTTCTGTCTCTCTGAGACTTTCATGACATGTATTAAACCTTTTCACCATGTCCCATGTGTCAAGTATGCTCTTTTCTGTGTTTTTTTAATCCTTTTAATCCTGTGCTTCAGAATTGATACTTTTCTCCTGACCTATTTTCCACTACACTAACTCTCTTCTGCCATTGCTATTGTTTTATAAACTTCTTGCATTAAACTTTTAATTTCAGTTGTTTCAGTTTTTAGTTCTGAGATTTTACTTCATGCTTTTTAAAAACATAGATTCCAGTTTTCTGATGAAAGTTCCCATTTGAAAATCTATTTTCTTGAATATATAGAAAATCTATATCAAGAAAACAGATTTTCAAATGGAAACTTTAAAGTCCATGTATGATAATTCCAATATTTGGATCACCTATAGGTCTGTTTCTTCTGTCTGCTTTTTCTCTTGGCTTTGGTTATTTGGTTTTGTGATCTGACAGACCTGATAATTTTGGATTAAAAACTGTCTACACATGGTATGTAAATTGAAGAGGTTTAGGGTGTTTTTATGATCTCCCAGAAAGTATTGAATTTTCTTCTGGCAGAAGTACAGGCAGATCACATCAATCCCATCAGGGACTGAGGAGGATGATTGACAGACTGACTGGGTAAATTGGGTTACAGGAGTCTCAAGCTGTCCTGAGAAAGCACTGTTTATCTTTTATAGCAATATAAAATTCTGACTCTGCTCCACAGGAATAGTTATCTTAGCCTGAGTTTCTATAAACTGAGCCTGAGGCAAAATTCATTTGTGAATATGGTTTTTGAGGAGTGTCTTAGTTCATTTGGTCTGCAGTAACAAAGTACCATAAACTGGGTAGCTTATAAACAGCAAAAATTTAGTTCTCACCATTCTAGAGGCTGGGAAGTCCAAGATCAAGGTGCTGGCAGATTTGGTGTCTGGTGGGGGCCCACTTTCTTGTTCATAGATGGCATCTTTGAGCTGTGTTCTCACATGATAGAAGAGGCGAACAAGCTCCCTTGGGCCTATTGTATAAGGACATTAATCCCATGACCTCAGAGTCCTCATGACCTCTGCACCTCCCAAGAGGCCTCACCTCATAACACCATCGCTTTTGGGGATAGGATTTCAACATATTAATTTTGAGGAGGACACAAACATTCATACTGTAGCAAGGTGTATAGAAAAAGCAAAGAAAACGTGAGAAAAAGAGAGTAAGTAAGAAAAAGAGTCAGTCAAGATTCAAGAGAATGTGCTACTAAGATGGGCACCACTTTGTACTAAGGGCGTTGATTGCTTAAGGTTAGCATGATGTCTTCCAAAAGGCTACATGAGTGACAGTGTCTTAGCATAGTCCATTCAGAGGGAAAGAAGAAGGGAGAAGTATTTAGCTGCTGATTTTGTTGCCAATTGGTCAAAAGTTTGCCTCATGGGTCTTAACTCCCTGATACTATGCTTTGCATATATACAGGTGCCAAGAGCATTGCATGGCATCTCAGCAGTAACAAGGAAGCCCCAGGGCTTAAAAGAAAAGGCATGGCAATAGAGCAAAACAGAGTCATTGTGTATATGTGAGGTGACAGTCTCTGCAACTGAAGCCAAACTCATAGCCTCAGATACACGGGTCTCAGATGCATGGGTAACCAAGAGAATATGAGCTGGTACCTGAGAGGTGACAAATAAAGGGTACTATTATAGGACTCTTCAACTATGTGTCTCTGCTTCTTGAGACTCTGTATATGAACTTCCATCTCAACTAACACGGATGGTCATTATAACTCCATAATTCTGGAGAGTCACTCTCTGGAATGAACTTGATAGCCACGATGTTGAAAGACCAATCAGAATGTCTTTGTCCTAAGACTCTGGGATGTATGAGGTACAAGTCAGTTAACAGTGGTCCTCAACCCTTCCTACCCACATGTCTCTCCTGGAGGCAGAATCTTGGAAGCCTCGTTGATTATAGACACTCCTCAACTTATAATGGGGTTATGTCCTTGATAGCTCCCTGGTAATTCAGTCAAAAATTTTGTAAGTCAAAAATATCATAAGTTGAAAATGCATTTAACACTCCAATAAATCTATGGTAACATCAAAAAATTGTATCGGACTATCATAATGGGGGACCGGATCGTCTGTACTTTGTCTCCACCACAGTGGTATTTTTGAATTCACTGAATCACTTTTAAGGCCTTCTCAGACGTGAGTGCTCCAGGGTCGGGGGACTTCCTGAGTGGGATCCATGGTTCCAAGAACATCAATCATTTCAACTTTTAGGGTAGATAAAGTGAAGGGCAGAGTTGTCCTCTGGGATGATTTCAGGGGCAAAGAAGATCACTGCCTTTCTAAACACTTCTGCCATCTTCTTGGTAATGAATAATTGAGGAAAAATCATGTAAATATAGAGAGAATGGTGCACCAATGTCCCCTTCCTTAAAGTTAGTGATAATCAATTTTTATTTTCCTGAGATCAAGTTTTAATAGGAAAAAAGGAAAAAAAAATGGTGGCCTGCAACTTAGATGAGAGAAGAAAGAAGGAGACACAGATAGGGAGATTGAAAACACTCGATATCAGACTCATCCATTTCACAATTCCATTTGGATGGCTCCGAAATTGCAGCCCCCCTCTGAGGCTGAAGGGCCCAGGTTATTTTGGGGAAGTTAGCACACTTGGCTTTGTTTTTTTGTGTCCTTTCCCAGAACCACTCAGTAGGCAAATCAGAGGGCAAAAGGAGCCCCCATGTTCCCTTTTCCACTGTTTCTGAGTCAATTATCAACTTTTTCTTCTAAGAGACAGGGTCTCGCTGTGTCACCCACGCTGGAGTGCAGTAACACAATCATAACTCACTGTAGACTCAAACTCCTGGGCTCAAGCGATCCTCCCACCTCAGCCTTTTGAGTAGCTGGGACCATCAGTATGTGCCACCACTCCCAGCTAATTTTTTTTTATGTTTGTAGAGATAGGATCTCAGTATGTTGCCCAGGCTGGTCTCAAACTCAGCCTTAAGCACTCCTCCTGCTTTGGCCTCCCAAAGCGTTGGGATTACAGGCATGAGCCACTACGTCTTGCCTGTAATCAGTTTTGAAGACGGTGAAAATGGTGATGAGAGCACTTGCCATAGTTGTGCCTCTGGCATAAATCTATACCAAGGTGTTTAGCAAGTGTGCTTTGGTGATTTGTGTGTAATAATTACAGCAACATCTTGGAGGAAGTCCTCCAAACTTCCTAGAATAGCAGCAAGAAGTGGAGACAGAGTTCTTTACTGAGAATCTACTATGTGCCACATCTTTTGCTAGGAAGTTTCACATTTTATTTTCAAGCCTCACCATAGCACCACAAGGAAAGAACTATATTTCTCCAATTTACAGTTGATGAAAATGAGAATCAGGAGGATGGCATGAAGCTGGTGTTTAACAGAAACTTTGCCACTTACAAAAAGTAAAGTCTTCTATAGACAATACAAACTGGAAGTCTCTTTTAAGGCATAAAGCAAGGGCAGCCTGAGAGCACCTCTCAGAGTTTTATTACCGTTGAGCCCCCTACGGTTTTGCCCCCATATTTAAACACAGTGATTTTGATGGGAAAAGTTGGTTCAGGTTTTTTCTTCTTTCTTCTGTCTTGAGTATTTCAACTGGAAATGCACTTGATCCCGTCATGGTGTCAAAATCATCCTGTCCTTCTCAGCTGGCCACTCTTTGAGGCTGTTAACTGGCACAGACTGTCCAGCCAGTGCCAGGCTGCAATGCCTTCTCTGCCTGCCTGATCACTGGCTGTGCTGAGGACCAAACTAACTTCGATTGACAGTTACCTCCTCTATTCAGCCTCAAAGCCCTGAGAGCCTCCAAATAAGCATTTTCTCACCTGTTGCCATGCACTTTTACAATTTGGTCATGTGTTTATTGCAAGCTCATTTTGTACCTTGAGGGAGGGAGGTAGAAGGAATTTGATCGTGGATGATCTTATTAATGAGGGAAGCAGTAGGAAGTTCTGTCTAATCTGAAAATTAAGTCAAACGCGAAGGGTAAGTATCATTGTCTTCTAAATCTGCCTTCTTGGGCTTCTTGCTCATTCTGGGATTTTGCTCCTGTAATTGCTGGATACTAAGAGGAAAGTGCAAGAACCTCTGGTCGGACCTTAAGTGGAGCTCCATCTAGTGGGATCATTCTTAACTACAAGCAGGATGCTGCCAAGGGAGTCCCTTTTGCGTAAGTGGCCTGGCATCTGCCTCTTATTTTAGGCGCTGAGTCAACAGGATGATGGAGCATTTCCTAAATCCGAATAAGCCGAGGTAACACACCACGGATTTAAACAGGACGCATGTGAATTGAGCTAGGATATTTCAAAGCCCAATAACTTGAGTTTCGTTTACTCTTGACTGGAGAGAAGAGAGTGGACACGGAGGTGGAGTTCCTGGCAGCTGGGAAAACAGCAGGGAAGGAGGGGAGAGAGGAAGGCACGTGTCCTGTAAGTTTCTGTAAAAAGAAAAAAAAAAAAAACCCGGCATTGGCAGATTACATGAATGTCCTCTCCCTGAAGACAGAAGCAGGCTTCAGAAACTGGCTCTCAGCCCTGGAGAGAGGAAAATCCTGGTTTTTCCCACCCAGGTGGGACCAGCATTGCAGAGATCCTAAATGTTTTCATTTTTTCCTCTTCACCTGTTACTCAGTGTGGCCCGAACACAGATGGTGTCAATCCCCTCACCCCTCTTGTGTAGAGGCAGCCTGCTATAATTTTATATGGTGAGAATTCCAGGAAATTAAACACTGCTCAGATCAACATTCAGCCCCCAAGGCACGCTGTAACTTCTCTCTGCTGGAAGAGTGGATTCTTTTCCTAGAGTGCCACAGCAAAGCACCACAAACTGGGTGGCTTGAAACAATAGAAATTTATTCTCTCATAGTTCTGGGGCACCAGAAGTCTGAAATTGAGGTGTCAGCAGGGCCATGTTCTTTGGGGAGAATTTCTTTTTTTTTTTTTTTAATGTTTTAGAGATGGAATCTTGCTCTGTCGCCTAGGCTGGAGTGCAGTGGCATGATCTCAGCTCACTGCACTGTCCGCTTCCCGGGTTCAAGTGATTCTCCTGCCTCAGCCTCCTGAGTAGCTGGGATTACAGGCACGCGCCACCACGCCTGGCTAATTTTTGTATTTTTAGTAGAGACAGGGTTTTACCATGTTGGCCAGGCTAGTCTTGAACTCCTGACCTCAGGTGATCCACCTGCCTCAGCCTACCGAAGTGCTGGGATCACGAAGGCATTAGCCACCGTGCCCGACCTAGAAATTTATTCTCTCATATTTCTGAGGGGCCAGAAGTCTGAAATCAAGGTGTCAGCAGGGCCATGTTCTTTGGGGAGAATCTGTTCCTGGACTTTCTCCTAGTTTCTGTGTTGTGGGCAGTCCTTGGCTTGTAGATGCCTCCGTCGTCACACGGTGTTCTCTGTCTTCATATCATCTTCCCTCTGTGCGTGTCTTGTCTTCACATGGCGCTCTTGTCTCTACTCTTATTATAGGACACCAGTCATATTGGGTTGGGGCCCAGCCTACTTCAGATGATCTCATCTTAATTTATATCTTGATTCCACCTGCAAAGATCCTACTTCCAAAGAAGGTCACATTCATAGGTACTAGGACAGGTACTAGGGATTCAGACTTCAACATATCTTTTGGAGGGGTGCATTCAACCCACAAGAAATAGCAGGCAAGAAAAAAAATAAACTACAAGCTCACACCAGTTACAGGGTGTGGGAGAGGAGATCACAGTAGGGAATCCCCAGTCCTGCAGTTTGCCATTTCCCTGAGTTCCTGCCTCCCATTGACCCGAATCTCCATTATATGAAGCTACGTGGACAACACCAGACGAGACCATGATATCTTATACTGAATATTATCTGAATGGGATTAGAAATATGTTTTAAAGATGTGACTTTTCCTTAGAAAGGCAATAAAGGTCCATTATTTATTTGGAACACCTTCCACTTTATATTTGTCATGAACTCACTGCCTTTTATTTGTAGTGGGCATACAGGAAATAACCATGACCTGCTTGCTACTATCTGTGCATTTCCATTGAAATGGAAGGTCAATCTGAAATATGTAGGAACTTTCCTCTGAGTTGCTTTATCCAGGACATCTCCTTGTTTACAACACATTATTTATTCAACAGGTAATAAAATAAATCCTATTGCACTAAAGCATATACTAAACACTCTGATTCCATATGCTTTTCAATGCATGTTGCCCCTGTGCTGATAACACATGCATGTATGCATCAATTAAGTTCTGACCTTAGAGAAAATACTTTGCGCCTTTTTTTCAAACAGATGTAATAATACCTATCATGTATTGCCTGCCCCCTATGTGCCAGACACTATGCTAGCTTCTATGCATTATTTTATTTCATCCTTAAAATAAACTTATGCTGTATTATTATTATTCCTATTACAGATAAAAAAGCTAAGACTTCAATAACTAAGCATCTTGTTCTAAATCACGTAGCTTTTTAGTGGTGGAGCTGGAATTTAAATCCAAGTTTATGATTCCAAAGCTCACATTAGACCACCTTCATAGAATGTTTTCCATTGGCGGATTTTCCCTGACCAATCTAGTTCTTTTTTCTCTTGCCAAGCTTTGACTCACAAGAAAAGCAGCCCAGATTTAGGTGCATAAACCAGCAATTAAGGGTCCAAACCCATTTCCATGGCCCCACATTTTGCTATTGACCACTAGGTGGAGATATGCCTATTTTCTCTCCAAGTGATCTTGAACTCTTAACCGAATATATTAGTGAACTCATCTCCTCTCTTTGGGCCCCACAAAGTCCAAATGGATATAGAAGCAGAGTCAGATTACTAATGGGTCAAAACACACAGAACTGGGTATATGGACTAATCTGTTTATTTTAGTGTTTCTCTAGGCTTTATCAAAATTTTTTAAAAATCCAGTGATTCTAGATGATGGTTGAATGAACAATCCACTTATATACAATACCACTATAGGCTTGGAAACTACATGAATGTGGTTTTTGAACCACAAAGAGCTACACCAATGTAATGATCACCATAATAAAAATTCTGTGCCTAATAAAGGTGAAGATGCGATGGGCATCTTTCAAATGGACTTAGTGGCTATTATAAGATTATCTAATCTGTACAGACTATGTTCCTGGAGTAAATGGTAGACGGCATATACTCTTTGTGTGTCTGCGTGTGTGTGTGCATGCGTGTGTGTGTGTAATTGACTTTATTGGACCTTCAGTCCTTCATTAACTTATCTAACAAGTATTTATTAAGGGCCTCCAAGGTCAGGCCATATGGTAGGTATGGTACGTACACTGGTGAACCATATGCCACAGGCCCCAGTTCATATCATGGCTTGTGCAATAATGGGTGCATTGCAAACAAAAGATAACTTTCCTGGGTAGATATATTTGTGTGTGTGTGTGTGTGTGTGTGTGTGTGTGTAGAGTCAATCCTCATCATTTGCAGATTTTGAATTTGTGAACTTGCCTACTCACTAAAATCTATTTGTAACCCCAAAATTAATACTTGTGGCACTTTTATGGTCATCTGCAACACACAGAAGTGGCCAAGAAAATTGAGTCACCCAAAATGCACGTTCCCAGCGGAGGTCACACAAGGTGAGACACTCTGCCTTCTTGTCTCAGCTCTTGTACTATAAACAAGTGTCTTTCTCCTGGCCTATGAAATACCACATTTTTCACATTTTTGTACTTTTTGTTGGTGATTTTTCTGTTTAAAATGGCCTGCACACATACTGCTGAAGTGCTGTTTAGAGTTTCTAAGTGTAAGAAGGCTGTGATATGCCTGATGGAGAAAATACATGTGTTAGCAAAGCTTCATTCAGGCAAGAGTTATGGTGCTGTTGGCTATGAGTTCAATGTTAATCAACAATATATATTAAATAAGCATTCTTTAAACAGAGAACACATAAAACAAGGTTATGTATTGACCAGTTGATGAAAGAAATGTGACCGAAAGCTCACAGGAACTTAAGCCTCTATTTCCCCTAAGAGCAGTGGTTCAGTATTGGCCAATTAAGTCTTCAGGGTGACTTTGTAGACCATAGCCACTGGGAATAGCAAGAATTGACTCGTGTGTGTGTGCGTGTGTTGTAGTGTTAATAGGATTCCAAATGATCCTGGTGAGAGCTGGCATTGGTAAATATCAGCATGGCTGCTCAGTGAGCTCTCAGATAAGTCATATGCAGGCAAGATGGGAGGAGGGACCTAGTGATTAAAGTAACTACAGTAGGTGAAGAAAGAAGGTATGGGAGCTGGAGGGGATTTCTGATTTGTAGGCCAAGTACTCTACTATTTACATTTTTCATCTAAGCCAGAAAGACATAGATAAGAAGAAGGAGAGGGGAGATAGGAAAACTCATGAATGACCCTACAAACAAACATGGAGCTACCCAGATTGGGAGAACTGACTTTCCGATTCTACGGGATGATTGAGAAAGAGCCAATCTAGAGTTAATCTGTCACAGTAGGTTTCAGGAATGACTCTTACAGATGTTAAAGCTTTCTTATCATTTTCCATTATCTTTAATCCCCTGTTTGTTTTCTTGCCCTGTCCAGCACAAAATTGCCTTGATGACTTCCAAAGTATTTCCAGCCTTATTAAGGGTTGGAGTAGAGCAAGAGAGATGGACAGCTGGGTCCCTTCCTGCAGTGCCCATGTGGGAGAGCAAAGTCTGGGGGAAAGCAGGTGGTGATGGCTCAGAAGGAGAGCAGCTAGCCAATCCTTGGAAACCCTGAAGAAAGAATCCTTCACTACCCAGAAATTATTCCAAGATAGTTCCCACAGGTAAATGGTCCTGTAGCCAGCCATCCAAAGACATTCTCAAAAGAAGGGCCTGGACCTTTAAGAACCACGGGAGGAAGTTCTAAACACTGTAGAGATCAGGGCTTGAGACAAATGCTGGGGCCAACCCAGAGGGCTTTATTGATCTATCAGAGCCAGGGAACAAGGAAGACAACTCGTAGACCTAAGGGAGACTGTAGTGTAAATATCTGCCAAGAAGAATGCAGAACTACTCAGAACTGCTCAATAACGCTTTTGTTTCTGTATCACGGAAAATGATCTTTCTACCAGGAAGCGTATAATAAAAATAAGCTTAGAGAGCTATGAAACCCAGAGAGGGAGGAGCCTACAGCTTTAACATCCTGAGTGCGTGAGATAGAGCAGACAGAACTTCGAGCTCAGATGAGTCATATTGCAGGGGGCTGGGAGCTGTTGCGGGGTGATGGCTGAACAATTAGGGCAATGAGAGAGACACGACAAACACCCAAAGGGTCTGATGTAAAGATTTTTTTTTTTTTTAAAGAGGGAAATGTGGAGTCTAAGAATTATGAACAAGTTAGTGTTACTTCCTGGTTAAAGATTAGTACCTATCATTCAGCAGTCAGTTTTTCAGCCTTAGTCATGAGTAGAATTTAGAATAGGTGATGCCAAACTAACCACATTTTTTCTTTTTCTGGATTACTACTAGATTAGCAGATCGGGGGAATTCATGGAGTTCATGTGTGTGGATGTTGGCAAAGGCTCTGTCATGGTGCCATATAAATGAGATGGAGAAATGTGAATTGGATAATATCACACCACAACCATGGGCTGGATGGTCAACTGACCAAGAACATGGGCCAGCCAACAGCAGAGGCCCCTCCCAATTCCAAAGTGCAGGAAAATTGATTGGTTGCCACTTTTGAGCAAGAAGCTGATGACTCACTAAATTTCTACTATTGTGCTTGTTAGAGGAATACAATGATGCGTTCCTTCCGTGAGTTAGCCTGTTCAACCCAGCAGTTCCACTAAACATCCACTCAAATGCTTCTACATGAATGTTCACAGCAGCATTATTCCTAACAGTCAAAAAGTAGAAACACCCCAATTGTTCACCAACAGATGAATGGATAACAAAAATGTGGCATAGCCATGCTTCACATGTGTGCATTTCACTGTATATTAGTGTCACCTAATAACAGAATAGGGTATTAGTCTGTTTTCACATTTCTATAAAGAACTACCTAAGACTGGGTAATTTATGAAGAAAAGAGGTTTAATCGACTCACAGTTCCACAGGCTTAATAGGAAGCAAGACCAGGAAGCCTTAGGAAATTTACATTCATGATGGAAGGCAAAGGGGAAGTAAGCGCATCTTACTGTGGTGGAGCAGGAGAGAGAGAGAGCAAAGGTGGAAGTGTCGCACACTTTTATTTATTTATTTATTATTTATATATATTTTTTAATTATACTTTAAGTTCTAGGGTACATATGCACAACATGCAGGTTTGTTACATAGGTATACATGCGCCATGTTGGTTTTCTGCACCCATTAACTCGTCATTTACGTTAGGTATTTCTCCTAATGCTATCCCTCCCCCCTCCCCCAACCCCATGACAGGCCCGGGTGTATGATGTTCCCCGCCCTATATCCAAGTGTTCTCATTGTTCAATTCCCACCTGTGAGTGAGAACATGCGGTGTTTGGTTTTCTGTCCTTGTGATAGTTTGTTTAGAATGATGGTTTCCAGCTGCATCCATGTCCCTGCAAAGGACATGAACTCATCCTTTTTTTACGACTGCATAGTATTCCATGGTGTATATGTGCCACATTTTCTTAATCCAGTCTATCATTGATGGACATTTGGGTTGTTTCCAAGTCTTTGCTATTGTGAATAGTGCCGCAATATGTCACACACTTTTAAACCATCAGATCTTGTGACAACTCACTCACTGTCATGAGAACAACATGGGGGAAATCTGCCCCCATGATCCAGTCACCTCCCACCAGGCCCGTCCTCCAATTCAACATGAGATTTGTGTGGGGACAAAAATCCAAACCATATCAAACAGTAAGCAACAGAAAACATAGTATATCCACAATGGACTATGATTTGGAAAGAAAAAGGAATTAAATACTGATACATAGTACAGCATTGACAAACCTCAAAAACATTATGAAAGAGGACAGTCACCACGACTGCATACTGTATGATTTCATTTTCATTTCATTGTATGAAATATCCCAGATAGGTAAATCTAGGGAGAATGCAAAGATTAGTGGTCACTCAGGGCTGGGGGTGGGGGGTGCAGGTTGGAAGAAATAGTGAGTGACTGTGAGTGGATGCACAGTTTCTTTTTGGGGGTGATGAATTGTTCTAAAAATTGAATGTGGTGATGGTTGCACAACTCTGAATGTACACACAAAAAACCCATTGAATTGTGCACTTTAAAGAGATGAATTATATGGTATGTGAATTTTATTATTTGTATTTCTTTACACATACCAGTCATCTTCTGTTTGGGCGTTAGTTCTCAATTAGGATATAAAAGGATTCAGCAGTGATGGAGTTTCTCACAAAGGGGTGATGGGCCAAGGAGGTCATGGTCAGAAGGGCAGAGTGCACCCTTCACTGGCCCCTCTTAGGTGATGCTTGCAGAGTTGCTCACAGTTGAGCTCTTTGTAAGAAAGAACATAGAGGAAAAGCTGTAAGCTGCCAGCTATAGAAACCCCTGCAATGCTCCCTTCCTTCCTGTGAGGCACTTGTTCTAATGCGGGTAGTAACTTCTTTGAAATGCTCCAATCATGCCTTTCAGGGTGAAACCCCACATCAATAGCCAGCTTGGCAGCTCCCCAAGTTAGGCATCCATGACTTTCCTCTCTTTCACTGGTGCAACTGACACCATCTTGGAGTCCTGGTTGTCCACCATTGGTCATGTGAATTACTGTTGGTAACAGCTCAATAATGCTGTCATTTATAAAGAAGAGTGAACTTTTCTGGTAGAGATACATGTCAACAATGACAACACACCCTGGTTGGTCCTATGTCATAGGCTGTTTTAATTTACATGTTTACTTTTCAGCTCCTCTACCGAGGAACCACAAAGTAGTAATCTTTGCATCCCCAGGGCCCATGAAAGTTCATCCCTAAATGTTGAACGCTCCATAGATTGGTAGCCTGCTAGCTGGCAACTTGGGAAAATTAATTGCAAGAGAATTGAATCCTCAGTGAGTGCTTCTTTGTAAACATGGGATATTGAAATTTCTGTAAAGCAAGCCCTCACATAAAAAACTCACTTTACAGTGTGAAAATGCCAAAGTTGATTTAAAAATAAAATAGAAGTTAGGACAAATATATGCTTTTGCAAGCATTTATTCAGTGTTTAAATTCAAACAGCTCATATAAATGATATGTTCTAAACATTTCTTGGGGGGTACTTGGTCATGGGTAGGGTGAAATGAAGTTTTTTAAAATAAAAGTTCCATAAAGTTTTGACTGAAGGTATCATGTTTTTCCCCAGTTAATCTTTCAGGGTTAAGCATTGCTTTTCTTTATTGTGCCAAGAACCTCCAACTTCTAAGTTAGGTTTAATCTTCTCAAAAAGTATGCTCTGAGTATTTGATGGGTATGAATGTCTCCAAAGGTATTCAATGGAATATGCTGGTAAAAAGAGCTCTTTGAGGCTTCTCATTCTATGAATTTCAACGATTCCATTTTCATAAACTCCCCATGCTTGAGCTGCTCTGAATGAAAACTTGACAACTCAAGCCTATCTGCAAGAAAAACTTCTTTATTCAACACATAATGTAACCAGGGAAGATTTTTCTTTTTTGACAATTCCAATGGTGTTACTGTCCAAAAGGAGTCTTGTTCTCTTAGAATGAAGTTCTCAAAATATAGATTACAGAAAAAAAAAAAAGGAAATTGAAACCTCACTGAGATACTACTTCTCATTTCTCAGAGGGCCAAAAAAATCATAAAGAAGGACACCATACTCATTTCTGCTGGCAATATTAAGTGGTATAATCTTTATAGAAGAGAGTTTGACAATAGCTAGCAACATTATATGCATTTGCCTTTTGACTCATCAATCCCACTTCTAGGAATCTATTCCAAAGATGCTCTCAAAATAAGAAATTCATATACACAAGGCTTTTCATGATGACACTGCTAGTAAGAGCAAAAAACTGGGAATAGCCCAAATGTCCATCAACAGAGTAATGGTTGAATAAAGTACCTTCACATGTTGGAGTACTATGTAGCTGAAAAAAAGAACAAAGTTTTCTATGTATTGGTGTCAAGTGAGAATAATTTTTAAGTGCAATCCAGATGCAGAAAATGTGTATAATGGGTTACCTCTTCTCTGTGAAGGAAAAAACAACAAATATTTACTATATTTATTTGCTTACATAAAAAAATAATTGAAGGACAAATCAAAACTAAAAAATATTACTGTGGGAGAGGGAGGCAACAGAGGAGGGTACAGGTATGACAGCTAGACTTTCTGTTTATTTGATGGTATCTAGGAATTATTACTAATATTTTTAGATGTGATGATACTGTAGTATGTTTAAAAATTGCCTTATCTTTAGTGATATAAACTAAAGGCTTTTTAAAAGATAAAATTATGTGATATCTGGGACTTTTTAAAACTTTTAATTGCATTTATTCATTTATTGTCTTGAGACAGAGTCTCACTCTGTCACTCCGGCTGGAGTGCAGTGGCGCGATCTCGGCTCGTTGCAACCTCTGTCTCCCAGGTTCAAGCGATTCTCCTGCCTCAGCCTCCTGAGTAGCTGGGATTACAGGCACGCACCACCACGCCCAGCTAATTTTTTAATTTTTAATAGAGAAGGGGTTTCACCATGTTGGCCAGGCTGGTCTCAAACTCCTGACCTCAAGTGATCCACCCACCTCGGCCTCCCAAAGTGCTGGGATTACGGGCGTGAACCACTGTGCCTGGCCTTAACTGCATTTATTTTAATGCTGAATTTACTCCTGTGCCATAAGTTTTTGTTTCTTCAGTTTCTTCTGGGACATCTTTTTCTTCTGGGCAACCTCTTCTTTTGGTTTAGGAATAATTTGTTCCTTTTCAGTAAGGATCATCTCGATGTGGCAGGGAATGCTCACGTATGGCTTAATCTAACCATGAGCTCTGTAGGTCTGGTAACACATCTTAGATGCTTTGTCCACTTGGATATGCTCAATGACCAGAGAGTCTACATCTCAACCCTTAAGTTCAGCATTGCTCTCTGCATTTTTAAACATGTGCAGCAAAAATTCAGCACTCTTCTTGGGTCACCAACCTTGTGTCCAGCCCCACTGCTTGGCCTGGGCACACCTACCAACTCCACCACTGTAACGTTGGAATGGTACACACTGTTTCTGTAAAGTGACATCTTTCAGATACTTCATGGCTTTTTGTATATGCATAGCCTTGATGGCCTGGGCAGTTTCACGAGTGTTCTTAAAGTGAACAGGAAAATTTGAACCTCTTGATTTGTATGATTGTGTGGGCTTCTACAGATCAAGTGAATAGCAAACCATTTTCACAGATTACCTCAGGTTGTACCACTTAGTATTGCCAGCAGAAACACTTAGGGGAAGAGCTGAGACTTTCTTTAAAATAATTCGCTGGGGATGGAAGGGAAAGTAGGTTGAAGTAAAGAAACAAGAATGGCCAGGTGTTGATAATTGTTGAACTTGGTTGATAGCTACATAGGTGTTCACTTTATTTTTACTTCTTTTTCATGTTTGAAGATTCCCTAAGTAAATTAACATGTGTCATGAACTCTAGCTTTCCTCTTTCTTGACTTCTGATAATTTACCTAGAATATTATTTAATGCTTCTGAATCTATGCTTGTCCCATGAGCTGTAATATTAAATGAGCTAATGATCATGCCATCTTTCTTTGCTAGTTCTGCTAAACTGCTTTCCATGCATTGAAAGGAAATATTTTCATTACAACGATGACCAACCAGAAGGCAAAATAATTTGTTGATTGCGATTGGCTTCCGTCAGCTATTTTCTTTGTGACTGAAAATTACGTTTGTAGCTTAACAGAACCACTGGAACCGGGAGGCTCCTTCATGTCCATCCATGCCTGACTTCCGTTGCCAGGTGGAAGACAAGCCCTTTTGCTGTCTGAGGAGCTTGTCAGCATAACTCCTAGAGATGTCAGGGTGAATCTTGCTCCAGTCCCTCAGCCTGGAGTTCAGAAACGTTCTTTGGACAACACTGTGCTAGCCTGGAGTCTAGGATGCTGAGGCAGCATTTCATTCATGTCTGGGTGTACTGGTAGTGTACCCCATATCCCTGCAGGTCCTATATACAATGTCCTGTATAACTCTAAGATGGAAAATGTGAACCTGGTGTAGGTAAGATGATCTCTGACATATACAGAGATTAGGCTACATACAAGCCCACCTCAGCAATAGATGGTTAGGTTTCCAGGAAGGGTAATGGGACCCTTATTTTCTCAGACTTTATACCCAATGTGTACATCTCTCTCCCATGAGGATTTTATGACCCAGATGCTAAAAGAATGCATTGGGGATGGAAGGAGAAAAGGGGTTGAGGTATAGAAAAAAGAAGATAATTTAAAATTAATTAAAGTTGTAAAGGTATTTGCTCAGTGGTACCAGCCACATTTCAAGCACTCAGCAGCCATGTGGCCACTGGTTACCGTCTGGTCAACATGGAAAATTCTGTAGGGCAGCTCTGATCTGGAAGCTTGCACTGAGAATCTTGATGGTTTTTCACTTGAACTCCAGCCGAATTGACTTCCTTCTTTAACCTTTAGAAATTAAATCCTGTTGATGTCATACAAGGCATCTCTGTATCTGGTCTTGTCAGGAGTTTGAGCCTATTGCTAACATTGGCCAACACAGTGTGGAATATAGTGCTTCATTTCTTAAATGGTTGCTCTCCTGACTTATTGTGGAGATTTTATATTTTATGCATTATATTTCCTTTTCTCAGTCATAGTGATGAATGAAAAATTGTCAAAGTGTGAAGAAAAATGTACAAAAACTAGAGAGCTGTAAATGAGGCTCATTTGCTTGCAGTGTGGGTGCTGACCGAGCTGACTTCTGCTGGCTGGTCATTAGGCAGACATGGATTTGAGTTTCGTTATTAAGGAGGGTACCATTTATGATAAGAGTGTTGTAGGATAACAAGTTGTCATTATATACCACAGTTGACTTGACACACCATAATTGCCACAGCCAAAGTAATTGACTTCAATGTCTTCATAGCTTGATATTCAAATACTTTGGTAGTTAATGAAGTCTTGCCCATTTAAGGGTTTAGTCTAGAGTCAAAAATCCTAATTCCTAGTAGAAGGTGATCATGGTGGCCTTGATCAAGGTGATCAAGGCTATCTGAGCTGGTGGTTCCTTAACAAAGCATCTCAGACTATAGATAGTATCTTCTTCATGTGGTTTCCAGAGGGCGTAACATTGCTCTCCTAAGGCATTACTTTTTAACTATTTGATTAAATCCCCCTTAAAAATACGTTTTGGTTACACAAATAGAGGCATAGTTACTACCCAGGCAACTCCCTAAGGAGCCCCACTGAGGATATTTCTGGGAATTTTTTCCTTCAAGAAAGAATTGTTTCAAAAGTTTTGCTCAGGGACCTAGAATTTCCCTGAAAGATCATAGGATATTCCTGGCATAGGTTTGACATTACAGCACATGCTAGCCCAGCTAACTAATAGTTATTACACATCATCTTACACAGGAAGGTGCTAGCATGTTTTATGAATTTGAATGAATATTTGGAAATCTGACTGGTGTGGTAATGAAAAGATTTTGGCAGAAGCAATTGAGGAGCCCTTGACAATTACAGTTGAGAAATTATCCTGAGACAGCTGGAACATCAATTATGAAATAACCTTCCAGCTTGACATTTTAGATATCTCATATTTTCCAGCGTTCTAAAAGAGAAGACAGATGGCTCTAGCAGTTAAGCTTATTTCTCAGTATATTGAAATCCAAAATCAGGGCAAAAATGTGGTATGAACTAGACACAGGAGAGGGGCTACAGATGGGGTTGCTGGTCCAGCTCTGCAGTAAAGGCAGTCTTCATTGCCAAAGTCTCCTGTCTTTTACAAGGTATGAGATAATAGGAAGGCAAAGATGTTGGATGCATTTCATGCATGCATTTACTCATTCAATTATTATACATTCAGTTGATTATGGTTTGTGGGAGGATAGGATTTTCCATCCTTCTTACAGCCTTCTTGTCTTTTCCTCGTATCCCAGTGAGGAGAGGGTCTTAGAAAGACAGCCAAGCTAGGAAGATCACTTAAATGATAATACATATTAATGGTTAATATCAGCAAGAAGGACTTGTCTTGTTCACATCCTGCCCAAAGGAGCCTGAAAATCTTATGACTTGTGCTAAGCAGGGGAACAGGGAGGAACCTTGCTTTGGCTTCCTGGATAGTGCAGGAGGAATGCTCCCCATGACTCTGTGGGCTGCCACCAGGATGGAGCCAGGATCCTGAGGAAGGGCTGAGGATGGGAGGAAAAAAGAGAGAGGGCAGAGAAAGCAGAGACCCTCACAGGGAGGAGGGCTCTGTATGTAAGTAAGGACATGTCTGGCCCCATCTTCTGGAAGCCATGTGTGTTTCTGATTGCCTAGGAATAAGATTGTTTTCTTTCTGGCAATGGACTAGCCAGCCAATCGTCAGACCCTAGAAGAGGGAGGTGGAGGCTGGTCAAGGACTTATTCATCCGCAGGCCCCAGAGGCCCTTTGTGGGGAGCCTTAGAAACTTCACAATGGGGTCATCTCCAGAAGCTGCTTCTAAGGACTGGGAAGGGAAGGCTCATGAGTGAGCAAATGTACAAGGACAGCTGGAACTTAAGGGAAACGAATGACAGAAAGAAGCAAGCATTTACTTAGGGCTGTGCCAGGCACCTGCAGATAGCACTAGACTCGCTTGAGAAGTTTCCATGAACAGATATTTATAGCTGGGTTTTAAAACATCATAGTAAATTTGTTTGCTATGGTGGGCAGAATAATGACCCCCCAAAACTGTCCATGTCCTGATCCCTGGCACCTGTGAATATATCGGCTCACTTGGAAAAAAGAACTTTGCAGATGTGATTAAGAATCTAGAGATGGGAGGCCAGGCGTGGTGGCTCACGCCTCTAATCCCAGCACTTTAGGAGGCCAAGGTGGGTGGATCATCTGAGGTCAGGAGTTCGAGACCAGCCTGGCCAACATGGTGAAACCCCATCTCTACTAAAAATCAATAAAGTTAGCCAGGCTTGGTGGCAGGAGCCTGTAATCCCAGCTACTCGGGAGGCTGAGGCAGGAGAATTGCTTGAACCCAGGAGGTGGAGGTTGCAGTGAGCCAAGATTGCGCCATTGCACTCCAGCCTGGGCGACAAGAGTGAGACTCCATCTAAAAAAAATAATAATAATCTAGAGATGGGAGACTATCCTGGATTATCCAAGCCCTGCAAGTAAGCGAGAAGCAGGAGAGGCAGACTCAGAGCATGAGGTAATAGAAGCGGATGTTGGAGTGATGAGATTGCTGGTTTCAAAAACAGAGGAAGAGGCCTGGAGCCAAGGAACCCAGGCAGCCTCTAGAAGCTGCAAATGGGAAAGACAGATTCTCCCTGAGCCTCCAGAAGGAGTGTGGCCCTCCTGACTTCTTGATCTTTGCCCAGTGTATTAGTCCATTCTGACACTGCTAATAAAGACATACCTGAGACTGGGTAATTTATAAAGGAAAGAGGTTTAATTGACTCATACTTCCACATGGCTGGGGAGGCCTCACAATCATGTCAGAAGGCAAAGGAGGAACAAAGGCACGTCTTACATGGTGGCAGGCAAGAGAGCTTGTGCAGGGGAATTCCCATTTATAAAACCATCAGCTCTTGTGAGACTTATTCACTATCACAAGAATAGCCTGGGAAAGACCTGCCCCCATGATTCAATTACCTCCCACTTGTTCCCTCCCATGACACGTGGGAATTATGGGAGCTACAATTCAAGATGAGATTTGGGTGGGGACACAGCCAAACCATATCACCCTGTGAGTTTCAGACTTTTGACCTCCAGAACTACAAGATCATAAATTTGTGTTGTTTTAAGCCATGAAGTTTGTGGTCATTTGTTACGGCAGCAGTAGGAAACTGATAGACAGCAGTCCATCTATATCTGTGGGTTGTGGGTTCTGGGTTCTGCATCTGTGGATTCAACCAACCAGGAATCAAAAATACTTGGAAGAAACCGAATGGATGGTTGTGTCTGTGTTGAACATGTACAGAATTTATTTGTTATTATTCCCTAAATGATACAGTATGACAACTACGTATGTAGCATTTGGATTGTACTGGGTATGCTAAGCAATCTAGAGATAATTTAAAGCATAGGGGAGGATGTGTGTAGGTTATATGCAAATACTACATCATTTTCTGTAAGGGACTCGAGCATCCATGGAGTTTGGTGTCCTGGAACCAATCCCTCATGGATACCAAGGGACAATTGTACTTGTCTAACTGGATGATTGCCTAGTGTTTTTATGAGAAAACTAAAGAGGATGGACTCTTTCCATACCCCTTAGAAATACAAAATATCTTGGGAAGGCACAATAAAGCATGAGTAACATAGAAATTATGGAATATAGATTTTCCCCAAATAAGTGGAATTCTTACCTACCAATGTCCTACATTTTGCAGCCTGACAGTATGGAGGGAGAGCCCTGTCCTGCCCATGCACAGCCTGAAGGCACACCCCATGTGGATAGAACACCACGTTGCACATCCTCCCTGCAGAGCGCCTCAGGCCCACACTGCTCCCTACCCATGCTCAGTCCCACTTTGCCCAGCCGCAGTGTTGGACTCATTTTCCTCTGCTGGGTGAGTCTCGATGAGCCCTGCCTCCACTTGGGCAATTGTTTATAGAAGGTCAGCAGATCTCCTCTTCACGAAAAATGGGTCCACAGACTTTCTACTAGTGCAGGTGACCGAGGCCCCCCAGCCAAGGACGGGTTTTTCAAGCATTGGTGACAGACCTGTGTGACCCCAAGCTTTATGGGCCAGTGCTGCATCTTTCCAGTCTCAGTAGGTTTCCAGGAGCCCCGATGACTAAGACTTCAAATGTTCCTGAGGGACAGGATATCGTGATTGAGAAACCAACCATGTCTTACCTCCTGCCGTGAAGTCATTGATGAAAGAAATGAAGGTATTTTCCTTTCTGCACTCTAAGAAGGCAGCCCAGTCTTTGGGTCCTAGAGGGCTGGGTTTTCTCATCTTATCAACACTTCGATCTGTTAAAAAAAAAAAAAGTCTAGGCCCAAGAGCTCAGTTGTCCAGGGAGTAAAGGAGCTGTGTTAGTTTCCTGGTGCCATTATAACTAATCATCACAAACATGGTGCTTGACACAACACAACTCTATCATCTTCCAGTTCTGGAGGCTGGAAGTTTGAAGTGGCAGGGCTGGTTCCTGCTGGAAGCTCTAGGGTAAAATCCATTTCCTCACCTTTTCTAACTTCCAGAAGGCTCCAACCTTCTTTTGCCTGTGGCTCCTTCCTCCATCCTCAAAGTGCATCCTCCATTCTCTGCTTCCTTCATCACACGGCCTTCTCCTCTTCCGAAGTCAAATCTCTCTCTGCCTCCCTCTTCTGAGGATACGTGTGATTATATTTAGGATGCACCTGGATAATCCAGTATAATCTCCCCATTTTAAGAGTATTAATTTAATTGCATCTGCAAAGTCCCTTTTGCCATAGAAGTTACACTCCCAGGTTTCAGGGCCAAGGACATGGGCATTTCAGGAGACCATGACTGAGCAGGGGCCTGGGGCTTTAGGAAGTGAGCAGTGGTGTGGCCTCAAAGAGAGCAGTTAGACTTCCCAAGCCCAAGTGGGGTGGATTTCTCCTTCCATCCCCTTCCATTGCAGCACCCTGTCAATAACAGGATTCTCATGGGACACCCAGAGACCAAGCCCTAAGCTATGAGGCTAATGGTCTTTGCATCCAAGCTTTGCTCAGAAAGGACGTGGCAGTCCACCTTCGAAGGGACCACATGACCTGAGACAATGCATGAGGATTCATACATCATCCAGGATGGACTGAATGCCAAAAAGACCTTTCCCCAAAATTTCTGGACAGACTCTTACAGTACTTGAGGGAAGCAGAGTGGCACCCCAAAACCCGACGAAGTGAATTCACACTACCTTTGTCAAGCAGAGTCTCAGAACTATGTTTGATTTGCTTTAGAAAAAGTATAGTAATAGAACATATTTCCTGAATGCTGTCAGGTAAATTCATACATGTCTGGAGATGGGGCATGATTGGCTTCTTAAGCAAATATAGTCACATGCCACAAAACAACGTGCGGGTCAACAATAGACTGTAGATACAACCATGGCCCATGAGGTTATAATGAAGCTGGAAAAGTCCTATCACCTAGTGACGTCATAGTTGTCATAATGTCGTCTCGGTGCAAGGCATTCCTCTCGTGTTTGTGGTGATGCGGCTCTGCCAGTGGTTTAAAAAGTAAAAATAAAAGAAAAAAAAGAAATTTTAAGGCTGGGCGCTGTGACTCATGCTTGTAATCCCAGCACTTTGGGAGGCCGAGGCGGGCAGATCACCTGAGGTTGGGAGTTTGAGACCAGCCTGACCAACATGGAGAAACCCCTTCCCTACTAAAAATACAAAATTAGCCAGGCATGGTGGCGCATGCCTGTAATCCCAGCTACTCAGGAGGCTGAGGCAGGAGAATCATTTGAACCTAGGAGGCAGAGGTTGCAGTGAGCTGAGATCGCACCATTGCACTCCAGCCTGGACAACGAGAGCGAAACTCTGTCTCAAAAAAAGAAAAAAAAAAAAAAGAAAAGTTTAAAAGGAAAAAAGCTTATAGAACAATAACATGAAGAAAGTATTTTTTCACAGTTGTACAGTGTGTTTGTGTTTTAAGCTAGGTGTTATTACAAGAGTCAAAATGTTAAAAAATTTCAAAGCTTATTAAGTAAAAAAATTACAGTAAACAAAGATGAATTGATCATTGAAGAAAGGAAAATATTTTGGAAGAGTTGGTGCAGTGTAAGTAAGTGTAGCTTGTTTCTAAAGTCTACAGCAGCGTAGAGTGACGTCCCAGGCCTCCACATTCACTCCTCACTCACTGGCCCATCCAGAGCAACTTCCAGTCCTGCCAGCTCCAAGACAGATGGGTCATTTTCTGTCTTTCATACTGTATTTCGACTGTGTCTATTCTATTCTTAGATACAAAAATGCTTCCCATCATGTCACAGTGGCCTACAGTATTCAGCAGAGCAGCATGCTGTACACGTTTGTAGCCTAGGAGCAATGCGGTGTACCATCGAACCTAGGTGTCTGGTAGGCTGCACCACCTAGGATTGTGTGAGAACACTCTATGATGTTCTCACCACGATGAAATCGCCTAACGCGGCATCTCTCAGAACCAGCCCCGTGGTTAAGCCACACAGGACTGTGTCAGGGTGTCAGCATTCACATCACGTCCTGATATATCTCCTCCAAGAAGCCTGCTTTATAGAAAATGAATTTTCTTATCACAAGGCTTTAGGTTCCTTTCTTTTCTGGTTAATGGGGGGAAAATCCAGGCAGACAAGCCTCAGGTGATGTGGCCACTTTCATCTCAGTCAATATCAATTGGGTCCTATCAGAGCTCCCAGGCTCCTGGAATGGGAATTCTCTGTCCTTCCCCCAGTTTTAATTTCCTTCCTCAGAAAAAGGGACACAGTCTGCATTAGTGTGCAGGATGTGAGGACTGCACGGGTATCTGGCTTTCACACCTGGCCAGTTCTGAGCTCTACAGGCTGCATTCACCAGGCAAGGATGGGGAGAGAGCTGGAGGTGCAGTGGTGGTGTGGGCAAGGGTGGTGCCAGTGTCCTGCCAGGGAGGACCTTGGGATAGTGGGTGCTGATCACACTAGGGAGAAGGCCGGCATTGTTCATAGGTGAAAGTGGAAATTCTCTTATTTTATTTTATTATTTATCTATTTTTTTTTTTTTGGAGACAGAGTCTCACTCTGTCACCCAGGCTGGAGTGCAGTGGTGTGACCTTGGCTCACTGCAACCTCCGCCTCCTGGGTTCAAGCAATTCTCCTGCCTTAGCCTTCCAAGTAGCTGGGACTATAGGTGCACACCGCCATGCCTGGCTAATTTTTTGTATTTTAGTGGAGACAGGGTTTCACCATGTTGCCCAGGCTGGTCTCGAACTCCTGAGCTCAGGCAATCTGCCCGCCTCGGCCTCCCAAAGTGCTGGGATTATGGGCGTGAGCCACCGCGCCCGGCCAATTCTCTTATTTTAAAAACCTGAAGTGACTGTCACAGCTTCTGCTTGAAGGGCAGTGCATCATTCATTTCTCTGGGAAAATAAATTCCGACGGCTCAGGTCCAACTAGAGGGAGGGAAGAGAGGATAGAAGTGTCGCAGCCCCACCTGCTTGGTCACTGGGGTGGACGGCCAGTGAGCAGGGAGCACTCAGCACTCTGGTGCCTTTGGCCAAGAGCTGAGCAGGGGCTGGTGGGAGCTGCACGGCCGCTACTGGTGAAATCACAGAACTGAGTCACATGGAAGGGGCGAAGGAGCCCAGAAAACTGAATTGTGTGGCCTCAGGATGAAGTGGCTGGGGGATGGGAAAGGACATGGCCGTGACAAAATATAACAGGCTGTGGAGAAATCCACCCTGTGAGAAATCCCAGCACTGGAGGCCCAGATAATATTCATTTATGTTATTTGTATTTCTGCAGGGCCGTAATACTGTTGAATATTAGGCACTCGGGTGCCTAATAAATATCTGGTTTATCTCATCTATTCCTTACAATGGCCATTTTGAAAGGGGTTCTAGCCATATTCCACACCACCCCCCCAACCCACCCATGGGGATTCTGCCACCGCCATGGAAAACACCTGAGCTGTCCTGCTGGAGAGGCCCCATGGAAGTGCACTGAGGCTCCCTGGCCTAGAGCCGAGGAAGGGAAGCATGGAGGAGGTAAGCAACTTGTCCAAGATGGCAAAGCCTTTAAGCAATGGGGCCTGAGCCGAGGAACTGCCATCTTGAGGTCCAAACAACCACTGTCACGAGCCCGTGGTAAGGGCTGTTATGCACACATCTGCCTTTGGGGAGGTTTCAGGGGGGCTGAAGGGTAATGGAAGCCCACTGGGCTCCATGCCTGGGGTGGCACAGCAGAGAGATAAAAACAGTACTGAGAGGCAGCCAGGGAGGCAGGAAGAGGGCCTTAGAGATCTTAAAGGCCTGCATGATCTCTCAGCGCTGAGGATTAATGGAACTCCTGGATGGGTCCCCAGGACCTTGCTTGCAGCTTGAGCTGCAGTGTTTCCTTGAACCCCGAGTTGCTCGATGGAACACACACATCCACCTTTGCGCCCCTCCTGCCCATCACTCAGTCCAGTACATGGCAAGAGCCCAGTAGGGTACAGCTTCAGTGAATGAGGGAGGCAAGTCCAGATCAAGAGCCATGTCTCGGTCGTTGCTCAATAACAAACCACCCCAAAGCTAGTGGCATAGAGTGGCCTCTATTATTTACTTACAAGTCTGGGCTCAGCTGTGAAGTCTTAGGTAGGGTTACTCATGAGGCTGCAGTCTAACCTGGAGGCTCATATAGGGCTGCATGGTCTAAGGCAGAGGTCCACAACCCCCGGGCCATGGACTGGTACCAGCGGCCTGTTAGGAGCCAGGCTACACAGCAGCAGGTGAGTGGTGGGTGAGCACACATTACCGCCTGAGCTCCACCTCCTGTCAGATCAGCGGACCAGGGCCACGGGAGCACGAACCCTACTATGAACTGCACCTGTGAGGGATCTAGGTTGTGGCTCCTTATGAGAGTGGAATGCCTGATGATCTGCGGTGGAAAGGTTTCTTCCCAAAACCATCCCCCAGCCCATCTGTGGAAAAATTGTCTCCCATGAAACCGATCTGTGGTACCAAAAAGGTTGGGGACCACAGGTCTAAGGCCTCATTCACATTCTAGGGCTATAGGCCAAGGAGCCTCAGTGCTGTTCCATGGGGCCTCACCAGCAGGATGGCTCAGGTGTTTTCCATGGTGGTGACAGAATCCCCAAAGGTCAGGCCCCCATGTACAAGTACTTATCAGGCCTCTCCTTGGGTCACCTGTGCTGGTACCCATTGGCCAAAGCAAGTCACGTGGCCAAGCCCAGCATCAGTGTGGGAAGGGACTCCTCTAGGCCATAAATACTGGAAGGTCTGATTCATGCGAGGGCATGGAAGGTGTAACACCCACCTCAGGCGCATTAACCCAGGATTAGCCCTTAGGCCCTTAGGCCTGAATTCTGGAAGAATTATTTTTCCTTCTTCCTTTACTAATAAACTTGGAATAGAGGTGAATTCACATTTGTATCAGTTACAAAATCAAGAACAAGTCAGCTGGGCATGATGGCTCACACCTGTAATCCTGGCACATTGGGAAGTCAAGGCAGGTGGGAACTCAGGAGTTTGAGACCAGCCTAGGCAACACTGCAAAACCCCATCTCTGCTAAAAATACAAAAATTTGCCATGCGTGGTGGCACACACCTGTAATCACAGCTACTTGGGAGGCTGAGGCTTGAACCTGGGAGCTCAAGGCTCCAAGTGAGCCAAGATGGTGCCACTGTACTCCAGCCTGGGTGACAACATGAGGCCCTGTCTCAAAAAAAAAAAAAAAAAAAAAAAAAGAAAAGAAAAGAAAAGAAAAAGAAAGAAAAAGGATAAGTCAAGGTCAGGACAGAACAACCAGGGGGTTAATTATGTAACAGGTTCAGGTTCAGCTGATTCCTCCACAGGCTTCCAGGTCCTTTGGAGCAGTAGAGCCCACAGGAGAAAGACAAGAGACAGGAGCCCCCTGGACCCCGCCCTCCCCGCCTTCCTGTGAGTGGCATTAGGCTGGACGTTGCCTCAATTCTTCACATCCTCCGGGACATCATGAAATTTGTCGGCATAGAGCAAAGGAGCTTTTGGCCAGGGATTTTCTGCTGGCTGTTTCTATTTACTGGGGGCAAACTAATAGGAAATTATGTTCTTATCTTGGCAACTATAAAGTACTTTCCTTCTGATTCCCTAATCCCTGTAGATGGTGCTTATGTTCACCTGCTGCTACCAAATGCTGACATTTGCTCGGACTGAAACATCCCAGAGGTGTGTTGTGGTAAAGTGGTTCTCAAACATCTTGGAAGGTGTAAACTCCTTCACTGGGGCCCAAGACATCTCCAGACCAATTTCCTTCACCCTCCAAAATCATAAATAGAGGCCATTAAAAATCTCATCCCCTGAGCCGGGCGCGGTAGCTCACGCCTGTAATCCCAGCACTTTGGGAGGCCGAGGCGGGTGGATCACGAGGTCAGGAGATCGAGACCATCCTGGCTAACACCGTGAAACCCCCGTCTCTACTAAAAATACAAAAAATTAGCCGGGCGTGGTGGCGGGTGCCTGTAGTCCCAGCTACTTGGGAGGCTGAGGCTGGGAAATGGCATGAACCAGGGAGGCGGAGCTTGCAGTGAGCCGAGATTGCGCCACTGCACTCCAGCCTGGGCGATGGAGTGAGACTCTGTCTCAAAAAAAAAAAAAAAAAAAAAAAAAATCTCATCTCCTGAATGGATGAGGAGAACAACACAGATGGGTGAGCCACAGTGAGAGACGCTATAAGGAAGTTACTAACCAAAACCCATTCGGACAGTGTCCTGTTGACTTCTGAATGTGTCAAGGTCCAGGTAGGAAAGAGATGGCCCACACAAATTGGGTAATTTGAGAATTTAATAAAAGAACTTGCATCTCCTGCCCTTGTTTCTGACTCTGATCCTCTGTGCTCCACCTTTGACTCCAGCCATGGGTGGAGTGAAGTTTGGGGCCCCACCTGCTTGGTGCTAACATCCCTCACCCCAGATGGACTTTGCCTTCATCTTTGCCCTGGGACTTCCCTGACACTGTAGAGACTTGGAGGCCATGGGAGCTCATGCTAAACAGATGACACAAGTACAGCCAGAAACCAGCAGAGAGTTAATTCCCCGCTGGACAGCCTCTACTGAAGGGGTACGGAAATCCACCCATCTTGCAGGTGGGCAGTTCTGATGCAAAATCTTCGTGCTTCTGCAGAAGGTCCTGGGGGATCAAGTGCTGGTTGCTCTGCTGTTGCACTGATGTTCCCTCCGCCCCAATTTCACACTCCCTGGTCCCCCACTCCACTTCCCAAGAAAACTCCCGCCCATAAGACTTTGTCTCAGTCTTAACTGAGATGTGAGCAGGGTGTCATAGACTGAATTGTGTCCTCCCAAAATTCATATGTTGAATTCCTACCCTCCATTGTCACTGTATTTGAAGATAGAGCTTTAGGGAGATAATTTACTTTAAATGAGGCCATATGGGTGGGACCTTAGTCCAATAGGTCTGGTGTCCACATAAGCAGAGGAGGAGACACAGCAGGAGTGTATGCACACAGAGACAAGGCCACGTGAGGACACAATGAGAAGGTGGCCACCTGCAGGCCAGGAAGATGGCCCACACCAGAAACGGATCCTGACAGCATCTTGATCTTGGGCTTCGGCCTCTAGAACTTTGAGAGAATACATTTCTTCATCTAAGCCATCCAGTCTGTGGTATTTTGTTATGGTAGCCCGAGAAGACTCATACACAGGGTTTAGGCAAATCATGAAGAATAGTGTGGTATACTAGGGGACACTGGGGCCAGTGGGTACATTACCACCCTTCATTCTAGAGGCCAGGATGGGAGGGGCTAGTGGAACCTGGACACAGAGAAGCTGGGAGAAGCGTGATGAGAGCTGCGATCTTCAGCTACAGCTGACCTGCAGGAGGGAGCTGGCAGAATCCATGCCCTGGCCTCCCTCTCTCTCTCCTGTCTCCTGCTGCGGCCTCCTAGTGGCACAACCAGAAGCGAGAGTGCAGAGGGTCCTGTTGGTGTGGTCCATTGTATGTCAGCTTTGGCCCAGAGCAGGGCAGACAGAGAAGGACACAGTGTGGATTCAGAGGGCAAACCTGAGACTTCCAGAACAAACGCGGGACCACAGCAGAAACCCCACTGTCCTAGTGGTATCCTCTTTTGTCTGAATCTTTTTAAGTTCTGGGAGGGAGTAATAGATCTTTGCAGTCAGAGCTAGGTACCCAAATGTATTAGTTTTTTAGGGCTGCTGTAACAAGCTAAAAAAAAAAACTGGGTTTCTCACAGTTTAGGAGGCTCAAAGTCCTACATGTGACTACATCAATCTTGTTTCTGCCTCTGTCTTCACACAGCTGTCTTCCCTCTGTGTGTCTTCCTCTCCTTGTGAGGACATCATTCAATTTAGGGCCCATACTAATCCGGTATGACCTCATCTTAACTTGATTATACCTACAAACATTCTATTTCAAAATAAGGTCACGTTCACAGGTGCCAGGGTTAGGACTTCAACGTATTTTTTGGGGAGGGGACACAATTTAACCATAATACCTTTGGCCCGGTGCGGTGGCTCACACCTGTATTCCCAACACTTTGGGAAGTCGAGGTGGGCAGATCACTTGAGGCCAGGAGTTTGAGACCAGCCTGGCCAACATAGCGAAACCCCGCCTCTGCTAAAAATACAAAAATTAGCTGGGCTTGGTGGCGTGTGCCTGTAATCTCAGCTACTCGGGAGGCTGAGGCAGGAGAATCGCTAGAACCTGGTAGGAGGTTGCAGTGAGCCGGGATCGTGCCACTGCACTCCAATCTGGGCGACGGAGGGAGACTCTGTCTCCAAAAAACAATAAAACAAAAACAAACAAACAAACAAAAAAACCAACACAACACCCATGGTAGGCTATATGTCTGGGAAAAGCTTTTCTTCAGCAGGGATGGAGGACAGGGACTTGGAGTCCTATCTAAGACTGGATGCTGAAATCCTTGAAATCCTGGGAGCTGGGGAAAGGTCACCCCAAATTCCAAAGCTTCAGTGGTTCTCCACTGTGCTGACTTTCAGCTAGAAACTAGAATTCACCTTTGGGAGCAGACTATTCTTTTGCTTTGAGAAAAATACATGATTGCCCTTTTGTTTATGCAAAGTGAAGCAACTATTCTGTTCTGAATGATGGTGGCTCAAGATAAAGGGACCTGTGTGATAATCTCAAGGCTGATCTTCACAAGTGGCAGGTTTGCATCTTGCAGAGTTTTTCAGGGGAAGGAGTTGGGCGTCGTTTCCGAGTAGGGTAAACATGGTTTCAAGTACATTCCCATTGCTTGTGGTGGAGATGGGAGAAGTGGGTGATGGATGGAAGTTACAGGCCCTGCAATTTGGAGCCCAGCTGAAGGCTAAGGAGAGGTCTACCCTGAAACTCACAGTAGTGTGCTGGAACTAGCTCTATGGACTTGTAAGAGCCGATTGTAAAATTTTCAGGAATTTTGCAAGCTGGTTGATAAACATGGCCATCATTTAAAACTAAATTATAGGCTGGGTGTGGCAGCTCACGCCTATAATTCCAGAACTTTGGGAGGCCGAGGCAGGAGGATTGCTTGAGGCCAGGAGTTCAAGACCAGCCTGGGTGGGAGAGAAAGTCCCTGTTTCTACAAAAAATTCAAAAAGAATGATTGACGTTGGGCTCAGGGATGGTGGTGGCACACACCTGCTCGAAAGGCTGAGGCAGGAGGATTCCTTGAGCCCAGGAGTTGGAGGCTGCAGTGAGCCATGATTGCATCACTGCACCCCAGCTTGGGTGACAGAGTGAGACCTTGTCTCTAAAAAAAAATTAAATTAAAACTAAATTATATACGTTTACAATTAAATAAATTATATTAAAAACAGAGGTCATAAATACTCAGAGTTCATTGCTTGATAATTATTTTACTACATTTTCTCTCATCAGTGCTCTTGAGGTCTATTGCACCAGTCCGAGGAAAATACAATATAAACATGTGCTATTGTGCATCTCTTCCCAACTCCATTCAATAACATCACAGCCGGGAGCTTGAAATCACAGGAATTGCAAACGCTAGGGCTCAGCCCCTCCAGCAGGTGGCTAAATGTTTACCAGCACCCCACGGCCAGACAGAGATGCTGCTGACTCTAGAGTTGTGGGCTGTCCAGTGCTATTTGCCTTTTCTGTGCTGGGGAAGGGTAAACAGGAAGCAGGGTGTGAATCAGCATGGAAGAGCACAGCAGCCTGGAGAAGCAGGTGACAAGGTGGCAAGGGTGAAGTAGGGAAGGTGGAGTGCAGCCCAGCCCGGGATTTATAGGATTGACACTGCTGAGGATTTACAGACCACAGAGGCTCTGTGCTGGCAACTGAGCACTTTTGACTCAACTCTGTACCAAGGGCCCCAGAATAAAAAAGAACCTGTAAACATGGCTTGAAGAGTCTCAGAAACAGCCTGAGAATGGGACCCAAGTCAGCACTGGGTTTCTTGTCCTCCCACAGGAAGGGGGCTCCACCTGTTGTCTCCAGGGAGACTGATAAGGTCTAAGGTCTAGAGAATTAATACAGTCTCTTCTCTAGGCTTTCTCTAATACCAGAGCATGCCCAGGGGATATTCTCCAAGGGGAGTGCCATTCATAGCCTCTCCTAAAGTTACGTGTCCACAAAATATGTAGCTCATGAACTGGGGCTCCACAAAACACACTTTGGAAAGTTCTGCATTAGACACCTGGGCATCATGCAAATCTACCCAGCCAGCCCAGCACTTTCCAGCCTATTCCAGTGCAGTGATCCATAAAGAAGGAAGTGCCTGTTATTTTCTCACACATGGTTATGCTCAAATGGACCCCTCCCTTAGAACACTTCCTCATCACTCCACCATCCCTCAAAATGGGAAGAACTCTTTTTTGAATGATTTAATAATGAAGAGCAAACTTCAGAACATTGACATCACCATCATGTGGCCAGAAAGCGTCAGTGAGGGCTAGGCTGCTAGATTTAGCAAATAAAACTACAGGATGCCCAGTTAAGTTCGAATTTAGGATAAGCAAAGGATGACTGTTAGTATATATGTAGGTCCTATGCAATATTTGAGACATATAAATACTAAGAAAGTACTAGCTCTTTATCTGAGAATTTAACTGGGCATCTTGGATTTTCTTGGCAATGCTGGTGAGGGTAGGATTTTTAAGGAATGCTGTCAGGTCTTTGGGGAGGCTATTGTGGGGTAGTGGGAAGAGAACAAGCTTTGGAGTCAGGTCTGGAGGGACTTTGAGTTTGGCCACTACAATAGCAACATGAGCAAGTTACTTAACCTCTCTGACCTCCAGGTTCCCCAGCTATAAGTACCTGTGGGAGATCATATCTCATTCATAAGATGGCTGATAGGATTAAATTTGAAAATTTATGAAACAGACTCTAGTGCAATGATCAGCACATAGTAGTTAAGTTTAACTAATGTTAGTCCCATTCTCTCCTCCTACTGTTCTCTTTTATTTGGGGTCAATCATTGAGGACACAAATAATTTTGCTGGAATCCTGGAGGCTATAGTGAACAGTACTGCGTCCTGCAAAGTTTTCATCTTTTACCTTTCTGTTTCTATGGGGCTTCAGTAGTTTCCAATCAAGGACCTAAATCACAGCTTCTCATTCTTCCCTGCACAGCCCTCAGGCCTGAGGACCTCAAGAGAGACATCTAGAAGCCATTCTAGGGAAACTAAGCCCACAGCCCCGGTCTATCTGATAATTCAAACATTCAACAATGCTGCTAAGGACAATTAGCAAAAGCCTGCACAGAAGTCTCTGTGTTTTGTTTGTAAAGTGCTGAGTTTACAAATAGTGTTGACTTGGCTTGTGAACCGCTGCTGGACAACAGGCCAAAGAGGGCAGAGGAGTCCTACCCCAAGTGGCTCTCCTCCTCTGTGTCTTCCGCTGTCACACTGTTGCTGAACGAACACATTTTATTTTCAATTTCCTAGGCGAATGAAGAACTGTAAAACTGACGCTCCAAACACAGTGAACACCTGAAGCTATGAGTACTAGTCTTTATATTGGTTTACGTAATTATTTTTGTAACAGTGTTAATTCTCTAATTATGTTCCATTTGGACAATGCTAATGATTTAAAATTAGTTTGTAGCATGTTTGTACTGAGTAGAAAACAAAATCGGTTGGATTGGGCAGTGAAGGGAGTTATAGGGAAATTTGGGGCAACTCAGTATTCTAAATTGGCTGTGCGTCATTCTGAAAGAAGATAATCCATATGCATCATGTAGACCAATAACTTTTAAAAAACCATTTCCTGGAAGAGAAATGAGAACAGTCCAAGGCTGCCATTGTTCTAATTATGGGTTTGCTTTTTCCCAGAGCACAGGAATCTTTACATTCATTTCAAAACAGCACTAAGAAGTGGAAAGCTTTCTTTTAATGACAATGCAAGCTCATTTGAATGTTTAAAAACACTTCTTGAACACAGAACCAATTGCTATCCTACCTACTGCTTTGGTATCAAGGATGTTGATTGTAAAAGTCTTAATTAAATGATAAGAGGGAAAAAGTCATCATGTAAGAGTGCAATTACCCAGAAGCATACTTTATCTCATTATTAACTTCTTTGGATAGATCTAAAACCTATAGAAGCTGTGCTTTTAGGAAAACAAACAAATAAAACAAACTTCTTATCATTAGCAACTATTTTAAACTGCTTATAGAGTCAGTCTGTGGCCAACACCAAATGCCGGGGGGATGCGGAGCCATTGGCTCTTCCATGCATTGCTGTGTTGTAAACACACATGCTGTGGTCTGAATGTCCGTGTCTTCCCAAATTCATATTTTGAAACCTAATCACCAAGAAGATGGTATTAGGAGGTGGGGCCATGAGGTGGGAGGAGCCCTCATGAATGGAATTAGTGTCCTCATAAAAGAGGCCCAGAGAGCTGTCTTGCCCTTCTGCCATGTGAGGGTACAGCAGGACTTTGCCAGTCTGCAACCCAGAAGAGGGCCCTCACCACAACTCGGCCAGGCTGGCACCCTGATTTTGGACTTAGCCTCCAGGATTGTGAGAAATACATTTCTACTGTTTATAAGCCACCTAGCCTACGGTATTTTGTTATAGCAGCTGGAACAGTCTAAGACACTTACACAATCCAGCAGTCCCACTCCTAGTTACCCAAGAGAAGTGAAAACTTATGTCCACAAAGCTCTGTCACTACAGAAACCCACAGTGAGTGTTGACAGCAGTTTTATTCATAGTTTCTCAAAACCAGAAATAATCCATCTGTCACTCAACTGGTGAATGGATAAACAAATTCTAATACAACGAGGCAAAGAAAAAAAAACACTATTTAGCAATAAAAAGGAACAAGCAAGTGATACATGCAAAAACATGCCATTATGCTAAGTGAAAGAAGCCAGATCCAAACAACTACATACAGTATGATTCCGTTTATGTGACATTCTGGGAAAGGCCAAGCTATAGGGATAGAGAACAGATCAGTTGTTGCCAGGGGCTCAGGTGGGGAAGACAATTGACTACAAAGGAGCAGGAAGGAACATTTTACAGTGATGGAGATGGTCTATGTCGTGATTGTGGTGGTGGTTGCATGACTACATGCATTTGTCAGAATTCATAGAACTGTAGATGTAAAAAGGTGAACCTTCCCTCATGTACATGATACTGACTCAATAAAGTGATGTATTTTAAAATGAGTCATTTTGTGACTCTCTGCGTATGCTGATGTTGAATAACCTTTCATTAAAACTCTTAAGGGAAATAAGCATGGGGAAGGCGGGCAAGTGGAGCAAAGGGGGAGTGACTCCTTTGCTTTTCAAATAACTAGCCCAGGTGCTACACTGTAGCTGCTTTTCTCTGAGCAGGAAACAGAAGTGGCTTGGGTGACAGGGCCTATGACTGACTGTAGTGTTCTTGAAGAACAGTGGTCACCATCTGTCCCTCTTGGTGAATGTCCTCTAGTCCATGGATGCCTGCTCATTGTCCACACCATCCATGGATGCTCAGACATGGTGTGTGTGGGTTTGTATTTGTAATTGTTTGTTCAGGTTTAAAGATCTCTCAGCCATGTCATGATGGTGATTTCATTATTTATAATGAACATATGGTCATGAACACAGATCCACAGGGCCTGGCAGCAATAATGGACAAATGCCCATCAGCTACTGAGTGGGCTGCCCATCCTTCTGACATTGCACACGTATTTGCACTTGCTCTAGGTGCTAAAAAAGGATAACCAGTGTCATCTTATCACAGAAAGGAATCTCTTTGGGGGCATAGCGCCAACAAGTTACAATCTAAGGATGTAATGTTAGAGTTCTCCAGAGAAATAGAACCATAGATAGAGAAAGAAAGAGAGAGGTAGATCTATAGATAGATGTGTGTGTGCATATATATACATGTAGATACATGTGTGTATATATATATATACACACATGCATATATATACACACACATATAAATATATGTATATAGAGAAATATACATACATAGAGATAGATATTTTATATGTATTATATATGTATTTATATGTATATATGTAATATATAATGTATTAGGGGTCTCTAGAGGGACAGAACTAATAGGATAGACAAATATATAAAAGGGAGTTTATTAAGTATTAACTCACCCAATCACAAGGTCCCACAACAGGCCGTCTGCAAGCTGAGGAGAAAGGAGAGCCAGTCCGAGTCCCAAAACTGAAGAACTTGGAGTCTGACGTTCAAGGGCAGGAAGCATCCAGCATGGGAGAAAGATGTAGGCTGGGAAGCTAGGCCAGTCTAGTCTTTTCATGTTTTTCTGCCTGCTTTATATTCTAGCTGTGCTGGCAGCTGATTAGATGGTCCCCACCCAGATTGAGGGTGAGTCTGCCTCTCCCAGTCCACTGACTCAAATGTTAATCTCCTTTGGCAACACCCTCACAGATACACCCAGAATCAATACTTTGCATTCTTCAATCCAACCAAGTTGACACTCAGTATTAACCATCACATATATAGAGAGATTGATTGAGTTATTAATGATAAGGAATTGGTTCGTGCAATTATGGAGGCCAAGAAGTCCTATGATCTATTGCAAGTTGGAGATCTGTTGTCTGGAAAGCTGTTGGTGTAGTTCAAAGGCCTCAGAACCAGAGGGCTGATGGTATAAACTTCAGTCCAAGTCTGAAGGCCTGAGAACAAGGTGCACAGAGGGTAAGACAGAATCCATGGATGTCCCAGCTCAAGTTGTCAGGCAGAGAGGAAAATTCAACCTTCCTCTGTCTTTTTATTGTATTTGGCCCTCAACGAACTGGATGATGCCTGCACACTGGTGAGGGTGGGTCTTCTTTACTCTGTCTACTGATTCAAATGTGTGTCTCTTCATAGAGGCAGAAATAATGTTTAACCAGATATCTGGACATCCTGTGGCTTAGTCATATTTATACATAAAATTAACCATCATAGATATAAAGTTTTCAATGCAAAGTTCTATGACTTACTATTTAATTTGGGACTAAATCTGATTCTAATGAAAAGATTTGTGGTATGAAAAGAATATTTCCGTCATTGACTCTGCCTATCCAAATCAGTTTAACTCTAGTTCATAGCATTTTTTTACAGCTGAAAGCAGAATGCCTTGGAGGAAGCAAAAATTACTAGATATAAACATGACCGCCTATCCACAAAGTCATCCTAACCGTGGGCAGGTCTCGAACTCCTGACCTCAAGCCATCTGCCCATCTCTGCCTCCCAAAGTGTTGGAATTACAGGCGTGAGCCACCGCACCCAGCCAGTTTCATTTTCCTTGACTCCCTAAGGCATTGTTAGAGGTTCTTATTTTTCCTGCTTCCTTTGGGAACCCAGATATGAGCATGAGTTCTTGATCTTGTCAGCTCAAGATTTTGCTTTTCTTGAAGGAATTTCTAAACAATCTCATATTTCAGTCTACCATGTGCTGTTGCTTCTTCACAGGGTATTGCCTTGGGCTCACCTGTATGAAATCGCTTCTTCAGTTTTGTTTCCTTTAGCTTGCCTTATGAATTCTGCTTTGAAATCTCTCCTTTGGACATAGTAGCCTTGTCTGGACTTTGGTCAGCGTGTGAAAACGCAGTAAGGAAGTTGGGATGACGGCGAGGCAGTGAGGTTTAAGGGTGTTCCTGAGGGTTCAGGGCATATCACCTGCATTCACTCATTCAGCACATGTTTCTTGAGCATCCACATATGCCAGGAATCATGCTGCCTGCTGGATACAGTGGCGTGTGTGCGTGTGTGTGTGTGCGTGTGTGTGTGTGCGTGTGTGTGTGTGCGTGTGTGTGTGGTGGTGAGACAGGTCCTATTCAAATTCTAAAATAAATTTATCATTACAAGCTGGAATAATGCCACAAAGGATAAGTTCCAGCATCTCTAAGCACCCCTAAAAAGGGGACCAGTCTGGTCTCAGGGAGAAAGGGCAGTTAGGAAATGCTGCCCTGAGGAAGTGCTGTTTGAACTGAGAGGTGAATTGGATCTAACCAAGGGAAAAACCAGGAAGAATGCTGCAGTCAGAGAAAATCACATGTGCAAAGCCCCCAAGGTAGGCAGTGTGTGCACTGGAGAGACCAGTGCAGCTGGAGGTGGGGAGAGTAGCGTGAGATGAGGCTGGAGGGTGGGGAGCCATGAGGACCATCTGAAAGCCTTTGGTCTGTATTCCACGAACAACAGAGAGCCGTGAAGTTTTATGTGAAGGCTGATGAAATTCGACTGGAGTTTTATATTTTCAAGAGTACCTGCTCTTGGGAAGGCTGGTTCGGGTAAGGTTCATAATGCCCTGATTCCTTTTTTCCCAACATCTGCCTGTCTCTGGCATAGTCGGCTTCACTAGCTGCAAGTATAAACACAGTCACAGCTCATCATTTTTCCAATTAATATTAATAGCTGGAGCTCCCATATGTCAAACTGCTCACATTTGAAGCCTCCCCCACCAGTCGTCTACAAACTCCAACATCTTACTTGGTCCAAAGCAGACACATTCTCCTTCCAAATGCCCCAGAGAGGGTGAGGAAGGCTAGTGACTTCAGTAGCCTGAAGGGACTACAGTCCCTGTCTCCTGCCTCAGTCATGGCCTCTGCTCACTGCTGGGCACTGGTCTTATGCATACACATACTTCTCTACCCCCGAGGGGAGGCTTGGGCTTCAGGGTTAAAATCAGACCTCCCTCACTCACATGCTCTGCCTTTGTCTCCAGAGCTGAGTCAGAGGCGGCTGGATGTGCAGGAGCATCCACTTGTCCAGCCCCAAATCTCTCCCACAAACCTTCCACGTCAGGCCATCAGCCCAGGTGCACCTTTAGCACCCTGGGTATCCTTCCCTGCTGGGGAATCTTAATCCTTCAGAGAAGCTCCCAGTTGTTGACCCTCTTGGGGCCTTTCTTGTCACCCAGCACAGGCTCTGTGGACTAAGGGACAACTGCAGAGGCATGTTTGTTGTGCTCTGGTCACAACAAACAGATATTTACCATATGATATTTACCAGACCAACACAAACCAACTGGACTTACACTGATGTGATTAAACAACTTTCCTCATGCCAACAAAATCTGTCCCGGGGATGCTTGCTGTCTCCCTTGCCAGGCATAGAGGATGATGGCATTTGCACTCTGTTTTTATTTTTTCCCTCACCCAGCACTCATTATAATATTCTCCTTAATATATAAAATAATCAGAAAATATCAATAGAAAGACATTTCATGGGCTGGGCACGGTGGCTCACACCTGTAATCCCAGCACTTTGGGAGGCTGAGGTGGTGAATAACGAGGTCAAGAGATCAAGACCATCCTGGCCAACAGGGTGAAACTCCGTCTCTACTAAAAATACGAAAATTAGCTGGACGTGGTGGTGGGTTCCTGTAGTCCCAGTTACTGGGGAGGCTGAGGCAGGAGAATCCCTTGAACATGGGAGGCAGAGGTTGCAGTGAGCCGAGATCATGCCACTGCACTCCAGCCTGGCGACAGAGCAAGACTCTGTCTCAAAAAAAAAAAAAAAAAAAAAGAAAGACATTTCACAGTTCCCCGACCAATAAAACACATTTATATCAGCATGTGTGTTACAAAACTCAGTTTCCACGGGAGAATGGGCCCCTAGGAGGGTGACTGCTGCATTCCATAAGGATATAGGACAATTCTAGGACATGGCAGCTCAGAACTGGGCCCTGACATTGGGAGTCCCACTGTGTAAATGTGGAAAAATGTACTCTGAATAAACACTACTGGTGTACATCTCCTGAAACATAATTTTTTAAAAAATGAAAAATTATGTCTTCATTTTTTTCTAATCATAACAGATACTTACAGAAATGCTCTAAAAACTTTAAACATGCTTATTCCACTTTCCAGAATATATAAAGAACTTTCAAAACTCAATAAGAAAACAATTAAAAACAAACAATCCCAGCTCTTTGGAGGCCAGAGTGGGAGGATTGCTTGAGGTCAGGAATTTGAAACCAGCCTGGATGACATAGCAAGACCCTCTCACTACAGAAAAATTAAAAAGTTAGCTGGGCACGGTAGCACATATCTAGGCCCAGCTATCCAGGAGTCTGAGGTAGGAGGATCATTTGAGCCTGGGAAATCGAGGCTTCAGTGAGCTGTGATCACACCATTGCACTCCAGCCTCGGTGACAGAGCAAGACCCTATCTCACAAAAAGAAAGAAAAAAAATGAGCAAAAGATTTGAACATACTTCATCAAATAAGAGACAAAGATAGCCAAATAAGCACACGAGAAGGTATTCAGTCACAGACTGAAAAGAAAGCCACAGTGAGATACTATACACCTATAAGAATGGCAAGCATTAAAGCAAACCAGCAAATAACTGATGATACCAAATGCTGGTGAGGATGTGGAGCAACTAGAACTCTCATGCATTGCTGATGGGAATGCAAAATGGTACAGACACTTTAGAAAACAGTTTTGCAGTTTCTTATAAAGTTAAACTGATATTTACCATACGATCCCGTAATCCCACTCCTGGATATTTACTCAAGATAAGTGAAAGCACACATCCACACGAGTTTTTATAGTAGCTTTATTTGTAATCTCCCCAAACAGGAAAGAACCCATATGTTGGTGAATAAACCGCAGTACATCCATACAATGGACTACTACTCAGAAAAAAAATGGAACTACTGGTGTACCCACCGATGGATCTCAAGGACATTATGTGGAAAGAAGCCAGACTCAAATGGCTATGAGCTGTGTAACTCTACACGACAAATTGGAAAAGGTGAAACTATGGGAAGAGAGAACAGATAATGGTTGCCAGGGGCTAGGGGTAGTGGGGAAGGGATTGACTGAAAAGGGAAATGGGAACTTTGGGATGTTGAAATATTCTATATCTTGATTGTGATGGTGGTGGTTACACAACTATGTATTTTTGTTAAAACTCATAAAACTATATATCTAAAAAGGGTGAATTTTACTGTATATAACAAACTCAATAGACCCGATGTAAAAAATGTTTATTTTTCCACTGACAGAGTAAATATTTAGAGAAAGCTCTTCTAAGAACTTTAAACATTCATTTTAATGGTTTCTTTGTCATTGAAAGAGAGAGGCTATAAAAGCCAATAAAAATGGATTTGCTTCTTCATTTTAGGGTAAGATGTTTTACTGCTGCTGCTTAAATGGAGACAGTCTCTAAGAGCCTCACCATAAGAATGTCGTTTTTCTCACGACTTAAAGTCTATACAGCCTTTGTTTCCTGGGCTACCCCTGCCCGTGAGAAACCAAGAGCCTGGGTGAGAGCAAAAGCTTTCATTGACTCCAGTGCCCTCCTGAAGGGGCCTGGACCTATAATGCCACCTCCTCTGAGCCGGTGGTCAATGTGTTATTCTTCCCAAACGGGGAGAGGCACCAGGAATACCATGACAAACTAGCCCACATAGCCTTTCAACCTTCACATCTGGCTATTCTTTGCGCCCTACATGTTGCCTACACTGATGCCCATTTTAATCATAGTCTTTTAAGACAGTATAATGTGAAGTTATATTGGGTAAGTCTACTTCCCTCAGTGTGTCATGTCAGAAGATGACAACTTTTGGGTCAACCATAACAGTCCTGTCAACTGTGGAGAAGGTGCGTCCCTCCGACCTAGTTGCAAAGAGTGGGAAGGTGTCCCAGGTGGGCAGCAGAGCTTGGTTATAGTTACGTGGTCCGACATGATGACTGAGATGGCTCCTGAGCCCAGGAATGAACAAGTGTCAGAGACAGGGAGGGAAAGTAGTGTAGGACAGTCAGATCTCTACTACTGGAATCTTCTAGGAACTGCCAGTGAGTGCTTGGTTGTCTCTCATCTCACGTCATCCTCAAACCAGCCCTAAAGACTAATATTAGTACCTTCTGCTTACGCATGTTGAAAACAAGGCTAAGAAGTGATGTAGCTGCACAAGATAAGTCCACAAGTCACAGCGCTGAGTCATGAACCAGGTCTGCCTGCAAAACGTCTGCATTTTCTATCACACAGGGAAGAGGGTAGTGTCACCAGCTCCTTGGTTAGTACGAAGATCTGGTAACAGGCCTGTAATTTTGTCATTTTAACTTTTATACTCCTGGTAATCTTAAAGATTTTTTTAAAACATTCCTGTATGCCAGTTTTATGAATGGGATGAAGGAAAGAGATGTTAGCCTAGCATGAGTTTCAACCTCACCCTGGGGTCAGGATAACTGGGTAAGAGGGAGGTAGGAAGAGAGAAAACTGGACTCACAGCTGTGCAGAGCCATGCGGGTGGGTCAGGAGGAGCAGCAAGTCTTGTGGGTGTGCCTGCCCACTGGGACATTTATTCGGTCCTCCTCTTTGTTGAAACCTTGGGGGACATAGGATTGTTTTGCCGCAGTAGGCAGTTCCGCAGTGGGGCAGCCATGGGGGTGTTGGTCCAGGGCGGCTCCCCCTGCACCACTTGGCTTGGCTTCAGTGATCCCACCTAGACCCCGCCTGTGCTCACTGCTGGCACCGCCACTGCCCAGTGTCAGGTCCCTCCTCTTCTCTGGCAAAGCTTTAGTGGTTGCAAGACTTCACCAGCAGGGCTCTGGGGGTCAGAAATTCCACAGACAGCCCCTTCCCAGAAGCCTCCTCTGGCGCTTGGAGCAGAGCATTGTCTCGTCTTCTCTGCTCCGAACCCTCCAGCGCTCCTCATCTCCTTTCCCAGGTGCTCAGGGCCCTGCCACTAAAAGCACACTCAATAAACATGATGATTCACCAACAGAGTGTTTAGGGCTTTGAATGCTTTGTCTCCTCTTCCAAAAGCGGGTTATGCAACTTGTGCCCAGCGCAGCCCACAGCAATGCACCAGACTCACATGCCATCAGAGACTGTCAAAGAGCAAACAACTCAAAACTACGTTTCTTCCACCAAAGACAGCACCTTTGCTCAAGCTCACCCTTGTATAATCGTAACAAGAGTTTGTTTGTTGAGCTGAGGTGAAGGGTGAACACTCGATCTTTTATCTGTTTATATGCAGGTTTCTCTACCCCAAGGTATCTCACCAGTTTTCTTGATTTTAGAAGTTGTGACTTTTCAGTTTTCTGTGCCAAAGGAATGTGGAAGCAGTACAGTAGGCTCAATTCCCAAATCACCTATATTTGGCTCTGGAAAGAATTTTGACACAGCACTTAAATATGAACGTGGGTGTCCCTTTCATTGTGGGAATCTATAGTGCTGTGCATTAAGGGAATTCAATCACCAGAGAAGGAGCTACTCACTGGTTAGGGGCTGGGATATGTTCCTCTTTTTTTCCCAGAATGCACTCTTCTCTGCAGCATTTTACTCCACGCAGTGCCCTGTGGTGGACAGATGGCAAGGGGGCCATCTTCCCCTCTGTGTGTCCACCCCCTACCCTCTCATTCCGCAACTCTTCCCATGGGGGGATATGCTGCTCCCCCATCCCTTGGATCTGGGCTGCCTTTGTGACCTGCTTTGGCCCACAGAATGTGGCAGAAGTGACAGCATGCCAGTTAGAGCCTAGGCCTCAAGAAGCCTGGCAGGTTTCTGCTTGTTCTCAGGCTCGACACCACCATGAGAGCATGCCCAGCTAGGTGGCTGGAAGGATGGGAGACAGGTGGAGAGCACACAGCCTGGCCCGGCCAACTAGCCGGGTCATTGTAAATGGGTAAGCAAACCAGGCCAGGAGGGACCAGGCCTGAAGAACCACCCAAGCTGATCCAACCCATAGAATTGGGAGCTAAATAAGTGGTGGTTTTTATTTTTGTTTTTTTACACTGGAGTGCACTGACCCAATCAAAGCTCACAGTAACCTTGAACTCCTGGACTCAAGCATCCTCCTGCCTCAGCCTCCTGAGTAGCCAGGACTGCAGGTGCACACCACCGTGCCCAGATAAGTTTTGTATTTTTTGTAGAGACGAGGTCTCACTCCATTGCCCAGTTTGATCTCTAACTACTGTCCTCAAGTGATCCTCCTGCCTTGGCCTCCCAAAGCACTGGGAGGCATGAACCGCTGTGCCTGGCCAATGGTGACTATTTTAAGCCACTAAGTCTTTGGGTGGTTTGTTACACTGAAATAATCCCATTTTCCCCACCACATGAAGGTTCTGATCTAACACATTCAAACTGCTCTTGAGAAATTCATTCTTCCTTCCGACAGCTGAGTAAAATGTGAGTAGGAAACATGATACTCCATTTCCATTTCAGCTCTTTCACTGGGTACCCAGGCTGTATTTTAATAAATTTTTGTGAAATCAACAGCATATATATTATTAAAGCAAGTATTTTCTGTCCCTAGTCTGTGGTCCAGGGAATGAGCAATAAGATACAAATGAACGGTTGACACCATACCATAAAGATTAGGAATAAGCATATCATAAAGATTAGCAATAAGTTGGATCATGATTTTACAGTGAGCTCGGTTTTAGTAAGCCATAAAAAGGATTTTATGGTGAAACATAAGCTTAATATAATCTCTTTATCATGTTCCCCCTAATAACTGTTCATTACTGCTTCAGTTCATTTTGTTTACACTTGTCACATACATCTCTACAGTACACAGACACAGACTTATATTTTCTATACATTTTTTAGCATTGAGTTGCCTTTGGATCAATATAGAATTAGTAGGGATCAGTGCAGGAAATAATATTACCTTTTTCTGAAAGTAGAGTCTTACTTATGTATATAGCACCTTTGATTTAAGGATCTCAAGGTACTTTAACATTCACTGTAGCATACTTCTAATATCTCTGGGTAGGGAAACTATTATAAATTATCATTATTGCCTTTTTATAGAAGGAAAAAATAAAAGCAAAGAAAAGCGAAGTGCTCAGTGAGATGACAGTCACAGCAGAAACTCGGGTTTTCAGCTCAGCATTCTACTTTGTGAACTGTAACTCTGTAATATATTCCATATCAAAAGGTATAATGGTTTCCTCCATTTGTATAACATCTCTCTGTGGATGATGTTAAATAAAAGGGCAGGAATGACGGTAAATTCCCACCAACGGATCCTCCTGGCTGTGCAGTTATTTCCTGCAGTTCTTTATGTTGGCTAAGGAGTCCCATAAATTACAGAACTGTCCTGTGCTTCTCCACTGAAAATCCTAATCGACCGCTACCACCCCAGCATTTCCAGCAGGAGGGAAAAACCAGTGATCCACAGTCATGCTCTTCAGCTGGGCATTTGTGGCCAGTAAAGTCTGGGCAGTGACTACTATTAGTGCTTTCTTTTATAACCTCCCAGATGTGCAAAATTAATTTTAACTTGCTTGTGTATTTTTGCTTTTCCCCAGTATTTGCGGGGAACCAGTGCTCACTGGGTAACAAAAGATAAAACCACCCAGGGGATTTCCTTCCACCTGGAGCGTCCTCTAGGCTTCTCACAAGCGGGATGATGCCAAGAGAAAGGCACCTTTAGGATAATAAGTTTTCTTAAATTCACAACATGCAGATTTGGCTTTACATTTAAATGCATTGGAAAATGGAATGTTTTCCACTTCTACAAGGCTAACCCACAGATGCACGATTATTTACGAATAAAAGAGGATCTATTCACGCTATTCTTATCTAGACAAAAAAAATGCAAATTAAAATTTCAACTTTATTCTTCCTTGAACTTCCCGGGCCCTTTCTTTCCAGGAGCCCCATGTCCTGTTCATTTTCTCCATCTTTTCCAGAGAGACCTCTAGAATAAGAAGAATGCCAAGCTGCAGCAACTTGGAGTTTTAGAAATTTGCTTACCAAGTACCTGAGTGCCTCTGCCAGCATGGATAAATTAACCACCTAGCGGGTAAGGTCACATACTGAGCTTAGTTCTGCTTAAGGAACGACACAAACTTAAAAAGATTCAGGAGAAATAAATCGGGTTTCCTTTTTTCTTTCTTTTAGAAAAATGAGAATATAGAACATTTTTCAGAATATGAAAGTCCCACCACATGTTCCTAGCAACTTAGCAACTATCTCCAGGCCTCACATGTTTAGCCCTTTCCCAAAAGTGTTTACAATGAACACACACTGGGAAAGCCATCTCTAAAACACTGTGAGCAGGGGCACAAAAGAAAATACGTAAAGCAGGCCAGCGTGGGGGCTCACGCCTGTAATCCCAGTACTTTGGGAGGCCGAGGCTGGAGGACTGCTTTAGCTGGGGAGTTTGAGACCAGGCTGGGTAACATGGTGGGACCGTGTCTCTGGGGGGGGAGTCGGGGGGAGGAAGCTGGGCGTGGCCTGCAGCTGTGATCCCAGCTACTCCGAAGGTTGAGGTGGGAGGATCACTTGGATTGCTTGAGCCCAGGAGTTAGAGGCTGCACCGGGCTATAATCGCACCACTGCACTCTAGCCTGGGCCAGAGCCAGGTTGCCAAAAAAAGAAAAAAAAAAGGAAAAGAGAAAAGAAAGAGACCCTCACCTTTAGGAGAATTTTTGAGAAAACCTTTACATTAAAAAAGAGGGAGGAAAGATATCAAGAAAAGTTATGAAAAGGAATACAAATATGGGGGGAAAACAGACCCCCCCCCCCACAGAACAGGATAGTCATAAAAATAGCTGTCATAGTGCCACAAATTACTGCTGCGAGTTTGAGGAGTGGCAGGGGAGACATCTGCCCCAGTGCGGCGGGCTGCTGAGCATCCGTGGGCATGGGGACAGTCCTCATCAATTCACTTCCTGAAAAGCCCATTTCCTGGAAGGCAAAGTGGGCAGAGAATGCCGGGTGGTCTTCCTCGACTGTACCGATCGATCCCTGGGTGGCCGGGGCTGGGGCAGAGGCTGCGGTGCTGCCCTCGCGAGCCCTGGCTCCGAGCTTCGGGCTCCCAGCCATGGGGGGCGCTCAAGCCTTGGCCCCGCCTTGCTCCTGCACCGGCCTCGAGGCCTTCTCCGGCTCCCGCAGCCCCTCGGGGCCGCCGCACGGGTCCGGGAAGCGCGGGCCGTTCCCCGCGAAGGAGTCTCGGCGCGCCAGGGTCTCCTCCTGCACCGGGCGGCCCATGGGCTCCGCAGCCGCCGCCGCGCCCTCCTGCGAGGTCTGGCTGACGTAGACCACGATGATGTCGCCCTTGAAGTTCATCACCTGCCCGCTGGAGATGAACGTGGAGTTACTGTTTCCAGTCACATTTCCTGCGGGGAGAGGAAGGGAGAACACGGGGAGGGTGAGTCAGCGCCCGGAGGCAGGGTCTGCCGAGAGGAAGGTTCCGGGGAGTGGAGGGCGGCTCCCCGGATTCCCACAGCCCGGGGCCACAGGGAACCACACTGTAACCCTCCAGGCCCACTGAGGCGGAGGAAGGCGGGGCAGAGAAAAGAGGAATGGAAGAGAAAAAAGACAAAAGAAGTAAAGAGAAGAGGCGGGGAGAGGAAGAGAGGAGGAAAAGGAGTGGAGGAGGGAGGGGGGAAGGGGGAGGAGAGGGCTAGGAAGAGGAGGAGGAGAGGAAAGAAAGGGTGGAGGAAGAGGAAGGAGAGAGGAACAAGAAGGGGGGAGGAGGAGGGGAGGAAGAGGAGGAGGAGAGGAGGAGGGGAGGTAAAGGAGGGGAAGAGGAGGAGGAGGAGAGGAGGAACAGGAAAGGAGGAGGGGAGGAAAAGGAGGAGGAGAGGAAGAGGAGGAGGAGGAGAGGAGGAACAGAAAAGGAGGGGAGAGGAAGAGATGAGAAACGAGCAAGCCTAGGGGCAGACTCATGCTTTACCATTTGCTTGTGAGGTGGGACTCTGGGATACTGGCAAGAGAGCACACCAAGATTACAGAATCACAGACAAGATTCAGATGTTACAAAAGAGAGAGAGAGTGTATGTGTATTTGTGTGTGTGTGTGTGTGTGTGTGTGTGTGTGTTCAACACAGAACAAGCACAGCTAAGGAAGGAGACCTCAGTCTGCTCTCCTCTCTGGACTCACATCTGAGGCCCCATCACCGTGGGTGCCTTGGTTCCTCATGGTCCCTAACAACTCAGCCCTGGAGGATCATGGGGCCACGTGGGCTCAGCTTTCAGTAGAGATTAATCCACTTCCTTAACATTAAAATTACTCCCGGAAACAAAACAGATTCACAAAACTAAAATAGAAAAAAAAAGTCCTATAAATCACTTTTCCCTTCTGAACTCTGAAGGGTGTTTTGTCCCTAAGGGGTTCTAGCATCATTGCTTTGTGGGTGACTAGATGTGGCCAGTCTTTCAGCAACGGGCCTTTTGAAAAACAAACAAAGTCCAACAAATGTTAGGCAACCTGCTAGCTCTTACGATTCTTCCATTTTAAAGACAGAAATTTCCTAGACTTTGGTCTAGGAAAGTGCCACAAACCAAGCAGATCTAGAAACACCCCAACACTCAGCATCACAAACAGAATCCTTCCATTTGATCAGGGGCCAGGAATGTCAAAATGGCTCCTCACGATTCACCCCTTTTTCTTCTCCATTGTGACTCAGCTTAGTAATAATTCATACAAATAAAATGAAGTTTTTGTTACCACTCCACACGAGATTTTCCTCGAATTTGGAAGGCATGTTTTGGATGGCCTGACTAAAATACCGATACGCATGTAGGAAATTCCTTTGAGGAGCCTTCCCCTGACCCACTGGGTAACCTCTAGAGAAGCCAAGACCAAAACACAAGGAAAAGCCCATGAAGACACAAGGATTTCAAGTATGAGCAACAAATCCAAAGTCCTGGAAGGAGGTCTGTGCCTCATGCTGTTTCTCCCATGGGCAGTTGTGTGGGATGTCCTTCAAGATGGGCAGTGGCAGGACTTGTCTAAGAACCCCCAATTAGCATGAGGGAGGCCCGTTGGCATTCCTGTTTACCACCTACCCAGCACCTTCTCCACCCCCTCTCCACACATTGCCAGGCATGCAGCGTACTCCAGTGAGGGTCTGCTCACCACTGTATCTACGCCCTTCTGCTCCCACCACTTACCAAGTTACTTCTCAAGTCTGTTGTCACCAGATAAACTCATCAGGAAATTTAATTACATATTAGGTAAAGCAGTGAAATATTAGTGAGAAAAAATGGGAAATGTTTCTATGAAAACTAAAGTGAATGCTTTGCAAGGACCCAAATAAAAGTTAACAAACAAACAAACAAACAAACATACAAACAAAATGAAACAATCACCACAAACTGTTCAACTGGTGTGGTGGTGTAGGCAAGGAAACTAAGAAAAAAGAAAGAAAAAGGAAGGACTTCTGGTTTCAAAATGGCGGCACAGAAGCAAGCTGGTTCCACTCCCCCCGCAGAAAACCAAAACAAAACACACAGCACCGACATTATCACTCAAAATATTCTAGAACACAAATATGACAATGAGACAGTTCCCAGGGCCACAGAGAAGTGAGAAAGGAAGAAAAAGAATAGGAAAAGGAAATAATAAAACTCCAGAAGGATTTTGCTCTCAAATATCTGTAATTTCTCATTTCACATTGAAGAAATCGAAACTGGAAATTAAGGTGGTGTGGTTAATGTAAAAAGGGCTCAGGAGGCCGGGCGCGGTGGCTCACGCCTGTAATCCCAGCACTTTGGGAGGCCGAGGCGAGTAGATCACCTGGGGTCAGGAGTTCAAGACCAGCCTGGCCAATATGGCGAAACCCCGTTTCTACTAAAAATACAAAAAGTAGCTCAGCATAGTGGTGGGCACCTGCAATCCCAGCTACTTAGGAGGCTGAGGTAGGAGAAGTGCTTGAACCCAGGAGGCGGAGGTTGCAGTGAGTCAAGATCGCGCCACTGCACCCAGCCTGGGTGGAGTGCAAGACTCTCTCAAAAAAAAAAAAAAAAAAAAAAAAAGGACTCAGGAAACTATAATCAGCCAGTACATACAGACTTATACTATAAAATAATCAGTGTGTCAACTATAAGGTATATGTTTTAAGTAAAAAAATATTTAAGAGATGAACTTGTAAGATGACATTTTTAAGTAACTCAGCAACTGCTGACCAGGGGCTGATAAAAAGGCTTCTACCGTAGCAGCAACAGAAGTAGGCGTAGCAACACAGTTAAGTCCTCCTAGAGAAATCACTACTTGGTTAATAGAAAAAGTCAAAGTGAAAACTAAAAAGTACATGGAATGGGACATTCAATTTTTTAAAAAAAGCACATACAATGAAAATTCTATTCTGATTAAAAACATACCATGTTTATTTAATAAAATAAGCAATTTAAAGTTGCTTAGTCGTATGATTATTCTTGACCTAGTTCCTCTAGTTTTAATATACACCATGACACAAACAGATAAGTCTATGAAGAGAATAAAGAAGAGATGAGATTAAATGCAAAACCATCCATCATGAGGTGTTCTCACTACGACATCATCGCCTGCTGGTTCTGTTGCTCTTCAGTATCACGTAAAACTGCACAGAGGATATCTCCAGCCACTGTATGATGGATTTATGGTTTTGAATTCGTTCTCATCTCTTCTTTATCCTCCTCACTGATTTATCTGCTTATGTCATGGTATATATTATTTCTCTGCCATTTTAAATTTTATTTTTCAACAGATCATCATGAATCCATTGTTGTTTACTTCTTTCTTGTGAGAACCTCTGATGAGTCTGAATCCAGGTAAAACCTATGGTTTGTGTAAAGTCTTTCATCTTGAGAATTTCATTCCATGCCATTGCTCCATGGCAAACAGTATCTTTGATACTGATAACCTAAATATTCTATAGGACCTATATTCATTTTTGTTTTCTTTTTTCAGATGGACCTCAAACCCTTTTGCCTAAGTAGAATATCTAAACATTTCAGAATCCTTTGTTTCATGGACTGAACCAAGAATATTATTGTTGGGGAACTAAGCGCGGTGGCTGACACCTGTAATCCTGGCATTTTGGGAGGCCGAAGTGGGTGAATGCTTAAGCCCAGGAGTTGGAGACCAGCCTGGGCAACATGGTGAAACCCTGCCTCTATGAAAAATACAAAAAAGTTAGTTGGGTGTGGTGGCACACGCTTGTAGTCACAGCTACTTGGGAGGCTGAGGTGGGAGGATCACCTGAGCCCAGAGATGCTGAGGCTCCAGTGATCTGTGATCATGCCACTGCACTCCAGCCTGGGTGACAGAGTGACCCCCATCTCAAAAAAAAAAAAAAAGAATATTATTTTTGGAAGGCCGTGAGGCTTGTGGAAGGGCAAAAACTAGGCCTTTAAATTCCTGACCATTGGCTGGGCGCAGTGGCTCACGCCTGTAATCCCAGTACTTTGGGAGGCCGAGGCGGGTGGATCACGAGGTCAGGAGATCGAGACCATCCTGGTTAACACGGTGAAACCTGGTCTCTACTAAAAATAAAAAAAATTAGCTGGGTGTGGTGGCAGGCGCCTGTAGTCCCAGCTACTCGGGAGGCTGAGGCAGGAGAATGGCGTGAACCCAGGAGGCGGAGCTTGCAGTGAGCCGAGATCATGCCACTGCACTCCAGCCTGGGCGACAGAGTGAGACTCTCTCAAAAAAAAAAAAAAAAAAAAATTCCTGACCGTTAAGATGTAAAGGACAGTTACCTAGAAAGATTTAGGAGATTCTAAAACAAGTTTATTCTTCAAGTGTTTCTTTAACAAACCTAAAATTAATGACAAAAACAACCATTGGTCAAGTCTATCCATGCATGGTGACTCTTGTGAGATATAGTAAACTGATAGAGACTAAACCTTTTTTAAAAAAGTTATACTGATGTGCCAATCACACAATACGTGGCAATTCTTAAGTGGCAGCAGAGTGGTCGCCATGGGCCTGTGCAGCCGCACAAGGTCTTATGCTCTGAAGAGCTCCACGCTGGGTTAAATGCTTTGCTGTCATCATGAAATTCTTATTAATTTTTGCAAAAGGGGAAAATTTTTCATTTTCCACTGGGCTATGTCAGTTATGTCACCAGTCCTGAAGGCGCGGGCAACTCTTAGGAGCATTACTCTGGGAACTTTCCCCACTGAGGCTCTAATCTAGCACTACCGTTTTCGGAAGTGACATCTTATAAGTTGGACATTTTTCAATATTACAGAAGTGTTTGCTAATCAGATTTTCTCTACTAAATATTCAGTAAAACTGAGTTGTAGAAGCTCTCCACTTATGCTTCTAAAATACTGATCCTGTGATATGTTTCCCTCATGTTCAAGCCACCCACCCCTTGCTGCAAAACACCAACTTTCTGATGGAAAACGGGCCTGTCCTTTGCGAATGGGTCTACTGATTGTACCAATTGTATCTTGAATGCTTTACCTACAATTTCTAGTTTTGGGTTCTTTAACGTGGAAAGAGAACCAAAAGTCACTTGCCAAAAAGCAGTCTAAGTGCAGGAGCCTTCTAGAGTTTTCTTCCTTCCACCTTTCACGGTTGTGTCATTCACCTCAACTTCAATACCAAAAAGGTTTTAGCAATTCATTCCCCGAATCATCCCAAAGTATTCAGTAGTTTTCATAGAAATAATCATGATTATCAAACTCATTTTTTCTTGCCAGTTAACGTAATAGTTAATGTTTTGAATGACAAGATCAGCTCACACTCACAGAACTGGGAGCACCCATGGACTTTAGAAAACATGGCCATTCAGCAGGTGGCAGCAGAAGGGTCTGGGTATTCCAGAGTGACCCAAGAGTTGTGAATAATCAGTGTGCTATGGGCTTCAGTCAGCTTCCTGGGCGGGTGTGGGTTAATCTGTGGGTTGAGTGGAGATAGATTGAGTACCTACTACAATAATAACAGTAACAGAAGCAACACTCTCCATACAGAATTGACTAAGCCCTCTCTCCAGGCCAGGTTGGCTGCATCACAAACACCAGCTTGCAGGTGCTCTGCACGTGAGCACGCCAGGTTTCTGTGATTGGTTTTTTTCCCCTTTACCGACTGACACTGTTCAAGGATGAAAACTGCCAAACAGCCTTCTTTTTCCATGGCACGTCATAATCCAGATTCACCGGAAAGCAATCTAATGACATCAATGTCATTGTGGTGTTTCAGTCTCTGAAGAGCAGAGGTGAATAAGTGGTAGCTAGAGGGATGGAGGCATTAATGGCTGCCTGAATTCAGGAGGGGCAGAAATGTGGGGCAGAGAATAGGAGTCTAGAAGCTCTTGGGTCTTGTCCTGAGACTTGGCTCTCACTAGTGGTGAGAATTTGGAACAAACCACCTAACTCTCCCAATCTGTATCAAGCTGTGCTGGCCTGGCAGTGTGCAACTGCGTAGAGCAAGCAAATATTAATAATACACATTTGTTAAATAAATGAACAAATGAGCACATGAATATTCAGCAGGATAGCATAAGGGTCAAACAAGATGATAGATTTGAAAATGCTAGGGAAATAGCAAAGAGTCAGTCACAGGTGCAATGGTGGCATTCCTCCTCCCAGAAAGTAATATCCGTGCTCACGGAACTCCCAAGGACACAGAGATTCATGAAATACACTGAAGAGTAGTATTATCTTTCCATCCCTGTCTTGTTAGAGGATCTCAATGCGTCTTAAAGACTGAAAGGGCACTTTCTCTGGAAATCTAACCAACTTCTGTTTGCTCTGCCGAAGTCCTCAATCATATGATTGTCTTCGGTTACAACACTCATCTATATAATTCTACATTAAACCCCACAGTCTCATTTCTCATCACGCAAGTCTGCTGTGAGTTGAATGTAGCATGAGAGTAGATCAAGGCTTAGAATTAGTTGGTAATATCCTTATCTAATAGATACCTCAGTCCTGAACTGTCCTTGCTAAAAGTAAGAATTCCTTAACATTTGCTTTCTGTATTGCAGAACAGATTAGTTGTTCACATCAGAGAGCTCACATCTGATCTGCGATGGTGACATCAATAGGTCACCATGTTGGCAGCTGTATAATCAGGTGGGTGCTGTGGGTCTCCTTTTCAACATGGTTCTCATGGTTTCTGCAGTTGATACGTATCCCAGGAGGGTAACTCTTCCCACTGAATGCCTAGAAACTCAACGGGGACCTCTGCAGTTAGCAGGGACCTCTCCCTTGCTGGTGGCTAGTAAGGGAGTATGAAAAGGGGAGGGATGGTTCAGATGAGGCTTACCCAAGATGGCCTAAAAAGATCCGAGGCTTAAGAGAATGAAGAAACAAGCCGCAGACTGGAAGAAAATATCTGCAAAAGCCACATCTGACAAAGGACTATTTCCCAAAATAAACAAGGAACTCTTAAAACTCAACAATAAGAAAACAAATAACCCGATTAAAAAATGGACCCAAGGCCTTAACAGACACCTCACCAAAGATATCCAGATGGCAAACAGGCATATGAAAAGATGCTCCACATCATATGTCATTAGGGAAGTGAGAATTTATGCAACAGTGAGACACCACTACACACCTATTAGAATGGCTCAGATCCAGAACACTGACAACACCAAATGCTGGCGAGCATGGGGGTGGGTGGCAGGAACTCTTATTCTTGGCTAGTGGGAATGCAAAAGGGTACAGCTGCTTTGGAAGACAGTTTGATGACTTCTTACAAAACTGAACATACAGTTATCATATGATCCAGCAATCATACTCTTTGGTATTTACCCAAAGAAGTTGAAAACTTATGTCCACACAAAAATCTGCACACAGATGTTTACAGCAGCTGTAGTCATAATTGCCAAAACTTGGAAGCAGCCAAGAGTCCTTCAGTAAATGAAGGGATAAACAAATCCCCCATGTCCTCCACACAATGGAATATTATTTAGTGTTAAAAAGAAAAGAGCTGGCCAGGCACGGTGGCTCACGCCTATAATCCCAGCACTTTGGGAGGCCGAGGCGGGCGACTCTCAAGGTCAGGAGATGGAGACCATCTTGGCTAACACAGTGAAACCCCGTCTCTACTAAAAAAATACAAAAAATTTGCTGGGCATGGTGGCAGGCGCCTGTAGTCCCAGCTACTCGGGAGGCTGAGGCAGGAGAATGGCATGAACCCGGAGGCGGGGCCTGCAGTGAGCCAAGATCACGCCACTGCACTCCAGCCTGGGTGACAGAATGAGACTCCGTCTGAAAAAATAAAAAAAGAAAAGAGCTATCAAGCCATGAAAAGACATGGAGGAAACTTAGATTCATAATGCTAAGTAAACAAAGCCAATCTGAAAAGGCTATAGAATGTATGATTCCAACTCTATGGCATTCTGGACCAGGAAAAACTATGGAGACAGTAGAAAGATCAGTAGTTGCCAGAAGTTCAGAGAGAGGAAGGGGTGAGTAGAGCACAGAGGATTTGTAGGGCAGTGAAACTACCCTGTAGGAGACTATCATGGTGGATGCATGCCAGGATACATTGGTCCAAACCCATAGAACGTACAACACAAAGAGTGGACCCCAATGTGTCAATATGCGCTCGTCAAGTGCAGCAAATGTACCACTCTAGTGGGGGAGGCTGTGCATGTGTGGGGGGCAGGAGGTATATAGGAAATCTCTGTACCTGCCCCTCAATTTTCCTATGAAGCTAAAACTGCTCTAAAAAATAGTCTACATTAAAAACATGAAGACCAGAGGTTTTTTATAGGCATTGTTAGTCCATTAAGCCAAACCAGGCCTTGTCCCTCCCCTCTTGCCTCCTCTCCTCGGGATCCCTTTCTGACAGTGTTCCCCTTCGAGGCTGCCTCTGACCTTTATTTGACATTTATTTTGCTTGCCAAAAAAAAAAAAAAAAAAGATAAAGTTTGAAGCATGTGGAAGAAAAGGCTCTCCCCACAAGAGAAAGTGATAGTGAAAATAGTAACATCCCAAGACAACTGGCAGAAGAGAGGGGTCTCACCATAACCAGGGGACCATCACGCACTGTGCATCCTACTGTCCCTCCTGTGGAACCCTCTGGGCCAGGCCAGGCCTGGCTACTGCCTCTCCCTCAGCCAGAGTAGCCAATGATGCCAGGACTGTGCTTGTCCCTATTCTGTGACACACTGAGGATTCTCCAAGACACAGTAAATAAATGAAATCAGCATCACTTGCACTGACTTAAGAGGAGACAGTGCGGTGGTTTAAGGTTGCACTGCAGCCCTGACCTTCTGGGCTCAGGTGATCATCCCACCTCAGCCTCCCGAGTGGCTGGGACTACAGGTACATGCTACCACATCTGGCTAATTTTTTTTAAATTTTTGTAGAGAAGAGGTCTATGTTGCCCAGGCTGGTCCTGAACTCCTGGGTTCAAGAGATCCTCCCACCTTGGCTTCCCAAAGTGCTGGGGTTACAGGTGGGAGCCACTGTGCCCTGGCCTGCAATCAGATACTTGAACCATGGCTTTGTCGCTTACTAGCTGTATGATCCTGGGCGAGGAACTTGTCCCATAGAATTTCTGTGAGGAATAAGAAGATAATACACACAAAACACTCAGCACCCAGTGACTAACGTCTATAATATCACTGACAAAACTGTAACCTTCAGGCTATCGAACCAATCTTACAGGTCCCTGAACACAATATGACTGATGAAATTTGAAGGCTACCCAAAAGTATGATTTGAAAGCCAGAATGACATGGGGATTTTTATTAAATATGGGAATTTGGAAGTGTTTCCAACAGTTAAGATGGATTAGTTGGCAGGGTGCAGAGGGTCACACCTGTAATCCCAGACAGTGCAGTGGGTTAGGGTACAAGCTTCATAATCAGACATTTGTTTTTGTTTCTTTGAGAAAGGGTCTTGCTTAATCGCTCAGGCTGGAGTGCAGTGGCGTGAACACAGCTCACTGCAGTCCTGACCTCCTGGGCTTGGCTGTCCTCCCACCTCAGCCTCCTGAGTGGCTGGGACTATACACCTTGGGAGGCCTAGGTGTGTGGATCCGTTTGAGCTCAGGAGTTCGAGACTAGCCTGGGCAGCATGACGAAACTCAGTCTCTAAAAAAAAAAAAACACACACACAAAAATTAGCAGGGTGTGGTGGTACAGGCCTGTTGTCCCAGCTACTCGGGAGGCTGAGATGGGAGGATGGATTGAGCCTGGGGGACGGAGGCTGCAATGAGCCAAGATCGTGCCACTGCTCTCCAGCCTGGGTAATAGAGCCAAACCCTGTCTCAAAAAAAACTTAAAAAAAAAGAATGGATTAGTTGACTTAACATTAATATTTAATGTGACTTAACCAGAAAAATGTTCAGGTAACTTGAGAGTGTTAAAAATAGCAAGTAAGTCAACAGAAACAATGAATCAGTGATGTTTCCCATCATAATCAGAATGATGCTTCTACTTTGTCCATGCTTGACATAGCAGGCTCCGTGGAATCTGCATTTCTCAGGCAGAAAGAACAAACTTAGTTCTAAGAACACAATCCCTGACAGAATTTACATTTTTAAGCAAGACAATGCATACCTTTCTTCTCAAAAGCTTATTATGTTGTTTAAAATGCCTAACACATGAATATTAAATCACAAGAACTATGCCAAATAATACCACCAAATTGTAATGTAGATTTTCTTCCAAGGAAGAGAACTAAAAATATACACAAATACACTCAAACTACCCAGGCTACATTGGGTTCTTTTGGAATTTTTTAAAAAACTTATTTTATATTTAACCCATATGCTTCTCATGTGATTTTCCTTTTTATGGAAATGTAAGTTCTGTTTCAGGCATTTAGAAGAAACTGGGTATGTGATGGTAAGGGAAGGGAAACAGTATTTAATAGTTCCATTCTGAATCATGCTTGAAAATTACTTAGAAAGTCTTACAGACCAAAGCCTTCCAAAATGAGCCCTATCAGTGCAGAAAGAAGGGAGACAGGACGAAATGAAGCAGAGTACACACAGTGACCACATTTTTTGTATATTTTGAAATAGTGCATTGATGTTTTACAGCAATGAAAGCTGAATATTATCACCAGATAACCAAATTATGAAATATCTATATTAACTTCAAGATTCAGGGCCAATGAACCAGTATCTGCCCTTACGAGATTTAGCTGAAAGTGAAATGCAAGGTGGTGAACGGCATTCTAACAAGAGTGTGAAGAAAGAGATAGAAGGCTGTCCGCTGCTGGAGGGGAAGAAAGGAGGGGAGGTAAGTTTGGATAGGAAAATCTTCTGTACTCTCAGAATGGAAATGGATGATCAACAACAGTCATTTCAAGAGAGAGTGGGACCAGGGACGGAGACTGAGGACAGAGGAGGATGAGGGGTCAGGCAGGTCTTCACTGTCCCGTGTTCCTGGCTCCCAGGTGATGGCCTTGGAGAGTCTATAATGCTAGGATGAACCAGCTCACCTGTGCTCTGTCACTTCTGCCTCCTCTGCCCAGGACACTAGGTGAGCCCAGGGCAGCCAGTGCCGGCCCTTCCATCCCCCTCCTTCTCCAGCTCCCTAGAGCAGACCAAAGAACTAGGAGGCTGAGAGTGACTTGGGGGAACAAACAGGATACAGTGGTCTCATGTTCATCTATTTATTCCTGAATGGATGAATGAATGAGTGTATAAGCATCCATTCACTTAACATATTGAGATACTAGAAAGATTAGGCTATGAGAATTCCCTTTTTTCTTTTCTTTCTTTTTTTTTTTGAGACAGAGTCTTGCTCTGCCGCCCAGGCTGGAGTGCAGTGGCAAGATCTCAGATCACCTCCACCTCCCTGACTCAAGCAATTCTCCTGCCTCAGCTTCTCAAGTAGCTGGGATTCCAGGCGCATGCCACCATGCCCAGCTAATTTTTTTTATTTTTAGTAGAGATGGGGTTTCCCCATGTTGGTCAGGATGGTCTTGAACTCCTGACCTAAAGTGATCCGCCCACCTCAGCCTCCCAAAGTGCTGGGATTATAGGCGTGAGCCACTGCACCCAGCCAGGATTCCCACTAACTGGTTGTGGCTGCCTAGAGCTGGGGTGTTGATAGGGTGTGAGATTATCCAGGCTGGTGAGAAAGACCCCAAGATTCATTACAAACAACAGGCCGCAGGTCAGGGATGGGGCAGACTGTGGAAGGCCTGGATTTCTCAAATGATTGATACCTTTTCACACGGTCCACTCCCTGGCATTAATCCCTACTTGTTTTTCAGGCTTTTTCAAGGCTCTGTGGCTCAGTGGACCTTCAATAAATTGGACCTTCAATAAATTAATTGAAAAACAAATAGGTATTCTGTGTTCATCAAGAATTGTTTGCAGCCATAGAAAAAGAAGGAAATCATGTCCTCTGCAGCAACATGGATGCAGTTGGAGGCCATTATCCTATGTAAATTAGTACAGAAACAGAAAACCAAACACTGCGTGTTCTCACTTATAAGTGGAAGCTAAACACTGGGTATTCATGGACATAAAGAAGGCAACAATAGACACTGGGCACTTCTAACTAGGCAGGGGAGAGAGGGAGAGAAACAAGGATTGAAGATACTGTGCTCACTGCCTGGATGACGAGATCAGTCATACCCCAAAACTCAGCATCATACAATATACCCAGGTACAAACCTGCACATGTACCCTGAATCTAAGATAAAAGTTGAAATAATTAAAAAGCAAAATGATTTTTAAAAGATAAAAAAAAAAAAAGACCACCCCAACTTTCTCCAGCTCAGAAGTGATAGACTAACGAGTGGCTTCAGGAGCCAAAACCAAGCCACCAGCCAACAACAGACACATTAATCATAAGCAGTTATGGTTTCTTTCGCATGAAATAACTCTCTAGGGGCACAGTGAGAATGCGCCAATCTCCAGGTGAGAGGGCTTGTAACCAAGGCAACCATCACGTCATCAGGATTAGGCGTAACTTCAGACCTAAATTAAGGCATGGTTATTTAAGACATAACCAGAAGTATGCTTCCCCCTTCACTGATCTTTGCTAATCATTCTCCTTGCTTCTTAGGACTTATAACATGGCTAACATAGCCTTAACAGCACTGGGTATCATGATTTTTAAAGTTGTCTACACTTGTGGAGCTGTCTGAAAAATAATCATTCTCCTCACAAAGATGCTGGGACAGGAGATACTCTTCCCTAAAGGAAAAGTCCCCAGTCACTGTCATTTCTCCAGAACTATTTGATGTGATTGTAAGTAAAAACAAACAAAAAATCCTCTCATATAAAAATCCAAAAAACCCTTAAACAAATGTCACATCAGCACAGTCCTGAGAGCACAGGGGCTTTGAGGGGACCATGGGATAAGGCCTCTGTAGGACTGCTCACCGAAGCTCCAGCCTCTTTCACGCATTTTATAGAACGTAAATTGTGACTTTTTAAAAAACTACATGAAAAAGCAAGAATGAGAAAGTACTATTTTGACCAGAAACCATAAGGCCTGTTCATGGAGAAGTAATTGTGGAGAGAATAGCACAGCCTCCAAAATCAATCTGGCTGCTGCCTCTCCTCAGGCGAAAATTAATTTGGCCCGCTTGCTGGCGTCGACCACGGGCAGACTCTCTACGGATGTTTTGCATGGCTAAGCACCAGACGAAGACAGAAAAAGCAGTGTAAACTTTTTGCAAATTAACACCACTTAGTTGATGACACACTTTTTATTCCTTTTCTCCATCCCTAGATGGTTTAGTGCTAGAGAAATAAAAGATGATGAAAAACAGACTAGGCTACGGTTTTGACTCTTACAGGAGAGCAAAGATCGGGCTTTTTGTTTTATGGCATTAAAAGATCCATGTGTCTCTCTCTCTCTCTTTAAATCTGGCCAACACTGTTCTTCCAAGAACTGCTGCTGATTTTCACACAGAGGCAACATCATCTTCCTGGTGTCACCCACTGAAAAACCGGTCTGCCCCTGACAGTGTGGCCAGGACCTGGCTGCTGCCAGAGACAGAACGTCAGCTTTCTCGCTCCCCACAGCCCAGGGTCCTGTCTGTCTCCACAACCAAGGGGAAGACAATAAACTGAGAGAAAAGAAATAGAACAGGCCAGGTGCAGTGGCTCACGCCTGCAATCCCAGCACTTTGGGAGACTGAGGCAGGTGGATCACCTGAGGTCAGGCGTTTGAGACCAGCCTGGCCAACATGGAAAAACCCCATCTTTACTGAAAATACAAAAATTAGCATGGTGTGGTGGCATGCGCCTATAGTCCCAGCCACTCGGGAGGCTGAGGCAGGAGAACTGCTTGAACCCGAGAGGTGGAGGTTGCAATGAGCCGAGATCGCGCCACTGCACTCCAGCCTGGGCGACAGAGTGAGACTTGGTCTCAAAAAAAAAAAAGAAAAGAAAAGAAAAGAAAAGAAATAGAACAATGCAAACGAACAGCAAAGCCCAGTCATGGAGATTCCTTACAATCTTAAAAAATAAGAACAATTCTGAGATCTTCTGAGAAGAAAACATACCAGTTCTTTGAAAAATATCCCCAAACATATCTCCTCCTTTCTGTTTGACTGAGAACTGCTATTACTGAATTTATACATCAGTAAATCTATGTAGCTGCAGCAAAACCACAAGCTTGAGGAACAGATTAAAGCCAGGAACCATCATTCCCACGAGGCAAAACAGTCTCTGTGTTTAAGGCACAGATCTAGCTACCTCAGATTTATAAAACAATTCGAAGACCGGCTGCTAGCACCACTTGCAGTCTAAATAAAGAAGCAGAGAAGAAAAAGCATCTCTGGAGAGGGGCGGCCTATGAATGGGCCTTTTAAAAATATGAGTTGGAGGATTCTGTGAAGCCCCTTAAATAGTATATATCCATATATTCGTTTTTCTGGAGGGAGTGTCTGTAGCTTTCGGAAGATTCTCAAAGAGATCCCTGACCCTTCAAATGACAGTTAATTCTCAGAGCCAGAGCCCTCACTATCAGCTGCAAAGTCCTTTGTAACTATGTAATAAAACAGATGGTGTTTTACCCTCATGGGAAAAAGTTATAATATTATAATCGGTGGGTTGTTCATGCTCAGGCAGTGTTGCAGTGATACATCTTTATAATGATGTTAAATTGTTAAAATTATCTGCCTGGTTCCATAAATATATGATACGTTGTGGTTATAAAAGGGGCCTTTCTCATGAAACTTTTTAAAAGACAGTTTTACTGTATCATTCATTTGGTATAGAATCAACACATTATTCACAATAAATATTAATTAATTAAGGATTAACTAAACAATTTTGTGTGTCCTCCTAAAACTTATAAGTGCTTTCTTGGGGGAGATTTAAGAGGCCTAAGGTGCTTTGAAAACAAAAACCAAAAAGCAGAAATCTGAGGGAATGCCTTGGCTCAGCCAGTCCTGACGCCGATGTTGACTTTGTCTTTCCGGGGTCAGTGCTGGGGCTTGAGGTCTAATCCTATCATGAAAAGCCTGAATGCAAAAGGGTATGGGATATGCATGGATGCAGAAACTGCCCCAGTGGTAAACGATGAAGCCACACAGCGCTGGGCGCAGTGTATAACCAAACACGTGGACTGAATCCAAAGCCATCCTGTAAAAATGCTTATTAAGAGAAAAAGCACAAGCTGAGGTTTTCCCATTAGCTTCCTCCTTCCTAAATGGTAATACCTGCCCCCAAACCCTGTACCAAGAACTGGCCCTTCTGCTCAGAAGTGAGAGACTGGGAAGTCACTTACCAGATGCAGGGGACTGGCCACCAGGGGAGCTTCCAGACCCGGCACCTGCCCTCGCTGAGCTTGGGAGCCTCCCATCAGCCCCATCCTCGGGCTGGTCTCTGGCCTCCGTCCTGCTGGCTTCTTCTTCAGGGGGAAGGCCCATGCCATAGGCGCACTGGGGCAAGGGTCCACGTTTTGGGGAACCCACGAGGGGTTCACAGTCCTCCCCAGGAGGGTTCCGGCAGCCTGTGCAGACATCTGCCCAGTTGGGGCTGGGGCTGGCTGCCCAGTGCGGGCAATGGCCACTGTCCACCTCTTTTTGCAAGTAGTTTTCAGAGGACATGGGAGTCCAATCAGTCCTGCACAGGGGCTCAGTGCAGTTGCAGCTTTCTGAACCCACTGTGCTCTGTGTCCCCGTGAAGCACTGGCTTAAACTGTCATTCTCCCCCACCTCCAGGGGTTCAGAGAAAGGAGGTGTGGATTTGCTTCCAGGCTCAGTGAGGAACAGTAACTGGTCTGTGGGCTGGGAGGGCCTGTCCATGTATTCATCTTCTGTGGGCATCTGTCTGAAGCTGTCTTCCTCTATCTCGGTCTTGCTGACCAATGAGAGCATCCTGGCATCTTCGCCTTGTGCGTAGGGACCACCTCCTACACATGTGCCCTGACAGACACCACCTTGATCTGGGTAGCACATATCTTCTGGAAATGTCTTCTCCTCCAGAGTCAGCAGTAAGACACCTTCACATGCTCCCTGCTGACCAAAGTTTGCCGTGTGTGTACTGACACAACTGTCACCTGAGGACTCCTGCCGATTTACATTCAGAAGGCAGAGGCATTAATACCTAGAGTTATTAGGACAAGTTTAGCTAAACATTGCTGAAAACAGTGTTTACACTGATTATTTCCACCATAACAAGTACAGATGGAAAACTGACTATGGAACTTTGTGTTATTTCAAATTACCGAGTGCAGGAGAACTCTAGAATGGAATACAACTAGAAACAAATGAATGTAGCTGCATCTCAGATGAAAAGCATGTTCACATCTGAGCAAGGAGAGGAGCTAACCCAAATGACTTTTGAACACAGTATTCTGACTACATATTCTCAATCTAAATACAAAACCCCAAAACAACTGTAAACAAATATTGAACTCGAGTAAGCAGCTCTGTGTATCACTGTGGTATGCTCTAGTAATTCTGAAACTACGTTCTATGTATTCTAGAATTGAGCAAATGAGGAAATATACTGAGAATAATAGGAGCCAGGTTTCATACAGCTGGGGAAAGAAAGATTCAAATATGGGAAAGGGAAAGACCAGAATGAATCATGTTGAGTTGGCCTGGAATTAGAGAAATCAGTTTGAGCTTATGCTTTCAAATGTATACATTTTATATCAAAGAAAGTAGATCTAACCAGGCGTGGTGGCTCATGCCTGCAATCCCAGGATTTTGGGAGACCAAGGTGGGTGGATCACCTGAGTTCAGGAGTTCAAGACCAGCCTGGGCAACACAGTGAAACCCTGTCTCTACTAAAAATACAAAAATTAGTTGGGTGTGGTGGCGGGCACCTGTAATCCCAGATACTCAGGAGGCTGAGGCAGAAGAATCGCTTGAACCTGGGAGGCAGAGGTTGCAGTGAGCCGAGATTGCGCCATTGCACTCAAGCCTGGATGAGAGAGTGAGATTCTGTCTCAAAAAAAAAAAAAAAAAAAAAAAGAAGAAGAAGAAAAGAAAGAAAGATCTAAAGGACATAATGAAATAATTAATGAAAATTTAATATCAAATGTGGGTTGAATAATAGTATTGTACCATTGTTAAATTTCTTGATTCCGATACATGTACTATGGTTATATATGAGAATGTCTTTGTTCTTAAATACACACTGAAATATTTAAGGATATGGGACACACAGTCTGCCATTCACTGTAAAATGATTCAAGAAGAAAACATACCTGTGTTCATATACACACATACAGAGAGTAAGCAAATCACAAAGCAATGAGAGAAAATAGAAACAACTGGTGGGCCTATGTCTAGGGTATATGGAAGGTCTTTGTCCTTTTCTCACTACTTTCCTATAATTTTGAACTGTGTCAACATAAAATGTTACCAGAATAACTACAGAGTCAAGGAAAGTTGCAGTTCATCCTTCTTAGGAATCTGTACCAGACAATCAAGATTGGTACTAAAAAAAATGACATGAACACAGAGATGACAGAAGTGGAAACAAAGACAAAGAAAACAGGCATCTAGAATGAGCCTGGACTTGGGCTTTGAGCTGCTCTGCAGGGATCCATCCTGGAATTTGAGGTTTGATCACTGAACCTGGAAATGCCCTGTAAGCAAAGGAGCTGAGGCCGGGCGCGGTGGCTCCTGCCTATAATCCCAGCACTTTGGGAGGCTGAGGCAGGTGGATCACTTGAGGCCAGGAGTTCGAGACTAGCGTGGCCAACACGGTGAAGCCCTGTCTCTATTAAAAACACAAAAAATTAGCCAGGCTTGGTAGTGGGCTCCTGTAATCCCAGCTGCTCAGGAGGCTGAGGCAGGAGAATCACTTGACCCTGGGAGGTGGAGGTTGCAGTGAGCTGAGATTGCACCCCTGCACTCCAGCCTGAGGCACAGAGCGAGACTCCGTCTCAAAAAAAGTGGGGGTGGGGGGGGGTGCTCAATATGTGACTAGGATGGCTCTACCAGCCTAACTGTTGAATGTACTTAACAGAGGCACCAACAACTGTTCACTCTACCTTATCTCCACTTAGGCGGCCACAAGCCTCATTGATCCAGTGCCACAAATTAGCTAGAAAACACAAAGCAAGGATAAGGACTTCAAGTTATTATTTCCCACTTCTTTTCTTTTAAATAAAGGTTATTATGTATATTTAAGGTATACAACATGTTATAGGACAAATATAGATAGTAAAATGGTTACTATAGTGAAGCAAATTAACATACCCATCATCTCACTTAGTTACCCATTTTTATGTGTGTGTGGCAAGATCCGCTAAAATCTACAAATTTAGCAAAAATCTTGAATATGATACAACATGATTAACTACAGTCCCCATCTGTACATTAGATTCCTGGACAACTTTCTTCATCCTGCACATCTGCTACTTTGTATCCTCCGACCCACATCTCCCCATTTTCTTTCCCCCTGTCCCTGCTAACCATTGTTTTATTCTATATCTCTGTATATTTGACTTTTGGGGAACACTACACATATAAGTGCAATCATTCTAGATTTTTATTTCTCTATCAGGCTCAGTATTATGACCACTAGGTCAGTTCAATATTATCTTTCAACAGAGTCCACCGCAAGTCTTTCAGTGAGCACTCCTGGGAGTGAAAGCATTTAAAAGTAAATCAACTGATTTAAAGGCTATGAAGGGCCAGGCGCGGTGGCTCACACCTGTAATGCCAGCACTTTGGGAGGCCAAGGCAGGTGGATCACTTGAGGTCAGGAGTTCATGACTAGCCTGGCCAACATGGTGAAACCACATCTCTACTAAAAATACAAAAATTAGCCGGGCATGGTGGCAATGTCCTGTAATCCCAGCTACTTGGGAGGCTGAAGCAGGAGAATTGCTTGAACCTGGCAGGCGGAGGCTGCAGTGAGCTGAGATTGTGCCACTGCACTCCAACCTAGGCAACAGAGCGAAACTCTGTCTCAAAAAAACCAAAAAATAAAATAAAAAAATAAAAAATAAAAAATAAAGGCTATGAAGCCATCTTACTCCCATCAAAAACAGAACTTCCTGTTCTATGCAAAGCAAAACATGATCCTCTAACGTTTCAGTGACTTCCTCTGGGCACATTTGGGGGCTGTCAGAGGTGCTGCTATGACTATAGACATTCTCATTCTCTTAACAAGTTTTCTTTGGCTATGAGGGACTAAGTTAGACATCATAGAAGAACAAAGAAAACATGTCTAGGAGACTGGTTTTTCCAGTGAACTAGGTTGAATGTACTATAAAAGTGAGGCAAACACAGCAAGCTAGGTGTCAGACCCACTGAGACCAGCGGGCCCCAAGACCTTTTCCACTATATCTGGCTGCTTCTCAGAAGAAAGAAGAATATGTTCAAAAAAGTACATCTCCACCCACTCTTACAGAAGTGATGAAACCTAAAAGGTTAAATTTTATGAATTTTAAGAAATCTATGAATTTATATTATGCAAAGATACAATTTTATCCCACTTCTAATGAACATTTAATGTTGGGTTCACTATAAAGACTAAAGTTAGGGCTGGACCCGGTGGCTCACACCTGTAATCCCAGCACTTTGGGAGGCTGAGGTGGGCGGACCGCTTCAGCTCAGGAGTTTGAGACCAGCTTGGGCAACATGGTGAAACCCCACCTCTATAAAAAAATACAAAAATTAGCCGGGCATGGTGGTGCATGCCTGTGGTCCCAGCTACTTGGGGGGCTGAGGTGGGAGGATTGTTTGAGCCCGGGAGGGAGGTCGAGGCTGCAGTGAGCCACGCTTGTGCCACTGCAGTCCTGCCTGGGTGACAAAGTGAGACCCTGTCTCAAAAAGCAACAACAATAAAAAACAAAACCGACTAAAGTTAGGAGTTGTCAGGTTCTCCATGGGAAGATCATCACAGTTCAGTGTAACAGCTAATGAGCACTTAAGCGTGCCAGGGAGGGTGCTAAGCAGTCTCATCACAAAATAGGGGAAATAATAGTGCCCACCTCATGGTGCTGTTGTGAAGATGTACGTAGTACACGCAAAATATATATAGTCATGTCAGCACATATTAAATATTTAATATGTGTCAGCTATTGCTATTATCATCATTATTCTTGCTTCTTTTCTCTTATTTTGCAATTATATATCAAGGTAAACCACGCCCTCCCTACCCCCCACCAAAAGAGAAAAGGACAGTTGCAGCTGTTTCCTTGGAGGAATCAGTCTAGACAATCACAAATGGCACTAAAAAATAATACCTGTCCACGGAGCTGATAAACATGCAGACCTGCCATGATCACCTCTCCTCTGGACAACTGCAAACAGCTTCCTAACTGGTGCGCCTGCATCTACTCTCACTGTACCACACATTTGTTTGCTACTCTAAAGCCAGAGGGCCGCCCTTGGTCCCCTTTGCTAAGGACAAGGAGCAAACTCCTTCAGCAGCCGCTACATGGTCTCGCCATGCCCTCCTCTCCAGCCTCATCTTCCACTTGGTCCCTGGCTTTCTGCTACGGTGCCATTAGCTCCTTCCAGCCCGCTAATGCACTGTGCTCCCCTCATCATGCAGCTCTCTCACGATAGAATGCCTGTGGTTCTCCTGATGCCCCTTGTCTAGTGAATTCTGACTTGTCTTTCAGATCTTAACTCACCCATTTCCTCCTCTGGGAGACCCTGGCTGGCCCCAGGGATGGGCTGACCTTCTGTCATCTGCCACTTGGTGCTCAGCACCTTCTCTTGCATACTCAGCTTCCCTCTGTGGGCTTAACGCCTACCCTGCCCACTAAGATGCTTCCTCCAGGAGGGCACTGGCTGTGTCTGTGTTGCTCGATATTGAGACCCCAGTGTCAGTCCAGTCCCTGATGATCAATAAACATGTATGGATGAAAGGATGAAGAGCTAACAGTCATGACATCCAGTTCACTAAATGGTAGGCCCATATGGCAGTAAAATAGTATCAAAAAGAAAAACCTAAAGAACAAAACATCAGGAAGTCTGTTTATCTCACATAAACGTGCCTACAAGCGACCTTCATCATCTGAACATGCATTATCCAAATCCCTAGTAATGATGTTGTTAAGGAGGTGAAGCTGCACTAAATAAAGGCATTCAACAATGAACAGACTCTTTAAGAAATGGTCACCACTTGGCTGGGTGCGGTGGCTCATGCATGTAATCCCAGCACTTTGGGAGGCCAAGGTGGGTGGATCATGAGGTCAGGAGTTCGAGACCAGCCTGACCAACGTGGTGAAACCCCATCTCTACTAAAAATACAAAAATTAGCCAGGCATGGTGGCAAATGCCCGTAATCCCAGGTACTCAGGAGGCTGAGGGAGGAGAATCGCTGCAACCCAGGAGGCGGAGGTTGCAGTGAGCTGAGATCACACCACTGCACTCCAGCTTGGGCGACAGAGCGAGACTCTGTCTCAAAAAAAAAAAAAAAAAAAAAGGGTCATCACTCAAACATTGCTCACTGCTTAACACTGGCATCTGCAATCCCCATCTTTCCTCTTTAATTAATCTTCTGATTGTCTAGTGTTTCATTTGGCAATGTAATGGTTAGAGAAGTAGCTAGATATGCAGGGTCTCTTGAAGTCCAAGAGTGTGACGTGGGAAAACTGATCAAATCACAGCAAGGCAAAGGTGGGCCCTATAAATAAGCAACCAACTGGGCCAGGCGTGGTGGCTCACGCCTGTAATCCCAGCACTTTGGAAGGCAGAGGCCAGTGGATCACCTGAGGCCAGGAGATCGAGACCAGCCTGGCCAACATGGTCAAACCCCATTTCTACTAAAAATACAAAAATTAGCTGGGCGTGGTGGCAAATGCCTGTAATCCCAGCTACTCGGGAGGCTGAGGCAGGAGAATCACTTGAACCTGGGAGGCGGAGGCTGCAGTGAGTCGAGATCGTGCCACTACACTCCAGCCTAGGCAACATAGCGAGACTCTGTCTAAAAAATAAATAAGTAAATAAATAAATAAATAAGAGAGCAACTGAAAATGGAAAAGGATGGTGAAACAGCAGGTTTTTAATATTCAAGTCAAAAGAGAATGACTTGAATATTAAAGGAAAGATTTAAGAGATATTCTTAGGAAATCTAATGATGCCTTGAATCCTTTCGTAAAAATTACACATTTTTAGCTTTGTAGTCTACAAGTTAAACATGACGTGATGTTTAAAGACACTAACAAATTTGTGTGGGAAAATTATTCCCAAGAAACAGGATAAGACTTGACCGTCTATTCTAAGAATAAGCACCCAAATTTTATTCAATATAACTTATTTTCATAATCGAAGGTTCTTTTTTTTTTTTTTTTTTTTTTTGAGATGAAGTTTTGCTCTTGTTGTCCAGGCTGGAGTGCAATGGCATGATCTTGGCTCACTGCAACCTCTGCCTCCTAGGTTCAAGTGATCCTCCTACCTCAGCCTCTCAAGTAGCTGGAATTACAGGCATGTGCCACCATGTCTGGCTAATTTTGTATTTTTAGTACAGATGGGGTTTCACCATGTTGGCCAGGCTGCTCTCAAACTCCTGACCTCAGGTGATCCACCTGCCTCGGCCTCTCAAAGTGCTGGGATTACAAGTGTGAGCCACCACACCCACCGAAGGTTCTTATTTCAAAGTAACACTCCAGTCAGAAATTCCCCCCTACCGGTCATCTAAATATTTTATGTATATTTTAAAAGCATGCATTAAAAATTGATGTATTCTAGGATAAATGCAAGCTCCCATATATGTGATGCTGCAGAGTCTACACAACTCAAATACAGAGCTTACAAGTCATCCGTTTCCTGAACGCCAGCGTATTCCTGTTCCCTTATATACAACTAGGCAGGATATTGGCTTTTTCAAGTTTTTGGAGTTTTGTTTCTTTTTGCCAGAGAATGATAAAACGTGTTTTGCTTTAGTTTAAGCAGATCACCATAGGCAGCAAGTAGACAATCTACTCAACTTCCAAAGCATTTACCTAGAAATCTATCTTTTAAGATTGGTTTGCAAAAACCACCATAGACACAATACCTGTGAGTGCTTTCCCTTTTTTCCTATAGCAAACGCCAAAGATGATGGCAGCCACCAGGGCCACAGACGCGAAGAGAAGCAGAATTATTAAACCGGGCAAGTAAACATGGGGTTCTGTATTGGAAGAAAATGAGAAATATGGTAGTAAAGATTCTTTAATTTTACGCAGTTGAAAAACAAATCCCGGTAAATCAAACCTCAGAATCAAAAATGTTGGTCTGGGATAGCAGAAGTGACAGTCCCCACCCTTGGCTGCCCTTTGTCCGCGAGCACTCACATTCCAAAGGGTGAGATCCACAATCTCAGCCAGCCCTGCTCAGTCCGGTTTCACTCTACGGGAGAGCAGCCAGGGCCATTACGGTGTTTCTACCTTAGAACAGCTCTCATCATGCTCACCACATCACCCAGTCTCATTTTGGCTAACCTCCAGAACCCTTCAGTATCCCCAGAAAAATGACCCCTGCAGACAAAAGGAGCTTCTTCTATCTCTTTCCTAATAGCAACAGGGCACCAGGGGTTTGCTGGTCATGAGAACAGAACCACAGCCATCCTGTGAAATATTTCTGTAGTTTTCATCCCCGACACCACGTGGACCCAACTGTTCTCTTCATCCCTCCCTGATCACTTCATTGCTAGAATCCTTGCTCAAAACTCTTGATTTACATGACCTGGTTTCCTGGACTCCTACTTTTCCTCTCCTCTTTTTTAAAATAACTTTTTATTCCTTCAGTTATATTTAATGTTATCTGCCAAATGGTCTTTAAAAAAGTTTGCTCTGATTGTGTAACTCCACATCCAGAATGCTTTAATGTCTTCCTGTTTCCCAAAACATCAAGGCCAAACCCCTGATTTCTTGGTCAAAGCTTGTTAACCCGGTTATTCTGTGGCCTATTGTTCTCTTTCCTCATCTGAAAGGTCTCCTTGCCACTGAAGCAATCTCTTCCGATATCTGGACCCACACCTCCACACTGTCCTGCTCACCAAGTAACCAGCCTCCACCATCAACTTTCTGGCAATCTGAAACTCTACTTAAGATTAATTTAATGTGGCTGGGCACAGTGGCTCACTACTGTAATCCTAGCACTTTGGGAGACCAAGGCGGGCAGATCACCTGGGGCCAGGAGTTTGAGACCAGCCTGGCCAACACGGTGAAACCCTGTCTCTACTAAAAACACAAAAACTAGCTGGGCATGGTGGTGTGCGCCTGTAATCCCAGCTACTCAGGAGGCTGAGGCAGGAGAATCGCTTGAACCCGGGAGTTGGAGGTTGCAGTGAGCTGATATCACGCCACTGCACTCCAGCCTGGGTGGCAGAGTGACACTCTATCTCAAAAAGAAAAAAAAAAAAGATTAATTTAATCTAATCTACAACATGTTCCATAGATAATGATAGCTAGATCCTAACAATTTGGGAAGATGACTAAAATCTCCTCATAGACACCCTCACTTGTGACCACCATCATCCCACCATGTCTGAGCATTTTAATTTATGTTTGCAGCTCTATTTTCTTTTTATGTATATCAAAACATTATTAGTTACCCCCAATCCAGTGTAGAAAATTATCAAGGAAACAACATACCTGGAATTAAAATACTGATGAGAATGAAATATTCAGCTGACCATGCACGGGATGAAATAAAGGGGGAGAGGACGCCCGCAAATCCACGTGCCATCTGGGAGGGATCTAAACCAGCTGACCACCCTGGGGCACATCTATCAACCAACAGGCTCTTTTTAAACATACCATTTGGTGGTTTTCTAGCTGGCAGAGAAGAACTGCAAACCGCATCGGATTTCTCTGTCCCATGATGTTCTACTCTCTTTCCAAGGAAGGTACAGCTGTGGGGGAAAAGGTGGTTCAGTGCTTTGGTTTTATAAGCTTGTTTTTTAAAAAGTGAACAAATGCAAAACTCTCCCAGATTGCCAGCTCCTTCAGGAGAGGAACCCACGCCTTCTTGGACATTTGAATCCCCTGTGCCTTCCACAGGGAGGAGAACAGCACAAGGTGGGACAAACAAATAAACAAAAGCAAACGCTGCCTGTGTTCTCTGACAGCTACTCTGAGATTGCGGTCAGCAAAGGAGCAGAGCAGAGTCTTCAGGAAAGAATATTCTGGCCGTGCCTGGGTGGCTCAGGCCTGTCATCCTAGCACTTTGGGAGGCTGAGGCAAGAAGATTGCTTGAGCCCAGGAATTAGAGACTAGCCTGGGCAACATGGTGAAACCCTGTCTCTACAAAAAATTTAAAAATCAGCTGGGTGCGGTGTACGTGCCTGTGGTCTCAGCTACTGTGGAGGCAAAGGCAGGAGGATTGCTTGAGCCCAGGAGGTTGAAGGTGCAGTGAGCCGTGTTTGTACCACTGCACTTTGGCCTGGGCAACAGAGCGAGATCATGTCTCAAGAAAAAAAAAATGCATATTCCAATAGCTTCAATTACATGGTTAAGTGACATACTTTTGCTGATTGCTCTTTTTGAAAAACACAGAAAATCCTCTTGAACATAAAATTTGGATAAGTGAATCAGAAAATAAACATTTATTTATGTATTTTAATTTAATTTTCATTGTTTAAAAATGTGAGATGGGGTCTTGCTATGTTGCCCAGGCTGTTCTCAAACTCCTGGGCTCAAGCAAACCTCCTGCCTCTGACTCCTGAGTAGCTGGGATTACAGGCACGTGCCACCATGCCCAGCAGAAAATAAACATTTAATAAGAAATATACAGGGAACTGAAAGAATCATTATGTTGATTATTGGTATGCAACAACAAACATGCAATGAAAGGACCCATGAATTCCACTATAGATTTACTCACATACGTGAGAAATCATATATATATGAGATTCTTCATTAAAAAATTATGTATTACTGTAAAAGACTGGGAACAACCTAAATGACTATCAATAAAGAACTTATTACATAACTTACAGTACATCTCTACAATGAAATACTATGCAGCTGTGAAAAGCCAAGAAAATCATGAACTGGTGAACTAATATAGAAAAAGCTTCAGGATATAATATGTGAAAAAAAACCCCACGATGTTGACAGCATGCAAACATTTATATAAACAGGAGGCTTCTATATGTACACACACACACAAATAACTGGATGAATAAATCAGTGATGTTGGGAAATCGGGAGAAGTAGGCGTGACCACTGAATAAATGTTATAAATCATTTTCAACCAAACAAGGTTAGAAAAAGCTGCAACCGTAAGTCACAGATTACCAAATCTAAAAAGTCACACGAAGTTCCTGTCACACATAGGGCTGAAGAATTAGTTTGACTGGTTTATTTTCCCCAGGCTGAATTGACAGACTTTTTCCATTTTGAACGTGGCTTCAAGAGGAAGCCTAACCCAACAGAATCCGTCCGTTTTCAACCCAGACGAGACAGTGGAGGTTGAGTTGTTTAAAAACCAACCATCTCTTCTGACTCCTTTGTTGTTACTTACTTGGTCCAGGGTCTGCATTTGTCCGTGGAGGAAAAGGCATCAGAGAAGTAGCCTGCAAGGCAAGGTTTGCACACTGTGTCCTTGTTGAGCTGCACTGTGAGAAAAAAAAAAAAAAACAACCCAGACAGAACAAACAAAAAACAAACGAGGTCACTTAGAGATCATCCAGGCTGGGACTCCAGAGGACTGGAGGTGAGGCGCTGCCCCTCTCTGCCCTCACCTCCCACCCCTGTGCCCACCCCTGTGTCTAACTTCTTCAGCTCCCACAGGCTTGGGCCCACAGAGCAGTTCTGACCCCAGCAGTGAGTTATGGAACCACGCTCAGAAAGGTAACTGACTTGATGTCAGGCCACTAACACTGGTATGTGATGTCCAGGTCAGGCTAGCTCTGGTCATGACCCTTTGTTGTTCTGAGCCACTCCCCTGGTCACCGACACTTTGTTTCCTAGTCTGGGAGCCGATGTTGACTGCTCCTGCTATCTGTCTCTTGTTTTCCCCCATGCACCTGCCAGCTAGCCCAGCCTCTGTCTGCAGGGAATGGCAGACACATTACTGCTTTGAAGGTCACTGTCCTGACCTCTTCTGATGAGCTTAATCTCCTCAGTCCAAATATCAGAGTGTCAACAAAGTTTTCTCAGTTAAAAAAAGAAGACGAGGAAGAACCCTACAGGTCTCTTTCCCTGCAACCAAGGGTTGGTATCAAACATTTTCTATAAAGGGTCATAGAGTAAATATCTTAGGCTTTGCAGGCCTATGGTCTCTGCTGCAGCTACTCATAGCATGAAAGCAGTCCAACAATACATTAAAAGCAATGCACGAGGGTGTGTTCCAATAAAACTTTACTGATAAACACAGTGGCACAATGGATCTTAGACCCCTTCCTTAATGGACAGTGTTGAAAGTAGGAGCTGATCCTGGTTAGTGAACTGACTTGACTCTCATATTCTTCAAAAACTACACTGTCAAAATAAATGTCTCAGGTTTCCTATGCCTATTCCCTCTACTGCAATCCACACATGATGATTCTTCGGTAAGTCCCAAGAAGAACATTGGCTACTATGTGATATCATAATCAGGCAACTGGCTGGTGCCCAAACCACAAATTACTCCTGAAATTAGTAGCACTTCTGTGATTTACTTTCGTGAATAAAACACTAAAAAAAGGAAATAAATTTTCTTTGTCCAGAGTCAAGTATGAAGTATACTGTTGATTTCTGCAATTTGGCTGGCTAGGTAGGGTACCCGCTCCTTCACCTAGCAATTTGATTTGCCTTGAATCTTTATTAAGAAGAGCCCAGTTGACATCTAATAACTCACATTAATTTGAACAGCTTTTTAAAAGAGAAGCACAATCTAGAGTTGTGAGAAGCCCTCAAAATCGAAGAGACGGGGGCTAACAGGCATACAAAGGGTTAAGGGTGTTAATTTCCATAGCTTGACTTCCATATGACTCTTAGTAACACTGACCTGCCAGAAGCATCCTGCAGGCTCCTTTCCTTGCTCCCTTTCATAATCACACTTTTCCCATTTCACAAAAGATATACTTTTTACCCACCCCATAGTTTGCTGCTATGCTGCCAAACCTCTGAGATGCTGAACGAGGTGACAAGTGGACATTGGGGATGGCAGAGTTCCTGCGCCTCCCAGCACAGTTCCCACCTTTCCCGCTCTATTAAGGGCAAAAGCAGGATGATAGAAATGGGGCAGCTGCGATCAGGCTGACTTGTTCTGAATTGAAATTATGCAGGGTGGGACAGGAGTGAAATTTCCATTCATCTACCGTTTCCCCTCTATCCTCAACCTATTTTGTCCAAAAATGAACCCATTTCCAAAGGTACAAGGCAGAGAGAAAGTCTAATAGAATCCCTGATGTGACATGCTGGTGAAAACCTAAAGGAAAGGCTCTGGGCCTCTTCTATTTTAGAATCAGAATTCAGAGGGAGTTGGCTGTGATAGGGAGATCCATTTTAACCATTAAAAAATCAAGTCAGACTTTTTGTAAGAGAAAGCACATCTGGTTTAGTCAATGCATTTGATAATAAAGACCGAATGTGTCAGTTAGACTCTGTGATGGACATTTTCCTTGATATGAATTGAAATGGATAATATTTTAATTCTCCCAACCCTGTCCAAGTATTTTGGGTTAAAACCAGGTGCCTCTAAGGGAATGAGTAATAGGCATAAATAATCATTTGTTAAGTCGTGGAAAAAAACGCTTTTGTTATACTTCCTAGAAGTCAGGAAAGCAAATTACTCTAAGAAATACTTTTTCAACTCAAAAGGATTTCTATTCCTTTACTTTCAACAAAATTGAAGGACACAATTGAATTCTCAACTGATAGAGCGTTAAAAATAACTTCTGATATCACATCAGTAGGTGAGCTTGGCCACATAAATCAGAAGGTACTGAAAGAAATTGAGGGACACACCTATAACCAAAGTGTTTCCTTTGCCATTCAGTTATTTATGTGAACAAATTTCTCAGCACTTACATACATAAAAACAAAAAGTAGAAACAGAATTGATGTTGAATGCTGTTGCATTTTAGCAAGAAGTAATATTTAGCCACAAATATATGAATTGGAAAAACAATCCCACTCATTATGGAGGTCAGAAGTTTTTACTTTTATGATTATAATATAGCAAAATAGGATATATTCATTTGTGACCAATTGTGTAATAATAAATGCAGTGACAACTTGGTCCAGAAGAAATGTTTTTAACCCTCAGTCAAAGTAAATATTTAAAAATTAAGATTTTGACTAGGTGTGGTGGCTCATGCCTATAATCCCAGCCCAGCACTTTGGGAGGCCGAGGTGGGCAGATCACCTGAAGTCGGGAGTTCGAGACCAGCCTGACCAACATAGAGAAACCCCATCTCTACCAAAAATACAAAATTAGCCAGGCGTGGTGGTGCATCCCGGTAATCCCAGTTATTCAAGAGGCTGAGGCAGGAGAATCGCTTGAACCTGGGAGGCAGAGGTTGCGGTGAGCCGAGATTGTGCCATTGCACTCCAGCCTGGGCAACAAGAGCAAAACTCCATCTCAAAAAAAAAATAAATAAAATAAATAAAGATTTCAAATAGGTGCATATTTTTCAATATGTGCATATTCGAATGTGAAAAGGTGATTAGTAAAAACCCTCCAAGCATAAAAAATATATCAGGATAAAATTCTATGGGGAAGGTGGAATGGATAGGAAACAAAAGGAGAGAAAGTAACTATGTAAACTGTCCAATAGTTAAATACAATTGGCGCATTTAAAAATGAATCATAGTGGGCACAAATGGCCATGGTGTTTACATTCCCCTGGATTCGTTTCTTCAGTGTTATCGCAGTTATAATTCCCTGGTAACTAAGTCCTTATCAGTTCTTCAAACTTGTAACAAAACTTTTTAGATGTCAACTTAAAAACGTGCTGGGGTGGGGGATGCATGGTTTTTCCAAAATTCTAATGGGTGCACACTTTTCAAAAACGTCCAATCACCCCTGCACTATCCTGCTGGCTCCTAAGTGGGGATCCCAGGTTTCCACGGATGGAGGAGCCCCAGCAACCCCTGGCCATGGCCAGAGCATGTAGGCAAATTGCCCGCAGTCCCTTTGAAGAACCTAAGCCGAGGATTCATTCTCAGGTCTTGCCTGGGCCTGTATCTCGTGGAAAATCAGCCCCCACCTTTCCCCATCCCTCAGGTTCCTCCAATGCTGCCTAGCACCCTGGAGCTTTCTTGCTGCTATTATCAAGACTGTCTCAAAGCTGGCTTTGCATGGCTCAGCAAGAGCCGACAGACGCACACATCCAACCCGTACACGGGTGCTGGGCGCCCAGGCCCGGCGCGCACTCGGTGTTGCGGCGGCAGCACTCGCAGTCCTGGCTCCAGTGGTACCCAGCCGTGCACGCGCAGCGCCGGGGGGTCGTGCTGTTGCCGGCGACCACGGCCACCAGGGCCTTGCCTGCGGGAGACAAGAGACAGGTCAGTGGCCAGGGAGGGGCAGGCAGCCCAAACACACCGCCCACGACTGCGCTATCCAACATCCAGCCCAGAGCAGCAGCCCGCCTGGCAGGCCTGCAGAGTGAATCACCAGGACACTGCTCGAGAAGTCCCAAGTTCCTCCTCGCACTTCCTGCACTGGCACGAAAACGTCACGGGGGGGTTCTTCTCTCTCTCATAATTAAGAGTTTTGTGGGCTTTTTTTAAAAGTCAATTTTCATGTTAGTAGAAAGATAAGGACTTGGGAATTGATGATCATTGAATGTTTTGGCGAATGCAGAAGGGTCACAGAGTTGAGCTTCCTCGTTTTTTGTAAATTCAAATGCCATATGTATAAGACTAACGCAAGACTGGACCTTAGAGAACAGGGTTTCTGGAGGTTTAGGATTCATTGTAGGATCCTGAGGCATCCCAGGGTGAAAACGGGTTGTTGTGGAGTTACATGCATGGAGAGGGTACAGAGGCAGGCCCAGTGACATGCTTGGAGTCAAACTCTCCTCAAGCACTCAGGGTAACATGCTTGTTTCTGTTTTCACAACACATGGCCTTCTTGTTCCAAATCTCCTGGCCCCTTCCAGTTTTTCTGGAATGCAGGTACGTGGGAATTGATCTGTTGTAAACTACACACACACACACACACGTATCTGTTATAAACTACATACACACACAAATATGAATCAAATTATTGATCAATCAATAGTCCTCATTATTTGCAGATTCATATTTGTGAATTCACCTGCTCAATAAAATTTATTTGCACCCCAAAATCAATCCTCTTGGTACTTCTGCAGTCCTTCAGGGACAGAACCGTGTACATTTTGAGTTGCTCCACACTCAGGTTTCTGGCTGAGGTTGGGTAATCGATGCTCTGCCTTCTTGTTTCAGCTCACAGAAGGTAAACGAGCTTTTTGTTGGTGATTTCCCTGCTTACAACAGCCCCCAACTGTCGTGCTGAAGAGCTGTCTAGCGTTCTAAGTGCAAGAAAACTGTGGTGTGCCTTACAGAGAAAATAAGTGTGTTAGAGAAGCTTCACTCAGGCATGAATTACAGTGCTGTTGGCCATGAGTGCAATGTTAATGAATCAACAACATGTATCAAATAAGGTGTCTTTAACAGAAACACACATGAAACAAGTTTACGTGGTGATCAGTCCGTGACAGTGTGACTGGAGGCTTGCAGGAACCTCACCCTGTAATCCACTAGGAGTAATGGCTCAGGATTTGCTAATTCAGTGTTCACGGTGACTTTATAGAACATAACTACTGTGCATAACCACAGTCAACTGCACATAAGTACATGACCCCATACCCCCCAACATGATACAAAACAATAACATTATTTAAAACAGACCTTGTACCCTTCTAGGGCTCCTTCTCACCTGGATTGTCCAAACAGCCCCTGCACCTTATATTCCTGAATACTTATAGGAATTCCAAGGGAAAAACAAGCCAACAAACCAGAAACCCGCTGTCTCTTATGGTCTCAAGTTACAGCCAGTAGGGAGGGGACATTTCCTATTTCCAATCTTTATAGACCCAAGCTTGGTGACCCTGGAGAAGTCCCCATTTCCTGCAGTGCCCACTCTTCCAAGGCCCCAGTCAGCTCTGCAACATCAAGGCCAAAATGCAAAAACATGTCCACAACACATGGGAACGTCCACAGACACATGCCACTTCTCTGGAAAATTCCAACTACTCCTAGGATCCCATCCGAATGTAAGCCTGGGTGGTGATGAATAATTTTGACATAATTTAAAATATTGTATGTAATGTACCAGATTTTTGGCTTTAATCAACTTTGGCAGTAGACAGAATGAATCTTTATTTCCAAGAGACAGCAATGAGTCAAGGTCATTACTAAGCAGTGGGAAATAAAAAAGGCTTGATCAGATGCTTCTGCTCAGTGGAGTTTCCATGTTACCTTCCCTAGCCAAAATCTGCCAGCTGTCTCCAGCACATTAGAAAAATTATGGTGTTAAAAGAAACACTTATTCTCTAATTCTGTCCATTGGGGAAAAAACTTCTATACACAAGGATCAATCCAGTAGTGAGTCTTCTCTAGAGTCCAGACTGAGGTCACTAAATAAAATGTTCCTCTAAAAACAATCATGAAACCTTAGAGAAATGTCTGATTGTAGTTTAAGACAAGGATTGTGCAAGCTAAGCATGGAAGCAATAGATGCCTGGGCTGTATCAAAACACCTTGGGCCACCTCATAGAAATGTGACAATCTGAGCACCATTACAACCAGTTATTGCAGGCAAGGGACCATGGCTCATGCTGTAATCCCAGCGCTTTGGGAGGCCGAGGCGGGGGGATCCCTTGAGGTCAGGAGTTCAGGACCAGCCTGGACACACGGTGAAACGCCCTCTCTACTAAAAATATAAAAGTTAGCAGGGCATGGTGGCACGTGCCTGTAATCCCAGCTACTTGGGAGGCCAAGGCAGGAGAATCGTTTGAACCCGGGAGGCCAAGGTTGCAGTGAGCCAAAATTGTGCCACTGCACTCCAGCTTGGGCGACAGAGCAAGACTCAAAAACAAACAAACAAACAACAGCAACAATAACTGCAATAGACTGAAACTAAAACACCTCAAATAGCTCCATAATATAAGTCCTTGGGAGAATGCTGGATGATTAAGATATTGTTTTGCAAAGTGATAAATAAGGTTAAAAGCATTTATTCTATCTTTTCTATATGTACTGCACTACAGGATAAATGCAGTAACTTTATCAATAAATAGTTGATGAGGGAAGTTTATCTTCATAAAGCATGCCAGCTAATAAATGAAAAAGAAATGAGAGAATCAGAACATCACCTTTCTGCAGCCCTTAAAGGAAACACATCTAAACCATGACCATCAGCAGCTGCTAATGTTAGAAAGAGGAATGCTCAGCTATTACATGGTTCTAATATTCTATGTATGAACTATATTATATATGAAGTTTGCCACAAACAAAACAAAAAACAAAGCAGAATCTGATTGGCCTTCTAGAGCTAACAACCAATTTATAAGAAATTGATCTAACAACCAATTTATAAGAAGGGGTCAGGCCGGGCATTGTGGCTCACGCCTGTAATCCCAGCACTTTGGGAGGCTGAGGCGGGTGCATCACTTGAGGTCAGGAGTTTGAGACCAACCTGGCCAACACGGTGAAACCTCAGCCCTACTAAAAATACAAAAATTAGCCAGGCATGGTGGCACGTGCCTGTAATCCCAGCTACTGGGGAGGCTGAGGCAGCAGAATAGCTTAAACCCGGGAGGGAGTGGTTGCAGTGAGCTGAGATTGTGCCACTGCACTCCAGCCTGGGTGACAGAGCAAGACTCCATCTCAAAAAAAAAAAAAAAAAAGAAAGAAAAAAGAAATATAAGGGACAGAATAATACATTAAATGATACCAAGGGAATGCAACCAACAAAATGTGGCCTGTGCAATCTCCACAGGACTAACATCACGGTTTCTTCAAAAAATGAGCTCAATGGAAAAAGGAAAGAAGGGAGAGAAAGGAACCTCTGTTTCTTAAGAGAATTAAGAGACATATTTTGCTCCTGATTCCTTCAAATAAACTATACTTTAAAAAACATTCCAGGCAAGAAACTTAAGACAGTCTGGTAAGGAGATCAGACTGTGTTAATAAAATATTTATAGTTTAGGAAAAAGGTGAAGAGTAGAGCTGGTTTTGAGTCCTGCTTCACACGTGTTAACCTTGGAGAAGTTATTCAACCTCTCTGAATCTCCGTTTCTCAATCTTTAAAGGGGATAGGCCGGGCACGGTGGCTCACACCTGTAATCCCAGCACTTTGGAAGGCCGAGGCGGGCAGATCACAAGGTCAGGAGATCGAGACCATCCTGGCTAACATGGTGAAACCCCGTCTCTACTAAAAGTACAAAAAATTAGCTGGGCGTGGTGGGGGGTGCCTGTAGTCCCAGCTACTCAGGAGGCTGAGGCAGGAGAATGGCATGAACCTGGGAGGCAGAGCTTGCAGTGAGCTGAGATCGCGCCACTGCACTCCAGCCTGGGCGACAGAGCGAGACTCCGTCTCAAATAAATTAAAAAAATAAATAAATAAATAAACAAATAAAATAAAAGGGATAAGTATGGCTACCTACAGGATTTCAGGGAGGATTAAACCACACAAAAATAGGTGGGAACATTATGGAAACATTATGTCAAGTCTATGATGTGTCCCATGATTAAATGGCAACATAAATATATTCCAGAACAAATGTTCTAAATGAAGAATTTTAACAGAGGCCTTGGGGATCTAAAACGCATCTTTCTTGGGATGTGTAGTCACAACTTCCTTTCATGTTCCTGAAACGAAACATCATTGGCTGCCTCTAAAAATGTTTCTATAGAAAAAGAGGTCTGAGGTTTCTACACTTCCCACTGACACACTGACAGGACGGGCTCACCTGTATCACAAACTTTATGCAGCAAGCATTTATCTTCTTCATTCCAGCTATCCAAGTATTCATCCGGGCCACAGGGCAGACATACACTGTCAGAGGTAGTAGTGCATTTAGAAGACATGTACTTTCCTTAAAAAAATGAGGGAGAAAAATGCAACCATCAAAAAACCAAACAAAAACAGCAACACAAAGCAAAACAGCAACAAAAATTGCACCCATCTATGGGACCAATAATCATTGGTGCCCATGATCCCAGGACACCCCCCAAAGACAATATGACACAGGAGAAGAGGCCACAATGCAGTGACTGCAGCACCCTGGGCTCCTCAGGCCACGCAGCTGGCTGAAATAACCCCACCTGGGTCCGCTGAGCCTGTGGTCACAGCAGTCTCTTAATTCTTCTAAGTAAAAAGCCAACCACCCTCTGCACCCAAAAAGTCTGCTAAGGAATAGAATGATGGGCCAGGCACGGTGGCTCACACCTGTAATCCCAGCAGTTTGGGAGGCGGAGACGGGCGGATCACCTGAGGCCAGAAATTTGAGACTAGCCTGGCCAAATGGTGAAATCTCGTCTCTACTAAAGATACAAAAATCAGCCAGGCGTGGTGGCAGGTGACTGTAGTCCCAGCTACTTGGGAGGCTGAGGCAGGAGAATTGCTGCCTCAACCTCTGGGAGATGGAGGTTGCAGTGACCTGAAATCATGCCACTGCACTCCAGCCTGGGCAACAGAGCAAGACCCCATCTCAAAAAGAAAAAAAGAAAAAAAAAAAAAAGGAATAGAATGATGATTTTAAACTGGGCCGCAGAACTTGAAAGATTCCCTGGAACCCACTCAGGGAATAAGAGGGGTAGGCAAGAGGAACTTCATCACCCATCCCCTCTCCCCTCTGCCTTCCATCTGGATAGGCAACTTCTTGTTAACTTCTTTTTGTTAACTTCCTCTACACTTACTACCGGCTCATGGTTAGCTTCGTTTGACCAAGTGTCACGCTGCGCCCCACCCGCCTATCCAACACACACTTGACCATTACTGGATCTTGGTTCTGCACATCCAATAAATAATTGTAGCTGAAATATCCAAAATATCTTGTTATAAGGTAACCCACCTTCCCCTCCCCAGAATGATGAGAGAGTGCGGGCCCCGTGGACTGTGGCTTTCACTGGGGCTGCAGAAATAGTCAGCCACACTTCTGGCAGAACAACTTGGGGCAGGTGGTAGCCAGTCCACCTTCTGCTCCTCAACAGGTATATGGAAAAAGGTACGACAAGGGTTTAGGCAATTTTTAGCAGCAACAATTCCAGTGTGGTTATTCCAAAATAAAATTTCTGTGAAAACAATTTTAAGTAAGAGCTGCATTTCACATTTGAGAGTTTGAGTCATAAAGTGCTAAAATATTAGTTTTTAAAAACTTCTTGCCATCTCGAGAAATAGTGTTTTGGAAAATTGTGTTTCAGCCCAAATTAAGCAACAGTTTTTAAAGTTGTTTTTGTTTTTTTCTAAGGGATTTTAAAATCCCTTCAAATCTCTATTGAGAGAAAGATTTTTGTCTTCAGAGTGACAGACATTACCACCTGCCACTACCATAACGCGTCTATCCAATTTCTTTTTTTCATCTGGCAGACAGAAAAAATAATGAAAGCCTCACCCACTTTTGAGGGGCAATGCAAGGTGGCTCAGAAGCAGGTGTACCTGGTTCACATTTGTTACAGCACCGTCCCAGATGCTCATAATGCTTCTCACTGGTACATGGAGGAGCGATCTGCAAAGCCACCTGAAAAGAACACTGAGGTCAGGCAGAGAGTCCACACAGCTCTTTCTGGATAAAACTAGGTAAAACAAAAAGGGAATCACCAAATTACTTTTTTTTTTTTTTTTTTTTTGAATGGAGTTTCGCTCTTGTTGCCCAGGCTGGAGTGCAATGGCGTGATCTCAGTTCACCGCAACCTCTACCTCCCAGGCTCAAGCGATTCTCCTACTTTAGCCTCCTGAGTAGCTGGGATTACAGGGTTTTTTTTTGTTTTTTTGTTTTTTTTTTTAGACAGAGTCTTGCTCTATTGCCCAGGCTGGAGTGCAATGGCGCAACCTCACCTCACTGCAACCTCTGCTTTCTGGTTTCAGGCGATTCTCCTGCCTCAGCCTCCCAAGTAGCTGGGACTATAGCCACGCACCACCTAATTTTTGTATTTTTAGTAGAGACGGGGTTTCACCATGTTGGCCAGGCTGGCCTTGAACTCCTGACCTCAGGTGATCCACCCGCCTCGGCCTCCCAAAGTGCTGGGATTACAAGCCTGAGCCACCACGCCCGGCCTGCTTACCTTTTAACTTGTTAAACACACAGAGAATTTTAAAAAGCGGGGAAAGCAAGGTGTTGTAGGGGCTTCCTGGGCTCTGCCCTCACTACCTGTTGCCTGAAGGACTGCAGGAGCTGTTTAAGCTTCCTCAGCCTCTGGTTCCCTTCTGGTTCAAAACGGTATGATTCTAAGACAAATACCAATTTCTGAATCTGCCCATCTGAGTAAAACAAAAGAAAACAGAGCAGCCCAGGCATCTATAATCACCCAGAGATTCTTATCAGTTTGCCACAGAAAAGTTCTTTTCCTGATCAGCATTCTTGGTGTGAGCAAAAAACAACACACACTCCTGTTGACAAGCAGTCATGTCAGAAACTGAAGAACTGGGCTTAGCCGAACAGACATCCACGTATGCACACCACACTTGCGATTCATGCAAGTTCCCTGCTGTGTCGTCGAATACAGAGTCACAAACCTTCCCCTCAAGGGTCTTAGAGTGGAATGAAACACATACCAGATGGGCCCTACCTCAGCAGTAGTAGGAAGGAAGCAGAAGCAGCCAGGATGGCTTCCTGAGGGAGGTGGTAAGTAATCAGCCTTCCAGGATAAATAGAAATCAGCCAGACCAGGAAACAGAAACTGGCAGGTGGAGGTAGTGGGAGGAAGTAGGAAGACTTTGGACAATATGAGCAGTTCAAACAGGGGCAATGAGGCCTGAAACAGCTCTTGGGAGGCAGTAAGAGACCTTCAGTCCAGCTGGAGCCCAGTGTCACAAAGGCAGTCAGGGGAGGGCTTCATCTGCATATGAAAGTGCTCGGATGGAGGGCGCAGAGATAATATGGCTTGGAAAAAGCCATGCATCCTCAAAATAGCTCCATTATAGAAGGCAGCTTTATAAAGAAAGCACCAAACCCAGGAAAGCCCAGGCTAGCTGAGTGGGTGTGGGGCACACAGCCATCACGGACCTTTCTGACCTCACCCTGGCCAGCAAAGGGGTTATGAGGAGGCTGAGGTCGATGAGAAGGTCCCAGTGTGTTATTGAGGTGATGTGTGACAGGAAGGTTGTACTTGGACTTGCTTCCTGGGCCCTGCTAACACTCCCCGTGGACACCGGGTAACACACATCAGATGCTCCCCATGTATTCACTGGGTGACAGAGTCTTAGGGAAGCTGCATTGAGCCCAGCGGACTGAGGAAGAATTGCTTAAAAGAAGCCACCACACCTCTCCCTTCTGAGATGCTTTTCTCTGTTTTAGATGCCACCCTTCTCTGTCTCCCTCTGTGTGTAATGTACATGCACAGAAGAAAGAGGCAAAGTGGTAAAACTACATGCGGCCATGCAAACTGGGTCAAAAAGCTGGATTCATCCGAGCCTAAGGATTCATGAGCATTGTTGCAATGCTGATGACAAGGCAAACAGGATAAATATGAAGTTGGACTGTATTTCAGATGACAAAGGGTATTAATTGCTTCTGATCCCCTAAGGGGGCAGCCACAGACTCAGTAAAATGAGCACATACTTTGTGTTCTACACACAGAAAGGTACTTTTTAGGGGAATTTGGTAAATGGGATATCCCTGAAGTAGCTGCTTAGGGGCACTGTCAGATGTCACAAGCTGTGTCCTGGGCTCCAAGCCCTGGTGCCTGTTGAGTATATCTGACCTGAACATGTAGACAATTCACTCCATGTTTAGGAGTATGGCTGCGATTCATTCAACCCACCTATCCTCCAACTCAGGAGCTTTACACCTCTTCGAAGAAACAAGGAAGTCACTGCTTCCAGAAATGACCAGCTGTCCTAACTTTTAATTGATTGTCACAGATATAAAATCCATTTCTCTCTCCTAAGCTTCTACCTCACTATGACTTTTCACCTGAATGTGCCTCTTGCCCTCCCACCCCTGCCCAAAAACTGAGGTATAAAATTCACGGACCATAAAATTAAACCTTTTAAAGTATACCTACCGTTCAGTGGTTTTTAGCACTTTGGCAAGGTTGAACAACCATCGCGGCTATCTAATTCCTGAACATTTTCATCACCCCAAAACTGACATGTCTACTTGACAGAGTTATAGGATTACAGATCTTTTAAGCAGCAGCAGAAATTTTGCTGCTGGGAAAATTGCTATGGTGAGGCAGAAAATTATGCTTTTAATCTCATTTAGGGTCCAGCTTAAGCAGAAACCTACTTTGTTCTCTAGTTACATGATATACTTTGAAGTATACCTTCAAACCTTCAACATGGCAATATACATACAACTTAAAATGCAACATAAGTACATATTTTTAAGTAAATGTGGTTTGCAAGTAAATAAAGGAAATCTGGAAAACTCTTTAGGTTGTTGGTGCATGCCAAAGACAAAGCATGCCTTTATTGCCCCTTTTCCTCTTCCTTTCTGGCTCTCTGCTTCCAGTGTTCTTTCCCTCCACTTGCAGACCCTTTTCCTCCCCACACAGCCCGTAAAGCGTGCCCTGTGCTGGTCTCATTCTAATCTCATGCCTCAGTTCCAGCAACAAATCGCCTGGTGAGCGCTGTGCACTGCAGCCCCATGCTTGTAACTCTTAGGAAATCCAGTGCTTCTGTCACTCCAGCCTGTCTTGCTTTGCCAGGTACCTGAGGATTGACCGACTTGTCCCCTTGACGCTGCAGGCCAGACTGGCTCTCTCCTTGCTCCTGATCCCCAGACTCTGTCTTGAGTCCCACATGCTTGGGCTCAGTTTCCCGTTAGACTGCCCTGGATCTGTTTCCTTATACCAGTCTCCCTCTGCCTGCACGGCCTGTCAGGTTCATCCTCTGGGTGTCATTTTTTTGTGTGCATGAATGAACGGCTGTCCCTGCCCCTCCCAGTCTGACCTCTCATTTTGCCTACAGTATTCTGGTTCTGATGTCTACCATTTCACCATTAACTGCCCTGCCAGCCAGCAGCTGGCAAGAGCCTGAAGATGGCTCCAGATCCCCTTGGCAGTAGCCCTCTAGGCTTCTGCCTTTCCCTTTCACCTGCCTAGAACTTCAGTCAGACTCTATCCTCCAAGACCAAGCTCCCCAGGGTTGCAAAGTGGTAGCTATTATTATCGGTAGCAGCCCTAGTAAAGCAATCATTTGATAAAAACATGTTCCTGCTTAAGTGTTCTTAAGGAATCTCCCAGGGAATGGGGAAATTTGGGCATAAGGCCCCAGATCTTCAGTTAATAGAGTGATTTTGTCAGCCACTTACAGTTGCCTCTTTTTCCCTAAGATGCAGCAAGGAAAAGCCTTTGATGACTGAGTTGAGATGTACAGGCTTTTATTTACTGAGATTTTTCTAGTTCACCTTTAAGACTGATAGAGTCAAAGCTTTGGAATCGCAGTTGTCTTCATGAAGCAAATAAAGCAGAAATACTTTTAAATTTTTATTTATTGAATAGGGAATACAGTCCCATGAGACAAAATTCAAAACGAACAATAGCTTGCTTAGGAAACTCTGTCCCAGTCTCTCCCAGTCACTCTTCTGCACAGGTAACCCATGTTACCGGCCATCTTTTGGGGTGCATTCTTCTGGAGGTGAAAGGAGAATGAACTTGTGATCTAATCGAGGGCCTATTCTACATCACAGCCGCCTTGGAGGCTGGCTGGGATCAGGTTGCTCTTGTGTTTTGGGGAATATAATTTGACTTCTTAGAGGTCTTGTTTAGAAAAGCAGCCATGGATTGATAGAGTATAGTTCTTAATCAATAAGCTGAAAATATTCTCTTTGGTCCACAGAATCTATATCAACTAACCTGTATTCTGACAGAACTCACTGGAATTAATAAGGAACATTAGTCTGTTCATAGCAAATATTCTCTGCACATACAAATTCCCCCTACAAATTCCTTGCTAAGTCTAAAAAAAGGAGTTAAAACAGCAAGATGATTTGACTTCTCTTGCTTCGCTTTCTTGTGTCTTTTTGTGTCTTCTACGCATTTGTTTCAGGGCATACAGGCTGGTGTTTATCTTAACGGCTGATGGACTCTTCTAGAATAACCATGTCCACAGTCTGTGCAAGGCTTTCGGAGGGCGGGGGAGATAATAAATTTGAAATTAAAAAATCCCTTTATAAAGCAATGTGGATTTATTTCCCTACGCAAAGCCATGTTGAGTCTAATTCTGAAAAACCATAAGCTGAAGAAACATAACATTTCTGCCAGTGGAGCCACAGAGACGAGCAGATCTGTATTTAGAATCCTGCAGGGAAGGTTGACTTAAATATTTATTTTCCATGCTGTTAACCCAATTGTAGTGCAAGTCATTATGGATACTAAAATTACTTTCTTGCTCCACTGAAAATTCATGCTGACATCGAACGATGTAGAAAGAGGCTTGGCCCCTCTTGTCAAATCGAGACGAAAAGAACGTAACCTAGAAGAACAAATGAGGGATTTTCCATAGATTTTGTTTTATAAAATATCATCCTTGACTATATTTCAGAATTTGGCTATAACTTCAGTAAGGATGGTATCAAATTTCTGAATCTTACAGTAGAGTCGAAAGATGTGGTTTTTCTTAAGAGAGAAACGATTAAATGTGAAAACAACACTTCACTTAACAGCCCTGCTGTCCTGGAAAAAAATATCTTTAAAGAAAGTCACTATCGAAACTGATCCTACCCAGAACAGAATACAAATAAATTACTAGCAACCTGTGTACCCAAAACACTAAAAGAGCTTCTTTAAATAAGACAATCTTACCCTAAGGAATTATTTCTCTTTGAAGCACTTTGTTTTAGAAGTAAATAAACAACAAACATATAAAAGGTAGAATTAATACATCAGAGTAACCTACAAACAAATGCTCTTGGTTCTTGTCCATTTCTTTGAATGTCTTTTTTCTCAGCCACCTGGGCTGACAGGCCGGCGAGAAGGTCTCAGTTTCTCCCGGTCACAAGTGTTTCCATTAATGAGTCAAAATATAGACCCTTTGAATTCAGATGTTCTGGGCTATCATTCCTGGTCTGCCCCTTCCTTAGCTGCTTTCTCCAGCTAAATTTATCTCTATTTTATCCAGCTTTCTATTCTGGATCATGGCACAGTCCTGTGCCTGTGAATGTGAGGAAAACGTCCCACCATGGTGATTCGCAGCAAAACATTCATAACCAGGAGTGGAAATGATGCAGGAATCACGTGAGGCCCAGACACCAGATAGGGCAGATTCCTATTCAAAAAAATTAAATGACAAAGAAAGTCTGACATGACAGAATATAGGATTTTTTTTTTTTTTTTTTTTTTTTGAGACAGAATCTCACTCTGTCACCCAGGCTGGAGTGCAGTGGCATGATCATAGCTCACTGCAGCCTTGACCTCCCAGGCTCAAGAGATTCTCCCACCTCAGCCTCCCGAGTAGCTGGGACCACAGGTGCCCACCACCATGCCGGGCTAATTTTTGTATTTTTTGGTAGACACGGGGTTTCACCATGTTGCCCAGGCTGGTCTTGAACCCCTGAGCTCAAGAGATTTGCCCACCTCAGCCTCCCAAAGTGCTGGGATTACAGGCGTGAGACACCACACCCAGTCTGCACATGGGAATTTTAGCAAAGCAGAAGTAAGGGCCAGGAGAACTCAGGTTGGAGGAGGGGACAAGGTACCTTGAGCGCTGGTGACAAGAGTATGAAGTAGCCTGGCCAGGCAGTCCCCAAGAACTGAGTTGGGCTTCAGGGAAGGAGGATTTTTCTACCCAGGGCAGTCCTCGAAACTGGGCTTCCAGTTTGACCCGGAGAGAAGAATGCCTGATATTTCTTTAATAAAACTGACTACATTTCTAAAATCTCAGGACCAAAAAAAAAAAAAAAAAAAAAAGCCATTCTCAGCCTGAGTCTCCTCACCTGTACAATAGTGCTAATTAATAACTGTGCCTATCCTGCTGCACTGAGAGGCAGACGTGAGAACTCCTATACATGATGTGGCACTGGCAAACGGCCAGACTGCACAAACACAAAGGTTCTGCCTCCTCAATTCAAAGCTGAAGACCTTTCTAGTAGGCTGCTGGGAGAAATGGAGATGTGATTGTATCACACCCCACTGCAGTGGTCTGTATCCAATAGAGGAGGGATATTCACGGGCACAGCTGAGTGGAATTAGTAAAAGTATATGTAACTTCCATCCAGTCATTCCCTGAGGGGAGAGAGGGAAAAGGGTGTCACTAGAAAGGGGAAAAATGATGGAAAAGATAAACTGGGTACCCAGAGACAAGTTCTCAAGGCCTGACAATCTTCCCGCACAAACCATCCTTGTGCACTTTTAACCTGATTATGACAAACCAAAGCTGCATAGCAGAGTATTTTAGCAGGACAACTAGGAAAAAATGCATGCGTTAAAAAGCATGTTTGATTTCACATAAAGAAGTCCTTTATCACGGGATTGGAAACTTGAGGCATCAATGTGAAATTGGCGATGAGTGGTCCGAGTCATTTCAGTGCTTTTCTGTCTGGGGGTTCAGTCAGTTCCACGAGCCACACTTGGGTGAAGGCAGACACAGTTTACTCAGTCCGTCTGCTGATAAAGCTGCTGCCAGATTATATCTGTGATTTCTGTTAACTAGGACATAAACGAATTATGATCGAATATCCTAGACATTCTCATTTTAAATAAGCTCGGCAGATAGAATTTCAATCTTACAGATTCACAGAGAAAATATCAGGCATGTTTCTTTTGTACAAACCAGAGCTTCACATTTCAAGCTTCAGAACAACATCGCATAGGCGCCTACCAAGATGGTGTGTTATAAGAGACCGTGAGGATAAAGGGGCAGTGTTTTAGGATCCCCTGCTCACCTTGCTGGATCACGTGGCACACCCCATGGGTGTGTTCACCCTACCTGGGAAACCTGTCAATCATGTAACACATTAAAAACTTGGAGGTCCTAAGTTATACCAGTCAGGTACATGGCCTAAGTCACAACAGAGGTAGATACAGAGAATCACAGGGTTTAACAGAAAATGCCCTGAGTGTTTAAAATATAATTCATTTCTAAGAAATATATTTTACACATAGCTCTTGAAAAAAAAATTCTGCTGCCAAAAGTTAGGCTCATACATTTTGTGATTTGTACAATATGAAAATATGTGTCTAGTTTATTGGAGAAGATCATGAAGAAACTATAACTGTCACAAACAATATTATAATTGATTAAAAAAAAAAAAGCTTAGCACAGTGACTCACGCCTGTAACCCCAGCATTTGGGGAGGCAGAAGTGGGAGGACTGCTTGAGCTCAGGAGTTTGAGACCCTGTCTCTATAAAACTTTAAAAATTATCCAAGTGTGGTAGCGTGTGCCTGTGGACCCAGCTATTCAGGAGGTTGAGGCAGGAGGATCGCTTGAGCCTAGGAGGTTGAGGCTGCAGTGAGCAGTGATTGCACCACTGCACTCCAGCCTGGGTGACAGAGTGAGACCCTGTTTCAAAGAAAACCCAAAACGAATGATAAAGGATTTGGGACTCTTTTCTGATACAGAGTCTCATTCTGTCACCTAGGCTAGAGTGCAGTGGTGTGATCACTGCTCACTGTAGCCTCGACCTCCTGGGTTCAAGCAATCTTCCCATACTCAAGTGATCCTCCTGGGCTCATGCCATCTTCCCATGCCAGCCCCTGAGTAGCTGGGACTACAAGGCCTAGGGATTTGGGACATTCTAAAATGCATTCTATGAATGTCTATCTAGTGATAAAAAGTATTCAAAACTCCAACTTAAAAGCACTCATCACAGCTGGTCAGCTTCTACTGGTCTCACTGAAAATTACAAATAACGAATCAGTCCTCTCCCCACACACATACTGTTCCCCGCAAAGAGGCTGTTGAGTTCATTTAATCACCGGGTAAGAGCGAGTCTGAGTCATTCACCTTTGCCTGAGTCACTCGCCTTTATCTCGAAAAATGATTTTTCTCCAGAAGATAGAGTTTGATGTAGTCAGAGTTTAACAGGAGGAAGTATCAATCTCTTTACGAAGTTCTGCTGTCATCACACTGTCAAAGGCATCTTCACTGAGCTCTCTCCCATACCTGCATGAGGTCCTGGCTTGCTGTAGGACTGAAGGCAGGACCTGTCTCTGCCCTCTCACAGCTTTTGTAAAGGAGGACACAGCCACATATAGAGAGGAAGGAAAACTGTGACCAGTCAGAGCCCCACACAGCAGTGCCAGAACTAATGCATTGGAAAGATCCTCCCTGATCGTGGACGAGGAAGGAGAATTGCAACCCTGGCCTCAGACTGGTGTCCACGTCTTCCTTGGCTTTGAATGGGCAGGGAAACAGACAGAGATAGGGAAGGACTTACAAGAGGAAGTGCACAAGCTGGGGAGGGTGAGGTTGCGGGGCAGAGACAGAAGGATTCGAGAGGAGGGAGAGGACAGAGCAAATGGGAGACTCGGGCAGGTGCAGGCGGAGAGCCTGGGGGGCTGGGCAGGTATGTTCTGACAGTAGAAGGAAAAGGTGGGGGCTGCTTCGGGGCTTCCAGGAAAGGGCAGCTAGTCAGTGAGTTGTAGAAGGAAGGGAGGGTCTTTTTTTAGCAGCACCATGAAACATATTGTAAAGACTGTTGGGATGAGAAAGCGCAAGAAGGTGCAAACTCGTTTTAGACAAGAACAGAGCCTGGGCTAGGATCTCATGGAGGAAACAGAGATGGAGACGAAAAGTGCAGGCAGGAGCCGACAGCAAAGTGGCAACTCTGGATGGCAAAATCTGCAGGAGGCCAGGAATGCAGCTCATTTCGGGAGGCGAGAAAGGGCTGTCTCCCACTGCCAAACACTGAATTAGGCTCTTTTTATGCCTGTCCTTTGAATGCCTTTTTAAAAAAACTTTGGGGCCATTTAATATTTTTTATTGTGGAAAATAGATACAAAATTTGCCATTTTAACCATTTTAAAGTATGATTCAGGGGCAATAAGTAGCAACGATTGCCACTATCTATTTCCAGAACATTCTCATCACCCCAAATAGAATCTCTGTAACCGTTAACTAGTAACTCCCCATTCCCCCTCCCTCAAGCTCCTGGAAACCACCTTTCTACTGTCTGTCTCTGAGTCTGACCACTCTCTATACCTCATGTAAGTGGAACCACACAGTATTTTTCCCTTTGTGTCTGGCGAATTTTGCTTAGCATAATGTCTCCAAGGTTCATCCATATTGTATTATGTACCAGAACGCCATTCCTTTTTATGGCTGGATAATATTCCACCACATGTATAGACCATATCTTGTTTATCCATTCATCCACTGATGGACACCTAGGTTGTTTCTACCTTTTGGCTACAGTGAATAATCCTGCAATGAACACTGGCACACAAGTATCTGAATCCCTGTTTTCAGTTCTTTTTGGTCTATACCTAGGAATCCTAAGTTAATTCTATGTTTAGCTCTTCGAGGCACCCACCCCTCAACTGTTTTCCGCAGGGGTGGCATCATTGCACATTCCCAGCAGCACTGCATGAGGGTTCCAACTTCTCCACATCTTCAACAACACATGTTATTTTCTGGTTTTGTTTGGTTTTTGGTTTTTAAAATAATAGCCATCCTGATGTGTGTGAGGTAGTATCTCCTTGTGGTTCCAGTTTGCATTTTCCTAATGACTAATGAGGTGGAGCATCTTTTCTTGTGCTTATTGGCCACCTGTGTATCTTCCTTGAAGAAATGTCTATTCAAGTCCTTTGTCCGTTTTCATAGGGTAATTTAATTTTGCCTAGTTCTGTTCACAGGATTTGATTTAGCTGCTGACAACACTGACTGAATTCACAACCTGAAAGTCGACCAATCAGATACACATTCATTTATTTCCCAATTAAGTGAACACATACTATGCGCCAGGGACAATTTCAGATCCTCTGGATACAGTGGATAGAACTCAACCGAGAGAGTCCTGGCTTACAGTCCAGGGGAGAAGAACAACTATAAGTAAACAGATAAGGAAATCTGGTCGCAACAATTGTCATGAAAAAAGTGAAACAATCTATGTAAGGTGGTGGTATGATTACAGGAAGCCTCTTTGAGAAGATGACATTTGAGTGGAGTCCTGCTTAAAGCCAGGGAACAAGCCAAATGTACAGCACGTGCCAGGAGGAGGATTACAGGTGGACATATTTGCCAAGGCCCTTGGAGGAAGCATGCACGGCTTGACGGAGAAACAGCAAGATAGCCCGTGTGACTAAGTGCAGTGTGAGGTGGGTAGGGTATAAGGTCACATAACTGATTACTAATTTATACGCATTGTGAGTTAATATACACCCATACCGTCAGAATTGTGTGGTATTGATCATATTGGACATTGCCATTACCCCATAAAGGTTTAAATACTAGGCACTTCATGCTATTTTCATTAGCAGGCAGGAATTACCACCTTTGCCACTAGATTTTTAAAACATATATTATTAATTGTGATAAAATACACATAACATAAAAATTTGCCATATTAACCATTTTGTCACAAGTTCTTTTTTTGGAATATATAGTATGCACAGAAAAAAAATCTAACTTAGGTCGGGTTTGATAAAAAACAAAAACTTAAAAATATAGGTAACTGTGATTAGAAGTCCTGACATATTCACCATTCTGATTTAGCAAACTGCACAATTGACTTTATACACCGTCTTGAAAGTTGCTTGTTATTGGGCCCATCAGCATTTCCCCCTCTGACCACCTTGATTCCAGATGTGCTTCTTAAAGGAAAGAAAGCGCACAGCACTGACTCAGGCGCCCATCAATGGTCTGTTGATTTTTACTCAGCCCTCTGCCTTACTCCCCTCACAATGCATTTATTATCTCTGCTCCTTGAAAAGAAAACATATGGCCCAAGGGAAAATGAAGAAACAAGCTTGCGTTTCAAAACTTTAATTGCAAGTGTCTTTGTCTTCCAGAGAGATAAGAGTGAAGAGTCTGCAGCCCTGGGCTACCTGGAATCCAAGGGCAAGGCCGGTTGTTTCCTCAATACAGTAATTAGGATGGCTTTGACTTGTCCTTATGTTACGATGCACCCCTATTTCCACAGGCTCCAGTGAATGCCCCTTTATTCTCCCAGTGTGAAAGCCTTTTTACATTGTCATTCTTGGGGTTTGTTTTTTTCTTTAACTTTGTATTCATTTCAGATAAGAACTGCTTTCTCTTCTTTTCCGTAGTAGAAGCCAACAAGCCCTGTGGTCACTTCTGAGAGTGCACCCCCGGCTGGAGGCCACGTCCCTCTAGGCTCTGCCTCCATGCTGGGGCTGCACGAACTGCTCAGGCCAGGAGTCCCCAAAGTGACGGAAGGAGGAAGCATTCCCCTTACCTGCTGCCCTCCCTTCCTTCACTGCCCAGCCTTCAGGGTGAAATCCAGTGCTTCTCCAATGTGCGCAGAATCACCTGAAAATTTTATTAAAATGCAGGTTCTGATTCCCTGGGTCTGGAACAGAGCCTGAGACTACATTCCTAACAAGCTCCCAGGCAAGGTCAATGCCGGTCTCTGAGGAGCAGGCTAGAGATTTTATTGAAAACCAAAAACCAGGACTTTCTCCTATTTCCAAACACTGCATAGTCATCTCTGACTGTACAATAGACATTGAGAACCACCTCTCCCATCCCTGGACACCTTTTATCTATTTATCTATTGATGAATGGGGGTATAGGAAGAATTGGCCCTAGTGAAATATCTACTACGTGCCAGGCACTGTGCTTGGAGGCCTGGCTTCCCTTCCCTTCCTGCATCCTCCCAAGAGAGATTAATCAACTTGCTGAGATGGCTGGTGATAAGGAGACTGGAACAGTGCTAGGCATGTAGCAAATATTCAAATACTTGATAAATTAATAAATAATTTTTCTCAAAGACCACTGTAACCTCATAACTTCCCTATACAGAAGACTGTAACAGTTTCCTTCTAGCACTGAATCAAATTCACACTCCCAAGCACGCCCTTGGAAAGACTCCACTGATTTGGGACAAAATCCGAGATACCCTGAGGGAAGAGGGTTGCAAAATCAAGATTAGCAATCTCTTTCTGGGCTGAAACTCTCTTTTCTAATAAGGACTGAACACGGGGCTGCCTAACAGGAGACACAGCTGTTTCAGCCTCTTTGTGCCCGTCACTCATGCCAGGAAATGGAGAGCCTCCCATGAGGCCTCTTCTGCGTGACCTCACCCCTTGGGTGCAGAGGGGCAGGTGCCCACCACCTTGAGTCCCCTTACCCATGAGGACTGCCCCACACAGTTAAGATGACTGGTTATGCCTTCTGGTGCTTGGTCTTTTGCAATTTTACATGGAAATTGGATCCCAGACCAGGCGTGGTGGCTCATGCCTGTGATCCCAGCACTTTGGGAGGCCAAGGCAGGTGGATCACCTGAGGTGAGGAGTTCGAAACTGGCCAATATGGTAAATCCCTGTCTCTACTAAAAATACAAAAAAAATTAGCCAAATGTGGTGTTAGGTACCTGTCATCCCAGCTACTTGGGAGGCTGAGGCAGGAGAATTGCTTGAACCCGAGAAGCGAGGTTCAGTGAGCTGAGATCGCGCCACTGCACTCCAGCCTGGGTAACAAAAAAAAAAAAAAAATTCCGACCCCAGTGGCTTGGTCACAGGGACCTCCAACTGGACCCAACTGGAGCACAGAAACTTCAGCCCATTAGAAAGGGGCAATTTTCCACTTTTAAACCTTGTGACCCACAGAAGTTAATAGGTTAAGGTTTAAGACAGAGGTTCCAGCTGTGTTTTCACTGAATTTAACTGCCCCCTTGATCTCACAGTCCATTGTCATAGGTTTTGGGGATCTGCTGCTAGATTTCTGGCCACTGTGCATTAGTGACACCATGTTGTCATTCTCCCCCTAAACCCCGCTAGTGTCTCCTGATCTCACTCCAAGTAAAAGCTTGAGACTGACCGTGACCCAGAGGCCATGTGTGTTCTGACCCTCTTTCTTATTTGAACTTTTCTCTTACTACTTAGAAAGTGTCTTTTAAGGGATCAAAAAAAGTTAGTAATAGAAAATGATTTTGATTTGTTCCATGGTAGAGACATGTCAAAAGAGGAGCCCAGGTTATTCTCATCAAGGGAAGAGTCCCCAGATTAGCTATAATTGTAGTAAGACTAAGACATAAAGGACCTTTAAAAATATAACTACCTACTTCCGAAAGCTTATGAGGGCAAAGGTTTAACCTATCACTGTCTGCTGCCCTGGGGCTCCAAGGCCATCCTTCTCCCTCCTCCCACCCTACACAGAGCCTGGCAGGTGGTGGGAGTGGGATGAACACGCGTGGAGAGATGCGACCCTCTGAGGCGGTACACCCAGGGCTACAGCACAGTGGTACGGTATAGTCTAACTCTGGGGTGTGGGGCATAGACGAGCCAGTGCTGCCTTGGCTTCAGGAAGTGGTGGTGATTCAAGACATACACTTCTTTTCCTCCTGAGTCAGGGATCAACTGGCACATGGACCCTGTGCCAAGAGTGCCTGGAGTGCCTTTTATCTGGATTAGCCTTAAAGACACAGCATTGCCATTTCTGCTTAAGAATAGTTCTAGAGGCCAGGCGCGGTGGCTCATGCCTGCAATCCCAGCACTTTGGGAGGCCGAGGCGGGCAGATCACTTGAGGTCAAGAGTTCAAGACCAGCCTGGCCAACATGTCGAAAACCCGTCTCTACTAAAAATACAAAAATTAGCCTGGCATGGTGACGAGCACCTGTAATCCCAGCTACTCGGGAGGCTGAGGCAGGGAGAATTGCTTGAATGGGGGAGGCGGAGGTTGCAGTGAGCCAAGATGGCACCACCGCATTCCAGCCTAGGCGACAGAGTGAGACTCCTTCTCAAAAAAAAAAAAGTTCTAGAAAGCCCTCAGTGAGTACATACTTGAGCAGACAAGACAGACCCCCACAAATGCAGACTGGGCACGCATTTGCATGGGTGTCCCCAAATACCAAAAAGCTTTCTGTCCCACCATTCTGGGAGGTCCCTTTCTCTACTCCCTACCCCATCACAGAGTTGACTATACAAGCAGTTTACCTGAGGGGTGAAGACCACAGTCACTGGAGCGCTGCCTGGTAGGAGCTCCAGCTCTGCCACTCACTAGCTGTGCAAACTCAGGCAAGTTAATCAGTCTCTCTGTGCCTCAGTTTTCTCAACTTACTAGCAAGGTGGAGTGAGCATTAGATATAATCCGTGTAAAGTACATGCCTGGCACACAGGAGGGGTTCAACAGATGGCCGGTACTTGTAATATATTAATCTTCTAATATTGTCAGAGCTGAGTGCAAACCTTTTCATGGAATCCCGGGGTCTCTAGCAGCTGTTCTCAAACTTGAGCATGTGTCAGAATCAGCGGAGAGGTTGTGAAGCCACAGACTGCTGGCCCCCACCCCCAGAGTTTCTGATTCGGTAGGTGGGGGGCATAAGAAGGTGCATTTCTAACGAGTTCCCGGGGGAGACTGATGCTGGGCCCAGACCCCACAGTTGGAGAACCCCTGGCTTCAGGGCAGAGTCCCAGTTCTGGAGGTTTATTCGCAAGCCCTTTGTGATCCAGGCCTCCAGGACTTTCCCAGCTGGCTTTATCCTTCCCCGGTACCTGTCATCAGTCCTGGGCTCCACACATCAGGGCGGGACATGATTTTCTCATGCCTGTCACCACCTCTGCCCTTCTCCCTCCAGCTCTCTTTTCCTCTCAGAATCACACCCATCCTTCCAGGACCAGATCAAACACCCCCTGCCCGATTCTCCACTCGGAACTCATCCTTCCCATGCCTGTGTCCTAGAGGCATCTCATGTGTTCCTCCTGTGGGGCTCCGTGGGAACGAAGAATGGGACATCCGACCTTCCCCATCAGATCTCAGCCTCTCTGAAGTCAGAGGCAGCAACGTCCTGAGTCTGATGTTCCCAAAATACTTGGTGGGTTTTGTTTGGTTTGGGGTTGTTGGCTTTTTTGCCAGTAAATCCAAAAAAAGTATCTCGTTGAATTGAAAAGAAAAAAAAAAGTTTACAAAGAGGTTAAAGGAACTGGAATGAATAACCCTGGGGAAGGGGAAGTTGTGGGCTAACAATCTTCAACAATAGAAATATTAAAATAAAGAAGACATTGACCAACTGGTTTTTACCCCATTAAAGAACAAATTTGAGGAAATGGGGTCAAATTGTGACATGTTAGATTTAGGTCTGTTAGAGGGAAGTTCCTGATATTAGGAATTATTCAACAAGGAAACGGGTTAGCAAGGGCAGAAGTGAATAATCTCGACTAAGCTTTAAAAATGGAATTGATTCTCAATTACCATGAAAGTGTTAGATGTGATCCTGCTTGTATATCTGACTATGAAGTTGAGAGAAGACAGGGGCCTTTAAACGTCTCTTTTACTGGCTATGAACTTGCCAGCTGTTTGTGCTACTACGTGATACACTATTAAGTTAGGTGCTAACTGCATTAGGTAAGTAATACATATTTTTAAAAAGTCAATACTTTAGGGAAGTGGTCCATTTCCCATCTGTGGGATGTGATGCGAACCCCAAACCAGCCAACACAGTGGTGCCAGTAGGATTTCTGGCAATGCCACACAATCTTTCCCCATTGCCCAGCTTAGCCATCACATTCACCAAGAGCTAAACAGAGTTTTTCTTCCTCATTTTTCATGGAAAGTCTTCAAATTTCTGATAGCTTGAGGAAGTGGCTCTTGTACTCTCAACACTCTCAACAGGAAATGTAATAAGTTATTATTACTTTGATGAACTAAAAGGGTGGTTTTTACAGTCAGGTCTTCCTGATACTTGGAAATCTGGCAGCTCTGTCCCTTTGCTGGTGCCAGACGGGCCTCCGTGTCACCTGCTGGGTCAGGATTTTTTGGGGGTATGGGGAAGTCTAAGAGGCACTGGACACAGAGGAAGGGAAACGCTCATCTTAGGCAGCGGCAATGTGCCAGGAAAATGTGTATCATGCAAGCAAACAGTTTTTGCGCAGCTCTTGGTCCAACATAAACACTGCTTCTTTTGGGGTTAGGTGACATATTTGAGGCCAGTGTGGGAAGACCACAGGTCAGGTCACACCTGCCTCTGCTCTGATGTGACTCTCTGGGGATCACTGGCTGTTTATCTCTCTTCAGTGTGTGTTAAGAGCTCTGTCTCTACGCTGAACTTCTCATTCCAAGACATCTCTAGGTCTGGCAATGGCTCTCTAGATGTCAGAGCCTGCAAGTTCCCTGCACAGCACAATGCCACGGGGCTTTTACCATGTTTGCCTCTACAGGGTCTAATGAACTTTGTCTCTGCCTCCCAATAAGAGAACCCAAAAAAGGGGAGATTCAAGAGCCTAAACGTAATCCTTCTTTTTTGTTTGGGAAAAACAACAACACTTCTTCACTTGAACCAGAACAACATTTTGATTTGGACTAAGACAGCAATTTCCTTAATAAAGTGAAAAATATAACCCAAACAGCCAGCTTTTTTGTCCTGACAGCTGCCGTGTCTTATTTATTTATTTATTTATTTACTATTTATTTATTTATTTACTTTGGGATGGAGTCTCGCTCTGTCACCCAGGCTGGAGTGCAGTGGTGCCACTCGGTTCACTGTAACCTCCACCTCCTGGATACAAGCGATTCTCCTGCCTCAGCCTCCCGAGCAGCTGGGATTACAGGCATGTACCCTCACGCCGGGCTAATTTTTTTATTTTTAGTAGAGACGGGGTTTCACCATGTTGGTCGGGCTGGTCTCAAACTCCTGACCTCATGATCTGCCACCTTGGCCTCCCAAAGTGCTGGGATTGCAGGCGTGAGCCACCACACCCGGCCTTATTTTATTTTTTTACTAGTTAAGTGAAGCAGTGGGAGTGGAGAAGGAACAAATAAATCTGTTAACTGGTTGTGATTAATTGGTTGTAAACACCATTGCACTCAGACCTGCCTGCCATGTCTTTTTTTTTCTAATAACCAGCCACATCCGTCCTTTGCCCCTGCACCTTCTGCCCCTGCACAGCCCCACTGGCTCTGAAATCGCCCCTGTACTCAGATTCTCCTTCTCTCGCCACTGCCCTGACCTGATTCAGGCCCTTTCCCAAACCAAGGCAGTAGGCTCCTTACTGGCCCCCTCCGGCCCGCCCCTGGACACTCTTCCCCTAATACACAAAACTGATCATGGCCCTCTCCAGCTCACAGCTCAATATTAAATCTGAACTATTTGCTTGTACCTAAAGCCTTTGAGTGCTGGCTTTTGCCTTCCTCTCTCCCCACACCCCTGAGTCCAGGAATCCTGTCCTTCCTTCGGTTCCCTGCAAACACTCCACTCTGATGCGAGTCCCTGCTGTTCTCACCGCCAGACAAAGCACTGGTCATTCTGGAACCCCCAGCCTAAGAGCTGTTCTCTCATGCGGTCTGCAGAGCTTTAGACACATGTGACCACACAGGAAGGATGGGAAGTCCTCTCTGACACTTTCAGGTGAAGGCACTCCTTATCCTGTGTGCCCACGACAAGTTGAAAACCCTCCCCAGAACACCGGATCCTGCTGTCTTTTAATCATCTGCACACACCTGGACTGCCAATCTCCTGAAGACAGGAGCTGTGGCCCTTGGTCTCTGTTTCCTCAGTCCACTGCAGAGTGTGCTACAGGTTGTGGGTACTCCATTTGTTGCAGTCACTGAATGCATTGAACACAAATTCAGGTTTATTTTCTCATTATCGAATGCTGTGGCCTGCAAGCAGTGACCCAAAGCACTCAAAGGCTGAAAGTCGACGGTGGCTCACAAAACAAACACACATATAAAGTCATCATCACACGGCCCTAAAGAATGTACTTCCCACTGCTGACTGGGGCTGCTTTGGGCTTCTTGGCGTGAGAGCACACTGCGACTGGAACGTGACACAGTGAGAACAGCAGCACCAGTCAGCCCTCTGACAAGGAGCTTCTGGTGACCCAGGCAGACAGGCAGCCTGCCTGGGGAGCGCTGCCAGGTTGGTCTCGCAGGCAGGAAATAGAGTGTCTCTCAGAATCAGGACAGAGATATGGGGCTGTGCGTAATCTTGCTCCACACCCACTCGGTTTTAAACCTCAAAAGTTCACTAAGAACTTCAGAGGGATCAAGGCTATTTTGCTGAAACCCACGGCTCCTTCTTGGTTCTTTCAAGCTTAGCGTTTTGGGGCACAAAGGGTGAGCTGAACTTAAACTGTGTTTCCAGCAGTGGACACCATAGAAAGCCCCACACTGCAACTAGAGGGAAATACACAGAAAGGCCGTCCCACAATCCGGGCAGAGAATGAAAGGGTACTCAGAGGAAAAATCACCTGCTGGGCAGAATCCTACCCATGCCAGTCCTGGGGTGCACTGAGCTGGAGTCAGCAGCCTGTGTGCTCAGAGGCAGGTGTGCTTCCCTGTGGACTAAGGCCAGGATGCTGTGAGGAGACAGCAGTCAGGCCATGGGCCACCTGGCCAGGGGGCAGATGCCCTAGGGAGTGAACCACCTGGACAGTTGCGTACCATCAGGATGGGCTGCAGACTCACATCAGCCAAAAAAACAAAAAACAAACCAAAAAATGGCCTAGACAACATTCCTAGAGACCACTGGATACAGCATGTGGGAAAAACACTATTTTTTTTTCCATGAACTTCAAAAATAGGAAAATACAATGGGGGAAATTTTAATATTGACATGGCAGATGAAGTCCACACTACCCCTTCTTAAAACAACACTCTTTGCAGAGGAGGCCCTGCTTTGGAACTCCCCTTTTCATGTCCTCATAAAACACTGATTTATTGACCTCCAAAGGCACATTTTTATTGTTTCAGTTTTCCTGATGTAAGAAGTTCTGGTAGATAACTGAAAAAGCAAGCTATTTCCTTATCAACACAGGGAGTATGTTCCTATTACAGGTTTGCCATTTTAGGGGGAAGTGGTAGAAAGGAAATAACAGGGGAGGCATTTGAAATATTTCTCAGCAAAATGAACTGTAAGCCCACAGATCTGTGTCTGTGCTCCCCAAACAAGGCATGACTGCATATATCCATGTCTCCCCTCTCGGATGGGATGGGGGGCAGGAGGAAAGGTGGCACAGAGCACCCACCCACCCTATGACCCAGAGTCACACCCTGGGGGATTTCTTCGGAGGGGTCTCCCCATGGGCGCTCCAGGGCCCTGTGGCCTGCTTCTGATTAGTCGACTTTACCACCTCAGTAAGGGCCATCCAAGAGTTACCTCAAAACTATAAAAGTTCAATGCCCAATTTGTTTGGTGGGGGTTTCCTGAATTAGGTGATTTGTGCTATCTGCAAGGTCATAAAAATATATGGTTGTTTTTTTTTTTCTTTCTTTCTGTAAGATTCTTTTAGGTCTAAAGCATTCACACCATCCTCCCAACATAGGGAGCTTTCTTCCCACCTCCTAGAATCATTTCTTCCCTGACCTCTGGTTTCCCACACATCTTTCCAAGACCACTTGGGAAACCCCTTCATCCCGAAGTCCTTAGGGATTCCTCCAGCGGTCCTCCCTCCCTCTCTCCCTCCCCTCCTCCCTCTCTCCCTTCCTCTGCCACCCTCTGTACTTTTCTTATCATTTGCTGCTCTCTTATCATCACAGCTTTTCCCATCTGGCGCTCTCCACTAGACTGTGACCCATGCGCCTTCCCCTTATTCCTCATTAGCACAGTGTTTGACACCACCAATGTCTGTTGTCCTGCGTATGCACGCACCTGCTCTTGCATCTTATAACCCCAGATAAACATGACCGTGTACAATCCATTACCTTAATGAAAACAGTGTGCATCTATATTTTGTTACCTGGAATAAACAGCAGGACTAGCTACATAAAAATTCAAAATGTTTTTATCTGTAGGCAAATAGTTTTATTCTATCTGAAAATGAATTCCCTCACAAATACAAGCAGGCAGAGATATAATCATAGAAATGTTTTAAAGGGCAAAACTTATAGCCTTTCAGGTAAGTTTGAACCTATTTAATATAATAAAAATGAAACTAAATACGATCCCTACAGATAAGGCACTTTCTGGAAGCCATTTATGCCAACTATTTTGCAAAACCAATTTACCCACTAGGCAGTTCCTGAAGTCTTGCCTGGTGTTTGATCATTAACATCTTCAATGAACTGTCAATGCCATTCCTAAATTTTGAGCTAATGGAATAGGCTGGCCAAACAAGCAGTCATTGAATACAGAGAGAGCTTTTTCCTAGATAACCACAGTATCTCTAGGAAATATTATTTTAAGGCTGCATCTAGTCTCACCTTTGAGAGAAAATGCATTTCTACTGGGAAGGTTGGGCACCAAGTAAAATAAGCAGAAAAGCATTCCAATGTCACTTGATTGTGAAAGAGTTCAGGAAATGCCACCCCAAAATATGCCACTATGGTGTGCTGATTATTTTGAACTCAGGGCAGGTGGTAGTGGCCACGGGCAGAGGTTTCTCTGAACTCTGCCCAAAGAAAGATCCTCCAAAACGAACTCAAATGTCTCAAATCTCCGCCGTGGGAATCTTCTCACCCAGAGAAGATTCTCACCCAGAGAAGATTAACTCCGATTACAGGAGAGGAGACAGGAGGTTGACACCAGCCCACACAGGCTCTCACCTATTCTCCGAAGGGCTGGTCAGAGACCATTTTTATTGCCTGAGAATCTTTTATGTGCCTGACAAGATGTCCTTTACTCACCATATGCTTCCTCCCCAAACCCGCCCCAAAATCTGTTTTGCAGCACCCTGCAGAAGCCCCTATGGATGCTATAATGAGCTTCAATCATCTGACCCTTCCTCAAGTCTCTTATTTTGTAGGAGTCCTGTGCCTATGTATGTAATTAAGTACAGTTTTTCTCCTGTTAGTCTGTCTTATATCAATTGAATTCGTGGCCCAGCCAAGGAATTCATAAGGTTCCTAGAAGGTTCGCTCCCCTAGAATTGGAAATGACCAATGCAAAAGTTTACATTTTTAAACATGCATAATGAAAGGGGCTTAAAGGCAAAAAGACGGGAAACAGCATTTGTTGAAAGGTCTCCCTGAAAAATAAACTTATTTTGATAGCATTTGTTGTTCATATTAGAACCGAACGCCTTTTATGCACATATGAATATGTCATTTTGCGACAGCAGTGAGAGATAATTTTGCAACTGCGTGGTCAGGCAGGTTTTTCTTAGGTGGCTAGCTGTTCGCTGAAACCCTGGTCCTTTGGTTCAAATAAGGTAGCACCCCGTTCAACCTGTTGAACACTTAATTAAGCAACACCTGAAGTGCTTAAAATGAAAAAATCCTTTAGACTTTTCCGCCTTCGTTTCCCTCAACCATACTGACAGACCCATACAATTGGGAATGAATCTTCCCTAGAATCTTTTGCTTCAGCCTTCAGTGCACCCACATTATTTCTGTCAAGGCTTTTCCCCTCTCTTCTCACCCAAACACGATTCTCCATGCGTCCCTCCCCACGCCTCTCCGGGTTCCGTGCCCGGCTGCGGAGGGACGGCAGCAGCCTAACCTAGTGTTAACAGAGGGGAAATCTGACCCAGCCGAAACCAAGAAAACCACCACTCGCCCTTCCCTGTGAGAGCTTTCAAGTTCGTATCAACGATTTTTAAAGCGTTTGTTGTGCTGGGTGTGCTTCCCTCTGCGGCCCTCCTCCACGAGGCAGAAAGTCCGTGCCTGGCTGCATTCGCTTGCTAACTGTACTGAGAAACCTGTTCCGAGAGGACCGGGAAGCCACTCGGGTCTGCGAGGGTCAAGTCCAGCATCCCCGGGGCGCGCGCGCAGTCTCTCCCCGCCGTGCGGGGCCTCCAGGCGAGCTGGCAGGGGTGTCCCCGAAGGGGCTCAGGGGAGGCAAAGGCAAGCCCGCAGTTCAGGGACGGAGGGAATCATGTCTCTTTCCGGGTGGAAATTTGGGACGGAGGCCACCCGGGAGAAATCGTATCGGGAACGGTTATCTGCCGCAAGTGAGGTGCCCACGGCGCTGTCTCCCGCGGCACCGCCCGGCGCAAGCGCTTAGTAGGTGCTCAAGAAGCATTTGGAGAAAATGACAGCATCAAAGCCTGCGGCTAAGAGGGGCTTTTGGAAGAGCCCGTTTCGGGTGTTGCGGTCCCGCCAACCTGCTCCTTCTGCGCCCCAGTTTCCCTCCGCTTGCCCTTTCCCGCCCTCCGCCGTCCAACTCTGGAAGCGCCTCCCCAGCTTCCCACGGCCTCCGCTCCCCAAAACTCCGGCTCCTCTCGGAAGGCGGAGGAGCCAGGATGCCGCCGGCCCCGGCCCTTCCCGGGGCTCCCGAGGAGGCGTCGGGCCGCGCGGCCCGGCAGGCGCGGGCGCTCCTTACCTGCAGCCGGGCGAGCAGCGCGCAGAGCAGCAGCAGCGCGAACAGCGGGCGGCGCCGCCGGGCGCGCGGGGCCATGGCGCGGGACAGGCTGGCGGGCGCCGCGGCCTCAGCGGCCTCTGTGGCCCAGCGGGCGCGGCTGCCGCGGCCCTGTGTGGTCCCGCCCCCGTGCCCCGCCCCGCACCTGCCCCCGCGCCGCCCTCCTGCGCCCCCCTCCGGCCGGGCCCGGCGGTGCCAGCCAGGTGGTGCCCAAGCTCCCCTGGTTTGCGGTGGGACGCGGGGCCCCGCTCGGGGAGGGGCCCCGGGGGTGTTCGCCGCGCCCGGTGCCTCCTTGGTCCGGTCTCCGCCCCTGGCCCAGGTGCTCGGGCTGCAGACAGGTTGGCGGGAGACCAGCCCTGGGTTGCCCTTCACGGCACTGGCTCCTGCCTTGCCGCACCCCAGGCCTGTGGGCCCCGCCTCCCGGGAAGGAATGGGGGCATCGGGGTGGTCCTGCTCCTGCCCCGCGCGCCCACCCTTCGAGGCCCGGCCTTCCGAAAGTGGATGCGCCACCGTCGAGAATGAACGGGAGGAGGATCCTTCCTGGAGATTTCGTCGACTGCAGTTAAGGCATCAACACAATACACCATCCGCCAATCTTCGTAAAATACTCCTCTTGTTCTTTGCTTCAAAATGTTGGGGCCAGCAGCCACTATCTCTTTTTCTTCTCCTGATCCTCTGCCTCCGCCCCTCACCCGTCCTGCACCCACCAAATTCTAGAAAGGCACCAGGCTCCGCCAGCCTTGAGGCGTCCCCCAGCCCCCATCACCACATTGGCCCTTTCAGACATAAAGTGGCCAGATGTCTGGGGCACAGTGTTACCTAAAAACTGAGGTCCGTTCTTCTGGTGCAGTAAGGCCAAGCCATCCGCACTAAGGTTTGCACTGGGAGAAAAGAGGGCGCTTATCTGCAGAGCTCCAGGCAAGGAGAATGGGGCAGCTCTTGCTTAAATCCTGACCTTCAGTTGGCTTGCAAGTAAGGATTTTTAAACGCAGGGTTAATTTCAAGAAAGCAGAAGTTACAGGCAAAATCATAATACACGGAGGTTGCACATTGGTTTGGTCTAACAAGCTGGGATATCTTGAAAATCTTTAAAGTGAGGGTGCTTATAGGTTATACATTCAAAGATTTTCTGACTTGCCATCAGTGAAGGAAGAGAAGCTTTGTTAAAAATTTGGGGTCAGCAAAAATGAATGTTAGCTCTGGCTCGTGGGTGTGACTTCCTCCTTGCCCTTCAGGAAGAAATTTAGAAGAAAGAATGGTGGTCAGTTCCGTCCTCATTTCCCCCTTGTCTGAGGTCTGCATGCCAGTGGATCTGTTTTGTTGGGGGTCTGGGTTTCTGAGAAACAATTCAGGGACATATGTTAAGATGTTATCTTTCGTTTCTATAGGGAATCTAACTTCCTTGGTTATTGTTTTAAGCTATAATTACCTTCTTGCTTATCAAGTTACTTATTTACTTCTTAGGGCTAGCTAGGTACCTGGAATTTCCCTTGAAGGAACTCAAGATTTTCCTTTATTTCCATGCTTAGGGGTGCTCCACAGGCTCCTAAGATGGGTTCCTGCTCCATCTCAATAGCATCCTGTTGTTTTTGTTTGTCATTACTTGCTTAGGATTGTGTCTTTCCTCACATTCTAGGTCGATGTTGGATCCATACGTATAATCCCTCCTTTGTATCATGTATTAGTCCGTTTTCATGCTGCTGATAAAGACAGGGCAATTTACAAAAGAAAGAGGTTTAACGGACTTACAGTTCCATGTGGCTGGGGAGGTCTCACAATCATGGTGAAAGGCAAGGAGGAGCAAGTCACATCTTTCCTGGATGGCAGCAGGCAAAGAGAGAGCTTGTGCAAGGAAACTCCCATTTTTAAAACCATCAGATCTCATGAGACTTACTCACTTCACAAGAACAGCACGGGAAAGACCTGCAGCCATGATTCAATTACCTCCCACCAGGTCCCTGCCACAACACGTGGGAATTGAAGATGAGATTTGGGGTGGGGACAGAGCCAAACCATATCATAAGGTAACTGTTTATATGAAGATACTTGTCCCATGCCAATAGAATATAACCTGTTTTGAATTCCTGGATTGCCAGAACTATTCACTTGCCTTACTTTTAGCCCAGCACATGGCATATCTTGGTCAAAATTCCATGTGCACTTGAAAAAGCTATGTATTTTGCTGTTGTCAGTAAAGTACATTATGAGTGTCAATCAGGTCAAATAGGCTGAAATATCCATACTGATTTTCCGTTACTTGTTCTGAGAAAAAGTGTGGAAATTTCCAACAATAACTGTATTTGTCTATTTTTCCTTTTATTTCTGTCAGTTTTTTCATATTCTTGAAGCTCTACTTAGAGGTATAAACATTTAGAATTATTATGTCTTCCTGATGAATTGAGACGTTTATCATTATTATATGTCTTCCTTGATTGGTGGTAAAATCAAATTCTCATGTCCACTTTGATATTAATTATATAGCCATTTCACCTTTCTTATGAATAGCATTTAGATGATCTATCTCAATCTATCTTTTTACTTTTAATTTATCTATATCATTTAAAGTGACAGCATTACATTTGGCTCTTTTTTCCCATTTTACCCATTTTGACAATCTCTGCCTTTTGATTGGAGTGTTTAGATTGTTCACATGTAATGCGATTATAGATATGGTGAAGTTTAAGTCTACCATTGTGCTATTTTTCTATTTTTTCCATCCGTTTTTCTATTTGTTCCTTTTTTTCCTCTTTTCCTACTTTCTTTTGGTTTGAGCATTTTTAGGATTCTGTTTTCTCTTCATGTTAGTTTGTTTTATATGCATCCTTGTTTTATTATTTTGGTGGCAGCTCTGGGTTTACAATGCACATCCATAATTTATCACAGTCTACCTTCAGATAAAATTCTGCCACTTTCTCCCTCCCTCCCTTTGTGCTACCATAGTCATACTACTTGGCTGGCTTTTTAACTCCCTACTGTACAGCCTAATTGGTGCACTGCTGAGTTGCTTTTGTGCTTTTTAGAAAGTGATCTGGCAGTGTTGATTTTAAAAATTAAAAATTGCAAATATCATTTGATGAAGCAATTCTGTATCTGGGAATCAAACATATCAATACATAAAGAAAGAGACAAAAGGATGTTTAGTATAGCATTTTTATAAAACCACAAAAAGAAAAAATGTGAATAGCTGTTAATATACAAATGGTGGAAAGTATTATTGCCTATCACAGTTTTGAATATAATGCAGCTACTTAAGAATATTATGTAGTTTTGGAAAGATGTTCATGATTATGAAGTAAAAGAAGTAAGTTACAGAGCAATATCATCCCATGTTTCTAAAGAACCGTAAACATGATTTTATCTATATAAGCAAAGAAAGTTTCTAGAAAGGATAATAGGAAACACTAATAGCATAGTCACACTTAAAAATCCATTTAATCCTCACAACAGGCGTGTAAAGAGTACAATTACTACTTCCATTTTACAAATGAGGATACTGAGGTACGGTGAGATTAAAAACTTACCTGGAGTCACTTGCCAATCAGTGGCAGAGCTGTGATTCCAATCCTGGTTCTCTGACTCGGGGGTGGGAGTCCTGCTTCACTAAGCACCACATTTTTAACATCAGGTGAGCGGCAGAAGGAAAAGGAGAAACTCACACTTTTATTTTTGATGTTTCTAAACTATTTACATTGAGGAAAATGCACTTTTGCATTTTTAACTGGCAGTTGTGTAAACTTGGTAAATAGATGTTAAAACTCTAAATGAAGTAAGTACAGGAATGGTCACAAGCACAGACAAAATAATACTGAATTATCTAGTGTGTCGCCATCTTCAATGAGGAGACAGGCTTTCTGGGAAAAGCACGGTTAGGAAAGCTAGATGAGATTATTATTTTGCTAAAAGGAACTGACTTGTGGGAGAAGGTACTTTCACCGTGGCACTTCATGAAAAATACCAAGGCTTACTCCTGGCACACTTCCAACATTACCCCCTTCTATTTTCTAAGAAGAGTAGGGGACTTAAAACTTCTGCTTGGAAAGCCCCAGAGGTGAGTGTGCTGATTTTGGAAGCACTTTTGAACAGCAGAATGCCTATGTTAACACATTAAATCTACTAATAATTTAAAATTTTTTAAAATTAAATTACTCTTAAAGATATCTCTACAGAACTATCACTCAAATAATTCCAATATTTTATAAATATTAATGTATAATACAATACAATAATAAAATCCAAGAAAATAGGCTTGAGGATGTTATCTTTCCTATACATAGAGCATTATCATGAGAAACATGGAAGTAATTGATCTCAAATACTGTTTTTCTATATTCACTGAAGAATAAACACATAGCTAAGGTGATTGCTCTCATTTGCAAAAACTAGTTTCAATGTTGTTTGTGATTTTAAAAACCGACATTTGGCGGGGTGTGGTGGCCCACGCCTGTAACCCCAGCACGGAGGCCAAGGTGGGTGGATCACGTGGGTCAGGAGTTGGAGACCAGCCTGGCCAATATGGTGAAACCCCGTCTCTACTAAAAATACAAAAATTAGCCGGGCGTGGTAGTGCACACCTGTAATCCCAGCTACTCAGAAGACTGAGGCACAAAAATTGCTTGCACCCAGGAGGGCGGAGGTTGCAGTGAGCCGAGATTGCGCCACTGCACTCCAGCCTGGGTAACAGAAGGTGACTCTGTCTCAACACACACACACACACACACACACACACACACACACTTATAAGCACATATACAATAAAATTTAGTTATATGTAACAAATGTAAAAATATATTTTAAACAATTTTCAAAATTAAAATATTTTTAAACAATATTTAAAAATATTAGCTTTAATATTTATTAAAGCTAAATGTTTTCCATTTTTAAAAAGTAATCAACTGACAATGAACTTCTTTATTTTCTCTGGGGGAAAAAAAGAGCACATTATACCTATTCAGGAATCATAGATTGATATGAAAACTCTTCTACATGGATAGTGTGCACCTCATGCTGGAAATCCCCACTTCTCAATTCTGCACGAAGTGTTTGGTTTTCAGAATTAAAAAAGTAAAATGAAAATGTAGCCATAATTTTTGTTTCTAGTGGATGGCTTGCAAGGATTATCTTACGTTTTAACAGGTCTTCATTTAAGCACCAGAAAGCACAGGCACAATCTTGTTAATGAGATGCTTATCAATCGCAGCAAGAATAAGAATTGTTCAGTTTATGTATTTTTTTCATGTGGTGCTATATATATAGTTGCTGTTACTGGGTATAGAGCTAAAGAGAATACATAAAAGACTTAAATTAATTATGCAAACATAAGACTTTACGAATCTTGCATATAGTGAAAACTTATTAATAAATAAAAATGTTTTTATTACCTACCTGTAATTTTTTTTTTTTTTTTTGGACAGAGTCTCGCTCTCGTCTCCTAGGCTGGAGTGCAGTGGCATGATCTCGGCGAACTGCAACCTCCACCTCCTGCGTTCAAGCGATTCTCCTGCCTCAGCCTCCCGAGTAGCTGGGACTATAGGCACGCGCCACCACACCCAGCTAATTTTTTGTATTTTTAGTAGGGACGGGGTTTCACCATGTTGGCCAGGATAGTCTTGATCTCTTAACCTCGTGATCTGCCCGCCCAAAGTGCTGGGATTACAGGCGTGAGCCACTGTGCCCGGCCTTTTTTTTTTTTCCCGAGACCCAGTCTCACACTTATCTCCCAGGGTAGAGTGCAATGGCGCGATCTCAGCTCACTGCAACCTCTGCCTCCTGTGTTCAAGCGATTATCTTGCCTCAGCCTCTGAGTAGCTGGGATTACAGGTGCACGCCACCATGCCCAGCTAATTTTTATATTTTTAGTGGAGATGGGGTTTCACCATGTTGGCCAGGCTGGTCTCAAATTCCTGACCTCAGGTGATCTGCCTGTCTCAGCCTCCCAAAGTGCTGGGATTACAGGTGTGATTACTGCACCCAGCAACCACCCTGTAATGTTTTGTTTTTCCTCTCGTATTTCCTAGTAGTAAGAAATATATATATTTTTTTTACAAAGGTAAACCAATGATAAATTTGTGTTGACTCAGAGATTAATCAAGGTGCAACACTATCCCATAATAATACCCAACATAACATGAAAACTTTTAAACTGTATACATGACACCTGTCTTGCCTCACTTTGGTAGACAATAATTTCTTTAGTTGTGCAGATTTGGTATTCAAAATACATGAATTTCTAAACTGTATGAGTAATATTAGTAGTTATCACACACTTTTTGGATATTTTGTTACAGATAAAGTAGTATCTAGCGGAAACAGGGACATAATTTGTATCTCCTTTGTTTCCTTTTTTTTTTTTTTAACTCTAATGATCTTATGCCACATTTGGAGGACGTGGCTGTATGCACCTTATCAGTGAACAGAAGCACAGGCGTTATCCTATAGGCTGATGGCAAAGTTCTACCTTCAGACTGGTCAGGTTCAGACTGTCCTTAATAGACAACTGATGCTGTTATCTAGATTGAGATAGAATTGTTTTTTAAAATATTTTTTATTGGAACTATAACACACAAAGTGTAAAGCTTGCTGAATCATCAGAAAATGAAAACATACATATAGCCAGCAGTCAAATTACAAAGTAGAACATTACCAGCACCCCCAAAGCCCACTTATGCTCACTTGAGTCAGTATCCTTCCTCCTTGTAGATTAAGTTATAATATCATGAATTAGTTTTGTCTGCTTTTGAACTTCATAAAGTCTATACTGTAGTACGTAGTATTGTGTGTAGGGCTTTTATTTAATATTTTACAAGATTCATTCTTGTTACTACTGGATAGTGTTGCATTGTATGAATGTATCACAATGTATTCATTTTGCTGATGAAGGATATTAAGGTTATTTACAGTTTGGGGCTGTTATGAATAATGCTGCTATGAGCATTTATGGATGTCTTTTGGTGAATATATGTATGCATTTCTGTGGAAATGCATGTTTTGCTAGGTCATAGGGAGACCTATTTCAATTTTAGTAGGTACTGCCAATTTTCCAATGTGGTTGTACAAATTCCACCCCCATTTAGAAGTGTCTGAAGAGTTGCACTTGCTCCACATCCTGGTCAACATCTGATATTATTGGACTTTTAAATTTTGGCTTTTCTAAGTAGGTGTAGAGTATTATTATTTCATTTTAATGATACATCATTATAAATGATGCATCATTGTAATAATGTAACATTACATCTAATGATGTATCATTAGTATCATTTTATTTCCTGTGTCTTTTCATATGTTTATTGGCCATTGGGTTATCCTCTTCTGCAAAGTGTTGATTCAAGTCTTTTGTCCATTTTTCTTTTGGGTTCTTGTCCTCCTTATGGATTTGTGGGAATTCTTTGTATAATGTCGATATGATTTCTTTGTTGGTTGTATGTATTACAAATATATTCTCCTGCTCCGTGGATTTTCTTTTTTAATCTTTTTCTTTTTTTTTTCCTTTTAGAGACAGGGTCTTGTTCAATTGCCCAGGCTGGAGTGCAGTGGTGCGATCATGGCTCACTATGACCTCAAACATCTGGGCTCAAATGATCCTTCCACACCAGCTTCCTGAGTAACTGGGACCATAGGTGTGTGCTACCACACCTGAATATTTTAAAATTTTTTGGAGAGACAGGAGTCTTACTATGTTGCCCAGGCTGGTCTCAAACTCCTGGGCTCAAGCAATCCTCCCACCTTGGCCTCCCAAAGTGCTGGCATTATAGGCGTGAGCCACCATGCCTAGCCTTTATCTGTAGATTCTAAAAAGATTTTTTTTTTTGTGTACACGATTGTGTTGTGTGTAAATAACGACAGTCTTATTTCTCCTTTTCCAATTCCTGTAGCTTTTATTTCTTTTCCTTGACTTGTTGCACTGAACAAGGTCTCTAGTACAAAGTTGAATAAAAGTGGTAACAGCAAGTATCCTTGACTCATTCCTAATTCTGTATTTTACTCTGAAGTATGATGTTTGCTATAGTTTTTCGTAGCTAATAATCCTTATCAAAGTAAGGAAGTTTCTATTGTTAGTTTGCTGAGGTTTTTTTTTTCATAAATAGATTTTGAATTTTATCAAGTATTTTTACTGTGTTTATTGAGATGATCATATTTGTTCAGTTAATATGGTGATTTTTGAATGTTAAATCAACCTCGAATACCTTTTATAAATTCAACATAGTAAAGCTGTTTTATTCTTTTTGGACATTGGTGGATTCAGATTGCTAATATTTAGTTTAGGAGTTTTTACATCTGTGTTCATGAGATTGGCCTGTTACTTTCCTTCTGAATTGGATCTTGTCAGATTTTGAAGTCAGGGATTTGCTGGCCAGGACTGTGGAATATGTGGAGAGCTTTGAAAGTGTATACAAGAATGGTACTATTTTTTCCTTAAATACTTGGTAGAATTCACTAATGAAGCTATTTGAGCATTGTTTTTTCTTTGTGGCATGGTTTAAAATTACAAATTCAATTTCTTTACTAGATATAGAACTACTCAGATTTTACATTTCTCCTTGTGTTAGTTTTGGTAAGTAGTTTTCCTTTTTTGTAAAAGTAGGAATATTTTTAAAATATAATATCTATTCCATCTAAACTTTCAAATCTATTGGTATAAAGTTATTCATAATATCTTTGTATTATATTTTGAATATCTTGGGGTTTGTAGATTTTTTTTCATCTTTCATATTGGTAATTTATGCCTTTTCTTTTTCTTGCTAAGTCTTGCTAGGCTTAATCAATTTTATTAGTTTAGCTAGAATAAAATACTCAGCTTTGTTGATCTGGACTGTGTGTTTGAGTTTTCTATTTCACTAATATCTAATCTGTACTGCTTCTTTATTTCAGCTTACTTTGCTGTTTTCAAACTTCTTGAAATGAACGTTAGATAATTGATCTTTTTGCTTTTTTTTTTTTATTTTTTGAGATGGAGTCTAGCTCTCTCGCCAAGCTGGAGTTCAGTGGCACGGTCTTGGCTCACTGCAACCTCCACCTCCCAGGTTCAAGCGATTCTCCTGGCTCAGTCTCCCGAGTAGCTGGGATTACAGGCATGCGCCACCACACCTGGCTAATTTTTTGGTATTTTTAGTAGAGATGGGGTTTTACCATGTTGGTCAGGCTGGTCTCGAACTCCTGATCTCAGGTGATCCAACCACCTCAGCCTCCCAAAGTGCTGGGATTATAATTGATCTTAAGCCTTTCTTCTTTTTGCATCTATGTATTTAAAGCTGTATGTACATTTCCCTCTAATCATGGCTTTAGCTCAGTATCATCTCACAAGTTTGATATTTTTATTATTTAATAAATAAGTTTTCTAGCTTCCATTGTCATTTCTTCCTTAACCTGTGGTTTCTTTTAGAAGTACATTGCTTATATTGGGGCTCAAGCAATCCTCCTGCTTCAGTTTCCTGACTACCTGGGACTACAGGCACGTGCCACCATGCCTGGCTAATTTTTGTATTTTTTGTAGAGATGGGGCTTTGTCATTTTGCCCAGGCTGGTCTTAAACTCCTGAGCTCAAGTAATCTGCCAGTCTTGGCCTCCCAAAGTGTTAGGATTACAGGCATAAGCTACCGTGCTCAGCCTTATTTCACCTTTAAATATGAATGAATAACCAAAGGTGACCAGATGTTTGAGGAAATGTCCATTACAAAAGAGAAAATGATGAATAAATAGAACAATAACACTGAAGGAAACAGAGATAAGTAATAAGCTAGAAAATAAAAAATAATCTTAATTAGTATCCTTAAGGAGATTAAAGCAGTTTTTGCATCCTTGAAACAAAAACAGAATGCTAAGAAAAAGTATCAGAGAACACACTAGAGCTCTTAGAATAAACATAAATGCCAAAAGAAAAAAAAAGAAAACAACACAAAAGTTGAAAAATAAAGCCCAGGAAGTATTCCAGAAAGTAGAACAAATGAGAGAAGTAGAAAATATGGAAGAAAAGGCCAGGTGTGATGGCTCACGTCTGTAATCTCAGCACTTTGGGAGGCCGAGGTGGGAGGATCACCTGAGGTCAGGAGTTCGAGACCAGCCTGGCCAACATGGTGAAACCCCATCTCTACTAAATACAAAAAATTAGCAGGGTATGGTGGCGCATGTCTGTAATCTCAGCTACTTGGGAGGCTGTGGCAGAAGAATTGCTTGAACCCAGGAGGCGGAGGTTGCAGTGAGCGGAGATTGCACCATTGCACTCCAGCCTGGGCAACAAGAGTGAAACTCCGTCTCAAAAAAAAGAAAGTATGGAAGAAAAAAGGGTTCTCAAAAACGTCTTTATCTTAGGGACTATAGGTAAAATAGCTTTATTTGCTTTTCATCCTTCCAGTTCACTTTACTGGCATATTCTCACTAGAACATATTTTTTGGCTTTATTGAGACCCACTCATCAGATAATTTTTCCCTCAACATTTACCCCAATATCTCATTTTCCCCATACCGGTTTAGATTCTATGGCCAATCACTATAATCTTTCCTTTGCAAACACCTTTAATGCCTGTGTCCTTGCTTTTCATCTTACACACCTGGAAAACCCAAGCCCTGATTATACTTTATTCTCTGCATCTGCTCCAGAATGGCTGCTCCTAGCTCAAGAAAAGTAAAAACAATTGTGCTAACTGGCTTCTCATTAAATTCGTAATTACTATTTTCAAATGGGCTCTCAAAATTCCTCGGCGATCCTATAGTTCCTTCCATAATCTACTCGGCCATTCTTGAAGACAACCATTACTACCTTCCTTCTTTTCAAATCTCCAATACTTCCCATATACAGCCACGCTAATGTCTTTGCTTCATACGTCACTGAGAAAATGGAAGGAATCAGATGGAAACCCCCTAATCTTCCCACCACTAAATCTACCAATTACCTGCAAGTCTATCTATTCTCTGCTTTCTCTCATTACAGTGGAAGCCAGTCCTCCATTTGTGCTCCGAATCTCACCCACCTTGCCTTCTCAAGGATTCCTCTGTTATTGACAATTGCTGCTGCCGCCATCACCACTCCCTCCCACTTTACCAGCTTATTCTCATCAGTGCACGAATATGATTTAATTGCTCCCATTATAGAACAAAACTAAGCAAACTCTCTCTTGACCCTTCCAGCTACCAGTACTTCTGCTCCTCTTCAAGGCAAAAAAAAATTTTTTTTTTGAGATGGGGTCTTGCTCTGTTGCCAAGGCTGGAGAGCAGTGGTGTGATCTTGGCTCACTGCAACCTCTGCCTCCCGGGTTCAAGCGATTCTCATGCCTCAGCCTCCCAAGTAGCTTGGACTACAGGCACCCTCCGTGGAGCCTGGCTAATTTTTGTATATTTAGTAGAGACAGGGTTTCACCCTGAGACAGGCTGGTCTCAAACTCCTGACCTCAGGTGATCCTCCCACCTTGGCCTCCCAAAGTGGTGGGATTTTAGGTGTAAGCCACTATGCCCGGCCCAAGGCAAAATTTCTTGAAAGAGCTGTTATCTCTACTCTTTTTCCTTAAGTCATTCCAATCAGGCTATTTCCACCAATCCACTGAAACTAGTACTGAAGTCATCAGTGGCTTTCATCTTCCAATGGGTCTCAGATCCTTCCCATCTTGACTGATAGTGGCAACTGATACAGCTAATTGGCCCCTTTGGTGTAATGCTCCCATCTTTGCTTCCATGATGCCACTCTCTCCTGGTTTCCCTCCTACCTGATTGTTTACTCCTTCCAACTCCTTCAGTAGTTCCCCTTGCTCTGCTTAATCTCCAAGTATGTGAGTGTCTCAGAGTTGATTTGAATCCTCTTCTCCACTGTTACTTTCTCCCCAGGCCATCTCACCTAGTTCCACGGGTTTATCAAAATACTGATGACTCCATAATCTTCAGTCCTGTCTGTCTTGAGATCTGGATGTGGCTAACTTCTTACTTGACATTTCCACAGGCAACTCCCAGACATCTTAAAGTTAATACATCTAAGACAAAATTGTTCTTTACTTCACTTTGTAACTATTGTCATCACCTATTGTTATTCATGCCAAAAATCTAGGTGACGTCCTTGGTTTTTCCTTTCCCTTCACTCTTCATATCCAATCTATCATGCCCATCTACTTCTACAGTGTATCTCAAATCTGCCCTATTCCTTCCACTTTCGTGTAAGCCATCATCTCTTGCCTGGACTACTGTATTCGCTTCTGCCTTCAGCCTCTACTCTTGACCTTCTGCAACATATTCTTATATAGCAGAAGTATATCTAGCCATGATATGAATTGGATCAATCATTTCACTACTTGAACTATTCAAAGACTTCCCTTTCTAACTTCTAACCATAGTGTACAAGGTGCTATATGATCCAGCTACATGCCTCTCTCCAATCTCATGTTCTGATACTGTCTCACTCTAGCCACATTTTTTTTTCAGTTCCTTGAACACAGCACAATTTTTCACCTTGTGATCTATGCACACACTGCCTTTTTCCCCCTCTTCTTAATTTCACATGGTTAAAGCCTATTCTTCCTAGTTATCAAATAAAATGTCACCTCAGCAAAGCCTTCCAAAGTAAACCATAATCACCTTAATTAGAGTAAATCCTCCTTAGTCCTTCTCTCTCAACCTATTTGTTTCCTTGCCTGCTTGCAAGCTCTGTAAGTAGGCTGTGTTGGTCTTATTCCCTCTATCCCTATGCCTAGCATAAAATAGGTACTCCATAAATATATGGTGAATGATGAATTACTTGACCATCTTTAGAAAAAAAAATGGCTTCTCTGCATTTACAAATCCCTTGGTAAACTTGGTGAGGCTTGTTGATCAGGGGTGCTGCCAGAGAGCCAGATATGAATATAAGCTCAGCCTAGCTTTTTAGGCCACACATAGATGGGACACTCTTTATCTGTGCTCTTATTTAGCCCACATTTTCTACCTCAGATATAAACAAGGACATTATGAGAAACAGTCAAATACTTGCTGAGGTCAAGATGCACAATACTACACCAGCCTCCTGACCGATATATAATAGCTCTATCGAAAGAACATTGGATTAGTTTGACACGTGGTCTTAGCAAACTCAAGTATGAGTTTGGGGGACTTTCAGGGATGTCTAATTATGCTCACAAACCATCCTTTTAATCTAGTCGACAATCTTGCATGGAATTGGCATCAAGCTCAATAATTCATTAATTCAATGTTTGTTGAGTACCTAGCATATAAAAGGCATTCTTTACTGAAAAGACACTGGTTGAAATGAATAGACATCATTTCCTCTTACGGAGATGAGACTAGTGAGAAAAAGAGACCAAAACAAAACAAGAAAATGAGTACTGGTAGAAGTAATCATAAACAAGAAAATCCAAGGTGATATGAGGGAATTACAGGGGGTTACTTTAGATTGGGTGGTCAGAAAAGGCCCACCTGAAGAGCCTATTCAGATTGAAAATCAAATGGTAATCCATATTTTGTAAAATCTATTGGCTTCTCATTTTTGAAAATCACATTTGCCCAGCTCTAGTCTTCTGTCGCCTCTCCATGATTTCTTGAGGATAATAATTACATTACAATGCCATAAGGGTTTGAGTAGTATGGCAAAGAAAACAAAATGGTCTCCACATTTGATATGTAGCATTTATCCCCTAAGATCTGAACACATTTATAGCTTTAGCAAGAAACCTAGATTCTAACTTTTTTCATTATTGGTCAATGGTTAACTGAAGAGGTTCTTTTTAAAGATAACACTAGGAGCCAATTATTTTCAAGAAATGTCAATTCTGATTTTCCTTACTAGTATGAAAAGTTTGGTTGCAAGATTAAAGGAAGGAGCCAACACACTCAAACTACATATCAAAGGAAGCCAGTTACTCTTAGAATCAAATATATACGAACAGACATGAGTGAAGTTATAAAGGGTAAAATATTTTTCAGAAACCTAAATAAATTATGTAATGGAAAATTTTACGTTGACTACTCATTTTTATCACAAGTTTTGGTAAATAAAAAAAAACCTTGCTAATCTTTACTAGGTTAGAAACTCTAAAAGAGAGGTTAAAGTAGGCAAAAGTAACTATCAAAGTGGTTTCTGCCTGCTACTGCAATTTTTATCAATTATGCCTGGCGTGATAACCTATTTACTTACTGGAACATGAGATCTAACAAAAATATGGAGAAGAGGGTTATCCATGTTTATTCATGCTTTAGTTATTCAGTGATTTAAAAATTTTAACTCCACCCTGAACTTTTCATAATACTTTTGTCAAGTGAAGAATCATGAGGTTCATAAACTTGGAAACAAGAGCTTCCTTTCTCATAAAGGGTTGCAGCCTTCAGGCTGGCCATCCTGCAGGTTGGGAAGCGTAGCCTCTGGCAGAAGCCAGGAGCAAGCACTTTGAGGGAGGGGTAAAGGGAACAGGAATTGATATTGACTGGCGTGGCCATATACAACTTCAACAAGCTGTAGGAGAAGTCACGAATATTAATGAAAGGAGAAACATGCACATATAAGCTTCATGCCTCTTCATGGACAGCATGTTAAAAAAATGGCTACATTAACATGAGCCAAGGGTGGCATTTTTGGCCCTCTGACATCAAAAGGTGAAGCAGAGGACACAAAACCCCTCATTGCACATCCTCCTCAAGTGGGCCAAAACTTGTCTGGAGATGGTGGTCAGGTTCAAGGAAGGTATGCATTGTGAAATTGGTGAGCAGTCGCACTGAAACTGCAAAGAGGTGGCTGCAAAGAGGGAGGGGGCATCCAGTAGCAGACTCAGACTATTCGCTAAAGGCAATAAAGGAATAAGTTGTTGGTTTCTTGTTTTCCAGAGCTAGTTTCTGCGTCCTCCTTAGGAAAGAATTCTGGTTAAAGGTTAAGGAAGAGGCATACTGAGGTGTGTCTGACCTCCCATCCTGTCATGCTGGTACCTTAGTTTTGAAGGTTTCTCTGGGGTCCCCTTGGCCAAGAGGAGGTCTGTTCAGTTGGCTGGGGGGCTTAGGATTTTACTTTTATTTCCTACTCCCTAAGTGCTAAAGCACTTTCAGGTTTATTACTATGTAATTTCCATAAATAAAGTCCTGTGAGGAATAGAGAACACATTTTCATGCTCTTTGGGGGTAAGAAAAGAATTTGACAGAAAGGTGACCATATTTAGAAAATCCATATGAAAAATAAATTAGAAAACAATTTACATTATGAAAGTATTCACCTTTAAGTTTCATTATTTAATACATGATGGGAAGGCTTATGAACAGAGAAAGCTAAGAATTTAAAGAACTGTCAAGTAATGATCAGAAATGAAGATAAAGCATCTATGAAATCATAAAGTCAATGAGAAATTATTATATTTATATTACTCAGCAATGTACATTTTATAGAGAGATTATCTGTAACATTTCCAGCTTCATTGAAGATGCATGTCCTGAAAATATCTAAGGTTTAAAATGCCAACAATTAAGAAAGGGTTACTTTTCCAGGAGGGAAGCAGTTTGTTAAAATTATAAAAAGCAGATTACTATCAACAAATGACACCCTAAAAAGATCACTGACCAAGAATTTAATATACATAACACACAACACAAAATACCAGTTTATAAACTACATATATTTTACTACATTAAAGTCCCTCCAGAAATCTATTCATGCAATGATCTAACTGAAATAAATATGGTGGATTAGTCTGTAATGGAATAAAAGGAATTAAAATAGTAATATAGTTCTCCATGTAGATATGCGGGGGACAGAATTTCCCAGATTTATTGACGCCTCTCTGGAGAAAAGCAAACAGTTTACATTCCTCATAACACTGAACTGAAGATATTATTTATATACTATCAAAATAAAATATATTTGTTTTTGATGCAATATTAAGTTTATATTAACTGTTATGTACTTTATGATTGGTGTGGTCTTAACAGAGAATAGGATGTTTTAAGATTTTTCTTAAACATGCAAAGTAAACCACAAAAAAGACAATCAAAACAGTTTCCTGTACTTGGTTCTGAAGAGAAAATATGAATGATGAGATGTGCCACTTGGAGACTGTGATCACAGTGTAGGCTCACACACAAAATGCATACAGAACACATTCTTACGCAGTATGAAAATTGTCTAAAATTCAATTTTTTTACCAATATGCAGAAACTTACCTGATACATTATTTTTGATTAGTAGTTTGTCTCTATTATTATTTTTTTTTTTTGAGATGTAGTCTCACTCTCGCCCAGGCTAGAGTGCAGTGGCACGATCTTGGCTCACTGCAACCTCCACTCCCTGGGTTCAAGTGATTCTCCTGCCTCAGACTCCAGAGTAGCTGGGATTACAGGTGTGCGCCACCATACCCGGCTAATTTTGTATTTTTAGTAGAGACGGTTTCACCATGTTGGTCAGGCTAGTCTTGAACTCCCGGCCTCAAGTGATCTTCCCGCCTCAGCCTCCCAAAGTGCTGGTATTACAGGCATGAGCCACCGTGCCCGGCCAGTCTCTATTTCTTTTTAATGTACTGAAAAAAATAGTATCAAAACTAAGCACACTGTAAAGTTACAGTAGAACTTTGAAATAGATGTCTACTCATACAAAAGGCTAAATTTATTTTGTAGTTTTCTTGTAAGAGAATTAACATCCAACCTTGAAGGTTGAATTTTGTTACCTGGCTAATCTGGAGTATTTCATGAATTATGAATTAGAATTGCTACTTACAAAGCTTTTTTTTTTGTTTTTGAGATGGAGTCTTGCTCTGTGGACCAGGCTGGAGTGCAGTGGTGCAATAGCGGCCCACTGCAATCTCCGCTTCCCAGGTTCAAACGATTCTCCTGTCTCAGCCTCCCGAGTAGCAGGGATTACAGGCCCACGTCACCACGCCTGGCTAATTTTTGTATTTTTAGAGGCGGGGTTTCACCACGTTGGCCAGGCTGGTCTTGAACTACTGACCTCAAGTGATTCGTCACCTTGGCCTCCCAAAGTGCTGAGATTACAGGCGTGAGCCACAGCGCACAGTCCAAAGCTCTTTAAGTGTAACATTGAAGAGCTAAAGTGTAACTTTCTTTAATGAACTGAAAAAATTAGTACAATCTTTACACAAAGAATAGTTAAGAAAATATAACCAGCACAGAATGTTAGCTGTAGTTAGCTACTGCAGTTCAAAGATCAGCAGGGTAGTAACTACAGAAAGTTACATCCTTGGAGTTCAAATAATGGTCCAAAATAGGTTGTCTTGAAAAATGGGATGATGAAAAGACAATTCAATACATCCTGATCTCACCTCTCTAAATTTTAAGAGAGACTATTTGAGCCAACTTTTTAAAAACAAGAATGTGATAGCACCTTGACTTGAGACCCCCATTAGAATTATAGTGTATAGTAGTGACATATCCTATAGTAGTGACATATCCTAAAAGCTATGGATAATGAGGATGGCATGACTTAAATTACTCACAATTTCGTTCAGGTTGAAAATCAATTTGATGTTTAGCAAAATAATCTCTCTAAAGGGGTGAATAATGCAAACCAATGAAGGTCATAGACACCTATGTATAGAGATAGATACTGCCATCATTCAAGCACTGTTCTTGGAAGAATTCAGCTAAATTAGTAATTATGGCACTTCTGGATTTCTGAAAAAATTTAATCTCTGGATTACTCTGGAAACACAGGTATAATTTCAAATTAGCTTTTCATTACTTTGCAAACTTAGTTTTTCATTAAGTTGAACACTTAAAAACTTGTACCGTAAGTTTACTTCTGTTTAAAAGGAATGAGTATGGGAGTTTTATGCCCTATTTTGGACTCAGTCCAAATCTCAGTCTCAATGATTAGTGTCTGTCTTGTCTGTAAAGACAAGACATATTTTACTAAAAACAAACAAACAAACAAAAAACAAAACCACAATGTGAAATCTTAATGATATTAAAATATTTAAGAAAAGAGACTCTCACTTGAAATACACTGTGAATCTTGCCTACTATTGCCTTTAAAAAAACATTAGCACTTAAATAAATATATTCATTAATTAAGAAAAATGTTCACAATAAAAATACATTCTACCCATTCACCTGATAACAAACATACACATATTCTACTATAGTTTGAAGCAAATCAGAGTTTAAACATTTTTCTTCCAGGTACCTCTGAAATGTATTAGTTTTATAGCAACATGGTCCCCTTTTAGTAAAAATAAACCAAAATAGGTAAATTTATATAAATTATATTTACAAAATATTAGTATATTCTCATGAATATAGGCTTTTCTCATTTTTTTGCTTAATAGAAAGTATAGTGTTTCAAAACGAAAGTAAAATGCATAGCCCAAACCAAATCAAAAACATATGCAAAAACATTTTATTTATAATAGATCAACATTTTTGACATGAAAGGTAGCCACTTTCAATTTCTCAGGAATGCCTAGAACCCAACAGTTTTCAGAAAGACTACTTAGTTCACAATTATTTCACTGTAGGTAAATGAAATAATTTCAGAATGAACTTTTTAAATGGCTTTGCCTATGGCAAATTGTTTTATAAACTTGAATGTATGGTAAGCTAGCTTTCCCAGGAAATGAATGTAATCCAACTATGTTCCAAATGTATTAAACCAGTTTATACAACAAATATGAGAATCACTTATGTGCATCAACTGTGCTAAAACAAGAATTCTTTTTATCAAAATATTCATTTTTCAAAAAGGCCTCACATTAACCCCTCAAACCAAGCACCCCCTTCCTATGTCCAGCACTCTTTTCTACTTCGAGTTGCATGACTGTAGAGACAACTGTCAAATTCCAGTGGAACTGTACACTGACTTAAGACTCTATGTAATATACATCAAACACAGGAGGTCACTGACTTTAAGGGACGAGGTGATAACTAACTAGTTATAATTCAGCCAATGTCTTTTTTAGTTTAGAGGGAAAAAAGTAGCCCCCAAGTGTCCTTAACTTTTCAGTACTTCTCTGTAACACACAGAATGAAAAGGTACTCTCTAAAATTAAAATCATTAGAAAATATCTTAAATAAAGTGTTTTACATAAATAAGTGTTAAATTTCAGATTCAAACTATATTTTCTTCTGTATCTCAATTTGGGAAAAATCTCACAATTATTAACTCTTCTCAGTTACATTTATTTTTGAGCATTTAAATCTACTATACACCAGTTTGTAAAATTCACCTTGGTTACCTCTCCCCATGCCTATGTGCTGTCTTTCCTCAGGTAAGTCCATTATATGCATCTAAGTGCTGGGGAGGTTTAAATAGCACTTAAAGAATATTCATGAGAGTTCTGAAATGAAGGTTTCGTCTTTAGCTATTGACTGTAGGATTTGTAATTCAAATCATCACAGCATCCTAAAGAAATACTGTGTGAATGGAATGCACACAATTCCTACAGAACACACAAACTGATGTCCAAAAGGCACAGAGTAATGCTGGTGGCTCTTTCTAGTCAGTTAAGAAACAATAAAAAGTCTGCATTATTCTTTCATAATTTAAATACTTAAGTAATCTCCACTTTATTATTTTATAACAATGACTTCAAATTTACATTATTTTAAGTACCATTGTAATAGCTTAGTGTATAATACAGATATTTGCGAATATCCCATCCAAAAATTAAAAAAAACTTCTTCACTATATATATATTTATATAAAAATTATTCTGAAAGACAAGAACATAGACAAGGGACTTGGTACAGACCATCAACTCAATTTTCTATCACCACAGTTGTAACTCCAAAATCAACAAATATACAGCAGTAATTAAAAGCAGTGCAAATATCTTTGGAGGTTAGGATAAAATTATAATGCAAGAACATAAAACTGAGGAAACAAAAAAGGCAAGTACTTCAAGTACAAGGAACCAGTCGGCTTGAGGTCCATCTTAGTGTTTACTGGGGGCTTCTTTCCTGCTTCTACTTCTTTCTCTGAAATACATTGGCCAACATGGCACCTGATGTTGTCAACTGGCCCATTTTGTTCAAAAACTTGGTCTTTGTATCTTCACTCACTAAGCTTGCAGCAATTGACATTGAGCTAGGAAAGAAAATTTAAAATTCATGTAAAGCAATTAAAAAAATAAAAATTTTTCATTTATTTAGTAGCATATCATTAACGAACACACTCTGAATTGGCGTCACAAAAGGGAAACTAATATTTATGGAGGGTAGTTTGTATATGCCATACTAGGTTAGGAGCTTTCATGTTCATTATCTATAGTAAAGGAAGCAGTATGTGTAGTGGTTAGGAACAAGTCTGGGACTGGACTGAATCTTGGCTCTGTTTACCAGCTCGGGTAAATTATTTAATCTCATCTGTAAAACGAGGATGATTCTAGTATTTGCCTCCTAGGGTTATTAGGATTATATTAACACAACTGTAAAGTGCTCAGTATAGTGCTAGGCACATAATAGCATGATGTAATTGTTAGTAGTTATTCTTTATCACTTCATTTAATTCTTACAGCAATCCTGGAAGATAAATATTATCAGTATTTTCACAAATGAGTAAATTAAATTGCAATGAAGTTTTGTGCTGTGCTGATAATAATCCTATGGTATATTCCTTTTTAGGGGGATATTCCTTTTTTGGGGGATGTCCTGAATTGCCAGTTGCATTGATTTCAATCAACAGTTTCGAGTCCATTTCTTCTTTCTTTTTCACCAACCTGCTCTGTAGGGAATAAACACAATCTAAATGACCTCTAAAGATTGCTAATTTATCATAGTACTGAACAGAAACAGAATACTGATCAAGCACAATTTTTCAATGACCTGACAACTGTCCTGTAATAGACTTGGAATCTAGTTTATTGCCTTGTGCCTTTGGCCAACATGCTTTAGCTCTCTCTGACTCAGTTTCCTCATCTGTAAAACACAGCTTGCAATTTCTGTTGTAAAATATTCTGAGGATTAAGTAAGATAATGTGTTTGAACATGTCAAAGACAACGTGTGGCAAGCTGCAGGTGCTCAACATGTCTGTTGAATCTACTGCATGAGGTGTGTGCTGCCACGGAGCACACCTGGGTCTATGTAGTCTATAAGGGTGTGCACTGTGAATTACTCAAGTTAAAAACCAAACCAGAACTCCCACCTTGAAAAGCTTCTCCACATTGCTCTTCTGACAGTACAACAGTGGGTTCTCTTTCCTGCTGCTTCTCTTCCCACAAAGTAATCTTCCCTAAGGTTCAGTATTTGGCTCTTGATTCTTCAATTATAAAACTTACTCTCCAAGTTTCAAATTGAATCGCATCCCTTTTCCTGAGGGTCAGTCCCACATTACTATTATTTGCTAGATAAAGCCAACATCTCAAGCTTCTGTTCACGCCCTAACTTTAGAAATAACTCTCCATTTTAACTCCCCCCTCTTTTTGCCAGTGGTTCTACTATTTTCCTCTCTTTCTAACAGTGAATTTAATAGCTCCTTCTACTTCTATTTCAAACCAATCACAAGTCCTGTGACCTTATTCTTTGAAGCATCTCCTCTACTGTTTCTTTTTACTTCCATGGCTAATACTTCACAACTCAGTGATTCCAACAGTCTTCCATCTTTAATTACCAGATTAACTTCTAAAAGTCACTTCTTGATATCACATCTTAGCTCAAAAATCTTTAATGCTTACATACCACCTACAAGATGAAATGTGCTTTGCATTCAGGAAATGTAGCAATCTATTTCTTGTTTTTCCATACCACTGTCACTGACTGTCTCTTTGACCCCCTTCAGTCAGGTTTGTCCAGTCTATTGTTCAACCACTCTCAAATCTTTCTATCCACTGCCTACCCATCTTTCAAAGCCCAGCTGAAGTCCTATGGTGCCTTTCCTTAACATTCTAGCTTTTCAGTGCTCTTCCTTTCTTTAGAAAACTCAGTGTAAGTCAAAAGATAAGTATGATTTAAATTTACATCTAGAAAAAGGGGATGTATGGGTCAGACCATAGTTGAGATACCAAGTTTTAATGATATTCTAAGAGGAGGCCAACCATGATGTTAAGGAGTCTGGAAACTATAAGAGGTAAAAATGAAAGGAATGAAGAATATTTGGCTTGAAGAAGATTTAGGTGACTTAACCAATACCTGCATACATCATATGTGAAAAACTGGATATATAATGTATATCTGCAGGGGTGTATATATCTGCGTAGGTCTACTGATACACATCATAGTCACCTGGAAAACTTCTGAAAATGCAGATCCCTAGGCCTAATCCAGTACTTCTGATTCTTTCCATCTGAGGTAGGAGGCCCAGGTCTATACTACAAAGCTTTTCAGTTAAAAAAAAAAAATCATTGCATTACAGCAATTCCGCCCCCACCCCAAGACACAGTGTAAATTTTTATCAGTTTTATAAAGGGGTTTGTAACACTCTCCCACCCCTCTACCAGATGATAAAGACTTGTTTTAGAGGGCCTAGGCATTTTGGAAAGGGAGATTTTAATCCAGGAAAAGATAATTTTTTAAAAAGAGTTATTAAAATGAAATGGGCTACCTTGTAATGTGTATCCTCACTGGAAGTTTTCAAGCAAATCTCAGATCTTTTCTTTGCAACTAATATCCCTATCTTCTTTAAAACTATTCATGTCCTATATTACTTATCTCTTTTCTTCTCTTTAAAATCTCCATTTGGGCCAGGCACAGCGGCTCACAGCTGTAATCCCAGCACTTTGGGAGGTCAAGACGGGTAGATCACTTGAGGTCAGGAGTTTGAGACCAGCCTGGCCGACATGGTGAAACCCCCTCTCTAGTAAAAATACATTAATTAGCTGGGCATGATGGTGCACGCCTGTAATCCCAGCTACTCGGGAGGGAGGCTAAGGCAGGAGAATTGCTTAAACCTGGGAGGCGGAGGTTGCAGTGAGCCGAGATGGTGCCACTGCACTCCAGCCTGGGAGACAGAGTGAGACTCTATCTTGAAAAAAACAAAAACAAAAACAAAAATAAAATCTCCACTTGATTTCTAACACCATTCTGGTTTGCCTTCTATTTCTCAGTTAAGTTCTTCCATATGCATCTGAAATGTTGGTGTCTAATTCCATGCCTGGTCACCTTCTCCCCATCAGAGCCCCCTTTTCAAGTGATATCATTTATCTACCACTGCTCCAACCATAAGCCTTTAATTACCACCCATATGCTGCTAATGGTTCTTAAATCTCAATGAACTGCCTATAGTGTTTCTCTACCTGTGCCTCACATTTTAAATATTCCTCTTCAGAATAGTTCTTCCTATAGTTCCATTTTGTTGTATTTTATCATCATCCGTTTAAATGTTCAGATCAGAAATGTAGGAATCTTTTGATTCTGTTCTCCTTCACTCTTAATCAGCTGCCAAGTTAAATTGAGTTCACATCTGAAATACGGATCTCAAATCCATCTTCTCATATTCACTGCCATACACTGGCATTATAACATGGTGGTTCAAGTCACGGTCTCAAGGACCGTAATGCCTGGGTTCTGGTTCCTCCACTTAGTAGCTAGGTGGCCTCTGAGCAACTTACCTGCCTCTCTGTCATCTGTAAAATGAGAATAGTAAAAGTATCTACTTTGTAGGCTTAGTATGACAATTATTAGCAAATATATGAAAAATGTTTAGAATGGTATCTGGTTCATAAGCATTACTTATTGTTACTTTCCCATCCAAGACCACACTTCATCTTATCATGGGTTCCTGTAACAGCTTTCTCATCTCTTCCACCCACTTCTCTATTCACTAGAGTCTGGTTCCTAAAGCAGTGATTCTCAAGGTGTGGTTCCTAGACCTGCAGCATTAGCACCACCTGGGAACTTGTTACCAATACAAATTCTCAGACTCCACTCCAATCTTCTGAATCAAAAACTCTGGGGATGGTACTCAGCAATTTCCAGGTGATTCTGATGGACACTAACGCTAGACAACCAAAGTTCCTAAGTATTGGCTACAGGTAGCAGGCCAAATCTAGCCTGCTGTTTTTATAAATAAAGTTTTACTGAAACACAACCATGCACATTTATTTACATATTGCCAAAGGCTGCTTTCCTGCTACAATAGCAGAGTCTAGCTCAGTAGCTGTGACAGAGATTGTATGGTCTCCAAAGTTTAAAATAATATTTACTATCTCTACAAAAAAGTTTGCCACCACCTGGCCTATAACATAAAGTCCAAATCTCCCAGTGTGGCACACAGAATTCTTTATTGTCTGGTGCCTGCCTACCTTTATATACTTATCTCTACCATTCTCCCACATGTACTCTGTACTCTAGCTTTACTTACAGTTCCCAAACACGCTCCTCTGTAACTTTTGTCATTTTGCACAGTGCTGATTTTTCTGCATGTAATCCTCTTTTGCTCTTCCTTTTTTCCTCCCTAGTCAGCCATTCATATCTGAAGACTCCTGTATTCCTTTATCCTTGGAACCATTTGCAGGCATTGTTTTAGTGTTTATCTTTATTTTTAACTGCTTCTTTTTCCCACTTTCAGCTGTGAATACCCCGAGGGAAGAGACTATGACTTGCTCAAGCTCATCTTTGTGAACAGCCCATGGTAAGCACTCTGAATTTTACTTACTGCTGAATGAATATAAGAAGGGTACCAAAATAGTTATGCATACATTTTCTGCCTGCAGATCAGTGCTTTTCAAACTTTTCTGACACAGATCCATAGTAAGTGCCACATTTTACATGATGACTTGTAGTACTTACACAGGTAACTGATGTTTCATAAGAAAGACTCATCTTTACCACTTGGGATGTACTCTCCATTTGATTCTATTTCTCGGGATGAAATACGTGTCACAACCAATTGAATTAATTAAACAATGTACTAACGTCAATGATCTGCAGTTTGAAAAATACTGCTTTTAACCACAGGCTCTTTGAAGGTGAAATCCATATATGCAACATCTTTGTATTCCCCACAACAAAAGGCAGAGCTCTTCACAGATACAGATATCTTTATCTGCACCCACTCTTGCTTTTCCTTCCATCTTAGAAGCAGTTCCTTTCACTGCTTCAAGTAAAATACTTTCCTCTTGTGCTTTTGATCTACAATAGACTTCAGAGGAAGGGTGGGGTCAAGGAAGGCTTCCCTGAAGAGGCAACATCTAAGCTCTGTCCTGAAGGATGAGTAGGAACTAGCCAGGCAGAGTAAGAATACTCCTGGCAGACGGAATCATATGTGTAAAAACCTGAGGAGAACAGAAGCTTGCCGTGAATCTGATTAAGTCTCTAGATCTAGACCCAGCTACCAAATATACAAGAAATAGAGAAGAACATGTTAAAAGACAGAAGAGAAATGCAATCACCAAAATTCAGACTGTGGGAAACTCTATAGGACAAATGACTCAGTTTCTTCAATAAGTAAATTGTATGGAGAAAAAAGGAATAAAAGGGTGACATTCTATCTATGGATTGAAGGAGACAACATAGCAACCAACTACAATGTACAGAACTCATTTGGACCCTGACTCAAAGAAACAAACTAAGGAAGACAAACAACAAATCACTGACATTTATGAAACAAGGAGAAATTTGAACAAAAGCCAGACAGTTGATGATATTAAGTTGTTATTGTTATGTTGGTGTGATAATGATATTGTGTTTATGTTTTTTTAAATAATACTTATCTTTAAAAGATACATATCAGAGAATGGGAGGGAGAAGTAGGTCAGGTATGGATGAAATTGAAGCTGGGTTACAGTTATAACATGTATAGAAATTCATTATATTTTCAGTTTATTTTTGTGTTTGTTAGAAAAACCTGTAAAAAACCTCTATAAAAAACCACTAATAATATAGAAGATGTGAATGTGTCTATTGTTTTAATCCTCTGTGGTTAAAATGGATATATATGGAGAAGACTGCTTCCATTCTAAGAGGCTTTATAAAGTAAGGGTTCTAACACATCAAAGATATATGCGTGTTGCACATGGGGAATAGGGAGGAGCGTATGCGTGAGTGTGTGTGTGTTTCTAGACTGATAGGATGAAACACTTATTCCCAGTAGTTAGCCTTAAAAAAAGTACTTTTGAGCTTTTTATGTCTAATAGAGTCCACTTAAGATGCTCAAGGTTATTTCAGTAAGAGTACGTACAGCTCATTTGTAAATAACTCCCACTCCTGAAACTCCAACGTTATAATACTCTTTCACGTCTATGCTTATATTTTAATTTTACTGAATCCTTGGATTCCAATTAGTTTGATTAGAAGCATGTGACTAGAACATTCCCAAGTTGATAGTCCTTTATGCAGTACGTTGTTCATCTTACAACTCCTGTCACAAGTTTCTAGACATTCTTTTGACTGGTGAGTGAACAACCCAGCTACATAAAAGAATTTTGTTGGAAGCTTTTAAACATGCAGATCCCTAGGCTGACTGAGAATATTGAGAGAAGGCGCAGGGCATGGGGTGGAGACCTGAATTTTAAATTCCCCAGATAATTCTGATGAGATAGTTTATGGACCAGGATTTGAGAACCAATGACTTAAATCATTTTCTTGTCTTCCAAACAAAGGACTATAACGTAACACAAAATGACACATTACACTGATTGACAGCAAATTTAGATAGAAAAATTAAAGTTAACATGTAGCCTTAAAAAAAGAATTAATGTCTTACCCTTGAGGCTCTTGGACGGTCTTGTTTTCAACTTTTTGTTCACATTCTTTTATCATGGAACTTAAAATAACCTGATTAAAAAAATTTACCTTAGTGAAATACAGTTTACATAGTAAAATACTATGGTTTAATCTAATGTTTTAATTTTTAATATTCCTATAAGCTAATATGTTAATTAAAAATTTAGTTTTGGCAGTTACTTTGTTAAAGGAATTCATATTAGATTGCTAGACTAGGTTCAGAAGTAGCTTTAAAAAATCTCAATCATATAACAATAATTTATTTTGATTTTCACTAGTCTTCTTTCTAAATGTTTTCTATTCTCCCTTAGCTTACTCACCATCTTCTAATGTTAAAAGTAAAATTTATATACATCTATATATTTAACATACACACACACTATGGTCACACACATATTTTCCCAGTAAAAGCTGTCCTGTTCTACGCCCCTTTGCTTTCTCCAGGTTGCAAAAAGCAAGATCCCTTATTTTAATGTCTAGAGCTGAGACTAGGTACAGCACCATGGCTATTAAAATATAATGAGGGATATGCTGGGTGTGTAAAAGTTAACACGATTCCTGCAGGGAGACTGAGTGAGTGATAGAAAGGTTAGAGAGAACTAAACTGCTGCTCTAATATCTGGCAACCACACCAGAAAATGAATGGCTCTTCTGAATATTCTTGGCCCATGTTTGGGCATGGAGGTCCCTAAAAAAATATTTATTGTCTACCTACTACGGGCTAGGTATCTTTTTAGACGGGGGGGGATAAAGCAAATAAAACAGACAATATTCCCTACTTGTGGAGCTTATGTTCTAGTAAGAGAGACAGATACACAAAAAGCAGGTAAATTATGTAGTGTATTAGAAAGTGATAAGGGTTTTAGAAAAAACATTGAGTAAGATAAGGGGTACTAGGAAGGCCAAAGTGGAGAACGGTACAATTCACATGGAAGTGTTCAGGGTAGGCTTCATGGAGATGATAATGTTTAAGTAAAAACATGAAGGAGATGGAGGAATAAATGCTGCAGATGCTAGGAAGAGGCTGCTCAAAGGCTGTGAGGTGTGACTAGACCTGCCATGTCCTAAGGAAAGAAGACAGAGTTGGTGCAGGGTGAGCAAGGGAGACAGGATAGAAGATGAAGTCTTAGATGTACTAGAAGAGAGGGCCAGATCCTATAGTGCCTTGAGATTATGATAAGGACTTTGGGGATTATTCTGAGAGAATGAAACTTTTATCATGCATCATGTGGGAAACTCTAGGTTACGCTTTTTTGAATGTATTCTCTGCTTCCCCACTCTCTTGTCTCACAGGTTATAGCATCTGTTTGTTTGGCTAGTTTTTTGCTTTTTGGTTTTTAAGGGGAATTTTTTGTATTTTTTTTTATCCTCCTTGCATTGTCTCTGTTTCCTCCAGTATCCTTCTTTCTTCTATATTTTCATCTCTATCTTTGGTATTCTAGGCTTTTCTAAATGACTGGTAATCTTGGGATGTCTACTAATGACTGGAGCACCAAAATGTGGATTAGAATCTCTTTATGCATCAGTAGACTTCACTTTAAGTTAAATCTGGCAAAAACCTAACTTTCTGTTGATCTTTTTTCTCCTGTAGGTATAAACCTGACAGCCAGCATTTGAAGGGTAATGAGGTGTCCCATCATTAACTAGCTGTCACTTATTTTCCCTCTTTTCAGTATGGTTTTCAGCTATGCCCGATATCTCAAGTCTACAGAGTAAAGCTCCAGTCTCTCTTCAAGGTTGCAAAGGGAATCTGGGAATCTGATCCTTTTAAAGTCTTTAAATTATTCCTCTTATTCAGTCCCACCATACCCTAATGGAGGTAGGGAAATTTGCGGTGAAACAGGCTTGCTTCTTCTAAGTTCTGTCCTAAGGACTTAGATTTAGCATTTATCCTGGAAGCAAGGATCCTCAACAAAATACTAGCAAACTTAATCCAGCTACATATAAAAGGAAGTATTCAACATAACCAAGTGGGATTTATCCCAGGAATGCATGGTTGGTTTAGTACTCCAAGATAAATTAATGTAATACACTGTATCAACAGAAGAAAAAACAACCTCATGATCATCTCAATTGATGCAGAAGAAAACATTTGACAATATCTAACATCCCTTCATAATAAAAACATTCAAAAACTAGGAATAGAAGGAAACTTCCTCAACCTGATAAAGGGCATCTAAGAAACATACAAAGCAAAACTGAAAAGAACTAAAAGGGGAAGTAGACAATCCCCAATCATAACTTTTTTTTTTTTGAGATGGAGTTTCGCTCTTGTTGCCCAGGCTGGAGTGCAATGGCGTGATCTTGGCTCACTGCAACCTCCACCTCCTGGGTTCAAATGATTCTCCTGCCTCAGCCTCCCAAGTAGCTGGAATTACAAGCATGCACCACCACACCTGGCTAATTTTGTATTTTTAGTAGAGACAGGGTTTCTCCATGTTGGTCAGGCTGGTCTCGAACTCCTGACCTCAGGTATCTGCCTGCCTCAGCCTCCCAAAGTGCTGGGATTACAGGCGTGGGCCACCACGCCTGGCTGCCAATTGTAACTTTCAACGCGTCTTTCAACAGCTGATGAAACAAGCAGGTCACAAAAAAACTGATACAAAGATAGAATGGAACCATAAAATTAACTAACCTTATTTTATTGAAATATATAAAACAATATACCTAATAATGACAGAATGTATATTCTTTTCAAATGCCACATTGATCATATTCTGGGTCATTAGGATAACTGTAACAAATTTCAAAGGACTGAAATCAGACTGTTCTCTGACTGTAGTTAAGATAGAAATCAGTAACAAAAATATCACAAGATAATTCCCCCTGCCCCCCAATTAAACAAACCCCATGGGTCAGTTATGAAATACTGGAAATAAAACTCTAATTTGAACTAAATGATAATAAAGATAAAATATAGCAAATGCATGGGATACAGCTAAAACAATACTTAAAACCTTAAATTCATAGCTGAGCATGGTGGCTCAAGCCTGTAATCCCAGCACTGTGGGAGGCCAAGGTGGGTGGATCGCTTGAACCCAAGAGTTTGAGACCAGCCTGGGCAGCGTGGCAAAACCCTGTCTCTACTAAAAATACAAAAAATTAGCTTGGCATGGTGGTGCATGCCTGTAGTCCCAGCTACTCAGGAGGCTGAGGTGGGGGGATCACTGGGAGGCAGAGGTTGCAGTGAGCCAAAATAGCACCACTGTACTCCAGCATGGGTGACAGTGAGACCCTGTCTCAAAAAAACAAACAAAAAGCCAAAACCCTTAAATTCATATATCAGAAAAGAAGAAAAGTTTAAAAATAACCTAAGCTTCCTCCTCAAGAAGTTAGAAAAATAGAAAAACAAACCTAAACAAAATAAAAGGAAATACAGATGAAAACAGATATAAGTAAAACAGAAAAAAAAAGCAGTAGGGAAAAATCAACACAGCTAAAAGTGCAATATTTGAGATTAATGAAACTGATAAATCCCTATTCAAAACTAACTTTAAAAGAAAGAGAAAAAAAAAAAAAAAACACACCAGGCTGGGGATGGTGGCTCACGCCTGTAGTCCCAGCGTGTTGAAAGGAGATCTAAATAAATATAAGATATAGCATGTTCTATATAGCAAGACTCAATCATAGAGAAGAATCCCCAAATTAATTTACAGAGTCAATTCAATTTCAATCAGAATCTAAATAAGATCCTTCTTGGAACTTGTCAATATAATACTAAACTTTATATGAGGAAGGTAAGGGTCATGAACAGTCAAAACATTTCTAAAAAAGGACAGGATGCTGGACTTGTCCTACTGAATTTCTGGACTTTTAAACAAGACAACTGTAATGAAGACAACATATCATTTTTATAATAATTGACAAAGAAACCAGTGAGAAAGAATGTTCCCCAATAACAGGCACGTACATACACTGGAACTTCATGTATGACAGAGGCAGCATTGCCAATCAGTGCAAAAAGGATGAACGGTTCAAAAAACATACTGAAATAACAGATTGTCCATATAGGAAAAGAAATATAATTGGAATGCTAGCTCACATCATACATAAAAACCAATTCTAGTAAAATTAATAATTTTATTGTATAAAGTCAATTTAAAAAAATTTCAGAAGTATAGGAAATAATGTCTTTTATAAATGATCAATAAATCTGACTATTAAAAAATTAAGAATCAGTGTTCGAAGATGCCAAAAATATGAAAAGACATGTCATAAATTGGAAACAGATATTCATAAAACATAAAATTGACTAAGTATTGGTATATTCCAGATATATAATGAACTTCCAAAAAGTAACGGTTAAGACAGCCTAAATGAAAAATAGGCAGAAAACCTAAATAGACTTTAATAGAAGAACACAACTCATCAATAAGCATACCAAAGGATGCTCAAACTTGACAGTAATTAGAGAAATGCAAATCAGAAACATAATGGTAATTTTATATCCACTAAATTAGAAAGTTTAACAATACCAAGTGTTGGCAAACATAAGAACTAAAAGAGTACTCCCATACACTGCCTATAGGGGTATAAATTGTTAGCATTTTGGAAAACAATTTAGCATTAGCTGGCAAAACTGAAAGTGTATACACTGTACAATCTGTTGATTCTACTCCCAGTTTGTATCTCACAGACAAACTTTTGTACATGTGCATCATAAGATGCTTGTAATTCTGTTTATAATAACAAAATACTGGAAATATCACCTATTTTCCCAGAAAGAAGAATGGATAAACTATGGCATAATCATACAAAGGAATACTATTCAGTAAGGACAATAAAATAACTACTTTTGCAAATATCAATAAGAATGAAATTTATAAACAAAATGAGTGAAAAAAGCAAATCATATAAGAATACATACAGGAGATTCCATATATACAGGATAGGAGAAATATGCAAAATTAAACAATATGTTGTTTAGGGATAAATAAATATGTGGTAAAACAATAAGAAAAACAAAGTATGAAAATATAAAATTCTGGGCAAGTGTTAAACTTGGAGGAGCACATGAGAGGGACATGATTAGGGAGGGGCATATATGGAACTTTTAAGATACTGGTAATTTTCTATTTCTTAAGCTAGGTAGTAATTACATGGGTGTTAGTTTAATTATTATTATTTTAAAAATTTTTCCTTCTTTTTTCCCCCATCAACTTTGTGACAGTATAACTGTTTCTTAAACAAGACTGATAGTCATAGTCTTTTGTGTCAATTTGGCTAGGATATAGCACCCAGTTATTTAATCAAACAGTGACCCAGGCATTGCTGTGAAGGTATTCTGTAGATGTGATGAACATCACAATAAATTAATTCTAAGTAAAGGAGATTATTGCCCTAAAAAATATGGGTAGGTCTCACCCAAGCAGTTGAAGGCTTTATGAGCAAAAAGTGAGGTTTCCTGAAGAAGGAATCTGCCTCAAATACTGCTTGAGTTATCAGCCTGCCCTCCGTATTTTGGACTGAAGCCTGAAACATCAATTCCTGCCTGAGTGTTCTGCCTTATGGTCTCTCCTACATATTTTGGACTTGCCAGCCCCCTCAACTGCATAAGCCAATTCCTTAAAATAAATCTCTTAATATATCATTTTGGTTTTGCTTCTCTGGAGAACCCTGACTAATACAAACAGATATGTAATATAGCCTTTGAGTGTATATTCTACACTTTGCATTATGAAATGGCATTCTTTTGACAGAGGGAAGAGAATAGGCAAAGGCATGGAAGAAAAGACGATGTTATATGGTGGAGATGAATTAGTTTGGCATGGCTGGGGCAGAGTGTGTGATGGAGGAGAAAGGGCGCAGGATGAAACTATCAAGATGAACAGGTGTCAGATGATAAAAGGCCTTGTATGTAAGAAACTTGTAAAGGGTTTTTAATAGGAGAATAACACGAAGAGATTTATACTTTAGGAAAAGTACTTTGGCTGTAGTGAGAAACAACAGTAGAGAGCTAAGATTGGAGAAAAATTAGGATATTCTACAATGGTTTCAATGAGATAACAATAATCTCATTGAATGAGATTCAACTAACAGGGTGGCACAGGTATAAAGAAACGGAAGAGATTAGAAAGACATTATGAAATTAAAGAACTAATTGGACATACTCTATGTTAACTATCAGATATATGACTTGGGGAGAAAGCAGTATGGCATTAGCCAAAGTGGGAGACAGACAGTAATTCTGGTTGAGGGGATTGGCCATGCTGAATTTTAAATGATGCCTGTAGGACATGCAGGTGGAATAGACAGATGGCAGTGAGCCATGAAGTTCTATGGCTCCAGCATGGGGTTAGAGCAGAAGATGAAACTTGTGTGATATTAACATATAGTAAAGGCAAGTTAGATGATGAGTATGGATGAACTTGTTCATGGAGAGTAATTCTAATGAATGAAAAGGTGAGGTAAGAAAGGAGGGGAGATTGGGAAGAACTGACTAGAGAAGTAAGAAAAAAACAGGAATAGAAGTGGAGTCCCAGGAGCCACAGGAGTTTTGAATCAGAAAATGCTGCAGAGAGACGTGAAGCTATAAGAACTAAAAAAAAGTCCTATCAGGGTGGCAGCTTGGTCATGAGTGATCTTAAAGATGGCAGTTTCAATGGATTAGTGTGATGCAGGGAATATGATGTACCAATAGACACTGTAAAAGTTGAGAGAGTAAATGTGGATGATCAGGAAGAATAAGAGACTTGGAGAGGGATGAAAGGAAGGTTTTGCTATTTAGGAGTGGAGAGTCAAACATCGTAAAAGGAAAAGCTGATGGAAAAATAGGTTGAAGATACAGAATAGAAAATAAATGATAAACAGGGATTTGGAGGAAACGAGGGGAAACAGGAGACAAATAGAATGAAATAAAATAGTTATGAAGAAATGAAGATGGAAAATAGAAACTGCACTTAAGAAAGTTGATGGTCAGAGAGAACTAATATTTTATAGTTAAAAATTTTCACATACATTATCTTATTAAAGTCTCATTATATTAAGTGAAGGAGAGTGTATTATCCCTACTGTAGACAATTAAAGAGAGGCTTAAAGATGTGAAAGGAGTTGCTGAAGATATCGCATCTAGTAAATAAATCGATAAAATGACATTGAGCTAGATTTAAAAAAATTACAGCATATCATAAGCCTCACATAGAGAAGACTGCAAGTCTATATATGAGGTATTAAAACATGAATATGGCACTGGTAATCACAGTGGCTCACCTCATGCTCTGGAGAGAGATGTTCCATGTCAGTCCGTAAACATCTGAGACCAGGTAAAAAGTGATTAACCATTAAATCCTCTGAAATGACTTGGGACAAGGTAGTTAAGGGAATTAAACAAAACCAAATTGGTATGTCCAACAGAACAACCGAGTTACTACATATAAAAGAGAAGCCTTCTTATATCATACCTATGGCATAGTGATCACTCAGGGTAAACAGGCTCCCCTCAAGCATGAATCCTCATTTGCAGAGTAAGTTATTTATCAGGAGTCAATTGTGTTTATTCACACAAAGCTATTTATGTCAGTGGTATTCATCATTTAAATTACAGAATGTCATGGAAATGTATAAAGTGAGCGTAACAATTAAGTCATGTAACCCAATCAGATGTTTCAATGAATATGAAAAAAGTATAAAAAGTAAGTTTTCCATGACAACTAAGTTGAAAGTTTTGGGAAAAACTGATAAATGCAAATTGCTTAAAACATTGCTGTTTAACTATTACGTATAAGACAATTGTAAACGATTGAGAAAAATATAAAAATCTAGAAAAACTCTATAGTGCATATCAGAAATATTTCTGGATCCTCTTTAAAGAACTTTAACCTGCAAATCATAGACAACTGCATTACAGATGTGATTTACCTGAGAAAGAAGATGTTTAACTATAATCAACAGATTCACACAAAAGAGATGCCTATATCAAAAGACCGGTAAAAGAAAATAACATATATACATTTTAAGTTAAAATAAGTTATCTAAGGTAGATACCATTTTCCTGATTTCTTGCTTTAACCATCCTGTTAAACTGACCTACTATAGGTCCTGATTGAGTTGGATAACAGAGCTTTTACTGTAATAAGAGCATTTGTTAAGTTTAGGATTACTTGTAGTTCTCAGTCATCTTTGAGTTTTAGTTGATTATCTTGACATTAAAAGGTATCAGGAAAACTTTCTCCAGAAAACAATTCATCTTGTTCATTCCCGTCAATTCTGATACATTCTCCCTTTATTCTAGCCTGTAAAGCTAGCTCCTATTTAATATCACACCACAAAAAAGCCAGTAAGTGAGTTCCCTTATAAAGATATTTTTTTTTAACAGAATTTTTTGCTCTTCTCACGCAGGCTGGAGTGCAGTGGCACAATCTTGGCTCACTGCAACCTCCGCCTCCTGGGTTCAAGTGATTCTCCTGCCTCAGCCTCCCAAGTAGCTGGGATTACAGGTGCACGGCACCACATCCAGCTAATTTTTTATATTTTTAGTAGAGATGGGGTTTCACCATGTTCGGCTGGTCTCGAACCCCTGACCTCAGGTGATCTGCCCGCCTTGGCCTCCCAAAGTGCTGGGATTACAGGCGTGAGCCACCGTGCCCGGCCATAAAGATGATTAAATTAGATGACTTAAATGAGTTCCCTTATAAAGATGACTTAGTTGAAAAAATGAATTTCACTAAGAAAAAAATCAGTGTAACTACTGCTTTGAAAATACAGTTATAAATAAAAATTGTTCACAGACATGGATCCTATAATGAGTGATTTATAAATTTAACAGGTATTAAAAATATAAACATCATTTGGTCAAACCAAATCCCTATAGACATATAGAGGGCTACAACCTAATGATTATGTAGTCTTGCTTTCTAGATATGGGGATAAGTGGCACCAAAATATAACTGTGAATGACCTTTGAATTAGTAGTTTAAGAGTCTGATCTAGAGAAATATGGGCATGGAATGAGAAGCTGAATATGGCCCTACTTAGAAGAGGGAAGTCACTTTTCTTTTCCTCTTTCTACTCTCTGTTGGGGGCCTACCTTTTCCCTATGGATCAATCTTTCTCAAGGATTCGAAAGTTAAAGGTAATTAGTTCCATCAGATATTAGGAAACACCTTTACCTCACTGGTGAATGATGGTTAGCCTCTGACTGCTAACAATGAAAGAAGATTCTTAGTTTATTAAGGGAGATCACTGCATTTTAGATAGCTCAATTAGGAAGTTTTTCTTATAAAAGAAATCAGCCTCTGTTATCTCTGCTTGTTAGTATTAGCTCTGTACCTTAGCTGCACAGTGTGCCTCATCATCCTTCTACCTAAAAACCTTTAAAATATCTTTTCATCCCCAAGCCATCTCTTCTCCAGGTTAAACATTCCTAAATTCCTTCAAACTTTCCTTAAACATGACTTCTCGACTTATTATTATGCCAAAATGTTATACACTATAGTTTTTCTAATGTCTGTATTAAAACATGATGGTAGGCTAAAAGGAGCACTCTTCTGATCAGCTTAGAATACAATGGAACAGAACAGATTAGAACAATGTGATTTTATTAGGGGCCACAGCACTGTTGACTCAAGTACAAGTTCTGACTCATGTAGAACTAACACTTTTAGTACTTGAACAGGGACTGTTGTTAAGATGGTTCTTCCCCTTACCATATTGGTATGTCGCCTTTTTACTGTATTTACTCTAGTGATATTCTATGCATGTCTAAACACACAATAATATTCCTTTTATATAGATTTCTATGCCCTTTGGAAACCACTGCCTTCCCTACTTGGAAAATTTGGTTTTACAGAGCCAAACATTTGGATCTTTTAACTTTCCCATTTTCCTTGAGGCATATTCCTTTAGAAACTCTCTGCTATATAAGATTATACATAACGTTTTGTGTAAGTTTTAAATATTATTTTCACAAAGTCCAATTAAACACACCAATGTTTTCTTTCTTTGAGATACAAACTCTGCGATGCACCACTGTTGCTTTCTTGCAAGGGTCCTATCACTTCTCCAATACTAAAGAATTCTTACTTGCTAATTCAGAATATCAGTTCCTCTTTTTGCTTCCTCTATCTTCCCTAAATTGAAAATGCCAACAAGAAATCAAGAATGATAAGTTCTGCTTTTAGTGGAACTAAACTTATAGAAGACATGAATAGTTGAGGTTACAAAATTATTAAATTATTAAAATATGGTGCCATCTATATTTTAAAAAACATGGCTCATATCCTCCTCACGATTAGGCCATTTGTAATAGATTTCCAACATAAACTGCTCTGAACCATGCATCCAACTTTCAGTTTTAGTATTTCCAAAGACACATAGCTACTTCACAGATAGCTCTACTTTTCTACTTTCTCTATTTGGTTTATTCTGAACAAAAATAACTTCTTATTGGTACATTCTAGTCCAGAATCCAGTGTCAATGACTGTTAGTAATATTTTATGGCATATTTATCTCATTTAAAATTACCTGTTCATGTTGCTTATTACATCAAACTCATCAGACTGGTATATAACAATGTGAACCACATATAATAATCCTGAAACTCTTCCTTTGTTCTCTGTTTTTTGTTTAGCATGTACTTTAGCATTTAGCCTTTCACTCTTTTTTCAATCTCTCATTTCCCCTTTCTTCAACCCTTCTGCCTTTTAAATAAAAGAGCCTAAAAGTTGGGAGTTCACTTTGCCCATCGTTATCTTTACTTCCTTCTTAGTTTTATTTTATAGGCATAGGATAGTAAACAGAACATTTAACAGAATGGCTAAAGTTCTTTGTTCCAGTCACAGTTTTGCTTTTAACTATAAAAAACAGAAGGCATTCATGTCTTTAAGCCTTAGTTTAATCATTTACAGTCACTGACATGGACCTACATGATCTCTAAGTTTTCTCCCAGTTCTACAATCACTGGAGATCATTAGCTTTGTTGGCCCTGTACTTGTCCAATGTGTGATATCTCTCTAAGAGATACTCATAATATTCCACTGGATACTGAGAGTTAAACATTCACTGAAAAACCTAAATGCCAAGTCATATATACAAGGCTTCCTTTTGATTAACAGAAGTCTCAGCTGTAATTCTTTCTGCCCTTTATTTCTTGCTCAGTTATGTAGCTAACTAATATAAATAAAAACTTCAGGTTAAGAACTTCATCAAAATTCTCAAAACTATAGAACATAAAAGCACAGAGGACTTAAACTTATCTTTTAAAATTATGAGATGGCTAGAAGAAGGAGTGGAGTGAGACAAATCAAATCTTCAATTTTCTACAACGCTTAATGTAAGTTGAAGAAAAGAAGTTCTACTTTTCAATCTTTACCAACCAAGTTCCACTCTAAGATTGGTTACATAAATGTAGATACACCTTAATAAAACAAGGATACAACAACAGGAAAGTGCACTGTAGGCTTCAAAAAGATGCGTAGCAATGTCCAGTCTTTTAGAATCCACAATCTGTAAGTTGTTCACCAAGGCTAACTTATGCAAATGTGGTATAACAACTGAAAACAGAAAAAAAAGGGTTAAATTTTTACCCAAAACATGCATACAAAACCCTGACACACTTTAACAATAATTTATCACTTTAATTTATGAAATTTCATTTTAATTCTGAATGACTTCAAAAGATTACCCATATCTTATACTTGCTTTTTCTTAACTAGGGAAGAAAGTAGTTTTTCAAAATAAAAAGTGATCTGGCATTTGGGGGAAACAAATTTTAGTACTGTCACTATTACCTAATTATGAGGATGTATATAGATTATTTGGCCTCACTGTAATTCAGTTTCCCAGTTTGAAAAATGAAGCCCAAATAATTATAAACAACATACCTCTTGTATTATTTATACTTGCAGTTAAGTTTCTCCATAAAAATAAAATATTACCATTGCTATGAAATCAAAAGAGTATATTCTTTTTCAACAACCTATTATTTCACTCCTTCAGAATACTATTATCAGCTTTAGTTTCTCAAATTCTTAGCAAAGACCAATGTCAAACAGCACTGGCGGCTGAGTTTTCAAGTTATTCAATGAGTTTAATACCCTCAAAGAGTAACATAAAATTTCAACCTACTGCTAAATAAAAGCAATGGTCCAAGAAACAAAAACCAATTCAGTAGCAATGAGCACCTCTAGAGCCTAAGATTGTGTTTTCTGGGTACCATTTCCCACTAAAACCAGGGCTCTTTGAAGAAATGGCTTCAGGGTCAGTGATTGTTAAATTGTTAATCACAAGACCAATCACACAACCCCTTTCTAGTCTCTGCTTGGTTGAGGATCACAAAACGCCACCCATAAGCATCAACTGCTGACCAACTGTAGTGACCCCTTTCTTGTTTGCACTGAGTTTGTGTATATAAAGTCATAATCTTCTACTGGAAAAACTCCTGCATCCTAAATAAGCTGGGGCAATAATCACAACTTTCATGCTTAGCTTAGTAAAACCCCACAAAAACTCAGAATAACAATGATCATTTTTAGGGGACCTTTTGACTTGTCAAAATTAATAACAGTATATTTATGAGGAGCTCTAGAACAAATTAGGAAACAAAAACTCCAAACATTCAGTTGAAAGCTTCATTAATTGGCACGCTGAGGCCTCAACAAAATAGTGACTCTAAGTCTCTCTCAAAGACTCACTAGTTCATTTCTGCCCAAACATTCAGAAACTTATCATTCTTTCACTTTATCTATTCATATATGGTTCCTTTATTTCATCTTCTCCTGAGTCTCTGACCTTTTTACAAGGTTTTTCTCAGAAATGCAACAATCACACTGCATAATATCCCCTTAAAATTGCTTGACTAGAAGAAATCTATAGAAGTTCATTTAAACTGTAGTCTCAAGGAAGTTAAAGCCTCTAATTAAGGATCTTCCTAATTCTCAGGAAGACAGACAGAACTTTACTATAGAATTCAGATTTCACTACACACATATTGTCCTGGGGTACCACATATGTATTAATTAATTCACTTAACAGTTAACCCCTCAGATGTAGACAGATGGTTAAAAGCAGTAGGAGATGAAGGACCAGGAGATGATTTAATAATAACCCAGATGGATATCATTCTTTCTTTTTTATTAAGAGATGGGGTCTTGCTCTGTTGCTTGGGCTGGAATGCAATGACTATTCACAGGTGCAATCATAGTGCACCACAGCCTCAAACACTTGGACTCAAGTGATCTTCCTGCCTTGGCCTCCCGAGTTGATGGACTACAGATACGTGCCACCATGCCTAGCTAATTTTTAAACATCTTTTGTAGGGACTTATCTTGCTGTGTTGCTCAGGCTGGTGTTGAACTCCTGGCCTCAAGTGATCCTCCCACCTCAGCTTCTGAGTAGGTGGGACTATAGACACGTGGCACCATGCCTGACTTAGACAGGCTAATTCTAAAACTGACCTTCAGTGGGAAAGAAAAAGAGGAAATACATAACATAAAGTCACTGCAGAAGCCTTTTTCTTTAGGGCAGATTGAACAAGGATTTAAAATTGTAAATGAAAAAAGGATAATAGGAGATTTTATAAAACCGTATTTCGCAGAAAATTAGCCGGATGTGGTGGTGCATGCCTGTAATCCCAGCTACTCGGGAGGCTGAGGCAGGAGAATCACTTGAACCAGGGAGGCGCAGGTTGCAGTGAGCTGAGATGGCATCACTGTACTCCAGCCTGGGTGACAGAGCAAGACTCTGCCTCAGAAACAACAAACAAACAAACAAACAAACAAACAAAAAACTGTATATCAGAAAACGTTCAAAAATATTCTGGGGTAGATCCAATAGTCATAAAGGGAATCTTGTCCTATTTTTGTTTGTTTGTTTGAATAAATGGGCCCAGACCTCAAACAAGAAACTTAGGGGAAAAAATCAGAAATGGAAAATTGCCACTTCAGAAAATCTCCAATGTACGACTGAACATTTTCAGAGAGTCTTACTAAGTAAAATAGCTGAAAACAAAAAACAACTCTACGGTGTTCCAGATAAAACAACTGGTTCCTAAAAATAAAAACAAGACCAAAGGTCCTGTGATAACTAACAATTGGGAAAGAACAAGGGCCACTGAAAGAACTAATGTCCTCTATTAGCCAAGAAATAGAGGGGCAAATACCTAAATACCCAAAATGCCACTCCAAGGGAGACGTTACCACCCAGAAATTCTCTGTCCATCCTCCAAACTCCCAAAGCCAATTGTCTATAAATACTTAGGAATAACACTATCGCATTCTTCATACAGGTTCTACTTCAATATTTATCTTATTAATATAGAGTACTAAATTCCTCAGGGTAAGTTCTAAAGCAAAAGAGAAGCCACTTGACTGGGAAGTAAGTACAAAGGTGGAAAAAAAGGCTAATTTTTATCTTAAAAAAATCTGGTTGTACCAAAATGTGAAAGAAGACTGTATAAGACATACTTGTGGGTACACAGTAAGTTGCAGGAGGCTTTAAGGATAATGGTTTACTAGAACTATTCAAGCAGTGGGAATTTCTCACCTCAATCTGTTCCCAAAACAACCTTTAATTGTTATTTGGGGGCCATTATGAGAAGAAAATTCATTTTTTCCTCTTGAACAACTCCTACAAATTTGATAGGTAGGTATCTATTCTACAATAAAACTGTCAAATAAAATGGAAGGGTTATTTTTAGATATTCTTGAAAATTCTAGAAAGAGAAATTAAGATATTGACACTATGTTTAATTTGAAAAATAACTATAGTCCCAGAATTACTGAAAAAAGATTCCGAAGAATCAACAAAATAATTGGAGCAGATCCTATAAGAATCCAGATGGATTCTTCCCAGATTATCATGAGTCTTTCTTTTGAATATACATAGAAAGGTCAAATCATGCTCTAGAAAAGTTTTAACTATATGACACGGCACACAGCAAGGACCCATTTAATGCAACAACACTGCACACACCAAAGACCCGTTTAACATGACAACATATCAAATACCCATTTAACTTGACAACATGGCACACACCAAAGACCCATTGCCTGTTGAGCCTATCCTTTAATCCAGCAGCCAAGAGTTGGTCTCCTTGCCTCAGAGCAACTACAGCCTCGAAAAGTCAAAGCACCTTCAGAGTTCCTACCTAGAATCACCTGTAAATTTGACACTGCAACATGTGGAACTATCCCTAGTGCTAACTAAAATATCAACTTTCTTCTGTTAGTTGGCTAATTATAAAGACACTTACCTAGTGAAAAAAAATGTCATGACTGTGTTTCTATAGTTTGATCAGTGTGCATGCCTTCAATCGATTTTTTGGACACTGCAGTCCAAATCCTGACTTAGTATTTTTTGTTGATGACTCTTATCTTAAAGAGTCATATGCCAGCCTGGATATGTAACAGTCTGCCGGAGAATAAAATAATGTACTAGAAACTAAACTGATTTAAGTGACCCAACTTGTGGCCCTCTCTAGAGCATGTCAAATTGCTAAAAATAAAAGAGCTATGATAACTGATATGCTTTTGGAGTCATAAGTTCTTAATGCTTTGATGCTATCCAAAGAAATTGTGGCCATAAATGTTGAGGCCCACAGTAAAAGAGACTCTGTAAAATCTAGAGAAAAAAGGCAGACAATTGTGGAAGATCATGTAGCAGATCAACAAGCTATGAATTAAAACAAAGTTATGTATCGTGCTGAATGGCATGCTAAGTGGAAGAAATGTCTGTTTTTCATAAGAACATGTCTAGAAACACACAAAAATTTCCTTAAAAATAAAAAATAAACTCTAAGGCAGCACAGTATTTAGCAATTAGCAGTTATTAAGAAATATTTCTAAAATAACTTGAAATTAAGTTTGAGTTACTCTTCATATGTCTTACAGCAATCAGTATACAGTATAAGACCATCTGTATACTTATACAGTATAAGACCATCCACTAGGGCGGGTGCGGTGGTTCACGCCTGTAATCCCAACACTTTGGGAGGCTGAGGCAGGCAGATCACCTGAGATCAGGAGCTGGAGACCAGCCTGGCCAACATGGCAAAACCCCGTCTCTACGAAAAATACAAAAATTAGCCGGGCATGGTGGTGGGCACCTGTAATCCCAACTACTTGGGAGGCTGAGGCAGGAGAATCACTTGTACCCAGGAGGCAGAGGTTGCAGTGAGCTGAGATCATGCCATTGCACTCCAGCTTGGGTGACAGAGCGAGACTCTGTCTCAAAACAAAATAATACAAAACCATCCACTAATATCAATACTGATTAATTCACAATAACTAACTTGTTTCATGTTTAGCTTTCAGTACACAAGAGTACACAAGGCTTTCAGTACACAAGGCTTTAACACATGACAAATGCACCAAAATTTTAATACATGACAAGGCCTCAGAGGAGTGTCTAGCTTTGATCTTACATTACAATTCAGGAAAAAGGTAGAAAAATGCAACTTACACTCATCTCGGAACCTGGGTTCTGCGTTAGGGCCAACTCTACCAAATGTTTTTATGATCTCTGTATGCAAAGAATGTTGGTCTTGATACTGAGGATCTTCCAGGAAAGAAGCCAACTGCATTTTCACTCTTTCCAGCAACTTAAAATTGGATATTGTACAGTCATTTCATAGAATATTGAAAACTGAGTAGTGTTGTTAAAGTGAAAGACACACATTAAACATGACTTAAAGCAGTGGATTAAAGCAACCTATAGTCCAATGACAGTAGAAATTTGGAATTAAATAAATAGTTATTTAATCTTTTGGCTCAGAGAAGGTTTCCTACTTTTGCTTATGCTTACAAATTCTTAATTAAAAAATACAAATATTCCTGAACAAATTATAACAACAAAAGAAAAAAAATCCCACCGTATTTAGGGAAAAGTAGGTAACTTTATGATTATTTTGTATCTAAATTATAATTCTTAAAACAAATCACACTGTAAGTTACCCAATTATTCACCTTCTGAAAGCAATGAGTCATTAATGACTTACATCTTACTCACATTTCCCTAAAAGACATTTTTATTTTAGGTTTTGAGAACATGTTGAAATTCTGCCAAGACTGCAAGCTTTGCAGAATGATGTGCTTTTCCTCTGTGGCTTCACCAGTGAAATATATAAGTGAAAAAATGGAAAATATTCTTTCTGTAACTAACAAAACTTTAGTTTTTGTCATGAAAAATCTATATGACAAAGGAGTTTTATTAAAACTTTTTTCTTTTGGGTAATATGTCCACAAATAATATATGTGCTAATCTACAGGGTTTTTTCATTTGTATAAGGACATATCCAATATAATAACAAAGAAATAAAAATCTGATATCAATTTTGAGAAGTGTCTTATAGTTAGTGTTGCAAATAGAATCTAAAAAACTTGAAATTAGTTTCAGAATTAAAATACACCTTTAAGAAGGAAGACCTTGGTGGTCTCCTGAAACAGGCATGACAGAGGGTCTGCCCAGAGATCTACTCTGCAACAAGAGGATACCAGTCTACTAAATCACTTTTACAGCTTCATACCAATGACACAGTTATCAGAATACAAGTGCCCTCTTGCCTTCATTTATAACTGAGATACATTTGTGTTCCTAATGATGTTATCTGGGAAAACAGTCCTCAAATCTGTGCAACACTGGCAATCAAGAATTTATGTAGATTGGCCAGAAGCCTACCGGGTAATAGAAGGCTTTGGAACTAGACCTGATTTGAAGGATTATTCAAAACTGCAACATCCAGCTCAGCTTACAATAGAACATCTAGCAAGCTTGTCCAATACACCTTATTTTGTTGTTGTTCTGTTTTGTTTTGTTTAAGGCTTTTAGCAGCCTGAAGCCGGGGTTTTTAGTTTCTGTCTCTAGTGATAAGTAGAAAAGAGGGAAGAGGAAGGGGCTTTACTGGCCCAATCAGAAAGAGAAACTAAGAACCCATGACTATATTCTCTCCCTTGGACATCCCTGAAAGCTTGGCCTATACTTAATGTTCTGACTGAGAGGAAAGACTAGAGATTTCCTTAGGATATGGAAATATACCTTGGTTAGGCTACCATGTTTTCACAGTGAGATCCTCCTCTGGCCTGTAACTAACTAGGGCACAAAATAAAAGGTAAGATGCTCCCTGCAGCCTACCACCAGATACATGTATCATGACCACATCAATATTACACAGACATAAATAAATTTCAATTATTCCTACCTCTCTTTGAATTACTGTTTCCATAATAGTGCCAAAGGCTGGAATTGTGGCAATCCTGACAGAGCTGTTAGAATTAAAACAGAAAGAAACTGAAGATTTGAGATGAACAACGAGTATTATTAAAATGTATATTAAAGTAAGTACAAGGTAAATATACTGTATTAGTCTCTAGCAATGACAAATTAAATAAATTTAAAAAAAGCAGACCAAGAAGAATGCTCAAAAAGACAGACAGGATAACTTAAGGTCGCAGTCTGTGAAACTCACAATTCAGGATCACTGGACAAGGTAACAAGGGCCGGAGCAACCCGCTTGTCAACTAACGCTTCACTCATGCCTCGAAGAGTCAGCTGTAAACCAGTCAACATGCAATAAAAAATGGTTTGGTAAACTGGAATAAGAACTGGGTTAGCTGTGACTGAGGATGGGCAGGCAGACTCATTGGCCTTTCTTGGTTTAGTCATCCACACGAGACATTAAAATGTTAGGCCATTGGTTCATGCTACTACACTTACTGGTAACAACCTGTTAGTGAGATTAGGAGAGCATCCCTTCTTGGCTTGAAAGAAACAGTCCATCAGCATATTTTAGGTTCTGGAAGTATTTATTGAGCACTAATGTTACTAATATATTTTTTCAATACGTGGCCTCCAAATTACACTTATGGTGAGGGTTGATTTAAAAAGAACCATGATATATAAAGAATAATGTGATAAAGTTTAAAATCAAATAAGCATAATCCAGTATTATTAATTTAAAGAGATTCTTCAATAAATTTAAGAGCTGATGGTTATTTCTTGACAGGCACATTTTGAAAGGGATGCCGAATATAAAAGGCAGGGATGACACTTACATTTCAGGGTCACTGGAGAGAGTAATGAGAGCAGGAACAACCCTCTGAGCTACCAGAGTTTCATTCACCCCCTTCACCAACAGCTGATTGGTCAGCACAGGGGGTATTCACAGGTGATGCACGGAAAGAGCAAACACAGTGCGCCACGGGAAGAAGGAAGGAACAACCAAGAGAAAGAGAGAAAACACAAAAGCAAAACCAAAATTAGAAGCTAAGCAAATACTGCTGCTAGAGTGCTTTACAAAGGCAGAGAATGCTTAGGAGGAAAATAAAGCTTAAGTAGCCTAGCGTCCATGAAAACAGATTTTGTCACCAGTTTAACAGCAGTTTGTACTTTTGGTCAAAGAGTCTAAGCAATTTCAATGTCCATCAAAATGCAACTGAAAAGAATACTTTTTTAGCTTGTTTGACACATATTGTGCTCTATGGTTAAAATTCTCAAAGTAAGGGTGGTATGCTTTTATCATGACCAACAGGGTACAAACTGGGCTGTTTTTAAACCAAACTCACAGGAGTAGCAGTCACCACTAAACCACTTATTATTGTGCTATAGCAAGTGTATTTTAAAACCATATAGGACAATTCCTAATCTTTTAAATAATATAGCCTTCTCTTTTGAGGTACAGAGATATAAGGCTGCCTATTGGAAAGTATTACACTTGGGAATCAGATCTGGGTTCAGACGTCAGTTCTCCACATATAAGCCATGTGGTCTTAGATACATAGTATTTTCCATAACCTCTTGAAACGCAAGTTTTCTCATCTGAAAATGGTGATATTATTATCTACCTCAAAGGGCTGTTGTGCTATGAATTTGCAAATAACATACCTAAATACTGTGCCTGACAAACAGGCATTCAAGAAATGAGAGTTTAATTATTTTGATTACTGCAAGAATATATGATTTGTAATATGTTTGGAAGAAATGATCTAATTTAAAAAACTTCAGTTAATATCTAAATAGGTCTTTGTTTTAGATTTCTTATAAATTCAAATAAAATGTAAAATAAAAAAGATGAGTAGAACTAGATCTCTATAATCTAATCACAAAACAATTCATTTAGCAACCAATGCTAAATTGCAATACAAGAGAACAATACTGAGCCGTATACATTTTGTTTGATAAATATTACTGAATTTTATGAGTTCAACCGAGAAGGGCAATCCCCTTCTCAATTTCAGAATGTAAGCACATATTAATCCTAAATGCTCACCAATCTGTTTACCTAGTAGCTAGTACTTAGTCCTCACAGAAGATCAAAGATGTCACAGAATTTTTTGTAACAAAAATCTACCATTGTGTACATATGTGAAGGTATTCCTCCTATATAACACATCAGAGAAAGTAACTCACTTTATGTGAAGATTCTTAATTTTGCAATGATTTTTCACCATTTACCAATTGATTCATTTTAGAATCTACTTCAATATTCTGAAATAATTTTTATAAAAAAACAGATAATTAACCAGGAATAAAATGACAAAGAACTTTTAATATCTTAAACATTACAGATATTGGATAGAAAGAAATAGGACAAGGAAGTTCAAATATTGTTAAATAAAACTTTCTTCTCTGTATCATTTTATAAGTAAGATTGCTTAGATTTGAATCAGCATCTTGAAATTTCTGCTATCTTGAGTCTGTCAAAAGCATTAAAAAAGAGGTAATGTAGAGGACAAATTAATTTTTCATTGGTGTAGGGTTTTTAAGTTCAATTTCTTTATTAAGCTAGAAAATCACAAAGTACATTTAAGAGCTATCAATTGTTATACACTTTAACACAATATATCATTTGATCTTTTCACTTGATGAAGTAAGTACAAATATCATCAATATTTTAACAGATGAAGAAACTGAGGCTTCGGAAAGTAACTTGTCCAAGTCTAAGTTGCAGGGCCTGCAAAGGAACTCTGTCCCATCTGACTTAAAGTCCATGACCTCTTTGAGTTGTGCTCTAATGTTACATGTTCAATTTCCTTATGATTAAAATATATATGAAGCTCTTTTCTGCATCTTTTGGGAAATTTATTATAACATGATAAATTCCTCTTATAAAATAATTTTATTAATTTGCTACTTCAAAAAGTAATTTATATTCCCTTATTTAACAATGGGAATAATATGATTGATTGGGTTCCCTCTTTTTGTCCTGCTGTCTAAAAATTAAACTCAATTTATTAGTGAATTTCAGTGACCATACCCTATTAGGTTCCTGGTATATGTATGCCTCATTTTCTTCTCATTTCTCATTTTCTTTTCTTTCTGGTCTTACCTTTTAAAAAAAGAATGTGTTTTTTTTATGTTTTTATTTTGAATTAACTTTTTTAGGGTAAGCAGGCATAATTCTAAATTATAAAGCATCAGTATCAAAATAAATCTTATGACCCATTATTCTTTTAACACAATTTTGTTCAAATAAGAACCACTGACAAAAAAGGAACTTTAATTTCTCTTACTGATAACTTTTACTGACATGCTCATTGAAATGTATCATTAATGAATTTGAAAAACATTGAAATAGTCTCTCAAACAAGATCCAGAAGTTCATCAACAACCTGAGAGGACACTGAAAACTGCTTAAGCATAGATAGATATAGTTTCCAGACCAGCACTGACAGCAAACAGAGAAACCAAAACCAGACATAAGCCACGTATAATAAGGCAGAAAACCAAACAAAACAAGCAAAAAACCTCAAAACAAGTGAAAAGGGAGGATTCATTCTATTTACTTATTTTCATTTACATGGTTTGATTCACCAGTGCACACTCACATTTTAGAGATGAAAGATTTAAGAAAAAGAAATAGCTTTTATGAGCTTAGAATAAAATCATAGGAAGAGAGTATATTAAAGAAATAGCTCTTCATTTAAAAAGATACTTTTTTCTTTTTGGGGAGAGGAGAGACTGATGAATGACTTTTCTTTCATGGTAATGCCCCCTTTTCAGCATATCGAATAATCAAAACGATTTATATCCAGAAGGAACTTGTACTAGACATAAAACCAAATAGTGGCTTTGGCATTCATCATCACAAAAAACCTGATTACGGCTTTTTAAAAGTTGCTTCTGTATGATAACTGAGGGAATAACATGGATGGAGAATTTTCAACTTCCTGATAACAATGGAATTTTCTGGAATTCACAAATCTAATTTACGTATTTGAAAATTTTAGAAAGCATATATTTTAAATATATCAGTACCCCATCTCCAATTGCAATTTATCTTAAATTGTGGAGAAATTCTGATATTCGGCAAGATTTGAATTAACCAATTCTTTTTATAGAAATAAATGTTTAGGTATTTTAAGAAACACATGAATATTGGGGCAATTTTAGTTTGGATAAGTATATGTTCCCTATTACTATCATATATTTTGTGAAGTAATAGCATGGATGGAAAAAATAATGATAATGACAGTAAACATATAAGCACTTATTATGTTCCAGAGACTGTTTTAAGGGCTTTACAAGCATTAATTAGTTTAATATTAACAAAAATCCTTTGAGACTGATACTTTGAGACAGATACTTTTTGTTATCAACTTTCTTTTGTACATGAGGAAACTAAGGTACAGAGAGGCTCAACCTTGTCCAAGTAATTTACAAAGTCACTAGGTAGCAGAGATGGAAACTGAACCAAGGCAGCCTAGATTTATTGCAAGACTGGAAATCAATAAGAAACAGTAAACCAATTTTAGTGCTCAAATAAAGTTCTAAACCTCAACCTCACTGCTCCCCACCTACACACATACTAGGGCTATGACATAATTTGCTATATGATGGGTACAAAACATAGTTATTTCAATTTCATACTTAACTTGGGTAGGTAGCAATTTAGTACAATTTAGGTAAATTACCTGGTCTCCTCTCTTTTGCAACTCTATGGGCAGTTAATGTATTGGGATGTTATTCTACATATGAAATGTTAGGGAATAGTGACGTAGGAGTAACCAATAAAATAAACATTTCCATAATTTCAATAATTGATTTTCTAATGCTACTGATAAATTCAACTATATTTTACAACTTGAAAGATATCCTATGTTGTTTCAGTTTATTTACCTCAGTAAATCAAAAAGTATAGTCAGAAAGAGTTATATAAGTTAGAAATTAAAATAAGATTTAAAAGATAGTTTGAGAAATAAAAGTGATAATTGAATAACATTCAAGGAACCAGTAAGCTGAGAAAACATTTTTAAATATGTTAAAGCTAAATTTCTGCCCCATCACACAGTACACAACCAGACACTGTTCAAAGCCATAAAATATATATCAACATAACATGATATGCAAAGCCTTTTTATTAAAAAAAATTCCCTTCTTCTTCGCAAAAAAAAAAAAATCATTATAATTGAAACCAACAGAGGCATGTGTTGACATACCTCAAACATTCTAGCAGCAGTACACCTCACGAGTGCTGAAGTATGGACAACACCATACCACAAAACAGTTAATAGTAACTCATGGTAGGCTGGGTTTGCACTAGAAGAAAAAAAAAAAAACAGTGTTAAAATTGAGAGCCACAGTCCCTTACTAGTGAACTGAAAAACACGATATTTATAAGGAATATTAATGATAATAATATTTGCAGAACATATGGAATTACTTTGTTTGGTTACATAGGTTACAACTAAGATTCTCGGCTAGGCGCAGTGGCTCACGCCTGTAATCCCAGCACTTTGAGAGGATAAGGTGGGCAGATCACGAGGTCAAGAGATCGAGACCATCCTGGCCAACATGGTGAAACCCTGTCTCTACTAAAAACACAAAAATTAGCTGGGCATGGTGATGCGCACCTGTAGTCCCAGCTACTCAGGAGGCTGAGGCAGGAGAATTGCTTGAACGCAGGAGGCAGAGGTTGCAGTGAGCTGAGATCGCACCACTGCACTCTAGCCTGGTGACAGAGCGAGACTCCGTCTCAAAAAACATAGAAACAAACAACTAAGATTCTCCAAAAAAGATGTCACCTTCCTTATACAACCACAATCTTTTAGCATATTCAGAAATCACACTTGTAACTTCTCTAAGAATTCACAATTGTGACAGATAATTCCACTCTTTTTAATAGCATGCAAGTTAAAATTATGAAGAAACAAATTTCTCCATGAGGAAAAAGGAAAGATCACTGGACTAAGAGTCAAGTGGGTAAATTACAACTTCTGTGGGTCTTGGTTTCTGCATCTATAAAAATTGGGGAAGCAGTACATGTCCTATGTATGTCACATGGTTGTTGTAGAATCAAATAAAATCAACTCAAACCATCTATACGGAAGGGTATGTTGGCTGTGAAGCCTATGCAAATGAAAGGTGGTATTATTAACAAATGCATGAGTGTGTTTTCAGTAAAGACTGAGATAAAATTATTTTAGCAGCCAGATGATGTGATGATGAGCAGGACTAAGCAAATCAAACAGTGAAAACAGGAGCCAAACAAGCTGGCTTTCACTTGGGGCTCCTTTTTCAGTTCTGGGAAACTAAATTTTCTTCAAATCTGTACTTCATTTTATTTCTCCAACTGCTTCAAAGAAAACATATGTCTGCACCCTTTCCCCTACTTTTTAAATTACAATGTATTGATTATAAAATATTAAGAATGAACAAATAAGCAAAACCAAGAAACAAACTAAAATACACAAAAAAACCCTTAAGTTTCAAAACCAAGAGAATTGGTGTGCATGTCAACTCTTTTAGACTTAAAATATGTACTCTATAAATCCAATCTAAAAACTTTATATGCCTTTTAGCAAACTATAAGCTGTTATTTCTTACCCCAATTCCACAAAAGAAGCCTTCAGGCTATCAAGAGGAGCATGAGATAATGAAAGCAGCGTCATTACATCTTCTAAGAATCCAACTAACAGTTTTCGGTCTTCTTCCTACAGAGGAAAAATACTGATACTGAATTTCCAAACAATCAAGTAGAACTAAATACCATATTTACCTATCTATAATTAGAAAATGTTACCAAATAAGGGGAAAATATCCAAATTTGGAAGCTATTTTAATTAAAAGATATTTATTAAGCATATCTATCATCAGAATGGTATGAAGACAGACTATCTTGATACTTTAATTTAGACCTGTGGTCTAATATAGTAGTAGCCACTAGCCACATGTGGCTACTTATATTTAAATTTAAATAAGAAATTATGTAAAGTGAAAGATTCAGTTCCTCAGTCAAACTGGGTACAGTGCAAAGGCTTAATAGACACACGTGGCAAGTGCCTAGCTGATTGGACAACTCAGCTGTAAATTATTTCCGTCACTGTAAAAGTTTGGATGTTTGGTCCTGATTTAGAACATTAAAAAGTATAATCTTTTATTAAAATTTACCTTACGAATTTTTGTTCCCATAAATTTTGGCTCTATATAATACAAACTACTAGAATAGTTACCCCGTTGTAGAAAAAATAGTAGAAAATTGATTTCTAAGAAATTATCTTTGCAATATCCTAGTGGTGAAAACTGCACACTTAGTAAAATATAGACTACTGTGTTCTTTTAAGAAACAGATGCACACCTTGATTAAAAAATAATCTGTGTTTTTCAAACTTTTTTCAACGAACTATTATTACTTTCATAATCAGAAAATATGTTAGAAAAAGAAAACCCGCTAAATTAAGAGAGTAAAAAAAATAATGTTTTATGTTAAATTAACCTAAATGTATATGGGAAGGGAATCTGATAGTCTGTCAGAAAATAAATACATAATAAAGTCAAGTCAACATTAGGGACACAGAAGGTCAACAGTAAATAGCTTCTGAATGTATCAATAGATCATGAGGAAGACTGGATTACCACCTATCCTTTTTTTTTTTTGCTACATAATCAGGTTAGTTAAGAATGAAGTAGAGATAAGGATTGACAAAAGTAATGGTTAACATGAAAAAAGGGTGAATATAACAGTTTTAGGACACACAATTTAACTGACAAATCAGCATCAGGACAACGCTGGAATGGTGATTTCACCCATTTTTAGTTGCCTACTATTTCAAATATAAAATAGACATAACTTTGGAAAACAAGCTGAAAATCTGAGAAAAACCTAAATGTGAAATAAGAGCTATAAAATAAGACTTCTAAATAAGTATGAATTCTTTCGATTTTTAAAAATTTACTATAATCTTATTTATCATTTTTGGACTCTCAAAACAAGTAATACTGCTTATGTATTTGATTCAAGATAATTTTTGTTTAATGTAATTTACCCTAACAAAAATTTTTGTTTAGTGAGATAAACATTAACTGCTGGTATGTGCTTCCTAAAATAAGAAACACTGGCAATCTGTGATTGCTACCTCAATATGCTATTTATTTTGTAATAAGCTGAAAAGTTCTTATCTCTTTACAGATATGAATAACATATTTAGACTTCATAATGACTCAAAAGAAATGCCCCTTATTCATTTATTCAACAGATCTATTCTGAGGGCCTATTATGAGCCAAACCTTGTTCTTGGCATTTAATTATTATGATTTAAAATGTTATTTATGGTCAAAATAAAAATATTAACAAAACTTCAAGAGGGTAAAAAAGAGAGAGAATAAAATACTGACATCGCACATTATACAAGGACACTTTCCAAAGTTAGAGAATGGTAGGCATACTGTTGCGTCTAGCACTGTTAGGACTTAATATCTTTGATCTCCACAAATTTATGAACAATAGAGACAATTTATTAACATACATGACTTAAAATCTTTTACAAACAGAAAAGTATCCATATCAGGGTAGTATTAGAAACTAGTGTAGAAAAGAAAAATTTAAAAGGATACTGTGCCACTTTAACAGAGCTGTAACTTCTATTGCAAGGTAATATGTGATACTGTATAACTGTATTTTAATACTACAGGATGATTCAAATTTGTCTTGAAAGAAGAGTATAATAACTGCCACCAAAACAGATATATAGACCAATGGGACAGAACAGAGGCCTCAGAAATAACACCACACATCTACAACCATCTGATCTTTGACAAACCTGACAAAAACAAGAAATGGGGAAAGGATTCCCTATTTAATAAATGGTGCTGGGAAAACTGGCTAGCCATGTGTAGAAAGTGGAAACTGGATCCCTTCCTTACACCTTATACAAAAATTAAGTCAAGATGCATTAAACACTTAAACGTTAGACCTAAAACCATAAAAACCCTAGAAGAAAACCTAGGCAATACTATTCAGGACATAGGCATGGGCAAGGACTTCATGACTAAAACACCAAAAGCAGTGACAACAAAAGCCAAAATAGACAAATGGGATCTAATTAAACTAAAAAGCTTCTGCACAGCAAAAGAAACTACCATCAGAGTGAACAGGCAACCTACAGAATGGGATAAAATTTTTGCAATCTACTCATCTGACAAAGGGCTATTATCCAGAATCTACAAAGAACTCAAACAAATTTACAAGAAAAAAACAACCCCATCAAAAAGTGTGTGAAGCATATGAACAGACACTTCTCAAAAGAAGACATTTATGCAGCCAACAGACACATGAAAAATGCTCATCATCACTGGCCATCAGAGAAGTGCAAATCAAAACCACAATGAGATACCATCTCACACCAGTTAGAATGGCAATCATTAAAAAGTCAGGAAACAACAGGTGCTGGAGAGGATGTGGAAAAATAGGAACGCTTTTACACTGTTGGTGGGTCTGTAAACTAGTTCAACCATTGTGGAAGACAGTGTGGCAATTCCTCAAGGATCTAGAACTAGAAATACCATTTGACCCAACGATCCCATTACTGGGTATATACCCAAAGGATTATAAATCATACTACTATAAAGACACATGCACACGTATGTTTATTGCGGCACTATTCACAATAGCAAAGACTTGGAACCAACCCAAATGTCCATCAATGATAGATTGGATTAAGAAAATGTGGCACATATACACCATGGATGCAGCTGGAAACCATCATTCTGAGCAAACTATCACAAGGACAGAAAACCAAACACCACATGTTCTCACTCATAGGTGGGAATTGAACAATGAGAACACTTGGACACAAGGCGGGGAACATCACACCCCGAGGCCTGTTGTGGGGTGGGGGGCAGGGGGAGGAACAGCTTTAGGAGAAATACCTAATGTAAATGACAAGTTAAGGGGTGCAGCAAACCAACATGGCACATGTATACCGATGTAACGAACTTGAACGTTGTGCACATGTACCCTAGAACTTAAAGTATAATAATAAAAATAAAAAAAAGAAAGAAGAGTACAATAAATATGAATTGCTGTACTTTGAATTTAAAGAGCAAAATAAATAAGTTAGTAGTGGGTAAAAATTCAGGAAACCATTGGAAAAGGTGTTTCTTCTTCATTCTTACATTCTAACTTCTAAAAGTGCTTTATCCCGAGTCAGTATTTCCACCTTACTGGTGGGACTGCCTCATACTTAAAAATTACTACTATGCTTTGAGACACATCATATGTTATTTACTTAAAACAATGTTAAGTAGAGTGTGGCAGCCTGTTACATTGGTGGCCACCACTGAACCACACCTCCTGGTTCACACCCTGGCTTACTTCCCTACTTTTGCTTGAATCTGAGCTGTGCCTGTGACTTATTTAGCAAGGGACTGCAGTAGAAACCATGTTGTGCTAATTCCAGGCCTAAGCCTTAGCCTAGCAGATTCTGCCTTTTCATTCTTGGGAGGCGTTAGCCACTATGTGATAAGTCTGGCTCTGCTGCTTCAGAAGCCATGTGGAGACAGAGAGAGGTCCTGAGACTTATGTAGAGACCTCTTCAGCTAACCCACTTACTGCAGCAACAGAAGTGACCACCAGCAAAAACAGCAGAAGAGGAGAAAGCTGAGTGAGGCCCAGATTGCAGAATCATGAGCAAATGAAACAGTTATAATAGACCATTATGTTTTGGGGTAGTTTGTTATGCAGTAACAATTAAGAAAAATAAAGTACAGGTTAAGCATCCCTAATCTGAAAATCCAGAATGCTCTAAAATTTGAAACTTTGTGAGTACCAAACTGATACTGTGTGTGAAAGCCTGTCATCATTTGCTGTGGCTGTTGTTCAACAGATGATACAGGTATTCTGGTGATGCTACTGTGCTTTGTTACCCTGAGCACATTATTTTTTCGCTGTATTGATGATATGTCATATTTTCTTATTGTTAAGTACTTACATGTGAAAAAGTATAAGAAAATGATTGCTTATTGGTAGCATATAAATGCAAAGTCAGGAATGATGATCGTGATGCCAACCAACCAGATTGTCCACATAGGTGGCTGAGACAGCAACTCCTTTGCTTTCTGATGGTTCAATGTACACAAACTGTTTCATGCACAAAATTATTTAAAATATTGTATAAAATTACCTTCAGGCTATGTGTATAATGTGTATATGAAACACATTTTGTGTTTAGACTTGGGTCCCATTCCCAAGATATCTCATTATGTATATGCAAATACTCCTTTATCTGAAAAAAAAAATCCAAAATCTGAAAACACTTTCATCCTAAGCATTTGAGATAAGGGATACTCAACCTGCCTTATTAAAAAGTACTTAGCTAAAAATGTTGATAAGGTATAGTGTTCTACAGTGCTTTGTAGCTTAGTTCACCTAACGTATGTGTTCTGCTTATCATTTATCTATGAAAAACTTATCATGGAACACAAAGAAACTCTGCTAAGTAAGTACAATCTAACACTTCTAACAAAATATCAAAAAGCTCATAATCTCTAAATTTATTTGTTCAACTGAGGTTTTACTCAGGCCCTTATTATTCAAATATGCTATCCATTATAAATTATTTATTGAATAAAATAAGTAAATTGTTTTTCTTTATTGGTAGCAATGTCACTTACATTAAGAAGACACAATACTAGGCATTTTTCTAAATGGAAAGCCTTTTACTAGAGAGTAAGAATTTTTCCCTTACCTGAATATAACACGTAAGGACTCCTGTTGCATAAATGGGGACTGTAGCTTTAGTGAGGACCCCATTTCCTGCTGAGGAATCTAAAATTATTAAAATAATTTAAAAAAACATAAGTATATTTTAAGTGTAAAGAAAAAAATCATAATGCGATTATATTTAAAATTACAACTGTTTACTAGGTTACAAGTAAGTATTATCATTACTTTGGAAAACATATGTTTATTGGTGGTTGTAAAATACAACTTAGTGTTTCCTGAAGAGCCACTAGCATAAACATTTCTGATAAATGGCAAAGAATTTTAATAACCCAAATGAGATGGTATACTCTTGATTTCCATAATTGGAAATCAGAACTTTCTTCTTGAAAGTCTTCTAAGCGTCCCTATAGGCAGGTTGTCCAAAATTTTTATGCTTTCAATTTGCAGTTTACTAAAATGTAAACACACTCACCTAAAAGCACATAGATATATGTTATTTGATCTATTTCTAGATATGAGGTAGTTTTCAGTACTAGCCTGAGTTCCTGAGCCCCTCCTGCATCCTCAGTAGGGTTTTCAGCCAGACAGAGCCCTGATTATTTTCATGGAGGGGGAAGGAATCATGCTAAGTAAAGCAGAGAAAAAGGGGAAAGTATGCAACCATAGTTCTGTGCCCTGTAACTGCTTTGTAAGAGATTTTCTTATACACCCTCTGTGGACAATTTCAAAAGAAAAGTTGTGAGAGGACAATTATCATTCACAGCACCAACAGCTTTTATTTACTGATCATGAGGCACTGTTTTAAGTGCTTTAGTTTGCTGTTATATTCCCAAGAATAGTTTTTTACTATACTATACTTATTTTTTATATGGCTTTAAATTATTTTCTGAGGGTACTACATAAAGAAATTGAGTTGAAAAGATTTATTTAACTGCCCTGAAGAAATTTTGCAAAAAAGACAGTTCCATTTTCACATTAATTAGTATTTGAGGTTTGTTTATTCTCTTGGTGAGAGTACCTTTTTTGGGGAGGGAGTGTGGATGTTAATGTTAGAACATAAGCTTAAAGTATATTCATAGATTATTACAGGGGTTGATAATCACTTCCTATTTATTTCAACAGCTAAACATTCATGGCTAACTAATAATTCCAAAAGCTGTCAGTTTTTAAAATATTTACCTTTTTTCTTCACTAATTTATCACAAGAATTAATAATAAACATATATTACCAACAATTTAGGCATTATAAAATCAATCCTTTAAAAAGACATTAAAAATAAACATTAGGAGTTATTTGTCCACCGCCCCCACACCCCAAATCTCTTCAATGTCTTCAGGCTTAAAAGAATTAATTTATTCATTTTCTGACTACTTCTGAGGACTGCCAAAAATGGTGTTTTCTAGACCATTCAACTCAAACCACTAAGGTGTGTGTATATATATATATGTATACACACACACACACACACACACACACACACACACATATATACCTAGACTATATATATATTCTATACACACACACACACACACACATACATATATACCTAGACTATATATATATTCTATATATAGAGAGATATATATTCAAAATCAACCAAATTAAAAATGGGGGTGGGGGTGCTACACATGTTCCACAGTTTATTCCTAGAAACTAGAAAAATACATAGGGACACAAGATCCATACATAAACAAGTCCTTAGGCCAATGGTACCATAACTAGACTCGTTAAAGTAGATGAGTGAAAACTATCAATGAAGTAGCTGGAGCTACCCATTCAAGTCTGTAGTTTCTCTCATGTTTCATTTTGAAAACATATATGCTTATATACCGTTCTTTTCCACTATGTTTAATTTTTAAAAGTATTATAGAACTAATTAGGAATTAGATGCAGCTTATTTTATAATTGTCAGTCTCTTGAATATACTACTTCAGACCTCTAAAGGTTGAGTACCCAGGTTGTAAAGCTCAGCCTTATATCAATTTGGTTACAATGAAGGTATATATTCACAATCAGATTGACAGGGATTAATCTCACTGCCACTAATGGGAAGGATATTAGATGTGACACAGTTATAAAACCAAGAACTCCATAATATAAGTTTTCCTTTTCAATTGTAGTTGCTAGTTCATTTATACAATTTACATATATGGAGAATATAGTATTTTTCCTGCATAAAGAAATGCAATTGTTTTTAAAAGTAATAATGAACAAACTCACCAATGTTTTCTTCAGATAGTCTTAAAATCTCCTGGAACTGAGGTTTTACCTAAGCAACCCAAAGAGAAGATTCAAAAAGTCTCAGGTTCAATGGGCAAATTGATTAAATGAAATGTTTACTACTGTTGCTACTACTATTCATTTATTTATTTAGCTTTATAGATGACTAAGTTAAGTGGTCAGAAATGTAATAATTCTTAATCATGAGGCTTAGGATAGAAGAGTCAAATTAATGAAAATAAAAACTTTAAGGATAAATTTTTGAAAAAATCAACTCAAGTCAACAAGTGAATGGCCTCTGGTTTCTTTTATTAAATTAAAATAATTTCCAATATGATTTTAAGTGGTTGAAATTACTGCCTTCTAAAACTGAACTTGGTTATAGAAGGATTATTTAGGTAGATATTACATGGTTAGAATTATCGAAAAAAGCATTTGCCTGTATTTTTAAAAAACGAAAAGGAAATTCCAGTCACTTCAGGTGTTTAGTAAGTAACATATTCATCCTGTGATATTTATGTTCATCTTTTATTACAACTTTTCAAATTGAAATATGAAATACAGAATTTAACTTTAATATGTTAAGTTAGAACAGAGGTTTGTTTAAATTTTTTATTATTAAAATTATCACAGATTTCAGGCCACTGAAGACAACCACTTACTGTTAAGTACATAAGTAGATTCCTACTTGCTTTTCTAAAAAAAAAAATAGCTACTTGTTTTGGAGATATCAAACAATTTTTGCCAATATTGATAACAGGAAAATCAAATTATATTTGTTTAACAACTGAATGCTAGTGAAAAATACAAAATAATTTTAATTTTCTTTTTCCTACAATAACATCAAGGTCTGGTTTTTGCCCTCCTCTCTGTAGGTGAGGCACATTAATTTATATATTTAGCTTAAACTGAGAGAAAGGCCAATGTTAAAAGGTTCATGTACTGAATTGCGCTAAGAGAATTAAAAGACACTGAAGCAAATTCTTCATTTCACACATGAAAAGACTAAGCCCACATAATTTAACTTAAATAGTAAAGATCATAAACATTAGTCAACAGATAATAGGACCATAACCCAAGTCTTCTGAATTTTGTCCAGTTCCTTATAGCATACTATTTACTTTAAATGTTTCAACTATAGATTTAATAGTAAAGAGCTACACTAAATTAAATTTAATAATTAAAATGCTTACCTTTTAAATGTGTTTATTAACATTTGATTATAGAAACTACACCTTTTTATGTTTTTATTAGCTCTCTAAAGTACTGGCTTAACAAAATGTTATGAAGACAAATGGATTAATAGGATTAATGAATAAATTAGGATCTAATGACATTCCAATGTTAATATTTGAAACTACAAAATAACCTGGATAGGCAAATGTGACAAATGATACTTTTGGTAATGACTGAAACATGTAGAATTTATCTCCAGTGTCCATGCTATTCTAAGAGGTGGCATCTTCGCAGCAAGTTTTATATATAAGTTGCTGTGGTTCCATAATCGCTTGAGGTTTTTACCAAAGTGTGCTGAGCAAACAGCTGCTTCCTGAACCTGTGATAGACAGTAAGTACCAGCAGCACATTCAAAGGATTGTGGTTGAGTTCCCTAGCTGACACTTCCTATATTGAAAATCTTTGAGGATATCTACAATGAGTAAAGCTTATATCCAAGTCTGGATATGAACTAAGCTTAGGCTAAATCATCTTCTGAAAATCAGTAAAGATAAGAATATTACCAACTAGAACTTTTTTTTACTATCATAGTATTCTAGGATATTAAAGAAGCGAATTAGATAAAAGAATGGTTCATGCTTTTATTTACCCTGTTACAGTGTTAACACATTACATTTCTATGTCTTTTTCATATAAGAAAACATGGAATACAAGTTTTTACCTTAGTGTTTGTAAAAATTTTGCCAAATGTCCGGCAAAGGCGCCAGAAAAATCTGGAGAATTCATGGACACAGGCAGTTGAAGTAACATTAATTTTGCCAACTATTTCTATAAGTTGTGGCAACCTGAATATGAAAGGAAAGAAAAATAGGCAGGGGATACATATAAATTACTGTTTCCTTGCCAATTTCTGAAACAATGCAAATCTAATAACCTGTTCTATTTCGTTCTTTGAAAGGAAAGGCATTGTCTGGGACCCTCTGAATAGGTTGTAAGATTACATTATACTGTATAGACTTAAAAAAGTAAATTTTAACTGTTTGCCAGAAAATATATGAAACCTTAATGGTAGAATTCCGAGTACAGAGTTAATGTGACTCAAATCTATGGATCTGATGCTTCACACAAGAGCTTGGCTTTACATGGCATCATTTTAGCCTCAAAAATGAGAAGTCTAGATGTAGTTTAAAATCCATCACCACGATTGGACAAACAAGATGGCAGATAGATCATTCGGATAAAATACAGCAACATCTTCTTCTCAGATAAATTACATATCCAATGGTGTGAATCCTCTGTGTCCTAAAGGTGTTTACCAAAAATGATGCCGAGTTACATTTTAAAAGTTTTGTTATATTTTGTTCTTAGGGCCAAGGCTAAATATAAGAGTTATCATCTATTCAAATTAATATGGAGGTGGTAACTTACAATTGATTGACAACCCACAGTAAACTCTCCCAGCCTGTTGTACCCTCTTGTTCTAGCTGGTAGTCATAAAGTTGCAGCAGCACTGCCAATTGCTCACGACTTCCGATAATAGTGGACACATCTTGAAGAGGCGACATAGGCCGAGGAAACCTAGTCACTACACATAAAAGAAGCAAAATAAATCATATGGAAATTGGCATTTTGGGAACTTAGATATTCTGTTGAAAGGAAAATAAGGTCCTTTCTCCTCATATTTAATTACTTTCTTATTGTAAATTTTAAATATAAAATTGAAATACACTAATTAAGTCATTTTTAGGAAAATCAAGAAATTCCTGTGATATGAGAACAAATCCAACAAATCTCAAAAGATTTTATTCCCACAGCAGAATGTAAGCTCTATGAGCAGAAATTTTTATCTATTTTATTCATGATTGTGTCCTAAGTGTCTAAAACAATGCCTGACATAAATATTTGTTCATGTTGTGTAATAAATTGGTACTAAAAATATTTGTGTGGGTTACCATTTTTATGAGAAAACAAATCTTCATTCATAACAAATTATAACCCAAATTTTATGTGTGTGTATATATAAACGGACATATAGACATATGGATATACCCTAAATAAGGATATAATAAATCCTTATTTATAATAAATACATTATAACCTAAATGAAGGTATAGTAACATTAACATTTATAGCTACTGTTAAAAGTCAGAAAGTTAAACTAAGTCAACAAGAATGAAAAATAAAGGACAATCACAAGAAAAGGTCACATAAATGTTAGAAGGGAATCCCATAAGTATTAGAAGGATATGTTCAGGATGATACTGTTCTATCTAATCTCCAGCATATGCTTGGCAATAGATGACATTTAAGAATCATTTGTTAAATAAATGAGAGAATGATAACAAGTATTATGAGTTGAACTGCCCCCCGCCCAAATTTTTATGTTTAAGTCCTAACCTATAGTATCTCAGAATGGGATCTTATTTGGAAATAGGGTTGCTGTAGATGTAGTTAGACAAGATGAAATCATACTGAAGTAGTCGCTTATCCAACACAACCGATGTCCTTATAAGAAGGGAAAATCTGGACACAGAAACAAGCACACAGAAAGTGTGCCACGTGAAGATAAAGGCAAGGTTTGGGGTGATGCATCTAAAAGCCAAGAAACACTAAAGAGTGCCAGCAAACCACCAGAAGCCAGGGGAGAGCCCAGAACAGCCTTTACCTCGCAGTTTCCCTAAGACTACCCTGCCAACACCTTGATCTCAGACTTCTAAAATTCAGAAGTGTGAGATAATAAATTTCTGTTGTTTAAGCCACTCAGTTGGTGGTCCTTTGTTAAGGCAGCCATAGTAAACGAATACAGAAAGCTAAAAAGAAAAAGGGAATTAGAAAGATAGGAAAATCCCTAGGCAGATGAAATGCCTAAATGAGTAAGAGTAAAGGGGTAGAACCTGAAGTGGCCAGCTGGGAGAGCTTTATGAAGTCTTATCTAAAGTCTGAATTTTCATTCTCCTCAATTTAAAAATGTTAAATTAACTCCACACCATTCATTCTCAATTTTCCAAATAAAACTGACATCCAAATAGTATACACTATTTTTATCATGTGGCTTCATGTATCTTTGGACACACTGCATCATACTCCAAATATTATAGGTAGCCTACAGTTTACATGAAAAATGAAATTCAAGAAGATTGTCTGTTGATGTTCTCAATGTTATAATTCTTTGTCCATTAGACACCAGTAAGAGACATGGATAATTTCACAACTCTGAAAAGGCTGCAAAGGTGCCTGATACATAGCAATAGCTTGTCTATAGCCATTTGTCCTGGACGTTAAGGTGCAACAGGGTTATCAATTGCCTGTCAAGTTTCAAAGGTCATTTACTAGCTACTCGGAGAGTAAGATAAGAAAATACTGGCCTCTCCTGTCAATTTTATGTACTTCTGAAAGTAAGTCACATTTCTTCTTTGGAAAAACACAAATTCTGCCACAGATGCTTTTATATTTCTTTCTATCAAGGACATAGTAGAAAAAAGTAATTATATTTACCTTCCTCTATTAAAAATAAAATTAAAAAGTTGGGGAAGAAAATATAAAGAAAGCAGAAATGACAAGCTTCATATACTGGCACTAGTAACTATTAAAAGAATCTTTTGTTGACTCAGATCTATTAACGGAAGGAAATATTTATTTCAGCCTCCCCAGAAAGGCTATAAAAAGGCTATAGATTAAGAGCAACAAGAAAGTATAAGTATTATAAAATAAGACAATGGGGCTTATCCATAAAAGATGAAGCCATATTGTTTACCATACGTATAATCTTATGACCATGAGATTCTACACACATAATACATTTTAAAAATTATGCTGTCATATAAAGTGATTTTTAGACTTTTAATAAAAAACAATTCTTTGGGAAGCTAGGCTGCTAATATTCTACATTTTTCTTCCAGAATTTAAGTTCAGTACCTTCTATCTGTGGCACTTCACCATGAAGCTTGGCTTTGCTGGAGAAAGGTGCATTCTGTAGCACTAATGCAAAGAGAGATGGGATCAAGGACTGCAAGGCAGAAAGATACATGTGGAGTTTGTGTTCATCCAGTCCATGTTCTCCTTCCTGAAACATAAGGAGGTGGAAGCTAATTTTAGTCTTTTGAAGTTACATTGCTAATTGGATTTATGTATGATGTTCTTCCTTACTGTGGCAAATCAAAGATTTAAGGACCTTTATGTTGGACTCAAACAAGCAGTAAGGCACTCTAGAGTGGTAGAATCTTTTACATGGAAAACTATAGGGTAAACATCAGTCATTTCCATTTGTAGGGAATAGTTTTTGTAATTTTACTTTTTCATTAGAGAAGGTCTTATCTTTTGAAATTTTATAAGACAGGGTAAAGAAATTAAAGTAAGGGACAGGAATCACTTTATCTTTTTTCTTGTTAGAATTGATACATAAATAATTGTACATATTACGGGGTACCATGAGATATTTTGATACAGGCATACAATGTGTAATGATTGAATCAAGGTATTGAGATATGCATCACCTCGAACGTGTATCATTTCTTTGTGTTAGGAACATTCCAAATTTTCTCTTCTAGCTATTTTTCAAATATATAACACATTATTGTTAACTATGGTCACCCTACTGTGCTATCAAACACTAGAATGTATTTCTTCTATCTAACTGTATTTTTCTGTTCATTACTCCCCCAGACCCCAGCTTCTGGTCCATTTCATTCTTTACCTCCTTGAGATCAACTGTTTAAGCTCCCACATGTGAGTGAGAACATTCAATATTTGTCTTTCTGTGCCTGGTTTATTTCACTTAACATAATGTCCTCTAGGCTACCTGCTGCAGCAAACGACAGGATAGCATTCTTTTTTTAATGGCTGAATAATATTCCATTGTTTATATATACCATATTTTCTTTATCTATTCATCTACTGATGGACACTTAGGTTGATTCTATATCCTGACTATTATGAATAGTGCTGTAAGAAATATGTGAGTGCTTGAAACTCAACATGTAAGTCCTTGAAAGTATATATCTTTTCAATATACTGACTTCCTTTCTTTTAGATATATACCCAGTGGTGGGATTGGTGGATTACAGGTATTTCTGTTTTTAGTTTTGTGAGGAACTTCCACACTGTTTTCCATAGTGGCTGTACTAATTTACATTCCTACCAACAGTGTACGAAGGTTCCCCTTTCTCCACACCTTGACCAGCATCTTTTTTTTTTTTTTTGTCTTTTTAATAATAGTCATTTCAACTGGGGTGACATGATACTTCATTTTGGTTTAGATTTGCATTTACCTGATGATTAGTGATGTTAAACACTTCTTCATATAACTTTTGGCCATATGTCTTCTTTTGAGAAGTGTTTATTCAGATCATTTGCCCATTCCTTAATTGGATTTTTTTTTTTTGCTGTTGAGTTGTTTGAATCCTTACATATTTTGGTTATTAATCCCTTGTTGGATGGAGAGTTTGCAAATATTTTCTCCCATTCTGTAGGCTGTTTGTTCACTCTGCTGATTCCTTTGCTGCGCGGAAGCTTTTTACTTTAATATAATCCCATTTGTCTATTTTTGCTTTGTTGCCTATGCTTTTGAGATCTTTCTTCAAAAATCTTTGCTCAGACCAACGTACTGAAACAATGTTTTCTTTTAGTAGTTTCATGTCTTACATTTAAGTCTTTAATCCATTTTCAGTTGACTTACTGAAGAAACTGTCCTTTCCTCAATATATGTTCTTGGTGCCTTTGTCAAAAATGAGCTGGCTGTAAATGTGTGAATTTATTTCTGGGTTCTCTACTCTATTACACTGGTCAATATGTCTGTTTTATGCCAATACCAAGATGTTTGGTTACTACTGCTTTGAAGTATATTTTGAAGTCAGATAGTGCACTTTTTCCAGATTTGTTCTTTTTGCTCAGGCTTGCTTTGGTTATTCAGGGTCTTTTGTGGTTCCACATGAATTTTCAGATTGCTTTTTCTATATCTTAAAGAATGTCCTCCATATTTTGATAGGGATTGCAATGAATCTGTAGATCACTTTGGGTAGTATACACATTTTTAACAATATTAATTCTTCTATGAACAACTAAATATGGATATCTTTTTTTTTTAACATTTCCTCTTCAATTTCTTTCATCAGTGTTTTATAGTTTTCATGGCAGAGATCCTTCATCTCTTTGGTTATATATATTCCTAAGCATTTTTTATAAAACTATTGTAAATGTGATTGCTTTCTTGATTTTTTTTTTAGCTTATTCACTGTTGGCATATAGAAATGCTCAAACGCTAACCCAGCAGCATTTCATGCTATAATACTTCCCCTCTCCTACTTCCTATCTCTTTTTATAGATTTGGCACATAATATGCACTACACAAATAATAATTTCTCTTCTAGTCTCTAAAAGAAACTTTTAATACAAAAATTAGATCAAGAAGTTTCTATTGTTCCATCAACATTTCTTTAATTCTTGTATGTGGGAAAAATTAAAAGTTCATTTTAAAAATGAGAAATGAACTACTGGAGTGGAATAACCACAGTTAAAGCAATTTTGACACTATGTAAGAAAGCTTTAGAGACTCATTTTCTCTGCATTCTGGAACTAGAGTTGATGGTTTGTGTAAAATATTTAAGTACTCAGAAGGGTCAAGAAAGAGCTGGCTTTCTGAATAATGTAGGAGTTACTTCCATGAAGGTGCATTTCAGTTAACAAATGCACATCATGCCCTTTCTCTTCCTCCAGCTTCAGCAAAGCAAAACTTCCTCAAATCTCTTTCTTGGCTCCAGTCCAACAGCATCTTTAACTGGTAATGTATTAGTATGTTAAGCTAAGGGCACTTTCTGTCTCTGTTCTCTAACATTGTTCCAAGATGGCTTAGGACAGACCTTTTAAGTTTCTACAAACTATATAAACAAAAGAAGAACTTACCCTGAGAAGTTTTTCAATCTTGTTCAGTAGTGTAAGTATAAGATGAGACTGTAAATTTCCAAGTTCTGTAGTCCACGCAGCGTAAGCTGGTAAAAATACTTGATGTGTAGCACTAACTACTCTTTCTGAGGGATCACCCAAGGCTGACAGCAACAATTCAAAACCCTGTCAATGAGAAAAAGGCAAATGTAGATTTTTAAAGGGATAAACTTAAAATAAAACACTTAATAAAAAGTAATAAAAATTTCAATAAATTAAGAACATATTTTTAAGCAAGAAAGAAGGCCATCCATAATCCTAGCCTTGCCATGTATCCACTGATGAGCAAACCAAAGAGAGGGAGTGGTAAACATAGAATACCTCTTGCCAATTTCCTGCCAGAAAGCTGTGGCAGATACTATAACTGAAGTGTAGCATTCTCTCCTCTGAGCTGCAAAATTGAAACCAGGCAGCCATCCCCAGATGACTAAAGTTGACATACCTGCCATCCTTATGATACATTATAAAGTATCTAAATCAGAGATTTGGAATATTATAATACTTGGAATTTTATAATGGAGTAAAATCAGTTCATTCTGAAAAACATACCTGATGATATTTGTCTGGATCATCAATGTATCCCATAATGATACCAAGGCTTTTGATAACAGCTTCTCTTACCAAATCTGCCTTATCTTCCATTAACATTTGTTGCAACATTGAAAGAACCAAGGAGCTACGGATTTCTTTCTGAAAATAAACATGTTTTTACTATTTATTTACACCTAAGCACAGAAGTATAGAAAATAATATGACAAACATCAGTGTGGTCAAAATCCAGATTAAACAGGTATTAACATTTTTATTAAAAATGCTGACTAACTGTTGATGTACAGAGATTTTGCTTCAGACCTTTTTTTTTTGAAGACATAAAACATTACAGATACAGCAAAAATATCACTCATGCCCAAATCCCTTCCTCTCTAGAGGCAGTAATATCTACTTTGAATTTGGTATTTATTAATCATCTCTCAGCATGTTTTTTATATCTTTACTAAATATGTAAAAATCTCTCAAATCCTTGCAGTTCACACTAGGAGGCACTTTCAACAAATCAACAAAGTCTACTACAAACTCTACTACAAATGGACAATGACTCTCGTGTCACTATTTGTTTCACTCAGAGAAGAGCACTGAGAGTTTTAACAGGAGGAACTACAAAAATCTCTCTGGCAATTAGAAAATTTGTCTGGGATATGGTGAGGAAACCTAAAATCCTGGCATTCCTATTTCTTTGAAGAAGTGGGAAAAAAAGGATAATAAAATAAGAGAGTGAACTTTAAAAGTACTTAAAAATTGCATTGCTCTTTTTTATGCTAATAGTTAATATAATGTACACCCACTGCTGTGCCTTGATTTCACACAGAATATTTTCCAGTTATGATAAAGAGTGTTTTAGCTTCATGGCTGAGGTTAGGATAAAGAGCTACCAATATACAAATTCATGCTCCTCCTCTCCTACTTGTACTAATATTGCAATTTATAAAATTCTTAAAACATAAACTTGTTTAGGTCCTTTTTACATACAATAACTACGATAAAATAAAAATAAAGGCAGATGACATGGCTATTTGCATAAATTTACAGCATGATTTGGTATGTAGAGCAAGGCTTGAGAGACATTTTTAAAAAGTCTGGTTTTCACTTTTTAGAAACAAAAATACATGCAATTTTAGCATATCTTAAAACACATTTAGGTTGGTGAATATATAACATCTTTTGGTACAGCCTCATTTATTTACTTTTTAGGCTAAAAATTGCCCTAAAATATCTTAAACTATTTAAAGGGACTTGTTGGTTGGTATCCACACAAGGCAATATGACAGAGGAAAATAAGCTTCAAGTGGGCATTTGCTTTATGCTGATTTAGGCAAGGGTCAACTGTGGCAATCAGTTTTAGTATGCCACAGGGACCCCACCAGAGCATTGGTCAGGAGGCATTACTCTATTTAAGTCATGAACACACTGAGAAACTGCCAATGTAGAGACATTTTGCTGCTATCAGTGACAATGGGGTACGCAGAAGGCAAACATAGATCCGCTGAGGAAACATTGTATCTATTATTAATACTGCTTAGTATTCTAGGATCAGAGTAGAACAGCCTATTTATCCTTTGAGAGCAAGGGATGCTCATCTGTCTTGGAACAATAAATAATAAGATGCTCAAAACCATTTGCATCAATCTGTATGATTTATCACAACAATAAGGCATTTTCTTCCACTAGAAAAACATTAAAAAAATTTCACCGTGCCTAGTTCCTGGTGAAGGTATGGGAAAATAAAAACTCCAAGGTACTGTTAGTAGGAGTATAAATCCACTGGCAATGAATGCTGTCTACTTGGTTTCCTTGAAGTGACATTCTCACTCCATCCAATTTCATGAAAATGTCTGCCACATACCCAAGTCTGAAAAACCAGTTTGACTGTAAGTGTTTCTGTGAAGTAAAATTGGTGTCCCATTAAAAAAAAAGCAGCTAGTTGAGCTCATAACTCAAACAACTGCCTAAGTGCTTTTCCTGCAAATGGCTATAATTTTTCAGTATGCAGCAAAGGGTTTTTATATGAGTACTTTCTATTTTGTCTCACAGAATATTAAAAAGATGCATGCTTCACAGGTCAAAATTTAGTAAAATAAATAATTTTACTGATTCAGCAAGCTCCTTTTTAGGTGAAATTGGCTTTTTCTGCAAAAGCATGGCAGTAAAGAATACAATCATTATTATAATAGTACATTTGGGTGCCACTGCCCTGATTAGTGCTAATGCAGCAGCATTTTTGCCCATCCCTGCTTTTGCACCAACAATACAAATTTCAACACAGTGAAAGAGACAAAAAGTGTCTTATTATTATGAAAACAGTTTTCTCCTCATGGACCTTTTTGGAAGGATCTCAAGGAAACCCCCAGGGTCCTCAGACCACACTATGAGAACTGCTGATATAGTTTAATATATTTATACTCATCCAAAATCAGTGGTAATGTACCTATGTGTCTGCAATGCCATACTGTACTAATGTGAGTCTCTTTTTTGGATCATCTCTTTTCTTTATTAAGACAGCACATCTAGGAGACATTTGGATTAAAATCTATAAGACACTCAAAAAAAGGTTTTTCTATTATTGGAAAAATAGTTTAAAGAAAAAAAAAAAGACAATCTTACAGGAAGGTAAGGTGCCAGTGCTCCACAGGATTCTGCCACAAGCAGTCGTCTTTCTGGGTATTTGTGATTAATCTAGAGCAAAAAAAATAAATAAATCAAGCATAAACAGCATACCCTCCCTTCCTTCAAAAGAGAATTACATTTCACCACAAATCCTGTTAAGAATGCAATAAAGCTTCTTCCTTTTCCACTTCTGGGAATCCCTGTTTGACTATACCTGGATCGGGAATGAGGGAGTGAGGGAGAACCTAAATATGAGGTTACAGGGGTCATCTGTTAAAGAAAAAAGGGAAAACCAAGATGAAAATTTGGCAAGGTATCTAGAGATTATGGGCTTGCCTAAGAGTAGGCCTTCCTTAGAGTAACAGGAGAAACCAGGACCTTTCCCTAGCAAGAGTAGAATATTTTTAAACTTGGAAAACTCAGCTTCTGGATCTTATAGATACGGTCTATAATATGTGCCAGTCTTCTTTCTTCAACCTAAGGGATGAGGAAGGAAGTTAATCAATGATTTGACCAGAACCCTTGCTAGAAATATGCTTTTATTTATAAAGTAAGCAGACTTCAATCCATTCCTCTGTTTGCAAATGCAAAATGATGGGGTTTTGCTATTGTGATGACTACACTGAACCATAACCAAAAATAACAAAAAAAATGACACATACTGGGTTTTGTTCCCATATGTCTTCTTCATAGAATATAAATCTTTCTTTGACTGGAAAAGGAGTATATTTGTTCTCATATTCCCATATGAAAAGGTGACATAATTCATTAATGTATTGGATGCCTAAAATTAAGAAAAAAAATTATATAATAATCTACTGGGCAACAAACTGGAGGTAGGCGGCTAGATAGATCCCCGATATCCAAGTTTACTCAGGTTACAGAAGAGGTGGCAGTAGAGATGTTTATAACTGACATCTTTGAATTAAATTTAATCCAGATGTAGTTACCTCAAAAGTAGAATGTTTGAATGTCAACGTATGGCTGTGCATAAACTTTCGTTTGCTTTTCTTTAGCTCAGTAAGTCTCAAAATTGAAATGCAAAAATCAATTGTATGTCTATATATTAGCAATGAACAAACTAAAAATAAAATTAAGAAAAAAGTCTATTTACAATAGCATCCAAAAGCATGAAATACTTAGAAATAAATAAAACAAAAGGGCAAAACGTACACTACTCGGAAAAATACAAATTACTGTTGAGAGAAATTTTAAAAGACCCAATGCATGGAAAGACATCCTAAATTCATAGAATGAAAGACTTAATATATAAAATTAGGATGGCAATACTCTCTAGATAAATCTATAGATTCAATGCATTGTTTATGAAAATCCCAGCTGGCTTCTTTGCAAAAATTGAAAAATGATCCTAAAATTCATAAGAAAATTCAAGGGACCTGGAACCGTCAAAATAATCTTGAAAGAGGAGAACCGAATTCAAGCAGTTAGGGTTTGTCTTTGGGATAGCAAAAATGTTTAAAAACTGATTGTAGTGAAGCTTGCACAACACTGAAACCATTAAATTGTACACTTGAAAAGAAAAAGACAAAAGAAAATGGAAAAAATATAAAAAATTAAATGTGCACAATTAACTGTATAGAATTGTAAATTGAAAGTTATATGGATATATTGTACCCAAGTTATTTTGACTCCAAGTGATTAGAACCTCACCCTAAATTAGTATGCACTGTAATTTATAGATGGTATAAGGGATTGTGACAGGTAGTTATTATTATATGTAATGTTTACTTTGTCTATTGAATCTAGGGTTTCTACTTTATTTTGGTGGAAAAAATGAATGCCCAAAGAACTTGGGAATAGGACTATAAATGACTAATACTTCAGTGATATTCCAGAGACTAATATTTTTCTTAAGAATAAGTGACTGTGCTATTGTAAATAAAGCCATGTAATTTGTCTCCATAAGCAGGAAACACATCTTTTTAAGGTGGAAAAATAAGGTGCTGAATGATCTAAACATTAAGTCTAGAAAGTCAATGATTCTGAGTTATACAGAGGACTGGAATTTTAAATTCAATGTAAAAGCAAAATCATTGTTAGTAAAATAATGAGTTCAAGTATAAATACAAAAACCTCCCACATCAAAGATTTACACCTTATATATTTGTAATATATACAAGTATACAATATATATTTCTATTTACACACACACACACACACACACACACACACACACACACACACACAATCTTCTTGCTGTTTCTTCAAGTATACTCCCACCTCAGGGCCTTTGTTCTTGTTGCATCTTAGTTCATTCAGATTCTTTCCTAAACATCATTGCCTCAGAGATTCTTTCTCTGACCACCCTTCATAGGAGAGCATTCCCCATCACTCTCTCACCCTTATCCTGCTTTATTTTTCTTCTTCATAATATAAATTACTACAAAATAGCAGACCATTTCTTTGTTTACTCATTTTCCCATTAGGATGTCTTTGTCTTTTGTTCACCACTGTATCCCTAGTGACTACCTCAGTACCTGGCACTGAAATTAGTGTTTCATAAGTACTTGTTGACTGAATGAATAAAGGAAAGCACCCCAGAGCATTCGTAAGTACTAATAAATCACTGTGCTGGGCTACAGAAACATCAGCATAATTTATATCCCACATATTTCTTAAACGCCTTTAAAAAGGAAACTATGTATCTTCTTAAGAAATCAGGCTATAATAGCTAGGTGAAAACTCAATACAGTTATTTACCTGTTCCCAACACTGTGGTAAAAGTTCAGCTTCTACACGTGTTGGTCCAACATGACGCGCAAATGCCACACAACCTGTCAGTATCATTTGCCTGAAAAATAATATAAAAAACGGCTTGTATTTGCATGAGAAAGCACAACTAGGACTAAGGGTTAAAAAAGTCTCATCTCTATAAATTCACATAGAGTACAAGATTTTTATACAATCAAATTAGACTTTTTATTTATTTATTTTTTTTGAGATAGAGTCTGGCTGTCTCCCAGGCTGGAGTGCAGTGGCATAATCTTGGCTTACTGCAACCTCCACCTCCCAGGCTCAAGCAGCCCTCCCACCTCATCCTCTCGAGTAGCTGGGACTATAAGTGTTCACCACCATGCCCAGATAGTTTCTGTGTTTTTTTGTAGAGACGGCGTTTCACCATGTTGCACAGTCTGGTTTTGAAAAATTAGACCTTTTGGCCCGGTGCAGTAGCTCACGCCTGTAATCCCAGCACTTTGGGAGGCTGAGGCGGGCAGATCATGAGGTCAGGAGATAGAGACCGCCCTGGCCAACATGGTGAAACCCCGTCTCTACTAAAAAAAAAAAAAAAAAATTAGCCGGGCGTGGTGGCACCCGACTGTAGTCCCAGCTACTCGGGAGGCTGAGGCAGGGGAATCACTTGAACCTGGGAAGCGGAGGTTGCGGTGAGCCTAGATAGCGCCACTGCACCCCAGCCTGGCAACAGAGTGAGACTCCGTCTCAAGAAAAAAAAGAAAAAAAGAAAAAATTATACCTTGCTAACAATGGCCTAAGCTGCCACCAAGAACCTAAGTTCTTTAAGATTAGCCACTCCAGCAGTGACAACACCATCTGTGACAGATGTTGTGAAGGGATTTCTGTATAGGTATGAGGCTGAATCTCATAACCTTCCAAATTACCTTCCCACACATACATTCTGAGATTATATATGCCCAATGCTTCAGTTTCTACACAACTTCACTTTCTAGACACTAAAACAACCAGTGATTATTCTCCCAGTGTTTCTATAATTAAAAACTACAGTATCATATTAATAAAGTGGTATTTTAAGAATCAGATTTTTTGGTATTATACCTAAGATAACTATGGTAGGTAGTTTCTGACATGACTCTCAATGATCGCATCTCTTTGAGTGCAGACTGGGCCTAGTGACTTGTGTCTAATGAATAGAATATGACCAAAGTGATAAGAGGTCAATTTTGAGATTAGGTTCCAAAAGTCTGTGATGTCCATCTTGTTGGACTCTACTGCCTTCTCAGCAGGCATGCTTAGATAAACCAAGCTGCCATGTTGGAGAGACCCACATGGGAAGGAATTAAAGGTGGCTTCTGGCCACCAGTCAGTGAGGAGATGAAGCCCTCAGACTAAGAATCCTTGAGGAACTGATTCTTGACAATGACCAACTGTGTGATTAAGATTAAAAGCAAACCCTTCTCCAGCTAAATCCCTTCTCCAGCTGAGATGACTATAGCCCCAACGGACCTTTGACTACAGCTTTGTAAGAGACCCTGAAGCAGAGGACCCAGATTCCTGACCCACAGAAACTGTAAGATAAAAGATGTTTTAAACCACTTTCTTCTGGGGTACTTTGTTACAAAACAATAGTTAACCAATAACTAATACATTATCTTCATTTGAATTGATAGATTTGTAACTAAAAAAAACATAAAATTCTAAGTAAGACTTTGCACTCTTCAGAATGAAGTTCCATCTAAAATGACTTTAAAATGCAGAATTTTAAGTTCTTCCACTTTGATTGTCTAACACTTTAAAACAGTAAAACCTGATGGGAAAAAAAGTATATTTTTAATAGATGTTTTAAAGTAGCCAACTTCAAGGAAAACCAAAATAGAATGCTTATGTAATTCACATTAATTATAAAATCAGTACTTTACGTCTAGGCATTGCTCATTGTTATATCTCAATATATGTCAATTTAAATTAACTGCAAAATGACTTTAAATTTCTATTTGGTTTGGTCAGATTAGTTACTAATTGTTTGCTTAAGTTAAGAAGAATAACAAAGCTCTTTGGAAACACTGGGGGAAACGGTGAGCCAATGTGTCTTCACTGTACATTGCAAGCAGCTTCTAATTCACCACAATCCTTGTAGTTTTTATCTATCTGATTCCCCTTTATATCATTACCCTCTGTTTCTACTTCTCAACTTTTCTTTTGCATTCCTATTTCCTTCTACTTTAGGAAGGCAAATAAAGTGAATGAAAGGAAAATGGAAAAAGATATTAGCAAGCACTTCAGCTGCCTGCTCCTAATGAACATTTCCTAATAGCTGATCATTGTTTTTGCCCTCATTAGTGTATTAAAATGAGAAGCCATACATGTTTGATAATTGTAATAGCTAAATTTTCTTAAAAAGCGTTTTGAACACTTACAAGAGGTGCACACTTGTATAGAGCTTCACATGAAATGACTATAAATCATAAGTCACCATCACTATACTAAAGACTACAAACTTTAATAGGAAAAAACATTAGGCCCCTTGAAATAAACTTCTTAGAAGAGTTAATATTGAAAATTTTAGAAAATATGACGGCTTTGAAATACAGTCCAAAACAGAAAAGATTAGAAGGCCCACAGGTTATTAACAACATTGGAAATAGGCTACTATGATAGTAAAAATAAATGTTGTTCCTACTTGTGGAAAATCACAGTACAAGGATTGTTTCATTAGTAAATGATACAGGTAGACATATGGTACCAATTATGGTTGCTAGAAAAGAATTGGTGAAAGCATCATTATTGAGCATAAAATTAAGCTTTTCTCGGGATACGATCAAAGCAGCCTGAGATTCATTAAGAAAAATAACTGATTATATCAAATATATTTTGCTAACCTAAAGTTTTTGCTTTTTTCATGTTATTTATATTATATAACACATAGCTAATAATGAATATATTAGTCTATTTTAGTAAATTTATATTTGTGTAAGGTGAAAGTAGATCACTTTCACCTTACAGAAAAAAAAAAGCGTGGACTTGAGTGTTGATCCCTGATGCACCTTGACCTGAAGTAAGGCTAGTAAGTACTTTTGGCCACCAGGTGGCAGCTGTTAGCTTTACATGCAAGGTTTATGAAAATAGACTCTAAGACCAGGTTTTTGCCTTGAAAATCTAAAAATGAAAATGTAATAATAACTATATTTAATTATTAACTAAATTACCAAGATAGGAAATGGTATTTTTAAAGGAAAAAATAAAATACTAATTTTCCTATAGTACCACCAAGTTGTCCTTGGGAAATTTTTAGTTTGCAATGAATGGTACTAATATAGTGATTTAATTTCCCTTATTCCTAGTTGACTTGCATGTTAGGGCTGCTGGTATAAATTAACCTTAGCTGGATACTGAAAAGAGCAAGTTTCTCTACTTGGTCAGGTATATTTTGATAATTGCAGAAAAGAAGTTTCAGTAATAGAATTTCAAAGTCTATAGAAGTGTTTGTATTCTCCTAGTTGAGGGGTTCTTTGTATTTTAAAATATAAGCTTGATATCTTTCATAGTTCATTCTTATTTATGATTTTCCAACATTCTCAGAAGAGGAAAAATTATATCAGTCAGAAAAGCAAGTACTGAAATTACATAAAGCTACAAAATCATTAAGTACAATTCTATTATTTTGCAAAGTATAAGCAAAAATCATTTTTTCATTAAGATAAAAATTATAACATAGGAAAACATTCAACTGCTTTATTTTATCCAATTGGTGCTTAATCCATCTATCCACCCATCCAGGATGCTTTGTTCAAGTCCCTACTTGTACAGCTTCACTTAATATTTAAATGTTTTATGATTTGAGGTAGATAGCTATCATCATTGCTTGATCAAAACCCATTCAGCTTTCTTCTCATGTGTCACCCTGATCTGTGGCCCTCCTCATCACTCTGAGTAGATGCTCAACTCAGGCATCTTTACTTGTGGGTATTAGACTCAGGACTAGCCAAAATAACATACCGTATCTCTTTAGCCACACAGCAATGGTTTACTGATAACCCAGTGATGCACAAATTCATATATTAAATATTTTATTTTTTTATAAAGCATAAACATTTTTTAATAAAGCATAACCATTAAAAGATCATAATGTATCTAGTTCATCTGTGGGAAAAAGGGGAATGTTTAGGAGAAATCAAGCATGGCATATAAAGGCAAAGCAGTATGTGAATTAGAAGTCCAAAGGTAACTAAAACAAATGAGTAATTGGAATAGTAAGAATGAAAATATTGCAGAACATTGTGGGTGAGGCCAGTGTTCCCTCTGCTTATTACAAAAATTTGGGCAACGTTTCCTCTGTTAATTAATACATAACTTCAAACTTCAAAGACTTTCATAATTAAAGAGAAACTGGGATTTAACTGTTGAGGGAGTTTACTGGAGCCAACTTTCTGAGGATTATTAACAAATTTGCTCATTTTAAAACAAAATGACTGGAATAAAATGTGTTGCTAAGTTCATCACAATGCCTTTATAAGGAAAAAGTTTAAAGGGTTGCAGCAAAGTTTACGGAGGAAACTTTATACATGCATTTTTATAAACATGTATATACAGGAGCTTTATACATGCATTTTTGTGAACTTACATTGAGTGAAGCAGTAATTAATGCCAAAATGCTTTTAAGGCTGTCAATCTGTTGATTAACACTATTCATACCATGCACAAAGGTAATGGCAGCTTTCCAAAACATTTTACAGAAAAGTCAGGGCCTGATATTGCAGGAACATATACATTTACATTTTGTCCATCAGGATGTATTATGAGCTATGGTTGAAGAGTTTCTGGAAATTATTGAAACCACAAAAGTTTGGGCAAACAATCCTTCAATCCTGCAAATGGCCAGTGAATACCGTGCTTTATTGATATGTGAAATTTATCAGCTCGGCACAGTGGCTCATGCTTGTAATCCCAGCACCTGGCAAAGTCCAGGCAGGCAGATCACTTGAATCCAGGAGTTCAAGACCAGCCTGGGCAACAAGACGAAACCCTGTCTCTACAAAAAATACAACCATTAGCCAGGCATGGTGATGCATGCCTGTGGTCCCAGCTACTTGGCTACTTGGGAGGTGGGAGAATCACCTGAGCCTGGGAAGGTGGAGGTTGCAGTGAGCCATGATTGTGCCTCTGCACTCCAGCCTGGGAGACAGAGTGAGACCCTGTCTCAGGAAAAAAAAAAAAAAATCGCTTATAATAAACATGGATTCAATTTTCAATAGTCTCAAATCTATTACTTTGTCTTCAACATAAATTTGAAAACACTGCATATTTTAATTTTTTTTTCATTCTGCTAGCTCTCCTTATTCCAGACAATCTTTTTCCTCTAAGCCTACATTTATTTTGGCTCCATTCTCCTGTTTATAATAGCCAGGAATTCTTGCCTCTTTTTTAGGCCACTAAATGATGTTTCAAAATGTTTCTTTGGTTCTTGTAATACATCATTTTCTAAGATATGCCTTTATTCTGAATTTAGAGTAACTGTTATTTTCACTGTAAAGTGCAATTTTTATGGGGCTCATGTGGATTTTGGTTTCTATAGACTAATCTTTGATAAGAAGAAATTGATCCAGCTCCAGTTCATTTTGAGAGAAAGGGAGGAGCCACAGTTAATGGCTTCACTCCCTGAGATATCTCAGATATATTAAAGACATAATAATTTAATGTCGTTCTGCTGAATCCAGGTGTGCTTTTCTCCTTTTCTCAACGCCCAGTTCTCTTGACAATGATGATAATTTATGCTATACAGGATTTGAAGTAGGCTGGAGTTTAATTCAGACAAATATCGTATATAAAAAAACTAACCCTTACTGTGTACTTCTAGGGCTATTTCTGGTCTTTATCTGGCTTTGTTTGTGATAAAACCACATATTTAAGGATAAAAGATATCATTTGCCCATCTCCCTCTATTTCTTGTTTACTGGGAATAATAATCTCTGAATGGATGAAGAAAGAGAAACACTGACAGCAGACTGAATGAGGACAGAAATAACTGACTGCCTTAGATAAAAATAATGGCTGTCTGACTTAGTGCATTCTACTTACTTGTTAGCCAACTGAAACATACTTTTCTCAAAGTGAAAACTACAAGGGCCTTCCTAATAGAGCTTCATTAAATGATATTAGAGTAACAGAAAATTTTCTCAGGCCCTTCAAATGGCTGACTGTTAACTGTGTTTTTCACAAATGTTTAGTGTTTATATCTTAGTTTTTTATACTTTTTAAATGTCTTCAATAGCAAATTCCAATTTGGGAAGGAAATATCAAGAAATGTCAACCTATCACTACCTTAAACCAGAAGTTCTCTCTCTCAACAATCAAGATTGAAAAAAATAAACTCCACTTGCTTTCAGTTGGGAGAATCTCACTGTAAGGTAAACATTAAAAAGTAGCTCAGAATCTAACAGAATAGAATATATATACACATATTTCTAAGAAAAGACGCTTACTGAGATTACATGAATATCAAAAATTATTAGGCAATAAGCCATACAAACAGAATTCTTAAAAAGATAGAAAGTTTTGTGTATAAAAACTGCACCTCAATGTTTTACGATAAATGGTTTGATGCAAAATCTGCATTTTGAGCTTTTATAGGTCTTAGGATTCATAAAAAATATCACTGAGAACATATACAGGCAGATGAAGTTGGGCTTTTTTAAAAAAATCTGCCTTACTGAAGGTTAGTTAGGTTTCTATTTGGAGAACATTAGAATGCCTGAGGGGGTCACCAGGTATGTACAATTTGCTGCTATGCTACCTATCTGGAACTTGTTGCACTTGGAGAGCAGAGGAGAAGAGCCGTTTTCTAGTCAACAGATGATTTGGCTAGAATACATTCACTCCCTCCCCCTTCCACTAGAGGGTTTGGGCATAATCTAATCATCAATTACTAGTAGATGCTTGTCTACTAGAAAGCAGAAAAGTGTATTAATGGCAGATTTTTTTCAGACAAAAGTAACTATCTTGCAATTTTCAGAGAACATTTACATTTTTACAAGAAATTGAATTAGTCCCTCAAAAATACAAGATAATTTAGATAATGGCCTTCAGTACCTATATCTGTGTAGCAACCTTGAGAAACTTAACTTTTTGTTTTTTTTGAGACGGACTTTCACTCTTGTCTCCCAGGCTGGAGTGCAATGGCATGTTCTTGGCTCATTTGCAACCTCTGCCTCTTGGGTTCAAGCGATTCTCCTGCCTCAGCCTCCTGAGTAGCTGGGATTACAGGCGCCCACCACCACGCCCAGCTGATTTTTTCGTATTTTTAGAAGAGATAGAGTTTCACCATGTTGACCAGGCTGGTCACGAATTCCTGACCTCAGATGATCTGCCTGCCTCCGCCTCCCAAAGTCCTGGGATTACAGGCATGAGCCATGGCGCCTGGCCGAAACTGAACATTTTGAGAAGGTATAGAATTCCTTTTCAAAGATTTAAACAATGAGACTTGTCAGTAATTATAGCAGGTGATAAGTAATCAGGTCTTAGTAGGATTTATACATATTTTAGAAAGCTATTTTTGTTTTAGGTTTTATTTATTATGCATAAGGTAAATTTCTTAGAGTGATTTCCCTATTATCTGTTTTTTTTGTTGCAGTAAATTCCAGGTCCCTTTAAAAAGAGAAGGTGAGGAGGAAAGGGAACCTGATGATGACATTATAGTTTGAAATGCATTTTCGTAGGTTTTGAAACCATGAAGGAGTGAATCCATGATGGGGGAATGCTCCAGCGCTGCTAAAATAGATACTGGAAGGAAAGAAGGCATTTTAGATTCAAATGCTAATCCTGATGCCTAATTAGTTAAAATCAGTAAGTCACATTGTATTTCTTTTTCACATATGTAATCATACCCACCTTTGCTCATCATCTGGCCTCTTGATCAAATTGAAAAGTATGTGGAGAAGCTGATCTCGCTCTTTAGGCTCAGGATGTAGACATGCTGTACACAATATGAGGGGGATCAACTCCTAAAGAAATACGAGGGTGGAAAAATTCAAATAAAAACACATTGCAGAATATTCTTTTTTCCTCCACAATATTCTTAAATGGACATTTAAAGTGAAATAAACCTCAGTAAACAAAAGGGTAAATTTTAATTTTGTAAGGTTGGTAATTCAAGAGATGTTTACACTAAAACGTTTATGTGTTGGTTGTGGAGGAAATGTAAATCACAATGTAACAAAAGTTGCTTAAGATTCAACTAGCCTTGGTTTTTAATCTAGTACTTCCCAAGGGCCCACTAGCTTTTACACTAAATAACATTCCATCATGTGACATGCTGACACCGTAATTTTAATTCTAAAAGTGTTTTTAAACAAAAGTTGCAGAAGTCCACTATAATTTAAAACTTAAAAAGATAATAAAAAATAAAGACCACTTTTCCCACTTCTGTAAGGACAATATAATGTCCTTATGATTAGATCTAACAATTTTGTACCCTTAGCACTTGACCCAGTGCCTAACTAAAAAGACCATTTTCATAGATGTTGAATTGTCTCAGTATCAGTAGAAATATTTGATGTTGAAATACAAAATTTTAACAATATTTTGTTTTCTTCACATTCAATATGCAGAGGTAAATTCAGCATTTTGTAGGAAAGTAAGAGCTAAAAGTTTATTTCTAAGAGACACTTGAAATTAATTACATTGTTTTACATTTTAATTAAGATGAAATTCTTAACACTAAAGTACATTCAAAATACATTAATGTTTTTCATTTGAGTGGATTTTCAAATCCAAGAAGAATAATGGTCCAAAAGTAATAAAATATTTTTGCGAGAAATCCTCTAAGTTATAAAAACAATATTTTGTAAATACAGTAAAGAAATCACTATGATGTAATTAAGAAGGGAAGAATGACTACACCCATTTCTTTCCCATCTGTCTTGATACTCACCGAAAACTGTTAAGAGATTTAAAATAGAAATTGATCACTATTGTAATAATGCATGATTATTACTGTCTATAATAATATAACCTAACAAAAATAATAATGTAACCTGAAGAAAAGCATGATAAAAAGTCTACACTGTTGAAGTATTTTCACACTTTGAAGATGCTTCCTAAGAGATGATTTTTCGAAGAGTTGAAACTGAAGCTTAAATGTATGACTAGAAGTCTCTCTCCGTTGTTTCTAAAGTCTTTATATATTGCAAATCTTAAATTTGAAGGTACAAAGATATAGGTAAGAGGAGCTAAGAATATATCTGAGAAAAAAAGAATGTGAAACATTTATTCTGCCATTTTCAGTCTTCCTGTTTGGGCATCTCTGTAGGTTTTACCTTAGTGAATAATTGAAAAGGAATAAAAAATGATTAGGAAAAATAATTTTGCACTGGGAATGAGAGACAGAGCATATGTGTAGATCCTATATGTTTTCCCTAGAGGCTTAATATAATGCTTGATGGATTAGTCCTGATTCTGTAGAAGAAAATAAACAACCTTTTACAAAATAGTAAATATTCTGTCTGGCTGGAAATTTAACAATATTAGGGTAGGAGATCATTAATAGCAAGGACTGTCCTAATCCTTAGTTGATTCCATATGGGCTGCTGAGAGGCAATGATACTAATGAGACGACTAAGACATTGCATCATCAGGGTATACTATTGAGAGTAGAACCTTAAGGATGAAAAGTAGTTATTCTGGAAGCATTAAAAAAGTGAGAAGCTATTCTAATGCCTGAAAACCAAGAAAAGCCCTAATAATTTTATTTGTACTTTGTCTTCATGTCAGATCTTGTTTCCTCCTAATCTCCCTTCCTGCTTTCCCATCATCTCTACATGTATACTTCTCATACTATTTTTCCCATTTCTTCCTAGCCTATTACTGTTTAAAGTTATGAAATGAAGGTAAGATAGCTGCTATAATTGCAAACACACACACACACACTTAAAATGTAGAGTATAATCTTTAACTTCTTTATCTCAAAAACAAGCATACAAAAACAACTGTGTTGCTCTTTATCCTTTACGCCTTATATTTTACTTTCTTTTGCTTTTTTATCATGAGGCTTAGTGATCCTTAATCAAGGAGGAAGTTTATGTCATACATTAATATGGACAATATTTTAACTGAAATATGGCTACAGATGTGCCAAACTGAGAACTCTGGCCCAGGAGCTGAAAGAGTTCTTACCTTAGTTTACCACTTAGTACCAAGGAAACTAAAGAAAAGCACAAACTTCTCTTTCAGTTTCTTCAAGTGAAACACGTAGGAATTAAGATTAATGCACAAATGGAAAACACTTCACATACATTCTGCAATTTATCTATTGCTGCTAATTTTTCCTTCTGAAAGCAAAGATGGCCTAAAAAAGCCGTTTCAACACAGCAGTTGCTATGAATCAATTCAAACTGACATATTAGAAGGAAAGTATTTGTGAGTCCTTGTCTCCTTGAACCCTAAATTTCTGTGAATTTAGGACTTTGAAAAAAATATTTTTCACTTTTCTTAATCACAGTAATAATTGATATTGCCATCAGCTTTTATTTCTTGCTGGCAAATTAACAACATATGGGAAGTCACTGCCAATAATTTTTGGTTGCTATTCCATGCCAAGGAGAGTGGTCCACCTTGGCATATTATGGCTATGGCAGTTACAACTCAGAGTTTAAAGGATGCCGGATGGCTTCTTCCTCTTACAGCAACACAGAGCTGAGAAGAGGTCCAGTAAGTGAGGAAGAAAAATGCAGAGAGTGGTCTGTTTCTGACAGAGCCAGCAAGGAACACGATTAGGATAATTGCTAGATTGAGACTGCCCCCAAATATGCTAATTTCTCAATTATCCATTTATTTATAACTTCTATTTGTATTGCTATTAAAATAAAAAATAGATTCTGTAAGTATATGTCTGTTGTGTTATTTATTCACATTTATTGTGAATTCATCTTTCAAGCCTCTGAAACACTAATAAATCCACACCAGAATTTACTAAGTCTGTATTTACCATTTTCAGACTATTCATAAGTTAATAGACTTGAATCAATATTCTCCCTTTGGCATCATCTCTCACACTGAAAAAGTATAGTCTTAAAACTTTCCTTATAATTCTGAATACAGCATTTAAAAAATGGTGATTAAATTTCCATCAGAAGACAAGGTGTTCTAAAAATATCTTTGAAAGACTAAATGTAAATCAGAATAATAGAGCAATAAAAAAATCCTTAGGCATATTAGATTTAACATTTCATGTAATATTAAAATAATAACTATGGTAAGAAAATAACTATGGCTTGGGTAATATTAGATCCAAGAGGTATTTTTTTTGCTTCACATAATAAAACTTATGTGTTTGCATTTCTTTCTTTTTATTAAGAGACTGGGTCTTGTTATATTGCCCAGGCTTGAAGGCAATTGGCTATTTACAGGCGTGATCATAGCACACTACTGCCCCAAACTCCTGGGCTCAAGAGATCTGTTGTGGGCAGTGACTATCTGGGGCTGGTGTTGCTCTGAGTGGTAAAAATAATTTGCCAAGACAGTTGTGGGTAAAGAAAGGCAGATTTATTAGACAAAGTAGGAAAATACATTGCAAGAAAGCAAAGGGCAGGTCAGCAAGAGAGGAGCTAACTGCAAGGAGACAAAGAGTTGCTGGTGCTCATGCTGTGTGCTGAAGAGGGCTTTGTGCAGTACTGATAAAGCTAAGGTTGCAGTAAGCTAACTTGCATTTTTCTATTAGCTGAGGTGTCTGGTGATAGCTTTGCACAGGAAGATTGTGAGTTATTTGCACAGGAGGGCTATGTGTCCTGGACCATAAAGAAAGGCAGACTTACAGCTTATCCACTTTCTTTTTTTGCTTTCCCTCAGTCTCGCCAGCCCAACTCCCCCTCCTTATTTAGAACTCCACAAGATCCTCCTGCCTCAGCCTCCTTAGTAGCAGGAACTATGTGCCACTGTGCCCAGCTAATATAGCCATATTTTAAGCAATAGGAAAATATTTTAAAACATGATTTGGCAACCTAGAGAGTACTCAGTAATGTGTATTGAAGTGAAATATTTAACAGAGTGTCTATGATCATTAAAGAGAAAAATCAGTATAATAATCCTACTGCAGAATTTCTAGGACTTTTAGAATTCATTAATAGAAGAGGATTAGCATTCGAAACCAGCCTGGGCAAGATGGCGAAACCCTATCTCTACCAAAAATACAAAAATTAGCTGGGCGTGGTGGTGTGCACCTGTAGTCGCAGTTGCTTGGGAGGCTGAGGTAGGAGGATCTATTGAGGCCAGAAGGTCAAGGCTGCAGTGAGCTGTGATTGTGCCACTGTACTCCAGCCTGGGTGACAGAGTGAGACCCTGTCACCAAAAAAAAAAAGAAAAAGAAAAAAAAAAGAAAATGGTTTTCTTTGAGTCAATGGTAATCTTTTGAAATTTAAATTTCAATATTTAATATCCATATTTAAATAAATCAAGATAATTCTTTTGCACAATCCAAAGGAAAGAACATATGCTGAAAACAATTGGGGATGGAGTAGAAACGACTGAAGAAGGAAGGAAAGACAATAAGCAATATAAAAATATCTGTTCCAAAGCAGCTAAGATATCCTTGGCTTATCAGTACTCTACTTGTCAAGATTATATACAAATATAATGTGATATCATATTTACTTATTATTTTATTTGGATTTTTATTTAGATTATATCCAAATATAATGTGACATTATTTTACTTACTAGTGTCAAGATACAAGATACACTTGTATCTTGGCTTATCAGTACCCTAATTGTCACATTACATTATATCCAAATATATTTATATCCAAATATATATTACATTTGGATATAATGTGAAAATTAGGGTACTGATAAGCGAAGATACAAGTGTATAAAATTTAATACATAGCACAGAAGGCGTGGAGGAACCTAAACAAAAGGCTTATCAGTACAAGACAAGGAGGGTCAAGAAGGTAACGTAAACATGTAAAACAAAGGGTATAAGGAAAACAATAATGCAAACATGATGATAAACAGCACTAACACGGGGCTTTAGTGACTAGGGGCAAAAAAGTATGGCAGCAACTGTGGCTAACTAGAGATCCCATGTCCCACCTACAGGGGACAGACCGGAACTGTGCTCCAATTGAAAAGATCATTTGGAAATGTAAGTCTAGTGCTCTTAGACTGGAGGAAAACTCCAGACTAGGAGTTTTCAAAAAAAGCCAAAATTTTGTATTTTTAGGTAAAATATCAGTTTTTAAAAGTTTGATAACTAGCACATCATTTTTACCATTACTGAATAGGCCAAACAAACCTATCTGTGAGCCTTTGTTGGTCTGTAGATAGTGTACAACCTCTGATTTAACTTTTCAGTTGAAACTTTTCAGCTTGTTCCTGTTCATATAAAAAGGAAACCCAATAAAGAAAGACATTACAAAGACTCACATAAGAAAAAAAAAAAAAGATTACTCACCTCTGTAAAAGTTTTACAATTCAAGGGCTGCTAAAAATACCGATTCTTAGAATTATTAATATTAAATATCTATAATTTCCAGGGCTCAATCTTTAGGAAACCTAAAGTACCTAAATAACCTTACCTCAAGTCTCACTATTGCTAAAGAAATGTGATGTACTCACAAAATTAAATATGCACACATGCCAACATCACATAGGTTTAAAGAAGGGAGTCAAAACTTCCTATCTACTTTATTACACTTATCCACTATACTACTGTATACATCTCATAGAGTTATGATCCTCTGAGGCGATCATTACTTGTAAGGTTTCCATGAAGGAAACATGAGTGGCAATGTAAAAGATCAAAGTCTAGTTTCTCATAAGACGGGAGGTCTGTAGAGGTACCAACTACTTTAAAAACTTTTAGGGAATTGGTTCTTTCCTTTGCCTTTTTTGTTACAGCTTTACTGAGATAAGTGGTTTTCTCCTTTGCCTTTTTAATGACGGTTTTATTGAGATATGTTTCATCTTCATAAAGTCCATCCATTTCAATTGTCTATTCAGTGGTTTTTAGCACATTCAGAGTTGTACAACCATTGTTACAATATAATTTTAGAAGACTTCCAATATCCCAAAAGGAAAGCTGGTCTCCATTAAGTCTCTCCTCATTTCCACTCCCATCTCAGCCCCAGATTTCTCCTTTGATATTCCAACTTAGCTAGCTGATAGAACATATTTCCTTGGCACAGAATGAAACTGAAAGTTACATTTTGATGTATGATTACCAAAAATGCTACTTGAAGTAATCTTTTAAAAAATTCTATTTTTTAATTATAGAATTTCCTCTTCAAATGCGGTCAAAGCAGAAATTGTGAAAAACCAACTACTTTAGCTTATTTACTATATACATTTATCAAATGACAAATATATTTATTTCTATAATTTGGCTCAAAAGATTCAAGTTTCCTGAACCAATCCATTAAAATGAACTACTATGTAAGCCACATATAAAAAATCAGTCCATCTTTTACTTTTCTCTCCCAAAATGAACAGGCAAGGAACTACAGAAGGATCAACTAAACCCAAGGCCAGTAGAAGGAAGGAAATAATAAAGATTACAGCAGAGATAAATATTTGACTTTAAAATATAAGTTAGTAAAAAGAGACTACCATTATTTCAAAGAACCTAAGAGGTACATATTTCTGTTAAACTTTTTAGTATCTTTGAAATATGGGTGTATCTTATGATAGATAGCACGCCATAATTCAATTGGGATTCTTTTTCTTTCTTAAAGAAACATAACTGTTACAACCAATTGCATCTTAGATTTAAAATAAGATGCACTGAATTAAAAAATATTATAATTGTAACCTGAAGATTGAGTAAAGTTGTTACTTTTTTCTTTTTCTTGTTTTAAAGAAAAACAAATAATGCTAATATCTATATTCATCGTGCTTTCTATTTAAAAAAGTTAATTTATTAGACAGCTCTGATTAAACCTTTATCCTACTATCTTTAAAACAGTGGGTCACAAAATCAGTTGAATGGGTCATGAACAGCATGTTTTTCTTTTTTAATTGCTTACTTAAGGATTTTTTTCTTTATTTTTCCAAAATATTTATAAAATCATGTTTGGTATTGCTTGTCTTTACTTTATGTTTTGTAAAACTTTTAATTTTATATATGTAAGTACATACTGGCACATGATGTAAAACATCTTTTTTACTGAAGGTGTAGTCAAAGTTTGAAAACACTAATAGAAAGTTCTTTATATCATGATATAAAAAGTAAAATCTAATGTTAAGTATAAAAACAGCAAAGTAGAGAGTAGTGCATAGAATACAGTATCATTTGTTTAAATCATGGGGAAAAGATCACATATTTGAATTTATACATGCACAAAGTATCTCCGAAGGAATATAAGACAGTTCTACAATAATAGTTGGAGTCTTCAATACCCTACTTTCATACTGTACAGAAATTCTAGACAGAAGATCAATAAGGAAATAGAGAACCCAAACTTTATAAAACAACTAAATCTAATAAAATTATACAGAACACTCCACTTAACATCAGCAGAATATATATTCTTCTCAAATGCACACAGAACGTTCTCCAGGACAGACCATAAGTTAGGCATAGGTAATTCTTAGTAAATTTAAAAGATCAAAGTCATATAAAATATTTCTCTGACTACAACAGAATGAAATTAAGAATCAGTAACACAAGAAAAATGGAACATTCACAAATATGTGGCTATTAAACAACATGCTCTTAAATAAGCAATAGGTCAAGGAAGAAATCAAGAATTAATGAGAAAACATTGAGATGAATGAAAATGAAAACAACATACCAAAACTAATGAGATACAGCAAAAGCAGTACTCAGAGGGAAATTTATAGCTATAAATACCTACATTAAAAAAGATCTCAAGTCAGTAATTCAATATCTTATGGAACTACAGAAAGATCAAACTAAACCCAAGGCCAGCAGAAGGAAAGAAATAATAAAGATTACAGAGATAAATGAAACATAGACTAGAAAAACAATAAAGAGAATTAACAAAACAAAAGTTGGTTTTTGAAAAGAGAAACAAAATTGACAAACGTTTAGCTAGACTGACTGAAAAAGAGAGAAGATGCAAATAACTAGGATCAGAAATGAAAGCAAGGATGTTAGTACCGATGTTACAGAAATTAAAAGATATAAGTTAATACTATGAACAACTGTTCATCAACAAATCAGATAATCAAGATGAAATGAACTAATTCCTAGAATCATAGAAATCACCAAACTGATTAAGTAGAAAATCCCAACAGACTTATAACAAGGAAACAGACTGAAGAGTTCCTATACCCTATCAAGCCAGCCTTAGCCCAATACCAAAACCAATACCAAATACCAAAACACAAGATAAGAAAACCACAGAACAGTATCCCTTATGAATATAGACAAAAAAATACTTAACAAAATACTAACGACAGATCCAAAAGCACATTAGAAGGTTTATAAACCAAGGCCAAATGGGATGTATCTCATGAATGCAAGGGTGGTTTAACATAAAATCAGGCAATGTATAAATAATGCAGGCATATGACAGTAGAACGAAAGGGGAAAAATCGCATTATCATCTCAACAGATGCAGAAAAAGCATGTGGCAAATTCAATGCCATTTTATGATAAGAATATTTAGCAAACTAGGGATAAAAGGAAACTTCTTTAATATGACAAAGGGCATTTATAAAAATTCTATAGCAAACATCATAGTCAATGGTGAAAGATTGAAGCTTTCCTGTAAGATCAGAAACAAGGCAAGGATATTGCTTTCTCAAAACATTACCATCCAAATTGTATTGGAAATCCTAGCCAGAGCAATTAAGCAAGAGGAAAAAATAAAAGCCATCTATATTGTAAAGAAGAAGCAAAACTATCTCTCTACGTGCAGATGACATGATTCTATATATGTAGAAAATCTCATAGAACCCATAAAAAATGATTAGAGTTAATAAGCAAATGCAGCAAAGTTGCAAGATTTAAGATCAACACACAATGACCAGTGTTGTTTTGATAACCAGGATAAACCTTTCCCTTCTTGAAAAGAAAACTAAAAGAACAATTCCATTTACAATACCATCCAAGAGAACAAAATACCTAGGAATAAATTTAGCCAAAGAAGTGAAAGAATTGTATACTAAAAATTACAAAATATTACTGAAAGAAATTAAAGATCTAAAACAAAAAGACATTCCATGTCCATGAACTGGAAAACTTAATGTTGTTAGGATGACAATACTCCCAAAGAGATCTACAGATTTAATGTAATCTCTATAAAAATTTCAATGACCTGTTTTGCAGAAGTGAAAGGCTGAGCATCAAATTCATGCGGAACTGCAAGGGACCCTGAACAGACAATAGTGATGTGCAGTTAGAGGACTCATATATCCCAATTTCAAAACTTACTACAAACAACAGTTATCAAAACAGTGTGGTAGTGGCATATGGCTAGACATACAGACCAATGGAACAGAACTGAAAGTCCAGAAATAAACCCGAAGAATCTAGGCCCAACTGATTTTTGACAAAAGTAGCAAGACTATTCAAAAGAGGAATTTTTTTATCTTGAACAAATGTTTCTGGATAACTGGATAGCCATATGAAAAGAATAAAGTTAGACGCTGTTTTACTCCATATATAAAAATTAACTCAAAATGAATCGTTGACCTAAATATATATAACAAATGTTTTCTTCTAATTGTTTCATAGCTTTAGCTCTTATATATATTCATATACATATAGATATATATATCTTCTATAACATTGATTGACTTGGCAATGGTTTCTTAAAATTGATACTTAGAGCACAAACAACACAACAAAAAAATAGATAAATCAGATTTCATAAAAATGGAAAACATTTGCCCATCAAAGGATATGGTCAAGAGTGTAAAAAGAAAACCTACAGGATGAAAGAAAATATTTGCAAATCATATATATGATAAGGGTTTACTACCCAGAATATATAAAAAAACTCTTACAACTCAAAAACATGAAGATAAACAATCAAATTTAAAAATGGTCAAAGGACTTGAAAGAATACTCTAGAAGCTAGCAAAACTGACTGCATGTGACAGAAGCTCAAGGACAGGAATAAAGGAATTTTCATTGTACATTTTTTTTACATTAAAAAAATTACACCATGTAAACATATTAATCAAAACATTAAACCCTGTTTCCAATGCTTTATTTAATCAGCTAAGATATTACTAAGTTCAGTTTACTAAAGAACATTTAAATTTTATTTAAATACCAATAAAAAGGCTTTTGCTGACAAGAGAATATATATCAAACTTGAGAAATAAGAAGTCAAAATATTAATCCTTCAATCACAGGAGTTTTATAAAAATGTAGATTTAATGCTTAAGCCCTGGAGTTTGAGGCTGTAGCGAGCCATGACTGTGCCACTGTACTCCAGCCTGAGTGACAGTGTGAGAACCTGCCTCAAATAAAAAAAAAAACCCAAAAAACAAAACAAAACAAAAAACCAACAACTCTCTCTGTCTCCCCATAGAGGGAGAGATATGTATAGATTTATAATAAGAAACGGGTGAAATATTAAAAAGTAATTCAATATCAAGAGATGTAACGAAAAAATGTTTTGTTCTGTTATGCCCAGGGATTGATTTTAAATCACTCTAAGACATAATTCATTATTTACCAATTTAATTTTGAGGAAATACAATTTCATTTTATTATAAATGGCAACTTTTCTGATAAAACATACAAATAATTAAATGAACAAAGATAGATGATCAGTTTTTCATGAAATATATATTTTTTAATTATAAAAAATTTAAAATCAGCCAGAAAAGTAAACATCATACCACAAATTAGTTATATGTGTGCATATAGGTAGATAATCTGTATGTATAATGTATCTGATTACTGATGATGCAAATTTATAAATATTTCATGCAGTACAATCATTTTAATGGTAGTCTTTTATGATAATATGAAAAATTAAAATAAAAAAGCTAAAACTGAATTTCATAATAATTAGGTTTCTGTAACACTCTAAAGATGATATTAAGGAAATACAGTAAAAGGGATGCAAACATTAATGCATTACATGGATTATGTTACAAGCTAAAAAAGGAAAAGAAGCTCAAACACCATTCTGCCAAGCAGAACTGCAAAACAATCTGAAATTGGACACTGATCCTTCAAGACATATAAGACTTTCCATACTTATTAATATCTTATGACTATTTTAAAATAATTAGGTAAAAATAAAGCCATCAGTGGAAAACCATCTTTTTAATTGTTTTTATTAAAAATACCTATGGGGATAAAAAATTTTAAAGCTCTACATGTTTTCTTGAGGATCAGTACAAATTTCTTGTGCTAAATGGATAATTGAAAATAAGCTTTAAATGGGTTTTGCCAATGCATTATGTACCTATCATACTGTAGGTCCCAGAAATTATGATTGAATCAGTGGTAAATATTAAGAAGATAACAATAGAAAGTTACATGACACACTCTAAAATTGTCTTCATTTATTCTTTATAAAATTTTTTTGATCTAAAAATTTTATCTCAAAGAGTTCAATAAAATAATTTAAATTATCTGCAAACATCCACTGTCATTTAAATGAGATTATAAATAACTTCCCATTAATCTTTTGACTAAATATAACTATATTTAATAATAATTTATAAATAACAACAATAAAGATAACTTCCTATAGTGTTTATGGATCATAACATAGGCTATGTGGAGTCAAATATATTTGCAAATGTATTTTGGATACTTAAAGCATCTGTCAATAACCGGTTAACTGCAAGAAAAATAAAAAAGGTACTTTAAAAAGTTGTTGTAGTCAATATTACAACTATCCTATTATAAGAGAAATGTGATTTATTGCCAAACAAGCATAATAACACATTTATAATCGGCAACTACAAGTACATTTATGACTAGTGTTATATTATTCCTCCTGACTAGTTTTATATTATTCATCCCTGTTAATTTTCAATACAAAGAGTGTCCATTTCTGTTGACATATGAAGCATATCATACCAAGAGCACAGATAATTAGTTAACTGGTAATGTAAAAACCAGACAGTGTTCATGGCACATAAATGGACCTACAGTAATAGTTAGTGCTGCAGAAGCTAACAATGCTTTAAGCAAAATTGGAAAAACATGAATACCATGCAGTTTTACTGAACTCACCTGACAGAGGTGTAAAACCATTCTCTAGGAGCAGAGATGCATGCACAAAAGTAAGAATATGATTGCAAGTAATAGACTTTAACAAAATAAAAATATAACACTCAACTTCAAAATGACAAAAAATGGACAACATGATGGGATTACTGGGACGAAAATACTTTCATGTGTCTTACCTCTCTCTTTGCCAATAGCACATTGGGAACAATGTGTGGCAGGCAGCGTCCCAGCATTAACATAACGCTTTTTTCACTGTCTGCAATACGAGACACCTAGAAAACCAAAGAATTAATAAACAATGATAGTGGAGAACTTCTGTGCATAATAATATGGAAAAGTTCATTCTTTAGGCCCTGATACCTCTGCCCTAAACACACATTCCAATATTTTAACTTATGATAACAACAACAACAACAACAACAACAGCAGCAGCAGCAGCAACAACAGCAACAGTGCTCCAATCAACATCCATATTTCTTTGGGCTAGAAACAGATTTAAAATACCATTAAAATCAAGGGTGAAGCCAAGGAGGCCTAATAGGCTTCATTTCTGGGAACAAGTAGGGGTAATAGCACAGGAGTAGGGCAGCCTCAATGTTCGTTTTTGTCTTTGAAGAGATGCTCACAAAGCTACTACCATTAGCTACAGTGATAATCTGTACAAAGAACTTGGAAATACAAGGGGTAGGCTAAGGAAGGTGATCCAGTCTTATAATGAGGATTGCCAGAGTGCATCCAAACCATCCTCTATCTAGCTCTGTGATATTCTCAATGACATTGTGGAACAGAAGCCCATGGCAAGTCAAGTGAAATGAAACACAGAACAGCAAGAAAAGGAGGAGTGAGTACACAGGTAAGAAAAAACAGTAATAATAAAATACCCCCTCAAGACTAATCTGCAAAAATAAATACAAAATAGTTGAGAAAATCTAATATGCAAGCTAATAAACTCAACTATTGGACATAACCACTCCTAATGAAATGAAAATAATAGAGTAATTTAAATAAACAATTAATATATAAACAGTGTACACTTAAGTTGGTTTTCTGAATTATATCTAAGAGATGCTGTCATTAAACATACTATTAAAAATAGAGTTTATAAAATGTCACTTTAACGTTAATAAAATGTTAATAGAAAAAACAGAAATAATCAACTACTTTCCTTAAAAGTTTAAAATTTTAGGAACTATATCTTAGAGCATTATTTTACATAATGGATTTGCATTTGAAATACAGTCTTATCACAGATGCTTCTGTAGAAGAGAAACTTAAAAAGAAGAAAAACAGTAGAATGTTTTTAAAAAGTTGTGGAAATAGGTGGTATAATTTACCTCGTATCCTAAACGACTATCTGCTGACATTCGACAAAAAGAGAGTAGTGCTTGATGGAATGCAGGAGACAATTTCCTAGAAGAAAATGTATGAAAAAGAGACAATATCAAATAATTACCATTGACATTTAAGGAGAAATTTAAGTTATGTATTATAACTTCCATTCCAGCATTAATCCTACCCCACAAAGCTAACCAGATTTCTGAGCCACCAGTGACTTGAAGAACACTTCACTGGAGAAACTTATACAGGTCACTTAGGAGAAAAAAAATCAACAGTAACTGGTGTTCTTGCAGTAGTTTGATGTTATGTGAAAAAATGGCATTTATAGTTAGTGGATCAAACCTAAAGTGGTATAGTAGATCAATGCCTATAGAAATGATTTGAAAATCTGAAATGAGGACTTTCTCCAACCCCAATTCTCTATGGTCCCAGAAAGGTAAACACAAAGGTAAAGTGGATAAAGGTTGACCTGGTATATTGCTGAGAGGAATTAAAGCTTTGCAGATATATATAATGCTAATGATAAATCTGAATATTAGAAAACCACAAACAATAAGTCTAAAGATAAACGGAGGCACAGCTCATTCAATATTCATGATACATTTTAAAGAAAGTTTCTGTTTGCAGTTGAAAATATTAGCCTATTTATGTTTAATAAAGGAGGTTAAAACATTTATATTTCTAAAACAACACCAGTCTCTATGTAGTATTATTCATAAAATTATGACTATGAGTTGTACTTTATGTCTTAAATCTGCAAAGAAAAGGCTAACACCAAAAATTAGATAATAAAGCTTATTTAGTATACACCACAAAATGGAGCTCAGTAATTTCTATGATTATAGAGTACTGTATCAAAGCTTGAGCCTTTTGCTGTTTTATGCTCCTCTCATATTCCCTCAGAGGGGGACCATAATCCTTCCACTTGCCCAAGTCAGAAACCTCAAATCAGGCTTGATCCTTTTTTTTGAGATGGGGTCTTGCTGTATTGCCCATGCTGGTCTAGAACTCCTGGGCTCAAGCGATCCTTCCATCTCAGCCTCCTGAGTAGCTGGGATTAGAGGCACATCCCATCGTCCCTGGCTTCCTTCCCTTTATCTTCACCCCAAATCCATTCAATCTTTTAACTTCTAATAATCTTGCAGATCCATATACTTCTTTCCCTTCCCATTACCAATGTCTGAATATAGAACAGGCCTCCATCATTTCTTACTTGGGTTCTTCCAACATATACCCGTATAGTTTCCTTGCTCCCAGTCTTGCTACCTTCCAATTACCTCTAGCTCAGAGGACCCTTTCTAAAGCTTAGATACCATCATGTCCCAACCTCTAAAATGAATTAACGCAAGCTTACATGACTTCTTAGACTTTGCTTACTTCTCCAACTTTGTCTTCTATCCTTCCTTTCACTAGCATTATTTGCTTAAGCCTCACTAAACCCTTCTTTGTTCCCCTAAAGCACTGTTTCATTTGTGCATGTGGGAACACTCTTTCTTTTACCTCTTTGCTTGTTAACTCTTACATAGTCTTCAAGTCTTGGATGACACTTCTATGAAACTTTCCTGCTCTGAAGACTAGGTTAGTGCCTTGATTACATGTTCCCAAAGCAAGTTGGACTTATTTTATTATACTACTTTTCATACCTTAGTGTTATTGCTTGTCTGTCTCTCTCATACTATAAGGTTTGAGGTTTGGGCCATGTCTGTTTCAGTTCTGTGACCAACACAGACAGACAGACAGACAGACACACACACACACACACACACACACACACACACACCCCTACTATACACAGAAGAAGCTGTGGTTCATGAGTGGAAAGCTTTATTTAAATAAAAATCCAATACTTCTTAGTAATAATGGGAACCTATAAGTCTGAAGCAAATTAGTTGTGCTTTTCTATTATATGCTCATAGTAGGCATAACATCTCTCTATTTAATAGGAAACGAAGTATGACCTTGTGGCTGAAAATGCACCATAGGATATTTGTAAGAATTAAATGAGTTAGTATACATAAAGCATTGAGGATTCTGTCTGACATATAAAAAGAGCTCAGTAATATTCCTTTCTTAAAAGTATTTTTTAATCATAATCTAAAAGTTTTAAAATTATATTTTTGTCCCCTCCACTAGGAAACATAATCACAAAGTGCAGGGACCATGGTTTTTGTCATCTGCGAGTTCTGACACCCAATATAAATTAAACATATGAATTAACAGAATACTAATGATGTAATATTTGTAATGGAAGCAGACACAGGAAAAAAAAAGTAGGAGCAAAAATTATTCCTTCTTTAACATAGGCAACTACGCAGCATCAAAATATTCCTCTGAGTCTGATAACGACTAAAGGATAGAGAAAAAAGCACTGGGTAAGTGTTTACAGCACATAGTAATAACATATTAGTTATGGGTTTAAATACTTAGCTAAGATAGAACCTAGCTCATTGATGGGTAATTCCTTTTTGATTTAATTTAATTTAGTAACTAATAATTTTGTGACTTTTTTGTGACAACTACTTTGCTATGTGTTAAGTTCATGTCAAATATAAAAATTAATATATTTGATCTGCAAAAAAGCGGTTTAAATAAAAACAGTAGCTCTTCCCGTTTGACATGTACTAAATAGCTGAAAGATGCATTTCAAAATATAGGATGCATACTAACCTATTAGGTTTATCAAAATGAACTGTCTTTTTACTTGATAGAGAAGAAGGTGGCATTCCTTCTCTTTCTCTCCTGGGGAATGAATTTGGGGAATTCTCTTTAGGAATAGTGGAATCAGCTTCATCTGATATTGAAAGATGGATGTCTGTGTTTTTTCCCTTGTCTGAACTATTTACATCTGGATGCTGTCCACTGTCCTCAGAGTCTTTGTGGGGCAACTGATCCAAAGGAGGCTGAACAGAGTCACAAACTGCTGGGATGGCAAAGTGTTCATTTTTGAGGAAGTCCATTTCACTGTAGAAAGAGAAATTAAGAGAAATCACCAGAGGACAACTGTATTTTTGAAAACTAGCATAAATCTCATAATGGGTTTAATGTTTTAAAAGCATATTTAAAAGTATTAGTAGCAAATGATTGGCAAGTAATAAATCTTTTTTATGCAATATTCACTGATGCTTCATATACCTAAAACTGTAGCTATAAACTCAAGAATGAAGCATAAAAATGGCCTTAAAAACCCTGCTTTTGATTGGCACTTAAATTTCTTTTATTCATTTGCAAAGTGGGATAACTTCCTCAAACCCACAGGATTATTACAAGAACTAAATGGAATAATGAACAGGAAATATGTACAACACTAATATGAGGGAGAAATCAAAATATCTTATTTCTTAGTTCCAAGACATAATTGATTGTAAGATCACCATATTGATTTAGTAACTTGTTTTGGGAAAAAAAACCTATTACTATTTTAAATACATTAAACAATTACAAAACTTTCTTTCAGAAGTATTAAAATGTGAAGCAATTATGCCTTGCAACTGGAATATTGTTTCATATATTTGCATAACTTGCCAATACTTTTAAACACCTTAAGAGGATTTTTAGGAATAATGATCAAGTACTAACCTTTTAAGTCTTCTGATTTGCTCCATCAATGACCATTTCTCACTATTTAACAAACTAATTTTATCTTCTAATTTCTGTACTAACATGGAGTTCTAAAATCAAAACAGGAGAAAAACAGAAACTCAAGATCTCACTGTACGCTTTTACATAGTTTAAATACTTTCTGTGGACTTGACTAATTAGTTGCTATCTCTCACCTCTGCAGGCTGGGGAGTTTCAAGAGTTGGAGGAAGGTTGCTTATAATTGGTGTAAGGGCCTCTAATTCATCTTCTTCTACTCCACTGGCCACATCTACAAGATCTTTTCCAGTTACTTGATGATTTCCAAAATCCCGGTAGAGTTGCAATAAGTCTGGAGGTTTTGGAATGTTTAATCCTACATCATCCCATAATTCAAAATCCTAAAAGATAAAAAAAAAACATAAAAAATCTTCGAGGAAATTTTATCTTACATTTTTGAAATTCATATTATTGCTAATATCTTTTTTTTTTTTAAGATCGGTTTTGCTGTGTCATGCAGGCTGGAGTACAGTGGCACAATCATAGATGGCTCACTGTAGCCTCAAACTCCTGGGCTGAAGCGAGCCTCCCACCTCAGCCTCCCAAGTAGCTGGAACTACAAGCACCCGCCACTGTGCCGAACCAATCAAAAAAAATTTTTTTTTGTAGAGATGGGGTCTTGCTTTGTTGCCTAGGATGGTCTCAAACACCTGGCTTTAAGCAATCCTCCCACCTTGGCCTCCCAAAGTGTTGAGATTACAGGTGTGAGCCACCACAGCCAGCCTCTGTGAATATATTGAAAACCCAACATAATCATAATTTTGTTATAATATCAAAGTGTATGTTCCAAGTTAGTAAATAACATTCTTACATTTATTTTACACTTTCCAGTATCCAATATTATTCTTGTAAGTTTCCTGACCTTCTAGATCAATAGGTTTAATTGTCTTAGGTATCAAAATGTTACACAATTTTTTTATTATATCTCTTAAAAATATAAACTCTCTTTACTTTGTTTTATATTAACTTTAAGCTCATAAAACATGCTCAAATATTTGCATGACATCATAAAACATGTTTAGATTAAGGAAGTCTCAGTACATAAATTGTACCTATTATTTATAGGTTATAAGTAAACTCAAATCATTAATTTTGTTCTTCTTTTATTACTCCAACTTAATACATATTAGTGTAATCTCTAATGGGTAGGGAAACAATTTAATCTGCATGTCTTCTTGCTGTAAATGTTTGAATATAATTCATATTATTACAAATACTTCTGGCAATTTTCAGAATCCAAATAGCTACTCTTCAATTTGTTGTGTATTAAAACGTGTTCAACAGTTTTATTAACTGCAACAGTTTTATTAAAAGTACAAAAAAGCACAGCAACTTAAGCATTCTGTAGAGAAAGATCTTTAGAAGAGCTTCATAAAATTGCTGAGTAATCAATTGCACGTAAATACACTGTCTCACCATTCTATCTTCCTTTAATATATCATAATTTAGTACTAATTTGATAGATTATAACCTATGAGAACCTCTAAGAAATTGGCATATTAATTTGAACATTCTAAATGTGATATTCTTAATCCTTTGACGGTTTATTTGAATGATGAGATAGCTATTATTGAGGACTAAATCGAGGTAGATATGAGTATTACAAGTGGGGGCTTTAGAGAAAACCAGAGGAAGTATGAAATTTGTATCTTTCTCCACTATCACTGTTACAAATTAATTTGAGGGAGGCTTAAACTGGTCATCTGTAAAATGAGTAAAATATTTATTATCTCTTAGGGTTTTTGTAAGGATAAATTAAATGTATATAAAAGCCTTAACACAGTGCTTGGCCCACAAGAACTAAACAACTTTTAACTTAAAAAAAAAAAACTTATTAAATGAACATTACACATAATTCAAATGTCCATCTATCTATCATTCAACCAAAATTTAAGATGTATCTACCTTGAGCTTAGAACTAGAAATAATTTCTAGTTGCTCCATATCCTTGCCAAAACTTCATAGGTAAACATTCTAATTAACGTGTTGTGGTATCTCAATGTGATTGAATTTGCATTTCTCTAATGAATACAAATGTTGAGAATCTTTTTCACGTGCTTATTTTCCATCCATATAACTTCCTTAGTGAAGCACCTGTTTAAAATTTTTGTGCATTCTTTTAAAAAATAGATTAATTTTCTATTATTAAGTTTAGAGAGCTCTTTATAAATTTTGGATATAACTCCTTTATTAGATATGTTACTTGCAATATTTTCACCCTCTCGGTCTTCTCATTCACTTAAAAGTGGCTTCCAAACAGCAGAAGTTATTAATTTTGATGAGAGCAAATCTGACAGAGAACATCATGCTTTTTGTGTCATATCTAATAAATGTTTTGCCTATCTTCCAAGCCTGCAGTGATTTTTTTTTTCCTGTTTTCCTCTAGAAGCCTTACAGCTTTTTAGGATCTATATTTAAGTATATGCTCCATTTTGAGTTAATTTTTGTATATGGTATGGTTTGATGTTTATTTTGTTTAGGCAAATGGTTCCATTACCATTTGTAAAAAAAAGACTACCCTTTCTGCATGGAAGGTATTTTGCATTTTGTCAGAATTCAACAGATCATCTATGTGGAAGTCCATCTCTGGATTCTATTCTGTTTCATCAATTTATTTGTCTATATACAAATATGACAAATAATATCTTTACTATAATATCTTTTAAGACTTGAAGCCAGGTAGTTTAGGTCCTCCAAATTTGTTCTTCTTTATTAAAGTTGTTTTGGCTGTTTCCTTTTCATATGAATTTTAGAAAAAAATCATTACTTTCCACAAAAATGCCAGTAAGAAGTGAGATTTAGATTTCATTGAAAATACAAATCAAAATTGTTACCTTGACAATATTGGGTCTTCTGATCCATGAGCACAATATCTCTTCATTTAAATCTCTTTAATTTATCTCAATGTTAAGTAGCTTTCAGTGTAGAAGCTGTCAGATTTATTCCTAAGTTATTTCCTATTTTTTAATACTATTGAACATGATATTTTAAAAATTTGATTTCCAATTGGTTGTTGCTAACATATGATAGGTTTTTGTATACTTACCTTGTTTCCTACAACCTTGCTAAAATCACTTAGTTTTTGTACCGTTTTTGGAGAGTCTATAGGATTTTCTATACACATGATCATGTCATTGGTGAATAAGGACTGTTATTTCTTCCTTTCCAAAATGTGTGCTTGAATTACTTTTTCTTGCCTTATTGCACTAGCTAGAATCTTCAGTATGATGCTGAATAGAAGTAGTGAGAATAAATGTTCTTGTTTCCATCTTCATCTTTCATCATTAAGAATGATGTTAGTGTGGGATACTATGCAGCCGTAAAAAAGATGAGTTCATGTCCTTTGCAGGGACATGGATGAAGCTGGAAACCATCATTCTCAGCAAACTATCACAAGGACAGAAAACCAAGCACTGCATGTTCTCATTCACAGGTGGGAATTGAACAATTAGATCACTTGGACACATGGTGAGGAACATCACACACCAGGGCCTGTTGGGGCATGAGGGGCTGGGGGAGGGATAGCGTTAGGAGAAATGCCTAATGTAAATGACGAGGTGATGGGTGCAGCAAACCAACATGGCACATGTATACCTATGTATCAAACCTGCACGTTGTGCACATGTACCCTAGAACTTAAAGTATAATAATAAAAAAAAAGAAAAAGAATGATGTTAGTGATAGGTTTTCTATAAATGTCCTCTATCAGTTGGGGAAATGACTCTCTATTTCTAATTTCTTTAAAGTTTTAAAAGAGAATGGATGTTGGATTGAGTCAAATGCCTTTTCTGCATCTTCTCAGATGATTATTTGATTTTCTTTTTAATATGATCAATTACAATGACTGATTTTTGGATATGAACTCAACCTTATATTCCTGAGATAAACCTCATTTGGTCATAATGAATTGTCCTTTTAACATTCTGTTTAATTTGATTTGCTAAAATGTTATGTATAATTTCTATATCTATATTAATAAAGGAAATGAGCCTGTAATTTTATTTGTTTGCAGTGTCTTTGTCTGGTTTTGATATCAGAAGTATGCTGGTCTCATTGAATGAGTTTGGAAGTATTCCCTTATCTTTAATTTCTAGAAGAGTTTGTATTACTTCTTCCTCCAATGTTTGGTCAAATTTGCAAGTGAAGCCATCCAGACCTGGAGTTTTCTTGGTAGTAGTATTTTTAAGTACAAATTTTATTTCTTTAATAAATATAAAGCCCTTCAAATAATCTATTTCTTCTTGAGTGTGCTTTGGCAGTTGTCTTCTTACAAGAAAAGTTATTCATAACATTCTTTTATTATTCTTCTAATATAAGTAAAATCTGTAGTGATGTAACCTTGCTCATTGTTGATTTTGGTTATTTGTATCTTCTCTCTTTTTCCTAATCAGTTAGGCTAGAGGTTTATCAATTTTACTGATCTTCTCAAAGGACTACTTGTTTGTTTCATTAATTTTTCTCTATTGTTTTCTGCTGCCTGTGTCATTGACTTATGCTATCATCTTTATCATTTCCTTTCTTCTACTTACTTTGGGTTTCACTTGGTTTTCTTTTTTTAGTTTCTTAAGGCAGAGCCTGATTTCACTGATTTGAATTTTTTTCTTTCCTTGTATAGACATTTAGTGCTATGAATTTCCCTCTAAGTGCTATTTTAGTTATATCCCACAAATTTTGATATGTTTTGTTTTCATCTTCACTCAGTTCAAAATACTTCATAATTTCCCTTTTCTTTTTTAACTCATGCGTTATTTGGAAATAACTTTGTTACTAATTGCTAGTTAATTTCACCATCTTAAGACTTGTTTTATAACCCATAATATGGTCTAACTTTGTAAGTGAACCATTTGAATTTAAAGAGTATGTATTCACTGTTGAAGGATGAAGCATTTTTATAAAATTGTAATTATGCCCATTGGTTGATAACATAGCACAAGCCTTCTATATCCTAAAAGATTTTCTGTTGACTTGTTCTATTAATTATTGAGAGAGCATTGTTGACATCTCTAATTTCTGATTTTTATTCGAGAAGGACTAATCATTTACACTTACAGTGAATACTGATAGAGCTAGGTTTTAATCTAACCATTTTATTATCTGTTTTCTATGTATTCCATCTATTTTTTGCTCCTCTTTTCCTCTTTTTCTGTGTTCTTTTTGACCTCTCAATGTTTCTCACATATTCAAAATCTTTCCTATTCACTGTTTAGTCGATCATTTAAAAAACATGATTAACCTAAACTATAACCATAGTATAGCATTGTATAATACTCATGTTAAATATTAGTTTAATGTCTCTTACATAGCACATGTTCAGTGACACTACCATTGAATAAAAAATAACTAGATACTTATTGCATTTAATTTTGCCAAATATATTCTAATAACTGAGGGGTTAACTGAACTATCTTACTCAGAAAATTTCTATTTTTGCTAAAGGATCTATAGGAGATTTTATGAACCAACAGAATAATCTTGATTTAAAATGATGGCCTTCAGATTCCTAAATAATAAATTCACTGGCATTTACTTTTTTAAGGTGTAAGATTCAAACCAATCCATTAGCACTAAGAAGTCAAAATATTCCATTTGAGAGATGACACTAAAATAAGACATCTTTTTTGCTTAAAGAGATTTTATCAGGAAAATAATAATAAAGTTCTAAAATTGGCCCCTATTCAGAGAGATACAGCTGATTTTCTCACTCTCATTTACAATATACTCTCTTAAATACTGTCATATATTTATCTAACATCTTAATTGTTACAGTGGAATTGAAGAGGTTTATAGTTAAACTGGATTTATAAGTACACAAGAACCTATACTATAAAGTATGTCTTTAAAAAGCATACTTTATGAATATATGCAAAAATGAGTGGACTATATAGTCACTGAGGAGTAGTAAAAAGGAATCTAGAAAGAATGAAAAGTCTTTATGTAGAAAGCAACAGGGAAAGAATAAAGTCTGTAAGCTAATAGAATTAGCTTCAGGCAAGAGACTGCTGTTCTAGTAACTAGCCTTGTAGAATTTTACTATATATATAACTTAAAAAAAAAAAAAAAGAAACTACGTAAAAGAAAAAGTGAATTATAAGTGTAGAAAAAAATCACTGTAAAAACAAAAAGTAACTTTACCTGATCATCGTTTTCATCTGAAAAGGTTATTGATGTAAGCTTATAGTTATTCTTCAATAAAAATTCATTGACTAAGAAGTTTAGAGCTCTCTTTTCAAGAGGTTTGATTGGCTCCTGGAAGCAAAATAAGAGGCAAACAGGAAATCATAAGTATTCCTCCTTCAATATTTATGTTACCATTTAATGTGGAAGATTAATTTTACATTTGTCTTCTGTCACCCACCTGAATTTCAGGACTTGATTTGTAATTTTTTCGTTCCTGTAAAGGAACTTCATGTTCTGGTGGAAAAAAACATAAGTACTATTTTACTATTTTACATTTTAAAATATCTCAGCTACTTCTACATTGTCAAAGTTGAAAAGTCTCAAAAAAGTTTTATGTACACCACCTGCGGCCTTTGTCAGGTTGGCTCGGAGGGCCTGAATGGTCTCCTTGGCTTTCCGTAGTTCAAACTCCAGGACTGGACAGGGATTTGGAATAAACACACACAGGCATCCAACCAAGAAAAGGGAAACAAAAATTAAAAAATAAAAAGCAAGGATGGGTATGAAAAAAAAATACAATTTGTATTGAAAACAGAAAGCATGCAATCTTTATGAAACTTGTGAACGCATGCAGCAGAGTTGATTTGCAAGCAAACTGGTGAATGTTTTCCATAGTTTTAGTAGAATTCAGGGGGTTATTATCAAATGTTCTAGCTGTCTGACAAGGAATAGCTCTATTTAAAAATAAAATCTATGGCATACTCTCATTTAGATAAATAAAAATATTAATAATCTGGGTACTTCTGCTTTATTCAGTCTAGGTAAGAAATGTAATGGATGTGTGCAGGTGACATAATTTCAGGGGATAAGGTAAAAATTAGATGAAGCCCAAGCAAATATTCTTAAAAAGAAAAACTTAGGATTTTTTTTTTACAAAAGTTAACTTAAAATGCATTATCTAGAATAATGTTATAAATCAACGTATAGAGACGTTAGTGAATAGTTCCCTTCATTAGGATGTTGAAGGAATATGGTTTCAATATTTAACAAATGTCGTGATGCCTATACATTTTTCTACAAACAAGAGTATGTTTTCTAAAAACAAACACAGATACATCAAACACATATCAAAAAAAAAAAAAAAAAATCCAAAACCCCAAGGGTTTTATTTTTCATTTAGAGCCACAGGATAGAAACAGTTTCACTTTTAATTCCTAATTAAGATAATTCTATAGCAAATGAATGTGTACATTTCTAAAAGTATAGTTTTCTAAGGATACTGAGTAGGATTAAGTAGAATTTCAAAGTTTCTGATAACTCTTCTAATAGATTTGTTCATGTTAAGAGGTACTAGTGAAACTCAGGATTTCTCCTATTATCACAGAGTGTGATTATGACATAAATATGAATATTGAGGAAACATTTTAATAAGCTCTTTAAAATGTTAGACTTGAGAAAAAATATATTTCTGAGAAGTAAAGCTCTGGGAAAATTAAGTGATCTTTGCCACAAATGAATATTAAGAAATTACAGTAGTTAAATCATTCTGCATAAAAACTGGAACTGAAGGTTTCATCTTAAAGATGCAATTTTTTCCTAACTGACTAATACACATAAAAAAGATGCCAAATGAGATGTTATCAGAGCCACAGCTATAAAAATATATGGAAAAATTAGGATTCACTCAGTTTGCACATTTTCAATAAAAACAAGATGTAATTGAATCACATCTAGTACACAAAGGCCAATTATTTTGATGCACAGAATTTAACTGCAGCAACATGGAAGCACCACTAAAAATCAGATGACATCGTATGTTACTTTATGTTTTTTGGTAGTCAGCAATGCTGATCTGCAAATACTTCTGTGCAACAAAGTTAAACATTTTCCTTAACATTTACACTTCCGGAAACTCTTAGAGTTGCATTGAAGTAAGACTGGACACATTCAGTGTGTAAGGTAAGTACAGAATAGGTTTACACAGCATGTTGGTTTACTTTTTTTTTTTTTTTACATTTTAAAACTCTAGGCAATTGATTTTGATTTAAAAATATCTAACTGTATCTTAAATAAATATATATATCATGCTTTTGATATCACTTAAAATTTTCTAAGACATTACAGAACAATTGCAGATCAGAAGTGCCCTACGCCAGAATGATAGAAATATGAAAAAAAAAAAAAAAAGAAAAAAAGAAAAAAAAACTGGTTAAAACACAAACTGGGAAAAAACTCAAAATGCAATTGGTGAAAGTTTAGGTGACCAAGAGTAAAACACTGAATGATTAAGGCACAGAAAGCCAGAAAAACCCATGTCAGACGGCAAGAATTTATATTTTTATGCACATCTACATATATATTGCCAAATGTCATTAGAATTTACCAATACTTTGAAAAGATAATACTTATCAATATGAATTCACTCTGCTGCATGTTTCTTAATATACAATATAGACTTTAAAAGACAAAGGCGTATGTTTGAATCTATAGTACATTTCTATAAAGGCATAATATGATCAAGTAATTGCAGTTACATGAGAAAGTTTCAAAAGAAAGGTTAATAGCAATGTTGTATTTACAGATATATGAATGTATCTTCTTTATTAGCATTAGATTAAAGCTAAAAATTAATTATCCTGTAAAGAGAGACATTGTGCGGAACAACCTTGCAAATATTTTTCAAATATTGTAATCCTTCCTAAAAATATTTGAGGATATGTATGTTTATTAAAAATGCTGCAGGAATGACCAACCAAGTGGCTCATAGTCCAACTCTGCTGAATACAATTTTACTAGAACTAAAGTAATAACTGCAAAGATGTAGATGTATATTAACATCGCATATTATAATCTTACCAAAATAGTTAACACTTAAAAGTCAGTATAAGCAACTCCAGATTAGTTGAAACAGTTATTTCTCAAACTGCACTGGATAATACTGTAGTATATTAGAGGCACTTGAGTGCTTAAAGATTATGCTTTCATGACTTATGAGATGTACAACTATGTGGAGACACCAAAGGTGGAATGTGAAATTTCAAAGTAGAAATAAAATATCAATACTTTGTTGTCCAACTCAATTCATCACTAATATTATCTTGAAATGCTTGCTAGACTTAGTTCTTTTTGGCCCACACTCAAAATATTGCTGTATTTTAAAAGATCTTTTCCATAACACTGGTCTGAAGAAGTATTTTTTCATTCCCATTCTAGTTCATTATTGATGAGTTCCAATCAATAGGTCTGAGTCATCTATTTTGCTATGTAAAATTGTCTTCTTTCAAGTCAGAATTTTCTGGAATTTTTTTCCTGACTATAAGGTGATTTGAAATAACACTTTCCCGTCTTTAATACTTATTTTAGTATCCCAGAACAGTTGTAAGAAAAGAAAAAATTCTCTTTTCAATTTTCATAAGAATATGAGTTAGAATAAAAACCCGTCCCTAAAATAATACAAAAGTCCTAAGGCAGTACTATCATCACCTTTACTAGGTTTAGAAAATTCTCCCTGCCAATTATAGACTTGAGAAACTTAGTACTGTTAGGCATGACTTAGCAATAAATAAGTGAAAGCAAGATGCAATCTCCATAGTTTGTAGATACTTGTTTTTCTATATTCAACTTGGTGGGAACAAAGCATCCTCTTTCCCACAGCCTTAAAAAAAATTCTTCCCACTATTGTTCTTTCTGCTTGAGTTCCTCTATCACTCATCTCAAAGTTGGTGTTTATCCATGTATCATCCTTAGACATTTTCTTAATTTACACACTTCACTGGAATGACTTTCACTCTGGTGGTTTTAAGTTTCACAAGTACTCTGAAGACTCCGAAATTTAAAAAATCTTTTCACAAGACACCGACCTACCCAGTTATCTCCTGGACATGCCCACTTGAATGTCTCATAAATTACTAGTTCAATATTATCTATGGATTTCATCATCTTCCTTTCAAATGTGGTTCTCCTGCAGTCTCTCCAATAATGGCACCATTATTGACCCAGTTGGCCAAATGGGAAACCTGAAGATGACTATTCACTTATTCCTTGCCCTTACTCTCACACTAATTAAATGTTTAAGCCATACTGATTCCAACCTTTAATAACTCCTGAAATAACCATTCATCTACACTGTCTCTGCAATTGTCATAGTTCAGACCTTTATGACTTAATATATAAATTACTACAATAACCTAAAACCCTAAAGACTGAAAAATCATACAGAAAACCATGATTTTCTAAACTTATCTAACCATGAAACTCTTTTTCTTTTTTCCCACTTTTGTTTTTTCCCTATGAAATGAACATTCTCATGAAATACACTTTTAGCAATGTTAATCTAAAGATAAAACCCTCCTTCTCCAGCCCACTAAAATTTAATGAACATATAATCACTTTTATTTTTAGATTAAATATAACCACCCACCACAATGATGTATTCTTTTTTTCCTCTCTGAGCCTATTTTAATTTCATGGTGACGAATAACAAGAAATCTATTTTCAAAATGCTATTTATCTTCTTTACAGCCTTGTTGGAGCACCTATCCTATTTTAAATCTGACAAAATTATGAAATAAGATTTAGATATGGTTTAAATCAAGAAAATCAAAATGTACTGCTAATAGGAAGGAAAAGATTTATCTGTACCTAGGGAGAAACAAAATTAGAAGCCAAATAGGCTTATTTAATCCTGATAAAGCTGGATATGGATGCTGCCAGGCCATTACCTAAGAAATGAGAAGCCTACTTCTAATCCAGGGGACAGGGACAGGTGATCCTACAGCAAAAATCTAAAGACCATTTTAGAATGTCTACTAGATTATGTAAGCTTCCTAAAGGCTTCATATGTCTGTACTATTGACCGTTGTTCCAAGAGTAGCATAATGCTTGAACTATAGAGAGGGCACTCAGCAAATACTTGCTGAGTATGAATGGACATTCCGATACTTGATGTGACATGTGATAAATCTGAAACATTAACTGATCTTACCAGCATTCAGGAATGTCTTTCCCTACAAATCAGAAAGCATAGTTCTAGTTCTCCAGATCTCAAAACAGAGTTAAGGTGTGAACTAGAGAAGTAATTCAGTAATAGAGATATGAGAACATATCTGATGCTAAAAGATGGATCTTGTGAACCTGAAACAGGAATATAGGGGGGTTCTAAAATCAACAAGGTCTCTATTACCATTTCCAACGTACTGAACTTGTATCTGTTATGACAGATATAGACATATTTCAGACAAATTCCTGAAGAGCAGAAACGTTATCTATCTTGTATGTCTACATAGAAACCTAACACATAGTACCTAACACGTAGCAGATGCTTGAAATGCCTAAAATAAGTTAAATAATGGCTATCTCGATATTTAGAATACAGATATCTCTTGTTACCTTTAAAAAAACTAGAAAATTGAAGAGGTACATTGTATATGCACTAAGTACAGTAGTTTTGTTTAATAACATAGAGAAAGGCTTTTACTTAAAATGAAAAATCACCTATATTAAACTCATTGGTTTGGTGTCTGCTACTACTTAAATCATTTTATATAAAAATGTATGCTTCATATGAAAACTAAATTGAGAAATGGAAAATATCTAAAAAAGTTTTTAAAATTTTACTTTTCTAAGAAAATGGCTCTGTGAAATAGTTTCATATAAGAAAGACAAGAATATGCTATCCACATGAATATACAGATGGGTCAGAACTACAGCCTGGTACTAAAAGATCTATTGTGGGCTCTGGAATAAAACCTCTATGTGATACATCCTGATCATGCCCCTTACTATATGGAAGCTACTGGGCAAATTTCTCAACCTTGGTATAAGCATTAGTTTTCTAGGCTTATAGAAACTATAAACCTAAAAATGACCTATTTTGCAGCATTCCTAACAAGATTAAATAAAATATTTTATATAAAGCACCTAGCATAGTGCCTGGCATGAAGTAGGTACTTAATAAACATTTGTTCCTTTAGAGATCCCTTCCTCTTTGAAGGAATATGTGTGCAGATGTGAAAAAATAACCAGACTTTTAAATCTAGGAGAAAGGTGGTAAGAATGCTGCCGAAAACAAATCTAGTATCTGTCTCATAAATTAACAGCTGATTAAGGGTTAGAGGAGACCCTTCATTTGCCAGGTGGGTAAACAGACTCATTAGTGTGTTATCCACAAGCTCCTTCTACCCAGCATTGCTATAGGAAAATAATACAGATGTTTGTTCTTAGATGTCTCTTTATTCTTCTTCTTTTTGCCTCATATCATAGTAACAGACACAGTTTATTCTGTTATCCTACAGAAGCTTATTTCAGAGCTTCTGCCAATTTGGGTAGATTCAAATGAGAAATTCTAACACTTTAAGTCACAGAAGCTTCAAAATTAAATCATTGGGAGATGGAATTTACAATTAAAAGAGTGGAAAGATTTGAAAAATCTGCAGCCTGTCCATGTAAAGATTGAAAACGTATGTTCAGAGAACAAACCAAGGGTGTGGTAAGTGGCCATTTGATAAGGATATGAGTAGAAGGAAGCCAGGTAAGACATCAAGACAATGGGAGAAAGACCTTGAAGCCATTGCAGAGCTCTTTCAGGCTGTCCCTCCTATCACAGGCCCAGAGTTCTAGGGGGGTAGAGTAGTTTTGGGAGGCAGGACCAGAGTGCCCTCCATGGTTTTACTGCTCAAAGTCCCCTCAAAACTCTGCTCCCTGCATTCTGGTGCAGTACTCCTTGGCCACTCCATCTATGGCTCCAGCAGGTCCAAGTGAGGCTTGTGGTGCAGCTCCAGAGGGTGCAAGCAGTAAGCTTTGGCAGCTTCCTTGTGGTGCTGACTCTGTAGACATGCAGAGTGTATGAGCTATGGGGTCATGGCAGCCTGCACCTAGATTTCAAACAATGTATTGGGAAGCCTGGGGGCCCAGGCAGAAACCTACTGCAGGGTCAGAGCTGCCACAGAGTCTCCATCAGAGCAATGTCAAGAGGAGCTGTGGGAGTAGGACCACTTCTGCGACCCAGAACTGCAGAGCTACCAGCTTGCAGGAGTAGCCTGGGAGAGCTGCAGGCACAAGACTCCAAACCATGAGGAGTTAATGAGGTTTACGTGTAATTCAATGGCAGATGAAAGACAATTATCTTTTCCCAATTACTGGCCTTTTGATAGGCTTTTCAAGTAAAAGCAAAGAGTCACAATCTTTTTGGAAATAGGAATTATGATTAATTGAAATTTTTTTAAAAAAAGTTTCATCTACACACACATTTGGTTCAATAACAAGCCATGGTACATGAGCACTAAAAGACTGAAAGATATTCTCTTGGGATTATATATGCTCTTCTTCCTCCTTTTCCTATTGAACATGAATCACAGCATTTATTTATATATGAGCACAGTACAGCAATTAAAGGTTATTTTATTTCTCCAAACTTAAGAGAAATAGTATATTCTATAGGTTAAAAATGTAAGGTCTGCTGTCTTATGATAGTCTCAAATTAAAAAAAAAACAGGCCAAAACTATCACATATTTAATATATTTCACTCCTAGTTGTGCAAATCTGAGGCTTATCCAGGTCCACTACCCTTTGCTCATTGTCTCTCAAAAAGCATTTAGGTCAGACAGAGAATATGAACCTTTTTACTCTGCCTTCTAATAAAAAGTTACACAGGGAAAGAAAACGTTATGTACACAGTGAAATTTGGTCAGAGGAACTTCTATTTTCTTCTTCTCTTCTACCTATATTGACATAAATAGAGATTATACCAAACAATTAATGATCTTTTTTTTTTTTTTTTTTTTTGAGACTGAGTCTCACTCTGTCACCCAGGCTGGAGTGCAGAGGTATAATCTTGGCTCACTGCAACCTCCACCTCCTGGATTCAAGCAATTCTCCTGTCTCAGCCTCCTGAGTAGCTGGGACTGCAGGCACACGCAACCATGCCCAGCTAATTTTTGTATTTTTAGTAGAGATGGGGTTTCACCATATTGGTCAGGCTGGTCTCGAACTCCTGACCTCAGGTGATCGACCCGCCTCTGCCTCCCAAGTGCTGGGATTACAGGCGTGAGCCACAGCGCCCGGCCTAATGATCATAAATTTATGCTAAACATTTTGCGTTTATGTCAGTTTCCCCCTAATTAGAAGTACTAAAATATCTAAATAATGAAAATAATAATAAACCTCTTCAATTTTACTCAATCTAAAATATAAGTTTTAATAAGGAAATTAAAGGAAAAAACATAATTATATGGATAACTTCTGGGTAGGAGTTATTTTTTAATATGTAACAATTTGTACAATAAAACTATACAACACTAGATATAGTCTCTAAATAAACTAAAATGCCATATATTTTATAATATAAATAGCTAATATATATAACAAGTGCTATTTAATGAGTGATACAATTAGGATAAATTCATCCTAAAATTTGAATTGTAAATTTTTAGATATTACCAATGTGATTTGCCACTTTGATACAGTTGTCAATAAATGATGCTCATAACTCAACCATGATTTGACATGGAGAGCCACATTAAACTATTCTAGTGATTTCCCCATTACATGGATATTCTGCTATTATTTATATTGCTGAATCTTCTCTCAGAAAAACAATTACATTTTTTTTCTAACTCATATAACACTGTCTGAGATTTTAAAATATTCAATATCTCTAGTCTTGAGCAAGGAATGAAAATCATTTATTGGAATGACATTTTAAATTAGATCAAACCTAATCTTTCATGCCAAGAGGTAGCAAATAATAGTCAATCGTAGACTGTTCCTGGGCTATGTGGATTTGAATCCTAGCTCTGCTACTAAGTCTTACATAATTTCTCTCAGAGCCTCAATATCCTGGGGAGAGGAACAAGATAACAGTTCTATAACTCAGTGAGTTAATATAAATTTAGAACAGTGTTTAGAATGGAACAAATGTTATATAAGAATTAGCACTCATTTTTATTCATAATGACCACGAGGGTTAAGCATTTGGTATGTTTTAAAAAACTTGTCCCAGTAAATGGAAGAAAAATTCAACAGAGTTGGTCAAAACAGAAATCACATTATGGGTATTCTCTGACCCCATATTTTTTTCACAGACCGTGTGTGTCCCATGTGGCATCCCTTTTGTTCCAGAAGTACCTACCATTTTGATGGAGCTCAAGATACCCAACTGATGTCTGTCTGCTTTCTCCATCTCTCTCAAAGCCTAAGTCTTATGAAAACTACAATTCCTGCAAGGCACTCAAGAATGATTTCAATGGCAGACAGACACAGACTTGAGGCACCAGAACGGTAGCAGATATTTACACTCAAGGAGCCAAGGCTGCTAACGGGGTGAATTCCAAAGTGGACCCCTAGCAAATTCCAATGGGGCTTATCTGGTGTAGGCAGAACACAGGGTACAAACTGATCCTCTGAAGTCCCTACAGATCCAATGGTGGTGCCTAGAAGGCAAGACTGGTATGGGAGAGAGGATGGGGGGATGGGAAGGGAGGAAGATTGAAATTAGCAACCAAGCAATTAAAAAGGATGTTGTCCTTCTTATTGGGATGGGCAGTGTCCTGGAGGCCCTTACTGGACCAATCATTAACCCTCTTTAACCCTCTTTTTTTTGGATCATAGCAAAGTCAGAAATTTCTGAAGACATGCTGTGATGGTTGGTGAGCACTCAGGGAACTCAAGGCAAAGTTTTAGCAACAAGCACAGAAGTATTTTAACCTTTTTATTTTATTTATTTATTTATTTGCTTATTTATTTTTTTTTAATTTAAGAGATTAAGTGTCATTATGTTGCCCAAGCTGGTCTCAAATTCCTGGCCTCAAGCAATCCTCCCACCTCAGCTTCCCAAATAGCAAATAGCTGGGATTACAGGTGTGAACCACCATGCCTGGTTCAAAACCAATTTTTAACAATCAATAGAGTTGTATTGGTACACAAATATGACTATCAGCCCTGGTTTGGAGGATCAAAGGAATGAGGCTAAGGTTCAACTTTGTCTTGGACCTGTCATACATTAGTTTTACAACTGTGTGGTTGTAAACTGCTGGCTCCAAGTATAACTTAGCAAATTATAGGGATACATAACCAGAAACTCAGTACCACAAGAAGAAAAAGTTGGGGAACCCCCAAACTTGCAGTAAATTAGTAATTAGTAACATAACTTTGTATAATAACTATATATGTTATAGTCACATACCAAACTGTAGAAGGAAAAAAATTCCTCAAGCCATTTCATTATTTCTGGAATGTCAAAGAATCCAAATCTGTCCTTACAATTTTACTCACCTGCCACTTTTTCATCTGTTTCCCTGTTACCATCATCTGAATATCTTGCAAAGTCTAAAGAATCAAGGGTACTAATGCTCCCAGCTCGATCTATAATAAAGAGAAATATAAAAGTTTTTTAATTTAATTGTTAAAATAAGGAACAGGAATTCAAATACTTATGATTATTTCCAGTTAATAAACCTGGAATTCTAAGATCCAGGAATTCTTTTAAAACAACAACAACAGAACAAAGTAAAAATGCTCACAGCAATCAAGTTACTTTAACTAAGTTTCCCTGCCCAAATCTCCGGCCAACTCCCAAATAATGCACACACAGGGAATATTGCAAGCAGCCCAGGCAAGGACAAAACAAACAAACAAAACAGAAGTTTGAGCTGCCACCTAAGAAAGAGTTTACAGATTGAACAAGTGCCTACTGAAAGAACAGAATCCAGTCTTCACGGCCTAACACACACATTATCCATCACACAGTCAAAAATTACTTGATACACAAAAACCAGTAAAATGTGATCCACTCCAAGAAATAACACAATCAATGGGACCAACTCCTAGATGATACCAGGACATAATGGTAAAATCAGTAGACTAAGATTTTATTATAGCTAGTATAACTATGCTCAGTGAAGTAAAGGAATATATGTATACAATAAACGAAAGGAGTTAATATCTTAGCAAAAACTATGGAATGTAAAAAATGCTAATAGAAATTCTAGAACTGAAATACAAGTATCTGAAATTAAAAATGCCTTGTACAGCCTAATCACAGAATGGAGATGAGAGAGGAAAGGGTCAGAAATCTCAAAGATGGATTAATGGAAATTATTCAATCTGCAGAATACAGACAAAAAAGATTGAAAAGAAAATTAACAGAGCCTTAGGGACATGTGGAACAATAAAAAAGGTCTAACATATGCAGAATTGGAATCCACAACTGATGAGGCAAGAGATGGGGTAGGTACAGGTTCAAGGTCAGAGAACATCAAGGAGGGTAAGTAAAGAGAAGAGAAACTTAGGCACCTATTAATCAAATAGCGAAAAACCAAAAATTTAGAGAAAATATTAAAAGCAGACAGAGAAAAACAATGTTCTCATAGAGGGAAACAATGATGTGAATGACTGCTGATTCCTCATAAAAAACCATGAAACCAAAAACATCCAGTTTGGAAAAGAACAAGCAAAACTACTGCTATTCACAGATGACATGATGTTATATATAAGAAACTCTCAGGAATCCACTGAAAAACATTAGACGTAACAAATGAGTTTTTCAAAGTTGCAGAACATGGGACCAATGCACAAAAATCAGTTGGATTTTTATACATTAGCAATGACAATCCAAAATTAAAACAAAGACAAGTTTCATTTCCAAACACATCAAAAAAATTTTAAGAATACATTTAACAAAAACATGCAAAATGTATACAGTAAAAACTACAAAACATTGTCCAAAGAAATTAAAGATGATCTAAATCAACAGAAAGACAGCTCAGGCTTACAGATAAGAAGATCCATATCAGAACAGCAATATTCTACAATTAATCTTCAGATTCAATGCAATTCCTATCAAAATTCTAGCTGCCTTTTTTTTTTTTGCAGAAATTGAGAACTTGATGCTAAAACTCACATGGAAACAAAAAAGTCTCAGAATAGCTGAACAATCTTGAAAAGGAATAAAGATGGAGGACTGATACTTCCTGATTTCAAACTTAAGAGTAATCAAGGCAGCACAGTTTTGGCATACAGATTCAGAACAATGCAATAGAATTCAGAGTCCAGAAATAAGCCCTTACATTTATGGTCAAGTAGTTTTTGACAATAGTACCAAGACATTTCACTGGAGGAAAGAAGTTTTTTCAACAAATTGTGCTGGGCCAACTGTATATCTACATGTAAAAAAAGGAAATTGGACCACTACTTCACATCACAAGCAAAAATGGATCATAGACCCAATGTAAGTGAAAATTGCAAAACTTTTATTAGGAAATGCAGAAGCAAATCATCATGGCCTTGGGTTAGGCAATCATTTCTTAGATATAACACAAAGCATTAGCAATGTTGTAAGCAGAAAAATGGCTCCTCACAGATGTCCACATTCTACTCCTTTGAATGTGTGAATATGTTACTTTACATGGCAAAGGTGAAGTGAGGTTATTATTAAGATTGCTTATCAGCTGACCTTAAAAAAGAGACATTATCCTGGGTTATTCAGATAGACCTAATGTAATCACAAAGATCTTGAAAAGTGGAGGAGGGCCATGAGCCAAGGAATTCCGGCATCCTCTAGGACCTGGAAAAGGCTTCCCCTAGAGCCTAAAACCTCCAGAACTGCCAATACCTTGATTTTAGACCATTTAGCTCAACGTGAGACCCACTGTGAGATTTCTACTATGCAGCCATAAAAAAGAAGAAGATCACGTCTTTTGTGGGAACAGCTGGAGGCCATTATCCTTACCAAACTAACGTAGGAACAGAAAGCCAAATACCACATATTCTCATTCATAAGTGGGAGCTAAATGAAGAGAACACATGGACACAAAGAAGGGAACGACAGACACTGGGGCCAACTTGAAGGTAGAGGGTGGAAGGAGGGAGAGGAGCAGAAAAAATAACTACTGGGTACTAGGCTTAGTACCTGAGTGACAAATTAATCTGTACAACAAATCCCCGTAACACAACTTTACCTATATAACAAACCTGCACATGCACCCCCGAACCTAAAATAAAAATTAGAAAAAAAAGAACCATGAGGTAATAAATTTGCGTTCTTCTGAGCTATGACGTTTTTGTCAACTTTTTAAAGTAGCCATAGGAAACTAATACCGTGATAAAGGAATGAACTGATAAACTAGATTTCATCAGAATTAAATTTTTTTTTTTTTTTTTGCTTTAAAAGTCACCATGAAGAAAGTGAAAACACAATCTACACAATGGAAGAAATACGTGCAAATCAAGTATCTGTTAAGGGCCATATCTACATGATATAAAGAATTCTTATAACTCAATAAAAAAGACAGCACAATTAAAAAATGGACAAAGCGTTCTCCAAAGAAGATATGGAAATGGCCAATGAATGAAGGAGAGATGCTCAAAAGGGAAATGATATTCATTAGGGAAATGAAAATCAAACCACAATGAGGTACATTTCAAATCAACTAGATGGTTGTAGTAAAAGAGATGGTAAGTTGCAGAAGATGTGGAGAAACTGAAACCCTCATACATCACTCTTCTTAATGTAAAGTGGTACAGCTGCTTTGGAAGTTTGGCAGTTCCTCCTTGAAAACATTATACTAAATAAAAGAAGCTAGACACATAAGGCTACATGGCTATATACTGTATGACCATTCATATAAAATGTCCAAAATTGGCAAATCCATAGAAACACAAAGTAGATTTTAGCTGGCATCATAGGAGAATGGGTAGTGACTGGTAATAGGTACAGGGTTTCTTTTGGGGTGATAAAAATGTTCTGGAATTAGAGTGGTGACAGTTGTACAATTTTGTAAATGCACAGAGAACCACCAAATTGTACACTTTAAAAGGGTGAATTGATGGTATATGAATTATTTTTCACTTTAATAAAAAGACAAGACAATAGTGTTGGTGACAATGTGAAGAAATTGGAATCCTTACATCTAGCTGGTGGGAATGGTATGGACATTTTGGAATACAGTTTAGCAGTTTCTTAAAAGGCTACAGAGTTATCTATCATAGGACAGTAATTCTACTTCCACCTAAAGAGAAAGGACAGTATATGTCCACACAAAATCTTGTACATAATTATTCATAGCAGCATTATTCACAATGGCAAAAAAGTGGAAACAACTAAATATCTGTCCATTGATAAATGAAGAAATAAAATGTGGTATATATCTGTACAATAGAATGTTATTCAGCAATAAAAAGGATGGAACTATTGAAACATGCTACAACAATGGATGAACTCTGAAAACATTATGCTGACAGAAGATAGTTATAAGAGAACCACATATTGTATGATTTCCATCTATATAAATTGCACAGAATAGGCAAATATATAGTGATAGAAAGTCTGTCTCTATAGACATAGAGATTAGTGATTGGGGGTTGAGGGGGAAAATGGAGTGTACGCTAATGGATAAGAGATTTGTTTTGGGGATTATGAACAGGCTGCAAAAGTAGATTAGGTAATGGTTGTACAATTCTGTAAATATACTAAAAATGAATGGAAATATACTAAAAACCAATGAATTGTACACTTTAAATGAGGCTGAGGTGGGAGGATCACTTGAACCCACGAGTTTAAGACCAGCCTGGTGGGCAACATAGCAAGACCCTGCCTCTACAAAAAAGTAAAGGCAGAAGGAAAGAACAAACAAGTGTATTGAGTTTTCCAAGTATGGACAAGTTGTGTATGAATAGCAGTTACAATGTACAGAAGCTGCGGGGCGGGGAGAGGGGGTGGTGGGTGGGGCGGGAGCAGGCAAGTCATGACAGCTGAGGCTAGGTAGGTTGTAAAGTAGCAGGAAGGACATTTTAACTGCTTCTCTATTAAATTTTACACACACAAAACTTTTTTTTATCCAGCTAATGTTTAAAAAGGGACAAATAAGAGGCTATTGTCAACCCTCTGTTAAATTGTTACTTACACAGTACTTAAAGTATACATATTGATCTAAGGAAATGGATTATTTGTGTATAGAAAGCACAATCTTGACAAATGAATGGAAGTTATAGGAATACAGATTTGGACTCCACCTTGGGCTCCCCCATCACCTTTTAAAACAGTTAGTACATCACAATAATCAAGATGGTTGACTCTTCAAATAGGGCTATGTCATTATCAATGTACCACTTGCCTTTAAATCCCTATTAGGTGAACTAAATGAAATTCTACATATATCATTCTTCTTAAACACTGTTTCTATCTGGAGAAACATTTAATTTCCCTGCAGTTTAATTATACCTGCTAAGTAATAGCTTGCAGGTTCTCCTTTACAAGCCTGGCCAACATGGTGAAAACCCATCTCTACTAAAAATACAAAAACTAGCCGGGTATGGTAGCAGGTACCTATAATCCCAGTTACTCTGGAGGCAGAGGTTGTAGTGACCTGAGATTGTGCCACTGCACTTCAGCCTGGGCGACAGAAGGAGTCTCCATCTCAAAAAACAAACAAACAAACAAAAACAAACAAAAAAACTTGCTATCTATCAACTCAAGTTTTTGTTTGTTTGTTTTGGAGACAGGGTCTTGCCCTGTTGCCCAGGCTGGAGTGCAGTGATAAAATCATGGCTTACTGCAGTCTCGACTTCCTGGGCTCAAGCGATCCTCCCACTTCAGCCTCCCAGTTAGCTGGTGGGACTATGAGCCACCAGGTCTGGCTAATTTTTTTAAAAAAATTATGGAGACAGGGTCTTGCCATGTTGCTCTGGCTGGTCTCAAACTCCTGGGTTCGAGCAATCCTCCTGCCTTGGCCTCCCAAAGTGCTGGGATTATAGGCGAGAGCCACCACACCCAGCCCAATTTAAGTTTTAAGACAACATAAACAAAAATAATGATGACAGAAAGCCAAATATTACAGTACTCTTCATTATAACATAGTTTCTTTCAGCACAAGCTAAGAAATACCAAATACAGTAACCACAGACATCTCAAAAAGTTAATATTAAAAATGTGCTGAACTCAGGACTACTACTTAGCAATTTAAAAATAAAATACTGACATGTGCAATAATATGAGTGAATCTCAAACGCTTTATGCTGAAAGAAGCCTTATAGGAGTACCTACAATATTTCATTTATATGAAGTTTTTAGAACAGGCAATAGTACTTTACGGTAGGAAAAAATTAATAGTGGTTCTTGTGGTAAAGGGCTAGAAGGGGTAGGAACTGACTGGAAAGGGCCTTGAGGGAACTTTCCAGGGTGATGGTAATATTGTATATATAATATGAGTTTGGGTTACTACAGGTACATTCTTTGTTCAAACTTATCAAATGGTACACTTAAGATTTATATATTTTACTCTCTTTAAATATTACCTCAAAACCTCCACAATTTTAAAATATTGAGCTCTAATTAATGACATGCATGATAAAGTATTAAGCGTACTGATATGTGCAACTTAATTTGAAAAGCATAAAAAATAAGATGTACTGTTGATGGAGAAATGGCTGAAAAGATGTATTGATATGAGATAAACCAAGTATGGTTAACTGGAATTAGGTGGTGGATGTATGGGTAAAAAATTCTTTCAACTTGTCTGTATGCTTTGAACTTTTCATAATAAAAAGTTAAAGAAATAAAACTTGAATGTATGGGGGTAAAATGAGCTAACACTGATCAGGATCCATTAATAATCAAGGTTGAATCCTGGAAAATAGCTATTCTTACTGTCTTAAATAAACAAACAAAAATTTTGTGTTTTTCTCCCTCTGTTTGAAATTGAACCAAAGCTAGACCATGAATCACTAAAAGAAAGGAAACAAATTTCAAAATATTGTGGATAAACTTTATAAGGCTTTTTACTAATAGACCTTTTAAATAACTGAAAATATAAAATGCTAAACTGGAATAAACCATTGGGTTATCAGTACGTCTGCCTTGGTAAATAACTAATATGACATATTATAAAATGGAGGGCTGGGTGTGGTGACTCATGGCTATCATCAGAGCGCTTTGGGAGGCTGAGGCGGGGGACTGTTTGAGGGGTTTGAGACCAGCCTGGGAAACGTAGTGAGACATTGTCTCTACAAAAAATCGAAAAATTAGTTGGGCATGGTGGCACATTCCTGCAGTCCCAGCTAGGAGGCTAAGGTGGGAGGATCACTTGAGCTCAGAAGGGTGAGGCTGTAATGAGCCATGATTGAGACACTGCATTCCAGCCTGGGTGACGGAGGGAGACTCTGTCTCAAAAAATAAATGCATAAATAAATAAAATAAAATGAAGTTCCTGGATTACTATGCAATACCTAAAATTTCCAGTTCTTTAAAATAAAATTAATCTAACTACTTTTCTCCAATATTTTTTATTACACTATAAATGATTATTCCTTCGAATTATTAAAAAAGTACTATAAATAATTATAAAATAAAAGTACATAGAAGACTAGATAAATCATCCTAACACCACTAAAACTGGGGATAAGGGCAGTATATCATCAAATTTTTTGCTTGAATTTCTAAATATTGTTTTTTGAATTTTCCCCCATATATAAGTATGTAAAGATATTTGTGTAAAAAATAGAATAAATTTATATATACAATCTTATATCTTGCTGTTTTTTTGAGATAGGCTCTTACCCTGTCACTGAGGCTGGAATGCAGTGGCATGATCATAGCTCGCTGTAACCCAAAACTCCTAGGCTCATGTGATCTTCCCGCCTCAGCCTTCCAAGTAGCTAGGACTAGAGATGTGCCACCATTGCTGACTAACTTTTTAATTTTTTTGTAGAGATGGGTCTCACTATGTTGCCCAGGCTGGTGTTAAATTCCTGGCCTCAAGCAGTCCTCCTGCCTTGGCTTCCCAAAGTGCTGGGATCACATATGTATTGTTTTTTAAAAATGAAGCTTATATAGTGAGAAATTGCAATATTATTAAGGCTACTGATAAAGTTGATTAAGGCTACTGCTAAATCGCTTTCCAAAATAAGTGTACATAGCAATCTGAATTCCAACAATAATATGTAACAGCATTTGTCAATGTTCAGTATTATTTTTAATCTTCACCAATTTAACATGCTATAAAATTATATTTTGTTTAATTATGTATCTCTTTGATTTCTAGTGAGCTTGGACATTCTTTTTTTTTGAGACAGAGTCTCACTCTGTCACCAGGGTGGAGTGCAGTGGCGCAATCTCGGCTCACTGCAACCTCCGCCTCCCAGGTTCAAGCCATTCTCCTGCCTCAGCCTCCCGAGTAGCTGGGACTACAGGCGCCCGCCACCACGCCCAGCTAATTTTTTGTATTTTTAGTAGAGATGGGGTTTCACCATGTTGGCCAGGATGGTCTCGATCTCTTGACCTCGTGATCTGCCTGCCTCGGCCTCCCAAAGTGCTGATATTACAGGTGTGAGCCACCATGTCCAGCTACATTCTTTCAAAAATATATTGACCATTTATTTTTGGGGTTTGTGTGTGAATTATCTATTCATGTCTTTTGATCTTGTATTTAATATCTAGATATTCCTGATATATTAGTTGATCTGGCCATTGCTGCCCTAAGCAGAAACTCCACTTGAGTACTATCTTCTCTTCTCTTAGGCCCATGTCGTGGCTCCTTATTAGCTACTCTGAAGTCTCTAACCTGCATAGGAAAACATGTACACTCAATGGTGAACTTTTATCAACCAATATTCTGGTGCTGTGATACCAGGCTTCATTGTTTTATTCCTGATTTTAATAGAATGTTAGGTATGGTGTTGGCTGTTAATTTCAGATAAATATTTCTTATTAGGTATCCATCTGTTATTAGTTTACTAAGTCTTTTTCATCTTCCTTCTAATATTTTAAATCATATATACAAGCCTAGATTAGAGCTACTTTGGTCATGAGACATTATTCTTCAATAACACCATTATTATTTCTCTAAAAGTTTTAAAGAACTCATTTATTCAACAGGGAGACTCTTGGGGGAAAGCAAACACACACTTTAATTTTCAACTTGGCATTATCATGGCCGTTGAAAAATATATTTTCTAATTTTTTCTAGTTCCAAGCCAACAACTTCATATTCTCCAGGAAAAAAAAGCTCTGATATCTTTTAATATAATAAATATGATGTCACAAAAGAAAAACAATCTCTCAATTCATTAAAATCTACTCCATCTTGTCAGAAAGAAAAATTATTTATGGAAGAAAGTAATTTTAACTTTGACTGGACTACCCTATATGTACTTTGGATTTTAAGACTAGTAACAGGTTATATTAAAGCTTCAAGGTAAATGTGCTTCTTTAGATTAAGCCACAATTCTTTTCCAGGAGAAGCAAATGCCTTTTGTTTTCCAAATGTCCTAATATACAAGAAGAGTTTGGGAAAATTAGCCTCTTTTATTAAGAATCTACCATATTCTAATATGAAGTATTTTAACTACAGAGCATTTCTTCAAATACCAGGATGCCTATTGTGTAACTTCTTAACAATTCACTTTATAACTCAGAAACAAATAATCAGGTACTTTCATCATAGTTGGTAAACTGGTAAAACCTGTTCATAAGTTTTATCAAGTCTGAGAACTAAACCTATTATACACAGTCGTGCAGATTGATGTTTTAAATCACATACAAAAGTAGTTTTATTTATATTTACATTTAATATTTTAGTACTGCTGAAAAATGTTTTTACTATAATTGAAAAACTTAGTCTCAGATCCTTGAAAACTACATGGCACTTTAAGAACCAAATGCATCAGAAAAACGGACCAGCTGTCGACTAATAAAAGAGTATTGGGTAATTTAAATATTTATTGAACAACTACTGTGAACTAGGTCACTGACAGGAATAGCAAAATAATTTTTTTAAAGGACATGGATATATAAGTCTAAGTAATCATGTTTATATATGCTTACATTTGCATTAATGTTTTTGTAAACATCCACAATACATTATTAATAATAACTGACTCTGAGAAGCAGAAGTACATTTTTCACTACATATTTCTCTTTGTATTATTTGAGCTTTTTGTTTTTACTTTTGGCATTTTCCCCCATAATTACATTTAATATATACTTTAATATGGGCACTTTATAATTTAAAAATCATGAAAGTATCCAATTCACAATTAAATGGAAAAAAAATCAAGCAATTCGCTTTATATTACAATTCTTTCAGTAAAGACGATTTATTCAACCATGCTTAAAAAAATCTGTCATGAGAAAGAAATTTATAATAATAAATTCAATAAATATAAAGATATTGCTAATAACAGACTTACTTTAAAAGTAATTCTATTTAAACCTGAGGTTGTGTGTAAACATTTTAAAATGTTATTCAAGGGCCGGGGGCGGTGGCTCACGCCTGTAATCCCAGCACTTTGGGAGGCCGAGGCAGGCGGATCACAAGGTCAGGAGATCGAGACCATCCTGGCTGAAACGGTGAAACTCCGTCTCTAATAAAAATACAAAAAATTAGCTGGGCATGGTGGCATGCGCCTGTAGACCCAGCTACTTGGGAGGCTGAGGCAGGAGAATCACTGGAACCTGGGAGGCGGAGGTTGCAGTAAGCCGAGATCGCGCCACTGCACTCCAGCCTGGGCAACAGAGCTAGTCTCAGTCTCAAAAAAAAAAAAAAAAAAAAAAAAAAAGCAAAGAAAAAACAGTTATTCACTTAAGGTGGGATCTCAGAGATGTATGTCAAAGAAAGAGAACCTATAAGGCTACTCTAAAATATGAAAGTTAAAAAAATAAGACTATAAATTTTCTACTTTGGAAATAATATAAAATTCATTCAATACTAATGAAAAGTTTCTTTTATGTGGGCACTGTATTTATAAACGTCAGAGTAAAACCACAAAGGTACTCTGCCTCCTCCCACTCAAGGTCAGTTCTGAAATTATTTGGAAGGCTTGGTATAGCAGTAACCTTGGTGATAAAGAAAGGAAAGATGTGAAACACTTTAGAATACACATGATACACCAGAATAGAAAGGCTAATTTCTGGATAGACCAGGATCTTGGTCTATCTCTCCATTAAAAAAAAAAAAAAAAGTTGGGGACAGCCTTTTACTTTTAGCAACTGCGGCACTCACATTTATATTTTCCTGATCCTCAATTCCTCTCCAAAGATGGGGCTAATTTTTCACTGACCTCTATGTCCAAAATATTTGAGAGCTAAAAGGAATTAAGACAGTACAATCCCCTCATTTTTACAGATGAGAGAACTGAAGCTATGTACTTATGCAGTATTTACTAAGCCATAGTGAGGAGTACAAAGATAAAACTTCGGTAAAACTTTGTCCTTGCCTTAAGGAAGCTTATGAATCATTGGAATTAAGTCATATACAGGGATAACAATAATACAATTGGCTTACTTTATCTTAAAGGTTAAAAAATTAATCTGTGAGCAAGCCAGAAGTAGAATTCAAGCCTCCCAGTTTGCAGCCCACTGTCTTTTTCTCTTTGTCACAGGGTTTCAGAAAGAGTGGAACTTCAAAGTCAAGATTTACACTTGGGAAGAAACTTACATGCTGAAACTTTATTGACAAGCTAGTCACTTAAAATTTCTATAATACAAGATGACTTTATCATATGAAAAGCTATTAGTAAAGAGAATGATTATTGTTAGTGATGACAACAATAGTAATTATTATTATTAACATTCTTTTTGACCACTTATTTTATGCCACATACTTTACACAGATAACCTTTCATAACAACCCTGTGCTAAAGGAGTCATTACCATCTGCATTTTACAGTAAAGGAAACAAAGACTATCCAGAGTCATGCAATGAGGGAGTGGCAGAATAGAAATATGAACTCAAGCTCTCCGACAGCAAAGCCTGAGCTCTAAACCATTGGTTCTCTTGAATAATATGTAAGAGCATCCAGGTTCTGATCGCCTAGATTCCAGGTAAGTTGGGTTTGATGTTGTGAATGGCCTCAGAAACAGAGCTTTGATGGAATCTTGCTCAGACAGAGTTGAGGAAATCGGATATAAAGTAAAAGGTTAATTTTCACAAGAAAATATTCCCAACTTATAAATGTTTAGGAAACTACTACCTAAAGATCAATTCTTTAACGTAACTTCAATATTTACTGAAAGCTTGTATGCCAGGCACAATATTAAGTACTGTTGATACACAGATAAATTTTCTATAAACTGTCTACCTTAGGCATTTATGCTAGGCATGAAAGAGGACAATATAAGACCTATGAGCTAACATCTTTTAAAAAATCTAGTCAGCTAAAACATCTACACACAAACATTTCAATAATATTATTAAGAGTTAATTAGAAACACATATTCACAGGTCTGTATATAATTAATTTCCATAAGTGGAACAGCCAAAAAAACCCCTCAAGTACAGAAGATTTAGAGATCACCATGGGCTGGAGAAACTTTAGGGAAAGGCAGGAATATAAACAGGATCTTCCTTTAAGGATGCACAGGATTTAGAAGAAATATGGAAGACAGGACAAGTATTCCATAAGAAAAAAAAAATAATGTGGACAAGGATACCAGGCAAGAAAATAGAATATTAATATAATATAATAAATATAAATATTCAAGAAAATATAACACATGTTTCAAGGGAAAAATGAAACAATGTGAGTAGAATAAAGGTTTTGCATATGGACAACATGGTTGAAAGGGCAGGAAGAAGCAAAACTAAAGGGATAACTTTATTATACATAGCCACAATAAAATATTTTAAAGTCACTTTTATACTTTGACAAATATACCGTACAAAAAGAGAAGAAATTAAAAAATTCCTAGTGAGGTTTATAAATTTTTTCTGTAATATATATTTTTTTGCTACTAAAAAAGGTTTGAAAAAGTTGCTTCGGACAGGAGGAAGCAATTTTATTTAAAAGGCTTTAGCTAGAATGACATGAATAAATAACTATGAATGAATAACTCTTAAAATCAAGTAAGAGTAAGGATGGAGGAAGAGATTAAAGCTATAGGATAAGACTAAAACTGATGGTACAAATGTGAGCTAAAGCCTAAACTAAGGGAGCTCACAAGCACACACTGATAGGTGGTTTGAAGTAACAGAAATGTCAACGATACTACCTTGAGCAATCTTATCCACCCACAACAGGACCAGCTGGTTTCAAAAACAAATGAACACTATTTCTGACGGCTGAGGATTTTTGACATAATAGGTGAGAAAATCTGGAAGAAGGCTACACCCATGATTGCAACTGTGTTCTACTCCTCCTTGAGGTTTAGTCATGCTCCATGACTAGATCAGCAACTTATAAGTAACCATGCAGCAAACCCTGAAGATTAAAAAAAAGAGAGCACAAGCTAATTTGGCCTTGTTAGTTTATTTCACAGAGAGGAACAGTTGATGACTATATTTGGCTGTCAGTTGAGGTTTAGTTGATCCTGGGCTTTGCCCAGATATCCTACAATCACATGTAGGATGTGACTATCCTAATTTTGATTAAGTTTAATGCTATGCAGTGTGGGCGCCTTGATGAAATGAAGTGATGCTTTAGGCAGATTATTCATCTGTGACTTAGTGTGGTGCTATGGTTTGTCACTCTAATTATTTTTTAAATGATCAATTTTGTACTATCTGGCTTGCCTTCTGCATTAAGAAGTGATTTACCCAAGCTGAAAGAGCTAGTAAGTGGCAGAGACAGAACTGAAGATCAGACATTGGTATAAGTCCAGTGGTCTTCAAACAATAGGCTGATTTCAAAATTATAGCTGGTATAGTCTGGCACAGACCTAGTGTTGTTTTATCAGTCAAAATGTTTCCACAGCTACTATGATGAAGCCCATATTTCTCTATTTGTTCACACCAACATGAGATGTCTGTCCTGTATCTTAGTATAATCCAATCATATCAGCTCTAGGGCATTCTTCTTGATCCCGCTATCTTTTGCTGAATCTTGGTAAATACCATTGCTATATTCAATTGTAATGGGTATTCAATTCTCAGAAATCTATGAGGAATCTATCCTTAAAGAAAATTAATCAATTTACAGTCAACTTGTTCAGGTTTTCCTATATAGATTTCCTTAGTTTGTAGAAACTAAGTATACTGTAGATGTGAAGTTTCTCAACTGATATTTGTAATTCAGATATAAGTATTGTGTATTTTTAGACAAGGCTGGGAGGCTGGGAGCTGCAGGATAGGGTGGAACAGCACAGTTAAAAGCTAAATTAAAAACAAATTCACTCAATTTAATTTTTGACTGAAAAATGCCAAACAACCAATCTAGGTTTTTAACAAACATTTTGAAGATCCAGCTCTAACTTCCTTGTTTGAAAAGTAGAAAGCATAATTTTAATTTTTCACAGAAATAAGGTTGGTTTTCCCAGATTAATATCCTTATCTTGCTTCCTTGTAGAGTACCACAAGAGGCTGAAATGTCATATTGTATTTTTGCAACTACCCCAGTGGAAACACCCTATTATATGGTAAGCAGATGATGGTAAGCAGGGAGTGTCATGTTCCCAGATGATGTTTTAAACATGAAAAAATACAAGAGCTATTATCTTTCCTTCACCTGTACTTCCTTTTCCTTTCCTTACTCAGGATAAAGAGTCTAAATATAGCCAAATAATAAAGTTACTATTTATTCAAAATTTTACCCACTCTGGAGGGTCAAACTTAACTTTTACTTTCCCCACAGGCCCATTTCATTTTCACAATCAACAAAGATTTTTCTATAACAGAATGTTTATATTCTGTAAACATTATCTTTGCCACAGGAGACTATTCTCAAATTCTTTCATGTGTTAGTCTTACCTCTCCATCAAGAACATAAGCTCAAGGATATGCATTAAACTTTTAGATCGCTGTAATCCTTAACTGACCACAATGTTTAATAAATATATCGATGTAAAAATACTGAATACCAACTATATTCAGGCCACCATGCTAAGCAGGGATTATATCTAACTACAGGAATAAATTTGAAACAATTGGAAAGACATAGGAAAGAAAAATGACAGTTACACAGTAGATATATTTAGGAACGTCTATGGCCCAGAGAATAGTGGAAAGTCTAATTCAGGTAAAAGCAGTGAACTTAATAAATTTTAGAAATGTTGTGATGGGGCCGGGCGCAGTGGCTCACGCCTGTAATCCCAGCACGTTGGGAGGCCGAGGCAGGTGGATCACTTGAGGCCAGGAATTCAAGACATGCCTGGCCAACATGGCAAAACCTAATCTCTACCAAAAATACAAAAATTAGCCAGGTGTGGTGGTGCGGGCTTGTAATCCCAGCTACTGAGGAGGCTGAGGCACCAGAGTCACTTGAACCCAGGAGGCAGAGGTTGCAGCGAGCCAAGATTGTGCCACTGCACTCCAGTTTGGCCGACAGAGGGCGACTATGTCTCAAAAAAAGAAAAGAAAAGAAAAGAAAAATTGCGCTGGTATTTTCTCTCTCAGAAAGCAGAGGAAACACTAAATCCAATCCCAACTTAACAGAGGGGAACTACTTTATAAAGTAGAAGGGATGAAAAGTTTGTAAGAAAGCAATCGTGACATCTTAGTGTTGGCGATGCTAAGAAAGGAACACCGAGCATAGTTAGATATATGCTTTCAGAGTTCTGAGAAACGATACGTTGGATCATGAAAGAAAGATTTTAGGCCAGGCTTGGTGGCTCACGCCTGTAATCCCAGCACTTTGGGAGGCCGAGGCGGGCGGATCACATGAGGTCAGAAGTTTGAGACCAGCCTGGCCAACGTGGTAAAACCTGGTCTCTACCAAAAATAAAAAAATTGGCTGGGTGTGGTGGCATGCGCCTGTAGTCCTAGCTACTCGGGAGGCTGAGGCAGGAGAACTGCTTGAACCCGGGAGGTGGAGATGGCAGTGAGCCAAGACTGCACCACTGCACTCCAGCCTGGCAGAGGGAGACTCCGTCTCGAAAAAAAAAGAAAAAAAAAAGGAAGATGATTTTGGAAGGCTGCAAGCTCATAGGTGAAATGATTACATTCAAACATAAATGACTACCTCCTGTTAGCTGCCTTATAAAAATCTGAAGGCATGGTAAAAGAAATCTATCACCAAAAGGCATGTTAGTTGCCCTCTCCACTTGATCACATTACATCTCTACTGTGCAAAGAACTGGGCTAATCATAAGAAATTACAGTCTAATTTTGATTAGAGCCCTAATGCTTCAAGCAGAAAAAGCATTACTCTTGCTAAGTTACTATAACCTGCTCAGTGTTCATCAATGTCATTACCACAATTTTTATCTTGCAATGTAACTAGAAAACAAAGTACTGAATGGAAGCTATCCTGGCTCACCTGGCAAAAATACAGTGTATACACACACACACACACACACACACACACACACAGAGTGTGTGTATATTCCAGCAAATAATATTACATATAAAAGATCTAATTGGTTCATCATGTAAATTTAGTAGGAACATTACAACGATGCTACAAGAATTTATCCAAAACTGAGATTTCCTTAGAATATCTGTTAAAAGTAATTTTATTCAGTTAATAGAAATTCTATTGAAAACATCAAACTTATAAAGCTATATATCCTGTTCATATTTGAATGTTTTGTAAATATGGATTATTCTTATAATCAAGAAAAAAATTAAACAGTATGAAGACTTCTTAAAGTATGTTTAAAAGTACAACTATATTACAGTATTAAGTCAACAGTTTTAGGGAGATAATTCACTAAATCTAAAATTATAAAGGTTAATAGGATTGCATTGTTCTTAAACATCATTAAATAAAGAAAACCACTTTTTATTATACATTTATTGTTCTGAAGTATTCTGAATTTTCAGATCAGACACATATCAATCAAAATATATACAAAAACAAATCAAAATAATGTTTTAGATAATCCATACTACCAATCTTTAAACCGTTTATAATCAACCAACAAGTGCTTATTGAGTATTATAAAATCACATCCAAGTAGTATCAATCGACATGCTAAAATTGAATATATAGAGGACCTTTAAAAATAGGCAGTAGCCCTGTCCTAGACAATATAATTTGTGTGATCAGGAGCTTAGTTGAAATCTTCCAAATACAGTACTGAGCACAGTTTTATACAAGTATTTTAAAACTGTACTAAAGTTTGTACTATAAATGTCTACATGTTTATAGGAGGAATATTTAAGAAATATTTCTTTTCTCCTTTATGATACCTTCATTAAAATACGGTTCCTGCCGCCATAGACCTAATTGTAAAAGTCAAAACTATAAAACTTGTAAGAGAAAATCTTTGCAACTCTGGGGTAGGCAAATGTTTCTCAAAAGGACATACAGAACATAAATTATTAAAGAAAAAAACAGTCAACTGGATTTGATGAAATCAAAAGCTTTTGTTCACAAGACACACTGTTTTTTGGGGTTTTTTTTGAGACAGGGTCTCGTTCTTTCTCCCAGGCTGGAGTGCAGTGGTATCATGGCTCACTGCAGCCTTGGCCACCTGGGCTCAAGCGATCCTCCTATCTCAGCCTCTCAAATAGCTGGGACCACAGGCATAGGCCACCATGCACGGATAATTTTTGTATTTTTTTTGTAGTGACGGAGTTTTGTCATGTTGCCCAGGCTGGTCTCAAACTCCTGGGCTCAAGCCATCTGCTCACCTCATCCTCCCAAAGTGCTGGGATTACAGGTGTGAGCCACTACGCCTGGTCTGAGACACATCATTAAGAAAATAAAGGGAAATCAGACTGGAAGAAAATATTTGCAAAATTCACATTTGATAATGCACATATAGAGAACTCTTACAACTCAATAATGAAACAAAACCAACATGTAAAAAACCTTAATTTAAAAAAGGGCAAAATACTATCCCTGATGAACATCAATGCAAAAATCCTCAATAAAATACTGGCAAATCGAAGCCAGCAGCACGTCAAAAAGTTTATTCACTACAATCAAGTTGGCTTCATCCCTGAGTTGCAAGATTGGTTCAACATACACAAATCAGTAATGTAATTCATCACATAAACAGAACTAAAGACAAAAACCACATGATTATCTCAATAGATACAGAAAAGGCCTTTGATAAAATTCAACATTCCTTTATGTTAAAAACTCTCAATATACTAGGTAATGAAAGAACATACCTCAAAATAATAAGAGCCATATATGACAAACCCACAGCCAATATCATACTGAATGGGCAAAAGCTGGAAGCAATCCCCTTGAAAACTGGCACAAGACAAGGATGCCCTCTCTCCCCACTCCTATTCAACATGGTATTGGAAGTTCTGGCCAGGGATCATGCAAGAGGAAGAAATAAAGGGTATTCAAATAGGAGGCGAGGAAGTTAAATTGTCTTTGCAGATGACACAATCCTGTATCTAGAAAACCCCACTGTCTCAGCCCAAAAGCTTCTTAAGCTGATAGGCAACTACAGCAAAGTCTCAGGATACAAAATTAATGTGCAAATATCACAGGGATTCCTACACACCAACAACAGACAAGCAGAGAGCTAAATCATGAATGAACTCCCATTCATAAATGCTATGAAGAGAATAAAATACCTAGGAACGCAGCTAACAAAGGAAGTGAAGCACCTCTTCAAGGAGAACTACAAACCACTGTTAAAGGAAATAGAGAGAACACAATAAATGGATGCTCATGGATAAGAAGAATCAATATCATGAAAATGGCTATACTGCCCAAAGTAATTTATAGATTCAATGCTATTCCCATTTAACTACCATTGACATTCTTCATAGAATTAGAAAAAACTTTTAAAATTCATATGGAACCAAAAAAGAGCCCGTATAGCCAAGACAATCCTCAGCAAAAAGAACAAAGCTGGAGACATCATGCTACCTCACTTCAGACTATACTACAAGGTTACAGTAACCAAAACAGCATGGTACTGGTACAAAAACAGACACGGACCAACAGAACAGAAGAGAGCATTCAGAAATAAGACTGGATACTTACAACCATCTGATCTTTGACATACATGACAAAAACAAGCAAAGGGGAAAGAATTCCTTATTTAATAAAATGCTGGGAGAACTGGCTAGCCATATGCAGAAAATCGACACTGGACTCCTTCCTTACAACTTATACAAAAATTAACTCAAGGTGGATTAAAGACTTAAATGTAGAACCCAAAACTATGAAAACCCTTGAAGAAAATCTAGGCAATACCATTCAGGACATAGGCACGGGCAAATATTTCATGCCAAAAATGCCAAAAGCAATTGCAACAAAAGCAAAAATTGGCAAATGGGATCTAATTAAACTTAAGAGCTTCTGCACAGCAAAATAAACTATCAGAGTGAACAGACAACCTACAGAATGGGAGAAAATGTTTGCAACCTATACATCTGATAAAGGTCTAACATCCAGAGTCTACAAGGAATTTAAACAAATTTACAAGAAAAAACAATCCCATTAAAAAGTGGGCAAAGGACACGAATGGACATTTCTCAAAAGAAGACATTCATGCGGCAACAAGCATATGAAAAAAGGCTCAACATCACTGATCATTAGAGAAATGCAAATCAAAACCACAATGAAATACCATCTTAGGCCAGTCAGAATGGTGATTATTAAAAAGTCAAGAAACAACAGATGCTGGAGAGGTTGCAGAGAAATAGGAACACTTTTACACTGTTGCTGGGACTGTAAATTAGTTAAACCATTGTGGAAGACAGCGTGGTGATTCCTCTAAGATCTAGAACCAGAAATACCATTTGACCCAGCAATCCCATTACTGGGTATATGCCCAAAGGAATGTAAATCATTCTATTATAAAGATACAGGCATGTGTATCTTCATTGCAGCACTATTCACAATAGGAAAGACATGGGAATCAACCCAAATGCCCATCAATGAAAGACTGGATAAAGAAAATGTGATACATGCACACCATGGAATACTATGCAGCCAGCCATAAAAAGCAACAGGATCATGTCCTTTGCAGGCACATAGATGGAGCTGGAAGCCATTATCCTCAGCAAACTAACACAGAAACAGAAAACCAAACACCGTATGTTCTCATATATAAGTAGGAGCTGAACAGTGAGAACACATGGACATGGTGGGTGAGGGGGAGAGTATCAGGAAAAATAGCTAATGCGTGCTGGGCATAATACCTAGGTGATGGGTTAATCTGTGCAGAAAACCACCATGACACATGTCTACCTATGTCACCAATCTGCACACCCTGCACATGTACCCTGGAAGTTGAAGGTGAAAAAAACGGTGCAAAAGATTGAATAGGCATTTCATAAAAAATATACTAAGCAAAAGGCACAGGAAAAGGACCTCAGAATCATTAGTCATCAGGGAAATAGAAATTAAAGCCACAATGAGACACTGCTACATTCTCACTAAAATGACAGATTAAAAAGCCCAAAAATACCAAATGTTTAGGAGATGTACAGAAACTGGAACTCTTGTACATTGGTGGTGGAAATTTTAAATGGTCCATTTTGGAAAACAGTTTGGCAGTTTCTCATAAAGACGTAAATGGGAGCTTTCTTTACAATAACACAAAACTGGAAAAAACACAAATGTCTTAAAAGACACAAATTTTTTATCCCCCCCTTTTGGGGATAAAACCAAAAAGGAATGATCTAGAAATACACACAAAGACATAGATGACTTTTAAAAACATGCTGAAGGCAGATACACAAAAAAATACGTTCTATGATTCTATTTATATCGAATTTTAGAACAGGCAAAACTTATCTAAAGACGTAGTTCTCAACTGGGGCAATTATGCCCTCCCCTTCCCTGGGCAATGCTGGAGACATTTTTGGTGGTCATAACTGGGGTGGCATAGGTATGGGGGTGGTTGCTAAAGGCATCTGGTGGGTAGAGGTCAGGGATGCTGTTAAACATTTTATAATACACAGGCCAGCAGCCACGGCAAAGCATTACCAGGCCCAAAATGTTGAAAGTACCCAGGCCCAGGTTGAGAAATTCTGTTCTAAGTGATCAGTGGTGGTCTAGATGGAAGTAAGGATATTGAATGAAGGAATTCTGGGGATAATAAAAATGTTCTGTATTTTATTTTATTTACTTTTATTTATTTATTTATTTTTGAGATGGAGTCTTGCTCTGTCGCCCAGGCTGGACTGCAGTGGTGGGATCTCGGCTCACTGTAACCTCTGCCTCCTGGGTTCAAGCAATTCTCCTGCCTCAGTCTCCCGTGTAGCTGGGATTACAGGTGCCCACCACCACGCCTAGCTAATTTTTGTATTTTTAGTAGAGAAGGGGTTTCACCATGTTGGCCAGGCTGGTCTCGAAATCCTGACCTCGTGATCTGGCTGCCTCATCCTCCCAAAGTGTTGGGATTACGGGCGTGAGCCACTGCACCCTGCCGATGTTCTGTATTTTAATTGTGGTAGTGACTGATTTGTCAAAACTCACCAAACTGCACACACTTAAAACGTGTAAATTTTACTGTATGCAAATTTTACATCCAAGTTGATGCTAAAAAGTATAGTGCCTGTATAAGACTATGTTAAACAGTTTAATCCATTTTTTGTTTTTTAAAACACATGCACAGAAAAGACAGGTAAGGCAACTACCATTAAAGACAGGAAAAGCAAATACCATTGGTGGGATTATGGATAATTTTGAATTTTTTGTCCTGTTGTTCATTTGCTTAGTATTAAGTAAAAATTTAATAAACTTGATGTGTACACACACACATAGAGACAAACACAAACACTTATATATCCAGTACCTAAAACAGGTACAAATAAATGAGGATAATAGAAAAGCACAGGTGCACATGAATATTTAATTGTGATATTTGATCATAAGACTCTAGTTATTTCAAGAAAGTATAAAAATGTATAATGCAAAGGCACTTAGAAGTAAGGTTTTACTCTAAAACACTGCTAAACTATTTAATGAGCTCAATTATAATTCTTTCAATACAAAAAGTTTGCAAGGAGGAATTTTCACTAGAAACAATGCTATGATAGCCCTAATAAGACAGGGTGAAAAGGTCAAGAAATTCTTTAAAATTAAATGAATAAAGTTACCAACTAAGGAATAATCCATTTCACTGTATTAATACGGTTGAAAACACAGCAGATACAATTCAGTTATGTTCATCAACAGCCAGGGACTGAGCAAAGTGTGAGAAATTTATTATAAAAATGTCTCTGAAGAACTGACCAATGGAGAAAAATGGTATTGTCAACAATCACATACAAACGGGCTAAAGGCTATGATGGAGGTTTGAAAGTGTTAACAATGAAAGAAACCAAGCAACTACCTAAGCCTGGAGGAAGCATGTACAAAGGTGACATCTTAGCTAGACCTTGTCTGGTGAAAAATCATGAGATAATTTAGAAATCTTAGAAATAACACAAAAACCAAAAAAAAAAAACAACAAAAAAAAAAAACAAAAAAAGACCCACCACCACACATAACAATTTTGTTACACTACTGTCTCATTTTATAGTCTTAAAGGTCAGCAATGAGAAAATCTTTTCCCGAAAAAGAAGATTATCCTACATATTGGGTAAGGAAATTATAACTACTGAGAAAATCCCATATCCAAGGGGGAAATATATTTAAGATTCACCTTGATAGAAAATGCACTCCCTAAGCTTCCACCACGTCTACGTTTGGCAATTTAAGTCTCTGGCACTATTCAAAAGCATAGTGATTAAAAAAAAATCAATTAGGCTGCAGTTTAAAAATTCTATATGAATACTTGTTAATATAGAATTAATATATGGCCTCATACTAAAACATCTCCATACATTAGTAAGGGAATATTTAAGATACCTCCCAAAAGGGAGACACTGGGAATCCTACATACAGTACACTACATCTTTGACAGTAAGTTTTCAAGCCATAAGAGATGCTTACGAATATATGGGGTAAACGATTACTCTATGCTGCTAAAAATCATTCCAAGGTAAAAAGGTCAATTCCTATCTAATGCAAAGAGAAAAGCCTGCAAGGTGGTGGGATGGTGAGACAGACTGCTGGTAGAACCTGTCTGCCTTGCTCCTTGGATTTCCTGTAATTTTGGACATTACTTAAATTAAGGCATTGAAACTGAATTACATCAACTTTATCTCAACAGAACAAATTTTGTGCAGCAGAAAACCCAATTTTGGCGGTGAAAAAGTCGTCCCAAAGACAAAGGGTCTTAAGTACATCTGACTTTTCGGAGACAGCAGCAGTGTGTCCTATTCTTTCTCTCCTGGCTCAGACTCAAAGAACTACTGCAGGCAATTCAGGTAACACTATTTCCTGGTAGTGTGATTCAGGTAACTGGAGAAAAAGGAAAATGCTTAAAGCAATAAACTAGTATAAAAGGGAACCTTCTGGAGTCCCGTAATAGCCAGTGAACTAGAAACTCTTGATATTTTATAGATACTGACACCAGTAGGGGAGCCAGGAGCCAAGTGCAACACCAGCCAAGGGTTGGAAGCAGGCAGAGAGAACAGTCATTGCCTGATCCTCTTGCTTCCACCGCAAAAGAGCGCCCCCACCCCAATACTCTCGTTCCTTAAAATGTCCCTATCGGGACCCACGCAGAAATACCCCCTCTCCCCTACAGTAACTCCGTACAATCCCAAATACCCTGCCGGAGTGTGACAGGCTGCGTCCACTTACTGAGCTGTCCCCCGCCCGACGCTGTACTCGGTTCCCGACCTCCAGCGCCCCCAACGCCGGCTGCTCCAGGGACCCCTGGCGCCCCCATCCCCGGCGGGGTTCCACTTTGCCTCTCGAAGTTGCCTGGATTGGAGAAGTAGTCGCGCAGCCGAGGCAGCTCCCGGCCACTCTCTAACAGCTCGGTATGCAGCTCCAGGGCGGTCAGCAAGTATTGATCGCGCAACAGCTGAGCAGCGATCGCATCAATTGATAATCGGGCCGGGGTCTCCCCGGTGCCCCCCAGGGCCACTGCAGCCGCCGACGCCTCCCCAGGGAGCCCTGGCCGCGCACTGCTTCCTAAGGCCACGGGATCCTGTGGCGACAGCGAGCCCGCAGAGCCAGGATCTAGGCCACTTCCGGCGCCCAGCCGAAGTACTGCCCGCCGTTCCTCTGTTGCAGCTACCTCGTCATCGTCCTCATCCGAATCACTGAGAAATGGATTCACGCCGCCACCACTGCCACTACCTCCAGGCGCCATCGCCGCCATCTTATCCTGTCAGGAGTGTGGGCGCCTCCCTGACTGGTTCCGACGGGCCGCAGCCCGAATCCTCTAGGCCTCAGGGGACACAGCGCACCTCCACAGCCCCGGCCTGACCACGTCCTGCCTCCCGACTTAGAGACAAGGAGTACGCTCCAAGGCAGGAGATCCGGATGCAGCTGCACCTGATGCCTCAGCCTCTGCTGCACCAGCAGCCCGGCTCTGCAGGCGTCTTCCTGGTCTCCAGTCTCGCGAGAACTGGAGCGTGCCCCTGCCCCTCTCCCCGATCTAGCCCCGCCCCAGCCCCGCCCCAGCCCACTTCAGCTCCGCCCATTCCCAGCGCCAGATAGCAAAGATTGAAGGCCCCGCTCTCCGCTCAAAAGCAAAACTCCACCCACGACTCCTCCATGATTGGTCAGAGAAGGAAGGCGTGGAGCGGACTGACGGGAGACTGGCCCGAGAATTATCGCGATAGCAGCAGCGGCCGGGCAGGTATTGGGGGCGTTCCGGAATTGAGGGGTGGTTGTAGTGGTGGCTTAGGAATACCCTCCCGGCTATCGCTTCAGTGGGTAGAGGGGACCACTGCCCGAGAGCTTTAATGGAGCTGGGTCCTGCCTTCGCGCTGAGGAGCCCTCGTTTTCGAGATCAGGCCTGACCGGGATAAGCTCCAGGTAAAGTTCAGGGACCAGTGCGCGGAGGGTGTCGGCGCCCAAACTGTGGTGTCGCGCCCGCGGACGCGCTGTTTCCCTACTGCGCTGCACTTTTTCTCGCTATTTGCTGCCAGTGGTGACATTTTGTCCCCATGGATAGCAAGTGCCCAGGCCTGTAGTCGGAATGTGACTTCCTTTCTTTTCCCTTCTCTGCCACATGCTTGCACACTCGGGAGGCCTAGCGACAGCACGACTTCTCAGCCCCGGAGGTGGTCCTGCCTGTGGGTGGGGACGGGGGCTGGAGAGACTAAACGGAAAAGGGAACGCTGAGGTTGGCATTTGCCTGGATCTGGGAACATCGTCGAGTTGGAAAACAAATTGTTAGGTACTCAATAAACGCTTAGGATTTAATACACGATTTACACAACAGGGACCCTTCAGAATATCTAATGCTGTCTCACCAGTAGACAGATAAGTAAACTTAAGCCAAGAGTGGTTGTTATAAAATCAGCTCCACGCCGGGCGCGGTGGCTCACGCCTGTAATCCCAGCACTTTGGGAGGCCGAGCCGGGCGGATCACGAGGTCGGGAGTTCGAGACCAGCCTGACCAACATGGTGAAACCCCTTCTCTACTAAAAACACAAAAATTAGTTGGGCGTGGTGGCGCAAGCCTGCAATCCCAGCTACTCAGGAGGCTGAGGCAGGAGAATCGCTTGAACCCCGGAGGCGAAGATTGCAGTGAGCCGAGGTCGCGCCACTGCACTCCAGCCTGGGCGACAGAACGAGACTCCGTCTCAAAAAAAAAAAAAAAAAAAAAAAAAAATCAATTCCGCTAATAAGGAGTCAAAGGAATTAACATCATTTCTCTTATGTCCCAAACGATTCTTTATCCACTGTCTCCTGCAACATTTCTGACTCGTTCATGCAGGCTAGAATCAAGGTTTTGGAACTTAGAACTATTTTAAAAGTTGAATGCTTCAGAGAGTTTTGATTTTTTTGATGAAATGTTAGCATATAAAGTACATATCCTAAGTTTAGAAGATCAACGTTTATCTTTTATGTCATTCCTTGATTATGATCTGAAAAGGTAAAGGAATTTCCAGTCAATACAATTAGACTGCTATTTCTTATGGCTCCTATTTTTTTCACACACAAATGACCACTTTTCCAGGCTTTAGATTTCCTTTCTTAGTGTACAGGTAAGTGACATATTACATTCAGTGTGTAGTAAACATTCCACAGTAAAGTATCTCCCGTTAGCTCCATGGAAAAATTAAAATAGACGATTCTTACATAACCTTAGGTCAGGTTATTGGTTTACATGTAAAAGTATGCCAACAGTTAAGAGTAGGCTTTAATTTCAATATACCCAGGCTCAATAAACTAAAATTTTCATTTGAATGGGGATTTGGGTTTTTAAAATTTTATTTTTGCTAGAAGTTTAAAAAAAAAGTACCAAGAATTTAAACTATTTTTTTATAGGACATTAGTTCCCAATGTTTTAATGATAAATAGTTTTCTGTGCCATATATTAAAAGTAAAACATGGGGAAAAAAATCCCCCCAAATAGAATTGAAATGGCAAATACTGTATCCTGTTAGAGATTTCTTAGCAAAAGGGATTGCTGATCCGTATTTTAGTTGGATTTTCCAGAGAGATTAAAATGGAACCAATTTCTGGAATCCAGGAATGGAGGATTAGTGAATGGCATGGGAAGGGCATGATTAGAAATGGATTGTTTATATACAATATTTCCATCTCCATGATTGGGAAATTGAGAAATCTCCTGCATTTAGGATTCCTGAAGAGGATTATGCTTATAAGATAGAAAAGCTTAAGTTCAGATCCCAATTCTACTCATTATTTATTGTGAGACCTTGAAAAAGTTACCTAACTTCTCAGCCTCACTTGCATTCGTCTATCAAAGGGGATAAGGAAAGTACACAGAATTGAGAATGTTCTTGTCCCAGTGCCTGGTACCTGCTACACAATAACTATTACTGTGGTCACTTATTAATTATTGAAATATTAGTATGTGTTGAGAACATTTGACAAGTGTTTAAAAATAAAACTAATATCAATCGTTTTGGCAGTGCAAGCCTGAAAAAGCAATTAAGTCAGTAGGGCTGAAGGGAGTATCTTTAATTTGGGGTCTCAGTTCTAAAACACAAGTTGAAAATAGATTTAAAATGTTTCCTCAGAGTTGTAAGAACTTGCATGTAGAGGAATTCTTCCCATACAAATCTGTGGTTTTCTGCTTCTATTTCTGCCTCCTATCCTATAACCATGAACTTGTGTGTTTGATCTTGTAAGCCCATTAGAAATCAACTGCCCAGTCTTCCCAGTATGTACTTTTCTTTTCCACAATACACAGAGGTTTGGTTATTCGTGAATAATGTATAAGTAACACACACTGGAATATTAAAAATTACCGATCACTACTTATAATAATGTATTATTAATAGTGTTGGGAAATTTCCTTTCTACTTAGTAAGATTTTCATTAATCTAGGCCCTTACAACTAATGTTTCATCTGACTAATGATAGTTATTAAAGCTTGTGCCTTAGCAATGAAGATGTAAAAGATGCCTTTTTTCAAAGCACGTCAATCATTTTAGTATTTAAAAAATTATTTTAGGTTTTAATAGTCTTAAAAGAACCACAAGTAATATTCTGAATGCAAGTTTTGGTTGACTTGAGGTTTTAGTAATACCTCATGTTTTATTGTTTTTCAGTGTGTGGTAAACATCCACAGATAAACTAGATAACTTGTATTGGTACATGCATATATCTTTTTAAAATTTTAATAGTTATGTGTTTGTTTTGGAGGTATTTCTTTTTCAATAAATCTGAATAAATTGTGATTTTCTTTAAAGAGAAGTATTAAGTAATATTTAGTATTAAGCAATTAAACTAATTAAAATAAGTAGTTAGTGAATGCTGATATTTTGTAATAACTGCAATTTTATTTACATTAATAGTAAATTACTTTATCATAAAAGGTTTAGTTTTTTTTTTTTTAAAGTATTTTCAGTCTTCACATCTTGTTCTGGAGGAACAAAAACAGAAGCAGGGCATCCTCTAGTGGCTGTAGTGCATATTGCATTTACCCTTGAAATGATAATTCTAAATAATTTATTCAGCAAACATTTGAGTCCTTACTAAGTGCATAAGACTCTGATGGGTGTTGGAGATGCCCCGTCCTGCTGTCATGGAATTGTGGTGAAGTGACAGAGACAGACATTAATTCAAATAGTCGTAGACAAAGCTATGTAATTACAAACTGAAGTAAAAGTTTTCGTTTCTGACTTCACCTGCATAGTCCCTGAGGAAGTGATGCTTGAAATGGAATGTTAGGAGAGAGTGGAAGATAGGTTGCAAGTACATTCTGCAGAGAGGAATTGAGCCTACAAAGGTCTTATAGCAGTGGGATACTTGAATAAAAGAAGGGGCCAGTGATGTGAGATGTTACAAAGTAAAGGGGAGTGCTATGAGACAGGTTTAGAAAAGAAGGCAGAGGCTAGTCTATAAAAGACCTTGTTAGTCACATTAAGGATTTTAGTCTAGATTAGTAGGTGAAAAGGCACTGGAGAGTTTTTTTTTTCCAGCTGTGACTTCATTTTTAAATTTATTTTTTAATATACGATTTTATGTATTCATTGTGTACATGATGTTCTTCAGTTTATATACATTGTGAAATGCTCAAATCTAGCTAAGTAACAAATGCATTACCTTACACATAGTTATCATTTTTGTGATGAGAAATTTGAACATCTACCCTTTTAGCAGTTTTCAAGAATACAATATATCATCATTAACTAGAGTCACCATGCTGTACAACAGAGCTCTTGAACTTATTCCTTCTATCTAACTCTAATATGAATGCTTTGATCAGTATCTCTACAATTGCCCCCCGCTGTGGAACTACCCCAGCCTCTGGTTACCACCATTCTGCTTCTAATTCAGTGGGGTCAACTTTCTTAAGTTCCACATAGGAGTGAAATCATGCAGTATTTGTGTTTCTGCACCTGGCTTATTTCACTTAGCATACCAGGCTTCAGGAACATCCGTGTTGTTGCAAACGTGTCTTTTGACTTTAAAGACAGTGAATGCTTCACAGAAGGCACTGGAGAGTTTTATACAAGGGGTAAGATGTTCAGATTTTCTTTTGAAAAAAGAAAAGCAAGTAATACTCTGGCTACATGGCAAGAAATGGATCAGAGAAGGGTTAGAGTATATAGGGGTGACCTATTCCTGCATTGCAGTAGTTCGCATAAGAGATGGTATACATCTTAAATTATAGAGGTGTCAATGGAGATTAAGACAAATGAACAGATTCAAGAAACACAAAGTGGACAATTGTTAGATTAAATAAAGGGGAAGAATAGGGTGTAAAGAACAATGCCTATTTCTCAGACTTACATACTTGGTGGGAAGGTGGTGCCACCTACTGAGATTGTGAACACTAAGGATTTAGTAGGTAGTAGACAAGGCTCATGGGAAATGTTATGAATTTGGTTTTAAACCTACTTAGTTGAGTGTCTTTGAAACGTCCATGTAGATTTATAAAGGTTCGAGTTACATATGTGGATTTGGAGCTATAATTTGTTGAGGCTTTTGCATATTAGGTAATAACTGAAGCCACAGATATGATGAAACTTGCCAGGATAGAAAGTATAGAGTGAGAAGAAAAGACAGCTGAGGACCAAGTTTTGAGTAACTCCAAAATTTAGTGATCAGATAGAGACTGTTCAACATTGGTCAGAGGTGTAGGTGAAAAATGAAAGCAGTAATGTTCATAGAAGCCAAGTGATAACAGCCTATTAAAAAGGAGAAGGCAGCCGGGCATGGTGGCTCATGCCTGTAATCCCACCACTTTGGGAGGATGAGGTAGGTGGATCACCTGAGGTCAGGAGTTTGAGACCAGCCTGGCCAACATGGTGAAACCCTGTCTCTACTAAAAATACAAAATTACCTGGGCATGATGCTGTGTGCCTGTAATCCCAGCTACTTGGGAGGCTGAGGCAGGAGAATTGCTTGAACCCGGGAGGTGGAGGTTGCAGTGAGCCGAGATCGCGCCACTGCACTCCAGCCTGGGCGATAGATAGGGCGAGACTCTGTCTAAAAAGAAATAAAAATAAAAAGGAGAAGGCGACTGGGCCCAGCAACTCACACCTGTAATCCCAGCACTTTAGGAGGCCGAGGTGAGTAGATGACTTGAGCCCAGGAGTTCAAGACCAGCCTGGGCAACATGGCAAGACCCCCGCTCTACAAAAAATACAAAAATTAGCTGAATGTGGTAAACATGCACCTGTGGTCCCCGCTACTTGGGAAGCTGAGGTGGGAGGATGACTTAGCCCAGGAAGCTTAGGTTGCTTAGAAAATGAAGACTAAAAAATAGCTATTAGATTTTGCACTGTTAACTGTCTTTACTTTCTTATGAAGTAATGACAATAAGGTTTAAGTTGTTTGAGATTTAGGTGGTCAGGAAAAAAAAGAGGTCACATTCAGCCTTTTCAAGAAGTTTGACTGTGTTGGGGAGAAAAGGGCAATAGATGTTTAAAATTTTTTTTATTAATACTGATATTTATGAGATGTATCCTTTTCAGAAATATGGTATTTCATTATGAATAAACAATTTATCTGTTCCCTATGGTTAGATATTGTTTCCAATTTTTTATTATTACAAATAGCAAAAGCCAAGATTTGAATGTAAAGGTTTAAAACCTTTTTCTTTCTGATGTGTAATTTTATCATAGTAAATTCTACACTAGTAGCAGTACTAATACTTGTGAGCTGGTTAAAAACATAAGCTGATGTCTACCTCACACCATATACAAATAATTATTTTTGTTTCAGAGGACACAAACCAACACAAATAAATTTTAAATAATGAAAGGTAAAAAACAAAAATCTAAAACTATTAGAAGAATATATGTGACATAAGAACCAGGAAAGTTTTCTTCTATAGTACAAGACACAAAAAACTCACACCAGAAAGGATAAATGTTTGACAAATTTTACTGTATTAAAGTTGAAAAATTTATTTTAACAAAAGGCCCTATGAACAACATTTATATATAAATGTGTATATCTAGCTATGTATAAACATACACACACTATATAAACATACACACACATATAATTGTAATGTACAAGTCAAATAAAAGGTCAATAACCCTAATCCTATCTGATCAAAGGATATGAATAGGCAGTTGAAAGGAAGAGAGACCCAATTGGCCAATAAAAACATGAAAAAATTTTCATACTCACTAGTAATCAGGCAAATACATATTCAAATAACAGGATGCCAATTTGGCCTGTTCAAATTGTCTTAAGGTAAATATGACAGTATCAAGCAATTAGGGGGATTTAGAGATATAGAAGCTTTCGTACATTGCTGGAGAGTATGTAAATTAGTATGGACACTTTGCCAGTCACTTGTAAAGTTGAAAATTTTGTTTATTAGAGCAATTCCACTTATAGAGGTGGCTTTCAATCTTATTGGTCCATAGAATAATTTAAAATAAAACTTTCAGTACAGGTTATGTACATGCAAGAATATTGATGCGTGGATACACAGGAAAAAAACACACTTTTTCAAAATAATCATGTACTACTTCTGAAGTACTTTGTGATGTGATATATTCTATATTTTATCCAATCCTATTGTACTGTATTCTATTTCATTTTTTAAAAAAAGGAAAGAAGGCTAATTGCAGTCCATGAAATTATTTTGTTATGGGTCACTACTCTACAGTTTGTAAAAATTCTAAAAATCTCCACCTTTACCATAAGAGAGCAGCTTAATTGCCATATTATTTGTAATCATGACAACTGCGAGTGATGTTGATCAGCAGGATAGTGTTCAATTAAATTGTAATAGAGTCATATAATAGAATATAGGTCTTGAATGTTTGAGATCATTTATAAGGCTTTTTTGGTAGTACTGATTAGAATAAGCTTATAAAAGAAATAATGGCTTTGCATCTATACTGGTAAAAATTAATTTCAAGTAAGGTGGGGAAAGCAGGAGTGGAAATGATGATGATTATAATATTAATGTAATCTTGTAGAATGACAGATGGCTTTTATTTATGTATGTATTTATTTATTTTGAGACAGGGTCTCACTTTGTCACCCAGGCTGGAGTGCAGTGGCGTGATCTCAGCTCACTGGCAGCCTCGATCTCCGGGGTTCAAGCAATCCTCCTGCCTCAGCCCCACAAGTAGCTGGGACTACAGGCATGTGCCACCATGCCTGACTAATTTTTTTGCATTTTTTGTAGAGATGGGGTTTCACCACATTGCCCAGGCTGGTCTCAAACTCCTGAGCTCAAGTGATCCACCTGCCTTGGCCTCATAAAGTGCTAGGATTACAGGTGTGAGCCATCAGGCCTGACCGACAGATGGCTTTTAATTACACAATTGACTGGGTTTAACATATATACTCTTCATACAGAAGAACATCAATTTATGTAGGTGCCTCGTCATCTCAGGAGGTGGAGTGTAACTCCTCACTCTTTAAGTGTTGGCTGCACGTAGTGACTTCCTACCAAAAACTATAGTATGAAATGGGGGAACATTTACATGGAGAAACTTTACAGTGAACTTTACAGAGGACAAACTGAACAAACCGCCTCAGCCAAGTGGTCAAGTTTTATATTAACAGTTTAGTAAGTCATGTTGACAGTACCCTTAATGTGATGTGAAGAAAATGGTACTTTATGTATGTATGTTTCCTCTCCTGAACCCATAACCCCAGACTTACCATGAGAAAAACATCAGATAAATCCCAATAGCAAGACATTATACAAAATCTCTGACCAGTACTCCTCAAAACTCACAAGGTCATCAAAACAAGCAAAGTCTGAGAAATTATCACAGCCAAGAGAAGCCTAAGGAGATATGGTGACTAGCTGCCCTGTGGTATCCTGGTAGAGTTTCTGGAACAGAAAAAGGATGTGAGATACAGATAAAAGATTTTGAACTCAAGTGGGCAGGAATCATCTAAAGAACTAATAACCTCTAGTCTACTTGCCATGAGAAAATTTGAAAATTAGTTCTCATATGGGATTTTGTAAAGTCACATAGAGTTTACAATTAAAAATGACATAAATCTTGATGAAAAAATATATACCCCAGAATAATAAGCAAATGAACTAGTGCTAATTATATGGCTTAATAGTTTATCTGATAATCTTGTGTGCAGGCTCCAAGTACTATCTTACAGTTTTTCTTTCCTCTTCTTCTTTTTTTTTTTTTAAGTGGGTCTTGCTATGTTCCCAGGCTAGCCTTGAATTCCTAGGCTCAAGCAATCCTCTCGCCTCACCCTCCTAAGTAGCTGGGACTACCAGCTCTGTCTTACAGTTTTGGCTGGTTTTACTTCACATCGTAGGTTTGTGTATTTTTAGTAAATGTTGAAGTGGTTAAGAACACAATCTCTAGGTGACATTACCGAAAATGGCAGAGTACGGTGGTTTATTATAAGGGTTAGTTCCTCCACTGAAACAAGCATAAGGGGGCAGAGTGACAGGATCAACTGTTTTGGGATTCTAAAATCTGGTCTGACATTTACAGCAACCAGGAGACTGCATAATGAAGAAGAGGGCAGCTGAATTTCAGAGTGCTGTGGCATTTAATCCACTGGATTACCATCCTCATTCACCATTGTGGCAATGGCAGCAGCTGTGGGGACTATGGCCCACATTTCTGGTGTGACTTGCTTGTATTTAGTATGGACTTTGTTCTTAAAATACTGTGGTTGTGCATTTTGATCTGTCTAGTGGTTTCCTGAGTGACCAATGTAGAGGCTGAATTTTGTCCCATCTTTATCCCCCGCAAAAATTACATGTAATGCATTCCCAGAAAGATCCTGAGAGGTGCCTACGCTTCTACCTTTGGAAGATCTGTGAGCACTAGACAAGCAGAAGGTGAAGGCTAAGGCAGAAGTGTAGGTGGCCAAGCTTAGTGTGAGAGTACTTCAGCTGAGAGCCAGACTACAAAAACTTGGGAGAGTACTATTTGTTTTTGTTTTAGGCATTTAAGGAAATCTAAATCTGCCATTGGCTGATCAGTAAGATAACAAAACAGAGACTTTAATGACCATAAACAAAAGGAATAAAGTCTTTGCAAAAATAGTTTGGAAAAGTTACTAAACAAAAGGCTGAACCCTTCAAAAATCAAAAGAAAATGCCAGAATTCTGGAATCTGATTTCTAGAATTACTGCATTATAATATTCGAAATATAAATTTCAACAGAAAGTTACAAAAAAGCATATAAAGACTCAGGAAAGGATGGCATATTCACAGAAAAAAATAAACAAATTGGTGGAAGCCACCCTTGAGGAAGTCCTGACATTGGACTTAGTAGACAAAGACGTTAATCATCTGTCTTAAATATGTCAAAATGCTATGGGAAACCATAGACAAAGAACTAAAGGAAGTCAGGAAAGTGATGTATGAACGAGATAAGAGCATCAAAAGAGATATAAATTATTAGAATGAACCAAATAGAAATACTGGAGCTTAGCAGTACAATAATTGAAACAAACTGTTCACAAGAGGGATTCAGCAGCAAATTTGAACAGGTGGAAGAAAGAGTCAATGAACCTGAAAATGGGGCAATTGCAATTATAGAAGCAGAAAGAAAAAGAAATGAAGAAAAGTGAACAAAACCATAGGGACCTATGGGACACCATCTTTAATTCATAAGCTTTTTAATATGGTTTATGCCAATGTGAACATTAAATCACTGATAGTCTGTAAGTTTAGCAAATCATGTTTGACAAGAACAAAGGTTACCTGAAATCAGAGCTATCCATAAAACTTGCGGTGGTTTATAATTACAACAGTGTATCTTTTGAGTATAGATTCAGACTCCAATTTTTTTTTTTTTACTTTTTATTTAAAAATAATGTTTAGATCTGTGGAAAAGTTGCAAAAACAGTACAGAGTTCCAGTACACCCTTTACTCAACTTCACCTAATGTAAACATCTTATGTAAACATCATATAATTATCAAAACCAGTACATTAGTATTTGTATAATACTATTAACTACAGATCTTAGTTGAAGTTAACTAGTTTTTCCACTATTTTCTCATCCGGTTTCCCTTGTTGTGTTTAGGTAAGTCTCTTTAACCTCCTCCATTCTTTTACAGAGTACTTGTCCATTATTTTGTAGGCTGTCTCAATTTGGGTCTATCTGATATATTACCATTATTAGATTGAGATTATACATTTTTAACAAGAATACCACATGTTCTTTTGCCAAGACTACCATGTTTTGCCTTTCTCGGTGCATCTGGTCAGGGTTACATGATGTTAGTATGTCTTACTATTGGTTGTGTTAACCATGACCACTTGGTTAAATGGTGTCTGACTATTTTCTCCATTGTTAGTATTTTTCCCTTTGTAAGGAATAAATATTTGGAGACGTTTCTTTAAGACTGCAAATATCCTGTTTCCCTGAAACTTTGATCCATTGATTTTAGCATTTATCAATGGATCTTGGTGGCAATAATTACTGTGATGTTTGCCTAGTTGTAATTTTATATCTCCCTCATTCCTGCTACCTGAATTAATTGAAATTATTCTGTAAAAAAGAGATATGGGATTCTAAACTCATTAATATCTCATTGTATTCTGGTAGAGATAAGGATAATAAGTCATTACTTGTTAAAGCAATTCTCTCTAACATAATGTTAGAGAAAATTATCAATTATATTCTCACTTGATTTTCCTTTCTGGAATTTTAGATACTCTTTTATAGCCTAGTTATATATCTCATTAAATAAGTTATTTAAAAATAAAAATTGCCTGAAACTTCTTGTTCATTTCTTACCTTTTCTTTATCTGAAATTTGAGACAATAGAGCCTGTACTTCCTAATTGAAAGATTAATTAGCTAATGATGGTTCCTAAGATACCTAGGGGGAATTTTAGAAGCTTTCAAGGACTTTTTATTAGCTCTCTTCCTGCCATATTCCCCAAAATAAGTAAAATTTCTCTTTGACTTGATGCTACATTAACTGTACTTTTTAGTGAACTGGGGGAAAATAAATAAAGTTCAAATATATACTCATTCCACCAATGAATCATAAAGTGACTGCACTATGCCGTTAGGTGGTGAGCATGAGTGAACAGAAACACAGTCATTGCCTTCATTCTAGCTTATATTCTAGTCTGAGGATACATATTAGAAACATGCATTTGGCCGGGTGTGGTGGCTTACACCTGTAATCCCAGCACTTTGGGAGCCCAAGGTGGGATGCCATAATGAGGTGAGAGAGGTATGCAGGGCCACGGAGGTAGTGGAAGAACACAGGATATTACTCTTGGAACAATGGAAAGCTACTCACAGACTTTAAGAAGGGAAAAGATGTAATCTAATTTACATTGAAAGGGAAGAAAATGGAAATTTTATGGGGAATGGGTTAAAGAGTTTTAACCTTTAATCTGAGTTTTGGGGTCAGTACCTGTGTATAAAATTCCTGAAGAACAATTAGAATGAAGTATAGTGAACAAGTGAAATGTTCTACAATTTGTAGAGTAAAATATGTAATTACTTTAGATGAAGGGAGAAACTTACATTGTGTAGTTTTCTGCAGTTTGGTAGGGAAACCATTTGGAAGTTGTTGAAGAGGTCCAGGTGAAAAATAATGGACTTAGGTGATGGCAGTGAATGTGGAGAAGTGAAAACACGAGTTCCTTTGAAAACAAAACTCAACTGGACACTGAGTTTTATATATATAATGACATAAACATTATATATATTAGATATATTAAATATATATATTTATTATATATAAAAATATATATTTATAATATATATCTAATATATATAATGTTTATGTCATTCATGTTTAGTAGTGAACACTGTGAGTCTGTAATCAAGAAATTTTATTAATTTGATTAGGGGAGTTGTTTTCAGATCCTCTTAAAAGCTTTTTTGAGGGGGAGGGGATTGAATTGCATGACAGTTTAAAAATGGTCTCATTGTCTCATAGCCATGATTTTTATAGGAACTAAGTAATTGTATAGGACATTCATTTTTCTGTTCAGCTAGTTGCTATGTATGTTTTTAAAAATATTGTGCTTACCTAAACCACTTTTAAAAATAATGCATTAGCATTAATTTAACCGATTTAATTAATTAATAATATTGGGAATTTAATAGGATCAGAGAAAATATGAATAATATAAGCTTCTATTGGATAATGCAATGGTTAAAAGTAAATGTGTCTATGATGGTAGTTAAGTCTTTATAATTGTTTACTCATTCATCTCGCCTAATTAGATTTTTACTGCTGCATATTAAATAACAGTATGAGCTGAGACCTCACTTCATGTCTCTGGCCTTCAGCTTGTTCTTTTGTGAACTCAAAGTTTGACTCAATTGCCTTTGCTTTATAATATGCCATTTCTTCATATAGGCAATAAACATTTACTAAGGAGCTATTAATGGGTCAGTCACAAGTGGAAGAATGTTGTGAATATAGAAGTGAATGGGAGTGTGTCTAAAAGATCATATAATTTGGTATGTAAAACTGAAAAAGTAAGTAATTACAGCAGTGAACTAGGAGCTACCATGGAAGTGTTTCTAAGGCAGACAATGAGAAGATGAGAAATGATCAGTTTTTTTTTTTTTTTGAGTTGGAGTCTCGCTTTGTCGCCCAGGCTGGAGTGCAGTGGCATGATCTTGGTTCACTGTAAACTCCGCCTCCCAGATTCAAGTGATTTTCCTGCCTCAGCCTCCTGAGTAGCTGGGATTACAGGTGCCCGCCACCATGCCCAGCTAATTTTTGTATTTTTAGTAGAGATGGGGTTTCACCACATTGGTCAGGCTGGTCTCGAACTCTTGACTTCGTGATCTGCCCTCCTTGGCCTCCCAAAGTGCTGAGATTACAGGCGTAAGCCACCGCACCCGGCCGAGAAATGATCAGTTTTAATAGTGAAATTATGGAAGGCTTTTTAGCTTTTGCCACCTATTTGTTGCTCTTCCTTGTGTTCCAATTGGAAAGGATGAAGGGAGAGAATTAATTAGGTGGTTGAATTGGCAGAATTTAGTGACCATATGACTATTCTTATTTCATAATGTTTAATTTATCTTTGTGAAGCAAAACTGAAGTGTTATCATTTACTGAGTGCCAAGTGTTGGGCTAGGTACTTGACATACGTTTATTCTAATCCTCACAACCATTTTTATAGTTCATCAGTATTATCTGCATTTTACAGGTAAGAAATACAAAGTTTGGGTAATTTTAGTAATGTACCTAATGCCAGAATCCGCTAAGGACATGATCTCCAAGTGCATCCAAAATAGACACCAAGGCTGGGTGCAATGGCTTACACATGTAATCCCAGCACTTTTTGGGAGGCTGAGGTGAGAGGATTGCTTCAGCCCAGGAGTTCAAGACCAGCCTGGGTGACACAGTGAGACCCAGTCTCTAGAAAAAGTAAAATAAAATTAGCCAGGTGTAGTGGCACACCTTGTGGTCCCGGCTACTAGGGAGGCTGAGGTGGGAGGATTGTCTGAGGCTCGGAAATTGTGCTGTTGCACTCCAGCCTGGGTGGCAGAGTGAGGCTACTGTCTCAAAAATAAATAAACAGAATAGACACCAAGTTGCGTTTTAAAATTTTGTAGACCGTAACCTAATAAATGGCTGAATAGAGTTATTGTCAAAATGCTTGTTATTTACAGAGTTTATTTGCATGATTTGGATCACCAATAAGAAGTCCCAATCTTAATTACCAATTTGGCAGGAAAATATATCTTTGTCTCTTCTATTGCTTTCTTCAGCATAATGTAAAGTCAACTATTTACAGGTTGATTTTAAAAATATGAGTTGGGTTGCTTCACAATCTAGTTATTTTTAGTATTGCTAATATTTTGTGTTCGTATGGTGTCATTGGGGAGTCTACTTATTTCCCATAATACTTCTGTAATGGAGTAGGGCTGACAGTGTCTTTTTTTATGGATAAGGAAACAGTAACAGTGGCTTTACTAGAATCCACTCTTATTATGTAACAGAACTAGATTTTTGTGTTGGCTATTATAACTTTAAGATGGTCAAAGTTCTGAAATAAAATGTTTTGTTACTTCAGTAAACCTTGGAAAATTTATATTATCTTTTAACACATAAACTTTGATACTTAACTTAGCAAAGCAGTGCAGTGGCAAATGGGACAAGAAAGAACATGAGCCCAGGGAGTTATTTGTAAATGCAAATATACATTTGCATTTACATTTACAATTTACAAATATACATTTGCATTTACAAATGCACATTTGCATTTACAAATACATCTTAATGTACTTATAAGTTAAGTACATTATTAGAGTACTAAGTTAAGTACATATGTGTAAGTACATATTAGAGTACTAAGATTTATTTCCATGATAAAGAGGAGGTGTTTAAATCAAAGTGAACATCTGTAAATCTAAATATGCCATATGTACTTTAGCTCTGGATAGAATTTAAGATCTAACTGAAAGGAATTAAGTACTTGAAAAATGACTTATTTTGAATAACTAATGTGATACTTGCCCTTAGACTGGATCCTGGACTGCAGGACAGGAAAAAGGGATAATAGGTAAATATTATGGACAATTTTAGTCAATAAATTTGACAGTTAGGATGAAATGGACAAATGGATAAATTCCTTAAAAACTACGAAAGCTTACTTAAGAAGTAATAGATAACCTGAATATCTATATGTGTTTATCTGTATCTATATATGTGAAGACATTGGATATATGGTTGAAAACCTTGTCACAAAGAAAACCCCAAGCCAGTGGTTTCATTGGTGAATTTTGTTATTCGATAAAGGAAGAAATAATACAAATTTTACACAAACTCTTCCAAAAAGTACAAGAAGGAACAGCATTTCCCAACTCATTGTCTGATACCAAAACCACAGAAAGATATAAGAAAAGAAAATTATAGTCTTATATCTTTCATAAACTTTGCTGCAAAAAATGGTAAAATTTTAACTAAGACCAACAATATGTAGAAAGGATAATACTTAATGACTAAGTGGGGTTTATTCTGGGAATGTAAGATGCGTTTAACATTTGAAATTTAATCAATATTAATTCACCACATTAACAGGCCAAAATATTAATTCACCACATTAACAGGCCAGAAAAATCAGATGATCATAATTATCTCAGTAGATACAACAAAAAGTATTTGACAAAATCCAACATCCATTCATGATTTAAAGCTGTCAGCATATTAGGAGTAAAAGGAAACTTCCTCAGCCTACTAGAGGGAATCTACAAAAACCTGGAAAACTGACAGCATTCATCCTAATATTGGAAACAAGGCAAGGATTTCTGCTGTAATCACTTCTATTCCACATCATACTGGAGGTTCTAGATAATATAAAAAGCATAAGATGTAAATAAAATACATAAAGATTGACAAGAAGTACAATTGTCTTTATTCATAGATAACCTAATTATCTCCAGAAAGTTAAAAAGCATATACACAAAAGCCACCGTAACAGTTGATCAGTGTTGCAGGGTACAGGGTCAATATATAAAGATCAATGTTGATTTAAGAATTAACAAGGAGAAATTGAAATAAAAAATAACATTACAATAGTACCAAAAATATGAAATTTGTAAAGATGGTATTTAAAAATGATGTACAAGACCTATTAATTTGAAACTACAGAACATTGCTGAGGGAAATTAAAGAAGACCTAAATAAATGGAGAGTTATACTGTATTCCTGGACAGAGAGACTAAATATTGTTATCAGTTCTTCCCCAGTTGGTCTGTGGATTTAACTCCATTCCAAACAGAATGTCATCATGCTTTTTTATAGATACTGACTTCGCTTCTGCAGCTTCCTTACCTCTCTCAGCCTTCATAGATTGAAAAGAGTTAGGGTCTTAAACTCTGGATTAGGCTTTGGCTTGAGGAAATGTTGTGGCTGGTTTGATCTTCTATCCAGACCACTCAAATTTTCTTCATATCAGCAATAAGACTGTTTAACTTTATTATCATTCATGTATTCACTGGAGTAACACTTTTAATTTTCTTCAAGAACTTTTCCTTTGCATTTACAAACTGGATAACTGTTTAAAACAAGAGGCCTAGCTTTCAGCCTGTCTTGGCTTTCAAAATGCCTTCTTCACTAAGCTTAATCATCTCTAACTTTTGAGTTAAAATGAGAGACACATGAGTCTTTCTTTCACTTGAACACTTAGGATGCCATTGTAGGGTTATTAATTGTCCTAATTTCAATTTAGTTGTGTTTTGGAATAGCAAGGCCCAAGGAGAGGGAGAGAGATGGGGGATGGCCAGTTGGTGGAACCGTCAGAACACACACATTTATTAAGTTTGCTGTCTTATATGGAATTGTCTCAAAACAATTACAATCATAACATCAAAGATCACTGATCGTAGATCAACATAACTGACAATAGTAATGAAAAAGTTTGAAATAATTGCAAGAATTACAAAATATGACACAGACATGAAGTGAGCACATATTGTTGGAAAAATAGCACCAATATACTTGCTCAATGCTGGGTTGCTTCAAACTGTCACCTTGCAAAAATAAATCTGCGAAGAGCAATCAAGTAAAGCACAATAAGATGTGGTATGCCTGCATCTAGAATATATTAAGAACCATTATGGTTCTGTGACAAGAACACAATCTAATTAAAAAATTAAATCCGTACAAATGGTAGATCAGTAAGCCTATGGAAAGATACTCAATAATATTAGTCATTAGGGAAATTATATTAAAATCACAACAAGCTACCAGTACACACCCACTTCAGATGAAGTTTGAAAGATTGACAATGCCAGGTGTTGCTGAGAATTAGAGCCACTGAAACTCTCATATATTGCTGGTGGGAATGTAAAGTTGTACAACAATTTTGGAAAACAACTAGTTTGTCAGTTTCTGAAAAAGTTAAACATGGCTGGGCACAGTGGCTTACACCTGTAATCCCAGCACTTTGGGAGGCCAAGGCAGGAGAATCACTTGAACCCAGGAGTTCGAGACCAGCCTGGGCAACATACTGAGATCCCCCCATCTCTACGAAAAATTTAAAACTTAGCTGGCATGCTGGCTCTCACCTGTGGTCCCAGCTGCTCAGGAGGCTGAGGTGGGAGGATCACTTGAGCCCAGGAGGTCAAGGCTGCAGTAAGCCGTGATCGTACGACTGCACTGCAGCCTGGGCAACAGAGCAAGACTTTGTCTCAAGGGAAAAAAAAAAGTTAAACATATATTTACAATTTGACCTAGCCATTTTATTCCCAAGTGTTTACTGAAGAGAAATGAAAGCAGTGACTCACGCCTGTCATCTCAGCACTTTGGGAGTCCAAGGCAGGAGGATTGCTTGAGCCCAGGAGTTTCAAAAAAAAAATAATAAAAAAATAAGAAGAAGAAATGAAAGCACACGCCCATACATAAGCTGTTACGTGATTCTTCATAGCAGCTTTATTTGAAATAGCCAAAAACTTTTAGAAACAACACAAGTGTCTGTTAACATGAGAGTGAATAAACAAATTATGCTATATCTGTGCAATGGAATAATGCTCAATAATAAAAAGGAACAAACATATATGATTCTAAAAGTATTTATGCTCAGTGGAAGAATTCAGATGGAAGAGAGTACATGATGCAGAAATAGATTTTTATAAAATTCAAAAATGCAAACAAATCTATAGTGGTAGAAAATACATTAGTGGGCTGGGCATGGTACACCTATAATTCCAGCACTTGGGAGGCCAAGGTGGGCAGATCACTTGAAGCCAGGAGTTCCAAGACCAGCCTGGCCAACATGGCAAAACCCTCTCTCTACTAAAAATACAAAAATAGCTGAGCATGGTGGTACACGTCTGTAGTCCCAGCTACTCAGGTGGCTAAGGCATGAGAATTGCTTGAACCTGGGAGGCGGAGGTTGCGGTGAGCTGAGATCATGCCACTGCACTCCAGCCTGGGTAACAAAAAGTGAGACCGTCTCAAAAAAAAAAAAAAAAAAAATTAGTGGTTGTCTAGGAAATGGGGTAATGTTGGATTACAAAGACTCATAAGAAAACTTTTAGGTTGATGGGTTTGTTCATTATGACTGTGATTATTACACTTTATGTACAGTTTTTTGGTCAATTATGCCTCAGTAAAGCTATAAAAATGCTATAAAGAACATTATTGGATCACTTCACAAAATTGGAATATGGATGGTAGATTAAATATTACATTGATGTTGAATTTACTGAATTGATACCTATACTGTAGGTGTATAAGAGAGTATCATTATTCCTAGGAAGTAAACACTGAAGTATTTAGGAATAAAGAGTCATGGTGTATATAACTTATCCTCAAATGGTTCAGAAACAATGTTATGTGATCAGATATATACAGAGAAAAAGGACAAAGCACAGAGGCAAGGCTGGGATGGAGCAAAGCAGAGAAAGAGTGGGAAAAAAGAACAAATAGGGGAAATGTTAACATTTAGGTGAATATGCTAAGGGGTATACAGGTGTCTGTACCATTCTCGTAACTTTGTTTGAAATTATTTTCAAATAAAAGATATTAAAAATGTGTAATAAAGAAAGCATGGTTACTTACAATGATTCCATAGTTGGGACATAAAATATAATAACCAGAAAGAAAAGTTGGTAAATTGAACTTAATCAGAATTTTTTTTTTTTTGAGACAGAGTTTCACTTTTGTTGTCCAGGCTAGAGTGCAATGGCGCAATCTTGGCTCACCACAACCTCTGCCTCCGGGGTTCAAGCAATTCTCCTGCCTCAGCGTCCCAAGTGGTTGGGTGCGCCACCACGCCTAGCTAATTTTGTATTTTTGGTAGAGATAGGGTTTCTCCATTTTTGGTCAGGCTGGTCTCAAACTCCTGACCTCAGGTGATCCACCAGCCTTGGCCTCCCAAAGTGCTGGGATTGCAAGCGTGAGCCACCGCACCTGGCTGAACTTAATCAGAATTTAAAAGTACTGTTTTTTTATATACACCGTTAAAAAAATGAGAAGGGATAAAAAGATGAGACTAAAAAATGTCCATTAAACATGTGAAAAGTTGCTCATGATCATTGATCATCAGGAAAATGTAAATTTCATAATATATTATCTACAATAAGTTATCACTACACTTCTATTGTGTGTGTGTGTATATATATATATATGTAGAGAGAGAGAGAGAGAGTGTGTTATGGAGACATATAACTTTGTTTTTTTTTTGTTTTTTTTTTTTGAGACGGAGTTTCACTCTGTTGCTCAGGCTGGAGTGCAGTGGTGCGATCTTGGCTCACTGCAGCCTCTGCCTCGCAGGTTCAAGCGATTCTCCTGCCTCAGCCTCCCGAGTAGCTGAGACCACAGGTGTGCACCACCACACCTGGCTAATTTTTGTATTTTTAGTAGAGATGGGGTTTCACCAGGTTGGCTAGGCTGGTTTTGAACTCCTGACCTCAAGAGATCCACCCACCTCGGCCTCCCAAAATGCTGGGATTACAGGCATGAGCCACCATGCCTGGCCAACTTTGAATACACACACACACACACACACACACACACACACACACACACACACACACACACATATATATCTCTATATATCTCTATCTATATATATGTGTGTGTATATATATATAGAGAGAGATTTTATATATATACATAGAGAGAGAGAGAGAGAGAGAGCGCTCCTGCTCTCTGTCAATAGACAAGGCATACGGGAGAGAACGAGGTGTCAGTCTGTGTTCTTAAGGAGCTTACATTCTAGTGGAAGAGATACACTAAATAAATATTTATTTTATTTTTTATTTTACTTTAGGTTCTGGGATACATGTGCAGAATGCACAGGTTTGTTACGTAGGTATACATGTGCCATGGTGGTTTACTGCACCTATCAACCTGTCATCTAGGTTTTAAAACCTGCATGCATTAGGTATTTGCCCTAATGCTCTCCCTTCTTTTGTCCTCCACCCCTGCTACAGGCCCTGGTGTTTGTTGTTCCCTTCTCTGTGTCCATGTGTTCTCATTGTTTAACTCTCACGAGTGAGAACATGTGGTATTTGTTTTTGTGTTCCTGTGTTAGTTTGCTGAGAATGATGGCTTCTGGTTTCATCTATGTCCCTGCAAAGGACATGATCTCATTCTTTTTTATGGCTGCATAATATTCCATGGTGTATATATGCCACATTTTCTTTATCCAGTCTATCATTAATGGGCATTTGGGTTGGTTCAAGTCTTTGCTGTTGTAAATAGTGCTGCAATAAACATATGTCTGCATGTGTCTTTATATAGAATGATTTATAATCCTTTGGGTATATACCCAGTAATGGGATTGCTGGGTCAAATGGTATTTCTTGTTCTAGATCCTTGAGAAATTGCCACACTGTCTTCCACAATAGTTGAACTAATTTACACTCCCACCAACAGTGTAAAAACATTCCTATTTCTCCACAGCCTCGCCACTAAATAAATATTAACAATAGCTACAGAATGTATGTTTGTTTGGATCAAGGAAGATGGAGGAGGGGCCTACTTCAGAGTGATCAGAAGAACCTTTAGTTGGTGACGTTTGAGAAGGGGCATGAAAGATGAGAAGAAGCCTGCTGCAGGGTAGAGCCAACCAGAGCGCAATACCAGTTTGCCTGCAACCAATATGTTTCTCTGGCTGCTAGACTTTCAGTGCTAAAAGCAAGAAGGTCCTGCGCAAACTCAGAGTAGCCCAGCTCCTCCACTTGTGCTCTCCATTCCATCCCCTCTTGCTATCCTGAGAATTTAACTCCAGCTTTCTGCTGCATCATTCATATCCTTCTATATTCTAAATTATTCCTCAGCACACAAATCTTCTAGTCTCTAATAGCTTAGGAAAACCCTTTACTGACCCTACATCAATTTTTATTTTTCTTCTTTTCTTCAAAGTTAGTATTCTCCCAAAGAGTTGTGCTCATTCCACTCTCACTCCCTCACCTCCCATTTACTTTTCAAACAACCACTTTAATGGGACTCAGCTCACACGACTGTTTAAACTTCTCAATAAAGTTAACAAGAACTCCAAGCTCCTAGATTACTCATTACTGTCCTTACTCCAGCCTTTAAGCAGATCTGACAGTTAACCACACCCTTCACGCTTGAATCACTGTTCTTTTAATTTCAAGGGCCCCTCATCTGGTTTTCCTTCTACTTCACTGGCTAATTTTTTTCTGTCTCTAGTAGTGGCTCTCTCTAGGTCATTCTTGTAGTTAAGATATCCTCTCTTGAGTTTCACAGCAACTGTCTGCCTTATTATGGCATCTCGAGCTTAAATTTAATGTATCAAAAAGAAAATGCTCAATACTTTCTCCCTCAGCTTTACGTCCCCCCATATCCTGTAAGGAAATCTTTTCCTTCTCTAAGTTAAAGACCATTCACATGCTCAAACCAGAAATCTGGAAGTCATTTTTTACCTCTTTACCCATATCCTTTTATTGAAGCCCCAGGTCTTAGTTTATTTTGTGTTGCTATAACAGAATACCTGAAACTGGGTAATGTATAAAGAAAAGAGGTTTATTTAGTTCACAGTTCTACAGGCTAGGCAGTTAAAGGACACGGACCTGGCTTCTGGTGAGGGCTTCTGTGCTTTGTTATAACATGGCAGAGAAGAACAAAGGGGATGTGAGCATGTGTGAAGAGGGACCGAACAGGAGGAGGAACCTCACTTTACAACAACCCATTCCTGAGAAGGGGAGTTAATCCATTCCCAGAGAGCTAATTCCTCTGCTCCAGAGTGAGAACTCAGTGCTGTGAGAATAGCACCAAGCCATTCATGTGGGATCCAACCGTGTGACCTAAACACCTCTCACTAGGCTCCACCTCCCATCACAGCCACAATGGGGTCAAATTTCAACATGCCTTTTCGTGGGGAAAAGCACAAACCATAGCAACCTTCCTTATCTCCCTCCAAAGTATAACTCGATTATCAACTTCCTTCTGTTAACTTCCACTGCACTAATTTATACTAATCAACAATAATCTCTTTCTTGGCCTATTTTACATACTAACTAGCTTTCTAATAGTCTCCTTGATTCATTTCTTTACCCACTACAATCTGCTCTCTACATTCAGCCAGTGTAATTAACATATGTATTAACATATACATAATAATGATTATGTGTGATAATAATCAACATAATGTATGTATTACTGTGTGATATGGTTTGGCTCTGCGTCCCCACCCAAATCCCATCTCGAATTGTAATCCCCATGTGTTGAGGGAGGGACCTGGTGGGAGGCGATTGAATCATGGGGTGGATTTCCCCCTTGCTGTTCTCCTGATAGTGAGTGGGTTCTCGTGAGATCTGGGTGTTTGAAAGTCTGTGGCATTTCCCACTTTGCTCACTCTCTCTTTTGCTCTGCCATGGTAAGGCGTGCTTGCTTCTCCTTTGTCTTCTACCATGATTTAAGTTTTCTGAGGCCTCGCAGTCATGCTTCCTGTTAAGCCTGTGGAACTGTGAAACCACTTTTCTTCATAAATTGCCCAGTTTCAGATGGTTCTTCGTAGCAATGTGAAAATGGACTAATACATTATGTTATATATTATAGTATGAAATATGTGTAAAAATATGTCTGCAGCAGAGACAGTGATATTTACCAAATATTTCCTCAGTTTTCCATATTTTCCAGCTTCTTGTAATTAAGTGGATCTACATGACTGCCTTTGGTCAATACCCAATGTTTATTTTAAAACAAAACTGATTGTGTACCCATGTTCATAATATCACTCACAGTCACCAAAAGGTGCAGGCAACTCAAATGTCTATGAATAAGTGACTGGATAACCAAAACATGGTATATACATGCAATGTTCTGATTTCAGTCTTAAAAAGGAAGGAAATTCTGATATGCTACAACATGGATGAAACTTGAGGACATTATGCTAAGTAAAATAAGCTAATCAAAAAAGAATAAATACTGTATAATTTCACTTGTATGAAGTAGCAAGAATAGTTATACCCATGGAAATAGAAAGTAGAACAGTGGTTCCCCAGGGTTAGGACAGGGGCGAATGGAGAGTTGTTTAATGCGTATATATAGAATTGCAGTTTTGTAAGATGAAAAGTTCTGGAGATTGGTTGTACAACACTGTGAATATATTTAACACTACAGAACTCTGTGCTTTAAAATGTCTAAAATGGTAAATGTTATGTGAATTTTTTAACAATTTTTTTAATGTTTTATGTTCTAGAAACAGTATTATGTCTCAGTCCTGTGCAAAGTGAGATGAGCTGTAGCCTTTGGAGACCTATAATTTTGAACATAGATGTTCCTTAAAAGCTAAATCTTTTTGAACAGATGATGATAAACCTGGAAGGTAAATTTAGATATAGATACTTTTGCATTTCTTCTTCGTATTCTCTGAGGGTATTTTAAGTAGTTGACCCAACAAAATGCTCTTGAAACAAAATTGAAAACAAAAAATACCATGTGCCACAAAGGTAACTAATCTAGGTTTCTTCGGGGACCAGAACACCATGCAAATATGAGCTTTGAAAATAACGTAATAAAGGTTATCTCCAACAGGAAAATACAACTGGGTCAGGTTTATTATTAGGTGTACCGTAGTCCTTTTTTCGTTGGGACCTCTGTGTTGTTTCTAGAGTAGAAAAGGTCTAATGTCTAAAATCTACTATAATAATCAAAACAAAAGAGCAAGTCATGAAGAACTGTAAGTAGGAAATCAGTATACACCCTTACTGGCTAGCAGGCAAGCAAATAAAAATGGATATAAATTTAAAGTACTGTAATATGACTGATGCACTAAAAAGATTACTGTCAATTTTCAGAACTTTCAGATTTGGGTAAACAGTTATTTACATGTTTCTAATGGAATCTTAAATTGGTTTGGTAATTTGAAGAATTTTTCACAATATTTGAATCTTTAATTCTACATTGAGAATTATATTTAAGAAAATAACACAAATATATTCAGAATTATTTTACATTCATATTGATAATTTAGCATTTAATGTTCATTAGGTTGTTTAGTAAAAAAACATAAAATTTACTTTTTAAAAAAATTAAGGACAGTGATTATTATTCTAAACTGCCTCAGAAAATGGAAAGTTGATTTGTAGTAGCACAGAAGAGGGGAGGGAATATGCTATATGACACATAAAGATTCTCTTTGTCAGTTAGCTATGAGATGCAAAATAGCATCTACTTACTAAGGAACTTTTGTACTTTGTAGAATATCTTTGATATTTAGTTGACCCTTGGTTCTCAGAAAATAAGTGGCTTGTAATTTGACCTTTTGCTCTATCATGTTTTCTTTTTTATAATCTGCTTGACTTTGATGAGTGTTTTTCCAATGTTTCATTTGTTTTTGCAAGGTTATTTTGCCATCCTTTCCTTCCATGATGTGATTCTTCAGGCCAAGAAGAAAAAGATGTGTCTGTAGCTAAAATTACCTCATCCTTGGTGTTTTTCAGCCTAGGATCACTATATGTAGCTAATGCCGTTACATTACAACTAAGACAAGTTCCAATACTTTTTTTTTTCTCCTCGATCTGCAGAGATTCACCAACAATAGCAAATTACACACTGGCTTGGAAAGTACTCCCATGTTCCGTTTGATCTTGGCAATTTAATGGTATCTTCTTTTACAGTTTTATTTAAATGTTTCATATTGCTTCGTTTTTCTTCCTTAAGTATTTGTAAGTTCATCAGCTCTGTGATGAACTTACAGAGAACTCGATATTCTTTATAGTACCCCAGCACCCAGTTATGCATGTGATGTGTGCACAAAACATTTTTATTGAGTGGATAAAACATAACCTTTTTGATTGATTCAGGGAACTAAAATAAAATGTTTCTTTAATAAGTACAAATTTTCTGAAGCACAGATGAAATTTAACTTCATATGATTCTGCCAAATGTGATAGAATACATGTTTCCTGCTCAATATGGTAATAGTCAAGAGAGCCAGAATACCAAAGTAAGAAGAAAAAAAAAATCACAAATATTTGAATAATTTAAATCAATTCAGCAACATCTAAATAATTATAACTGATTTAAATAATTAAAAATCCGTTATTGGCAATGATTGTCATATGTACAACCAAGAGTTGCACGACTTATATTTTCTTTTTGTAGGATTTGACTTGGCTGAACGCTAACTCTTTTTAGGACTGATTTAATTATTTATTTGTTCTTTGGTCCTGTGCTAATTTTTATGAGCTTATTATGCAGTTAAATTCATTATAGTTTATTTGTCCCAATTACTTATTATACTTGAACTTTTTCTTTTTGCTTAGATGTACTTTATTACATATTTGATTTCAGTATTATGTCACATTATTAAATAGTGCTTATTGTTACCACCACAAATGAAAGTAAAGTTGTGAGTTATATAATAATTAAAAATATATGTTTCATCTACTTGTGATCATCAAAATATGTGAAAATACATATGAATGCATTAAGATTTACCCCAATTTAATTTTGTTCTCTCTTTCAGCTGTTCTTGAAGACTAATTAGTTACACTGGATATGCTGCTGTTCTTTACTTTGGGATTGCTTATACATTTTGTGTTCTTCGCCTCCATCTTTGACATTTATTTTACATCTCCTTTGGTTCATGGAATGACTCCTCAGTTTACACCATTGCCTCCTCCAGCGAGAAGATTAGTGTTGTTTGTTGCTGATGGCCTTCGAGCAGATGCACTTTACGAATTAGATGAAAATGGAAACTCTAGAGCACCGTTTATTAGGTAAGCATGTAAACTGATACAGAGACATCTCTTAAAATGTTATTCTGAGTTAAGTAAACTGCAAAATATCTTACTATTTATCATGCACTGGGCACAGGGGTGATGATGAGAAAGAGAATAGGGCACTTGTACATTTGCCTTTGTCTTATGGGTCAGCACTAGATGCTACTTTATTTCCTCCTAGGTGTTATTTCTGGTATTGTTGAAGCTGATAACCGGTGAATTGAAATGGATAGGCTTAGCTGCTTAAGCTAAATTGTCCTAATTTCCCAAACTTGGCTCAAGACTCACTATATTATTTTTTTCTTAAAAAATAAGTCTGCTGGCTGGGCACAGTGGCTCACGCCTGTAATCCCAGCACTTTGGGAGGCTGAGGCACAGGGATCACCTGAGGTCAGGAGTTTGAGACCAGCCTGACCAACATGGAGAAACCCCGTTTCTACTAAAAATACAAAAAATTAGCTGGGGGTGGTGGCACATGCCTGTAATCCTAGCTACCTGGGAGGCTGAGGCAGGAGAACCTGCGAGGCAGAGGTTGCAGTGAGCCGAGATGGTGCCATTGCACTCCAGCTTGGGCAACAAGAGCAAAACTCCGTCTCAAAAAAAAAAACAAAAAAAAAGTCTGCTAATTTTACAAAATAAAGACAAGCATAAATATTAATGAATTACTAATTTCAATGATGTTTAAGTACAAAATATAGACTTCAAATTAAAACACAACCTTCTGTAAAAGAATATAGAGCCCTTTCACTTCTATATCACTGTTTAACATAACTTTGGCTTCTGTTAAGTTGCTTTAAAAAGAAATATTTAATTTCTTGGACTTACAAAGGGCCTACAAACAATTGCTCTTTTTCTGATTAGTGGCAACTCCTGAAAGGCCTTGTAATGCTGTTATGGAGAGATTAAAATAGAATTCAAGAGGAAATTTATCTAAAATGTTGTGTCTTCCCCCATCTCCATCTGTCATCATTACCTCCTATCATTTTACTCTGTTTTCTTTTTCTTTTTCTTTTTTTTGAGACGGAGTCTCGCTCTGTCACCCAGGCTGGAGTGCAGTGGCGTGATCTCAGCTCACTGCCAGCTCAGCCTCCCAGGTTCACGCCATTCTCCTGCCTCAGCCTCCCGAGTAGCTGGGACTACAGGCGCCCGCCACCACACCCGGCTAATTTTTTGTATTTTTGGTAGAGACGGGATTTCACCGTGTTAGCCAGGATGGTCTTGATCTCCTGACCTCATGATCCACCTGCCTTAGCCTCCCAAGTGCTGGGATTACAGGCGTGAGCCACCGTGCCTGGCCTGTTTTATTTTTCTTTATAGTACTTCCATCATGAAAGTTCCATGAGACTGGGGACTTATCCACCACTTTATCTCCAGTTCCTATAACATAATGGGCAATTAACAAATATTTGTTGACAGCTAGAAGAATGGATGAACTCTAATGCTGTGTTGAATTTTCAGAACTAAATTTACGATAGCTCAGAGAGATGCATAACATATTGAAGGATAAAAATAAAGAAAAGAGAGACTCAAGTCAATAGACGAACATTGTGGGAAAATAAGATCAAACCAAGGTTAAGTACAGTACACAAAAATCTGTAACAAATTTCTAGAAATAATTAAAGTATTTGGGTGAATTTCTTAGTTGCCAAAGGAAAGAGAGAAATATACTTCATTTCAAAATTAAGAGGATAAAAATATACTGGTAAAATAAAGTCAAGCTTTTCTGGTGGCACTTGTTTCTCCTTTGGATCTTACTAACGGAAGCTCTGTGGGCTCAAACAGTTGATGTTTTGTGTTGTGTGCCATTGTATATTTACAATGTCAGGAATCTTCTAGCTTCTTCTAAGCCTGTTTTTGAAAGGTTTTTTGTTGTTGTTATTTGTTTTGAGAGGGAGTCTCACTCTGTCGCCCAGGCTGGAGTGCAATGGTGCAATCTTGGCTCACTGCAACATCTGCCTCCCAGGTTCAAGCGATTCTCCTGCCTCAGCCTCCTGAGTAGCTGGGATTACAGGCACGTGCCACCACGCCCGGCTAATTTTTGTACCTTTGGTAGAGACGGGGTTTCACCATGTTGACCAGGCTGGTTTCGAACTCCTGACCTCCACCTGCCTCAGCTTCCCAAAGTGCTGGGATTACAGGCGTGAGCCACCGCATCTGGCCCAAAATTTGTTTTATAAAAACGTGATCTAAACTAATGTTTTTAAATACAGTATCTAAACTAATGCTTTTAAATAGAGTATCCACATTTCTTTATACCTCCCCTTTCTGTTTAAGTCCAGTTTTCATTATATAACTCAAGAAGTTAAAGAATATTTCTCGTTAATATTTGGTCCAGTGGTTTTGAAACTGTTTACTTATTATGAATGTATTTCACCAAAACTGCTTTTATTATTAGGTAAGTCAATAGTAAAAGAACTGACACCAGTAGTTATAAATATTTTTCTTTAGAATGTATTGAGAGGCAGATATTTATCTTGAAAAATGTTATTGTTGAGTTTACTATTTTATAACTTATTGCTCTGCTGGCCTTTCACCTATAATAGCACCACTTGTAGTTTTGCTTTCTTCCCCAAATTTTGCAAATCACTGTGGATACAACTTAAATAATGTTGACATCTTTTAGCAAAATAATCTTTTTGCCTGTTTTAATCTCAAATTTGGGGATATAATTTAACTCCTAATTAGGAGTGTAGCCATTTTCCCTCCCCTTAGTTTTTTAAGAATTTTTCAACTAAACAAATTTGAAAGGATTATTTGATGAACATCTGTATACCCTTTACCTAGTATGACAATTTTAACCTTTTTTCATAATTGCGTTCACCCTCTCCTGGCCCCTCTGCCACCTGCACCACAGGGGTACCCATGTATGTCCATCTAGTTATAATTATTTTTTCCTTAACAATTCGAAAGCAAGAAACTTTACCCCAAACACTTCAGCCTATATCTCTTAAATAACCACAATACTATTATCACACCTAATGCAATTTAACATTGATATAATAATATATGTTTTATCTCTGGATAACAAACCATCTCTGTTTTGTGGCTTAAAACAACAATCATGTATTTTGTTTCATGATTCTGTGCAGTGGTTGAATGGTTCTTTGTTTGGTCTTACATCAGCAAATTCATGCTGCTGCATTCAGCTGGTAGATGCTAGGAATGGGCTCACCTGGAATTTGAAAAATTCCTTTCCTTCTTAAGTTTTGACTTAAGTTTTTTGCTTTTGATTCCTTCTGTAATAATCTTATGTTTCTAAAGCTTTATGTGAGAGTATCTAATCATAGTCTGTGTTAACTATTTGTCTTTAATATCTTTTAGGAATATCATAATGCATGAAGGCAGCTGGGGCATATCTCATACACGTGTGCCAACAGAATCTCGGCCAGGTCATGTAGCTCTGATAGCTGGGTTTTATGAAGATGTCAGTGCAGTTGCCAAAGGTATTGTCTATTTGGACAATCTTATGAAATGAAAAATTTGTCAAGTAAATATTAGTCCTTTACCACTTAATCATGTCACAAAGTGAAGGTATGTTTTGAGATATTTTGGACAAATGTTTTAGCATGCTTTGCTGACATGAATACCCACTGGTACTGACTCCAGAATTGAAACTTTAGTATTTCATTATCCTGTGTTATTGAAAGAATTTGGGTTGGATGGAAGCATAATTTTCCTAGATATTACTCTTGAAAGTTCAAAAATAATTTTATATTTCATTAAGAAGTAAATTATCTATTGTTAGTTTTTTTTTAAATAGTGGTATAATATGCATAATATAAAATCTATTAGTTTTGCATTTATTCACTGACTAATGTAATTGTTATTATTTGAAGAATAGTTCTTTAGGGGCTTATTGTACCATGTGTATATAACTATTACTGCTTGCTTGCTTTCTGAAGGATGGAAGGAAAATCCTGTAGAGTTTGATTCTCTTTTTAATGAAAGTAAATACACATGGAGCTGGGGAAGCCCAGATATCCTGCCTATGTTTGCCAAAGGTAAGAGTCACTGATTATGTTTCCTCAGATAGTAAATAGGGAGTAAGTCAATATGGTAGTTTTCTATTTTTATGTATGTAATGTATGTGTTGATTTTTACACATATTTTTACATTTTTAACATTTCTGAAATAGGGATGTTTAATTACAGTATTTTTTTTTCCTTCTTAGTTATACTTGAGATATTGGCACATCATACAGTTAGATAGTATTTTGGATTCAATTAAGTGGTATATAGCACTATCGCTTAACAGCTATATAATCTTGAGCAATTTATATAACCTCTCTGAGCTTCAATTTCCTTTTCATAAAATGTGATAATATTAGTTTCTGTCTCATAGATTTATTTTTATAATTAAATTATGTAATTCATGTGAAATATTTAGCATAGCACTTTTCACATAACTTGATTATAAATGATGATGTTGAGGTGTGGTTCATTATACTTTGGTAAATTATTTTAAAAGTTAGTAGCTACTCATATAAAGATTTAAACATTGGCTGGGCACAGTGGCTCACACCTGTAATCTCAGCATTTTGGGAGGCTGAGGCAGGTGGATCACTTGAGCTCAGGAGTTGGAGACCAGTCTGGGCAACAAGGTGAGACCCACATCTCTACAACAAACAAAAAATTAGCTGAGTGTGGTGGCATGTGCCTGTAGTCCCAACTACTCAGGTGGCTGAGGTGGGAAGAGTGCTTGAGAGCCTGGGATGTTGAGGCTGCAGTGAGCCATGATTATGCCACTGCACTCCAGCCTGGGCAACAGAGCAACACCCTATCTCAAAAAAAATATTTAAGTGTTAAAATATATAGTTATAATTCCTGTTTTAATACATCGAAGATGCCATATATTCTGGCATTTGATATATATGGCATTTAACATATAATTTATTTAAATTGATATTTAATATACTGAATGTAGCATTTAGATTTATTGTTTATATGCATGATTCTGCAAATATTGGGACATCTCTTAATTAGAAAATTCATTTATATTATTTTCTAAAATCAGTTGGATGAATTTCATGTCATTAAATGCTTTTAAGTGGGAGCAGAAAGATTGATCATTTCACTTATCAGAAAGGATTTGTAACATACTTAGTCATGAGTGTAATTAAAATAATGGGAACTATTGAAGATTATTATGTGTCCAGGAAGCAAAATATATATTGAGAATTTTACAGATGATAGTCATAGAACATTATTATACTGGGCGGACCAAAAAGCCCCAAACTGTTTGCCATTTATATATTGCCTTCTTTGGAAAGCAGTTTCGTTTTTTTGGGAGCTGGTGGTGGTAAGGGTGGATTCAGTTGCTATGGCTTATCAAACTAACATTCCTATTTCTGGCTACAATGGATGGGAGAGGACAAATAATTGAATTAGAGATAGTCTAATGTTCCATATCTTGTAGTAAACAGCAAACCCAGTCAGACCTTTTTATTTGGGATGTGGGAAGAGGAATGGCTGAGCTGTGGAATAGGGTCATTAGAGCTGAACTGGTGCTATAAAGATTGTATTACTTTATTATATATCTCTCTTTTTGTTTTTGTTTTTTTGAGACGGAGTTTTGCCCTTGTTGCCCAGGCTGGAGTGCAGTGGCACGATCTCAGCTCACTGCCACCTCTGCCTCCTTGGTTCAAGCGATTCTTCTGCCTCAGCCCCCTGAGTAGCTGGGATTACAAGCGCACACCACCACACCCAGCTAATTTTTTTCTCTTTTTAGTAGAGACGGGGTTTCATCATGTTGGCCAGGGGGGTCTCGATCTCCCGACCTCCGGTGATCCACCTGCCTCGGCCTCCCAAAATACAGGGATTACAGGTGTGAGCCACCACACTGGCCATATCTCTTTCTTATTACCTGCAAGAGCCTATCAAACTCAGAAATTCACTAAACTGTTTAGATTCTTAATACACTCTTGCAAATATATGAGATTGTCATATCTGTTGACCCCTTCAAACTCTTTGGCAATAAGCAATATTTATTCTCTTAGAAGTTGAGAAAAATACTCATAGTTTATGAATAAGAGAAGTGAAATATCTGAATTTTCTTCTTATGTTAAGAAGGTTTGTACAACACACATCATCTATTTTAGATTGTAGCATTCTAAGGGGCACACATGTTTTGAATAGTTTAATCCTTAAAGGGAGACAAATATTGTGCTTATTTTTGTTATATTGCTTATTAGAGTTGTGATTTTGGTGTGTTAATTAACATATAATGAATCTGCGAAATTAAAATATGTTATTTTTGAGGACAAAAAGCAATAGAATACATTAAAGTATGTAGCATGGTCCATAGCACATAACATAAATAAATGTTAATTATTCCTCCCATTTTTCTCTTCCCCATCATAATGAACAATGCTTTGTGAAAATTCTGGTTACTCACAAAAATCTGTGAATGACTAGCTCATATTTTATGATAGTTTAAAAGATTTTGTAAAAAGATTATTTTTTCCAAATTTTCTTTTCAGGTGCTAGTGGAGACCACGTTTATACATATAGTTATGATGCTAAAAGAGAGGATTTTGGTGCTCAAGATGCAACAAAACTGGATACGTGGGTTTTTGATAATGTTAAGGTTTGTGCTATTGAGTGGTTAATATACAAAAAGCATATTTTTACCTGAAGTATTGGAGACTGTATCCCACGTTTTTTCTGTTTTCATGAGCTTTGAAAGTTCTATGTTGTAGCACACTGTTCTGAATTCTAAGATTTAATTCTAAAAAATTACACATTCTAAATAAATAAGAGAAGTTTTAAACTCCTTTGTTTCTATTAGTAAAATGAGCCCTAGATTAGGATTTAGGAAACCTGTTTTTCGTTTCTAGTTTGTGATTCATCCTGGGTAAATTTTGATCTTTCATTGACCATGGAATCAGACTCTTGTAGTAATGGACCATATGAGATGTAGGAAAGCCTTTGGGAAAATGCTGTTCAAATGTAATACATTTATAATAACAAAGTGGATGATTTTTTAAAAAATACTTTAAAGAAAAATTAGATAAGCAGATTATATAGGCAAAAACAAATTAGCAAATTGATCATAATAAAAATCTATGGTTCCTTTAAGTACTAGTTTTTTGAACATTTTATAATGACAATTATCATAGTTTCATGAGGAATACGATATAATTTATATTCTCAAAAAGTGTGTGAAAATCTCAATTGTGGACATTGGCTCTCTTCTTTTACCAGTGCATTATTCCTCATCTCCAAATAACAACTCATAATTCATCCATTATAAGAAGCTTTGATTGATACTTCTTTTTTCTAGTAATGTCTTTTGAACTGACTTTGTGGACTTCTCCATGATATAGCCATTTTTGTTTGTTTGTAAATGTACTCCTTAGTATATATCTGCCTTTTTCTTTGTATTTGCTTAGCAGAAATTAAGTGCTCTAAAATTCATTGCTAAACCCTATTTTTTTCCAAGGGTTTTTCCCTTGAAATTTTCTTTTTACTTTTAATATATACTTTTGTCAACAGGGAAAACTTTCAACTTAAATAAAATCTGTGTAAGAAAATGATTAGCAAATTATTTTGCTAATCATCACTTCTTAACTTAATGTGCTAATATTAATATCTGCATGAAATCCTTTGGCTTCTAATTTCATATGTGTAGCTAAAATCCCTCCAAAATCATGGAATTGATTCCTTGTGAATGTACATACATAGCTGGTAGCTGGCCTGATTTTCATGTCTTTCTTCCTTTCTTTATTTCAACACTACTAGTCTTGACACGGTAGTGAACAGAAAAAAAGATTTGCACATGACTTCATAAAATATGGTAGATATATATTAACCAAGTTATAATGAAAATATGAAGTCATCAGCATTGGTAAGTGATGTGAAGGAAAAATACAGACCAAGAATATATCTTCAGAAAATTCTAATCTGTGCTGGGTAGTTAGGGGAAGGCTAAGAGGTTTGAGATAATCTCTGAGCAGGTACAGGAGACAAAGAAATGGATAGGGATGGATTGGTATGGAAAGGTATTGCAGGCCAACAGCATTATGTAAATCTTGGTCAAGAGCCAGCATAATGGATTTGAGGAAGTGAGAAAGAAGGGAGGTTAGTGTGGCAGGAGGACTGCCTGGGAGCCAGGTCTCAGAAGAGGCTAGAGAGTGAGGTAAGGGTTTTACTCGAACTTCATGTCCTGGCTAGAGACTCATGTTTAATTCAAGCCAAACAGTTTCCAGATCCATGCAGTTTTCTACTCACCTGTTTTTTTGTAACTGTGGTTAAAAAAAAAAATATATATATATATATATGCAAAATACAGAATTTACTGTCTTAAGCATTTTAAGTGTTTGCAGACAGTCCCCAGCTTAACAATGGTTTAACTTACGATTCTTTTGACTTTCCACCAGTGCAAAAGCAATACATATTTAGTATAAACCGGACATTGAGTATCCATACAACCATTTTGTTTTTTACTTTCAGTATAGTATTCAAAAATTACATGAGATTGTAATTATTATCTCACTTATTTCACATTATCAACACTTTATTAAAAAATAGGCTTTATGTTAGATGATTTTGCCCAACTGTAGACTAATGTAAATGTTCTGAGCATGTTGAAGGTAGTGTAAACCAAAAATAAAATTCTAAGCACCTCTCCCCCAACCCCCCAACTATCTCAATGGACTTTCTCAGCCAGGGCGCTTTTAAAATGTAACCTGAGAGACTGATTCAGGCCATAAGGGGAAGTGGGTGTTGGACATGCCTCATTATACCTCTCTGGCATTAACGTCAACACAGACCTTAAAGTCTAATAAGAAACATGTACCCTAAAACTTAAAGTATAATAATAATAAAATTAAAAAAAAAAGAAACATTTTACAACCTATTCTCTCTGAAGCCTACTATCTGAAGGGTTCCTCTGCAAATAAGAACTTTGGATTCCACAATCTCTTATCTTAACCCAGACATTCCTTTCTTTTGATCCCAAGTCTTTAGAGAAACTCAACCAATTGCCAACCGGAAAATTTTTAAATTTCCCCCCAATCCCCACTTTGAGTTGTCCTGCCTTTCTGGACCAAACCAATGTATTCCTTAAATATATTTGGTTGAAGTCTCATGTCTCCCCAAAATGTATAAAACCAGGCTGCACCCCGACCACCTTGAGCAAATATTCTCAAGATCTCCTGAGCACTGTGTCATGGGCCATGGCCACTCATATTTGGCTCAGAATAAATCTCTTCAAATATTTTATAGAGTGTGACTCTTCGTTGACAGTAGGCCAGGCTAAGCTATGATGTTTGGTAGGTTAGGTATGTTACTGGCACAAGGTATCTGAATTACCGGCAACAAATCTGTAAGGATCTGCAGCAACCTCAATTCTTACCTTCCCAGAAGAAAAACTTCGACTGGGGGTCATAAGGCAGAAGAAGAGACCAAGGCAGCAATGGAAGTTTATTTACAAAAACTTTAGAACGGGAAAGAAAGGAAAGTATGCCTAGAAGAGTCCCAAGTGAGCAGCGAGGTCAAGTGCAGTGTTTAATCTTGATCCTAGGACTTTATAGGCTGGCCGCTTTCCATGATTCTTCCCTTAGGGTGGGGCGCCCGCATGCACAGTGCCCTCCTTAACCTTGGGAGGTGAGCATGCATAGTGTGTTTAGAAAGTTGTACACATACCTATCCGAGGCTTTCTTTCCTTTTCTGGTGGAGTGCCCCCTGACAGGCATACTATGCCATTTGGTCTATTAATGCACATACCTGAGAAGTTGCATCTCTCTGGTGCTTGCATTCAGTTAACACTTTAGTGCAGCAAGTGTAGACCATCAGGAAATGGCCTCTCCCTGGTGCCAGCTGCCAATCTACCACTTTTAGAGAGGCAGTGTGATAATTGCTGAATCATCACCCGACATTCCTAGTGGTCGGGGAAGACCCCTCCCTTGCCCCACTCATGCCTGTCTAACTACCTGTAACAGGTATATTACATGCATTTTTGACCTACAATAGTTTCAATTTAGGATGGGTTTATTGGGATATAACCCCATTGCAAGTGAGGAGCATCTGTAATTTAGTAGTGTTAAGTATGTTCATGTTGTTATGCAGCTAATAATCTCTAGAATATTTCATCTTGCAAAACAAACTCTGTACCCATTAAACAATAACTCCGGCCAGGCGCTGTGGCTCACACCTGTAATCCCAGCACTTTGGGAGGCCGAGGCGGGTGGATCACGTTCTCAAGAGATTGAGACCATCCTGGCCAACATGGTGAAACCCTGTCTCTACTAAAAATACAAAAATTAGCCGGGCATGGTGGCACGTGCCTGTAGTCCCAGCTACTCAGGAGGCTGAGAGGCAGGAGAATCGCTTGAACCCGGGAGGTGGAGGTTGCAGTGAGCCGAGATTGCGCCATTGCACTCCAGCCTGGCGACAGAGTGAGACTCCGTCTCAAAAACAAACAAACAAACAAAAAAAATAACTCTTCATTTCCCCCTCCCCCAACGCCTGGCAACCACCATTCTACTTTCTATTTCTATGCATTTGACTACTCTAGGCACCTTATATCATAACTGGAATCATACAGTCTATGTCTTTTTGTGATTGGCTTATTTCACTTAGTATAATGGCCTCAAAGGTTCGCCTGGGTTGAATCTATTTACTTTAAAAAACTCAGTTCATGCATCTTCTTCTCTATTAGGTCTTCTGTGACTTCTCTTTGCTTTGCCCTATTTCCAGTTCGACTTAGATAACCCTCCTCTATATTCCCTTAATACTTTATTGTGCTATACTATAACTGTTCATACATTGACATATTCCCCTTCAATATACGTCTTGTTGGCACAGATACTGACTTTTTCACACTGTTAACTTTAAACCCTATCAGAGGCTGGGCGCGGTGGCTCACGCCTGTAATCCCAGCACTTTGGGAGGCCGAGGTGGGTGAATCACTTGAGGCCAGGAGTTTGAGACCAGCCTAGCCAACATGGTGATATCCTCTCTCTACTAAAAATACAAAAAAATTAGCCGAGCATGGTGGTGCATGTCTGAAATCCCAGCTACTTGGGAGGCTGAGGCAAGAGAATCGCTTGAACCCAGGAGACAGAGGTTGCAGTGAGCCAAGATTGTGCTGCTGCACTCCAGCCTGGGCGATAGAGACTGTCTCAACAACAACAACAGCAACAAACTCTTATCAGGGAATTGTTTGGTACATGAATAAGTATATTAACTTAGATTAGATCATACCTGTGTAATATGGAAAAAAATAACTTAAAAGTTTACTTCTATCTTAGTAAAGATAATGCTGGCAGTAGGCAGCTGAGCATTGATGCAGTCCAGGATGCTATAGTGGTTCTACAGTATCACTGACACTTAGTCTCCTAAAGTTTTCCTCTAACTTCAGGGCATGAGTTTTATCTTCAAAGTTATGTCATGACCCAAGATAATCCTGGAGTTCCCGCCCTTATGTTAGTGTTATAGGTCAAAAATATGAAGAATAAAAAAGGACCTTCTTTCCTACTGAATTATATTTATTTCAAAAAGCCTTAGATCCACATAGCTTTATGACTGAAATGTTTGACTTAAATCTCATTGGCCAAAACCACAAAGGCACATCTAGCTGCAAGAAAGGATAGGATAGGCACATCTAGCTGCCAGAAAGGATTACATAGCTGAATATATTGTACCAGCCATAGAACAAATTATAGATGTAATTCAAGTCATTTGCTCAGTTTTTTTGTTTTCAGCTCTCAATTATGTGTTTAACTTTTAATTCTTTTCTCTTAAAGAGCTTATTGTTTTTATCTAGATTTAAATTTTCTTAGGGGTTAAGTAGAATGTATATGAAAGTTAGGGGGCAATTTTATACTTTTGAGAAGGATGATAGGTTATATATTGTATTAATTTATTTCTATTCTTGAATAGTTTCTCTAATTGCACCATTTGTGTTTTTTAACATAGTAGTGAAGAGTTATTTGAAAAAAATACTTAAATACTTCAGACTTTTGTTGAAAAGTTAAACATATCTTGTTAAAAGTTAACATCTTCTACAGTTAAAGGCATTTATGTGAACAACAAAGATGTATCTTGGATAGCCTGTTAACTTATTTAAAATAATTTAAAAGTAGTCTTCATAGTTTTGCACCCATGTTCATGCATATGTGAATACAGGGTGAATCATTTGCCTTAGAAGGGTTTATGAATCTAGTTTATCATTATTTAATTAGCATAATAATCTTCAAATTTTATTTTAATTAATTATTCCCAGCCTCACCCTGCCAAGTAATATTTTATTAATTGGTTGCTTTTCTGTTACATGATTTGAAGAACACATTCTAGCTGGGGCAAAGGAAGTAATTAGGAGGCTATTTGCAATGTTCTACATTAGAGATTACGGTTGGACTAGGTTGATAGTACACAGGACAATGAAAAGTGGTCCAGTTCTGAAATATTTAAAAAAATAAATTATTCTTAAACTGGTAACAGTATTACTATATTATTTTTGACTCTTGCCAAAATATGTCTTCAATCTGCTGTATTTTATTAAGTTAGATGTGGGATTAACAACATTATGAGATCTCTATGAAATTATGATCCCCTTTCTAACATCTTTTTTTGGCCTTATTATAACAGAGAAAACAGCTAACTCATTATTTGAACATAGATGTCTGAACTGATAGCAAAGACGTTGTGTTGGTAGGTCTTGAGCACAGATTTAAACAACGTGAGATAATTTAATTTTGTACTTATGCATAAATTTAAATGTTTTCATCAGTATTATTTTTAAAATAAAACAAATGAACTAAATATTTTTAACTCATTTGTTATATGTAGGACTTCTTTCATCATGCCAGAAACAACCAGTCTTTGTTTTCTAAAATAAATGAAGAGAAAATAGTTTTTTTCTTACATTTATTAGGAATAGATACAAACGGACATGCTCATCGACCATCCTCGAGGTAATTTAATATTGTGTTTAATTGTATTTTTTAGGGCAACAGCTATTCTATTGAACTTTTTATTATAAAGTTTTCTTTGGAATTATAACAACAGAGCTAATATTTTAAACAACTACTGTAATGTTTATTAAGTTCTCAATTATATGAGATTTCCAATATAGTCGTTTAAATCATATGTGCTGTATCCAGATGGCACATTAATATAAGTAAAATATATCCTGTACATATTACATAATCTTCATTTACTGAAGCAGAGAAAAAAATTATCTAAAATATCTATATATTTTAGAAATATTTTCAGTGAATCTTGAAAATATAAAGCATTTTATGGTATTAACTTTTATATCACCAAAAGATGTAATTATTTATTCCTTGTGTATTCCCTTTAATTAGTATTGTATCTAGCAAATAAATTGTATACATTTTTGTATACCATAATTCAATAACACTCCTTATATATGACAGCAAGTATTTTTCTCACTTTTGAGGACCATAAGTAAAAGGAAGATACCATGTTATACTCTTATTTCTGACTTTGCATTTGGTTTAAATTAGCCTAACAGTGGCTGTAAAGCCTATTGGGTTAGCTGCCAGTGATGAATACCTCACAATCCCCTTCTTAAACGTGATGCACTGCTGTAATTGATGGAATATTCATATCGAATGAACCTTGTTCAGTTGTGTGGCAGTCTTAAATATAATGTGTTCAAAACATGATATTATATTTTATATCAAAAGCACTTTAGGGAATGAAAATATTCTATACTTGAAATGATACTTGTAATGTGGCCAAACAGTTTAGTTTATGTAGTAAGAGTGAGAGACATGAACGTCATCTATCTCATTTAGGACCTAAAAAGGGTTTATTAAAATATATTTGTTAATCATTCCCCTCCTTTTAAGCCATCTTTGAAAACTATTTCAGGTTATTTAGCTTCATTAAAAGGAGAAAAAATTATTTTAACAATCTAGAGTACTCTGATTTTAAAATATTAAAGATGAAATCTAAAAGCATTTCAGAAGTTACTGATTTTGAATGTAATGAATCCACGTTGAATAAATTTGATTTCTCCAAATTAATTTAATTTGTTCCTCTGTTTCTTTACAAATAGAGACTACAAGCACAATATTAAAAAAGTTGATGATGGAGTTAAAGAAATCGTGTCTATGTTTAACCACTTCTATGGAAATGATGGGAAAACAACATTTATCTTTACCTCTGACCATGGAATGACAGACTGGGGTTAGTGTGTCTTTAATTGATATGTACCTTACAATTAAAGTAGTGATAAATGTAGCTGGTAAATATTTTATGATGTTGAGAGGATTAGATGTCTTGCTGTATACAAAATGTCTAGCACATAATTCTGTGCTTAAAATGTTAGCCTAAAAAACAACTGATCTTATAAAAAAATATTTTCTCTAACTAAAAAACGAATATATTCTCATTTACAAATGACAAACTAGAGAAAAGTGGAGAAGAAAATAAAAAGTAGCTATTATTTATCTACAGAGAATTAACTGTATATGATGGCAAAGGGAGTGACGTTAAGATGGTGTTACTGAGGGACCGAGGGCTGCTGAAATTCTGTCCCGGGTAAGCCTGTGCGCCCTGTGAGATTCCCAAGGCAAATGCAATGTGTGCACAGAGAACAAAATAAAGCAAAGATGAGATTTGTCCCCAAATCACAATATGGATTTCTAGTGATTTGAGTTCCACTTTATAAAGGACTTCTTTTGGCTCTACCTGCCAGAGTGGCCTGGAAGAAAAGGACCCAGAGACCTTGCCATCTTCTCCAGAAAGACTTAGTCTCTACTGCTTGCCCCAAGCTTGGGTGGTTACTGCCCAAGGGAGCTCTCTGTTCTTTCTGTCTGCAGTGCTGCTCTGGCAGCAGCAACATTTCTTCCATGTCTTATTGTTATTATTTCTATTCTTTCAACCATAGTTACTCAGCAGGCAGTCTGGTTTTTTGTTTTACTTTATGCCTGTTTGTTGTTGTTTCTCTAACTTGCTTTATAGGAATATTGTCAAACTAATTGCCATAAAAGGTTGTAACCATTTGGTAATGTAGTCACTAGAATTAACTATATATGGATCAACTCTTTAAAACAAACTATTTTAAAAAATATTTAGTTGTAAGTTAGTTCTTCTATATTTGTCTTATTATTCTTTATATCTTATTTGTAGGTTCCCATGGGGCTGGTCATCCTTCAGAGACTTTAACTCCTTTAGTCACTTGGGGAGCTGGAATCAAGTATCCCCAAAGAGTATCAGCTCAGCAATTTGATGATGCATTTTTGAAAGGTACAAGCATTTCTTTACTGGTTTATAAATACAACCTCTTAAAATAAGAACAAAGTTTAAATTTTTAAGAAATCACTCTTCAAATTTTAGTTGTAAATCCCTCATTTTGACATTTGTGCCATTACTATTTCTATACAAACACTACAAGGGGTTGTTGGCTTCTCTCTTCTCACAGAGCCATTTGTTGAACCCTTCCCAGCACACCACTGCTAATAACTAGACTTTCTGAATGTCTAAACTGATAAACTGAACTTTTGATGTTCTTTTATTAATTTATTAATTTGAATGTGAGGTAGAGTAAATAAAAATTAAAAAAGAGGAAATTTAAGGTTTCATAGAGGTAAATAATCAGTTTTTGAGATTTTTCAACCCAAACAAAGTACATGCTGTCAGTTATAAAATCACCCTACCTACAAGATATTTCTATTAGATAAAAAGCAAGAGGTAGTACTGAGCTATTTCAACCCCAGGCCCTAATGAAGACAGAAGAGCACAGTGAATAATGCACTCAACAGCATGTCTTCAGTAAGTAATGGTGCATTTTTCAGAGGGCGATTTCTTATATATTTGTAAGTGCTAATGGAGAGCATCATGCCACATCATAGGTCCACAGGGGAGACATTGACAAAAGGCCAGAACAGTGTAACCAGTACACTGCCATGATTATTTCCAGATTTATTTAAGCATGAAAGAAAAAGAAGCTAGTGGACTCTTTTTTTCATCTACTACATATCTTTGAGATAGCCCCTGCTTTCTCAGAACTTAACATTCTAGTAGGAGAATTAAAGCAACTATAAACAAAACTTACACATTATGATAATTTTATGAAGAAAATTAGGGTGATATGATAAAAGAGGAGGTAGGACTGGGCTCCTTTCTCCACCCTGCCCCCCCCCCCCCGCCAGTTTCCTTAGAGACAGGTTCTTGCCGTGTCTCTAAAGGAATGGAATGGGCTGGAATGTAGTAGCTGTTCACAGGTTCACAGGCCAGTCGTAGCTCACTACAGCCTGGAACTCCTGGGCTCAAGCAATCTTCCTGCCCCAGCCTCCCAAGTCGCTGGAACCACAGGTGTGTACCATGCCTGACTCAGTCTGCCACATTTTTATTAAGATATTTGGCAAAGGAGGCAAAATGCATTGGTTTTAAATGTATAGCTTTATGAATTTTACCTGCATATATATACCATGTAGTCTCCATCCAGATTCACCATACATTTATACCCTAGAAGTTTCCCTTATGGAGCAGGATACATTTTATAGAGTGGGCTAATAGAACATCTTTTCACAGTTAGGATAAGAGGGAGCCATTCATATGAAGGTTAGGGCAGGAGTGTTCCAGGCAGAGGGAATAGCAAATGAAGAGGCTAAAAATAGAAAGAGCGTAGCTTGTTTGAGGAACAGAATTGGAAGGCTGATGTGGCTGAGCACTGTCAGCTGGGAGCAGAGTACAATGAGTTGAGAGTTGGAGAGGTAAACAAGAGGTAGATCATTTGAGGCACCAAATCCTGGGTAAGGAGAGCATGAAGTATGTTCCGAGTGCAGTGCTCTATCATTAAAGCCTGTTAGAGCATTGCCAACATTCCAGTTTGCCATAGGAGCTACCTTTCTGACTGCTCTGTGGTAAATGGATTAGATTGGATCAAAATAGAAAGTAGGGTAAATAGTATGTTTGTATTTATGAGATTTAACTTTATTTTGGCATTTGATTTCATGTTGAATTGACGTTTTAGAATCACATGATTTCAAGAATCATCAGAAATGTATTTTTTCTCATATGAATATTAAATATCATACATTTTAGAGAAAAGGAATGGGCATTTTTTCATCAACTGATTAGTGTGAATTTTTGGTAGAGTCAGAAACGTATTTTTAAACTTTAATTAGCTTATTGAATGAAATTTTATTATACAAATATCTTATAACTCTTTTGGCAGTGTATCCTAAAGCCATTAAATCAAGACGGTCTCTCATAATCACTTGTTTAGATTTCCGTTTAATGCAATTTCTGAATTTATGTGTAGAAAAATGGAAGAATGAGCCTATCTTTGAAGACAATTTTAATAATAACTCAATATACTATGTTAACATTTGTGATTAGTGACTACAGGAACATCACAACTACAGTTTTAGGTGTTTTGGGAGGAACTGCCATCACAGAGAAAAAGAGAAGCTTGAATTAATTAACTTCCTATGAATTGCCTTAATAACTCTCTAGAACAGGATTGTAATGAGTTGTCAATGCTGACAGTTGTTACCATTGTGCTTTTTCACTTCCATCTTTCCTTCCTCAGCCTCTGATGTTTTGAAACAATTATCTCCCAGTAAACATTTAAGAAGCTTAATAAATCATCACAGGAAACACCAAATATTTACTTTTTGTTTTTTTTAAATTCTTTAAAAAAATACACCTTTGCCTTTAAGCATGATTTTTATTCATACTTGGCTTAAAATAGACATTTCTAACACCTATGTTTTCCATAAGTATTGGCCACTCCTAAAAATCAAATGATTTATTCTTTTTTAAATCTTAACATCAGATCTTGTGTCTGATTGTATCTTTCAGAGTGGAGATTGGAGAATTGGAAGAGGCTAGATGTCAATCAGGTATCCAGTTCGATTTTATTACATTCAAATTTAATTTTATCTTCTATAAGAAGGTTAGACAAAAACTATGAAAAAGAGATAATATTAATATTGACAAAGTCTTTTTCAAAACATTTCAGTTACTAAGGGGAATTCTTTTAGTGCAAATATTTTAGCCCAGCTAATCTCTCTTGTGGCAAAACAAACAAAACTTGAAGTGAAAATAAAAGACTTCTTCCAAATAACATTGGATAATTATTTGTTATGTAAATTGAAATTTGCATGCCTCTTAAATTTCTGTGATTGCTTTTCATGGTTGTATTGCTTAATTTAAGCACAGATCTATTAAAATTCCTGTTATGGGTTTGTTTCCTATAGTATGTCAGTTACCTTTTCTTTTTGTTAACACATATTTTACCTTTACTTCTAACCAGCAACCTTACAAATGCAATGGGGAAAAAAATGATGAGATTATAAATTACTCAGCTAGAAACCTTCTGTTAGAGGAAAATGTATAGCCAATCTGATAAAGTTAGATCAGTAGCATTGTCTGTAAATATGAAGCACAGAATTTTCATTGTTAAAAACATGCTACCTTAATAGCCATCTTCACTATTTGTAGAAGGTATAGCATCATTGGGATATGGCTTCCAAAGTGGCAGGAGTATCTTGCCTTCCAGGTCACCACACAAGCTGAGATTACTTACTGTGGTGGACAAACCAAGGTCTAGGGTCTCATTTTCAGGCCTGTGGTTGTAGAAACTTGTTTCTTCCCAGCAAAATAAGAATAGTCTTCTCCTGGGATAGATGCATACTACCCAAGTAAATGAACATGAACATATAAAGTCAGAATAGCAGTTTATTAATTTGCCATTAAAAATCACTGTCAAAAAGACGGGAATGACTTGAAGATCACAAAACAAGAACATCCCTTATTCATAGCCAGACCAGATCATAATCAGCAATTGAACATAGATTCAGTTATTGCTCTCTGAATTGTCAGTCTGTTGGCAAACACTCCTGCTTCAAATCTCCATCAAATGAGAATCTCTTTGTCTATTCATTCCTTCTACTAACACTGTGATGTGTCTGTGGTGTGTTTCAACTTTGTGCTAAGTCTAAGTATTTAGTGGTGAGTTAAGGCAGACATAATCCCTGTCCTGGGAAATGTATACCTTAGGGGTAAGAACAGATACTCATCAGTCTGTTGTACAAATACATGTAAACTTATAGCTGTGGTAAGTACTGCAACAGAGATTTGTGCAGCTGTGAGACTGTAGAGTGGATGTATATGATAGACTGTAGTCAGCAAAGGCTTCCTGAGAAGTCGAGGAATGAGCTGAGATTGATGAATAAGCAGGAATTAGCAGGCCAAGGCAGTAGGAGGAGGGCTTTTCAGGCAGAGGAAATGTGTACACTAAGTTCTGGTGAGAGGGTACATGGTGTATTAAAGGGTCTTGAAGAAAGCTGTTATATAGCAATAGAAACCATGGGGTGGTGTGAGGCAGAAGAAGGGAGGCGCAGCCCCTTCAGGGTCTCATGGGCCTTGTGAACTTAATTCTGAAAGTTCAAAGAATCCTTGAAGAGTTTGAAGCCTAGAGAGTGACACGATGTGGTTTTTTGTGTGTGAAAGAATACCCCTGGCTGCAGCATGGAGAAGAGATTAGAGGTGGCCGACAGTGGATTCTGAGGGAAAAGGAAAAGGTGACTAGGAAGACTTTGGAGATTTCCAGTTTTCTGGAGGATGGTACCTGGTAATGACAATCTAAATAGTAGAAAGTGAGAAAGACTGAGAGCCTGGGAACAAACTTGATGAATTCCAACTTTAAATGAGGGACTAGCGAACGTATCTGAAAAGGAGGAGCCAGTGAGATAGAAGAAACTCAGCTGTGTGGTGTTGAGGCCAAGAAAGGAGTGGCCTATGCCATACTGCTGAAAGGCCTAGTAATGCCAGCAACAATTGTAGCTACCATTATCACAGGCTTATTATGTGCCAGGTACTTTATAAGTTTTATCTCATTTAATCCTGTCACACCTCTGTAAGGGAAAAACTTGCATTTATTTTTTTAACTGATAAAGGAATCAAGCAACTGGAGGGTTAAAAAACCTACCTGAGAATTTGAAACTGGGCATTCTCAATTCCGAGTACTTTATTGCCTGAAAAATTATAAGGACTTACATAAACATAGTCAATTAGATTTAGAAAATGGGGTTGTTAGCTCTCTTAGAGAGAGCAGTCTTTGGAATGATAAAGGGTCATAGTGAGTCACAGTGGGCAGAAGAGTGATGGGAAGGTGAGGAAGCGAAGATAGAAAAAGCATGAACAACTCTTCCGAGAAATTGAACTTAAAGAGGAGATATCCAAAATGGTATTTGGGATCTTTTGACTAAAGAGCCTCTTCTCTGGTTTATGTCTTTTCTGGACATCACTGGCTGGTCAAACCTCCTTCTGATACTTTGTTTTTCTACTTAATATATACATTTCTCCAGTTAAAGTCTACTCTTGATATTCATTTTATGTCTAAATAAGGCATCCTTTGTATAATACTGAAAAACTGTTACATAAAATGGTCAAATTCTTAGCTAATAGGATAAGTAATTTTTTGTTTTAGTATGTTTTACATTTAGGGCCTTTAGTGGTTTCTTTTCAAAATTTTTTTTATAGGTTCATATACATCTAGCAAATGACACTTTTAGAGATTAATATCTTTTTTATTAAATACATGTTTGAAGGTAACTGATTATAACAAATATCATGGTTATTTTCCAAAATATGGTTGCATTACATTATTTAATTTCTTTGTTGATGTCCATAGACTTCTTAGAATTGAGCTTTTTTATTTGTAGGCTGATATTGCACCATTGATGACTTCCCTTATTGGAGTTCCCTTTCCTCTTAACTCAGTGGTAAGGAATAAAATTTTATTATCAACTCTCAGTATAAAAAAAAACTATCGCACAGTAAAATGTACTCTTTTTTATGTGTTTCTGAATAATCTGGGTTTTTTTTTTAGATGGGGTCTTGCTATGTTGCCCAGGCTGGTCTTGAACTTCTGGGCTCAAGCAGTCCTCCCATCTCAGCCTCCCAAGTGTCTGGGATTACAGGCATGCACCACTGCTTCCAGCTTATATAATCTTTGATTACATTTAAAACTATATATTCCTGTATATTTATTTCTAAATATGCAATACCTCATGATTGCTTGTGTATTATATTCTATAACATGGAACATGAGCCAAATAGCTTTTCTTTAAATATTTTAATTTTCTAAAATGTGTATGATTTATATCTTTGTATTCTGGTTATAATTGATAGAAATGTATAAGTAATTTTTTTATTACAAGCAGCAAAAACTGACTTCGTTTAAAGGGAAATTATTGAAAAGATATTGGTGATTTGCTGAAACAAAGTGGTGCTTGAAAACCAGCCTTGTAATAACCTGGAACCAGGATATCTGGAGACTTGGAAGAAGGAACCACAGCCATGATCCCATGGCAGAGCTGTTCTCAGGGCACTGACATGAGGGTAGAGTAGCATTATACCTTAGTTTCTATCCCTTGACTATCAGGAGTCAAATTCCAGATGGTCTAGCCTGGGTTGTAATCAGCAGGTCCCTGGATTATAAACCTAACATGCTGTATATAATGGGCAAGATTTCTCAACAGAAAATAGTAATGCTGTTAAGAATGGGCCCTGGATACTGAAATGCCAAAAAATAACTATTTCAACCAGCCACTCTTATTAGCTCTTCGAAATCAAATGTACTCTTAAAAAATAATGTTATTTAACCCAGAATGCTAAGTAATATGACCCCGACAGTCATAGTGTTTGTGTATATGTATAATGAAACAAAAGTTTAACAGAATAGTCCTTACTCTTATTATGTACAGTACACTCTGATATGTCTGAAGTCTTTTATTTTAAGTATGCTGGCTGTGGCCTACCATTGTAATTGTTTTTTGTGCGTGAAGCACTCAGTTCACTACCTAGCACGTAGTTATCTCTCAGCCAATGCCAGGTGTTACTGAATTTAATTCATCTCTTGCTTTGCTTACCTTAATACATCTACTTTGTGAGAAAAATAATAGAACATCTTTCAGTTATAGTTTTAAAAAGATTTTTCATTTAACTATTTCAATTATTTATTTGTCCATATGCCTTATCTTTATTGCTTTTAAGTCTGTTTTGTTTTATAAGGATAGCCTGAGCTGTCTGAATACTATCAATAAGCTGGTGTTTGTTATTTTCAGGGAATCCTTCCTGTGGATTATCTTAACAACACTGATCTCTTCAAAGCAGAGAGCATGTTTACAAATGCAGTACAGATTCTTGAACAGTTCAAGGTAAAAAAAAAATTCAAAAAGGCACGCACAAAAATGGACAATACTACAATTTAAATATTGAATATATTTAGGGAAAATATTTGATTTTGTTTTTAACTATTTCCCTGTAATTTACCTTTAAATTTTATGTATTTGACTTGTGTTTCACATTTCTGAAGGGTAGGTTCTATGGCTCAGTCTGAGGACATAAAATTGTGTTTGAGGAGTATGACTGCATGTAAGATTACCACATATGCTTACAAAGACTACAAGTCAATTCTTTAACTATTAGAATTTGCCCCATAGAAATCATATTAGAGATTGCAACATTTCTTGTCATTCCATGTATGTTATGAGATTCCTTAAGAATTTAAAGAGGTGACCCTTTGACTAAAACCTTCTGTTATTCTTAATGCTTTTAAGAATAAGCGGTTTGGCTTGTTTTATTTTCAGAGTTAAGGAAGTACAGTTTTAATTACAGTATGTTACTTTGCAAGATTGATATGTTTAATTCTCAGCTTATTGAGATAGTAAGAAAATGTTAAATTTTTCTTTAAATATTTATGAAACAATATAGTAACATAAAATTCCATTTATTTTCAAAGTGGTTAACCATCCCTAAAGAATCATTTTAATGGATGTTTATATTTCAAAATGGAATTCATTATTTTTCTCATTTGTAATATTTTCATACTTGGTTCCCAGGTGAAAATGACTCAGAAGAAAGAAGTTACTTTACCATTTTTGTTTACACCATTTAAGTAAGTCCCTTACATTTTTTTATTAACTTGAAGGAAAGAATTTTCCACTGAGTTTGCAATTTTTCACTGAGTGATAGGATTAGTTTACTTATACAGTTTGCCATTTTATATACATTAGTGTAAACTCCAAATTGAAATCCTCTTCTATTGCTGTTGTTAAATAATGAGCCAGGTGCTAGATAACTTTGAATGGCTGGAAGAGGGATGAGGGAATGGAGAGATACATGAGAAATATTAAGCAGGTGAACTCCACAGGGCTTGACTGGTTGGCTAGGAAGGTGTGGGGGCAGGAACGAGTGTGACTTCCTGGCACTTGGCTTGGTTGATTAGGAAGATGCTGGTACCATATGGCTTTTTGAAAGAAGAACTAGTTCAGGAGACAAAGATGAATGTTACTAAGTTCAACTTACATTTGAAGATATCAGTTAATTAATTAGAAAGAGGGGCTTGGGTCTCAGAAGATGTATGTTGCTTGTGAAGATTTTGAAGCCGTGAGAATAAAGATAGGCTGGGCGCAGTGGCTCATTCCTGTAATCCCAGCACTTTGGGAGGCTGAGGCAGGCAGATCTCTTGAGCTCAGGAGTTCGAGACCAGCCTGGGCAACATGGTGAAACCCCGTCTCTAGTAAAAATGCAAAAATTAGCCGGGCATAGTGGTGCATGCCTATAGTCCCAGCTACTCGGGTGGCTGAGGCAGGAGAATTGCTACACATGTAGGAGGCTCTAGAATTCTGGGAGACATCAGCTTCTACTGGGTGGGTGTATTAGGGTTCTCTAGAGGGACAGAACTAATAGGATAGATGTATATGTGAAGGGGAGTTTATTAAGGAGTATTGACTCACATAATCACAAGGTGACGTCCCAGAATAGACCGTCTGCAATATGAGGAGTAAAGAAGCCAGTCTGAGTCCCAAAACCTCAAAAGTAGGGAAGCTGACAGTATAGCCTTCAGTCTGTGGCCAAAGGCCCGAGAGCCCCTAGCAAACCACTGGTGTAAGTCCAAGAGTCTAAAAGCTGAAGAATTCGGAGTCTGATGTTCAAGTGCAAGCAGCATCCAGCGCAGGAGAAATATGAGGCTGGAAAACTCAGCAAGTCTGCTCATTCCACATTCTTCTGCCTGCTTTATTCTAGCTGTGCTGGCAGCTGATTAGATGATGCCCACTTGAGGGTGGGTCTGCTTCTCCCACTCCACTGACTCAAAGGTTAATCTCCTTTGGCAACAATGTCACAGACATACCCAGGAACAATACTTTACATCCTTCAATCAAGTTGACACTCAATATTAACCATCACAGTAGGCAAAGAAGAGAGCTGACTTTGGTGAGCAGCAGATTTTGCTGTCCCAGGTCCAGGAAGATGTGTTTTCCTTGCATCAGGAAAGGGAAGATCTAGATCACAGACCTGGCTCTGCACTACTGACTGCATATGTGGGCTTGCATCTTTGAGGTTCACATTCAATTAGCAAGGATTTTGCTATTGACCAATTAAATAGAAATTGTTTTATCTATGAATCTTAAGGATGTGATTGAATGACTTCATTGGAGTTATTTTTGACAACTTCTGTTGCACTAGTGTGATATTCATAAATTAGAAAGGCGGCCGGGCACGGTGGCTCACTCCTATAATCCCAGCACTTTGGGAGGCCGAGGCAGGCGGATCACAAGGTCAGGAGTTTGAGACCAGCCTGGCCAATATGGTGAAACCCCGTCTCTACTAAAAATACAAAAATTAGCTGGGCATGGTGGCGGGCACCTGTAGTCCCAGCTACTTGGGAGGCTGAGGCAGGAGAATCGCTTGAACCCGGGAGGCAGAGGTTGCAGTGAGCTGAGATCGCACTACTGCACTCCAGCCTGGGCAACAGAGCGAGACTCCATCTCAAAAATAAAAGAAAGGCATAAATATTACATTACCCTCTGAATACTGTGGTTGTATACTTGAGTTTTTATGTGTGTATATATATGTGTATAGGAGAGTAAAAATAAAATGAAATTAGGATTTTGCAAGTTATAATCATATAAAATTGATTACCCTAAATATATCATTAGGATATTATGTTATTTACATCTCTTATGCTAATTCTAATTTTCTTTTATTGTAGTATAGTAGAATTGAGATTTGTTAATGGAATTGGTTCTGAGGAATATATAAATGTTCATATGTTTTTCAAGAAATATTGATTGACTAGTATGTGTTTTGCGGATATAGCAGTGAACAGGATAGACAAAGGCTTTGCATTCATAGAGTTTATTTGTACAGTAGTGTCACAGGCAAACTATAACCAAATGAAGAAGTGAATAAGGAATACATTATCAATTCCTTTTATGAAGAAAATACACCGGCTGTTGAGAGTGAGAATAAGTGAGGGTTACTTTAGACCAGCCACTTTAGAAAGGCTGGTTAGGAGCCTGGCCAGTGTGGTGAAACCCTGTCTCTACCAAAAAATATAAAAATGAGCCAGGCATGGTGGCACCTGCTTGTAATCCCAGCTACTCGGGAGGCTGAGGCATGAGAATCACTTGAACCAGAGAGGCAGAGGTTGCAGCAGTGAGCCAAGATCCCACCACTGCACTCCAGCCTGAGCAACAGAGTGAGACCCTGTCTGAAAAAAAAAAAAAAAAAAAAAAGACAAAGAAAAAACAAAAGAAAAGAAAGAAAGGCTAGTTAGGGAAGGACTCTTCGTCAAGGGTTCAGGTGCACACTGCTACCCCTTTTTCCACGTGGCATGGTAACTGATCATAGACTTCCCCTATTTTGATGTTCAGTGTCTGCCTGCACATACATATTCAAAGCCACTGTGTCCTCTGGGGGTCTGGCGGGATGGCTGATTCCCATGTACTGGTTCACCCACTCTAGAGCATAGTGACCAGCCCTGCCTGTAGACCTGTCTGGCTAAAAATCACCACTTGCTAAAAGCCTGCAATATGGTCAAAAAAATCTAAGATAACATGAGAAATGGACTCTTGAGGTCATATGAAATTCAAGGAACAGAACCAAACCTAAAAACATTAAAATTCTCAGAAATATTTAAGAAACTATTGCATCCATAAAACAAAAGCAGCATTAACTTTGCAAAATGTAGAAAGGTACTAGATGCATTAAAAATAACTTCTACATTTAATAAGAAAATAAATATTTCATAAGAATGCAACAAAAAACTTAAAGATAAGTTGTATAAGAATGGTCCAAATGAGAGGCAGATCCTCCAAATTAGAATAGGAAGTGAGTGGACCTCAAACTAAATGAAATGAATTTTAAGTAGTAGATGGATTGAGTAAGAAGCTGGAGGAAATTAAGGACATGATGTATACATAGAAAGCATACATTTCTTCATCCGCCCGCCCATCAAAAAAAACAATGACAATCAGAAACTTAAGGGAGAAAGAAACATTTCAAACTTTACAAGAAAGCATGCTTCAAATATAAAGCACCCTCAGATGTGGCATGATTTTGAACAGTTGCTAGGAGTGTGAGAAAGGGAATTCATTTGAACATTGTCATGTGGATCAAGGCTTTAAAGAAATAGATGAGAAAATCTAATTGTAGCATAAAACTTTGTTTTTCAGTGGACAGTATTTAAATAGTCATGTGATATAAGTATTGGTTTTCAGCTTTTAGAGTCAATCCTTGGACAAAGCAGGGAAGAATGAATTATGATTACAGAATAGAATGCAAATGTTAGCAGCCTTGAAAATGTACAAGTGCAGTTAACAGGTTGGAAGGCAGAGAGGGAAGGAAATGTACATGGAATAGTAGCGGTGCTATTGTCTTCATGAAATAGAATATGGAGAATTTTATCTTTAGTTGAATTCGTCAGAGGTTTAGGTATTAGTTTTTGTTTTGTTTTGTTTTGTTTGAGACTGACTCTCGTTCTGTTGCTCAGGCTGGAGTGCAGTGGCGCAATCTTGGCTCACTGCAACCTCTGCCTCCTGGGTTCAAGCAATTCTCCTGCCTCAGTCTCCTGAGTAGCTGGGCTTACAAGCACGCCACCACGCCCAGCTAATTTTTGTGTTTTTAGTAGAGATGGGGTTTCACCATGTTGGCTAGGCTGGTCTCGAACTCCTGACCTCGTGATCCACCCACCTCGGCCTCCCAAAGTGCTGGGATTACAGGCATGAGCCACCACGCCCAGCCTTAGGTATTAGATTATGAAAGTAACCAAGGTCACCAAAAGAGGAGGTAAAAATGTGATATAGCCAAATTGAGTGGGGAGGAAAGCCAGAGACAACAAGGGGTCAACAAAAAGTACCCCCAGTCATCAAGTCAAGAAAAAGTAAGAAGAACATGTTTTTTAAAAATGTAGGCAAGTACCGGAATAACTAAAAACAAACACATGTAAAAGTTTTTGGTCTGGGTTGGTGAACTGAGAAATGAAAAAGAGTTATTATGCCCTTGTGTAGTGTTTGATTTTTAAAAAATATGTGCATATATTGCTTTGATAAAACTTATTTTTAAAAGTATGTTTATCAAAATAAATAGATATTCTAATCATTGGCACAAATTCAGTAGAATATGTAATTGGAAAAGGATACTATTCATAATAGAAATAAAATACCCAGCAATAAAATAATGAGAAATGTATATTGTAAAGAAAACTGTCAAATTTTATTAAGGACATAACAGGCAATATAAACAAACAAATGTTGGATAATACTGTTCAATACTGTAAAAATGTCGGTCCTCTCCAAATTACTTACTGAATATGGTATTATAACAAAAGGATTTTTGTATAACTCAAAAACATAATTTTAAAATTTATATCAAAAATAAATTCTCAAGAATAGCTTAATTAGTTTTGAGAAAGAAGAACAAGATAAGAGATTTGCTCTGCTAGATAACAGAACACATTCTAAAGCTATTATAACTCTAAAAAATGTAGTATTGATGCAGGCCAAACATATAGATTTAGTGGAACTGATTCGTGAGTACATAAAGAGATAAGATTCACTTGTCTACAACGTGCACCTTGACTTATGATGGGGTTACATCCCTAAGTTGCAAATAATGTAAGTGCAAAATGGATTTAATACACCTAACCTACTGAACATCATAGCTTAGTCTAGCCTACCTTTAATGTGCTGAGAACACTTAACATTAGCCTACAGTTGGTCAGAATCATCTAACATAAAGCCGACTGTATAATAAAGTATTGAATATCTCATGTAATTTATTGAATACTGCATTGAAAGTGAAGAACAAAATGATTGTGTGGGTACTCAAAGTATGCTTTCTACTGAATGCATATCACTTCCATGTTAGCTGAAAAATCCTAAGTCAAACTCTCATAAGTTTGGGACAATCTGTATATGGGATTTGGTTTTGACTGAAGGTAGTGTTTCAAATCAGTAGGAGAAAGATTTGTACTAAGAAAATTGACCATTTGGAAAAAATAAGGCTAGCTCTTGTAACCTCATTTCATTCACAAAACTAAATTCTACATTGATTAAAGAACTGAATATTTAAAAATAAGTAAAAGTGTGAGGTCTATAAAATATAAAATTTAACAGTCATATGGAAAAGATATTAGCTAGCATCATAATCAGAATTTTATTTTATCATTTTTTTTTAATAGAGATGGGATCTCCCTATGTTGCCCAAGCTTATCTTGAACTCCTGGGCTCAAGCGGTCTGCCTGCCTTGGCCTCCCAAAGTGCTGGGATTGCAGGTGTGAGCTACTGTGCCTGACTGTAATCAGAATTTATTAATTATATCAGTTACATAAAATTGGAAAATATACCAGAACCAGGTGGAATACTAAATTGAAAATTATTTTTTAATCATTTAGGGAGATGTGAACCACAGAAATTATTTGTTAAATTATTTTTAAGAGTATTTAGTTTCACTCATTAAAAATTTCATTCCCCCTTGAGGTATTTTGAAATAGAATATTTAAGGGCATTGACTAAATGTTAGCTCTGCATTACAAGTCTTTAATGTTTGGTGTTATCAGAAAAAACAGTTATCACCATTTACTGAGTACCATCGACCCTTTATTTCTTTAGTCCAGTGGGTTTTTTTCACATTAACATCATATATTTCTTTTTAATCACTTTTATATATGCACATAATGTCAGCATGTCTTCTTAGAAACTATATCAAGTAAATGTGGGCCTATAAACATAAAAGATCAAAGAGTACTGTTGTCACACATGCTTTTAGCAAAAAAGATAACCCAGGTTCTTTTCACAAACTATTGTGTAATAAAGTCTTTCCTTTTGTATAAGCATCATTTTTTTTTGTTCTTAGAAATATATTGTTCACTTGTCTGTTCTTAACTTGAGAAAATTCATCTAGGACATTGGCATCTGAAAATTCATAGTATCAAAATTTTCGTGACATGATTAATTTCACCAGCATTATTAGATTTTAGTTTAATGGTATCTTCACCATTTTTCCATTATCTTGTTCAGTCTTTTCTAGCATAGTTATGAGTAATTGGTGAATAATAAAATAATTCCTAGGGTAATGAAATAGCAAATGTTTCAGGACGTAGGAAAAATAAAATTGCCAAGATTCTTTATCTTAGGCTTGTAAAAGGGTCTAACAGGGCCATGTGGTAATTGCATATCCTATTTTTTTGCAAAAATAAATAAATTTTCTCTTTGATATTTTAAAGACCTCTAAAAAGAATAAAAGTCATAAAACATCCATTCTGATAAAGAGAACTGCTAAAAAACAAACACCTGAAGCTAAAATTGGGTCTGGCAGACCCTGGTGATGGTATGCTGAAGGATGACCAGCAGGTGGAGCTACATGACCAGGAGAGGCATAAAAGGATCACCCATCTGTAAAAGGAGGAAAAACACTTTATGTTTAAAATTGTATACTTTAGAGGCTGGAGTAAGACAAGAAATAATTTAAAAGAAAAAATGCCACAGAATAAGAAGAAAGCAAAAAAGATCTCTTCAGAGATATCTTAGGGGGAAGAATACGGAATTGGGAAGGGGATATATACCTTGCCAATAGAAGCAAAAATATTTGTTACTTTTTTATTTGAAAATTATTATATAAATTTGATAAACAAAGAAATTTTAACAAAAAACTGTATTTTCTACTAAAATGGCAACAGTATTTGGTTTCTCTTATAAAATTTGTTTCTTTTAGCTGATAAAGGCCCTTCCCTTAGACCCAACTTAAATACTAGCTTGTATGTGAACCTTTCTACCAGTTTACCTATCTGATTTACTAATTATTTGTAAGAAACATAATTTTCTGCTTCAAAACTGAAATTTATCTTTAAAAAAAACTTCTGTGCATCACATACCTACATAGAAAAATATTATTCATTTATTCACTTATGACATGAAGGGTGATACGATTCTATATCATTGGTCATGCTAAAGGAATGAAAATTATTCTAGAAATAACTTTTTATCCTGCTTTCTCTGTCTTTATACTCTTAAAATATTTTTCCCTTTAAATAGACATTCTAAAAAGGAATAGACAAGTATTACTAAAATATTAGGTCATGTGTAGATGAAAGCAAAAAAAATTTGTAACAAAAATCAGAGTAAGAAAGGGCAGCATTTTAGGAGATCTTGTCCTCTAAACACTAGCTGACCCTGAATAATTGATAAAATTCTTGGTAATCCTAAAATGTGGTTTACCTTATTCTATAGTATTAAGTAACCATTAAAAAAATGAATAGTAACAATTACAGCAAAGTAATGTGCACAGATTAAGACAACTCATTTCTCTCTTTTTTTTTAACTTAAACATGACATGTTTATAGATTCTTTAAAACTTGATATTTTCAATAAAAACAATTTAGTCAATAAAGGAAATTTTTCCTCACAAATTACTATGTAGAATGTTGTATTTCAAACATGTTGCTTTTTAAGTTAATACTTCATTAGTTTATCCATATCTGTAACTATGCATAGATTAAAGGGAAAATGAACAACAAATAGTAAAACCATCACTTTTCCTTGTGGGCAATCTGAATTTGGGCAGTTGATAGGAAGATATATTAGTTTTCTAGGGTTGCCATAACAAACTACCACAACCTACATGGCTTAGCATAACAGAAATACATTCTTTCACAGTTCTAGAGACTAAAGTCCAAAATTAAGGCTAGGAGTCCAAAAGCAAGGTGTCACCAGAACCATGCTCCCTCCAAAGGCTTAGAGTAGAATCTTCCCTTGCCTCTACCTAGCTTCTGGGGGCTGCAAGCAATCCTCGGTTTCCTTGGCTTGTAGCTTTATCATTCTACTCTCTATCTCTGTCATCAGTGGTCTTCTTCCTTGTGTCTCTGTCTCCAGATCTCCCTCTCAAGGACACCAGTCACTAGATTTAAGGTTCACCCTAATTTAGTATTAATGTGCTTTAGCTTGATGATGTCTACAAAGACACTATTTCAAAATCAGGTCACATTCCCAGATACCAGGGGTTAGGACCTTTTTGGGGGACACAATTTAACTCTCAACAGAAATTAATAGTTTACATTTGTCATCATTTCAGCCATTGCAGAGTAATTATCTTACAATGCTTCATTGATTTACTTAACCAGTATTTATTGTTTTCCTACTGTGTCCCAGGCACTATACTGATGTTGGAAAAGATAGACGTAGTGCCTGCCCTTGTTGGACACAAAGTCTAATGGGAACATATAGACAGTATAGCAAATGATACAGCATGATAAGGGATAATTCAATGTATTATGAGTGACTGTTTTTGTAAGAACAGTTGAGGAGCACCAAACCCACAGATGAGGGATGCAAATTTATAGGAAGTTAAATAAGACAACTTCAGTGAAGGCAGTGTTGGAAAGAGAACTTTTGATTTGTTGATACCTCAGAGAGCAGCTGAGATGGAGACGCAAGAAGTCTTCAGCTCAACGCACTTCTGAGGTAGTAACAGCCAATATACTAGCTTTCATTAACTTGACACTAATTGCTATGGGCTGCAGTGGGTCTGAGACAGCTAAGAATGTGGACTTAAGGTGGGAAAGTATGGCAGTGATGTGCTAACAAGAGACTCAGCTCTCTGAGAGAGGGAAAGACTCCCATTAATAGCCTTTGCCAATTTCATTGGTATAAATACGCTCACTATGATCAATCTCAAGCTACCAAGGATGATGCGACTAGAGAAAGGGAAGAGTTGTACACCATCTGCTCTCGGGAGCTGGTGTGAGCAGCCCTCAGCACGCCACTGAGGGAGGGAGAGAAGGGAGTAAGGAATTGAGGCAAGGGGAGAGAAAGCCAGGTGTTGAGAGCTAATAGAAAGTGCTTTCCAATATTGGCTTTGCATTGTCCTTGGAAGGGAATTTTGCAGGGAGTGAGTGGGGAGATCTGCATTTCCAATGAAACATCGTTGTATACTTATATTTTAATATTTCTTTATGATGACTTCTTATTTTGAAGCCAAATAGAAGAAACTTAATAGTTTATTTTTGCCTTACATTTTTCATGTTAAATATATTAAAGAAAATGTATTTTAGCTAAGGGACAGTAGATGCAAATGTAATAATAAAATATTATAGCCCTCTAGAAATAATGGGCTTATAGAATTTAATGAATATTTTAAACATTTTATTAAAATATTTTAATGACTCAAAACCCACTTTTGTAATGTGAAAACAAAGGATAATTTTTTCCTCATATCAACCTAAATGAACTCTTCTACCTTTTTTTCTTTTCTTTTTTTTCTTGATCTCTGTGGCTGCATGTGAGTATCCAGCTGTGCCCTGAGCTAACACTGTTACCTATGCAGTGATTCTGGAGTTGGGTAGCTTTTCCCCCTGATCTCTTATGGACCCCATCTGTTCTAAAGTTCCTTGTTTAAATGTAAAATACCTTCCGTGGCCTAGTGGTTTTAATTATGTTACTAGCTCTGTGGTCTGATCATTTAGGAGTTTCTTTGGCATTCCTCCTGGCTGGCTTCCAGCCATTTCTTTGTTTATACTTTTTACCACAAGCAAATCTCATCATCTCCAAAGATGATATCTCTGAAAGTCCTCAGTTTGTCACACCAGTCACAAGTATCTGAAAAGAGGGGAAGAAAATAATCAAATCCTTTTCCCCAAGTTTGAAATTCAGGAATTTTATATATTTTTTTGGTAATGTCATGAATAGTATAGTGATTTTTAAATGTATAGTTGTTTTATATATGATATTTTTAAATTCAGGAATAATTCTTGTGGGAATTATAAGATGTTTTTGACATTATAAAAGTGGGAATAAAAAATATTTTAGAAGATAAATATCCTAAACCAAGAGTTAGAAAATTTCATAAGGATTTTTCATAAGTTTGTTGGTATGTTTTCCATGTGTAGTTTCCCATGCATTTTCTTGTTGGGAAAATAGCACCATGTATTTTTAATTGCCATTTCCATCATCAGTCCTATCTTCTCCTTCCGCTATTATGTATGTTTATTATGGCCTGGATAATTGGAGTAAGAAAAATGCCACAGGATATAGGTCCCAGCTACTCAGGAGGCTGATATGGGAGGATCACTTGAGCCAAGGAGATCAAGGCTCCAGCGAACCTCAGTCACACCACTGCGTTCCAGTCTGGGTGAAGAAGCAATACCTTGTCTCAAAAAACAAAACAAAAAAAAAACACACAAAAAAACCAGACTGTTGCAGTTGTTCAAGCAAATGATAAGGTCTTGCACCATTGCTTTCCTCATGACTACCCGCTCACAGTTATTATGTACTTAGTGTATGCAAGGCACTGTTTTAAATAATTTATCAGTGTTCGCTCATTTAATTCTTAAAACAGCCTGATATGGCGGGTACTGTTATTACAGATACTTCGGCTGCAGTGGTTTGACTTAGGATTTTTCGACTTTATGATGGTGTGAAAGCTATACGCATTCAATAGAAACCATACTTCAGCAACAGTATTCAATAAATTACATGAGATATTCAGCACTTTAGTATAAAACAAGCTTTGTGTTAGATAATTTTGTCAAACTGTAGCCTGATGTAAATATTCTGAGTACATTTAAGATAGGCTAGGTTAAGCTATGATGTTTGGTTGGTTAGATGTAAATGGAAATTGACTTAAGATATTTTCAACTTATGGTGGGTTTATTGGGATGTAGCATTATCTTAAGTTGAGGAGCACCTGTATCTCATTTTCACATGAGGAAACTGAATCAGAATGATACTTCCCCCAAGTAACAGAATTAGTAAACATTGAAGCTAGGATGGAACCCAGGCAGTCTGGCACAGAATCTATCACTAACCAGGGTAAGATTTATCCTTCCCAGTGTCCTCCTTGAGAAATACTGCTTTAAGATTGACAAGATAGGAATGGAAGGAAGTTAGGGGTTTAAGGTACAATGGAAGTTGAATCATTAAGGTACAATGGAAGTTGAATCATTCAACAATTAAGTTGAACGGATGTTGGACATATATTATGATTTACTAAACTGCTGCTCATAGGATGAGGGTCAAGTTCAGTTGTGGATCTGCTGAGTTTGAGCTGTCTGTAGAACAGCATCATGGTGTGACTGTATAGACAATCGGAAATCTGAATCTAAAGCTCAGGAGCAGGAATCAAGCTCTAAATATAGATTTTGGAAATTATCCATACCCTAGTATTAATTGATGCTGTGAGGCTGGGTGAAATCCCTCAGTTAAGGATACTAGAGGCTGGAATATTGGGCAAGGACAGAGGGAAAGCGTAGGAAGTGCTAATATTGTTTTTCCCTATTTTTACATTTTGTAAAATAGATTTTCAATACATGATGAAACTGGGATGCAGAGACTTTAAAAAGTTCACATGAAGCTTTTAAGCACATATAAGCATTTCATTACAGTGATTTTTATGTTCCTTGATCATAGTTTACACTAGTTCTTTTGCTCCAGCCTAATAAATCACTCAGCACCTGTAATATAAAATGATATTTTCTGTGGTAAAATTTTAGAAAAATGACATAAACTTGTCAGTTTGCAAACACTATAGTGTTTACCATGAATTCATGACATCAATATTTAGTTTATCTGGCAGAATGTAGAAAAATGTATTAATCACTAGAAAGTATGATAATTATTATTTAAATGTTATATATGTTGAAAGAATCTTAGGACAAACAGGTGAAGTCTTATGGTATTTTGTGATATATATAATAATATTTTTGAAACTGCTTTTGTTTGTTAATAAAAATAGAAATTGCATGGAGAAATTGCTTGGCCAAAAATAGATACAATGACTGATCCAGATACTCTTGTTTTCAGATTTTTTTCTCATGCTGTTTTAATTGTAAACTGTTATACAATTGGGTTACTAAAACCCTTGATGGGTTCTAGTAATCACCAACTAGTAAGTCATAAAACTTTTGTAACTTACTGTATTTCAGAATTGTTATTCAGATTTTCCAAATTATTCTTTGTGAGTTATGTATGATGTCATGAAAACACTGATTTTTGTGTTTTTCATTCGTATTTTAAAATATTTAGTTATTCTAGTTTTATAACTTTAACATCCCATTTTAAAGCAAGACTTAAAAAAGTTTTTTCGTAATAGAATATACACCAAACACAACCTTAGTATTTATCAAAGAAAAACAAATTCAAGTTAGACATACTTTTTTCCATTTTTGAAATTAGCAAAAAAGATTTTTATATGATTATGTTGCTAAATGGACACAAAATGCTGTTGTAGTATACACGTATATAATCACTCTTTTGGAGAGTAAATTCCACACTGTAAAGAACCTTAAAGTATTTAAAATCTTTAACCAAGCAGTTCCATCGTGTGATACAGAACTTCAGGAAGTGAATGTGAAAAAGTCTTTGCCCCAAGGTATTCATCCTAGGATTGCTTATAATCAAAAAAATGGAAAGCCACATAATTGAACAATAATAACATGTCTACTAGAAAGACTATGCAACCATTAAATGTTCTGTTTTCAGATTCTAATATGTCTTAGAATAATGTTTATAATATAATCATCAACAAAATGCAACTTACAAAGTTACACATTTGGTATGATTACAACTACATTAAAAATTCGTGTGTGTGTGTGTGTTTATACACATATATACAAACGTGTATATTTATATACACATATGTACAAACGTGTATATTTATATACACATATGTACAAACGTGTATATTTATATACACATATGTACAAACATGTATATACACATATGTACAAACGTGTATATTTATATACACATATGTACAAACGTGTATATATACATGTATGTACAAACATGTATATTTATATACATGTATGTACAAATTGTATATTTATATATAAAGGGAATTTAATGAAAAATGCTAACATTAGTAAGATATGTGCTCTGGCAGTGATTTTTATTTTTTACTCATGCTTTTTTTGTATTTAACTATTAAAAATAATTACATGTTTTTTGACGAGAAAAATATTTTTAAAAGAGAAGTATTTCTATAGTTTATAGTTTTCTGAAATAGGTTTACATAAAGGCACATAATGAGACATAAAGTTTTTTAGCAAAGAAAAATAGGCAAAATGTAAAATAAATTTTGCCTGTTTTCCCATGCACACACATTGAAAGGAAACACAACAAAAATTTCAAAGCATGTTGGAGAAGGCCCTAAGGCATATGATGTCTGGTATTTGAAGAAGTGCAGGAAAGAGCAAAAGAGAGGAATGGGCAGGGGCCATATCTCTCCTCATAGGCAGGTTTAGCATTTTTACTTTGTCCTCAAAGTAGTGGATTTTAAGGCATGGTTAGATTTGCATTTTACGCATATCATTCACAGGTACCTGTGAGTTGTGGGAAGCAGGTTTTCCTCCACTTTAGAGATAATAAACCTGAAACTCCCAAGTCCTTAGTTACCTTGCTAGTGAGATTTACAGCTAAAACTTGAATCTAGACAGTCTCTCTCCTAATCTGGTATCTTTTTTTGCCATTCCTTCTGCCTCAAATGATATGTAATTTAGTACCTTTATGTTTTTAAAGGGAATACCATCAGATCTTTTGGTAAATTAGTAAATTTAGTGAAATTTGGTAAGTATTCTTTTAAGCAGATTTAGATCACATGTATAGTTCAGTAATATAGTAAATAATGGTATTTCTGTGGAATGCTTGGTCTACTAATGTTGCTGTGGTTTATTTAATCATTTTTCTCAAAATCTGATCTTAATGGCAGCTCATTATATAGACATAGTCAGTTTTTATTGTTAAGAAGTTATTCCATTTCTGAATAAGGAGTTGTCAGGGAGGTAAGCCAACAAGTTTAGTGTCATAACACCTTTGTGAAAATTTGAGTGTTTCAGTCTCTCTATATGATGCTTCATGCATTAGGGCTCATAATTAGTTCATAAAAGTAGAATTTTGAGAAACCTTTTCTATACAGTTTTGTCTCACTTTTTTTTTTTCATTTTTATAGTCACAGAAGATATAATGAGTTATAATATGTGATAAAATTAGTGGATCTTCTTCTTCTCTGGCCTTCCAAGTTTCCTATTGTCTGCATTCCAGTATCCTTTCCTATTCTTCATTATGCTAACTAGTTTTCCTAACATAGGAACCAAACATTCAGTTAATATTTTAGATGCCCCTTACTATTCAAACTCTCCCTTAATATCTAAAATTCAAAAACTGAATAGATGTGGATAATACCATATTTTCTTGTTAAACTAACTTGGTATCAGACTCTTATTATCTTAATTCAAAAGGTGAAATGAATTGGATATTCATTGTACAACTGCTTTCTAATATCTTTCAGTTTCCTCACTCTTATTTTCATCCTGATTTTAGGAAGAAAAATCATCCTGATTTGGTCTATGGAATAAATGGTAATATTCTTTGAAAGTTCTTATCAGCAAATTAATATCATGATAGCTTTTTTTCAGCCATTTAGTTCTTAATGTGCCTTCTTTTTCACTCAAGACATGGTTTGTTTTTTCTCATCAGTAGACAGTATGTTTTTATTATCCTCATTTTCCATCATCTTGTAGGCATTTAAGTGCAGATTTGATCACTTATGTAACTTTTCAGCAATTATTAAGGCTTTAAGAATTTTTTTCTATTATAGTCTTTCATTTTTTTAAATTTCATTTTTAGAAAGAGGGTCTTACGCTGTTGCCCAGGCTGCAGTATAGTGGCCCAGTCATGGCTCACTGGAGCCTTGACTTCCTGGGCTCAAGCTGTCCTCCTGCCTCAGCCTTCTGAGTAGCTAGGACAACAGGTGAGCAACACCATGCTTGGCTAATGTTGCCAAGGCTAGTCTCGAGCTCCTGGCCTCAAGCAATCCTCCTGTCTTGGCCTCCCAAAGTACTAAGTGCCTGAGTCACTGCACCCAGCCTCTATTATGGTCATTTTTGTTAATCAAAAATTTACATTCCATTGCTGGCTTATTCTTTATAAGGGCATGAGAGTTAATTAACGCTGCAAATATCCCAGAGACTTTATAGATGAATAATTTATCATTATTATACTATATTATATCTAAAACTTGTATTATTTTGGAAAAAGAGGAAAGATAGGTCTAGAGGGAACTGGAAGGAATCTAAACTCTTTGGTGTCAATGTTTAAACTGCTTTCTTGAAAAGAAAACATATTCTCTGAACAAAGATTCTTGTACCAAGTAAATCAATTTACTTTTCACAAGTAAGAGTAACTAATCAGGGTCTTTTTTATTAGCATCTGAGAACATATTTTCATTCCAGAAGTCTTCTCTTCACCATATTAAATTATGTAGTTCCTTCATCCTTTCCTTAGGGAAAGTTAATTTTCAACCCTGTATTTGATCTTGCTGCTATTCTGAATCCACTCCAGATGTCCTTGTCGCTGTTTGTGCTATCAACCTAGAAGCAAGGAAGTGCTAGGCATTTGCATTCATTAAGAGGGAACTGATAAAAATTTGCTATTGGATTCTGAATATTATAAAAAAAATATTAATTGAAATAAAAATAATATAAGGAAGTTAAGTAGAAATTTAGCTTATATGAGTAATCTAGGAATTTTAGTTTGAAAATTTTCTTTGTAAAATTGATACATTACATACATATTTTAGGGGTACATGATACATTCATATAATCAAATCAGGGAAATTTGGATGTCCATTACCTTAAATAGTTATCTTTTCTGTACACCAGGATCTTTTTAATTATTCTGTTCCAGCTATTTTGAAATGTATAATATATTAATGTTAACCATAGTCATCCTACTGCTCTATTGAACACCAGCTCTTATTTCTTCTATCAAACTGTGTTATTTATACCCATTAATCCACCTCTCTTCATTGCCTTCTCCCCTCTACTTTTCTAACCTCTGGTAACCACCAGTCTACTCTCTACTCCCTGTGTACTGTTGGTGGGAATGTAAATTAGTACAACCACCATGGAAGACAGTTTGGAGGTTCCTCAAAAAACTAAATATAGAACTACCATATGATCCAACAATTCCACTACTAGGTATATATATCTAAAAGAAAGGAAATCAATATATTGAAGAGATAATCTGCACTCCCGTGTTTATTGCAGTACTACTTACAGTAGCTAAAATATGGAATCAATCTAAGTGCCCATCAGTAGATTAAGGGATAAAGAAAATATGGTATATATACATGATGCAATGTTATTCATTCATAAAAAAGGAATGAAATCCTGTCACTGGCAGCAACATGAGTGGAACTGGAGATCATTATGTTAAGTGAAATAAGAGCGACACGGAAAGACAAATTTTACATGTTCTCACTCATATGTGGGAGCTAAAAAAAATAGATAGGAAATGTTCTTACCATCCATTCAGATAAATAGAATTCCCTGCAAAAGGTTGTGCCCTTAAGAAGTAGAAACTTTTCTGCATCATGGAATAATTTATGTGTTAATTCATGTATAACAATAAAATATTCAATATTTATTGAATAATATTCAATAGATTATCAGCTTTTAGTGATAAAAATGTGTAAAGTGCTTGGATTTATTGCCTGAATAAGGTTTAGAATGGGAATTTTTTTACCTCTGTGGTTTGATGGGTGAATTCTGAGGTCTGGGCACAGGAATTGTGGTGCCAACTCTTTATGTGACTTACTAGAACAACTTTTCCTAAGACTAAAATGACACTGCTGGCTGCTATTGTAGCCTTTTCTTCTTCAGAAATATCCCTGGCTTTCTATTGTGCCTTACATCATCTCTCAGCATTACCTTAGTCTTTGCATTCTAGTGTGTCATTGGCAAATGCCCTTGCCAATGCCCTCACCCTATCTTAAGACTTTTGCCTTAAAGTCAATGCCTGGACTTATATTAGTATAATGACAGCAGCATTGTTTATATTTGTGTGTTATGTCTTTTCTCATATCCTTTCACTTTTAACATTTTGATGTTCTTATATTTAAGGTATGTCTTCTGTAAGTAGCACATAATTGACTTTGTTGTTTGTTTTTTTATCCAGTATTCTACTTTTTTTCTTTTAGTTGGTGTTTTCGGACCATTTATACTTACTATAATAACTGATATATTTAGGTTTGTTTTCAATTTATCCCATCTGTTTTATGTTCCTTTTTCTGTTTTATTTTGTTTTTTTGTAGGATTAATTAAGTATTTTAAATTATTTTAATTTTCCAGCCCTCCCCTGCCCACATATTGGCTTGTTATTTATACATCCTTTTCATGGTCATGTTAAAGATTATGACAAGCATTTTGGGCACATTATTAGTTTAATATAAATTAAATTAATGTAAATTAACTTTAAATAACTTTCATACCTTTGATGTTATTGTTATATATTTTAATTATAAGTATATTGCTACATTTCAACTTTTTGCCTTGTATTATCAACATTTATTTAGATTTACTCATATATTCACTGTGCCTTTTGCTCTTCATTCCTTTCCACATTTCTGTATTTCTTGTCTATGATATGACATTTCTTTTCAAGGGTATTTGCCAGTGAAAGACATTTTTCTGTTGTTATTTGTTTGAAAATTCATTATTTTACCTTAACTTTTCAAACATCTTTTCAAGTGAAATTCTAGATTGTCAGTTATTTTCTTTCAGAAACTTAAGGATGTCATTCCATCATTCCTGTTCAGTGACCAACTGTTTTAATGTCATTTGTTTGAAGGCAATTTGTCCCCTTCCCCTTCCCCTTCCCCCAGCTGCTTTTAAGATTTTCTCTTTGACTGGTTTTCAGCAGTTTTACTGCCTGTCCATATACATGGTTTTCTTTGTACTTATTTTGCTTGGGGTTTGTAGATGTTCTTAAATCTGTGGATTAGTATCTTTCATTAGTTTTGTAAAGTTCTTGGCCTTTATCTTATCAGATATTGCTTCTGCCATATTCCATCTCTCCCTCTCTGGTATTCCAATTACATTCATATTAGACCTGTTTCATCATGACTCGCATTCTATTTCTATAATCTTTTTAGTATTTTTCTGTCTTTTTGCTCTTCAAGCTTCAGGCAAGGTATTTTCTTTTCTTTTTTCTTTTTCTTTCTTTCTTTCTTTTTTTTTTTTGAGACAGAGTCTCACTCTGTTGCCCAGGCTGGAGTGCAGTGTCACGATCTTGGCTCACTGCAACCTCTGCCTCTCAGGTTCAAGCAATTCTCCTGCCTCAACCTCCTGAGTAGCTGGGTTTAAAGGCATGCATCACCACACCCGGCTAAGTTTTGTACTTTTAGTAGAGACTGGGTTTCACCATGTTGGCCAGGCTGGTCTCAAACTCCTGACCTCAAGTGATCTGCCCACCTTGGCCTCCCAAAGTGTTGGGATTACAGGCGTGAGCCATCGCACCCAGCCCAGGCAAGGTATTTTCTACTGATTCTGTCATGAGTTACACCAGATTTATCTTCTGTTGTGTCTAGATTGCTGTTATTGAGTTCTTAATTTCACTTGTTAAATGTTTTTAAATTCTAGAACTTCCATTTTGATTTTTAAAAAAATAGATTCTGTTCTTTGTTACAACTTTCTGTCTTGTCTTCTTGACATATTAACCATAATTATTTTAGCATCTGTACCTGATAATACCAATAACCAAACCATTTGTGAGTTTGTTTCGATTCTTTTTTTTTCAATTGGTCTTGTTTGTTAAGTCTGGTAGTTTTAAAATGAATCCTTATCTTTATATATTAAAAGTTTTAGAATCTCTGGATTATCTCATTTTTCTCCAGAGAGGTTTTGCCTTGTCCTCTGATGGCCACAAAGAGTAGTGGCTGACTCAAGGCCGTGCTGCGATTTTAAGCCTCCTTTGATCTCTGGTTTGTCTCTGTTCTTAGAGTGTAGTATCTCAGGGATCCCTATACAGACCTTGTAGTATCTAGAACCTTTCTTCTCTGGTGGTCACTGAATACCAATTTTTGTCTCTTGTACATCTTGAGACTACCAAAACTTCTGTCTGCTTTTCAGGGACATTCTTCTTAGCTTCTTGTCCTCTTGTTCTATACAAATGAGTGTCAGACTTACCTTTTTTTTTTTTCACCTCTTTTCTCATCAAGACTTGGCCTTTCTTTCTTTACCTGAGTTCTCTGAATAATATAGTATAATATAATATTTCTTTCTTATAAAAGCTCTTTCTCTCACTCTTCTTAAGATTTCACCTCAGAATATGTGTTAGTTTAAAATTCCAGATGCACTTTTAAAATGTCTTTCTTAAAAAATCCACAATGAAAATGTATATTATTTTCTTATTTTTCTTCCTTTTTAGGTCCTCAAGTTCTGGCTGCATTGGCAGCTAAAAACTTTAATTTTTATCTCTCCAGTCTTCCAAGATTGCCAAAGACTCTTGGATTCTCTACTTCCTGGCAGCAGCTATATCCCCAAATTCTCAGCCTCTTGCTTTGTGCCAAGAATAACAATGGTAGATTCCCTCAGAGTTACAGTTTGTAGAATTTTGGATTACTTCCCTGTGGTTTCCTTCTCTCTAGGATCTTAGCCTTTCATTACTTGATTGTTTTGGTACCTTCAAATTTATTTTATTGGGCTTTCTAGTTGTTCTTGGTGGGAGCATTGCTATGCCCAAAGCTTCTCTGGCATAACCAGAAGTTATGGTTAAATCTTAGTGTTTTAGTCATTTTATTTAAAAGTGTTAATGAACAAGTAATGCATGCACACAATAAAATTTATACAAACAATAATAAAAAGTCACTTTTCCTCCTGTATTCCAGTCTTATAGTCTTTTTCTTTGGAGGCAAAGTTGCAGTTTATTATGTATCTATCTATCTATATCATGTATACATATATACAGGAATATAATCTAAATAATATCCAATAATATCCAAAAGAAAGGAAATCAATATATTGAAGAGATAATCTGCACTCCTATGTTTATTGCAGTACTACTTGCAGTAGCTAAAATATGGAATCAATCCAAGTGCCCATCAGTGGATTAAGGGATAAAGAAAATATGGTATATATACATGATGCGTCTTGTATATTGCAATATTATTCATTCATAAAAAAGAATGAAATCCTGTCATTTGCAGCAACATGGGTGGAACTGGAGATCATTATGTTAAGTGAAATAAGGCCGCCACAGAAAGACGAATTTTACATGTTCTCACTCATATGTGGGAGCTAAAAAAAATAGCTTTGATGACGTAGACAAGAATTGACAGAATAGAATTGATGAAGTAGACAAGAATACATATGTATACATGATATATGTATATCCTTCTTGTTATATTTCAAGTTCTATTTATAAAATATTTCAAACATGCTGAAAAGAATAGAGGATATAATAAAAATTGTTGTACCCACAACTCAGGTTTAAGAAAATGTTAACATTTTACCATATTTAGATTCTTTTTAGAGGGGGGGGCTGAGGAATAAAATGGTGTAATACACTTCAATCCCTATTTTAAAAATCTATTTTATTTAACAGTTCTTTTTTCTATTTAGTTTGGTTTTCAGGATTTATCCATGTTTATATGTATAGATCTCCCTTGTTCATTTTAGTTCACATATGGCATTCCTTTAATTACTCCTCTGCCAACCCCCATTTATTTTGTTGTTATTTGGTTTTGTTTACATAAATCTGAACATATTTTACTCTATATTCTAGACTTTATATTTCTTACAAAACCTCTTTATGTTTAAAGTATGTGATACCAAGAAAATTTACTTTATATCCCCTCTCAATTTGATGGAAAACTAAAAATAAAACGTATATTTGGGGACAAGTGTATGAGAGTCTTTAATGTCATGGTGATACATTGAGGCTTGTATAGAACATTTGGTGAATTCCAGATATATTGCAAATCTTTGATATGTCTACCTTTGGCATGTCCCAAGTTTTATAAATAGTGCATTTAGGAAAAATTACAAATTACCCTGACTCCTGTTTCTTTACCTTAATACTTCCAATATAATATAACATAACATAATATATAATGTAAATATTTCTCCTTAAGAATTTTTTTCTCTTATTCTTCATAAGACTTCACTTAACAGAATGTCTGTTAAATTAGCTTAAGTAATTTAGCTTCAGACAAGCTTTTTTTCCTTTCTTTTTATTTTAAATTTTAGGTACATTACAAATGGCAACGTATGGTAGTCTCTTATTTTTCTTCCTTTTTTAGGTCTGCAATATTTTGATAGCATTGTATTCAAAATTTATTGATTCATTTTATGTGCTTTAGCACTTTGCTAAGTATTATTGTGGATATTAATGGAATATAAGACATTATCTTGGCCCACATGGAGGCTAAAATTTAATTGAAGAGAAATAAACTGATCATTAGACCACTAACTGAAGTGCTAATGATGTGAAGTGAGATTTGGAGTAGACCATAAAGGATGATGAATATTTGATTTTAGAAAGCAAAGAGGGGAACATCTTTATGATACCAGCTAGGTGAAGCTTGAAGAGTTTCACCATTATGCAGCTGAGGGTACACATTTGCGATAATGGGAAATTAAGTGAAGTAGCAGCAGAGGGTCATCAATAGTCCAGGAAGATTAGAATTGATGAAGTAGACAGTGAGATGCCCATATCAATTGTAAGTGAGAGGATGCAATCAGTATTTTAGGAAGCTGAGTGGATCAGAGCAAGAGGAAGGAGGTCAACTAGAAAGCTTTTATGGAAATTTGGGAAATTCAACTTAGATATAGCCTTCCAAAAAATGCCTATGCACTTTGGCACAGTAATTGCTATACTAAGGCTTCTGGGAAAACACTTCAAAATGTGTGGTATCTGAAGGTACAGAGAACTGGATCAAAGCAACATTTTAAAGTAACTTGTTTTTCTTTCATGTGTTTTTGCCTTGTGGCACCTTTTCCCTCCAAATCCCAGTGAATCCAGTGGTGGGGAATTTTCCTGCAGTCTGCAACATGAGAACCCAGTGTGGTTGGGTTCCCCTGAGTTGGAATATCTGGGAGCTCTTAGAGTAGGCACAGATTCTTTTTTTATTTTTTGTAGAAATGAGGTCTTGCTTTGTTGCCCAAGCTGGTCTCGAATGCCTGACCTCTAGTGATCCTCCTACCTCGGTCCCCCAAAGTGCTGGGACTACAAGCATGAACCACTGTCCCAAGCCAAAGCACAGATCCTTAATCAGAGTATCCCATAGAACTCTGAGAGAGTTCATAGATAAGCTTCTGGGTTTATGAATTTTCTGAAATTATATTTTAAATTTTGGATTATGTACATTTTCTAGACAAGAGTTTCAGATTCTGAAAGAAGTCTCTGACCCTCCCCCCTCCCAAATTAATAATTACTGCTTAAAAGATTTACTTTGTACAAGTCTCAGTCCTATCTCTTCAGAGACTGCTTGAGCCAAGTAGAAAGAAGATAAGTGATTATATTATGTCGACCCATGTGCAGTTGCCAATATTTAATTTAGTAGTTTTTGGCCTATGAAACATCAATTTCATGTGATCCAACCTAATATAGCCTTAAATAACTTTGCATGCATTTTTAAAATGTAAAGCCATTCATTTTAGACATGTAGGTTTTAGTTAAGCAGCATATATTCAAATTTGAATTTAAATATATAGATTTATTTCATTAAGACAATTAAATTCTGGTTATATTTCCTCAATTTCTACATTCCATAAATTTAATGACTTTAGTTTTATGTAGTTTCGGGTTATGCAGTATTTTTTGGGAGTATTTCTCTTGTGTATTTAGTGTTTCTACTCTGGTAAAACAGGATAGGGAAATGGTGGAAAGAGAAATGAAAGAGGAACGAAGAAGGTATATGATATAGTATAAAAATAGCAAATACGTTCAAATTATTCATTAACTTCCAATGGTGGTTAGTCTCTGCCTGGAGCTCTTTGATAATAAGAATTCTCAGGCCCTGTTTGGCTCAGGGATAAAAAGAACATTGATGGATCTGTCCTCAATCACGTGAAGTCTGCCATGAGCACAGGACAACTGAGTGGCAGAGCTCATGCCATACGTTTGGTGTTCTGCTAATTACTTCAATTTAATCAGAATTTCTTTGTTAGCCAGAGTATTACATTTCTTCAGAATGATGGATTATATGACTTTCATAAGTGTAGTTTGGCATTTGAAACTTCGAGTCAAGAAAACCAAATTTAACTATAAGCTATTTCTTGGAAGACTTCAGAGAACAAACAGCAATTCAGGTTTTTTTCTTTGATTTTTGTTTTGTTTGCTGTTTTGTAATTTTCACTATCTTTGTTTTTTAATTAAGGGGAAAAAAGAAACATATACTTGGAATGAGGAAACCCTTTAAACCTATTCTTTTTTTTATATATAGACTGCTTTCTGATTCCAAACAGTTCAACATTTTAAGAAAAGCAAGATCTTATATAAAACACAGAAAGTTTGATGAAGTGGTAAGTATACCGGCCTTATAGACATAAATAGCTGATTATCATTTTGGGGATGGAGAGGAGAAAAATAGAGCAAAGTAGGCAGGCCAGGGAGCTTTCTTGAGCCCTCAAGGAAGGATTGCATTTCCTGAGTAGCTGCTTTAGCAGTGGACAGATCTCTCTTATTTCAACTAATATTATGGGTAAATTTTTTTTTTTTTTTTTGAGACAGAGTGTCGCTGTTGCCCAGGCTGGAGTGCAGTGGCACAATCTCAGCTCACTGCAACCTCCGCCTCCCAGGTTCAAGCAATCCTCCTGCCTCAGCCTCCTGAGTAGCTGGGATTACAGGCATGCGCCACAACACCCAGCTAGTTTTTGTATTTTTAGTAGAGATGGGGTTTTGCCATGTTGGCCAGGCTGGTCTTGAACTTCTGACATCAGGTGATCCACCCGCCTTGGCTTCCCAAAGTGCTGGGATTACAGGCATGAGCCACCGCACCCGGCCCACATTTTTTTAGGTTAGCATTAGAAATAAACTATTACCATTTTTTAAAATGAGAAAATAGATGCCAAGTTTGTGTCACCCTTCTTAATGTATAATATTTTAGAATACTATATGTTTGCCACTTGGAATTATCTATACATTATTAAAAGTCTAATGATTCATGTTGAAATTTTGACTCTTCCAAACTCCTATCTCACTGTTTTTCATTAATTTTTCTTTGTTAAATGGTCATTTAATTTTAAAGTAGAAAAGAATTCTGTTTTCATTTCTAAAATTGCCTAAATAATTGCCAATCCGTGCATTTCTAATGCTTTTTTTGATGATTTTAAAATGATAAGCTATTCTTCTCCTGTAAAATATTAAGCTACTTAATGATGTTTTATAACTGATTTGAGTAATCTCATATGAGAAAAAATATAAATATGGCCATTATCATTATTTGGGACCTATATTAGAGAGCCTTCATTTCTTTTATGAGTTGTCTGAATATCATTTCCACAAACACACATATACAACACAAATAGTTTACATTTAAAATGCCCTTTCTTATTAAGATTAAAAAGTTCATTTTATTCCAAATTTTTCTCATACTTTAAAAGAAGATCCTGGAACAATTAAAATCTGTTCTTAATCCATCATCTACAGTTATTCACTAATTTTAATACAACAGTTTGGCTGTTAGGAATTTAAAATTTTCCTTTCTTTAAAATGTAGGTTTTCTTATTATTTCTGTTAGCAAGTTATATATGTTTTTTCTCCATAGGTCTCCCTTTGCAAGGAGCTAATTCATCTTGCATTGAAAGGATTGTCCTATTATCACACATATGACAGATTCTTTTTGGGCGTCAATGTTGTTATTGGTTTTGTGGGATGGATATCTTATGCCTCTTTGTTGATCATCAAGTCTCATTCCAACCTTATAAAAGGTGTTAGTAAAGAAGTGAAGGTACGTTTAGAAAATGTGAGGATTCAGATGATGGTATAAAATCACTAGTACTGAATCCAGTGTAATGAGTTTATAGGATGTGCAAGTCATTGTTCTAAGCTAACTCTTGTTTATCTTTCATTTGCTTTTATTGTATTGGATTTTTCCTCAGTTATCTCTGTTTCTTCAGTTGAGAAAAAGATATATTGATAATAATGATCCTATAACTTAAGAAAGCTATAAAGATAGAGGTGTAAGTAATTTAAGTGCTCCTATGTTATCAATGGTGTCGACCTTCTGTTTTATTTTATAACTAGCATTTTATAAGTATTCCATATCTTTCTAGTACAACTGGTCAGAAAACTACTTCAAAACAATATGTTTAATTTTATTTGATATTAAAAGTTTGGGAGCTAGAGAACAATAAAATTATTTGCTCATAATGTTTCTTCTTAAATGATGTATACATTTTTTAATTACTTACCTTCTTTTAACTTTTTGAAGTTTCTCAAAATGCAGATTTCTAGACCTCTCCAAGTATTCTTATTTTAAGAATTTGTTCCTACTTTACTATGCTTTCAGTGAAAAAATAAAAATTAAAAAAATCTCTTTAATGATACTTCATATTGCTGAGACAATATAACAGTATGTATATGGTTTTACTACATTAAAACACTTTACTCTTTTAAAATATATTTCTAACTATCATTTACCAGGGGCACTATGCCACTTTCATTTCCTTTGCTTCATTCTCTTTAATGATTATTACCATGTTCAAGTTCTCTAAAAAGTAATATATCCTGGTGGTGTATTTTTAATAATAGTCTGCAGATATTTCCAGTGGTAACTTTTCCAATTTTATATTTTATTATTCTGTAATGGAAGTAAGGCCATTAGTGTTTATTATAATTTTGTATAATGCTTTAATGTATCTTAAATAATTTCCCCCAAGTAATTTTAATTATTTGAGTGTATGTGAAATTGGCTGGAATGGGAATTGTATCTAGGCATTCTTAGAACTCATAACAGTGCTAGAAGTAGACATAATTTATGTTTGCAAAAAAGGAAGCTGAAGCTGAGGAGGATTAAGTTACTTATTAAAGGCCACTCAGATAGCATGTGAGGGACTGAGACTTTAATCCAGAGCAGTCGTGGGCCAGAGAGTGCCTTTTCATGTTTATCTTAATATTCAGTTTATTGAGAAAAAAATATGTTTTTATATTGATATGTTAACAAGATTTCATAGCTGATAGTTCTTCATTATTCGTTAATCTGATAATACAGCCAATATTTAATTGAGTGTATGGTACAATGCTAGATGCTGGCAAGGGTATCCAATCTTTTGGCTACCCTAAGCCACATTGGAAAAAGAATAATTGTCCTGGGGCACACATAAAATACACTATCAACAGCTGATGAGCTTTAAAGCTCATTCAAAGCTGTCCTGGACCACAGGTGGCCTGTGGGCTGCAGACTGGACAAGCTTGCTGTATAGGCTATACAAAGAAATAAAAGATTCAGATTCTACCATCAAGAAGCTTAGAATTTAATAAAGTAGGTAAGAGATGTACACATATAACCAACCACCTTACCAGGCATAAGTCACTATATCTACACTCGACTACAAAAGAAAACTTTAAGATATGTAAAGTGTTTGGGATAATAAAAAGACTATCATATTTTAAATATGAGAGCTGACTTTAGGGTGACGATAACAGGAAAAAGTAAGTCTTGGTGGGAGTTTAACAGTCAGAATCTAGGGAGAGGTTGAGAATTAAAGCAAACTGAATGATGTAAACAGAGGCAGATTTGGGAAGATGTACTGTTCTTCTGGGTTAATAGTAGTATGTATTGAGCCCCACTGTTCCAGGACTGCCCTGGGTGCTTTATGTAAGTTATTTAGTTAGGCTTAACACTACCCTAAATTTGGTGGTTATGATTCTCATAATATAGATGGAGGGATTTAGGCTCAGAAAAATTACCTGTTTTCCACAAGGACACATGGGTTTTAAATGACAGAACCCATATTTTCTGACACTTGAATTCTTTCTCTTTCTATGCCATGCTTCCTTCAAAATAAATAGTTCACTTTGTATAGAATGTGGGAGGTTTGTTCGAGGGACTGATAAGAAATAATACAATATAGATTAGGCCGAAGTAATCAAAGGCTTCAAATGCTGGACTACAGCATTTACACTTTATTTAGTGAGGAGTTTGGTACGTTAATAAAAACCAGAGAAATAGAACCAGGCTATATATATATATAATATATATACATATTTATATATATATATGTATTATATATATATTTTTTATTATGCTTTAAGTTCTAGGGTACATGTGCACAATGTGCAGGTTTGTTACATATGTACACATGTGCCATGTAGTATAAGAAATTGGCTTATGTGATTGTGGGGCCTAGTTAGGCAAGTCCTAAATTCACAGGTCAGGCTGTCAGGAAAGGCAGACTGAACTCGCCAGCAGGAGCTGAAGCTGCACTCAACAGGTAGAATTTCTCCTTTAGGGAACCCTTAGTTTTGCTCTTAAAGGTTTTCAACGGATTGAATGAGGACTACCCAGATTATCTAGGATAATCTCCTGTACTTAAAGTCCCTGACCTTTACACCATGCAGACTATCACTAGTGAATTAGATTGATGAATTCTCTGTTTTGGCAGGTGATTGGGAATAGTGCATATGACTGAATGAAGTTTCTATTGGGTGGGCAATAGAGAGAGAAGCTTAGATAGCTTGTCACATTGGAGCTTGAATAGATAAGACATTGTTCCAAATGATAATTAAGTCCCATACCTTATTATGGATTAAATAGGCTTTTGCGAGTTATCCAGAGAACTCAATCAACATTTATAAAATATTCCTAAAAGGAAACATGTTCAGAATTCTGAACAAGTTACTTGCAAACAAACTTTAAGGCCATAGTCACTTTTAAGTTGAGAATTGCTTAATTGCAGCAATTCCAGGTTATCTAGGTTTTTCCTCTCTAATATGCTCCTCAAATAATAGATTTTTTTCCTTGTCTTAATGCAGCTCTTTGATTAATCATCTAGTAGTATAACCATTGAAAGAAAGTAATAGGTTTTCTTTACTTTATAAAATCTCTTTTAAAACCTATCAATTACCATTGGTTTGGAAGTGTTTCAATGTTTTGTTTGATTTTTCAGAAACCAAGCCATCTCCTGCCTTGTAGTTTTGTAGCTATTGGCATTTTAGTAGCATTTTTTCTGCTGATTCAAGCCTGTCCCTGGACATATTATGTATATGGTTTGTTGCCACTGCCAATATGGTATGCGGTTCTAAGAGAGTAAGTAATGCATCTTGCTGCCTTGTTTTTTCACTTCATTGACAGTTAAATCTGTATTTAAAATGCAGTAGATTTCTGTACCATAAGTCATCAAATATATTTATAATACTGTACTTTCAAACCTCCAGTCCCTCTCACTTCATTTATAACTGCATAAATGTTGAGTAGGATATAAACATTCTTTCTGTTGTACTTTTCCCTTTTGACTTCATCTTTATTTTTCTGAAGTGGCAGTGTTCACTTCTTTGTGTATCTTTTATAGAAAAAAAATGGAATAAAAGTAACGATTAATATTGATCATACTATGCCTAGACTAACTTGCATTTTGAACTTGTGTCATCATCTCAGATTCCAATATATCTTCATATTTGACAAAGATATTTGCATGTTTTATTTCCATACATTTTGACTCCTCCTTTCCTAGCGATTGTGTAGATCTAGATAAATTAAACTTTGTAGTTAAATCTAATACGGTTATATTTACACACAGAGATTAGTCTATATTTTTCACATGTGCTGTGGTTCTACCTGTAAGTGCTTCCTCACAGGTTGTACTTAAAATAGAGTGTATTGTTAACATTGTAGAAAACATTAGAAGTAAGGCTCTTTGGTGAGTTTCAAACACTTTTAATAAAACCACTAGAAGGGAGTACTAGTTCATGCTCACTGGCAGCTGGAGTCATGTTGCAGATCTTATTGGTTTCTATTTTTACACCAGTAATCTATAATTTAAACTTAGTCATGGATATCAAAGTATTTTCTGAGCAAACCAGACCCCTAAAGTCAATGAAAGAATGAGAGCCTATTATAATAAGGGTATCCCCAAGGTTGGCTTAACATGTGCATCGTGACACTATGCATAATTTTATTCTAATTTTTCTTAACTTTAGCTTTGACTGCTTCTTCCTTCTTTTAAAACATGATGTATTAAAAATATTTCGGAGTTGGCTGGGTGCAAGGGCTCACGCCTGTAATCCCAGCACTTTGGGAGGCCAAGGCAGGTGGATCACTTGAGGTCAGGAGTTCGAGACCAGCCTGACCAACATGGCAAAATGTTTCTACTAAAAATACAAAAATTAGCTGGGCATGGTGGTATGCACCTGTAATTCCAGCTACTCAGGAGGCTGAGGCATGAGAATTGCTTGAACCCAGGAGGTGGAGGTTGCAGTGAGCCAAGATTGCACCACTGCACTCCAGCCTGAGCGACAGAGTGAGACTCTGTCTCAAAAAAAAAAATTAACTTAAAAATATCAAAAATTAATATTAATATTAAAATGCTTAAAATATTAACTATAAGGCAAAAAGACACTGATCAAATAACATATTGTTACCTCTCCATTTGAAAGGAATAGGGTTGTTGCATACGCATATTTAACTCAGATTTTTAAAAATGTCATTTAGTCTGGTTTTTAAACTTTTAGAACAAAAGGTTTTGTCTTTGCAGAAAATTGTATCTAGTACAGAACCCCTCCTGAATTATTAAATGTCCTAATTATGAAGAAAACATATATATTTAAATTTTAAGGGAAAACATGATTTTGAAAGTATGTTGTGTCCTATCTTTATCTTTTTGATAGATTGTATAGGAAAAAGACATAAAAATTCACAGTCTTCTAAATGATTTTACAAAATCATCTGTTGATCCTCTGTGCTTATTCATTGTTAAGAATAAAAGAAACATTCCCCTTTTGACTGGTGTTAGCTTTTCTTTCCTACATGGCACCTTCCTCATTTTGATGAAATTCTGCAGCTGTTGCTTTCAGTCAGAGAAAGGTCATAAACCAAATGATACTGACCTTCTAAAATTACCTACTTAATAATGCACTACAAATGTTAACTTTTTTTCCTAGTGATGAAATGTAAAAAGTACTCAAGTATGTAATACATTTTTGATGGTTATGAGTTCACTTGATTACCGTTAGTGTACAATTAGTGACATCTTAAATTGGGTTTGGAAAAGGTTATTTAGCTCAGTTAGAAAATGTAATTAAGATTTTTCTCTAACTAGATTAGGAAACCCTACCTTTATTTCATTAAGATTTAAATATAGGATTACTTGGGTGAATTTTAAAAAATTTTTCAGTTTATATGCATTTGGATTCATTGTGTTTTATATTGATGTTGTATCTGTAATTGTATGAATCCGTGTTTAAACTAAGATCAAACAAGATTCATTTATTGTCATTAATGCTTATAAAAACCAAGCAAACTTTTGTGATCATTTTCTTTTTTTTTTTTTTGAGACAGCGTTTCGCTCTTGTTGTCCGGGCTGGAGTGCAATGGCATGATCTCAGCTGACTGCAACCTCCACCTCCCAGGTTCAAGCTATTCTCCTGTCTCAGCCTCCTGAGTAGCTGGGATTACAGGCATGTGCCATCACGCCTGGCTAATTTTGTATTTTTAGTGAGATGGGGTTTCACCATGTTGGCCAGGCTGGTCTCAAACTTGTGACCTCAGGTGATCCGCCCTCTTCAGCCTCCCAAAGTGCTGGGATTACAGGCCTGAGCCACTGCACCTGGCTGATCGTTTTCAAATTAATTCAGAAATTACATTTTCCCTAAAATACTTCTAGATTAAAAAAAAATAGGTAAATAAAGCCCTTGAAACAAATCCGTTAGAGCTTATTTTAGTTTTTGAATAATCTATAAATGGAAAATTATGTAGTGTTTTAGCTTTGTGCAAAGTTTGTATTGTTATACTATGTATGACCTAACTTTAAAATTCAATCAGTCTTTTTATTTGAAACAGATTTCAAGTTATTCAGGACCTTGTTGTATCAGTGTTGACCTATCCTCTGAGCCATTTTGTTGGGTACCTGTTAGCCTTTACCCTGGGAATTGAAGTATTAGTAAGTAACTTACCAGATTACAACATTTGCAAATTTCTTTTATATATTTGTAACTAGTATTAAATGACCTTATTTTTCATTCCTTCTTTGGAATGCATTACTAGGTTCTCAGTTTTTTCTACCGCTATATGCTTACCGCTGGACTTACTGCCTTTGCAGCTTGGCCATTTCTCACTCGGCTGTGGACTCGAGCAAAGGTATGAGTACTCATTTTGACATAGGACAGATTAGTAACTACTTTGTTTTGACACATGTGTAACTCAAGGAACTGTTTATTTTTAAAGAAAAGGGTAGAATGTGTTCTTACATAAAAGAGCCTAGTCATATTGATAGGAGGACTGACATTACCTGTAAGGTTTCAGTAATTCACTTAGACTTTCACATCAAAATGGGCCAGTTATGTGGTAATTGAAATGCTATATAAGTTGTACTGATATGTCCATCTCTGAAGCATTTCCTGGATTTGTTTAGCTTCAAATATCTTGATAATGGACCAGGCAAGGAGTCGTCCAGAGCAGCACAGCCCAGTGGCTTAGGGGTCTGCACTCTGTGAGTCACAGGAAACACCTCCCTCGTTACCCTGAGCCACTCAGTTTTTTTTTTTTCTGGATAAGTATGTATTTATTATAGATTATTAAAAATATAGTCAGTCTTGATTTTCTTCCTTCAGCTACATAGGGAATTACAATGTGCTTCTACAAAGAATGCACTTATATTTCCACTTTGATACTTTTTGATAGAAGTAGCAGGAAGATATCTTCTTTCTACTCTGAGAATTTATTAAAAAATCTTCAATGAATGGGATTATCGATCTTTTAATTTGTGAGGGATCTTAATCTAATTACAAAAGTAGTTTTACTTATTTTCCTTCTGGGCTCAGTTGTTTGGTGATTATTGTAGGCCACCTTTTTTATAGATGTCTTCATCAATATATGGTCTAACCTAAATTGAATGAAGCACTTTATGCAGGTTTAAATACTGGTTATTTTATTTACTTGTCATGGACCTGGTACTACTTATATTTTAACTTCTCTGAGCTCTGTTTCATCATCTGATGTATTGGGAATGATAATACCTGCCTCTTGAGGTTATTGTGAGAATTAAATGAGAAAGTGCTCATATTATACCTAATACTATACCTGCTATGCAACAGGTCCTTCACAAATAGTAACTATTACTTTTTAAAGTAGTTAGCTGTTGATTCTGCTAGAAAGTATTTGAAAAATAAAATAATAAACAGCTGTAAGGCTTTGCATTTTCCTTTTACCTTCACAGTCATATAGTCTGTGAAACACTAATGATAGTTTTCTATACCATATTTGTCTAAAGATAACTTTTTTCTTGATTTTAGATGACCTCACTGAGTTGGACTTTCTTCTCTTTGCTCCTGGCAGTGTTCCCACTGATGCCGGTTGTAGGTCGAAAGCCAGACATCTCTCTAGTGTATGAATAATATTGTATTTTATTCTATTTTCAATACACTTTTTTTTCCTCAATTAACACTGTAAAATTTGAACCTAATCTTGGTCAAGAATATAAAATCATGTGAACTAACGGGAATTTAAAATACCAATATCAAACCATTAGTCATGATTTTGGCCTAGGTTCTAAGAGTCATTAAACCTCCTAGTAGGTGCTTTCGGGCTTTCATAATGAAATTGTGCCACTGATAACTTAAAATCCCGCCCATTTTTTTTTGTTTAAGTCTAGAAGGTTTTCTTTCTTTTATGCTTGGAGGAATCAGTAAAAGTTTTAGTTTCATGTGAAAAAACATTCTGTTGCCAAAACAAAAATGTCTCAAAGCTACTGTGTTAGCCCTCTTTGCTTTAATCATGTCCACACTAAAATGTCATGTAAAAATTAAATTTTCTGCTATTCTAAATTGAATGTAAAGATCTCCATGGGAGGAAACTCTATTCACCTTGCCAGCTTTCCCATGTTTAACCACTCAAATTGTTTGAAAATTCTTCTGCATATCTTACCTAAATTCCTTACTGTGCTGCTATATTTATTTCTCTTCAATAGACCTAAATAAATTTATAAAATAACTGGTTACCTTTGCTTTTAACTGCACTTTATTGTCAAGTAAATTATGGGCTGTTTGAGTGTGCATATGATCATTATTTCATTTAACATTTCCTCTCTTATTGTCTAATCATGGGAATTAGAAATTAAATCATCTTTGTTACTTTCTTCAGAATGCTATAAGCATTTTTTAAAACATTCTAACCAAGTCTGTAATGGATAATGGTATATATTTTTAAATCAAGGAAGATTAACTAAATACTATTTTGTAAAAATATGTGCTGATTTATGAGATTCTATACATTTTCTCCTATTTGTATGAGAATACCAATATGCAATAGACCAGGAAATATCCCAGGAAGTCACTTTATTAGCAGAGCTCAAAATAATTGTATTGAATTCTAACACCATACTATCTAAGCCATACTTTATTAGAGTGTTACTAGGTAAAAACATTTTGCAACTGTCATAACCTATAAATAGTATATGACAAAATGAATTCCAATATTTTCATTTATTTCTTGCTTCAGATAGCTCTGTAAGCTCTTGTATTGTTTCTATAAAGCCCCTTTCCTTCCCTTTGTCAGTCTCTGCCTATCAGTCCTGCTCAAGCAGTATTGCCATAGTTGAGCAGAATTTATCATATGCTAAAAGGGAAGGAAATTGTATAAATTTGCCACTTGCGTATTCTACTAAAGATGAATGTGGGAAGCAAATAAACTTGTTAAAATATGAGAAATCTAATTTATATTTTAGAAAATTATATTGTTTCCCTCTAAATTTAAATTGCTCAGTGACTTTAAGTTTATCCTACTAGCTATATTTGCAACTTATTTATTTTGATTCCTGGTTCATGGGGAAATTTCTACTCTCCTTTTCATCTGTCACAGCATCTCCCTTCTTCAGAAAATCACAAAGATGTGATTTTGTGAAACATTTAAGGATACAATTAAAGGAAAAAGCAAACGTGTACAACATGGTTGTGATGTCTGTTACTCCAGTGTTCTAAAGTAAAAACATATTTGCCAATAAGTTTAGATACCAAATTATTTTAAAAATTAAGAAAGAGAAAAAAAGCAAAGAATCTTGATCATATGTGACTATTTTTTCCTAAATTTTAATGATAATCCATGTTGAATATATGATTACCTTTCTCCTTAGGATTCTCAAAGAGTGTATTTGAAGCATCACAACCAACCATCAAGCATTTTTCTGGGGATTCCTGCTTTGCATTCTTCTTAGGTGTCCAGCTCTGCTTTTTGCTCTTTCTTTTTTCTCTTCAACCAATTCCTTTTCTCTTAGTTCTATTTGGGTTCTGGATTTCATCCTCAGCATAATTCTGGCTGTGCTATGTTATTCAGATGTTAAGGAGGTGAGAAAGAGCTCAACAATAGGGCACCATTTCCTTGGTATCAGTCACCTTTGACTTTAGGAAACATACTATACCTGGTGTGTTTCCTTACTGTTATTTCATTACTGTACAAATGCCTCACCTGCATGCCACCCATGTGACCACTGCCTACCCCTTCCCTCAGCCAGGAGCAGCTGAGGAAAATACCAAGGTCTGTCACAGAAGGGAGCTGTTTTTCCTGCTAGAAATAATGTGGGTTATATATGTAGATACTTTTTGCATGAGTAAGTTTCATAATCACAAAATACATGTTGTAGATACTGATAATATACTTGTTTAGCTATCTTTTATATTGTAAATTTTTGTAAATTTGCCCAATTCAGGCTAAATATTATAGTATTTGATATGCCTAAAATTTTTTTAAATTAAATTATAGAAGCAAGGTAGAGATACTTAGAAAATTGTGGGGAGAGGTTACAAATAACCCCATCCAGCAGTATCTTTATCCTAAGATTAAAAGTTTTCTTAAAATCTTAAAACTTAAAAGTTTTCTTAAAAATCTGAAAATGTACCCATTTTGCTACTTCCTCTTGATTAAGCCAAATGACTGAGAGGTTCTGTATTAGAGTAAGATGTCTCATATTTCCATCTGATATGTGTTCGTAAATATCTGAAGAAAATTTAAAATTAATTGTATTTCAAAACAGGATGGGTGCAGGCTTGCTGGTTCTTCTGTTATCCCTGTGTGTTGTAACATCTCTCATGAAAAGAAAAGATAGCTTTATAAAGGAAGAGCTATTGGTACATCTGTTACAGGTCAGTTACAGATTTTCAATACTATGTTATACTAATGATATACTGAAATGTGTCTTATGGTTATATTTAATTATGTTCATAAAATGCCATTACCTTTATGCTACTTAGTATCTGCCAGCTGAGAAGAAAGCTTTCATTTAAGATGCTACATGGAAATGTGTTCTTTAAGAGGTATGAAATAGCAAAAGGTCCATAAGAGGCAGCCCAGTGATGCCTGAAGAGCAGAGGTTATGGAAACTGTATTGACCAAAAAGTTGAACTGAAAAGGGCTTCATCTGGACTGAGATTCTACATTGTCCTCATTTGGGTCAGGGAAGGTCACTTCCTTGAAGTGAAAGCAGCCTGGGGTATGTTTATATTAAGAATAGCCAGTTTAAGACTTCAGTTAATGTCCCAGGTGAAAATAAACTTCAGCATGGTTGGTGGCTTTGGTGTGGTGAAAATAACTTTGAACTTGATGTTTCAAAATTGAGTCAGTTCCCAGTTACGCTGCATACTAGATGGGTACTTTTTAGTAATTTGATTTCAGTTTGTGTGGTTTTTTTGTTTTTTGTATGTGTTTTTTTGAAATGAGGTCTTACTCCTGTCACCCAGGGTGGAGTGCAGTGGCACAATCTCAGCTCAATGCAACCCCTGCCTTCCAGGTTCAAGTGATTCTCCTGCCTCAGCTTCTTGAGTAGCTGGGATTACAGGCGAGAGCCACTACGCCTGGCTAATGTTGTATATTTAGTAGAGTCAGGGTTTCACCACGTTGGCCAGGCTGGTCTTGAACTCCTGACCTCAGGTGATCCACCCACCCCGGCCTCCCAAAGTCCTGGGATTACAGGCGTGAGCCACCACACAGCCACTTCAGTTTGTTTTTAATCTGTAGAGATAATATCTGATAGGGTTGTGACAGAGATCATATCATGTGATAGTCTATAAAATGACAACTTTTTCCATAGATAACGATGGAAAACATCTGTTTTTCTTTTTAACTGAATAAATAAATAAATAACCACGTCTAGACCACACACAAAAAGCAAAACTCATATGAGTGTTCTCAAAAAATTTCCTCAAGAATAGAGCTTGGATAGTAGATGGTATTTCCAAGAACACTCTGAAATAAAAATATACAACATTTGAAGGATTACATCACAAGTTAAATTCATTTTTGGAGAGCAACAGGGAACTTATAAAAAGAGAAGAATTTTTTGTCAAAAATCCTGTCAAGCCATTGGAACATATGTTTCCTTTTAAATGGTACTCTGACTGGCTTTACACTTAAGCCATAGTAGCTTTGACAGAATGTATCCAGAATAATAAGTACTTTGACAGAAGTGAATGTTTCTGAATCTCTCTCTAGGGTAGCCAAGAATATCATGCTAACATTCTTACGTGCTTTGTTAGACATACCCCTGAGTATTAGGTAACTCTGTTACAAAATTCATTTTTGCATTAGGTTTATTAACTTGCATCAGTTCCTGTACTGTCCACTGTATTTCATTGATTCCAAGATACACATTTTTTCCACATTTTAATGTCTCAGAAATAAGAATGTCTTACATTCTTGCTAGTTAGAGTCTTTCACTACCTTCTCTTTTTTTAACCTATTTCATCTTTGTCTTTAGGTGCTGAGCACAGTGCTCTCCATGTATGTTGTGTATAGCACTCAGAGTAGTCTACTCAGGAAGCAAGGACTGCCTCTCATGAATCAAATTATTAGCTGGGCAACATTAGGTAAGAGGCCACTCAAACCAGGTGAGGTAATTTGACATCAACTTAGTTATTTTAAAATGATCTGTTTATGTCTGTATCATTGTTATTGAAAGAAATAATTTTATTGCAGGAAAATAATAATAACTGGCTATTATTTCTATCTCTTGCTGGAATTTAACAAAGAGAATTTTTATGTTCATGCATGTGTTAACAAGATAATTTGATAGAATATTTATGAGCTGATAATAAAGCTATGTATTTATTAACATCTCATAAGATTTGACTAAGTGATTCCAAAAGAGATAAGGGTGAAGAGGATCTTATGCCTCATTTTCATGCCAATTCATAAATTCTCTGTTCTTACACAGGGACTGGGAAATGTTTAAATTTTATCTGTTTCCCTTCCTGAAAATAACATCGACTAGTATACCTTACATATTTTTTAAAGCTAGTTAGACATTTGAAAGCATATTTTTCTATGTAGTCCTCTTAATTAGGAATGTTGGAATATATGTGTGAAGCAAACATGTAATTTAAGGACTTAGGTTTTCCCTTCCAGTTGGAAGACAAGAGCAAGTTTTGAGCTCAAGTTTTTTGTTCAGAAAAGACACTTTGTAATGCCTGTGAATAATTTGACATATGCTTTAACTTTTACATCTTTTGATGATTTTTGTTGTTTGGGTCATGGGGGCCCACCCCTCATGAATGGCTGTACTAACTTACATTCCCACCAACAATGTACAAAGGTTCCCCCTTCCCCACATCATTGCCAGCATCTGCTATTTTTTATCTTTTTGATAATAGCAATTCTAACTGGGGTGAGATGATATCTCATTGTGGTTTTGATTTGCATTTCTTTGAAGATTAGTGATAGTGAATATTTCTTCATATACCTGTTGGCCATTTGAATGTCTTCTTTTGAGAAATGTCTACTCAGATCATTTGCCCATTTTTTAGTTGGATTAATAGGTTTTTTGCTGTTGAATTGTTTGTACTTTTTATATATTTTGGTTATTAATTCCTTGTCAGATGGGTAGTTTGCAAATATTTTCTCCCATTCTGTAGGTTGTCTCTTCACTCCGTTGATGGTTTCCTTTGCTATGCAGAAGCTTTTTAGCTTGATATAATCCCCTTTGTCTACTTTTGCTTTTGTTGCCTGTGCTTTTGAGGTCTTACCCAAAATGTCTTTGTCAGACTACTGTCCTGAAGTGTTTTCCAAATGTTTTCTTCTAGTACTTTATGGTTTCAGGTCTTACATTTAAGCCTTTAATCCATTTTGAGTTGATTTCTTTTTTATGTGGTAAGAGATAAGTGTCTTGTTTTATTGTTTTGAAAATGGATATTCCATTTTCCTAGCACCGTTTATTGGAGAGACAGTCCTTTCCTCAATGTATGTTCTTGGTGCCTTTGTCTAAATGAGTTGGCTATAAATATGTGGATTTATTTCTGGGTTCTCTATTCTGTTCCATTCATCTATGTGTCTGTTTCTATGCCAGTACCATGCTGTTTGGGTTACTATAGCTTTGTAGTTTACTTTGAAATCATGCCTTCAGCCTGACTTCATGATGCCTCCAGCTTTGTTCTTTTTTTAAAAGCTTAAGATTGCTTTGGCTATTCAGAGTCTTTTGTGGGCCCACATGAATTTTAGGATTTTTTCTATTTCTGTGAAGGATGTCATAATTTTTGTTTTATATATGTTGTTTGAAGCAAAATATTCATAACTATTACATTATCATTGTGGAATGTTACTTTTAACATCACAAAGTGTTCTTCTTTGCTTTATTGATTGTTTTTGGTCTAAAGTATACTTTGGTATCAGGATTGCAACTCTAGATTTCGTGCTGTTTCCATTTGCCTTTATTTTTAGCCTTTTTGAATCACTGTGTTTTAAGATTAGTTCCTGTATTCTGCGTAGAGTTAGGTTTTGCTTTATATGCCAATTCGACAATTTTTTTTCTTTTAACTAAAAAGGTGAGTTGAGCTCATTCACATTTACTAACATGACTCGTAGGCTTGTTCTCAAGAAGCATATAAAACACTGCATAATGTGTAGGTGTGCTCTACTACAACAAATTGAAGATTCTGTCAAGAAGATTCTGTCAAATCTTATGTTGTAGCAGAGCACACTTGTACATTATGCAGTGTTTTATATGCTTCTTTCTCTATTTGGAGTATCCTATATGATTTTATTTATTGTCCTTATTGATTTGATTATTGTTTTGGAATGGTGAGGAGGAGATTCAGAATCAGTTTACTGCTATTGTTCACCAAACATGAAAGTTTCTCTGGGCATGTATTTTAAACAAGATCTTTCCTCCTTGGGATTGGTAGAGCTAGGTTCTAGAGGATACCTACAAAATGATGTAAGACATGAAATTGTTAACTCATAGGTAAGTCATCAGTATCTCCAAAGGTCTCTTTTAGGCACAGATACACCATGGTCTAGCTTTAATGAGCATTTTTGCTTAATATGCTATGATCTCCAAATGGATGGTATATTTTGAAATTGGTTCTACTTATGTCATTTAGAATAGAGACTCTTATTTCCCCTTTATTACCTTATCAATCATTTAGACAAAAGTAAAACAAGGACAGAAAATGTGTACAGTTTTACAGAAGAGGTCTCATTTGAACTGACTTTTATTATTTGCTTTTTATTTTTTTATTTCTTAACAACCACCGTATGTCCAACAGATTAACTGACTTTTAAAATCAGACATATTGAAATGTTATTCCTTCCAGTTAAAATATGTATCAGTTTATTATGATTGGAGCTACACATCTGGAAAAAAAGTCAGAAGCTACTCATCTAAGGGTATTAAAAAATGTAACTTCATAGTCTTAAATCTTGCAGTGACTTGACTTTAGGTGAAATTGACATTACATGTAACTTAATTTAGAAGATGTTGACTAATAATAATAACCACAGTTAACAGTTACTAAGCACTATGTGCTAGGCACTATGCTCAGGGAACATTGTATAGGTGAAATTGTATTTAATCCTCACAACTTTTTAATGTTATCTCTATTTGACAGGTGGGTAAATTTCTGCTTGGATCAGTTAATGAACTTGCCCTATAGTTTAAACAGTTAGTAAGTGATTCAGCCGGGATTTCATCCCAACTTGTCTATCTTCAACCTCTAGAGCACTAGGGGGATTAGAAAGTTATGCACATTTCCTTCCCAGAATAGAGATGGAGGAGTTTATGTTTTGCCACCCCACCCACTTCATCTGCCCTTCCTCCACTTGGGTAGTTGCTTTTATTATCCCGGGGGAGAGTCGATACATCTCTCATGCATGGTGAAGTCATTCCTGTTTCTCTTTTCCAAGGGGCATACTGCAACTGTCAGTGCATACTTTACGGTGGGAAAACTTGGAGAAGGAATGGGTTAGGAAAAAATCAGTTTCTGAGGAGTAAGTTGTCTTTGAACTAAGATATAAATGCCTAATTAAGCAAAGAGTGCTAAATCTTGAGTAATACTTTTATTTCATTAGAAAATAATTCATTTTTGGGTATATACCCAGTAATGGGATGGCTGGGTCAAATGGTATTTCTAGTTCTAGATCCCTGAGGAATCGCCACACTGACTTCCACAATAGTTGAACTAGTTTACAGTCCCACCAACAGTGTAAAAGTGTTCCTATTTCTCCGCATCCTCTCCAGCACCTGTTGTTTCCTGACTTTTTAATGATTGCCATTCTAACTGGTGTGAGATGATATCTCATAGTGGTTTTGATTTGCATTTCTCTGATGGCCAGTGATGATGAGCATTTCTTCATGTGTTTTTTGGCTGCATAAATGTCTTCTTTTGAGAAGTGTCTGTTCATGTCCTTCGCCCACTTTTTGATGGGGTTGTTTGTTTTTTTCTTGTAAATTTGTTTGAGTTCATTGTAGATTCTGGATATTAGCCCTTTGTCAGATGAGTAGGTTGCGAAAATTTTCTCCCATGTTGTAGGTTGCCTGTTCACTCTGATGGTAGTTTCTTTTGCTGTGCAGAAGCTCTTTAGTTTAATTAGATCCCATTTGTCAATTTTGTCTTTTGTTGCCATTGCTTTTGGTGTTTTGGACATGAACATGCTGCTATAAAGACACATGCACACGTATGTTTATTGCGGCACTATTCACAATAGCAAAGACTTGGAACCAACCCAAATGTCCAACAATGATAGACTGGATTAAGAAAATGTGGCACATATACACCATGGAATACTATGCAGCCATAAAATATGATGAGTTCATATCCTTTGTAGGGACATGGATGAAATTGGAAACCATCATTCTCAGTAAACTATCGCAAGAACAAAAAACCAAACACCGCATATTCTCACTCATAGGTGGGAATTGAACAATGAGATCACATGGACACAGGAAGGGGAATATCACACTCTGGGGACTGTGGTGGGGTCGGGGGAGGGGGAAGGGATAGCATTGGGAGATATACCTAATGCTAGATGACACATTAGTGGGTGCAGCGCACCAGCATGGCACATGTATACATATGTAACTAACCTGCACAATGTGCACATGTACCCTAAAACTTAGAGTATAATAAAAAAAAAAAAAAAAAAAAAAAAAAAGAAAATAATTCATTTTTGAGTTAATATTATTATAGTTATCTGGGCTGAATATAAATTGAGAAAATATGGGCGTAGTTAAAAAAATGAAATGTAATGTTAATTAAAAATGTGAGGCTTGACTGTGATTAGGGGAAATGTAGCCTCATGTTCAAGGTCACAAAACAATAAATGCCATAAATGATACTAGATTATTCAGAGCTTCTACAGTAACTTTTTTTTTTAAGATGGAGTTTCACTCTTGTCACCCAGGCTGGAGTGCAGTGGTGCAATCTCGGCTCACTGCAACCTCTGCCTCCCGGGTTCAAGCGATTCTCCTACCTCAGCCTCCTGAGTAGCTGGGATTACAGGCGCCTGCCACCACACCCAGCTAATTTTTGTATTTTTAGTAGAGACGGGGTTTTATCATGTTGGCAAGGCTGGTCTCGAACTCCTGACCTCAGGTGATCTGCCCACCTCGGCCTCCCAAAGTGCTGAGATTACAGGTGTGAGCCACCACGCCCGGCCCTACGCTAACATTTTTTTTGTGTCTCTTATACTGACAGATGACCTGTTCTGTTTCATTGCAGCCTCTTCCTTGGTTGTGCCACTACTGAGTTCTCCAGTTCTCTTTCAGCGATTGTTCAGCATACTTCTTTCATTGATGTCAACCTACCTACTTCTAAGCACAGGGTATAAACTTTTTAACAATTTAATTTTATAGCAGCAAGTTTTAAATGATATATTGATATTTTCTCTATTAGTATTTAACTTCTGGAAATAAAAAATGTTTTCTAAATCTTGAGGGATACATTATAAATATTTTCTTCTCTATGAGAACTGTATCTGACTTGATCTGTAATCTTCTGTTTTCTGTTTTTTAAATCCATTTCATGATATTGCTTGCTGTCTTTGTCTTTCTCTTTTCTGAAGTTGCTAAAATACCATTTAACTATAATGTTAAAAAATTCTGATTGTGGAAGAATTTTGTCTCATTGATTTTTATTTTTATTGCATTCCTTATATTGATTTTAAATTATGCTTTGATTTGTCCATTCTTCTTTGAATATAGTATTTTTTTAATCTTACATATCTCACAGTTCAGATATTCATTTGATTCAGAGAACCTTCAGAATATTTTCCCAAAACTTTTAAAGATTTTTATTTAAGATTGAAATTTTCTTGCCAAAACAAAACAAAAAATCAGCAGCTTGACTTGGGGTAAATCCCAAAGCATTTTCTAGAACTCAGTGAAGACAGGGATATACTCTGTCCATTAACTTTGAAGAATTCTTTTCTTGCTTTTGAATTTTGTCCTTACTTAAATCTTTATGAGGGTAAGAAATGTGTACATTATAACAAACAATGACTAGAACAAACAGTGAATAAACACCACTCATAAACAGTTTGAATTTTGGCCCAAATACAGAATCTTGATTGAAGTTAGACTAAACCTAGGGATTCACCATTATGCTATGAGATTATTCACAGTTCAAATGATTTTGTAAAGCCATTTGGGGTCTAAGGCTCAGGTTCTCCCTTTTGGAAACTTAGTTGTCATAGTTCAAAATTAGAGAGATGTTCTCAAAGTCTTCCCACAGTAGACTCTAACACCCTAAGTGACCTAGACCCCAGGAGTTCTTGTAGTCTCATATAAGAGATGATCCAGTGGGGCCCTAAACCTTTTTTTCACCAAAGCTGTCTATCTTCTTTTGTTTCCCTTCCCCCTGCCTAACCAGATGTGGGCCACAGCTCTGAAGATGTGATATGAATGTCATGGAAATTTTTACCAGTTACCTAATAAGATTATAAGATAGGCTTCCTTTGAGATTTAGACCTTTGAAATATAACTTTAAAATAAAACTGGAAATTTATGAGCATCTGTTATTCAAGAGTGATGAACATCATGAAAGCTTAAAATCTTTCACAGTTTTCACCCTTTATTAGTGAAATTTCAGGATAAATAATTTTGTTAAATTAGAATCTATGAGAGTAAAAATGAATTCAACTATGCACAAGTTTTTAATCTATATAAGGAAGCAGAAGTTAAAATAATTTCTATTCTAACCTACCATTTCAGGGAGACTTGTGAGTTTTATTAAGAGATCACACCCAGAGGTTGACTTAAGGAAATAAATGTTTGAAAGCGTCCAGAAATATGTACTAAATTCTGTACAGTCTCTTAATAGGCCTTTCTCTTTTTTGAACTTTCAAATTCTAAAGCAATAAACAGATTTAAAGGGATGTGTAGTTGATTAAAAATGTAAACAAATATAAAAATAGATCTGATTTGCTGGATTAGAAAAGGAGAGAAAGAAGCAAGGATAATTGAAGTTTAATTTTGAATGAAAAACTATTTCATAATGTAGCATTAGTTAATCATGTAACTTACATAGGGGATAAATATTTTAAATCATCAATTTAATAGTCATAGGAGATGCCCAAACAAATTATCATAATAAGCATAATCATAATCATAACTTATTTTAAGAAAATCTAAAAAGTGAAAATTTATACCTAAAATCAGAATAATAAGGCACTATATAACCTTGTTAATGAATTCATTAAGAGATACATTATTCAACATCAGAAAGTATATCTAGCTTTGCCAAAAAAAATTAAAAAGAGTATCTTGAAATAGCACAGTTCAGTCATTTCAATCAGTACATCTTCTCAGTGTCAAATCAGTTTTGCAAAACACAGTCCACCTGTTATGATTCAGCCTCACCATTTTGGATGACCTGGAGGGTTCTCTACGTAAATTAGTGAATATTCAGAATTACAGAGTATTTAAAAGAAATGTAGTTATATTATAATATAGAAATATAGCAGCAGTAATCCTAAATTCTTACAATGCATCCTTGATTTATTGAATAAAGAAGATTCATTTTTAATCAGCACTTAATTATTTTTATGCAAATGGAGCTATTGTAATACTTGAAAATAGTTTGTTCTCTTGGTTAAAGTTGGTTAAACATTTCCCTTTGAAATTTTCTTTGCATTATTCCTTTGCTTAGCAAACTGTAATACAAAGCTAAATGCCTTGTCTGCCCTATTCAATTTTCACAGAGACCAAACCAGCAGATCCTAATTTAGTAAGTTTTCATTATGTTCTCCCTGAGCCGGTGATGACATTTCATTGATATTTCAGTTTATTAATGCAGATATACAGACTTTATATGAACTATTGATTGTTTTAAGAGATAAAGTCCCATAGGAAGATTATCTTTATCTGGTTTATTCATCTCCATTTTACAAAAGAAAGTGATCATAATGTATAGTTTTTGAAAGGAAATAAATTCTACTATTTGTAGAACTATGACATTTATGTTTTTAAATATTAGGAAACAGTAACTTCATATATAACTTCAAATCTTTAAAAAAATGACGGTTGCCTTTTGTTCAGAGTATGCACCTTAATTCAATTAATCAACAGTTGTTTTTTCTTTCATATCTCCAGTGTCCAGAGCACTATGCAATCACACAGAGAGAACCATTAGTGTACTGCTAGTGTACAATAGAGTTATAAGCTGCTATAAAATAAGAACTATATTTTACAGTGTTAGGCAATTACAAAATCAAACAATTAAGTTACTGTGAGTTAATGAAGTTGTGAATTGTATGAAATGAAGACTGACTAGAGAAAGAGCTTGAATAGGAAAGCTGAGTTAGTGCCATCAATGATGTTGAACTGAACTTTAAAGAAAGGCCAGGGATACAAGCATTGTAAATATTTGTTTTTCAATTTTTAAAAAATCATTGGAAAAATAGTGTCATCACATTATCGAAAGTAGGAATAAGGGATAAAATCATGTATTAACTCTACTCTTGTTAATGTTCTGGTATATTTCTTTCTGGTGTTACCCCCGTATTTGTCTTTTTAACATAGAATTAATCACAGTACATGTTCTATTTTGGATCTTTTTTTCTAATTAACATTATTTCAGAAGCATTTTCTAGGTGGCTCTTAGGCTTTCTAGCCACCATTTTAATAGATATTTAATATTTCATGATATGGATTTTGTTTCAACTTTTTATTATCACAGATAATATTTTGAGTTATGTTTTTATGCATAAGCTTTTTCATAGTCTAGATTATTTCCTTTGTTCACTTCTCATATAGTGTATTTGGGCCATTGGGTGTGAACTTTCTTTTTTTAACTTGTAATTGTCTTAAGAACAGTGCCAATGTATAATATCTACAACAAACTATATATGAGGGGTACTATTTCATCATATCTGTAACAAATATGTAACAGTATTTGGTATTTCCATTTTTAAATAAGAATATCAAATGTTATATTAATAGGTCAAAAGTGGCACTGCTTTGTACAGTTTTCTGTACTTGTTTTACTCATGATATTTTCTCATGTGTGTAGGTATCTGTTCATATCCCTGGGCCTTCTAAGTCTTATATATCAAGTGATTTGTGTATGCTTTCTGAAACCTGAATCTTTCCTTCTGCCCAGTCTTCAGTGTTATAATTTTATAATTTGTAATAGCGTTTAAAGTGTTTGGTTTTTTTTGCTTTCTTATCTTTAGGAAATAGTGGCGTATGCTGTAGAGTTCAGTAGTTGAAAGACTCAAAAAGGAAATAAGGCTTTGTTTTGTTTTGTAACTTCTGATTAGATAAATAACTCACTCAGCAAATATTTGTGAGCTGGGCCAGCAGTGGTAATGAGACAGACAGACTTGGTTTTCAAAGATTTTATAAAGTAATAATAGACGCTTACAGGTAGACATGTGATTAAGATGGTGTAAGTACTATAATAGAGCATTTAGGGATTATGAAGGTGGAACATTTACCCCAGACAAAGCGGAAACTGTTTAGAAAAGGCTTCTATCACTGTGTTGTCTCATGAGCATTTCTTCTTTGTTTTTGTGTCCATTTTACACTCCAGCCTGTAGGTGTACCACACATTTAATCATTCCCCGGTGGACATGTAGGTTGTTTTCTGTTTCCTGCTTCTGTAAACAATATTACAACAGATATCTTTATAATGGAAATTGTAGCACATGTCTGCTTATTTTCTCAGGGTAAATTTTTAGAAATGGCCTTATTGCATTATAGTATATGAATATTTTTGAGATTCTTAATACATAGTATCAGATGGTCTTCCAGAAAGTGTATATTCCTATAGAGAGCATATGAGAGTTCCTTTTTCATCACATTCTTGTCAACACTGTTTTGTTTTTGAGACAGAATCTCACACTGTAACCTGGGTGGGAGTGCAGTGGCGTGATCTCAGCTTACTGCAACCTCTGCCTCCCGGGTTCACGTGATTCTCCTGCCTCAGCCTCCCGAGTTAGCTGGGCAGGCGCACACCACCACACCCGGCTAATTTTTTGTATTTTTAGTAGAGACAGGGTTTCACTATGCTGGCCAGACTGGTCTCGACTCCTGACCTCGGGATCTGCCTGCTCCGGCCTGCCAAAGTGCTGGGATTACAGGCATGAACCACCACGCCTGGCCAACACTGTTGTTTTAATATTGGCAAATATGATATATCACCATTGTTTTCATTTCCATATGTTATCAATAAGGTCAAACATAATTTTCGTGTTTGTGTTCTTGTTGCGCCCATTTTTTTGAAAATTTAGAGTGTTCCTTTTCCTCTTCTATGTATGTTAATAATTTTACCTCAAGAATTATCTTTTTACCTTTGTCTTCATGCCTTCTTTCTCTTTTATGTATATCTGTCATTTGCTTTATGAATGGCTTTTATATATTTCTATTATTTTAAACACATAATTATCTCAAGATTTCACATCACTCAAAAAAGATGATGTTGGAGTTAAAATTTAAATATTACTTTCCTACTTTCTTCTTAAGTTTTGTAATATTGTGACTTAGAAGTATTATCAAATTGTTTTAATTTTGAGAAAGACCTCAGTGTAAATTTGCATTTTTACTTATTTTACTGTTTTTTTCTTTTCATTTCTACCTTTCCCCACCTGTTAGGTATGAAGCTCTCTTTCCACTAGTGTTGTCTTGTTTGATGTTTGTCTGGATAAACATAGAACAAGAAACTCTACAACAATCTGGTGTTTGCTGTAAACAAAAGGTAGCTGGTCAAAGTCATTTTTGTTTTTATTTGAGACTATTAGTCTCTATCCTATAAGGAAGTTGCAATATTATTTCAAAAATTCTTTCTACTTAAAATTTTAGTGTTAAAAGTTTTAGTTGTTTGGCATTAATAATTAAGTTAAACTTAATAATAGATAAGGAAGATTTTTTACTTATCACAGAAAAGCACAATTTTGTTGTTGTATAGGTTGGGCTTTTCTTAGTGATTACTTGAGGATCATTGATTTAAAAAAGTCAATATAAGTGAAGGAATACAGAAAAGAATGCTTTTTATCTTATTTTCTTCATATTTCACATCCAATTTTTCCTTCCGTCAATTTATCTTGGAAGAATTTTAATGTTGTCACAAGTCAATTTATGAATTTTATTATAAGGTGACATTTACGTTTCTATTGTTGTTTTTCACTTTCTGGTCATCCTAATCCAAATTGCTTATTCTGCTGCCTTAATGATTGTGGCCTCAGTCCAAATCTTAGATTGTGTATGCAACACATAATACTTTGAGTTGGCTAAAATCCAACCAATTTTTAAGGATACCTTTATCATGGTGGGCTACAGAGTTAAATTGATGTTTCTTGTCTATATTTAGAGCTGATGGTAATTCTGAGAAATTGGTGATAGAATATTTGCAGTTTTACTAAGGTCGGATAAAATGAATATTACAGAAAATACTTTCATAGTTGATCCATCGTTATATGGCTCCAGTTGAGTTTGTAGATTGTTATTGATAATTCAGAATGATTAATTTCAATAAAGAAGAAACTTTATTGAGGCATATTTAATAATTACTGGTTTTAAACTTTTAGTCCTTGAATATTAAAATAATACATGAAAAGCAGTTTTGAGCAGATTCATGTAAATACTCAGAGATTAGCCTTAATGTTAAATATTTTGTCAGGCTGAGGATTATTGTGTTACTTTTTAAATTCTATGTTTTTAACTAAAAGCAAATGTATTTCATTCTAGAAAAGAGTATTAAAACATCCCAAGAACTTACTAGAAAATTACATGGGAAGTAGGAGTGGGGAAAGTCTACCTTTAAATTCACCCATTAGTGTTCTATTTGTGGAGGGTGATTAAGCAAGAGTGCACTCACCTTGTTGGATTGAGTGGCTTTCTGTTCTACCAAAGACAGGACTATGTTGCTTTTTTATAGAAAGAAAATTTCTCTGCAAATAGAATTAATAGAGGGACAAATAAACAAACATTTAATTTTACCATGTCTTTTAATATGATACCATATCTAGGTTTAAGATGATCAGGACACTCTGAGAAATTAGTCTTTGAAGAGGGAAGAATTATATAGGGATTTTAAAATGAAGCATTTATATAAGATAAGAAAAAACTCAATTCTCACTTTTATTACACATATAGCAACACTACAACTGTGTTCTATATATTATTAGCAACATATTTTACCTTTTGGCACATTTTATTAAGGTGTAATTAAACCCTAGGGAAAGATTTATTGTTTATTGTTTATTGTTTATTTTTTTGTCAGCACAGGGCATGTTTCTAGCCATTGTAACTTAGCCATTGTAAGTTTGCCTTCAAATATAGAAATAAGCCAACTGTTATTGTGCATTAATATTTTTCTTATTATCTCACAGCTCACCAGTATCCAGTTCTCTTATAATACTGATATAACTCAGTTTCGACAGCTATATCTGGATGACATCCGTAGGGCCTTTTTCCTTGTATCCTTTGTGGAGACTTTGGTTTAAAGAGCTGCAACTCCCACTTAATGGAGTAAGAAGACATGGAAGGTGTTTCTGCCCATCACTTAATAGTGGTGTTAAGTACTTTAACCTCCCTGAACTATAGTTTTCTCATGTAATTCACATTAAAAATTTTTTTGAACTATAGAAAAGTATAAATAATTTTATGTATGTATATATATATATTCCTGCTATTCAGATATTAGCCATTAGTACTTTGTCACATATGTTTTTTAAAAATGTGTTTTTAAGAAGTTAAAACATTAGAGCTAAAGCCAAAGTCTTTCAACTCCCGACTTCAATCGAATTTCTCACATCCTGGAAGAAACCACAATTATGAGTTCATATCTTTTTATGTGCATTTTATTCTGAACTCACATTACATAACATCTGTCTCACAGAGGTTTTTGGATCACATCAGAGGCAATGTTGTGAAAGTTGTTAGTAGTAGAAGTTTGAAAGACAGTATGGCAGAGGAAAGTCTTAGTTTGGAAAGGCTGACTGACTAGCTGCAAGAAATCATAGGGATGTATTTCCTTTATTTTATTTTATTCAGCTTTATTGAAGTATAATTGACAAAAATTGTATATATTTAAGGTGTATATTTTGATGTTTTGATATATGTATACATTGTAAAATGATCACCACAATCAAGCTAATTATCATATCGATTGCCTCACGTACTTACTGCTTTTTCTTTCTTTCTGTTTTTGCAGTGAGAACACTTAAGATCAGCTCTCTTAGCGCATTTCAAGTATACAATACAATATTACTGACTATAGTCACCATGCTGTACATTTAATCTCCAGACCTTATTCATCTTGCACAACTGAAACTTCATACACTTTCACCAACATTTCCCCTTTCCCCACTCCTCTCAGCCCTCAGCAACCATCATTCTACTCTCTTTTTTAAGTGTGACTATTTTACTTTTGCTAGCTGTAGGAGTTCCTCGTATGTTTTGGATATTAACCCTTATCAGATACATGGCTTGTAAGTATTGGAGGCATTTTCTTTGAGCTGACCATGGTGCAGAGTCTAGACCTCAGGTACAGGAAATAAATATTCCATCCTCTCTGTCTCTTGCTTTTACTCTGTTTTGCTTTCTTTCTCTCTTTACAGGTTCCTTCCAATCAGCTAATACTATTAAAGCACTTTACCCACTGAACCTTGCATTTCCCTAAATTATAATTTCATCTTGTCCTTTCTGTTTAATTTTTTGAAAGAAAAATTTATAGTTGCTGCCATTATTTTCTCTCCATGTATATGCCATATCCGCAAACCTCTAACAATGCCTGGCACGTAGCAGTGCTCTATCAGTATTTGTCAGATGTCTCTGCCGAAGTTGTACTGTCAGTGGTCTGCAGGGGCTTCCTGATCACTCAAATCTATTCAGTTTACCTGACCACACTTTAACATTCAAGTCTATGTTTTCTCTTTCTTTTCCCTTCACATCCAGTACACAGTACAAGTTTTCTTCTAAGATTTTTATATCACTTCTATTCTTCTTCTCTATAATTACTTCCTTTGCCTGATCTTCAGCCATACTTTTTTCTCCATGCTCCACCATTAACCTTCTTTTATTGTGCCTGGTTTATGCCATATTTTCCTGTAACTTTGGTAGACACTTCTATGCAAACAACTCTAAGATGTGTTTTTCCAAACTTGACCCCTTTCGTGACCTCGAGGACCACATGTCTAACATTCTGCTGGGCATCACCAAATATGTGTCCCAAACTGACTAACAACTGCCACTCCTCTTCAAAGTCACTCTCTCTGGCAGGCCTTATCTCATTTAATGGCATCACCATACTCCCAGTCCCCAAGACATCCAACTTGTTGTCATATTTAACTGCTCCTTGTCCACTTCTAAAGTCCCTGTGGCTCCCTTCACTCTAGATCTTCATTCCCACTGCATCAGTTCACATTTCCTTATCTCTGACATGGACTACTGAAATGGCTCCCAACTTAAATTTTCTGCCTCCAATTATTTGTCTCCCTTATCTGAATATCACACAGTCACTGATGTTTCTTGATTATAACACTAGCCTAAAAGATTTGCTACTCTTCACTGTATCCACAATAAAGTTCAGGCTTTTTAAAAAAAAAAAAAAAACAAAAAACGGAGTCTTACTCTGTCACTAGGCTGGAGTGCAATGGCACAATCTTGGCTCACTGCAACCTCCACTTGCCGGGTTCAAGTGATTCTCCTGCCTCAGCCTCCTGAGTAGCTGGGACTATAGGCGTGCACCACCAGGACCGGCTAATTTTTGTATTTTTAGTAGAGACGGGGTTTCACCATGTTGGCCAGGATGGTCTTGATCTCTTGACCCCGTGGTCTGCCCGCCTCAGCCTCCCTAAGTGCTGGGATTACAGGCATGAGCCACTACACCCGGCCCAGTTCAGGCTTTTTATTAATATGCCACCAGTCTATATTTCTTGCTTCATCTTTCACCATATCCTTCGATAAAGTCTAAGTTCCTATCTGTCAAGCCTTTTTACTCTTTCTTGGCGTTGTCATTTTTTTCTCACTGTTCTTTACCTTAAAATGTCTCTCCTCTATTTCTGTCATCATATCTTAGTCACCATTTGAGTATTTTGAGACTATTTTATTTATGTTTATATTCTTAGTGCCTATCTCTGTCTCTGACATCTACTAGACAATAAACGGTTGCTTAGATGATTCGTTGAATCACTGAATGCATGAATACATTAAAGGCTCAGCTCACCAACTCAAATGCCTCTTTTTCACTGAAAATTGTCATGATTCGTACTTCCTCTTCGGCGTTGCCTCACCATTTCTGTGGGTGTCTATGGTAATGAAAGAGCTAATGCTTATCAAGCCCTTTCAGTGGGCTAGGCACCATTTTAAGTGCTTTGCTAGCAGTAAGTTCTTGGACACTAAGATTAATATCAATGTTTTATTGCTTTACTAATACAAATGTAAGTTTCAGAAATGTCAAAAAGATGTTCAGCATTTTCTCATGTGTCATTCTCTATTGAATTATTTTAAAACATGGTATCTTGTTTCTTCCTGAGCCTTTCAAGTGGTCTAGCATGTGCTTAGCAGGTGGTGGGTTTACGGCAAGCATATATAGACTATAACTGTGTCTCTCAGCTGAAAATATCTATGATACACACTAGATCCATGTTTTTCTTTTGAAAAAATCACTAGCAGCCCACTACAGATATGGTCCACCTTGCTCATATTAGGGAAGAGGAAAATAACTTACTAGGAACTGAGTGAGGATGACCTCTCAGGCCTCATTATTCTCGGTACACAGCCTCTTCAATCTGGCTGTTTTAAAATGCATTCACAAGGAGTTATAATGGAATGTTCATTGAAAACAATTCATGGTACAAGTAAAAGAGCAAATTACTCTCAAGGTAAAATTAGCATATCTTTTCTAAATGAAAAGGAAATTTGTATGAAATCTGAGTTGTTTTGCCATTTCCTTGACTCCCTTTAGGTTTTCTTCTTAGTGACAGCATTTTTTGGAACTGGAAATATAGCTTCTATTAACAGGTAATTTTAAATGAAAGTGGCATATATATATAACTAAAAAATAATGCAACCTGGGACTTCTATACCTTTTGTTCTGTACCTTATTATTTTTTTTTCTTTTTGAGACCAAGTCTCACTCTGTTGCCTAGACTGGAGGGCAGTGGTGTGATCTCGGCTCATTGCAACCTCTGCCTCCCAGGTTCAAGCGATTCTCATGCCTCAGCCTCCCGAGTAGCTGGGATTACAGGTGCCCGCCACCATGCCTGGCTAATTTTTGTATTTTTAGTAGAGACGGGGTTTCACTATGTTGGTCAGGCTGGTCTCAAACTGCTGACCGCAGGTGATCCACCCGCCTCAGCCTGCCAAAGTGCTGGGATTACAGGCGTGAGCCACGGCACCCAGCCTGCACCTTGCTTTTTATACTGAATGATATATTTTGGAGATTGGTATGTATTGGCACATTCGGATCTACTGCGTTCATTTTAGTGGCTTCATAATATGATGTTTGCTTGTGTTTTAGTAAGTAGATTTCAGAGAATTAGTTTAAACATCTTTTTAGAAGAATATTCTTTTAAAGTTACAGAGTGAATTCTAAATTCTTTTTCCTTGTTATAATTCCCTAGCTTTGATCTTGCCTCTGTCTATTGCTTTCTGACTGTGTTCAGTCCTTTTATGATGGGAGCCCTGATGATGTGGAAGGTTAGTTTTCTTATTTTGTTATTTGTCTTAAGCTATTGATTGATTAAGATTATAAAGTCATTTAGACAGAGTTAAGTAGCAATGGAAAGAAGATATCCTTTCAGAGTTGGCACTGCTAAACTGGAGGTGAGACCCTCTATCCCTTACTCCAAACCACAGTTAATCTTTTTGCTTTACTCATAAGTGCATTTGACTTCAAAAGAGTAGGGATTCAACTGTTAATCTGAGAGGATCTTATCAGATGTGATTAAAGCCTGTGGGAAGCTATGGATCAAACTGCAGTGCTGCTAAAGAGTATAAGGTTCCCTGAACCCATGTTCTCTACCCATGAGATTGCCAACATAATCTTTTCTCATAAGCCATGTACCTGGAATTGATCAATTCATTCAACAAATGTGTCATTTTCTGCTATATTTAGTAATGTGCCAGATATTAGCTGGGTGCTGACAGTACAAAGATAATGACCATTTTCAGCTTTCCAGGGGTTCAGATTCTTCATTAGAATGTAATTCATGTTCTTCTTCTCTAAGGTCATTATGCTTGTTTTATTCCCTTTACCATAATGCCTGACACATTTTACTTAGTATATATTTGTTTAAATAAAGTAAACTGATTCTTGCCTAAAATCCGATTACCTAATGTTCAGATTTATGAATAAAAATGGTTAAAGGTGTCATCTTAATAGGATTAATGTCTACTTTTTGTTATTACACTAATACAAATGGAAGTTTAAGAAGTGTTAAAAAGATGTTCAGTTTCTCACATCCTGTTCCCTACTGAGTTATTTTAAAACATGTTGCTATTTCCTTAATTTTCACTCACATTTTTTAAATGGTTTTTTTTCCCAGTTTATTAAAGACCATTGGCCTTTAATTAAAAACAAGCAAGCAAGCAAGCAAGCAAGCAAGAAAGAAAGACAAAGCTCAAATTAGAATGCTAGGTTCTTAATCTCCAGCACAATGCAGTAAGCTTTAATGACATAATACACTTGATGACTTTTGTTGACTGATGTGTCTAGAAGTGAGGGCCCTGCTGAATTCTATTTTATTCATATGTCCTTCACTTGAAAAAGAACTGTATGCTGCCTTGAACATCATTTATTTTCCATATCTCCCCCTGTTTTGAAACATCAAGTTATATATATTTTTCAAAATTGATAATTGGAAAGCAATACCTCAAGATATTAACAGTATTAGCTCTGGATTATGGATTTTCAACCAGCATAAATTTTACTATAGCTTTATTTCAAATGTTTTATAAATTTTTTCATATTTGTTATAATGAGTGTGAATTTTATAATCATAAATAAATGTATTTTTTTAAAAAAGGCAAAGATTAAGAAGCTGAATCATGTTTATAATGTTATAGTTTTAAATAACCAGATGGGTTTAAGGATCTGTGAATCAAATTATCAGGTTATATAATTTATTTGATTTGGGCATTCTGTGCTTTTCACACCCTCTTGGAATCTTTTGAACATTGTGGTTAATTATTAGAATACATTAAATGGAACAAAATTTGTAATAGGCTTTTATTTGGAATATGTATTGATGTTTGCTGTCTTTTACATCGTATAGCTTATTAATGTAGGTTTTTAAGTCAGTTTCATCACCGTTCTATGTGCCATTGGTATCATGCTTTTATTTCAGTGTTTGCTCTTCACTAGTATATATAAAAGTTACTTGAGAAATTGAAAATATTTCTGTAAGCAGAAATAGTATTTTTTTCAAAAAGTGTTTCAGATGCTTCAGTTATTCCTTGCATCATTTATTGTTCTTTTACAGATTTTAATCCCCTTTGTTCTTGTTATGTGTGCTTTTGAAGCAGTTCAGTTGACTACTCAGTTATCGTCAAAAAGGTAAGATGAATTAGTTTAAGAAACATTTGATTTGCCTATTTTTAGGAGATGAGAGTAAACTTTCGAAGACATTTCATATGATTGCTATTAAGACACTGTAACATAGATTGTTTATTACAAAAATGAGAAAATTTTCACCCGTTTAGTCAGTGTTGCTTGTCATTAGAGGAAATTAGTTGATTAGGGCCTCTAGCAGACAAACTTGCTTTCTCAGCAATAAAATGTTATTAGAGTATTATTCAAGCTAGTGAAGAACCTCCCTAGAAAACAGTAAAACATAAATGTTAAATTATTGTAGTTAATTACTTGTTATAACTGTGCCTACAAAAAGCAAAAGATACTCTAACTTTTATTTTGGTTTATTTCTTAAATATGTTATATAAATATGTTAACATTATTTCATTTTCCATGACTTAAAATTAACTTTTCTACATGTCAAAAATATACTCAGTTTCTCTGTCATGATTTCTGTACATTTGACAAATGGAGTAGGAAGTATTCTTTCTGAGTTTTGAGGAATTTCTGGAGCAGTCCGTCTTAAGCAATCAAGACTGTGGAAGAAAAGCTGTCAACTCAACTATTTGCTTTTTTTAACCAATAAAATTGCCTCATCAGCACAGGGACTCTGTAAAATACTTGATATAAATATGAAGCTTAGCAGTTTTGTTATTCTTGAATCAAGCTAGCATATTCAATGCTGAAAGAAATAACTAATATTAGCATAAATTTGCATGTTGTTCTTGATGAGTATAAGCTAGAACTGGGTTTAGCATAGTATTATGGATATGCCATAATGAAAAAAGTTTTTCTTCCACTGCTTAAGAATACTAGAAATCTCATTTCTAGTTTTAGTATATTTTTGCAGGATATTTACATGAATTTAATATTGAAAGTATTTATGCCTTGTCAATATCACATAAGAGATATTTACTTAGATGCAATAAAAACTGGTGAATGACATGTACTTTCCTGCATCTTTGTTGGTGGATAAGATTTTTAGAAGGGATTTTAATTAAGGTTTAAATAAGAAGAGCTGGGGACATGTGGAATGAGAAATAGAAGGCTCATCAAAATGTATGTGTGTATGTATTCTTATATTTGTGCGTGTCTATAGTAATGCTATCTGGAAACTAGTGCAATGAAAAACAAAACACAACAGGAGAGAACTGAGGCAAAGGTGGCTCAGAAAGGTCTCTTTTGACCTTTAAACTCAGAAGTCACTGACATTTCTTCCTGGATATCACACTGACTCATCAAATTTAATGTCACACATTGAAGCCAGTGATGCCTTTTCTTCCTATTGCAAACTAGCTTCTCATCCTGTTTTCTTTATTTAATACATCACACAAGCTGAAGTCCAGCCACCCTTACTGCCATACTGCTTACCAAATAATCACTGATATCATCTCTCCTTTCTGTTCACCTTTTAACAGTCTTATTATTTATATTGCTAATCATTTTCTTACAACTGTTGGAAGCCTACAGTTAAGATGGGGGTGGATATATATACTAATGACTTATTTGTTTATTAGGTCTATAATGCCAAGGACGAGTTCAGTATAACAAACCAGTGAAATGATTCTGCTTCTCTTCCGACTCACTCCTTAAAATGTGTATTGAACAAAAGTGAAGTAGAAAAGTTGTATTAACATTGTTTTTTTTCATAACTTAAAATTTACTTTTCTAATTATTAATAATTTATCTAGTGTCTCAGTGTTAATAATTGGGTTCATCAGCAAAACCTTGTAAATTTTGGGTAGAGACCACAAAAAGGTAGTAGCTGTGCATGAAGATTACCTGATAGTTTATCTGTTAAGAATGCTTATGGATGTAAGCAATGAAAATCTAACTAACAGTAGCTCAGAGAAATAGAGATTTATGTCCTCACGTCACATGGAGTCTGGAGGTTGGCAGCCCATAACTCTGTGATGCCATCAGCAACCCTGCTTTTCTGCATTCCTAAGAATGGTAGATTCTTAGATTGTTGCTTTTACCCTCGTGTTTTTCTCATCATGCCTCCATCTGCCATCGTATCTCATCTGCCATCCAGACAGGAACAAGGGAAAAGGACTAATGAGGAAAAAGGCAAGGAGATATGTCAGCCGATTCTCCTTTTCTGTCAGGGTAGCAGTGTCTTTCCCAAAGGCCCCATGTAGCAGATTTCTGACTATGTCTCTATGGCCAGAACTCTGTCTGGCACACATTCATTTTAAACTGGAAGGTTGTTAGGGAAAAGGAAGGTGTGGGGGTGTGAAACAACCTGCCAAAAGTGTCACAATTGTGGCCAGTTCATTTCACAGTTTGAGATGACATGGACCATGAAGACCTTTGTCACCTTCAGAATGCAGCAAAGCATGAGAGAAGATTAGAAGGCCGCTGAGAAAGAGAAACAAGTTTTAGTATTACAGAAGTATTCAACAACCAACCATATAAGATCTGAAAGGGATGATTTTTCAGTTCTGTGTTTGATTAAATACTCAACTGTACAAGAGCCATGGCTACACGGCAGGGATTGGGGGAAAAAAAACACAAAAACTTGGAAATAGCAGTTGTCAACAATGTGATCTAGCAGCCAAAAAGCTAGTTTTCTCATGCCCTCTATTAATTGAAGTGAAAATATTTTGACTCTAATTTTGAATATACCATTTTGTTCTGATGGATATTTTTATCTCCAGAATGTTTTGCTCACATATTTAGGAATCCAAATTTGAATCAGAATTATTATAATATTGAATAACTTTTATTGGGAAAGTGTTTTTATGTGGGTACTCTATTAAATCAGCTTAATTTTTAAATTAATTTTATATGAAGTAGAAGTAAATTACTTCTAAGTATTTCTATTTTGATTTTTAATTTATTAAAATTATTTTTATTAATTTTCAGAAACTTTTTGTGTTATTTGTTTTTATCTTAAAGTCTATGGATTTCAGCTCCTGCCAGAGTTTTTTTTTTTTTCTTCTACAGTTATCATATCTACCAGGTCTCATTCACCTAGATCAGATATTACAGATCTGGTTATTGTCAAGATTTGCTTCTTCCATCATTATTTTGTTAGTTACAGATTTTATTCTGTGGTTTTAGCCTTCTACAATGTTATTTGGTGTTGTTTCTACCAGGTCTAATTTTTCCTGGGTCAGATTTTTTGTATTCTATGAAATCAAAAGGAAAAGGCTCTTAAGTCAGTCTTAAATCTAAAGCATATTTCACAATGTGTGGCATTAGCCATTTTCAGTTTTATTTTATGCTAATTTCTCCTACTATTCATTCAGTACATAGGGTTTGAGTTTGTATCATATACCGGGCACTGTACTAGCCACTGGTGATACATTTTGTGATCAGAGCTTACTGTCTACCTGGGGAGACAAAGAAAATAAAATGCTTGTAATAACAAAATTTCAAGTAGTGTTAAATGTCAGGGGAAAAAATGAAGTGATTCAGGGAGACTTCTCTAAGGAGAAGCAATTTATGCAAAAACCTTAATATGGTCTTTACTCACATAGTTTTATGGTTCACTCAGGTGGAGGGAGTGAAACATACAAAGGGCATGAGTTGAAAACATGCTTGGTGTATTTGGAGAACAGCAAGAAAGGTAGCCTTAAGCAGAGTGTGCTAGCAGAAGAATTGTAGGAAATAAAGTTGAACAGGTTGGCAGGGGCAGAAAAGAAGGGGCCACAGATAGGACTTCACCATTATTCAGTTGTGGCAAGAAGCCTTTGGTAGGTTTTGAAGGCTGTTCTGTCTGTTGCATGGATAATAACTTTAGGAAGACAAGAATAAGAGCAGGGAGATCAATTAAGGGTCTTGCAAGTGAACAATCACAGTGGCTCAGTGGGGATGATAAGTAATATTTATTATCAATTGGATAAAAGCTCAATAGCAGGTATTTATCTCTTGAATAAAAAGGTATTTACGAGGAAACTCATAGGATCTAGGTACACAGTAGCTTCAAAACATCTTGGAGATCAAATAATACCATATAACTAACCTGACTTCAATAAAATTATTGTATTTAGAGCAAGGGAATGATAACCCTATCCTTCTTAAAATTAGATCACCATGAATATTGAATAGTGTATTACATTTATGCCTTCGCATTTGAGCAACATATGAATAAACGAGGGAACCAGGGACACATTCAAAGGAACGTGGTGAAGATGCTGAAGGCCTCTGAGAGTCAGTAGAGCCATAGGGAGGCAGTGTGCGTAATGGTTAGGAGCACAGGCTGTGGGGCCAGACTTGCTGTTAGAAGTCTATGACTTACTGTTACTAGCTGTGTGACCTTGAGCAGGCTTACTTCTGGGTTCTTCAGTTTCCACAGAATGGTTCAAGAATATGAAGATTTGCTCTGGAAAATCATTTTCCTTCCTTTTAATTAAGACTTAGTTCAGGGATCGTATTCTCTGTTAAACCTTTTTTACCCAACTGCTCCACTCTCCAGAATCCTTCCACCCTCAAATTTCTGGCTAAGTTAGGTAACTCAGACTGTGGCTGATAAAATTGTTTCTTACTTTTCTGTTTCACACCCAGTTAGGGGCTGATTTGTGTCCCCTAAAATTCTTATGTTGAAGTCCTGACCCCCAAGTACCTCAGAATATGACTAAATTTGGAGACAGGGCCTTTCAATAGGTAACTAAAATGAGGTGATATGGGTGGGCCCTAGTCCAATATGACTGATGTCCTTATAAGAGGAAAAGATTAAGACACAGTCAAACACAGAAGAGATAACATGTGAACCTAAGGGAGAATATGGCCATTTACAAGCTAAGGAAAGAGACCTCAAATAAGACCGATGCTGCTCACACACGATCTTGGACTTCCAGCCTCCAGAACTATGAGGAAATTTATATTGTTTAAGCCACTCAATCTGTGGGACTTTGTTATGGCAACCCTAGCTAATACACACCTTGTGAACTCCATAAGGGGAGAGATTATATCTTTAATTTCATTTAAAGCTTTTGTTTAAGGAGTGAGAATGAAACCGATATTTACTAGGCAGATACCATATGTCAGGCACTGTATTAGGTACTTTCCACATATTACCTGACTTAATTTTTCCAATGATACTAGGAAATATAGATATTATTACAACCATTTTATAGATAAGGAAACTGAGGCTAAGACAATAAATAACTTAATCAGATGTGTCTTAACTTCAGAAGGATCCCAGAATATCATCTGTGTCACACAGTAATATAATTATCTTTAGAAAAATAAAAATATTTCTAAAAAATCAAAACTTTTTAAAAAAGGTATGTAAAGGTTTTTTAAAGGTTTTGTTTGTTTGTTTGTTTGTTTGTTTTGAGGCAGAGTCTCACTCTGTCACCCAGGCTGGAGTGCAGTGGTGTGATCTCATTGCAACCTCCACCTCCCACATTCAATCGATTCTCGTGCCTCAGCCTCCCGAGTAGCTGGGCTTACAGGCATGTGCCACCACACCTGCCTAATTTTTCTATTTTTAGTAGAGCCGGGTTTTCGCCATGTTGGCCAGGCTGGTCTTGAACTCCTGGCCTCAAGCAATTCACCCACCTCGGCCTCCTAAAGTGCTGGGATTACAGGTGTGAGCCACCGCACTCATTCTAAAGCTCTTTTGAATTGTATTTATTATTTTTCTATTCCAGAAGAACTGGGTCCATAGGGTAGAATATTTGTTGTGCTTTGATTCACAGAAGAAAGAACTCTGCAGTAATTGGAGCTGCTGAAAATGGAGTGGATTCTGTTGCTGCAACCACTAAAACTAGTGCTAGACAATGCCTTTATTGGGATTGATACTTTGGGAATTCATGCTTTAGGTAGAAGGTTGTACTGGATGACCATTGCATTCTCTACAAACTCTTAATCAGATTAACACACTTTATTATGTGTCTGAATGGAATTATACTTCAGTAAGATATGATCAGTCTGACTTGTGGTATATATCTGCATATGTGAATTATTGAGTTACATGTCTTTATTTCAAACCTATGGTTAGAAAAACAATTATTTATTAAAAAGAAGTCACAAACCTCTACCAAAACCTCACACTTTATTCAAAAATTAACTCAAAATGGACCACAGATTTAAACTTCTAGGAAAAAAATAGAGCAAATCCTTGGGATTTGGGTTAGGCGAAGAGTTAGGCTTGACATCAAAATTGTAACCCATTAAAGGAAAAATTGATAAACTGGACTTCTTCAGAATTAAAAGTTTTTGCTCTGTGAAAGACTCTAGTAAGAGGAAGAGAACATAGGTTACATACTGGGAGAAAATATTTACAAACCAGGTTATCTGACAAAAGACTAGTATCTAGAATATAAAAAGAATGCACAAAACTCAACAGTAAAAAAATAATTTAATTAGAAAGTGAGCAAAACACCTGAAGAAGATATACAGATGGCAAATAAGACAATGAAAAGTTGTTCAGCATTATTAGCCATTAAAGGAATGCATGTAAAACCACAATGGGTTGGGCGTGGTGGCTCATGCCTGTAATCCCAGCACTTTGGGAGGCCGAGGCGGGCGGATACGAGGTCAGGAGTACAAGACTAGCCTGACCAACATGGTGTAACCCCGTCTCTACTAAAAATACAAAAATTATCCGGGCGTTGTGGCGGGTGCCTGTAGTCCCAGCTACTTGGGAGACTGAGGCAGGAGAATCGCTTGAACCCAGGAGGCGGAGGTTGCAGTGAGCCAAGATTGTACCACTGCACTCCAGCCTGGGCGACGGAGCGAGACTCCATCTCAAAAAAGAAAAAAAAAATCAACAATGAAATATCATTACACACTTACCAGAACAGTTTATCAGAATAGTTAAAAACAAATAGTGGCATCACCAAATGCTGTTGAGGATGTAAGGAAATTGCTCTCATGCATTGCTAGTGGAAATGTAACATGGTACAACCACTCTGAAAAGAGTTTTACAGTTTCTTATGAAACTAAACATGCTACTGTTGTATGACCTAGCAATTGCACTCTTGATGTATTTTCCTAGAGAAATGAAAGGTTTACACAAAAAATTAGACACAAATGTTTATAAAAGCTTTATTTGTAAGAGCCACAAACTGGAACAATAGCCACAAGTAGAAACAACCCTTGATGTCCTTTGGTGCTTGAATGGTTAAGTAAACCATTGTATATCCATATGATGGAGTACTATTCAGCCATAAAAGTAAATGACCCATTGATACAGCACCTTGGATGATTCTTGAGAAAATTATGCTAAGTGAGAAAAGCCAATCCCAGAAGGTTACAAAAGGTAACAAAGTGTTATATAAATTGTTCAACTTGTTATGTATGTGATTCTACTCATAAAACACTCTTAAAATGACAAAATTATAGAAATGGGGGACAGATTAGTGGCTCTCAGGGGTGAGGGATTAGGCAGAGGGATGGTGAGGGGAGGACAGATGTGGCTATAAAATGGCATCATGAGAGATCTTTGTGCTGATGGGAACACTCTTTACCTTGACAGTATCAGTGTCATTGTCCTGCTTGGGATATTATACTATGGTTTTACAAGATCTTCCCACTGGGGGAAACTGGGTAAAGGGTACAGAGGATCCCTCTGTATTATTTCTTGAAATTGCATATTAGTTAACAATTACCTCAAAAGTTTAGTTTTGAAAATCATAATGTATGTCCCTTTCATTTTACTGAAATAAATATTCAGAGCACTTAATAACACATTTTACAGTCCAGCTCATCTCTATGGTATGGTCACCCATGATAATATGAAAAGAACCTTTGAAAGTTGTATTTTCAGAAGCAAAAATACCAACAATACTAGGTTATTTGCCTAGTCTCACTTGGATTTTAATGAGCTTGAAAAATGCACCTGTTGTATTAGATGTAATTTTTCCTTCTTTTTTTTTCCAGCCTTTTTCTCATTGTTCTCGTCATATCAGACATTATGGCTTTGGTAAGGCATTACTGGGTAGTCCATATAAATTAGATTAAGAGTCCTGGGTTAATTTAATAAAGAGAAATATGAATGCATTTTGGTACGTGAAATCTTTAGATGTTGAGTTGTAAGTGCTGGCATAATTTACACAATAAATTATGTTCTTTTATATTAGTTATGCAGGATGTGTGCTCTTCTTCAGGTGTCAAAAGTCTTACTACTTGAATTTGTCATACCTCGTCTTCCATGTTGCTTTGTATCTGAAATGAACCTTCCAAAGAAAATTAGCAGAAAAAGCTAACTTTAAATTTAGATAATACATCATTTTTCTACTGAAATGTTGATTTTTAACCCTTCTCTCAGATTAAAAATGAAAGGAAAAGAGGGAGGGAAGGAAGGAAGGAAACAGGAAATACAGCTTTTCTGTTGGGAAGATGTTAATCAAGACGTAGCTGCAATAAATGAGTTCTGATGTATGTAGGTAGGCCTCTCTCATTAACAAAAAGAGGAACCTATTTTATGTCTACAACTTTGGGGAGTTCCCAAGACCACCCTCAGCTTTAGTAATTCACTAGAATTCACTGAAATCACTGAATGCTGTTATATTCAGTTACAGTTTATTCCAGTGCATAGGGCAGAGTCCAGGACACCAAATGCCAAGCTTCTGTTTCTCCCTGTGGAATCAGGACAGCATTACCCTCCCACTATTGATGTGTGACAGTACACATGGAGTATTGCCAACCAGGCTTACCTAAGCTTTGTTGTCCAGACTTTTTAGTGGGGCTTGATCACATACTGCCTACCTGGCTGACCTTTAATCCCTTCTGGGGATACAGCTGGTAATATGGCCCAAAGCCCTCATCATATATCACATTATTAGACTGTCCAGTGGCCAAGCCCTCAGGCAGAACCTTCTATGAGGCATGACATTCCATGACATTCCAAGGGCCCAGAAATTGCCTCCCAGTAGCTGAGAATGAACACCAGCGGTCTTTTTGGGTAAGGTTAATTTGTCACCATATAACATCCCATGCCAGAAGTAACTAGGAATACTAATAAGGGTAGCTTCCCAAATCAGATTCCTAGTCACTCGGTTTAGATGAGAGTACTTTTGTGTGGTGGTGAACCATTATTCATTGTATTTCTGAAACTGACCACACATAATGTGAGAGCAAATCAGCTTTCAGTTTTGTGCAAAGTGACAAACAGACATATTAATAGAAGAGGATTGAAATTCTGATTAATTTTGTATAAAAAAGATTGCATAAATTGACTTGAACAGCCATTTGTGATATAACTTCTGCTCATTTGATTGACATCTTCTCTTACCTCTCCATCCTTGTTTTCTCTACACCATCCTCCCTTTGACACTACCAAGCTCTCTCTGGACTCTTGATGTATATATAGGCTATTCCCTCTGCCAGAAACTTCTTTCTATCCAAACCTCCTTTCATCTGACTCCTACTTTTTACTTAGATTTCACCTTGCAATGGGAAGCCTTCCCTTCCATTCTAATCAGGGTATGAACCCCTTCCTCTGTTTCTATAATTGCCTATATTTTCCAATGATAACACTCCCTCCATCCCCCCCTTACACACACACACACACACACACACACACACACACCCCTGATAATTTGATGGAATTATTTACTACAGCCTATGCCTTGTGAGGAGGAGTTTATCTCCAGCACCTAAGACAGTGATCGGCACACAGTAGGTAGTCAGTACAGTAAATATTTGTTGGTAGATGGATGACGTGGCTTCTTTCCACTGACATCTTTAGTATTATCTAGTTTTTTTTATTGATGTTGGCTTGTTCTTCTTTATTTCTAATTATTCAGAAATGTCACTTTTGTGTTCATTTGATTGATAATTCTATTTCTGGATTTTAGACTACTGCTAATTCTAATCCAAGCAAAAGTTTCAGTAAATGACATATTCTTGTTGATTACAGTCAGATAGTGATTCTTAGAGTCAGAAATCTGAAACATACAGTCCTAAAATAGCTTTGTTTTTAGACTGAATCTAAATAGCTTTGTTTTTCATTAAGCCTTTTTTTTTTTTTACAGCATTTTTTCTTCTTGGTCAAGGATTATGGCAGCTGGCTTGATATTGGGACAAGGTATAGTATATATGGTCATGCATTGCTTAACAACAGGGATAAGTTCTGAGAAATATATTGTTAGGCAATTTCTTCACTGTGCAAACATCACAGAGTATATTCACACAAACCTAGATGGTGTAGCCTACAACACACCTAGGATATGGTACAGCCTATTGCTCCTAGACTATAAACCTGTACAGCATGTTATCATACTGAATACTGTAGGCAATTGTAACCCAATGGTAAGTATTTATGTATCTACACATAGAAAAGGTATAGTAAAAAATTCAGTGTAAAAGATTTTTTAACTGGTATACCTATCTAGGACACTTACCATGAATGGAGCTTGCAGGACTGGAAGTTGTTCTGGGTGAGTCAGTGAGTTATTACAGTAACCTTTTTTACTTTATAAGGTTCTTAACTTTTTGACTTTATAATAACACTTAGCTTAAACACACAAACACATTATATAGCTATACAAAAACCTTTTCTTTCTTTATATCCCTATTCTCTAAGCTCTTTTCTATTTTAAAATTAATATTTTAATTTAATATTTTAAAATCACTTTTTTTTACTTTTTAAACTTTTTTGATAAAAACTAAGATACACACACACACACATTCACCTAGGCCTACAGAGGGTCAGGATTTTTATTTCCACATCTTGTCCCACTGGAAGGTGTTCACAGGCAATAACATGCATGGAGCTGTCATCTATGACAACAGTGCTTTCTAGAATACCTCCTGAAGGACCTGCCTGAGGATATTTTACAGTTAAATTTATATATATATATATATATATATATATATATATATATATATATATATGGAAAAGGAGTACAGTCTAAAAAACGATGAAAAATATGGTATAGTAAATGTAGATACTGGTAACAGTTGTTTATTGTCATTATCAGATATTATGTACTGTACATAATTGTGTGTGCCAGACTTTTATAGGACTGGCAGTGCAGTAGGTTTGTTCACACCAGCATCACCACAAACAAGCGAGAGTAATGCTTTGTGCTGCAAAGACACTGCGCTATCACTAGGTCTGTTATCATCTTATGGGACCACCATGTATATGCAGTCCATTGTTGACTAAAACATCATTATGTGGTGCATGACTACACTCACGCAGAAGTTCTTAATAGTGCAGTAAAAAAAAATTAAAACTTAGTATCTTAGTATAGAAGGTGCCCATATGATTTTGAGGTAAGCGCAGCAATTAGCAATTATTTTAAGCCCCTGGAAATGAGACATCTTTCCAATTCTTGGCATTAGCACATTAGCAAATGTTTACATGGAATGCTGTGGGGAGGATGATAGATGTTAAGTCTAGAGAGAACTAAAGGGCAGCAGAAGATGCAAGATAAACTGCTTGAATCCGCGGTTTCAAAGTTGATCATTCCAGAGTCCTAGTGTGTTTTCTTAATCTCTCATCTCTGTTTAGAAAAATGAGGTTGTTCCGGTTGCAGTATGAATTTTATATGGTGGTTTAAATTTCATGTGATCATTATCTGCCTCTTAGAATCTTTAATATGGTAACCTTTTAACATGTGATAACTATTTAAAGTGTAATTTGAGGTCAGGAACAGTGGCCCACGCCTGTAATCCTAGCACTTTGGGAGGCCGAGGTGGGAGGACTGCTTGAGCCCAGGAGTTTGAGACCAGCCTGGGAAACATAGTGAGACCCTGTTTCTACAAAAAGCAAAAAAAAAATTACCCGAGTGCAGTGGCCCATGCCTGTAGTCTCAGCTACTCAGGAGGCTAAGGCAGAAAAAGTGCTTGAGCCTGGGAGGTCAAAAGAGTTTAGTGAGCCATGACTGGGCCACTGCACTCCAGCCTGGGCCACAGAGTGATATCCCATATCAAAAAAAAATTAATTAATTAGTTAATTAAAAATAAAGTATAATCTGAACAAAAAGTCAGGTTCCTTTTTATTGTGATTTAAATTTCAATGATTGCCATAACCTGTTAAATTTCTTTTCTTTGAGAAGAAGAAAGCAAAATTGACCCTTTTGCCTTTTCTTCTCCAAATGCATTCTGAGACAGAATACATTTTTGTATACTGATTTTATTTCATTTAGTCAATATTCATTCATCACTTTGTGTTGCCAGGAATTGTATGGGTTTGCAGGAGACACCATGTGTTAAACATCCTCTTCCCTCTGTTGATACCTCTTAGGCAACTCCTGGCATGTACTGCCTGGTTATTTATGTACATATCTGCCTCTCCCAATAGACTGTGGATGCTCTCAGATCCAGGATTGGATTTGAATCTCTTACATGCCATACGTGCTTGGTACGTAAAAGGTACTCCATAGAAAATTGATTTGGTTTTCATTTGTCTCTTATACTTGAAAGTTTAGGGAAAGTTTAGATATCCCCTTCTGCTTCCCAGCCCTCTCATTCTAAAGTGTCCAGGCGGATAGTGGCCAGAGCATGGGCTTTAAACCAGAGCGCCTGGGTTTGAATCTCATTTCTGCCACTTTTGAGCTGTGAAACCTTTGCTAAGTGACTTAATCTCTCTAAGCCCCCCGTTTCTCTTGTAGTCATTTTGAATGAATTAATTTATATAAAGCATTTAAGTATTTAGCATAGTGCCTGGCATCTAATAAGCTTCAGTGAATGTCAGCAATTGTTACTGTTGTCATTCTGTAATTCTGTTTTTTTGTCCTTTATAGTGCTTCTTGCATTTGGCATACCTTTCTTTACCATTTGATTATTTTCATTTTAGACATTGGTCAGAATTTTGTTTCAAAAATATTCTGGTAAAATACAGTATTTTGTTTATGAGACTTTTTCTTTTATTTTTAATTGTGGTAAACTACACATAATGAAATTTGTCATCATAACAATTTTTAAGTGTACAGTTCAATGGTATTAAGTATACATTCACATGGTTGTGCAACTATTACCACACACCATCTGTCTCCAGAACTCTTTCCATCTTGAGAAACAAACTCTGAATGCATTAATCAGTCACACCCCATTCTCCCGCTCATCAGCCCCTGGCAACCACCATTCTACCTTTGTTTCTATGAATTTGATGACTCTGGGTATCTCATATAAATGAAATCATACAGTATTTGTCTTTCTTGCAACTGACTTATTTCACTTGGTGTAATATCGTCAAGGTTCATGTATATTGTAGCATGTGTCAGAATTTTGTTCCTTTTAAAGGCTGAATGATAGTTCATTGTACGTATATATGCATATGCCATATTGTTCACCTGTTCATCTGTCAATGGATACTAGAGTTGTTTCCACCTTTGTTTATTGTAAATAATGCTGCTGTGAACTTGGGAGTGAGACTGTTTTGATGAGAGAAATTAAATTGGTTTGACTCTAAACAGGTGCCAAGGAATGAAGAAGATGCAGTTTTCATAGGAAGATGTGCATCATTAGTTTATGAACAGGCATTCATTTGTATTGCACTAAGAATTTTAGATTTTCTTTAATTAGCTTGAGGTTTATCTTTACCTGGCGTGTTTTTTCTTCAAAGTAAAAATTGTTTACTCTTATTACCAGTAATAACATGTATAAAACATAAAGCACTTTTTCATATCCATGATCTCAATTCAATCCAGCAAATATTTATTGAGCACCAGCTGTATGCTAGGAGAGTTGCTGGGGATGAGAAACTCACAGTTCTGGGCTTTCAGGAAGCATAAGGCTGGAGGAGGAAGCAGATCCGTGAGCAGGCCATATGGTGCAGTGTGAGAAATTTTAGAGTAGTCTCTCTTGTACTGTGGGGACACTTAGGGTGTCTCTCTGAGTCTTGTAGCTTAAGGAAGGCTTTTCAGAACAGGAGCTGTCTGAACACTGCAAGTGTGGGGCTTACAAGAGTACATTGGGTCACAAGAACTAGGGAGAATGTGTAGAGTGAGAGAAGGTGAAGAGCAGAGAACAAGAAGTGTGGAAACAAGGCTGAAAGAAGTGGCCAGAAGGCAGGAGAAAATCTAGAGAGAGCAGTATTGTGAAAATCAAGCGAGCATTTCAGGCAGGAGAGAGGTCATGCAGTCTCAGATATGACAGAGTGTAAGTGAAAACATAAAGGTGTGCCTTGGTTTAAGTGGCAGAGGACGTTGTTGAGCTTGGCTGGAGAAGTTTCAGGGGTAGGATCTGGTGCTAGATTGCTGTGCTGAATCAGATCCACCAATTTCCAGGTGAGGACTGCAGACCAAAGATAAACATTTTTCTTTTTTCTACCAAGACCCCAATAAAAATAAACAAACTTAGCAAAATGAAAAGAGTGGGAGAAGGACTATCAGCAAATTTGAGTTCAACAAATTTCTAGAAGATAGATAACCAGAGGGAGGAAACAGCAGCTGAGAAACTACAGACAGGTATGGCAAAGGGAAAGGAGGTCCAGGGACCTCAGACTCAGTGAGACAGTAATGTGGAAGGAGGAGTGAGGAAGGGAAGCAGGAGATTAATTGGATATCTGCCTACCAAATGATGATATCAACAGGCTCTCCATAGCCCGTCTCCTTCCTTCATCCCCATGGAGAAAGTGCTACAGGCATTTTATTCCAAGTAGAAAACCAGAAGACACCTCTAAAGAGACAAAAAAACAAACAAACAAACAAAGACCTGGGAGGAATTTCATTGCTATGATATATGTGCCTCCACTTTAGTAAGGCTGTTCTCCATTCTAGCATGTGTAGCCTCCTCCTAACAAAGGACAGAGACAGGCATCCCTCCCGCTCATCCTAAAACACGACACAGCAATTCTTATTACATGCATAGAACTTACTGGTGGCCTTCCTATTCGTGAGTGAGACCTAGAGGGAAAAGAAACTTTCTTAAAAAGTGAAATACACACTACCTCTGACCCAGCAATTCCATGCCTAGGTACCCAAGAGAAGGCAAAACATACGTATGCTGAAAGACTTGTACAGGAATTTTCATAGCAGCTGTATTCATAAGAACCAAAATCTTGAAACAACCCAAATGTTCATCAGCACATGAATGGGTAAACAAATTGTGCTATTGCCATACAATGGGATATTACTTACCTATAAAAAGAAATGAGTAAGTGATGAACTCAACTACATGGATGACTATCAGATACTTTATAGAGTTAAAGAAACCAGATATGTAAGAGTATATAGTGTACTCCATTTATATAAAATTCTAGAGCAGGCAAAACTATAGTCACAGAAAGTTGACCACTGATTGTTTGGGGCTGGCAGTTGGGGTATGATTGACCACAAAAGGGCCTGTAGGAACTTTTAGGGTGACAGAAATGTTCTATATATTGAAGTTGTTTTTAGTTACATGGATGTAGCATTTGTCAATAATCGGCTAACTGGACATTTAAAATGGTTCCATTTTCTCACATGTAAATTATACCTCAAAGTTGATTCATAAGGAAAAATAGAAAAACTAAAAGTTGAAATGAGTGGAGCCTAGTATGCATAGATTAAATTCTGGTTAGTAGGAGGGACTTTGTTTCAAATGGGTGCATGCATAAACAACAACATAAAGGTAATAAGTCATATTAGGGGGGTAACCACCAGAAGATCTAAAAAGAAAAGTAGTTAGAGTGGTTGCTGTAAAAAGTGAATAAGAAGGAATGAAAGATTGTTGCTTTTCATTATAAATCTTTCTCCATTATTTTGCTTTTCTAGTACTTGCATGTATGACTGATAAAAGCTAAAGAGAAAAATGCATAAGTAGAATTGGAGGTCAGGAAGTAGAGTTCTAAGTACAGACCACTCTTTCAAGTTTAATTAGAAAGGGGAGGAGAAACAAAGTAGTATTTGCATGGGAATACTCTCACACCTCCCTTTGAGGGAGATTATATTTTCATTTATTTTACTAATGAGCATGAGGAATATTATAATTAGAAGGAGTGAATGTCCCTAGTTAAATCAGTTTAATTACTCTCTGTCAAAGAAGGATTTTGAAGGCATTATGTGGGGCCCAAATGGAGTTAACTCATTCCCAGAGCAGAGTAGAGGCAGAGAGCCTCCCACAAGGTCACAGCAAGGCTGTGCATTGCTACACAGAGTCCACATACCCAACAGTTGTTTATCTGAGATCGGAGTCCTGAAAGACGTGATAAAGGCTGTTCAGAGACCACAGAGTCCTCTCTATTAGATAAAAGGCAAAGTAAGATAGAAGCTCAAACTTGAGTAGGAGGCCCAGGATGTCAGTCAAAGGATTGCCCCTGGTCACACATCTACCAAAAATAACCAACACTTCTACTGTGCTACTCTATTTACATTATCTTCTACATTATTTCATGTGATTTTCCTCGTAACACTGTAAAGTAGATACTATCGTTCACAGTAGATAATTTTACCATCTCCATTTTACAGATGAGGACACTGTGGCCCTAAGGAGATTGGGACTTGCTCATGTCACAGAGTCGATCAGTGGTTGAGCTGATCTTAAAGGATGCACTTGTGAATGGGGAAGCTGCCATGGGGTGTGTAGGCTGCTCAGTCACTGCCTGTTTTGTGCATGCTGCCAAACTGCACAGTTGAAAAAGTGATTTGTTATTTATGTCAGAAGACAGAAACAAGTAGTAAATGTCACATTGGTAATTAAAAGGAAAGCCTTGTGACATGAAGACTATTGTTAGCAAGTTAAAAGCTATGGTTAAAGAAAGCCTGTGGGAGTATTAGGCTGCCAAAACTAAAGCTTTGAGTAAGACCCAAAAGGGCTTTTGCTAGGGCTACAGAGAATGGGGCAAAATCAGGGAAGTAGTGATGAAACGAGATACCCAGAAGCAGGCCCCTGAACAGAAATTTTCCTTGGCTGCAGCATCCCCTTTGCTTACCTTGATGCCTGGGACTGAAATAGAGGAGATTTCAGCCTTGGAATCCTGAATTCATTATCTTTTTCCTACTTACTAACATACTTAGTCTTTCATGCTTTCATTCAACAACCACTTACTGAGCAACAACATAAGCCTGTCTTTTTTTTATTTTTATTTTTTTTTGGAGACGGAGTCTCGCTCTGTCACCCAGGCTGGAGTGCAGTGGCGCGATCTCGGCTCACAAGCTCTGTCTCCCGGGTTCACACCATTCTCCTGCCTCAGCCTCCCGAGTAGCTGGGACTACAGGCGCCCACCACCTCGCCCGGCTAATTTTTTTGTATTTTTAGTAGAGACGGGGTTTCACCATCTTAGCCAGGATGGTCTCGATATTCTGACCTCGTGATCCGCCCGCCTCGGCCTCCCAAAGTGCTGGGATTACAGGCGTGAGCCACCACGCCCCGCCAAGCCTGTCTTTTTAATTATATTCATCCTGCCCCTTATTCAGTTTTTCTCAACTGAATAATCCATTCTCTTGTTAGTTCATCATGGGTTCCATTCTGTTGAGCACTCTTTTCCCTGTTTTGTTTCTGTCACCTTCAGTCTTTCATCTAAAACTTGATTGGCAGAGTATTCCCAGAACAACTTCTCTTTCCTTTCTCTACCTCTGTAATAATGCACTGTTTTATAAAAAAGTTTTTAAAAAAAGGAAAGGAGGGGAGATAGGAAAGAGAAAGAGAAAGGAAGGAAGGAAGGCATGCAAAGGAAAGAAGGAATAAAGGAGGACAAAGGGAGGGAGAGAGAGAGAGAAAGAAAAAGAAAACGCCTTTTAGCCTTTTATTGTCCCCCTTCCTGCATCAGTATCAGCCTTTGGTCTATTCCGGAAGTCCCGTGTTTGTCCTTGTCCAGGAGGCTTTCCTTTATCCCTTCTGCAATCTTTAATGTTGCTTGTTTAAAGACTCACCATTTTTCTCTTGAAAATTCTGGGAAGTTTTTTTTTTTAGAAGTGTCAAGTTCAGCTGTTTTAAGTAATTTAATACAACCATGTTTCTCTTCTCTCCTCTCCCTCTGGGATCACCAGAAACTAATTGGGGGATTGTATTGTTTTGCCACAGAAAAACTTCTACCCAAACCTGGGAAAAGCAGGTTAAGTTAAACAGTGATTGGGAAAAGTTAAGGATTATTGAGAAAGGTATTAAACTGATGATAATGATATTACTAGAGTAGAATATCATTTATTGTATGCAGTGTATTAGGAATTGTACTTATGTTATCTCATTGAGTCTCATGAAATGATGTGAAGAAAATATTAACAATTTCTGTTTTACAGAGTAGAAACTGGTTCTGAAAGACTGATTGCACAATAATGTGGCATAGCTAGGTTTATTTTTTGCATTGTGTATGTGTTTAATAAATTGATCGTTTTTCAGAAAAAAATACATATTGAACACTCACCATACATAAAGCATTCCCAGACATTGTCAAGTACCCAGAGATGAATGGACTGCCAGCCTTAAGACTTGGTGATGCTCCATCTCTGGAGACAGATAGCTACTTCATCAGGAACTTAAGCATAAGGATGTATAACTGGTATGGGACATTCCAGTCCTGGAAGTGTATGACTCTTAACACATGGCCACTGCTTTCAGGGAGGTTATGGCCTAATATAGGTTTAAAGACATAATGATAATGATTATAGTATAAGGCAACATGTGGTTAAGGGTTATAAAAATACAGGAGGGAGGCTGCTTCACTTAAGCCTTCAGTGACAGGAAACATTATGCCAAGTCTGGCATTTGAACTGGGCCTTGAACAAAAGGTGTAATTTCTTTTTTTGTTTGTTTTATTATGCTTTAAGTTCTAGGGTACATGTGCACAACGTGCAGATTTGTTACATATGTATACATGTGCCATGTTGGTGTGCTGCACCCATTAGCTCATCATTTACATTAGGTATATCTCCTAATGCTATCCCTTCCCCCTCCCCCCACCCCATGACAGGCCTCAGTGTGTGATGTTTCCTACCCTGTGTCCAAGTGTTCTCATTGTTCAATTCCCACCTATGAGTGAGAACATGCGGTGTTTGGTTTTCTGTCCTCACAATAGTTTGCTCAGAATGATGGTTTCCAGCTTCATCCATGTCCCTGCAAAGTACACGAACTCATCCTTTTGTATGGCTGCATAGTATTCCATGGTGTATATGTGCCACATTTTCATATGTCTGTCTAAAGTAGTCTTCCCAGACCTGTAAGTCCCCTAATTGAAATTATACCTTTTGGCACCTTTTGTAATTTCAATTAGGGGACTTACAGGTTTGGGAAGACTATTTTAGACAGACAGATGGACATGAGTAAAGCCATAGAGGTAAAAAGCCCAATGCATATGTGCATGATATGTGATAAATAATTTGGATTTCAGAAACCATAGATTTTGGCTAAAATCTATAAAACCATAGATTTTGGATAAAATCTATAAAACCATAGATTTTGGCTAAAATCTATAAAACCATAGATTTTGGCTAAAATCTATAAAACCATAGATTTTGGCTAAAATCTATAAAACCATAGATTTTGGCTAAAATCTATAAAACCATAGATTTTGGCTAAAATCTATAAAACCATAGATTTTGGCTAAAATCTATAAAACCATAGATTTTGGCTAAAATCTATAAAACCATAGATTTTGGATAAAATCTATAAAACCATAGATTTTGGATAAAGAAATTTCTAGAAAATAGCCTTTGGGAGGCTTAAGTTTTTTATTTTGATATGGTCCATTTTATTTTACATTTATTACCTGTGTTTGCTTGACACATTTTTGTTATTTTTGTTTTCCCTTCCTCTCATGAGTGTTGATGCTCAGTACATTTTAAAAGAGCTAGTGCAAGCTTGCATTTAACGTCTATCATGATGTTCCTCTTGATATTTGTGTGGTACCTCCAGCCTTATCCTTAACATTCCTTTACACAGCCCTCATGGAATAAACAGCACAAAACAGCAACGACAACAGCAAAAAAAAAAAAAAAAAAAAAAAAAAAAAAGCAGAATACAAAAGCATAAAACAAATAATGAGCATCATTCAAACCAAGGGAAACAGAATGACATATCAGCACTTATAGGCAGAGAATGCATTTATAACCACCACCACCCGGTACTAGCCATGAGAAAAGGGTGTTAACTTTATGTTTCAATGATTTATGTATACATATTAAAATATTATATTATTAATGCAATTCAGGGTAAAATATGCTATAGGAATATTTCGTGATAATATTTTTTATAATGGGAGCTGCCCTGAATATACAGTGATCCTATGCCCTGATTTCCCGGAGACTTCCTGATTTATGCCTGGTGGCCTGCTATAATCATTACACCCCCATCTATACAACATTAAAAATCCAAAGTGGATAAGAAGAAGACAAAGGCACAGCCAGTTAATAAGTTATGTTAAACCTTAGTTTATCTCATTCTCAGTATTTCATCATTGGGGATCTAACCCCCATAGGTTAAACGGGATGCTTGCTCTGAGAAACTTCTCAAAGGCAGGTATAAGAAACCTTAGATCTGTCTTCATCAGGCTGATGGCACTGAACAAATCTACATAAATTTCCCACATATTCTCTTAGTCATTCCTGATGAAATATCTCCTTGCTCTGTCTTCTTTGTCTCTTATTATGTCATCTAAAAGGTGCCCACTTTAAGAGAGGAAGTTGATTGCAGGTGGGGGGAGCAGGGTCAGGATGGAGAGGCCAAAATGAAATCTGAGTTGGTGAAGTTAGGCTTTCTAAATGGAATTGCCCCTGATTGATGCTGCAATGTGATGTTTTTCTTATTGCTAAGTTAGAATTCTAAGGTCTTTCCTTTGTATCCTCTATAGCGGTGATGTCATATAGTGCCTCTGTGAACCATGTGGTGCTGGTCTAATGGGCAGGAGTGGTTCATGCATCTTCATAAACATCTAGTTTATTGCGAGGAAAAGGCTTGGATAATGGTGGGGAAGTAGGGGGAAATGTACGTCAAGATTCAAAACTAAAGCACCATACGATAGGGTTCACATGTCAAAACTTCATTATTGTACTTTTTCTGCTTTCTGTTTGTGAGAATGTTGCATTTAAGTTTTGAGTTTCCAATTATTCTTGTGTGAAGGTACATTTGAAAAGCTGTGGTGTTTCTTGTCATGTCGCTGATATTATAAACTGACCGGCAGAGCTCCCTTCACAGGTGCCGGGGTTATTGGAATTGTGCTCCTGCACTGGTTCCCCTTCATGACGAATTTTATTCCTAAACTCCTTTGTGTTAATAGTATAATTAGCGATTTCAGCCATTCCATGCTTTTTATTCACGGGAATGGAATGTTGCCCTTTTGTCCTCACTATTTTATTGCATTTTTTTTTTTTTTTTTTTTTTTTTTTGAGACGGAGTCTCGCTCTGTCGCCCAGGCCGGAATGCGGACTGCAGTGGCACAATCTCGGCTCACTGCAAGCTCCTTTATTGCTTTTTTTTTTTGCATTTATTCCTGAAATGGCGGGAATCTGTCCCAGAATTTGAGAGAGGAGTGGGAGCTGACTGCCCCGTGAATGTAGTCTGGCATGTATCTGTAATGTTTATAGTGTTGTGGTGATTGCCATGGATTTTCAGAACACTTTTGAGAGATTTGTCACCTGTTATTAATAGTTGCAGGTTAATAAGTATAGTTTCTTAAATAATAAAGATTGTATTATTAGGGCATTAGATAGTATATCTGTTTATAGGCATAGTACTCTGTGTTTCAAATGCATCTTCAGAGCAGATTTTACCAAACTGAAATTGAGACTCAGGAAGCATACACTACAGTCAGTGTATTCAGCTGAAACTACTGGTGTGAGTTCAGTGTTTCTCTTGAGAACCTGTGGCATCGGGTATGCTTTTTAACAGCCATGTGAAAAATATCCTGCCCAGGCCATAAAACTGTTCAGCTGACAGAGCTAATTTAGTATTTTCTTCTTTTGATCTTTACACTTTATCTTCATTTATAGCAGGTCATAAACTTTATAGAGTATTGCCTTTTATACGGCATACTGAAAGTACATTTTTAAAACTAGAGAAAAAAATTCCTTTGAGGTAATTTTCATAACTATAAAAACGTATATTCAGATTTGCGTCCTCAATGCATTTGTAGTGAGGTGAATAGAGTCAGGATCATCAGTTTGATTGAGCTGAGTTTGATTTGATGGCAGTCTTCATTTGGACTTTAATTGTTTCTCACATGCACGATTGTTATACCTTATTGAAATACAAATGACAACTAACGTGTTTATCATTTCTCTTTTGATATAATGAGAACTCAAAAAAAAGAGAGAACTCATGATTCTATTCAATAGTGTTTGTATATCCTAAATGTAATTAATAAGTGTCATAAAACATCTGTACTGTTACAGTGAATACCAAACTTTATTAAAACCAATGATTCTCAGACTTTTTCTGCCCCAGTACATTGAACAGGTATGACCTGCTTCTATCGCCCATCACCCTTATAGAGGAGAAATATGATCAACATTTTGTCACCATTGTGCAGGTTGAAAAGGCCTGCCTGGCAATTCCATGTGCCTCCACACATACGCTCTTCCCCTCGACCATCACACATGCACACCTTGAGAACTGCTGATTTAAATGATGGCACAATAGTCATGGGAGGGGAGTGCGAACAGCTGAACTCATTTCAAGTTGAAATTTGATGTTCCTTTAACTCTGCTATGGCGAGATGACACCAAGACTTGATTGATGCAAGATAACACAAGCTGGATGCCTTATGGCTCAATTGCATGAAGATGATGAGCTTCACAACTGTTTCCTGCCAATTATGTTAGCTTACATGAGCCAAGAGTCAGTAATTTCAGGCCACTGTAAGGAAATGAGTGATCTGTGGAATGCCTTTTATAGACAGACTTTAGATTAAATTTGAGGATGGGTCACCTACTGGTTTTACAAACCGTTTTTGTTTAGACATCAAATCAGATTTAATATTTTAACCTGTAAGTGATGGCAAAATTCAGCAAGAAAAATCTGCTAGCATGTAATCTTTTCTTTCTTTGTTTTTATTCTTAACAGCTTTATTGAGTATAATTCATACCATAAAATTTATCTATTTTCATTTTTTAATGATTTAATAAATGTTTTAAGTCATTTTGATGATTTTTGGCAAATGTATGGAGTTGTGCAACCATCACAATCTATTTTTTGAACATTTCCATCACACAGAAAATACCCTCTACCTGTTCACAATCTGTTCCCATTACCATCCCAAGCCCAGGCAACAACAAATCTGCTTTCTGTCTCTACAGATTTGCCTATTGTGGACATTTCATATAAACAGAAAAATACAATATGTAGTTTTTTTCATCTAACTTCTTCCAGTTAGTGTAACTTTTTTTTGGCATTCATCTATATTGCAGCATGTAAAAGTACTTTATTCATTGCTGAATAATGTTCCATTGTTTGGATATACCACATTCTGTTTATCCTTTCTATAATGCTTATAAAAGATTAATCTTTTATGGTCCTTGTTGCTTTTAATCTACCTAGCTCCCCACCTCCTTGCCTGGTTTCCCCCCTGGAACCAAGGTCAGATTGAGCTTTTCTGGATTTGACCTCCAGGCTCTATGCTGAAGAGTTTGTACTCCTTCACTCATCTCATCTCTGACTACAAACTTTGGTCCCTGAAGAAGTTGGGATGATTATATCCAGTGTTTTTTTTTTTTTTTTTTTTTTTTTTTGAGACAGGGTCTCAGGGTACAGTGAGGTGATCACCACTGCAGCTTCCACCTTGTAGGCTGAAGTGATCTTCCCAACTCAGTTTCCTGAGTAGTGAGGACCACAGCTGTGTGCCGTGACACCCGGGTAATTATTTTAATTTTTATTTTTTAGAGACAGGGTCTCACTCTGCTGCCCAGGCTGGTCTCAAATTCCTAAGCTCAAGAGATCCTCCTGCCTTGGCCTCCCAAAGTCATGGGGTTAGAAGCATGAGCCACTACACCTGGCCTGGATTGAGGATTTTAATCTCAGGAGCTGGTACCAATTTTGGAGTGTCTTCTGAGGCCTCAGAAACAGAATAGAGTTGAAGATTTCTCTGGTAATTATGAGTCAGCCTTAGAGTTCTGTGGCTAAACCTAGCATAATTTGTAAACATCACATAAATAGCAATATATTACAAATATACTAAAGAAAATACTGAAAGCATTAAGAAAAGATAAGTCATTCATAATTCAGTGTCTCAGTTTGCAGTATTCAGGGAGAACCACTATTCAACATGTTGATGTATGTCCTTTTAGCTTTAATTTATGTGCAGACATATACAGTTTCTTTAAAAGATGGTTTTCTATAATAACCATTTCCCCATGTGAGTAAATACTTTTGAAAATATGAAAGTTAGTCTCATGAGCAGTGCAAGGTCAGAGATAACCAGATTCATTCACGTTTGCGTCTTTCCATAGTGTCAGACTTCTGTTGATGCTATTTCAATAGCAAAAGGCCATGAACTGCATGGAGTTTTCTAGGAGGCAGTCCTCCTTAGAACTTTCCGGTCACTTGGTAGTCACAGCTGCACAGCCACAAGCCACTCCACAAGTCAGTCAATATTGTCAACTATATGTAATATTATACCTAATTAATATATAAATGTTACAGATTAAACATTCCACAACAAACAAAGTAACATTTAACATCAAGAGAAGAGAGATAGGAAAAAGGGTTAAGGAAATAGTCCAGGGAGAGTGAGGAAGACAGAAAGAACCTCCTGGTCTGGGCCAGGGCCCATCTGTTTTACAAGAAAGAGTCTTTACAAGAAAGAGTCTTTGAAGGCCACCCACCTTCAGTGGCAGGTGCTGGGTGCTTATCAGGAGTGATAGCAAGACAGTGTCAGTTAAGACAGCCATTTTGAGCTGTGAAGTCCTGCTCTTTTTATGGCTGCAGAGTCCTCCAGTGAGGACTGATAGTGGAAGAGTGTGCCTGTTTATGTCCTTATCTGGTTGGATGCAGTCTTTATTTATTAATTTATTAAGCAAAGTATCTTTTCCCTGTTGGCAAAGTGTCCTGTGAAATGTAAGATGGAGTCTTTTTCTGAGATGGAGTTACTTGTGTCAAGGGTGCTCTGTACAGTTAGTGTAGCTAGAATGGTATGAGGGAAAACATGGTCAGGAGAGAATTCATAGAGTAGATATTTGCTATCACTTATGGCCTTTGAAAGTCATTGTAAAGAATTGGGAGTTTATTCCAAGTGTAAGTTGAAGCATTAGTTTGTTGAGCAGAAAGTTATTTTATTTGCTTCACATTTTTGACATAACACTGGCCACAATGTAAAGAACCTATTGGAGGGATCGAGAGAGGGAGAAGGAAGATTGAGGAAGAGGCTTTCGTGGTATCGTAAGCTAGAGATGATGGCAGTTTAGGCTAGGGTAGCAATTCAAAATAGCAACAAGTGGCTGGACTTAGAAAATATTTTCAGAGAGGTTGATAGGATTTGTTGATAGACTAATATACTGGGAGAAAAAAAGAATCAAGGGCAACTCCTAGTTTTGTTTTTTAATCTTGAGTAACTGAGTGACTAGGAAAGCCATTGCAGAAATCTGGAGAAAGCTCTAGGAGGAGTGAGTTTGGTGAAGGAAGGTGTGGGAGATTAAGATCTGGGTTTTGCATATATAAAATTTAAATTAGGATGGTGCTGGAGGGAGCTATGGGATCTTGGGAGAGTTAGAATGAGACAAATTACACATTTGTGTGGTAAAGGATATGCTCACCTAGAGAAGGAAAAATGGGTGATATCTAAGAGGGAAAGGGATAATTGGAAAAATAAAGTCCTTTAGTACAGTGGTCCCCAGTCATTTTGGCACCAGGGACCAGTTTCGTGGAAGACAGTTTTTCCACGGATGGGGTGAAGGGTGCAGGGGCCAGCAGGGGATGGTTTCAGGATGAAACCATTCTACCTCAGATCATCAGGCATTCGTTATATTTTCATAATGGGTGCACAACCTAGATCCCTTGCATGCGCAGTTCACAATAGAGTTCGTGCTCCTGTGAGAATCTAATGCCGCCACTCATTTGACAGGAGGTGGAGCTCAGGCAGTAATGCCAGCGATGCAGAGCAGCTGCAAATACAGATGAAGCTTCGCTCACTTCCCCGCCGCTCACCTCCTGCTGTGTGGCCCAGTTCCTAACAGGCCATGAACTGGTACGGGTCCAAGGCTTGAGGGTTGGAGACCCCAGCTTTAGTGGGAGAGTTGGGATGAAATCCAAACTAGAAGTGGAGGGGTTTGTTTTAGACAAGAAAGGTACCTGAGGCAGTGTGGGCACAGATATGAGTGGGTTAGAAAGTTCGGGGTGAGAAGAGGCACTTCTCTTGCGATCACTTTATCAGTATTTTCTCGGTTTAAAAAAAAGCAGAGTCATCTGCTGAGATGGGAGGAAGGTGACAGGACTTTGAGGAGAGGAGAAAGGACACAAATTGGTTTGACTCAGAGAAGAATAACTCAGAAGTGTGCAATCAGGATTGAGACACTGATGAGAACCAAATCTCATTTGTGCTTATAAGTTTAAAGTGAGTCCAGCCAGAACAGTTGTGAGTTACTGATGATGATTCCTTGATCTTGGGTGACAGGATGATCTGTTCTCTTCCGTTGTCCTGTTGATTCTAATGCCCGTATTACATTTAACTTTATATTTTAATATTTTGCAGGGTGAGTTTTACTTTAGTTTTGTAGAAACTTTTCGTTTCCTTTGGCATTTTGGTTTTGCTTTTTAGCTTTCGGTATTGATTATGCTTATTCTATTTTGGGAGAGTCTGATCTTATTAGGTTGGTGCAAAAGTAATTGCGGTTTTTGCCTTTTTTTTTTTTTTTAGTGGCAAAAACCACAATTACTTTTGCACCAACTTAAATAAGTTCAGATTAAATTTGCCGGGGTAACATAAAACAAAAGAAGATTTTATCATTTCTTCTAATTATAAATTATCTTTAATAATTCATTTAACAAATATTGATTAAGTGCCTATAAGACCTTGCATGAGACGTTAGAGATGCAATGGGAAAAGAGATAAAAATTATAGTCCCTGCTTCCACAGAGCTCACAGGCCAGGGTAGAGGCCAGCAACCTATGCCCTTTAGCCAAATGCAGCCCACCTCTTGATTTTGTACAGCCTGTGAACTAAAAAAAATTTTTAATTAAACATTTCATTTTAACATTATTATAGATTCACATGAGGTTGTAAGAAATAATACAGAGAGATCTCCTATACCCTCTACCTTATTTCCCCCCAGTGGTAACTTTATGCAGAACTATAGTATAACATATAGTAAAACCAGGATGTTGACATTGAAACTGTCAAAAGACAGAACATTTCTACCAGCACAAGGATCCTTCATGTTGCCCTTTATAGCCCAGGCACTTCCCTCCCACCCAGAAACCCTCCTTAACCCCTGGCAACATTTAATGTTTTCCATTTCTGTAGTTGTTACTTCATAAATATGATACAAAGTAAATCATATAGTATGTAACTTTTTGGAGTTAGCATTTTTTTCACTGTCAGAGTAATTCTCTGGTGATTCATTGTTGCGTATTTCAGTAGTTCGTTACTTCTTATTGCTGAGTAAATCCATGGTATGGATGTGCCACAGTTTGTTTAATCATTCACCTGTTGAAAGACATCAAGGTTATTTCAAGGTTTTGGCTATTATGAATAAAGATCCTATAAACATTCTTGTGAACAGTTTTTTCCCTCTGGCATGCATGCTCAGAATCATATTTGCTGAGTCTTATATTATTTGCATGCTGAGTTTTAAAAGAAACTGCCACCAGAGTGGTTGTACCAGAGACTGTCAATCCAGTTTCTCTGCATCCTTGCCAGCATTTGGTGCTGTCAATATTTTTTATTTTAGCTATTCAAGTGGGTGTGTAGTGATATCTCATTTTGGCTTCAACTTGCATAATAGTTAATGATGTTGAACACTTTTTCATCTATTTATTTACTGACTTTATATCCTCTTTGATGAAACGTCTGTTCATGTCTTTTGATCATTTTCTAATTGAATTGTTTGTGGAGCTTTTTTTACTGTTGAGTTTTGAGAATTTATTCTATATTTTATTCTAGGAAATAGTCCTTTGTAGCTGAGTGCAGTGGCTCATGCCTGTAATCCCAACACTGTGGGAGGGCCAAAGCGGGCAGATTGCTTAAGCCCAAGAGTTCAAGACCAGCCTGGGTAACATGGCAAGACCCCATCTCTACAGAAAATACAAAAATTAGCTGGCTGTGGTGGTGCATGCCTGTGGTCTCAGCTACTCAGGAGGCTGAGGTGGAGGATCACCTGAGCCCAGGGAGGTCAAAGCTGCAGTGAACTATGATCATACCACTGCACTCCAGCCTGGGTGACAGAGCAAGACCCTGCCTAAAAAAAAAAAAAAAAAAAAATAGGAAAAAAAAAAGTATTTTGTTGAATGTGTGGCTTGCAAGTGTTTTATCCCAGTCTGTAGCTTGTCTTTTTACCCTCTTAACAGGGCCCTTCACAGAGCAAAAGTTTTTTGTTTTTTTTTTTAAGCCCAATTTATCAGATTTACTTTTTTAGATTGTGCTTTTTGTATTAAGACTAGGAACTCTTTGGCTAGCTCCAGATCCCAAAGATTTTTTTTCTAAAATGTTTATGTTTTTACATTTTACTTTTAAGTCCATGATCCATTTTAGTTAATTTTTGTATATAGTGTGAGACTCACACTGATAGGGTGTGGTGATATCAGGTATATGGTTTACACTCTTTCAGGGGGATGGGGTGCAGATTTGCATGGGTCTGCTTCCCCGTCTGCGCTTGCTTTAGCTGTGTCCCATAAACTGTGATGTGTTGGTTTTTTATTTTCATTACATTCAATCTGTTTTTTTTATTTCTCTTGAAACTTCATCTTTGACCCATGGATTATTTACAGTTGTGTTGTTTAGTTTCCAAGTGTTTGGTAATGTATCTGTTATCCATTGTTGATTTCTAGTTGGATTCCACTGTGGTCAGAGAAGGCACTCTGTGTGATTTCAGTTCTTTTAAACTTGCTGAGGTTTGTTTTATGGCCCAGAATATGATCTATCTTGGTATATATGAGCACTTGAAAAGAGCATGTATTCTGCTGTTGTTGGGTAGAGTGTTTTATCATTGTGAATTAAATCTTGTTGTTTGATAGTGTTGAGTTCTGTATTCTTGCTGATTTTCAGTGTTGTTGTTCTATCAATTTTTGAGAAAAGGGTATCTTTGCTCTGAAGTCTGTTTGCTCTGAAGTCTATTTTATCTGATATTAATATAGCCACTCCAGCTTTTTTAAAATAAATGTTTGCATGATGTTTCCTCCATAATTGAAGTGAGTGTCTTTTAGACAGCATGTGGTTTGGTCACGGTCATGTTTTTTATTCTCTTCTACCAATCTCTGTTTTTCAGTTGGTGTATTTAGACTATTCACATTTAATGCAGTTATTGATATGTTAGGGCTTAAGTCTGCCATTTTATTTTTTTGTTTTCTGTTTGTTCTCAGTGTTTTGTGTTTCCTGACATCCAGTGTATTACTTGAACATTTTATAGAATTATTTTTTTACTTTTCTGTGGTGTTATTAATGTATCTCTTTGTATGGCTTTTTAAATGGTTGCTGTAGGTATTATATATACATAGCTAATCCCAGTCTACTGGTGATGTCATTTTACCAGTTTAAGTAATATATGGAAACCTTACCTCCTTCTACATCCCATTGCCTTCCCTTGCTTACAATAAAATTGTCTTAAATATTTCCTCTACACACATTTGAAACCATGTCATACAGTATTAGAATTTTCACATCAGCTAGCAAATATAATTTAGAAAACTTAAGAGGACAAGGAAAACTTATTGTCTTTACCCAGATTTTTACTTACTGAGTTCTTTTTCCTTCATAATTTTAGCAGATTCTTTCTTTATTGTTTTATTTCTGTTTAGAAAACTTCCTTCAGAGAAATAAAATACAGACAAGCAAATGCTGAGAGATTTTGTCACCACCAGGCCTGCCCTAAAAGAGCTCCTGAAGGAAGCACTAAATGTGGAAAGGAACAACCAGTACCAGCCACTGCAAAATCATGCCAAATTGTAAAGACCATCAAGGCTAGGAAGAAACTGCATCAACTAACGAGCAAAATAACCAGCTAACATCATAATGACAGGATCAAATTCACACATAACAATATTAACTTTAAAGGTAAATGGACTAAATGCTCCAATTAAAAGACACAGACTGGCAAATTGGATAAAGAGTCAAGACCCATCAGTGTGCTGTATTCAGGAAACCCATCTCACGTGCAGAGACACACATAGGCTCAAAATAAAAGGATGGAGGAAGATCTACCAAGCAAATGGAAAACAAAAAAAGGCAGGGGTTGCAATCCTAGTCTCTGATAAAACAGACTTTAAACCAACAAAGATCAAAAGAGACAAAGAAGGCCATTACATAATGGTAAAGGGATCAATTCAACAAGAAGAGCTAAGTATCCTAAATATATATGCACCCAATACAGGAGCACCAAGATTCATAAAGCAAGTCCTGAGTGACCTACAAAGAGACTTAGACTCCCACACATTAATAATGGGAGACTTTAACACCCCACTGTCAACATTAGACAGATCAACGAGACAGAAAGTCATCAAGGATACCCAGGAATTGAACTCAGCTCTGCACCAAGTGGACCTAATAGACATCTACAGAACTCTCCACCCCAAATCAACAGAATATACATTTTTTTCAGCACCACACCACACCTATTCCAAAATTGACCACATAGTTGGAAGTAAAGCTCTCCTCAACAAATGTAAAAGAACAGAAATTATAACAAACTGTCTCTCAGACCACAGTGCAATAAAACTAGAACTCAGGATTAAGAAACTCACTCAAAACCACTCAACTACATGGAAACTGAACAACCTGCTCCTGAATGACTACTGGGTACATAATGAAAGGAAGGCAGAAATAAAGATGTTCTTTGAAACCAATGAGAACAAAGACACAACATACCAGAATCTCTGGGACACATTCAAAGCAGTGTGTAGAGGGAAATTTATAGCACTAAATGCCCACAAGAGAAAGCAGGAAAGATCCAAAATTGACACCTTAACATCACAATTGAACGAACTAGAAAAGAAAGAGCAAACGTATTCAAAAGCTAGCAGAAGGCAAGAAATAACTAAAATCAGAGCACAACTGAAGGAAATAGAGACACAAAAAACCCTTCAAAAAATTAAGGAATCCAGGAGCTGGTTTTTTGAAAGGATCAACAAAATTGATAGACCACTAGCAAGACTAATAAAGAAGAAAAGAGAGAAGAATCAAATAGACGCAATAAAAAATGATAAAGGGGAAATCACCACCAATCCCACAGAAATACAAACTACCATCAGAGAATACTACAAACACCTCTATGCAAATAAACTAGAAAATCTAGAAGAAATGGATAAATTCCTCGACACATACACCCTCCCAAGACTAAACCAGGAAGAAGTTGAATCTCTGAATAGTCCAATAACAGGCTCTGAAATTGTGGCAATAATCAATAGCTTACCAACCAAAAAGAGTCCAGGACCAGATGGATTCACAGCCAAATTCTACCAGAGGTTTAAGGAAGAACTGGTACCATTCCTTCTGAAACTACTCTAATCAATAGAAAAAGAGGGAATCCTCCCTAACTCATTTTATGAGGCCAGCATCATCCTGATACCAAAGCCGGGCAGAGACACAACCAAAAAAGAGAATTTTAGACCAATATCCTTGATGAACATTGATGCAAAAATCCTCAATAAAATACTGGCAAACCGAATCCAGCAGCACATCAAAAAGCTTATCCACCATGATCAAGTGGGCTTCATCCCTGGGATGCAAGGCTGGTTCAATATACACAAATCAATAAATGTAATCCAGCATATAAACATAACCAAAGACAAAAACCACATGATTATCTCAATAGATGCAGAAAAGGCCTTTGACAAAATTCAACAACCGTTCATGCTAAAAACTCTTAATAAATTAGGTATTGATGGGACGTATCTCAAAATAATAAGAGCTATCTATGACAAACCCACAGCCAATATCATACTGAATGGGCAAAAACTGGAAACATTCCCTTTGAAAACTGACACAAGACAGGGATGCCCTCTCTCACCACTCCTATTCAACATAGTGTTGGAAGTTCTGGCCAGGGCAATTAGGCAGGAGAAGGAAGTAAAGGGTATTCAATTAGGAAAAGAGGAAGTCAAATTGTCCCTGTTTGCAGATGACATGATTGTATATCTAGAAAACCCCACTGTCTCAGCCCAAAATCTCCTTAAGCTGATAAGCAACTTCAGCAAAGTCTCAGGATACAAAATCAATGTACAAAAATCACAAGCATTCTTATACACCAACAACAGACAAACAGAGAGCCAAATCATGAGTGAACTCCCATTCACAGTTGCTTCAAAGAGAATAAAATACCTAGGAATCCAACTTACATGGGACATGAAGGACCTCTTCAAGGAGAACTACAAACCACTGCTCAATGAAATAAAAGAGGATACAAACAAATGGAAGAACATTCCATGCTCATGGGTAGGAAGAATCAATATCGTGAAAATGGCCATACTGCCCAAGGTAATTTATAGATTCAATGCCATCCCCATTAAGCTACCAATGCCTTTCTTCACAGAATTGGAAAAAACTACTTTAAAGTTCATATGGAACCAAAAAGGAGCCCGCATCGCCAAGTCAATCCTAAGCCAAAAGAACAAAGCTGGAGGCATCACGCTACCTGACTTCAAACTATACTACAAGGCTACAGTAACCAAAACAGCATGATACTGGTACCAAAACAGAGATATAGATCAATGGAACAGAACAGAGCCCTCAGAAATAACACCACATATCTACAACTATCTGATCTTTGACAAACCTGAGAAAAACAAGCAATGGGGAAAGGATTCCCTATTTAATAAATGGTGCTGGGAAAACTGGCTAGCCATATGTAGAAAGCTGAAACTGGATCCCTTCCTTACACCTTATACAAAAATCAATTCAAGATGGATTAAAGACTTAAATGTTAGACCTAAAACCATAAAAACCCTAGAAGAAAACCTAGGCATTACCATTCAGGACATAGGCATGGACAAGGACTTCATGTCTAAAACACCAAAAGCAATGGCAACAAAAGCCAAAATTGACAAATGGGATCTAATTAAACTAAAGAGCTTCTTCACAGCAAAAGAAACTACCATCAGAGTGAACAGGCAACCTACAACATGGGAGAAAATTTTCGCAACCTACTCATCTGACAAAGGGCTAATATCCAGAATCTACAATGAACTCAAACAAATTTACAAGAAAAAAACAACCCCATCAAAAAGTGGGCGAAGGACATGGACAGACACTTCTCAAAAGAAGACATTTATGCAGCCAAAAAACACATGAAAAAATGCTCACCATCACTGGCCATCAGAGAAATGCAAATCAAAACCACAATGAGATACCATCTCACACCAGTTAGAATGGCAATCATTAAAAAGTCAGGAAACAACAGGTGCTGGAGAGGATGTGGAGAAACAGGAACACTTTTACACTGTTGGTGGGACTGTAAACTAGTTCAACCATTGTGGAAGTCAGTGTGGCGATTCCTCAGGGATCTAGAACTAGAAGTACCATTTGACCCAGCCATCCCATTACTGAGTATATACCCAAGGGACTATAAATCATGCTGCTATAAAGACACATGCACACGTATGTTTATTGCGGCACTATTCACAATAGCAAAGACTTGGAACCAACCCAAATGTCCAACAATGATAGACTGGATTAAGAAAATGTGGCACATATATACCATGGAATACTATGCAGCCATAAAAAAGGATGAGTTCATGTCCTTTGTAGGGACATGGATGAAATTGGAAATCATCATTCTCAGTAAACTATCGCAAGGACAAAAAACCAAACACCGCATATTCTCACTCATAGGTGGGAATTGAACAATGAGAACACATGGACACAGGAAGGGGAACATCACACTCTGGGGACTGTTGTGGGGTAGGGGGAGGGGGGAGGGATAGCATTAGGAGATATGCCTAATGCTAAATGACGAGTTAATGGGTGCAGCACACCAGCATGGCACATGTATACATATGTAACTAACCTGCACATTGTGCACATGTACCCTAAAACTTAAAGTATAATAATAATAAAAAAAAAAAAAGAAAAGAAAACTTCCTTCAGACATTCTTTTAGGTTAGGTCTGCAGGCAATAAATTCATTTGGTTTTTTTTTTTCATCTGTGAATTCTGATTTCCCCTTATTTCCGTGGGATATTTTTATTGGATTCTGGGTTGACAGTTATTTTTCTTTCAACACTTGAAAAATGGTGCACCATTTTCTGCTGGTTTCCATATTTTCTGATGAGAAATCTGCTGTTATTCAAATTGTTTTTCCCCTATAGGTAAGGTGTCATTTCTCACTGCTTTCAAATTCTTTTCTTTGTTTTTAGTTTTTAGTAATTTGATGTGTCTTTGTGTGGATTGCTTTGGGTTTACCTTATTTGAGGTTTGCTTAGCTTCTGTAAGATTTATGTCTTTTGCCAAATTTGGAAACTTTTCAGCCACTATTCCTGTGAGTACTCTTTTAGCCTCTTTTTCTTTTCCTTCTAGAAGTCCAGTGACACAAATGTTAGATCTTTTGTCACAGTCCACAGGTCCCTGAGACTCTGTTCATTTTTTTTTAACATCTATTTTTGTTTTTCAGGCTGGGTAAATTCTGTTGTTTTATCCTCAGGTTCATGGATCCTTTCCTGTGCCCCCTCAGTTCTGCTATTGAGCACTTCCATGGAAATTTTTATTTTGGTTATTGCATTTTTTAGTTCTAGACTTCTTTATTTGCTTCTTATTTACATCTTCTTTGCTGAGAATTCCTATTTCTTAGCTCAGATTTTCTGTTTTTTTGTGTGTTTGTTTCTAGTATGTACATAATTGCTCATTAAAGTATTTTTATAATGACCACTTTAAAATTTTTGCCAGATAATTCTAACAGCTCTGTTATTTAGGTTTTGATATCAGTTAATTGTCTTTTTTCATTCTGCTTGAGATCTTCCTGGTTCTTGATGTGGTGAGTGATTTTCTTTTGAAACCTAGACATTTTGGGTATTTGGTTATGAGATTCTCAGTCTTATTTAAACCTGTTTTAACTGGCTTCTGACATTCCTATGGCAGGGGAAGAGGGGACACTACCTCATTTCTGCCTGATGAGGTTAGAAATCCAGGTTCCCCTTGCAGCCTCCATTGGCACCCGAGAGGGAGCTCCTTACTGCTGCCTGCCAGGGACCAGCGTTACGGCACCCTGCAAGGCCTCCACTACTGCCTTCATGACTGGGAAAGACAGAGGTCCCCTTTGCCTCCCATGCAACCTCCACTAATAACATGGTCAGGAAAGGAATGGCCTTTCTACCTCTGAGTGGAGGTGGAATTCCTGGCTCTCCACTAGGCCTCCTCTGACATGACCCCATTGAAGAGGGGGAGGGACCTCATTACTGCTTCATGGAGGTGGAAGTCTAGGCTCCCCACGTGATGTCCACTGACATCCTCCAGGTATGGACAGAAGTACCAGCTTCCCTCCTCAGCCTTCCCTGACACCATGACAGTGGAGGGGAGGGCATAGCCGGGGAGTTAGAGTGCCCCATTATAGCCTGGTGAGGATGGAAGTCTGGGCTCCCCACTCAGCCTATGCTGGAATAGGTAGGGGTGGAGCCACATTTTTTCTGTGGTGTTTGGCTGAAGTAGATCAGTTAATATCTAAACATTTTCTGTCTTTCTGGCTGCCCCTTTCCTTGTCTGTCCCTTAGCTGCGAGCATAGGCTCTTGTGGTGGTGGTATTATTGTTTTTTGGGGATTTCTTTTTGGTCTGTGCCCAGTGGCATTTCCAGGTTGCTGCTGTCTTCCTGCAAAAGAAAATTCAGGAAATTCTTTGGGTCCCAAGATCACTGACCAGTTTGCCCTCTTTCCACCACCTGGAGTCGTCTTACGTTTGTTTATAGTGTCCAACATTTTTAGTTGTATAGTCAGCCCTCTGTATCCTTGGGTTCCACATCATGGATTCAGCCAGCTATAGGTTGAAAATATTTTTTTAATTGCATCTGTACTGAACATGTACAGACTTTCTATTCTTTCTATTATTCCCTAAACAATATAGTGTAACAATTATTTACATGGCATTTACATTTTATTAGGTATTGTAAATAATCTAGAGATGATCTAAAGAAGCAGTCCCCAACCTTTTTGGCATAAGGGAGTAGTTTCATGGAAGACAATTTTTCCACACGCCGCTGTGTATGTGGGGGTGAGGGATGGTTTCGGGATGAAACTGTTCCACCTCAGATCATCAGGCATTCGTTAGATTCTCATAAGAAGTGCACAACCTAGATCCCTTGCAAGCACAGTTCACGACAGGGTTCGTGCTCCTCTGAGAATCTAATGCTGCCGCTGATCTGACAGGAGGCGGAGCTCGGGCAGTAATGGTCACTGGTCCACCACTCACCTCCTGCTTTGCAGCCAGTTCCTAACAGGCCACAGACTGGTACCAGTCCACTGCCTGAGGTTTGGGGACCCCTGGTCTGAAGTATACAGGAGGATATACATAGCTTATATGCAAATACGGCACCATTTTATATCAGGGACTTGAGCATTCAAAGATTTGGGTATTCGTGGAAGGTCCTGGAACCAGTCCATGGACAGCTGTACTTGAAGGTCCTGGAACCAGATACCAACAGACAGCTGTACTTAGCAGGAGGAATAAGGTAAAGAACACCCACTCCAGCTCCTGAAAGTGGAGATTTTCATCTGTCCATTTAAAACCATTCAGAGGAATCTCATGATTTTCCTCACCTGTGTTCTCTCTGCCTGTAACATCTTTTTCTCCTTTTGCAGCATCAGCCACTATGTGATTGTCATGTCCATGACCATCTTTTTGGTGTTCCTCAATGGCCTGGCCCAGCTGCTCACAACGAAGAAACTCAGACTATGTGGCAAACCCAAAAGTCACTTCATGTGAGGTTGCTGAAGCACCATTCAGCATCTGGATCCTGATTCTCCTTTTAAGCTAAAATCTCATCAAGGCTTCAATAAGAAGATGGATATGGATATATAGTATATTCTACTCCTGTAAGGAAAATGGTATTTGGAATTCCGAATTGACAGGTTATCTGGAACAAAGGAGCTTCTTTTTTTTTCTAGGTTTTGCAGGCATGAAATAGTGATTATATCTGTGGAAAAGCATAGGAAGGCATTCTCCTTTTTCATTTTTTTCCTTTGGCTGGCAGCTCTTCCCAGTGATGTTGAGAGCACCTGCAGCAATCTGGTCCCCAGTCGCACAACTTCCCACATACCCAGAGGAGAGCATATGCCTGTGGGGGCAGTGCTGATGGCATCCAGAGTCATTGCTGTGGCTGAGCTGGAAGGAAATCACCAGGTGCCACCGTCAATATTTATCAGCTTTCAGCACTGGTTTTGTTAGACAGTCAGGGTGTATTATTTCAAGAGCTTCAATAAAAAAAGTGTTTGCAGGTATTTGTCATATTTCTTTAGTATGCAATAATGCTATCTTATCCTTTTTAGTGCTATTTCTCAGGTTTTCTCAGTCAACCAGCTAGATGCATGTGATGCATGTCTATCCTTCACTTTTTTTTTTTCATTTCTGGATTTTCCTGGGATTTCTGACAACACAAAAGTAGAAAGTGCTTGGTATTTCTGTCTTATACATAGGAAAACATTTAAAATAAATAGTTTTTAATTGTAGGCTCAACATCTGTTACCCCATAGCTTTTTCGTATATTGTTTCTTTCCCTTTGAATTTCTTTTTACTGTCATCTATTATTTTAACAGGAGTTAAAATAACTCCTGTTAAACTTTCTGACAATATCATAAGAATTCATATTAAAGGTGTTATTCTTTCTGGTTGTGAGATTCTAGCACAAAGGCCTAAAATCATCAAATTAGATTTCCATTTGTAAACAAATTCTAATGGGCAAAATATCTTGAGAGCAGTTTTTATATGGATTATCCATAAAATGACCTTTACATATCCCTGCAGAGTTGGCCTTTTGCCCGTGGTGTGCTAGTAGCTTTGGCTGATGCTAAGCTTTCCTGGTATGCGCCCTATTTTTAAGAAGTAATTGCTTTTGAATTAAGTTATAGCATTACTAATTCATGTTAATGACTAGGAAACCCTCTGTAATTTACAAGATTTTTCAAATTGGTGGGGAGTGAATAAATACAATTTAAAAGTCAGAAATCAGTTTGGCAAAGTGTACTTTCTTAATTTCTATTTATGATGAAGTATAGTCATAATTTATTTGTAATACTACTTTATGGTATACCAGTGAAAGAACTGTAGTATAAAAAAGAGGTATTAATGTTTTATGAAATCTCATGCATCAGTTCATAGCATAAAATCTAGCTGGACAACTAAGAAGCTATGGTAGCAAACAGTGATGTTGATGGAATGAGAATCATGAACTTTCATATTACCTCAAAGGATTTTTTTATCAGTTTTTTTCACACATCAGAAAAAACTGACTGTATAAACACTTATCACTGACCTTTTTCTATGTGTAGTTTTGCCTTTTATCTTTTCCCAAATTTTTATAAAGAGAAATTAATAAATATTTTATTACAACATTGTAAAGGGTGCTCAGTTTTTTTATCTTTCTTTATTTTGCTCTTTGAGGCATATCTTTTTCTTAATTTTGTCCTTTCAGGTCAGTGTGAGTCTGTAGAATAGGTTGAACTTCCTTCTGACAGTATCATAGAGTTTGTGGAGTTTGTGTTGTGTGCCTGCAGCCACAGGCTCGCCTTGCTGCACCGTAACTGGCCCCTTCAGACTCACATGGGAACAAGCCTTTTCTGTTGCAGTTTCCCAGATATCTTTAAATGTTTTGAAATGTATATTTTTATGTTGCAAAACAGAAAAAAGAAACGAGTTAGGGAAAAAGTATTTCTATTTAAGGTATTTATTTTTTCATTCTACCTATGCCATAGATTTCTGAATCAAGACTTAGGACATTTGCTGATTAACAATGTTTAAATTAGGAATTGTTATAAGAATTAAAATAGGCAGAACAAGTTGTGAAAATATTGAACCAAAAAAAGGCCATGCTATCATCTTAGAGGGCCCATGAATAAACCTTAGAGGGAATCCTAAGGCTTTAGGAAACCGCTGCAGCTTGTCTGTCATTTTCCAATATGTTAATTATTATACTTAGTGTACAGTATTTAGAATACAAAATGCTTTTTTATTTTTTAGGAAAATAATGTTATAAATGATTGTATATTTTCATAGTAATGTCTTTATAATTATTTATTAATGATAGAGCTGAATTAGAAAAGCTCTTCATCCATTATAATATGGTTTCTCATGAAAAACTTATTACAAATTTCAGCCAACTCAGATATTAAGAACATCAGTGTCAATCCTCCTCCCCTCCTGCGACCTTTTTACACTTGTTTTGGTGGACTAGGGGCTCCTTTTCTCCTCCTTTTTGACATATAACTGTGCCATTAAAAACATGATTTCTGATGAAGCTGGCCTAGAGGGAATGAAGGAGATTGCGTGGGTATGGTCTCTAGGACAGGCGTAGCTGTTGCAGGGCCACCCTGTCCTTGGGAGAACCTGGTGAGCTCCCATATTCACACTAGATGCCATCATGTCAGGGGGCTGAAGAGAATGGAGCTAATCAACTCTGTCATTTGGAGAAGACCCCCTTCAGACCAGTTCTGAGAACTCCTTCTTTTAAGAGACCAGAGATAACTTGATCATTTCTCACCTTTTCGTAGTTGTTCTTTTTTATGTTGACATTCCCCTTACTGTTTTTAAAATGCTTCAAAGCATTAATGATTGTTATGCTGTGTGCTTTCAGTACTATGGCAATATCTTTGTAGCATTTTCCCATTTCTGTATAAGCATGGTTTTTTGTTTTTTTTTTTTTCGTTTTTGTTTTGAGACAGGGTCTCACTCTTGTTCAGGCTAGAATGCAGTGGCACCATCTCAGCTCACTGCAACCTCTGCCTCCTGGGCTCAAGTGATCCTGCCACCTCAGCCTCCTGAGTAGCTGAGACTACAGGCACATGCCCCCACACCTAGCTAATTTTAAAATATTTTTTGATGGAGACAGGGTTTCACTATGTTTTCCAGGCAGCAGCATTTTTTTTTGACTGGGATTTCTTTATGATGCTTTGTTATTTAAAAAAAAAATGAGAAGGAAACATTAATAATCAAAATTATCTTTAATTGGCCTCACAGGGCTAAAATCTAGAATTATTATTACTCTTGGGTAAACTCATGAAAAGTACTTAATATTCATTCTATAAAGAAACAAAAAGAACCTTTGAGATGTGTCTCTTATTCATTTCCTTGGGTACACTTAAAACGGGTTACAGTTACTGCTCAACTTTCTACCTTCAGAACTGCAGCATTTATTTGCCACACAGCAGCATTTATCAGAGATTGTCCCTTAGAACATTGGTTCCTTGTAATACAAATAAATGTCATAATAAAAATAGTTTCTTTTTTCTTTCTTTCTTTTTTTTTCAAGACAGACTCTGGCTCTCTCGCCAAGGCTGGAATGCAGTGGCGCAATGTCAGCTCACTGCAAGCTCCGCCTCCCTGGTTCAAGCGATTCTTCTGCCTCAGCCTCCTGAGTAGCTGGGATTACAGGTGCCCACCACCACGTCTGGCTAATTTTCATATTTTTAGTACTGACAAGGTTTCACCATGTTTGTCAGGCTCATCTTGAACTCCTGACCTCAAGCAGTTCACCCGCCTCGGCCTCCCAAAGTGCTGGGATTACAGGCGTGAGCTGCCTCACCCAGCTGAAAAGAGTTTCTTAATTAAATATATTTGAGAAACATCTAGTCAAACCACCTTAAATAGGTATATTTACATTAGTTCTAAGGGAATTTAACTTGTGATGTACGTTGTGAAGGGAGGAAGATAGCATTATGCCAAAAGTTTCCACTAGCTTGACAGCAGACCCTGTCTTAGAGTTTTCTTCCTGATTGGTAAACATAAGAAATGTTTCCAAAGCCGGGCTTGGTGGCTCACCCCTGTAATTCCAGCACTTTGGGAGGCCGAGGTGGGTGGATCACTTGAGGTCAGGAGTTCGAGACCAGTCTGGCCAAGATGGCAAAACCCCATCTCTACTAAACACACACACACACACACACACACACACACACACACACACACACACACACACACACACACACACACCCGGCGGGGTGGTAGGCTCCTGTAATCCTTGCTACTCAGGAGCCTGAGGCATGAGAATTGCTTGAACCTGGGAGGTGGAATTTGCAATGAGCCGAGATGGTGCCACTCTGGGCGACAAAGTGAGACTCTGCCTCAAAAAGAAATGTCTCCATATAATTTTGCACTAAAACCTTAATTTGTCATAGTTTTGAAAATAGGGTGTTGTATGTTGATTGAATTTTTTTCCCTGAGAACTGGAATACCATTTTTACTTTAACCCTTAATGTGAGAAAACTTTACAATTTCCTGCAATTTTTCCTGCCTCTGTATATATTACACCTGTCATCATTTAGTCTTTCATGTGGGAAAGGCCAGTGGTACCAGATTGCATTCGGTTCATCATGGCTCATTGTCTAGCCCTGCTAGAGTATAGACTAAGCCTTCATACCTTATGTTTTATATCTTTTACCTGAAAAATAAATTTGCACCAAATTTCAACTTGTTTTCTTATGATTTGACAGTGTAGAAAGTGATTAGTAGTTAAATTTTTATAATGCTTTGTTATTTAAAAAAACTATGAAAAGAAAACATCAGTTATCAAAATTTCCTTTAATTGGCCTCAAAGGGCTAAAATCTAAAATTATTATTACTCTTGGGTAAACTCATGAAAAGATAAATTCTTTTTACAGAAGAATTTAATTAGCTTGACTGGTATCAAATACCAATTGCATCAAACATCAGTGATTCCATGAATTTTTTAAAGTTGTTTTTACTTTAAGCAGATAATGTTCAGTGAATTTGACTAATGTGATTAACGAAGGGACCAACACAGGTAATTGTCAATCTTACAGACATAAACTGTTACCTCGAATATCCCTGTATTACTTGAAATTCTAGAAATCGTCTGTCAACATTTTAAAAGCTCCTCTCCTTGCTGATGAGAAGTAATATTCTTAAAGTTAGAAACCATACAATTAAATCCTGATTTGCCTGATACATGTTTGCTTATCATGTCCTATCTCTCATGCTATTGTGATTGGTTTTATTTTATTAAAAACTGCTCATAGCATAGCCAGGTGATCTATGTGAACATCAACAGTGATAAGCTGACAGTATGTACCCTGGATACATGATGAGAATGGCACTTTAGCTACACGGACTTCCTCCCCAGTGCTCATAAACCCAGTCTAATCATGAGAAAAACAGACAAATATCAATATAGGAACATTTGGCAAAATACCCAGTGAGTACTTTTCAAAACTACCAAGGTCATCAAAAACGAGAAAAGGCTGAGAAACTGTCAAAGCCAAGAGAAGCCTGTAGAGACATGACCACTGCATGGGGTGCGGCACCCTGGATGGGCCCTAAACATGCGGTGCGGCACCCTGGATGGGGCCCTAAACATGGGGTGCGGCACCCTGGATGGGGCCCTAAACATGATGTGCGGCACCCTGGATGGGGCCCTAAACATGGGGTGCGGCACCCTGGAAGGGGCCCTAAACATGAGTTGCGGCACCCTGGCTGGGCCCTAAACATGGGGTGCGGCACCCTGGAAGGGGCCCTAAACATGGGGTGCGGCATCGTCGATGGGGCCCTAAACATGGGGTGCGGCACTCTGGATGGGGCCCTAAACATGGGGTGCGGCACCCTGGATGGGGCCCTAAACATGGGGTGCGGCACCCTGGATGGGGCCCTAAACATGATGTGCGGCACCCTGGATGGGGCCCTAAACATGGGGTGCGGCACCCTGGAAGGGGCCCTAAACATGAGTTGCGGCACCCTGGCTGGGCCCTAAACATGGGGTGCGGCACCCTGGAAGGGGCCCTAAACATGGGGTGCGGCATCGTCGATGGGGCCCTAAACATGGGGTGCGGCACTCTGGATGGGCCCTAAACATGGGGTGCGGCACCCTGGATGGGGCCCTAAACATGATGTGCGGCACCCTGGATGGGGCCCTAAACATGGGGTGCGGCACCCTGGATGGGCCCTAAACATGGGGTGCGGCACCCTGAATGGGCCCTAATCATGGGGTGCGGCACTCTGGATGGGGCCCTAAACATGGGGTGCGGCACCCTGGATGGACCCTAAACATGGGGTGCGGCACCCTGGATGGACCCTAAACATGGGGTGCGGCACCCTGGATGGGGCCCTAAACATGAGATGCGGCACCCTGGATGGGGCCCTAAACATGGGGTGCGGCATCCTGGATGGGGCCCTGAAACAGAAAAGGACATCAGGTAAAAACTAAGGAAATCTGAATAAAGTATGGAATGTAGTTAATAAAATGTCAATATTTGTTCATTAAATGTGAAAACTGTGCCTTAGTAGTTTTTAGTAATTAGTAATCATTAGGTATTAATAATAAGAGAAACTGGGTGAGGGAGTGTGTTGGAACCCTCTGTATTAATTTTGCAAATTTTCTATAAAACTATTGTAAAATAACAAGATTATTTAAAATTGTAATTTTATGTTTTTAAAATTTTTACTCTATACACATAATTTTACATAAATGCATTAGAAGTGTAATAACAGAGAAGCAGAGGATTGAAGGGGTGGTTCACTGGTTTTTTTCTGTTTTCGTTATTTCTCCCTAGTTCTCTCTCTGCTCTTTCACTCCTGTAACTCCTCTCTGAGCCATGTTAGAGCCCAATGTGTATAACATTTTTCTTCCTGAATTACTTTCAATCAATTATTGTAGCTATTATTATTATTATTATTATTATTATTATTATTATTATTATTTTGAGACAGGGTCTCACTGTGTCGTGCAAGCTGTAGTGCAGTGGTACAATGATGGCTCACTGCTTCCTTGACTTCCTGGGTTCAAACAGCCCTCTTACCTCAGCCTCCTGAATAGCTGGAACCACGGGCTAATTTTTAAATATTTTGTTTTTGTAGAGACAGGGTCCTGCCATGCTGCCCAGGATGGTCTTGAATTCCTGGGCTCATGCAATCTGCCCCTTGGTCTCCCAAAGTATTGGGATCAGAGGCACGAGCCACTGTGCCCAGCCAATTATTATGTTCCACATAAATCTCACATGAGTGTGTAGTGGTCAGCTGTGCCTTTGCTCAGCATTTCCTCTTGAGATAACTGTGCCTGCATTGCTAACCTTCTGTTTCTGGCAGGAGCCAAAAATTTTTTATGACCCTTCTCACCACATTTGACTAGTTTAGGGGTGCACATCCAACCCACACAAGACCAGTCTAAGTTCTTTGCAAGATTTTCAAGCTGCAACTGAGAGAAAGTTTCTAACATGTGAAGTTTCAGAGCTGTTTTTGGCCAAGTTCAATTAAGTGAAATATTCTAGTAACCTCCCAGTAAGTAATCTTTTCAAAAAAAAAAAAAAAAAAAACACGGAGGGGGATTGAATTCACTGATCTCTCTAAGAACACGGTGGATTACGAGAAATCCGAAGCTCCACTTAAAATGTTTATTTTTGTTCCTGGTTTTTATCTTCTGCTAAGTTGGAATTTAGGGGGCAGAATGGTTCCATGAAAACTGATTCAGACTTTATCCCTCCGATTCACAGTGCTGCTTTCATGCCTAATACTACAAAATGTTCAAGTGCCCTGTTTTGGTATTATGTAGTAAAAACAGGAATTAAAAATCTTAGCTTTGCATAGCCTCAATCTCCAGGAACTGCAAAGAACTCTTACATGTTCATTCCTCCAAAACAAAATACAAATTTTCTCATAGGTGCTACTGGAGAAACAATAGCACAAATAATCCCAATGGAGAGCCTGCCATATGCCAAGCCCTGTGCCAGGGGCTTTACACTCATGATCTCACATAATTGAGTTATTGCAACCACTAGTGCTAGGCCAGACCTCAGCGAGCCTGGTCTGGGTTCCAGGCTGTCAAGAAGGATGTCTTAGGCTCTACTCAAGTTTGGTTTTTCTTCAGCAAAAGCAACAAACACTGGAAAGATAGTAACGAGAGAAAAATATATAGGTGGTTTTGCCCTCCCCTCAAAGGTCTCTCCAGCTCACCGTGCCTCCACCAAAGATTAGGGCTCTTAGAAGCCCGAGGAGAACGATTTGCCCAGTAGAGCAGAGGAACACAGAGCATGGACCCGCTGCCCTCAGTGCTCACAGCCATGGCAGCATTCCCAAACAACTTACATCACCGTAAG